>NC_000010.11:110370368-111620368 GCF_000001405.40 Homo sapiens | reverse complement strand
TGGGGACCCAAAGCCTAACCGTATCACAAGGCAATTCCTTTAGTTGAAGTAAGTACTGCTCAAAATTTGAAATGAAAAAATAAGGAGTTTAATTAATTAATCCAGCCAAGAGTATCTTTGTGGCCAAATCCATGTGATAGTCATTTAAAAGTAACAGGCTTATACCCAGTTTCTTTCCTTTTATGTCCTCACCTAGTAAGCTGCTTTAATGAACGAATGATCTCCACTTCTAAATTTATCTCATGTCTTTCACATATTCTAAGTTTGACAGTTGAATTTTTGGTTCAAGATACAGAAGGGAAACAACCTCACCCTTTAAAACTAATCTTTACCCAGAGTCACAGGTGAGCATATATACAGTATCAAGAATTTCTTCTTGTAAACACACATCGGAGAATGACAGACTGCATTTTGTGGACGATAGAATGGTATGGTTCTAAGTTGATGGAAGTTTTGGCTAGATTGATCTTGGGTGAAATCCCTATTCTACACTGAAGTGTTTACATTGAACAAGTTACTTTCACAGCCATCTGAAAAATGCTCCTCACTGTTGTCATTGTTTTTGTTAAAACACTTGGCACATAATAGCTGCTCAATAAATGATAGTTGTTATAACTACTATTATTTTATTTACAAGGTGTGACTGACTGAAGATACAGTGAAAAATTCCAAGTAGCCTTAGGTAATACCCAGTCTTTTAATGAGAAGGAATTTCTCTGGTTATCCCATAGTCCTTCCATATGTGGAATTCAGAATCCCTAGAACTGACTGTTTGCTTTACAGTGCCCTCAAAGAGCAGGAAAAGGAATGGAAATCTTTTCTGCTGGATTGGCTGGAGCTGTACTTGCTTTCTTTCCCCCTGGAAATCTTTTGACTAATTAAAAAACTTGGCATCCAATCATGCATGCAGAAAAACCTGACTAGTCATTCGATTTCTTTGTAATTCTCTAATCATTAGATTCAACACTTCTCAGGATTGCAGTACTTTCTTTCCTTATGGTGACTCCCTTAGGGCGAAATGGTGGGTTGAAATGCTGTCATCTATTGGTTTTCTTAAAACTTGGAGACAATGGGTTGATTTTCAGCTCCCTTAATACTCAGGAGTATCTGTATTTCCAAAATTGAATGATACATATTGGCTAGCACAGTAAACCAGCTGTCATATGAGTGTGTCTGACTACATTCGTGTCATTTGTGTAATCTGCCCAGCTGAGAAGCAGCTTTGGAATAAAACGGAGGAGACTAGTGGGTAGCACCATTTTCTGATGTGTCACATGACCTTGGGTAGACCTTTGCTCTCAAGGAAATTCAGTTTTTGTATCTCAAAAGCAGAACTGATAATGATAACTTCTGGCTCTGTCCTGTCATGTGACACTTGAAAGCGTTATGAATGTTTTAATTGTCTTAGAAGGAATTTGTATGATTCTAGCTGTAGGTGTTTTTCCTGGTAGTTTTTCAAATTGAAATGAAATGACCATGACAATTTTTGGATGGGTTTTCATGTCTCTATGATCGTCAATAAATGCATGTTGAATGGAGTTGAAATGAAATTATATGACTCATCAGGACCCAGCTTTCTCTAATGCATTGTCTTTGATCTACGTCAATCATTTATTGAAAGTCATTTTTAACCCAAGAGCATTTCACTCTCCTTCTTGGAGTTTTTCTCCATTAAGTACTGAAAGAGATGCTTTTTGTGCCACAATAAAAGATAGTGCTCATTGTGGTGGTAATTTATGTTCATTTATTTAACTTTCCCAATTAATTGTTAGCTCCCAGAGAGTATTTTATAAATATAATCAGGTGGTCCAAGCTGGGTTTATAGAAGGCTAAGAAATTTTATGACATAAAAATGTCTTTGGGAGCTTTATTTAATGGTGCTTTATTTATTTTTCTTTTCTCTCTCTCTCTCTCTTTTTTCCCCTCATCTAAGATAAAGTAATGAAAGTTTATGTTTTCATGCCATTTATTTTGTGTCTTTTACCTTTAGCCAGCTCAGAGACACAATGACAATTATTTTAAAAGCTCAGCCCTTAGAATCAAGCAGACCTGGTGGGAAATCTCAGTTCTGCCATTTTCTTCCTTTGAAATGTGGAGTAAGTGACTCAACTCTTTAGGAAATAATAATTCCTCCTTCTAAGAGCTGTTCTCAAAAGTAAATAAGGCACTAGACCTAAAAATGCACAGCATCTTATAAGTGATCAACTCGCGTTAGTTTCTTGAGCAACTTTTCTTGGGAAAAATTGAAGGCATTTGATTAAATTGATATCTGCAGCTTTTGAAGAGTTAGTTAGAACATGAAGATTAAATAATTGCATTTTTAAAGGTCAGAATTTCTTCACCATCTGATTTTATGTTAGAAAGAATTTGTTTAACTTTTAAAAGAGAAGCTCTTTATAAAGCTCACATATCTTTAGCAATGACTCTGAAAACTTTGTATTGAATTTCCCCTAAAATATACATGTGTTTAAGATTTGAAAAGAAAGAAAGAATATTTGGCAATAATGTATTTTGATATTGGATCAAAAACCACAAATATTTTGAAACTTAATCCAACACATACCTAGATTTGCTGATTTATTTTTAGCTTTAGAAAGTCCAGTTATTTAATCTCTTAAACTGTTTGAACTTTCCATTTCTAAATAAATGAAATGATAATAAATAATGAGCCCAAAATTAAAATGCACCCATTTAAGGGGAAAAATGGAAATTTGATGGAAAATGAATGTGAGTTTGAATAAAACAGATACATCCTTTGTCTCCTTTGATTTTTCAGCTCTAAGTAAATGAACCACTGAAGTGGCAGCCAGAAGAAGTGCCTTTGGTTGAATTCTTTGGCTTTGAGTTTTTCATCGATGGCAGGTAGATTATATTGTTCAGGGATTAAGGGAGACTTAGGGCATTTAAGGTCTGGTGGCCTGGCTATGACTGTCTGTGCTGGCATAGGCTCTCCTCCCCAGGACCATCTATTTTATTTGTTCTGGCTATTATTTATTCCTTAGATGGTCTGAGAAATGTAATTCTAAAAAGATATGTGGAGTAATTCATGTGGCTGATTGAATTAGCTAGCAGGTGACCCTGGGAAAGCCTTGTTTGTGCCAGGCCCTGGGTCAGGTCAAGTGTGGTCTCCATCCTGAAGATAATTGAGGTGTTGCAGGGTAAGGAGCAACATTTTAATAACAAGTGCACAGCAAACCACAGAAGTTAAATAATGACTGTTACAAGATCATGGAGAAGCTCAGTACAGTGGGGAGAATGTAGACTAGCAATCATAAGAATTAGATTTTAATCTGAGTTCTGCCATTAATTAGCTCTATTTATTTGAATGAATTATCTTTATTTTTGCTCCTCAGTCATACCCTCTTGAAAATGAATGGCCAGAGGAAAGAAAGACTAGGAATCTCTAAGATCTTTCTAAGTGCTTTCTATCTCTTTATGTATCACCTATATATATATATACTTTCTTGATGAAAAAAATTCTGTAATAGCCTTGGAGAGCCAGTGAAGGTGGGATTAAGACTCTTCAAAGGAGAGGCTGGTAGGAAGAGCAAACTGTGCAGGTGTGTGTTGCTAAAATAGAGAACAAATCTTCTCAACTTGTTGACTTTGATCCTAGTCATAGCAGGCAATGGTGCCCTCATAGATGTGGTACAAATAAGCTGAAACTAATGAAGTTATACTCCACTAAAAGGAATAGAACATACTACATTTTATTTCATTCCAAGTAACTAATGACCTCAATGAATTCACTTGCTAATCTATGTGCTTAGTGGGATGCAAGACCCTAGATGGAGATGCAATGTTGTCTGAAGAATCTGTTCCTCAAGAATCTTAATCTTTCTGAAGCAAACAGGGATGTATCCATAAAGATCATATGTTACTTTTTAAATTAATTTTTTACTGAAGTATAACAAGCATACTGAAAAGGACACAAGTCATAAGAGTATATACTTTACTGAATTTTCTTAAAGTGAGCACATCCATGCAACTAGCACCTAGATAAAAAATAGAACATCACTAGCACCCGAAAATTCCTCTTAGGCCCCAGCCAGTACTAACCTCCACCAGCGATACTGACTTCTAACATCAGAGATTAGTTTTGTGTTTGGAAAGTTTATGTAAACAGAATCATATAGTAGTTCCTCTCTGTATCTGACATCTGTCTGTCATTATGTTTGTGAAATTCATGTTGTTCCACATACCAATAATTTTCTGTGGACATATTTACATGTTTTTGTTAGGTATCTACCTTGAAGTGGTTCAGCATTAGTAGCTACTGTCCACCAACCAGTTTTCCAAAGACAAGTATTAGCACTTATATGGGTGATTTAGAAATTTCACACACTGCTGATGGAAAGTCAGCTAGTTGCTCCATATATGTACCAATGCTTGTCTTTTTCATTTTATCCATTCAAGTAGGTGTGTAGTAGTATTGCATTGTGATGTTGATTTTCATTTCTTTGACCGCAAAAGAAGTTGAGCACTCTTTCATATTTTTATTGTTTTTTTAACATCTTCTTTTCTGAATTGTCTATATGTATCTTTTTCCCATCTAACCCCATTGTGTCAGTTATATTTTCTTTATTGATTTGTGAGGATTCTTCATGTACTCTGTGTTGTTGAAAAAAATGTACTGCAAATACATTCCCTTATTCTGGCACTTATCTTTTTACACTTTTAATGGTTCCTTTTAATGAACAGAAATTCTTAATTTTAATGTAATCTAATTATTATTTTTTCCTTTATGGTTAGTGCTGTTTATATCCAGTTTAAAACTTATTTGCCTAGCCCAAAATTATGATGATATTCTTTCATGGTATTTTAAGCCATTCTTGTTTAGATTTTCAATCTATCTGGGGTTAATTTTTGTGTATTATGTATGATAAGGATAAGATTTATTTTTTCTGAACATATATCATATTGATCCATTAATTGAAGACTATTCTTATCCCCCTACCTTAAAGTTTCACTTCTGTCTCAAATTGAGTGATCGCATATGTATAGGTCTGTTCCTAGATTCTTATCCTGGTCTATTGGTCTATTTGTCTTTCTGTGAAACACTGAATTGTACTAATTACTGTAACTATAATTAACTTGATTTCTGGTAACATAAGCCTTATAGTCATATTGTTCTTTTTAAAAAGTGTTTATTTTAAATATAGACAGAGTCTGTCTATGTTGGCCAGGCTGGTCTCAAACTCCCGGGCTCCAGTGATCCTCCCACCTCAGCCTCCCAAAGTACTGAGATTACAGGCATGAGCTACTATGCCCAGCCAACTTTATTGTTCCTTGTGATTTGCTTGACCCTATCATCTCTCCACAAATTCTAGAATCAATTTGTCAGTTTTTATGTAAATAAACTATAACAACAATCTGGTGTTTGGTTTGGATTGTATTGAATATATAAATAAGTTTGAGGGAAACATATTTAAATGGTAGATCTAATCCATGAACATGGTATAGTCTTTCCATTTAGTTAGGTCTTCTGTAACTCAGTATTTTTAAAAAGGTTTCAATGTAGGAAACTTTTACATATTTCATTAAATATATTCCTATTTATTTTGCTGGTACTATATATAAATAATATTTTATTTTATTGTTTGTTGCTAGAATTTAGAAATTAAAATTATTTTGTACCCAGGATTTTGCTAAATTTACTTATTAATTCTAACATTTAATGTAAATTAAATTGACAGTCAAACAGGGGCAATTAATGTTACTCAGGGATTTTAAAGAAGCAGTATAAAGTGGTGATATTTTAAGAGCATGTCCTTCAAAGGCAGACAGAGCTGGGTTTATGTTCTGGCTACTGCCATGTATGAACTGGACAAGTCAGTTAATTTTCTTATGTATAACACAGAGATAACAATGGTTTCTACTCATAAGTTGCTACTGGCATATAGTAAAATAATTGATGTTAAGTGTTCAGCACAGGACCTGGCAGGTTGGACTTTTGCCTCAATTGATGTAAGCTGTTAGATATAAGCATTAAATATCATTTGACATCTAACAATTTTTCCTCCTGTTAGCCATAGAGCTTTTCCTAAAACTTTTCTGATGTTGTAGAATCAGTCAAGAAATAAAATGCTCTAAGGTCATGAAAATTTTGCACACACCCATTCTATGATGAGATTAGTTGTGTACGGGGTAAAAAGACTACTACTAGCCCTTTAACCATCTTCCCTTTGCTTCTTGCCCTTTGAATCAGTGGAGGAGAAAGCAAGATGTTTTTAATTTGACCTCTCCTACCTTCTTAGGGATCAATGTGTCCTTGACTCACTTTTGCCCTGTTTCCTTAAGTATGGGACTAAGACGTCTTGGCTTTTTATGATTTAATAATTCCCATCAAGAGAGGAGACTGAGGGTTCCCTAGGGCTCACCTCTGTAGCTATCTAAATATTCTTAGCATCAAGAGCCTTCATCCTTCAGTCTTACTCCACTGGACAGTATAAACACATAAGATTAATGGGTAAAGTAGATCAAAGTTTAGCACATCAGAGTTAAATTGTTTATAACTGTTACCAATTCCAAGTGAAGTTCAGACCTAAAATGGGTGTGAGGTAGGGAGTGCTATGTGTATAGTAGGCATGCATGTGTATGTGTGTATATATCCTTACTGATACATTGACCTCTATTAATTTGAAAATGAACTGTAATATTGTCTTGTAATCACTCTCTTTCTGTTCTACTACACTCAGAAGGGATCCGGTTACCTGGTATTTTCTGAGAATTTGTTGGATGTGTGAAGACATAGAAAAAATAAACAAATCTCCACCACCATTACTCCTTGCCAGTTTTTTAAGTTTCATAGATTTCACCCAATATTGATGCTTTGTATTCTGTAAGGATGTAAGAAGGAATTTTATAGACTATATATAAAATGCCTGTAGTGAAAAGTGATACCCATGCTAAATTTCCTGTAGAATACTTCCTTTGTGTACAGTAAACACAAGGCCTATGACAACCTTAACTCATTTTCGTCTGAGTGTGAATGAACTTGACCAACTATCAAGAGCTTTAGATTACAATACAAAATTAATGCAGAATAAGTATGATTTTGTTTTAGAAACCTAGGCAAGTTAAGGGATTATAAGTTGCTAATAACCAGCTTATGCTGAGGTTGAGATAATAAGTAGATATACTCTTTAAAAAGCTTTATTGAGATACAATTCACATATCATACAATTCACCTATTTAAAATGTACAAATAAATTTGTTTAGTGTATATTCACAGATATGTGCAACTATTACCACAATCGAGTTTAGAACATTTTCATCATCTTACATCTTACAGCCTGTAAACTTTAGCTATTGCTCGCCACTCCCAACTCTCTCCCCAGCTCCAAATGACCACAAATCTTCCTGTCCCTATAGATTTCTCTGTTCTGGACTTTCATATAAATGGAATCTTATATGTGGACTTTTGTGACTGGCTTCATTCACTTAGGATAATGTTTTCAAGGTTCATCCAAGTTATAGTGTATATCAGTTCTTCCGTTTTATTGTCAAATAATATTCCATTGTATGAACACACCACATTTTGTTTATCCATTTGTCCTTGGATAGACATTTGGGTTAGTTCCACTTTGGGTTATCATAAATAATGCTGCTATGAATGTCTGTATACAAGTTTTTTTGTGGACATGTATTTTTATTTCTCCTATGTATCTAGAGTAGAATTTCTGGGTCACATGGTAACTCCATGTTTAATTATTTGAGAAATTATCAGACCATTTTCCACAGCAGCTGCAATATTTTACATTCCCAGGAGATTTACTCTTAAAAAGAACTCAGAAAGTTTTTTTTTTCCCCTAAGACCTACCAAAACATATAAACTATCCTGTAGCTGAAATATACTCTAAACATTACAGACAGTCAATCAGTACTGAAATATTGTGCAATCAAGTTGACACTCAACATTAACCATCACAGTGCCTATAGGGAAAGATAAACTGAAAGCCAAAAAGTTGATACATGGACTTCTAGAATATAATCGTCTAACTGGAGACTCCCTGGGTATGGGTGAGGGTGATGCACTTATCTCAAAAAAGCATCTGAGGAAAGCACTCATGGCTTAAATTAAATTAGAATATTCTAGAACTAATGAATTTTAGGACATGAATTATTCATTTCATACAGGCCTTGGAGAGAAAAAGCTAACATCTTTTTCAGAGAAATAAACTTTAAAGATGAACCGGGGAAACTTTGGGCAAAATGTTTGCCCCATGCTAAGATTTCATGTAAGTTTAACATTTTTTGAACTATCCTTTGGAAACATTATTTCTCTGTGCAAGGGAACTAATTAAATTTTAAAAGTGTGCATTGGAAAGAGTGTCTGATACAGAACATTTACAGGAGGAGGGAACATGATAGATCAAATTGAGGCTACAACCATTTCAAGAATCTATGCTTATTATGCTTGACTGGGAGACAAGACACAAGTCTTTTTTTAAGACACAAAAAGGGGGAAGTTTTTGAGATGAAAGGTATTTGCATTGTACTTGTTTCTCTTTCTGTGCTTAAAAAAAACCACAATGGTTTGTTCTTGGATATTTTCATGTCCTACAAGAAGATAAATTAATTCTCTTTTCTCCTGTAAATCATCATGTCATGTGATAAGAAAATTGGTTTCCCTCCTGTTTTATGTTTGGGTTGGAGATGTAAATGTAGTAAATTATTCTAGAATTTTTTTCTTTTGTATAAAGAGTAAATTACGCTCCCAATGAACATCTCTTCACTATTACTTAAGACTGATTAGAAGTGAAATGCTGCAGAGGAGAGATTTACTCTCTTTGCCATATTAAGTATAATTTCACTATTCTCTAAAGCAATTGTTTCTGTCATAGTTCTTCAAGGAACATGTTGAAAAGTGATGTTATAAAAAAGATAGAGCCTTTTCAGACTTTTAAGTTTGACTCTCTTGTATCCGTCTTCTAAGAAATACATTTTAAAGGAAACATTTTTTAAAGGAAATATTTTATTGCCATCCCAAACCATTAAGTCATCTAACACAGGCAGAAATCTCTGCATTTTCAGACAATATTTTGCCAAAACTAAACTTTTTAAAAAATCTTAGATGTTTAAATTCTGTGATGCTATGACCAAGGTCCTACAAGGGTAAAAGGAATTTATACTTATTGTTCTCATGCTGCCAAGTCAGCAGGGAGATTTTGAAGCCTAGCATATGAAAACAAGCTGGCCTCCCCATCTCCCCATGGGCTTTTCACTAGGCTATTTAAGGGGGCCCATGCAGGGCCAAGCTCATGGGACACAGGGTCAGATTCTAGGTGGTGTAGAGGAAACCAGAACACATTCACCCTTTTTCTACTAACATGTCCCTTGTGGAAAGGGCCTACTCAGGAAAAAGCTCTTCTTTTATTCCCATGTGATTTTACACACACACACACACACACACACACACACAGTTGACCCTTGAACAACATCGGTTTCTACTGTGTGGGTTTACTTATGCATAAATTTTCTTCTACTTCTAACACTCCTGAAACAACAAGACCAGCCTCCTCCTCTTCCTCCTCCTCCTCATCCTACTCTGGCCTTTATGATGATCCACTTCCATTTAATGAATAGTAAATATGTTTTCCCTTCCTTATGATCATCTGTTTTTTAATTTTTTTTATTATACTTCAAGTTCTAGGGTACATGTGCACAACGTGCAGGTTTGTTACATATGTATACATGTGCCATATTGGTGTGCTGCACCCATTAACTCATCATTTACATTAGGTATATCTCCTAATGCTATCCCTCCCCGCTCCCCCCACCCCACAACAGGCCCCAGTGTGTGATGTTCCCCTTCCTGTGTCCAAGTGTTCTCATTGTTCAGTTCCCACCTATGAGTGAGGACATGCGGTGTTTGGTTTTTTGTCACTGCGATAGTTTGCTGAGAATGATGGTTTCCAGCTTCATCCATGTCCTTACAAAGGACATGAACTCATCCCTTTTTATGGCTGCATAGTATTCCATGGTGTATATGTGCCACATTTTCGTAATCCAGTCTATCATTGTTGGACATTTGGGTTGGTTCCAAGTCTTTGCTATTGTGAATAATGCCGCAATAAACATACTTGTGCATGTGTCTTTATAGCAGCATGATATAATAATGGGATGGCTGGGTCAAGTGGTATTTCTAGTTCTAGATCCTTGAGGAATTGCCTCACTGTCTTCCACAATGGTTGAACTAGTTTGCAATCCCACCAACAGTGTAAAAGTGTTCCTATTTCTCCACATCCTCTCCAGCACCTATTGTTTCCTGACTTTTTAATGATCACCATTCTAACTGGTGTGAGATGGTATCTCATTGTGGTTTTGATTTGCATTTCTCTGATGGCCATTGATGATGAGCATTTTTTCATGTGTCTGTTGGCTGCATAAATGTCTTCTTTTGAGAATTGTCTGTTCATATCCTTCGCCCACTTTTTGATGGGGCTGTTGGTTTTTTTCTTGTAAATTTCTTTGAGTTCTTTGTAGATTCTGGATGTTAGCCTTTTGTCAGATGAGTAGATTGCGAAAATTTTCTCCCATTGTGTAGGTTGCCTGTTCACTCTGATGGTAGTTCCTTTTGCTGTGCAGAAGCTCTTCAGTTTAATTAGATCCCATTTGTCAATTTTGGCTTTTATTGCCATTGCTTTTGGTGTTTTAGACATGAAGTCCTTGCCCATGCCTATGTCCTGAATGGTATTGCCTAGGTTTTCTTCTAGGGTTTTATGGTTTTAGGCCTAACATTTAAGCCTTTAATCCATCTTGAATTAATTTTTGTATAAGGTGTAAGGAAGGGATCCAGTTTCAGCTTTCTACATATGGCTAGCCAGTTTTCCTAGCACAACTTATTAAATAGGGAATTCTTTCCCCATTTCTTGTTTTTGTCAGGTTTGTCAATGATCACATGGTTGTAGATGTGTGGTATTATTTCTGAGGGTTCTGTTCTGTTCCATTGGTCTATATCTCTGTTTTGGTACTAGTACCATGCTGTTTTGGTTACTGTAGCCTTGTAGTATAGTTTGAAGTCAGGTAGCATGATGCCTCCAGCTTTGTTCTTTTGGCTTAGGATTGTCTTGGCAATGTGGGCTCTTTTTTGATTCCATGTGAACTTTAAAGTAGTTTTTTCCAATTCTGTGAAGAAAGTCATTGGTAGCTTGATGGGGATGGCATTGAATCTATAAATTACCTTGGGCAGGATGGCCATTTTCACGATATTGATTCTTCTTATCCATGAGCATGGACTGTTCTTCCATTTGTTTGTGTCCTCTTTTATTTCCTTGAGCAGTGGTTTGTAGTTCTCCTTGAAGAGGTCCTTCACATCCCTTGTAAGTTGGATTCCTAGGTATTTTATTCTCTTTGAAGCAATTGTGAATGGGAGTTCACTCATGATTTGGCTCTCTGTTTGTCTCTTATTGGTGTATAGGAATGCTTGTGATTTTTGCACATTGATTTTGTGTCCTGAGACTTTGCTAAAGTTGCTTATCAGCTTAAGGAGATTTTGGGCTGAGACGATGGGGTTTTCTGAATATACAATCATGTCATCTGCAAACAGGGACAATTTGACTTCCTCTTTTCCTAATTGAATACCCTTTATTTCCTTCTCCTGCCTGATTGCCCTGGCCAGAACTTCCAACACTATGTTGAATAGGAGTGGTGAGAGAGGGCATCCCTGTCTTGTGCCAGTTTTCAAAGGGAATCCTTCCAGTTTTAGACCATTCAGTATGATATTGGCTGTGGGCTTGTCATAAATAGCTCTTATTATTTTGAGATGCGTCCCATCAATACCTAATTTATTGAGAGTTTTTAGCATGAAGGGCTGTCGAATTTTGTCAAAGGCCTTTTCTGCATCTATTGAGATAATCATGTGGTTTTTGTCTTTTGTTCTGTTTATATGCTGGATTACATTTGCTGATTTGCATATGTTGAACCAGCCTTGCATCCCAGGCCTTATGAACATCTTAATAACATTCTTCCCTCTAGCTTATTATAAGCATACAGTATATAATACATATGACATACCAAATAATATGTTAATCCACTGTTTATGTAATCAACTATTTATGTCAACAGTAGACTATTAGTAGTTGATTTTGAGGGGAGTCAGCACACCTAACCTTCTCATTGTTCAGAGTCCAGCTATATACATGCATTTTTGTGTATGTATACATATGTATGGGTATATATATACATATATCTATGTTTACATATATATAAATATATATACATACACATCTCTGTACAAAATAAGTTGTTTAAGCAGGTAAAAGAAAAGACTATGAAGATGACCATCCCCTCCCCCCATGTCCTGTGTACACTCATCTTAGGCTCTATACTTCTAAGCAATCCCTGAAGCATATCAAACAACAGGGCTCCTAGTCTTAAAACAGTTTATCTTTCATTACATCTCTGAAAACTGTTATAAAATTTTAAGTTGCTAATAATTATTATTGCAATTTATTTAACTCATGTAAGCTAAATTCTATGTGTATAATCTTATCTATTCCTTAAAAATCCCTAAAATGTAAATACATTTATTTACCACAATTTCCAGATCATGAAACATGCTCAGAGAGGTCAAGGTTCTTGCAGGAGGTAATTCAGCCATTGAATTTACATTGTGAGAATCCTGAACCCCAAAATGCATTTTCTCAATGATTCTGACATACTATTAGTAAACAAGTAACCACTAAAGAAACAAACAATCCAGCTCCTCTACTTTATCAAAAACTATAGTCCTGGCCAGAAGTGGTGGCTCATGCCTGTAATCCCAACACTTTAGGAGGCCGAGGCAGGCAAATCACCTGAGGTCAGGAGTTTGAGACCAGCCCGGCCAACATGGTGAAACCGTCTCTACCCAAAATACAAAAATTAGCTGGGCATGGTGGGGGGTGCCTGTAATCCCAGCTACTAGGGAGGCTGAGGTAGGAGAATTGCTTGAGCCCATGAGGCAGAGGTTGCAGTGAGCCGAGATCATGCCACTGCACTCCAGCCTAGGCTACAGAGTGAGACTCTGAAAAAAATTAAAATGCAAATAAATAAATAAATAAAAACTGTAGTCCAAAGATGGCAAGGATACACAGCTATGAGTGGCAAAATTCAGACTGGAGCCAGGTTTTTGACCCTTAAGACCTGTGCCCTTCCAGTCCTCAAAATACTTATTTATCTTTATTTTTTACATGGAAATACTTAATGTGGCATCTCTCATTTTAAACCTACAATTAGTATGGAGAAAACTATGCTGAAACTTTGCAAGCTTTTTCTTGTTGAACAATCAACTCTTATTTCTAAAAAAGTTTTTTTGGGTTTAATCAATGGGAACATGGAAAATTGCTTTTGAGGGCTCCTTGGTATTGTCCTAGGGAAAGTTGAGCCAGCTGACGCCCAGCATGGGGCCCAAGGTTCTGACGTGATTACTTTCTTCAGTAATCAGAATGACTGCAGCCTCTTCACCTAGATTTCATAATGAAGCAACAAGAGCCAAGGCTGAGTAAGGTTATTCAAGGCAGAAATTTCTCACGGAGTGATGGGAGCATGAGGCACATGTTTTAAAATAAATGACTGTTTGGGATTCTTCTACAATCTTCAGATTTCTTACCACCAGTGCATTTCACCTTCATTAGGAACACCTTACTTTCAGTTAAGGGACAGTGGAAGAATTAACGATGTATTAATCAGGACTCTCTTAATTGTAAGTGGCGGAAAACACAATCTAAGCTGGTTTATGCAAAAAGGAAAAGATGAGGGCTCATTTAGGTAGCACCTCCATGGGTAGGGCTCATGAGGCATGGCTTGACAAGTGGCTGATACCATGGCACTGAGATCTGATTTCTTTCTGCCTTCTGCTGTCTTAGCTCCATTCTCAGAAAGATTCTTCCCTTCTAAGGGTAAAATTGTGGTAGCTGTTCAAGTTCAAAAACAAGGGAAAAAGCGTGTGCTTCCCTAATAGCTCAAAAAGAAAGAAAAAATCCTGGAATTGAGTCTAATTGTTCCATGTGACCGTAATCTGAACCAATGGCTATGACCAAATTTCATCTTCTGGAAGATCAAAGGCAACATGGAGTGAGGAAATAGAGTGCTTGTTGAAAGGCAGTTAGAACCCATGACTGGAGTTACCTGATGTAGTTTTACCATTGTATGGCCTTGGGTAAGTTAATTTAGCTCTTAGGTTCACATGTTGCTCCCTGTGAAATGGGAGACTAGATTACATCTAAGGGATCTTACAGTTCCAGTGTGACAGCTTTTTGTTTGTGGAATGTTCCAACATTTGAGAGTTGAGGGGCTCCAATTGTATCATCCACAAAATCATCTAAGAATAGTTTTGAATAGAAGTTTCATGTTTCACGCATGGAACCATGAAACTCAAAGGAGGAATAAAAGGGAAGGGGACAGATTGATCATACCCAGATGGAATTAAAATTAGGGAGAGCTATCTGGCCAAGTGAAATTAGAGGCTGTTAAAGTCTGATGAATGAATCCTGGTCAGCCTAAAATTTTTTTAAAATCACTAAAAAAAATTTGGAAGCCAATGCGCACTAGTGACTATGATTAAAATTGATACTATATTGAACTGTATCATTGTCATACAGGAATTGGGTATCCAAAATAATGAGACTTAGTATTCAGCATAAAACTTCCTTCAGTTATCTGGACATCCATCATTCATCAAGAATTAACTGAGACCCCATTCCTTCTGGAAAATAATATACTTTGCAACTTTTAACTGCATTGCATTTTGCATTTGGTCACTATTAGCACTGGCCCTACTATGTCATTTAGTCCTTTCCAACATGAAGTCTTTCTCTTTTCTCCTTTGCTTAGATATGTTTTGTATACATATATGTATGGCCATCTTTGACTTGAACTCACAGCATCAACACCACTGTAGATTATTCCTTCCTTTTAGAAATATTATCTTCCCTTAACTGCCTACTCTTTCTTGTTCTTTACCTCTTTAGATGTTTTCTTCCATCACTTTTATACACTCTTCTTTGCTTGCTTATTCTTTAAATGTGCTAGCCTAGACCCACTTCTCATCCCAATTTCATACTGTCTTTATATAATTAAACCTACTCCTATGCTTTGAATTCTTCTTCTTTTTCTGGGGACTCCTACAGCTATGTTTCTGATCCTGGTCAAATCTCTTTCCTGAATTCTAGATGTATTTATTTACTAGATTTTTCTACTTTGATGTCACCACTTTATTGAACTCCAGATATCCAAAATTAAATTGATGAATTATCCCCATCTTGTTTTAACCACACCAACCTGGTTGTCTTCATTTAGGCTTTTCTATCTAAGCCAATGTCACCACCTTCCAATTGCCCAAAAACCTGGAATTATTCTTATTGCTTCTCCCTCTACTACATCCCATCAATAACCAAGTTTCGTGAATTCTGCCTCTTATATATCTCTTAAAGTCATGCAGGTCTACCTTCTGACTACCAATATACTACTCCAAAGCCACCATCTCCTCTCATCTGTAGCTCTACAGGAACCAACTGGTCTTGTTATCACACTTCCCCACCCCCTGTTTTCTCAACTATTTTCCTGCTCCCAGAAAGTGCTTTCAGATATGCTGGAAGCCAAGTGAACACTTTTTGCCCCTGCTTAAACACTCACTATTTGTCAGTGAGTGTCCGTTGTTATTAGTATACAAAACAATATTTTCAAAATAGTCCTTCCTGGCTCATTCTCATCTACTCTCTTGTGTCTCTCACAACGCTTTCCTTCTTTCACTCCAAGCTCCAGCCATCCCAGTTATGCAAACCATTTCATAAGAAAAAAAGTGTCCAAAGAAGCCAGTGCCCAATTTAAACACATCAAAGGAGTTGACAAAATATTTTGCATTTTTGATCAAAGCTCATGTCACGTTTCAAAATCACATTTTAATCAAATTTTATTAAAATATAGCATTTTCAGGGCTATTTTCCTCAGGTCATAAAATTATGGCAACTTATTCTTGATTTGGCAATGATTTTCAAAATTTAGGATGTGAAAAAAATAAACCAGGAAGTTCCAAAAAAAAAATTCAACCATGAAGTTCCAAAAAAACAAAAAAAAACAAAAAAAACAAAACCTTTCAGTATCCAGCCCTAGAGATGCTTATTCAACAGATTTTAGGTGAGACCCAGTGTTCTGCATTCTAATAAGTTCCCAATGTGACTCTAATGCAAAAGGTCCCAAGGTCATAGTTTGAGACAGTTTCAAGAGGACCGGTATTATTTGGCTGTATCCAGGTGGGTGCACTCTCCTGAAAGCTGGGGGCGGGCAGGGGGGGTCACTGAAAAGAATACATGCCTTAAGATTCTTTTTATCCAACCCTTTGATCTTTCATGTGTGTATTAACTACTTTTCCTGGATAAGGACTGAATTCCTTACAAGCCCAGCTCTATTCTTGTCACAGCATTGTGTTTAGTCAATGTTTGCTGCATCTGTAAGCATGACTTCTTCGCTTTGGGATCAGTCTTCATTTGCTATTAATATCTTTCCCCAGAATGAAGGTGATTTATGAAATAGGTAGGTATTAGTCCGTTTTCACACTGCTGATGAAGACATACCCAAGACTGGGTAATGTATACAGGAAAAAGGGTTTAATGGACTTACAGTTCCACATGGCTGGGGAGGTCTTACAATCATGGCAGAAGGCAAGAAAGAGCAAGTTATATCTTATGTGGATGGCAGCAGGCAAAAAAAAAAATGCTTCTGCAGGGAAACTCCCCTTATATAACCATCAGATCTTATGAGACTTATTCACTATCATGAGAACAGCATGGGAAAGACCTGCCCTGTGATTCAATTACTTCCTACCAGGTTACTCCCTCAACATGTGAGAATTCAAGGTGAGAATTTGTGGGCACACAGCCAAACCATATCATTCTGCCCCTGGCCCCGCCAAAATCTCATGTCCTCACATTTCAAAACCAATCATGCTTTTCTGTCAGTCCCCCAGAGTCTTGGGGATGAACATTTGGCTCCTTGTTATGTATGCAAATTTCTGCAGCTGGCTTGAGAATTTCTTCTCAGAAAATGGGATTTTCTTTTCTATTGCATTGTCAGGCTGCAAATTTCCTGAACCTTTATGTTCTGCTTCCTTTGTAAAACTGAATCCCTTTAACAGCACCAAAGTCACCTCCTGAATGCTTTGCTGCTTAGAAATTTCTTCTGCCAGCTACCCTAAATCATATCTCCCAAGTTCAAAGTCCCACAAATCTCTAGGGCAGGGGAAAAATGCATCCAGTCTCTTTGCTAAAACATAACAAGAGTCACCTTTGCTCCATCCTCATCTCCATCTGAGACTATCTCAGCCTGGATTTCATTGTCCATGTCATTATCAGCATTTTGGTCAAAGCCATTCAACAAGTTTCTAGAGAGTTCCAAACTGCCCCACATTTTTCTGTCTTCCTCTGAGCCCTCCAAACTGTTCCAATCTCTGCCTGTTACTCAATTCCAAAGTTGCTTCCACATTTTCAGGTGTCTTTTCAGCAGTGCCCCAACTCTACTAGTACTAATTTACTGTATTAGTCCGTTTTCACTGATGAAGAAAACTGCTGATGAAAACATACCCGAGGCTGGGTAATTTGTACAGGAAAAAGGGTTTAATGAACTTACAGTTTCATGTGACTGGGGAGGCCTCACAATCATGATGGAAGGCAAAGGAGAGCAAGTCACATCTTACATGGATGGCAGTAGGAAAAAAAAAAAAGCTTGTTCAGGGAAACTCTTTCTTATAGAACCATTAGATCTCATGAGACTTATTCACTGTCATGAGAAGAGCAAGGGAAAGACCTGCCCCCCATGATTCAGTTACCTCCCACTGGGTCCCTCCCACAACATGTGGGAATTCAAGATGACATTTGGGTGGGGACACAGCCAAACCATATCAATGTATGAGATATACAGATATATATTAATATTATATATATATATATGTGTATGTATGTATGTATATGTATATATATGCAAATATACATATATAGTGTAATGTATTTTATTTTTTAGTCATATGCTCAACATCGTTTGAAGTGGACTTCTCCTCTTTTTTACTGTCACTCCACTCATTTAACAAATTGTTAGCAAGTGCTTTCTATTCTCTCAGCTCTGTGATGGGCTCAGGTAGATTTAATAATAGGTCACAATTTGTCCCAGTTCCCACAGAGTTTTCAGTCCACTGACAGGCAACAAGGAAATAAGGGCATTGCACAACACATTCTTTAATTACAGTTGTGGAAGTGCTAGGAAAAAAAGTAGGTGGCAATAACAGCAAATATCATGGGGGTTATGCACATACAAACACACCCACACACTTAGGTTTTCCTTATTATTCAGTGTCTGCAGGTCTTTTAGGGAAAAGGGAATCTCTTTGACCTAGACACTGGACAATGTTAGATTTGGCAGTTGATCAAGAATATCGTTAACTGCATGGGGTTGTCCTGAGTTCTGAAATATCCTTTGATGTTTACGGAGTAATTTTAAATGGTGATTTTTTCCCCCACATTTGATTTAAAACAAATAGTAGGCCAAGTGTGGTGGCTTACGCCTGTAATCCCAGCACTTTGGGAGGCTGAGGCAGGCGGATCATGAGGTCAGGAGTTCGAGACCAGCCTGGCTAACATGGTGAATCCCTATCTCTATTAAAAATACAAAAATTAGCCAGGTGTGGTGGCGCATACCTGTAATCCCAACTACTTGGGAGGCTGAGGCAGGAGAATTGCTTGAACCAGGGAGCTGGAGGTTGCAGTGAGCCAAGATCACGCCACTGCATTCTAGCCTGGGTGACAGAGCAAGACGCAGTCTTGGAAAAAAAAAAAAAGAAAAGAAATAGTAGCCAATAATACCACTTTTTGGTTTTAATAAGATTCTGTAAGACAAAGAAAATATCTTTGAGGAAAGTTTATACCTATACTAGCAGCATATATGCTGTTTCCTCAGCCTAGAAGAGGGCATTTGTCATCTGCTGTGGAATCAACCTCTTTACACTGTATTGTCAGAATAATGATTCAGAAAGGCAGACTGAATGTGTGTATTGTGTATTATATTATACATTCAGGGGGCACTATGGATGGGTGTGTTGCTTTTATTCTTTCTGGTTGGCACACTTTTTAGGCTTTCATGATTCATGATGGGGTCTCCTGAAACTGACCCCTCTTTCCTGGGTGTAGGGGGAAGGATTTTTGTTTGGGTAGGCTAACTTAGTACTGTTTGAACCTTTGAAACTATATAAAGATAGGAAAAATGTAATCTATCATGCCAAATACTTCCTTTTATGAACATTTTTACTCTGCTGAAGCCTCTGTGTATCCCATACAGATATGTCCCTTGCTGAGCACTGCAGTTCCAGCAGGGGCAGCTGAGAGAGGGCATGCCGGCACCTGTGTTTGTGGCCTTGTCCCAGAGCAGTGGCTCTTTCTTGTCAGCTGGCTGGCTTCCAGGCGCAATAAGAGAGCATGCTGATTTCCAAGTATAATGCTTTGCTGGGGCTGGAATCAAAGCTGTCAATAGTAAAGAGCTTTCTTTTTAGTCTTCTTATATATTCAGCGGGAATTCAGCAGTGAAAACATGACCAACAATAGGCAGAGGGCCTGTAACAGTCTTTAAAACTCATGCAGATGGTTTTCAAACCTTAATTGTCTAAAAATGGCATGCATTGTTGACTGAAATACTAGCTTGGGCTGCAAACTAGGTGTAATAACTTTCTTACCTATCTGCTGAATCTATTGTTTCCTCGCTCATCAGGAATTTAAAGAGTTTACATCTGAAAGACTTGGTTTGGGGAATTAGAGGGTTCCCTGATTTTGCTGAGAAATGTATTAATAATGTCTACTAGTTATGTATGAGTTATAACAATGAGGTAGTCCCATGAGATATAAAATGCAAAAAGTTTTAAAAATATGAAACCAGTGATATTTTATTGGTTGGGAATCTCTTGGTTGAAAGTGATAGCAAGCCATTTAATGTGGCCTAAAGCAAAAGATACATTTATTGAAAAGTTCAGGAATTGTAAAGTTCATCAGGAATGCTGGATCCAGGAGTCCAGATTACATAGTCAGGGGTTAGTCCATCTCCTCTCTATCTTCACTTTTTCTTTGTTCTCTGTTGTCTCATTGGTGGACATGTGATGACCCCCCAGCAGCCCAGGCTTGTACATCCTTATGGTAATCAAATGCTATAAATCGCCCTGAGTCACCTTAGGGTTCATTACAGTTGGGTTCATTACACTCACCCTACAGTAATCAAATGCTGTAAGCTTTCTCAGCTGCCCTAGAGTTCACTCTGATTCGATTAACCTAGGTAACATCATCAATCTTTGAACCAGCCACTGTGATCAAGCAGATGGAATATACTCATTCTCCAAGCATGGATCATATGACTACCCTTTAAAATGAAATGGGTATGAGGTTAGCTGATCAGCACAACCCAAACCACATGGACAGAAAATTCGGAATGGATTATTCCCCAAAGGAAAACCAGGTTGCCAGATAGAAAAATGGGCATTGGACAAAAATAGTCAATGTCCATTACTAATATCACAGAACATCCAAGGACCCTTGCAGAGCATCTGTCCCCATTCTTACTCTTGCCAACTCGTCTTGATCCACTATGCCTTCTTCTGGGGACTTGAATACACTGAGCTTCATCCCACCTAAAGTTCTCTTTCGTTGCATCAGGCAACTCTGTATTTCCTAACATGCCCTTCACTTTCATGCCTCTAAGCTCTTACTCTTGCTCTTCCCTTCACTTGTCCATCTTAGGTGTGGTTCTCTCCATCTTTCAAGAACCCACTCAGTTATTGTGTCTCTTCTCCCAACCTAAACAGACTTCGTTGCTCCCTCCTCTGTTTCTCATAGCTCAACTAGAATAGCTGTCCAGTTGTGCGCCAGTTAGGTGTTTATGTATTAGTTTTCCCAGCTAGTCTGCAAGCTCTTTGAGAGTCTGAGCTGTGTCTTTTGTGTCTTTATGTAAATGATTGGAAAAGTCATATCAAAATAATGCTCTAAGAAGTTTTCTTATAGAAGTAACAATTTTTAAAATTACCTTAATAAGCACTACTGGAGTAAGTGGGCTAAGTGCTTTATATATATATATATATATATATATATATATATATATATATATATATATATATATATATATATATATAGCTTCGCTTATGTCTTACAAAAATCCTATAAGGTAGGTACTATGTACTATTCTTCTGTTCTACAGATGAGAAAAACCGAGGCTCAAAGAAGTTATGCAACTTGCCTATGGTTACGCAGCTAATAAGTGCCCAAGCTGAAATCTGAATCCAGATTTGCTTGATTTTAAAGTCTGAGGTATTAGCCATTGTGCAAACCGTCTCTTAGCCAGTAACTGTGTTTGCAAATGGGTAGTTATTCAGATACCAATGGATGCACTGAAGACTTCTCTACTCTTCCCCACCCCATCCTATCCCCACCAGAAATAAATTCTGCTTTCTCAATATGAAATTTTCTAGACCATTAGCTTAAATCTACTGTGCCAGTTTTTTAAGAACCTTTATTCCTGACTTTGCAATTGACTGATTCCAAGTATGCTGATCCACTAAGGAGCACCCTGTCCCAAATGAAATGGAATAGTTCTTTCTATAATAAAAGTTCACACTAAAGTTGACAAGATATTCAAAATGCCTGCCCTTCATAGAGGCTATATTTGTTATGTAAGCAAGGCAGTCTGACTTGTAACCAGTAGGTGGCACTAGACTTTCCCCTCCCGGCTATGGCTGTAACTGGTTATGGAGTTGTTCTGTTACTAAGCGGCGGCTGAAAGGGACCCATGGAATGCAGTTGCATGGCTTCCTATCAGTGAAATCATTCTGGATAGAGCAGGGTTCTTCCCCCAGCTTGCACTCAGCCTTGTCCTAGGCGTAGAGCAGGGTCATATGGATTAAATACCGGTTCTTAGGTGCACAAAGAAAAATGCAACCAGTCCAAGCGTGGCAATCTCCTTAGGCCACCCTTCCAGCTGCTGGCTCTTTGGCACTGTGATTTGTCTAAAGCTGATGGTGGGGGAGGTGAACATACAGGTACATTGCAAATCATTAGGAGGAAAAGTACTTCATACTCAGAATCTGGACTGGAGTGGTAGGCTGTGCCAGGAAATGCTTTTCTCTGCACAGTTAGGGCAACTAAATGCCTTGATTAGGGACAATGTCTAGCCACTCAATCAACATTTCCTAAATCTCTTCTAGTAATTCAAATCATTCTGGAAGCTCAAAAGGATATGAAGATGGAAAAAGCATAGTTCCTGTATTCCAGGAGCTTACCATCTACTAATAATGAATCTAATATCCATTGATTCAGCCAGTACTGATTGGGCACCTATTGAGAAATGGGGAATAGAGTGTTAGATCACACTGCCTGGATAGAGCTTACAGCCTAGTGGAGAATATA
Source organism: Homo sapiens (assembly GCF_000001405.40). Classification (NCBI taxonomy): domain Eukaryota; kingdom Metazoa; phylum Chordata; class Mammalia; order Primates; family Hominidae; genus Homo; species Homo sapiens. The sequence goes on along the minus strand of NC_000010.11, from coordinate 111,597,962 downwards.
GACATTAAGCAAGTAATAACACATTACTAGTATAATAAATACCATGGTAATAAAGTAACAAGACATCCTTGCTATGAGGACATATAGCAAGGAGGTCTGGAGGCGTGTGAGTCATACAAGGCCTTCTAGAAGAGATGATTATAAGGGGATATCCAAAGAGGAGCTGGAATTAAGTGGGCAGAATGGAGAAGGGAGAGGAGAAGAATGAGAATCATGTCAGGTAGAGGGAAGAGCATGTGATAACCCAGAGGCAGGGTGGAATGAGGTACTTTTAAAGAACTAAAAAAAAGTCTGTGAGGCTAGAGCTGGGTGAGCAATAAGAAAAGTTGTAGAAGATGGGGCTAAAAGGATTGATAGTCAGGACCAGATGATGCAGAGCCTTGTATACCATGTTGAGGAATTTAAAATGTATGCAAGAGCAATGAGGAAGCCCTGATAGATTTGAAAAAGATTGGTGTTATGACATCATATGTTCATTTATTTATCTAATAATATTTATTGCATGCCTACTCTGTGCCAGTGTATCAGGTGCTAGAAACTTTAATAGAGATGTAAATTATAATTTAAAATTTTAAAAAGTAATTGATTCAGAAAGATGGGAGGCAGGAAAGTTTTCTTAGAATGAAAAATGTATTCATGCAACAAAAAGTTTTGGGCACCCTGGCATATCTCAGGATCTGTTCTAGGCCCTGGAGATTCAATGGTGAATTATACCCAGTCCTCATCACAAGGAATATTTATTGTGTGCATTGAAATTCATGGCAGGAGGTATAGCATGTAGGAGATGAAAGGGAAAAATCAGTCAACTGAAAGATCTGCTCTGGCAGACACTGAGAGTGTGGCACGGTGGAAGCTAATAGTAACCAGGATCCAGCACATTAGTGTTTACACTTTCATGTTCATGATCCCAGTTTTCAAAAACCGACTGTGTCCCACTAAAAGGAACTAGGAATCCATGGAAGAATGACTAATTCCAGATCTGAGACAGGAAATGCATAAGATGAGCATTGGCCATCTTTTTATGCAGATAGCAAAGATGTAGTCAAAGATGAATGGAATTACATCAAAAGGACATCGAAACAGTTTGAAGGGTCACTCATTGACCAAAGATGGGACAATTTGAACATCAGAACAAATTAACTGAGGAACACCTCTGTGAATTTACAAAAATATACATGTTTATAATAATAGTTTTTTTAAAAAGATAGCCCTTAACCCCCCAAATTAAAAAAGACTCATTGGTCACATTGGAAGTAACCTCACTCTGAAAATTAAAGGGAAATAATTAAACATTTATTTTTTCTTTCTTGGATAAGCAGTATTTCAATATGACCAAGTAGCCCTAGTTGACGAAGAAAACTACTTCTTTATAGAGGAATTCCACCTAATAAATGTAAAGGGTTGAAGAAGTGACAGAATTAGAACATTATCATTTTGCAACTTATAATAAGAATCAATAATTTAGGCAAAGATTTTCAATGAATGAAGACATTTTTAAAAATGAATGGAGAATTTTTCCATGAAAGGTCAGGCTTTTACCATTTGAACCCACTGATTAATTTAAGTAATACTTATTCTAGTGAATAAACCAGAAATATTTACCACTTGAAGGAAGATAAAATACATGGCATCCCGTATGATGTAATTTTGGGAAGAAAGGTCAAACATGACTATAATGGAACCCTCAGAGAAAAAGTGTTGTTATTAACAAACATGAAGTTTACAGAAACAAATTAAAAGACAGTAGAATGAAAAAGTAAAATGATGAGGAAGGCACTGCTCTATATGAAAAGATTCTAGGAGACATAACCAAATGCAATGTGTAATCCTATTTGGATACTGTTTTGAACAAGCTTCCTATAAAATGAAATTTTTGTTACAATCAGGAAATGTGAATATAATGGATAATTAGACAAATCACAGAATTATTGTTAATTTGACTAGAGTTGATGATGGCATTGTGGTTATATATGAAAATGTCTGTATTTTATAGAAATGCATACTGAAGTATAGAGTGGTTAAATGACATGAGTTCTGAGATTTGCTTAAAAACACTTAGCCAAGAAAGGAAGGCATAATGTCTGATACTGGTGTGGCAAAATCTAGGAAACTGTTGAATCTGGGTGTAGTATATAGGTGTTCTCTGTACTATACATGTTTGAAATTATTCATAAAAAACCATGACTGTGGCATTGTGAGGTAAGTAAGGCAGAGTATGCTCCAAACACCCATGATTAGAAGTCTTACATCTGAAGCACGTGTATTGGTGTGAGGTCATGTAGCTAATAAGAAACAGGACTATGACTGGAACTCTAATTCCAAGTCTAGCACTCTTTCCATAACAGCTCTCACTTTGCTTTTCTAGAGTGCATTCACAAGTCACCCTCTTTGGCTCTTTGGCTCACGAGATGGCTCTAGCATTAGAAGAAGGCAGACAGCATTTTGTTCCTTACATTTTGCCCATTTCCCTAGAACTGGAAAAGAGGGCTGTGGTTTGTCAATAGGCTCCTGGAGGGAGGTGGTTTCCAACTGCTGAGTAGACGAATGACCAGGCACTAGTAAAAGGTGTGTTCACTGGCTAAAAGTTAGACCAAGCCCTGGCTTCTGGCCTTTCCTAAGCCACAGGCAAATCCCAGGCACATTGATCATCTGCAAGCATGTTTCTACCTGTTCTCATCTCTTCTCTTTGCAGCAGGTTATCCTTCCTCAAATATGAGAATATGAAATGCTTTAATGAGGGTATAAGAAATCGACCTGCTCACTTCCAAGCAAAACTGTGGGCAAAAGTTCACATTTAGATGGTGTCTATAATTCTCTTTTGCTGTGTACCTCTGAGAGGTTTTATTTGGATCAGCAAAGAGGTGGGAGTGCTAACACAAATGAAACATAACTAGCTTTATTTTCGGTAAAATGACGCTAACTGACATTACTACCTACTGCATGGCTGGCACTCTGTTAGTGGATTTCCAAAAGTTAACTCATTCAATTCTATGTAAATTTTAATTAAAAACAAAACAGTCTGGAGAACAGATTTTGGAAAACTCGAGGCCTAAAACAAGATTGAAAGTCTACCATTTACTTTCCCTTCTCCGGAAACCCAGGGAGAATGATTGCAGAGACACTAAGTCACTGGGATTCTGTAACCATAGGTGAAATTGCTAGGCTGGTGCCCATAGAGTTTGCACTTTATAGGGTGGATAAAAAGAATAAATTTCTGTGTTCTTTGGTTATAAAAGTGTCTATGTCTAGCTTGTGAGGACATTTGTTGGGCTGTGACCATGAAGAAAATTGCAGAATGAGTTAGCTGAAAATGTTAAAACGTGATCCCTATACCGTAAGTTCCAGCAGGAGTCATGTCTATCATGCATATCATTGTATCTGTAGCAACTAACACAGTTCCTAGCCCAGAGTAGATACTCAACAATTATTGATTTGTTTTGAATGAATGAATGAGTCAAAATGAATTTGCTATCCTTAAAGTGTATCCCAAACATTTGCTTATTCCATGCCAAGTTGACCACCGTCAAGCAAGTTGTGAGGTGGAATTCTGTTGGTTGCAAATTGTAAATCACAGAAATACACAGATTCTTGTGTATGTTATAAATGCATTGGTCTTTCTCAAATCTTGGCAATTGTAGCTACACATCTGTGCATTACTGGTCTTATTCACCCTCTGAATGCAATTAGTGATGCAGGTTCACCCTTCTCAAAATCATGCTTGTCTTAATGTAGAACTCACCTACTAAGCCCAGCTTTTGAGATTTCCTCCAATCTTGTCTTCCACCTCAGACCTCTATGTTTCCAGAATGTACTAGACTATTCAGCATATATTTAATCATTTTCTATCCAGTCCAAATTTCCTCAAACTTCCTATTGTCTACAGATTACTCAGAAATGCCCAGCCTGGCAGGCTCTGTCATTGGAATCCTGTCTCCCAAACCAATCAGTCTTCCCAGCCCACCCTAATAGGAGTCTTTGTAGCCAGAGTGGGGCTTAGTCCTTAGCCCCAGTCCCGGCAGGCCTTGAACAGTCAGCAAACCCAGGCAGAAGGAATGAGGCAGCTGCACTCAGTTTCTTCATTCTCCCAAATGCTTAGGAATTCTGTTTAGCCAGAAACTCCACTTATGATGAATCACAGTTGTACACAAATTATATATACACTCTTGACAACTCAAGTTCTTCACTGAATAATTCTATGCTCATTCCAACGATATGAAAGCGTATGTGCCTGTAAGGAGGATCTGACTGCCATAGACTCCTCATTTCCCATGCTTATCTCCTGTATTAGTCAGCTCAGGCTGCCATAAAGAAAAACACCATAGACTGTGTAACTTAAACAACAGAAAGTTATTTCTCACAGTTCTGAAGGCTGGAAGTCTGAGATCAGATGCCAGCATGGTTAGGTTCTGGCATAGACTCTCTTCCTGGCTTAGAGGCGGCCACCTTCTCACTGTGTCTTCACATGGCAGAGAGAGAAAGAGAGAGCTCTGGTGCCTCATCCTTTTCTTATAAGAGCAACAGCCCTATTGGACTGGGGCCTCATCCTTATAACCTCATTGAATTTTAGTCACCTGCTAATGGCCCGATCTCTAGAGTCACCTTGGGAGTTAGGCTTCAATATATACATTTTGGGGAAACACAATTAGGTTCATAGCATAGCCTCATTATTTATACTACCTATATCACCCCTCATTCTAGTTTCTTATGTCATATTTGAGCCAAGGCTTAAGACACAAAAATCCCCATGCTTTATTATAATTTGTCTGAAAGAAAAAAGCTCAAGACAGGAAATTTCTAATGAGTTTAATTTTTCAAAAACTCTTTTATTTGTGTTTTACCAGGGCTCAGAGAGATCTGACACATTTTGGAATTTACAGAAATGTTGTTCTACCAGAGCACCAGTTGAGCTCAGTGATTAGGGGCACCAACTGTGGCCTCAGACTTGAGCCTATTTAAAATGACAAACATTTTGCTGCCCTCACCAGCATTTCCAGTCCCCTTATCCTGATCTTTGTTTTCCTATTGTACCTACAGTCCTCTAACATATTATATAATTTGCATATTTGATATATTTGTTTTCTTTCTTTCCTCCTAGAATGTATTAACGACTCAACAGTGCAAGCATTTTTAACTCTCTTGTTCACTGACATATCTCCCATGATTAAACCAGTGCCTGGAACATAATACGTCTTTAGAAAACTTTTTTAAAATGAAGAAATATTTGAATGAGGGCTCAGTGATGTTTAATTTTACGTGTCAATTTGACTGGGTCACAGGGTGCCTAGACATTTGACCAAACTTTATTCTGGGTATACCTGTGAGGATGTTTCTGATTGAGATTAACATTCAAATTTGTAGACTGAGTAAAGCAGACTACCTTCCCTAATTGGTGGGCCTGACCCAATCAATTGAAAGCCTAAATAGAAGAAAAGGCTGACCCTCCCTGGAATAAGAGAAAATTCCTCCTGCCTGACTGCCTTCAAGCTGGGCCATCAGTTTTTTCCTGCCTTTGGATTCCAACAGGAACATGAGCTTTTCCTGGATCTCAAGCCTACCAGCTGTGGAAAGGAACTACACCATCAACTTTCCTGGTTCCCCTGTGTGATGATGCCAGATCTTGGGGCTTCCCAGCCTTCATAATGACATGAGCCAAATATTTATAATAAATCTCTGCCTGCCTCTCTTCCTACATACATGCACACACACACACACACACACACACACACCCTATTGTATCTGTTTCTCTGCAGAACCCTGACTATCACAGATTTTGTTAGTAAGAGTGGTTTTTGAGGAACTGGATTTTAAGAATGAGTTTTTTGAATTGGTTCTAAGGTTTCTAAAATTGATTCTCTAACAGGATTAAAGATGCTAACAATTCTATTTTTAGTAGTAGGGAGAGGACTGATAGCTAATGATGTGATCTAACAATGAAGATATGCAAAATATCACCATTTGATACTACTAATCAACCACTTAGATGACACAGGGATCTGGGTGACACTGCATATGATACTTTCAAACATATTTCTCAAACTAATGAATATAATGAGATTGGGTGGTTGCTCCTAATGTGGAGCATTAAGTGGAGAAAGAAAATGATAAGCTCAGCCAGGCGCAGTGGCTCATGCCTGTAATCCCAGCTCTTTGGGAGGCCATGGTGGACAGATCACTTGAGATCAGGAGTTTAAGACCAGTCTGGCTAATATGGCAAAACCCCATCTCTACTAAAAATACAAAAATTAGCCAGCCGTGTTGGCACATGCCTGTATTCCTAGCACTTTGGGATGTCATGGTGGGCAGATTACTTGAAGTCAGGAGTTTGAGACCAGCCTGGCCAACATGGTAAAACTCCATCTGAACTAAAAATACAAAAATTAGCCAGACGTGATAGCACAAACCTATAGTCTCAGATACTCAGGAGGTTGAGGCAGGAGAATCACTTGAACCTGGCAGGCAGAGTTTGCAGTGAGCCGAGATCATGCCACTGCACTCCAGCCTGGGCAACAGAGTGAAACTCCGTCTCAAAAAAAAGAACGATAAGCTCAGGGATTTGAATTCCCAGCTTAAGCATTACATAAATTACCTGAAATTTTCTATGTGTACCCTGAAAGAAACTCGTCTGCCTCAGCCACAGGGTTGGCCACTGAAAGTCAGACCCAGAATCTCATCCTGCAACTGGCTGAATGACAGTGCAAGTTAAGTCTCAGCCTCATAGGGTGTCTGCTTTTAAAATTAGGGCATTGATTTGGAAGAAATGGATTCTAAAAGTTGGAATAGGGATATGTGTGAATCCCCTGCTAAAGCTGGTGACATTGAGCCCCTAAATTCTGATGAATATTTTTGTCAGTGGAAGAGGTCTCTCCACTTACAGTGAAAGCAGCTTCCCCACCTCCATTGGAAGTAGCCTTCCCACTCGTGTTTGAGCAGAATAATGCATTGTCTGAGGAATGCAGTAATGTGACGCATTACTGTAATGGCTCTGCTCAGGCAGCTGCCACACAAGACAATGTTGAGTCTCCTTGGAACACACTCCACCACTTATCTTTACTCTAGATCTATGACTGACTCAAGTCACAGCAGGTCCCTAAAGGTGAGGTACAAGGTGTGAACCAGGAAGAGGTATTCTATACTTCAAAATAGCTGTCTGAGTTTTCTAATTTATACAGGCAGAAATCCAGGGGACTTGTGTGAAAATGGACGTTAAGGGTGTTGGATAGTAATGGAAGGAACATAAAGTTAGACCAGGCCAAATTTATTTATATGGACTTACTAAGCAGAGATTCTAATGCTTAATGTTGCAGCTCAGGGAGTTAGAAAGGGAGATTGTTAAAAGAGTTTGTTTGATTGCTTGGCTGAAATATACACCAATAGGTGGTTTACAGTTAGTGAGTTAGAAATGATCAACCTGCCTTGGTTTAATGTAGAGGAAGAGATTCAAAGGCTTAGAGAGATTGGAATGTTAGCATAGATTTCTCATTTAAGACCTAATTGCCCACCTTGGAAGGGCCCAGAAAACATATATTTCACCAATGCTGTGAGAAATATATTTGTGAAGGGAGTCCTGCTCTGTAATTGCTTTTCTCTGCAAGTCAAACCTATAGCAGTCACTGAATTGGGAGTCTAACTGCAGTGGAAGTAACTTGATCTCAGAGTATTAGAGGCCAAGTGGCACCACTCAACCACCAAAGACAAGGTGGTTAACGTTGCCAGACTGCAGAGTCAAAAGAACAAATCAACATAATTTGACTTGCACAGACCTAGGGTGTTATCTAGTTGGTCATGGTGTTCCCAGAAGTAAAATAGATAGGAAACCTACTCAATTCTCATTTGATTTGTATAAGCAGACATTTTTCTAGATGAAGTAAACAAAAGTTTAACCTGAACAATAAAAACAGAGAGTTCAGCCCCTCAGTGAATTCTTAGATTTCAATGAGTTTGCAGACTCAGAACCCCTTGCAGAAGGACCGCAGGTTACTGCCAAAAAAAATTTTTTTTTTAAATTTATTTTTTATTTTTTATTTTTAATTATACTTTAAGTTTTAGGGTACATGTGCACATTGTGCAGGTTAGTTACATATGTATACATGTGCCGTGCTGGTGCGCTGCACCCACTAACTCGTCATCTAGCATTAGGTATATCTCCCAATGCTATCCCTCCCCCCTCCCACCTTCCCACCACAGTCCCCAGAGTGTGATATTCCCCTTCCTGTGTCCATGTGATCTCATTGTTCAATTCCCACCTATGAGTGAGAATATGCGGTGTTTGGTTTTTTGTTCTTGCGATAGTTTACTGAGAATGATGGTTTCCAATTTCATCCATGTCCCTACAAAGGACATGAACTCATCATTTTTTATGGCTGCATAGTATTCCATGGTGTATATGTGCCACATTTTCTTAATCCAGTCTATCATTGTTGGACATTTGGGTTGGTTCCAAGTCTTTGCTATTGTGAATAATGCCGCAATAAACATACGTGTGCATGTGTCTTTATAGCAGCATGATTTATAGTCATTTGGGTATATACCCAGTAATGGGATGGCTGGGTCAAATGGTATTTCTAGTTCTAGATCCCTGAGGAATCGCCACACTGACTTCCACAATGGTTGAACTAGTTTACAGTCCCACCAACAGTGTAAAAGTGTTCCTATTTCTCCACATCCTCTCCAGCACCTGTTGATTCCTGACTTTTTAATGATTGCCATTCTAACTGGTGTGAGATGATATCTCATAGTGGTTTTGATTTGCATTTCTCTGATGGCCAGTGATGATGAGCATTTTTTCATGTGTTTTTTGGCTGCATAAATGTCTGCTTTTGAGAAGTGTCTGTTCATGTCCTTTGCCCACTTTTTGATGGGGTTGTTTGTTTTTTTCTTGTAAATTTGTTTGAGTTCATTGTAGATTCTGGATATTAGCCCTTTGTCAGATGAGTAGGTTGCGAAAATTTTCTCCCATGTTGTAGGTTGCCTGTTCACTCTGATGGTAGTTTCTTTTGCTGTGCAGAAGCTCTTTAGTTTAATTAGATCCCATTTGTCAATTTTGGCTTTTGTTGCCATTGCTTTTGGTGTTTTGGACATGAAGTCCTTGCCCACGCCTATGTCCTGAATGGTAATGCCTAGGTTTTCTTCTAGGGTTTTTATGGTTTTAGGTCTAACGTTTAAATCTTTAATCCATCTTGAATTGATTTTTGTATAAGGTGTAAGGAAGGGACCCAGTTTCAGCTTTCTACATATGGCTAGCCAGTTTTCCCAGCACCATTTATTAAATAGGGAATCCTTTCCCCATTGCTTGTTTTTCTCAGGTTTGTCAAAGATCAGATAGTTGTAGGTAAGCAGCGTTATTTCTGAGGGCTCTGTTCTGTTCCATTGATCTATATCTCTGTTTTGGTACCAGTACCATGCTGTTTTGGTTACTGTAGCCTTGTAGTATAGTTTGAAGTCAGGTAGTGTGATGCCTCCAGCTTTGTTCTTTTGGCTTAGGATTGACTTGGTGATGCGGGCTCTTTTTTGGTTCCATATGAACTTTAAAGTAGTTTTTTCCAATTCTGTGAAGAAAGTCATTGGTAGCTTGCTGGGGATGGCATTGAATCTGTAAATTACCTTGGGCAGTATGGCCATTTTCACGATATTGATTCTTCCTACCCATGAGCATGGAATGTTCTTCCATTTCTTTGTATCCTCTTTTATTTCCTTGAGCAGTGGTTTGTAGTTTTCCTTCAAGAGGTCCTTCACATCCCTTGTAAGTTGGATTCCTAGGTATTTTATTCTCTTTGAAGCAATTGTGAATGGGAGTTCACTCATGATTTGGCTCTCTGTTTGTCTGTTGTTGGTGTTTAGGAATGCTTGTGATTTTTGTACATTGATTTTGTATCCTGAGACTTTGCTGAAGTTGCTTATCAGCTTAAGGAGATTTTGGGCTGAGACGATGGGGTTTTCTAGATATACAATCATGTCGTCTGCAAACAGGGACAATTTGACTTCCTCTTTTCCTAATTGAATACCCTTTATTTCCTTCTCCTGCCTGATTGCCCTGGCCAGAACTTCCAACAATATGTTGAATAGGAGTGGTGAGAGAGGGCATCCCTGTCTTGTGCCAGTTTTCAAAGGGAATGCTTCCAGTTTTTGCCCATTCAGTATGATATTGGCTGTGGGTTTGTCATAGATAGCTCTTATTATTTTGAAATACGTCCCATCAATGCCTAATTTATCGAGAGTTTTTAGCATGAAGGGTTGTTGAATTTTGTCAAAGGCTTTTTCTGCATCTATTGAGATAATCATGTGGTTTTTGTCTTTGGCTCTGTTTATATGCTGGATTACATTTATTGATTTGCGTATATGGAACCAGCCTTGCATCCCAGGGATGAAGCCCACTTGATCATGGTGGATAAGCTTTTTGATGTGCTGCTGGATTTGGTTTGCCAGTATTTTATTGAGGATTTTTGCATCAATGTTCATCAAGGATATTGGTCTAAAATTATCTTTGTTGGCTGTGTCTCTGCCAGGCTTTGGTATCAGAATGATGCTGGCCTCATAAAATGAGTTAGGGAGGATTCCCTCTTTTTCTATTGATTGGAATAGTTTCAGAAGGAATGGTACCAGTTCCTCCTTGTACCTCTGGTAGAATTCGGCTGTGAATCCATCTGGTCCTGGACTCTTTTTGGTTGGTAAACTATTGATTATTGCCACAATTTCAGATCCTGTTACTGGTCTATTCAGAGATTCAACTTCTTCCTGGTTTAGTCTTGGGAGAGTGTATGTGTCCAGGAATTTATCCATTTCTTCTAGATTTTCTAGTTTATTTGCGTAGAGGTGTTTGTAGTATTCTCTGATGGTAGTTTGTATTTCTGTGGGATCAGTGGTGATATCCCCTTTATCATTTTTTATTGTGTCTATTTGATTCTTCTCTCTTTTCTTCTTTATTAGTCTTGCTAGCGGTCTATCAATTTTGTTGATCCTTTCAAAAAACCAGCTCCTGGATTCATTGATTTTTTTGAAGGGTTTTTTGTGTCTCTATTTCCTTCAGTTCTGCTCTGATTTTAGTTATTTCTTGCCTTCTGCTAGCTTTTGAATGTGTTTGCTCTTGCTTTTCTAGTTCTTTTAATTGTGATGTTAGGGTGTCAATTTTGGATCTTTCCTGCTTTCTCTTGTGGGCATTTAGTGCTATAAATTTCCCTCTACACACCGCTTTGAATGCGTCCCAGAGATTCTGGTATGTTGTGTCTTTGTTCTCGTTGGTTTCAAAGAACATCTTTATTTCTGCCTTCATTTCGTTATGTACCCAGTAGTCATTCAGGAGCAGGTTGTTCAGTTTCCATGTAGTTGAGCAATTTTGAGTGAGATTCTTAATCCTGAGTTCTAGTTTGATTGCACTGTGGTCTGAGAGATAGTTTGTTATAATTTCTGTTCTTTTACATTTGCTGAGGAGAGCTTTACTTCCAACTATGTGGTCAATTTTGGAATAGGTGTGGTGTGGTGCTGAAAAAAATGTATATTCTGTTGATTTGGGGTGGAGAGTTCTGTAGATGTCTATTAGGTCCGCTTGGTGCAGAGCTGAGTTCAATTCCTGGGTATCCTTGTTGACTTTCTGTCTCATTGATCTGTCTAATGTTGACAGTGGGGTGTTAAAGTCTCCCATTATTAATGTGTGGGAGTCTAAGTCTCTTTGTAGGTCACTCAGGACTTGCTTTATGAATCTGGGTGCTCCTGTATTGGGTGCATATATATTTAGGATAGTTAGCTCCTCTTGTTGAATTGATCCCTTTACCATTATGTAATGGCCTTCTTTGTCTCTTCTGATCTTTGTTGGTTTAAAGTCTGTTTTATCAGAGACTAGGATTGCAACCCCTGCATTTTTTTGTTTTCCATTTGCTTGGTAGATCTTCTTCCATCCTTTTATTTTGAGCCTATGTGTGTCTCTGCACATGAGATGGGTTTCCTGAATACAGCACACTGATGGGTCTTGACTCTTTATCCAACTTGCCAGTCTGTGTCTTTTAATTGGAGAATTTAGTCCATTTACATTTAAAGTTAATATTGTTATGTGTGAATTTGATCCTGTCATTATGATGTTAGCTGGTTATTTTGCTCGTTAGTTGATGCAGTTTCTTCCTAGTCTTGATGGTCTTTACATTTTGGCATGATTTTGCAGCGGTTGGTACCGGTTGTTCCTTTCCATGTTTAGCGCTTCCTTCAGGAGCTCTTTTAGGGCAGGCCTGGTGGTGACAAAATCTCTCAGCATTTGCTTGTCTGTAAAGTATTTTATTTCTCCTTCACTTATGAAGCTTAGTTTGTCTGGATATGAAATTCTGGGTTGAAAATTCTTTTCTTTAAGAATGTTGAATATTGGCCCCCACTCTCTTCTGGCTTGTAGGGTTTCTGCCGAGAGATCTGCTGTTAGTCTGATGGGCTTCCCTTTGAGGGTAACCCGACCTTTCTCTCTGGCTGCCCTTAACATTTTTTCCTTCATTTCAACTTTGGTGAATCTGACAATTATGTGTCTTGGAGTTGCTCTTCTCGAGGAGTATCTTTGTGGCGTTCTCTGTATTTCCTGAATCTGAATGTTGGCCTGCCTTGCTAGACTGGGGAAGTTCTCCTGGATAATATCCTGCAGAGTGTTTTCCAACTTGGTTCCATTCTCCCTGTCGCTTTCAGGTACACCAATCAGACGTAGATTTGGTCTTTTCACATAGTCCCATATTTCTTGGAGGCTTTGCTCGTTTCTTTTTATTCTTTTTTCTCTAAACTTCCCTTCTCGCTTCATTTCATTCATTTCATCTTTCATCGCTGATACCCTTTCTTCCAGTTGATTGCATTGGCTCCTGAGGCTTCTGCATTCTTCACGTAGTTCTCGAGCCTTGGTTTTCAGCTCCATCAGCTCCTTTAAGTACTTCTCTGTATTGGTTATTGTAGTTATACATTCTTCTAAATTTTTTTCAAAGTTTTCAACTTCTTTGCCTTTGGTTTGAATGTCCTCCCGTAGCTCAGAGTAATTTGATCGTCTGAAGCCTTCTTCTCTCAGCTCGTCAAAATCATTCTCCATCCAGCTTTGTTCCGTTGCTGGTGAGGAACTGCGTTCCTTTGGAGGAGGAGAGGCGCTCTGCGTTTTAGAGTTTCCAGTTTTTCTGTTCTGTTTTTTCCCCATCTTTGTGGTTTTATCTACTTTTGGTCTTTGATGATGGTGATGTACAGATGGGTTTTCGGTGTGGATGTCCTTTCTGTTTGTTAGTTTTCCTTCTAACAGACAGGACCCTCAGCTGCAGGTCTGTTGGAATACCCTGCCGTGTGAGGTGTCAGTGTGCCCCTGCTGGGGTGTGCCTCCCAGTTAGGCTGCTCGGGGGTCAGGGGTCAGGGACCCACTTGAGGAGGCAGTCTGCCCGTTCTCAGATCTCCAACTGCGTGCTGGGAGAACCACTGCTCTCTTCAAGGCTGTCAGACAGGGACATTTAAGTCTGCAGAGGTTACTGCTGTCTTTTTGTTTGTCTGTGCCCTGCCCCCAGAGGTGGAGCCTACAGAGGCAGGCAGGCCTCCTTGAGCTGTGGTGAGCTCCACCCAGTTTGAGCTTCCAGGCTGCTTTGTTTAGCTAATCAAGCCAGGGCAATGGCGGGCGCCCCTCCCCCAGCCTCGCTGCCACCTTGCAGTTTGATCTCAGACTGCTGTGCTAGCAATCAGCGAGATTCCGTGGGCATAGGACCCTCCGAGCCAGGTGTGGGATATAGTCTCGTGGTGCGCCGTTTTTTAAGCCGGTCTGAAAAGCGCAATATTCGGGTGGGAGTGACCCGATTTTCCAGGTGCGTCCGTCACCCCTTTCTTTGACTTGGAAAGGGAACTCCCTGACCCCTTGCGCTTCCCAGGTGAGGCAATGCCTCGCCCTGCTTCGGCTTGCGCAAGGTGCGCGCACCCACTGGCCTGCACCCACTGTCTGGCACTCCCTAGTGAGATGAACCCGGTACCTCAGATGGAAATGCAGAAATCACCCGTCTTCTGCGTCGCTCACGCTGGGAGCTGTAGACCGGAGCTGTTCCTATTCGGCCATCTTCTACTGCCAAAAATTTACGGTTAATCTTTTTTCCAGCCTTCTCTTAAGGGACCTATGGCTTTTTATCACGGTGAGCACTGGGAAAAGGAAATAATCAGACTAATTATTCATAAGAGGCTAATGGACACTGGCTTGGAACTCATATAATTCCCTGAGGCCCAAAATGTCACTGTGGTCCACCAGTCAGAGTAGGGGTTTATGAGATCAGGTGATCAGTCTCACAGTGGACCCAGTGAGCCCCCAAATACATCCTGTGATTATTTTCCTGGTTCTAGATGCATAATTGTAATAGACCTGGCAGAACCAGATAATAGCACTCCCGCATTTGTTCCTTGACTTGTGAAATGAAAGCCATTATGATGAGAAAGGCCAAGTGTAAGCTATTAGAATTGCCTCTACCTAGGAAAATAGTAAACCAAAAGCAATACTGCATTCCTGGAGGGATTGCATACATTATGCCACCATCAAGAACTTGAAGGATGCAAGGGTAGTAATTCCCACCATGTCCCCATTTAGTTCCCCTATTTGGCCTGTACAGAAGACAGATGGATCTTGGAAAATGACAGTGAATTATCACAAGCTTAACCAGGTGGTAACTCCTATTGTAGCTGTTGTGCCAGATGTCATTTCATTGCTTGAACAAATTAACATGTTTTCTGATACCCGGTATGCAGCTATTGATCTGGCAAATGATTTTTCTCCCTGTCTGTCAATAAGGACCACCAGAACCAGTTTCCTTCAGCTAGCAAGGCCAGCAATATACACCTTCACTGTCTGATAAGGTTTGGCTCTGTGTCCCCACCCAAATCTCACCTTAAATTGTAATTCCCATAATCCCCAAGTGTCAAGGGTGGGACCAGGTGGAGATGACTGAATCATGGGGGCAGTTTCTCCCATGCTATTCTCATGATAATTCGTGGGTCTCATGAGATCTAATGGTTTTATAAGTGTCTGACATTTCCCTACTTACTCATTCACTCTCCTGCCACCCTGTGAAGAGGTGCCTTCTGCCATGATTGTAAGTTTCCTAAGGCCTCCCCAGCCATGTGGAACTATGAGTCAGTTAAACCTCTTTCCTTTATAATACCCAGTCACGAATATTTCTTCATAGCAGTGTGAGAATGAACTAATACACTGTCCTACCTAAGGCATATATCAAGTCTCCAGCTCTATGTTATAATTTAGTTCACAGGAATCTTGATCACCTTTTCCTTCCACAGGCTATCACACAGGTCCATTACATTGATGACATTATGCTGACTGGATCTAATAAGTAAAACATAGCAACCACTCTGGACTTATTGGTAAGACATTTGCACACCAGAGGTTAGAACATAATTCTGACAAAAATTTGGGGCTTCTACCTCAGTGAAACTTCTAGCAGTCCAGTGAGGTGGAGCATGTAGAGATATTCCTTCTAAAGTGAAACCTAAGTTGTTCCATCCGGCCCCTCCTACAACCAAGAAAGAGGCACAATACCTAGTGGTCTTCTGAATTTTGAAACAACATAATCCTCATTTGGATATGCTATTCCAGTCTATTTACTAAATGATCTGAAAAGCTATTACTTTTGCAGCAGGGGTTGGGGGCAGTGGAGAGGGAGTGCCAGAACAAGAGAAGGCTCTGCAATGGGTGCAGCCCACCATGCAGGCTGCTCTGCCACATGGCCATATGACCCATCAGATCCAATGGTGTTTGTAAAATGTCCATGGCAGATAGTGATGTGGCTTGGAGACCTTGGCAGGCCCCAGTAGGGAAACTGCAGCATAGGCACCTAGGATTTTTGAGCAAAGCCCTGCTATTCTCTATAGATAACTTCTTTTCTTTTGAGAAATGGCTCTTGGCCTACTCCTGAGCCTTATCAGAGACTAAACACTGAGCCATAGACCAGTAAGTTACTATACAACCTGAACTGCCCATCATGAACTGGAAGATATCTGACCCACCAAGTTATAAAGTTTGGTGTGCATAGCAGCACTCCATTATCAGATGGAAATGGTATATACATGACTGGGCTTGAGCAAGCCCTGAAGGCACAAATAAATTAAATGAAGTGGCCCAAATGCATGTGATTCCCCACTTCTGCTACACTGCCTTCTATTTCTGAGCCTGCACCTCTGTCCTCGTGGGGAGTTTCCTAGGATCACTTGGTGGAGGAAGAGAAGACTCAGGACTGGTATACAGATGGTTCTGCTCAATATGCAGGTACCTTCCAAAAGTGAACAGCTATAGCACCACAGCCCCTCTCCTGGGACATCCCTGAGGATAGTGGTGAAGGGAAATTCTTCCACTGGGCACACCTTTGAGCAATGTACCCAGTTGTTTACTTTGCTTGGAAGGAAAAGGGACCAGATGTGTGATTATGTACTGATTCATTGCTGTGGCCAATGATTTGCCTGGATGGTCAGGGACATGAAAGGAACGTGATTGAAAAGTTGGTGACAAGGCAGTTTGGGGAAGAGGTATGTGGATAGACTTCTATGAATGGGAAAATAACGTGAAGATATTTCTGTTTCATGGGTATGCTAATCAAAGAATGACCTCAGCTGAGGAAGATTTCAATAATCAATTGGATAGAATGACCCATTCTTTGGATACCAGTCAGCCTCTTTCCCAGCCACCCCTGCCATCGCCCAATGGCTTCATGAATAAAGTTGGCATGGTAGCATAGATGGAGGTTATACATGGGTTTAAACCTTGATGACTTCAACTCATCAGAGTCAACCTGACTGAAGCCAATGCTGAGTTGTCCAGCAGCAGAGCCCCATGCCAAGTTACTGATATAGCACTATTCCTTAGGGTGCTCAGCTAGCTATCTGGTGGCAAGTCTATTACATTGGACTTCTTCAATTACAGAAGGGGCAGCATTTTGTTCTTACTCAAATAGACATGGATTCTGGATATTTAATAGATTTGCTTTCTTGGCATGCAACACTTCTGCCAAAACTATTATCTGAGGACTTACAGAATGCCTTATCTACTACCATGGTATTCTACACAGTACTGCTTCTGAACAAGGAACTTGCTCCACAGCAAATGAAATACAGTAATGGGCCCAGGCTCACAGACTTCACTGGTCTGTGTTCCCCACCATCCTGAAGCAGCTGTTAGGTAGAACAGTGGCATGGCCTTTTGATGATTCAATTATAGCACCGGCTAGTGGCAATTCCTTGCAGGTCTGGGGCAATGTTCTCCAGAACACTGTATATGCTCTATATAAGCCTCCAATGTATGGTGCTATTTTTCCCATAGCCAGGAATTTTGGGTCCAGTAGTCAAGGGGTAGAAATGAGAGTGGGACCATTCACTATGACTCCTGGTGACCCACTAGCAGATACTTGCTCCCTGTTCCTGCATCCTTATATTCTTCTGGCAAAGAGATCTTAGTTCTAAAGGGAGAAATGCTTCCCCCAGGAGACACAACCATAATTCTATTGAACTGGATGTTCAAACTTCCACCTGGCCACTTTGGGTTCCTCATCATGCCTTTGAATCAGCAGGCAAAGAAATGAGTTACTGTGTTGGCTGAGATGATTGATCCTGGAAAACAAGGGGAAATTGGATTACTAGTCCATAATGGAGGTAGGGAAGAGTAAATCTAGAATACAGGAGATCTCTTGGGGCATCTCTTAATATTACCATTTCATTGTAATTAAGAACAATGGAAAACTACAACAACCTAACTGAGACAGGACTACTAATAGCTCAGACCCTTTAGGAATAAAGGTTTGGGTCAGCCTACCAGGTAAAAAACAATGACCAGCTGAGGTGTTTGCCTAAAGCAAAGGGAATATGGAATGGGTAGTGGAAGAAGGTAGTTTATAAGTACCAGCTATGACCACATGACCAGTTACAGAAACAAGGACTATAATTGTCATGAGTATTTGCTCCTTATTTTGTTATGGATATGTGTGTGTATTAAGCAAACATCTTTGTTTTCTTTCCTCTCATCCCCTTATCATGTAACATGAGATGTACATGACTTTATTGATTAACTTTATTTTACAGCATTTAATCGTTGTTAATTTTATACCATAGTATTGAAGTTACAGAATATAAAGGAGAAAAGTAAACATCATTCAAGGACTTTACTTTCTCTTCTGGGAAAGAAGTTAAATTGATTTTAGTTGTGAGCAGAATAGTTGCATCATGTTAGGCAGAATTATAACCTTGTTATTATCTTTATTTGGAGATTAAGTACCTAAGATTAAGTAAGCAGATGCATATGGGTGCCAAGTTGACAAGGGATGAACTAGTGATGGCTAATTGTATGTGTCAACTTTACTGGGACATGAATCATCCAGTTATCTGGTTAAACATTATTCTCGGTGTGCCTGTGAGAATATTTCTGGATGAGATTAACATTTCAATCAATGGACTGAGAGAACAGTTACTCTCCCTAATGTGTGTGGGCCCCATCCAGGCTGAAGATCTGAATAGGCAAAAAATGTTGACCCTCCCTGGAATAAGAGATAATTCCTCCTATCTGCCTGTCTTCAAGCTGGGATATTGGTTTGTTCCAGCCTTCAGATTCAAACTGAATCATCAGCTCTTCCTGGTCTCAAGGCTGCTAACCATGGACTTAGAACAATACCATCTTCTTTCCTGGGTCTCCAGCTTGCTTTTAGAACCTGCCATCCTTCATAATTGCATGAGCCAATTTTTTATTTGATAGATATTAATAGATCGAGATATTGTTAGATATAATACAGGTGTAGAGATAGGTAGGTAGACAGACAGGCACACAGACAGATAGATAGATGATACAGATAGAGATGGATACATACATCCTATTGGTTCTGTTTCTCTAATTCTGTCAAATACAGTCTGTCTTTCACTTTTCTGTAGATTTGGCCTTCTTCAACTTCTTTGCTCTTCTCTCACTCCCCCATGCTCCCCTTGTCAACTTTTGGCCAAAGTTAAGCAAAGGTAGCATAAAAAGAGCCTTTCAGGGTTAAAGCAAACCTAACTATCTAGAGAAGTACAGCATCGAGCATGTTCCTCCTTCCCTTCCCTGCTTCATGAACATCTTCAACTCCACTTAACAACTATGTGTCTAACATGTACCCAGAGCTACTAGAGGCACATTTGAAATTTTGCAACTACCCAATAAGGAAGACATTGGAAGATAAAAAGACAAAAGCTCAGAGGACTGAGGTGAGGATCCTCAAGGTCATCACTAAGGTCACTTTTCTGTTTATAGGTCCTTAGTTCAGTTACTTAACTTCCTTTGGTCTCAAATTTCTCATCTGTAAAATGAGGACCATATGATTACAGCACCAACTGTCAGGTATGATGCAAAGATAAGAGTTGTTGTTTTATTAAATTACACATTATTATAGATAGAGTGGTGAGAACAGTATCTGGAACATAAAAAGCTCATCATGTTAGCTTTTATTATTGCTGTCTCAGAGCCTCCATTTCTGGACCATGTAACTGGTGGGTTGGACTAGATGAGCCCTGGGTGTCCCACCCAGCTGGAATGTTCTAGCATTCAGAGACTCCATTTTTCCCTTGAGATCTCTCCCATGGGGATGGACGGTGGGAGGAAGGAGTATGAGCTTCAGTTATCACGTGGCCCCACCCCTCCAGGAACCTCTCCAGCTCCAAGGCAGGCTGCCTTTCAAGGCTCACTGCTCTCACTTGATTCTCTTTCCACAGTGCTGACTCACTGCATTGATTGAACAGGCTGCTGCAGCCCAGTCCTTCCTTAGGACGGGATGTCCTACTGGAAGCCATCCAGGCACCTTTCTTCTCCTGGGCTGCAAGTCCCCCTTTCTTTTTATCCAGCAGAGGTTTTAATATAAAGCATAATGTGTGTGGTTTGTGCCTCCATTGATGCATGCATTTATTCAAAGATGACGCTCCCTTTGGTTAACCGTCAAAGACCATGACTTTACAGGAGGTTATTTTCGACTGCTCCTCCTTAAAGGAACAGAAAAGCAACTTTCTGTAATTACCTTCAAATTCAGAAGAGAATTCTACCATATCTTAATGAGAACCTGAGAAAAGAAGTGCCTTTATTTATCCCCCTCTGGCTTTGAATGGGCTCTGGAAAAATTATATTGGTTCATGCTCAGAAACTGGTAAAGAGACATGCACAAAATGGGGAAAATGGTTCCTATGGACTTTTCCTATTTCTCTTTCTCTTTTTAGAACATGCAATACAGTTCTGCCTCTGGATGTACTCCCTTTGTTCAACATTATTGCCTTTGCTACCTGCCTTGAAATGGTTCTTCAAGGGTTTTGATAAATCAGCTGCAAAGGTGTCTGCTTTCATTGTAACATCTGTTAGTGCCTTTTCTGAAAAGCTCTTTTTATGCTACCTAGTGAAATTCACCTCAGTGAATCTTAGGAAAACCCTAACATCAGCTGCAATGTATCAGAAGTGGAGAGGGAATGATTTTTTCTCTCCTAACTTTATTTTATTTTGGAAAGTCAGAGAGGGTATTTCAGAAGAAAGAAAGCAAATAATGAAAGGAAAATGTTCCTTTTGAGAGACTCTTCTGCAACTGCCTTTTTTCTTTTTTTCAATACTGTGATGCGAAGAAGTTTAAATGTGACCTTGGGGACTTAGAGATATGGTTTGGCTCTGTGTCCCCACCCAAATCTCACCTCAAATTGTAATTCCTATAATCCCCACATGTCAAGGGTGGAACCAGGTGGAGGTAATTGGATCATGAGGGTGGTTTCCTCCCACATGCTGTTCTCATGGTAGTGAGTGCTTACAAGATCTGATGGTTTTATAAGCATCTGGCATTTCCCCTGTTTGCACTTACTCTGTCCTGATGCCCTGTGAAGGTGCCTGATTCTTCTTTGCCTTCTGCCATGATTGTAAGTTTCCTGAGGCCTCCCCACCAATGCAAAACTGTGAGTCAGTTAAACCTCTTTCCTTTATAAATTAGCCAGTCGTGGGTCTTTCTTCATAGCAGCATGATAATGGACTAATACACCCAGCTTGGGTTCTTCATCCACTACTTACCCCTCTGAGGTGCTGCCCCTATCACCTCGGCCAGGTGAGTGAGGAGATGCGTCAGAGACATTGACACTGATTCTCCATCCTGCCAACTGATGATGGCATTTTTCCTTGCACAAGCTCACCTCTAGGGCCACAGGACAGAGCTGCAGGATCAATGGCCACTGGTGAAGTTGGAAAGAATGAAGGTGGTATCTTGCTCTCCAGGGTTTCCAGGGAATGAAAGTATGCAGTATATACTAACCACAGCATCCAAACCAACCTACAGACCATTGGCATACAGCACACAGCAGAGATCTGTAGAACTTTAATCAGGTGACTGAATTATACCAAATTATCTCAACCTTCAGAAATCCTAGGCTGTTGTGTGATTGTCCAATTGAGGGGTCCATGAGGTAAAACTATCCAAATAGGTGGGGATAGAATTTTCCTTTGAAGGAAACAGGGATCAATTTTACTGGGAAGATAGAAATTTGGGGCCAGGGAGTTAGGCAATCCATGGGACGAGAAGGAGGAGGGACTTTCTTCTTGCTCACACCAGGCTTCTGAGATAGAAGAAAGCTTGGCCACAAAGACACAGCCTCAGAGCAGAAGGCACCATCCAAGCTCCTCTCTAAGGGAGCAACAGTGTAGCAGCAGGCCCTCTGGTCTCCGGGTTCAGCTTTGCACATAAGCTTCAGGCCGCCAAAACAAGGTCTGAGCCTCTGGATGGAGAGCGAATTTCTTTCTGGGGGCTCCTGACAAGAGCTGCTTCTAGACACAGCCTGTTGCTGATGCTGGAATCTCTCCTGGGTCAGCACCAACATTGATGGGTGGGCTCAAGAAACATGACTCCATATTGTGCTTGCATTGCAAGTTGATTGCTGAGAGTTAAAAACTCCAGCAGTTTTACTGTGTCACACCTTCAATTTGCACACTAAGGGATGCAGTGACTGGCATTTTGGGGCCATCCAGAGCTCAGCCATTTTGGATATTGGCCTTGAAAGGGGCAGCTGAGCGCCAGTTTTCCTGGTAAGTGTCCGCAATATTCTTCTCCTCCCTCTCTTCTTCCTCTGCCACCACTTTCCTTCTCCTCACAATTATTATCAACAATACAACTATTGCTTGTTGAGTATTAACTATTCATTGACATACCAACAGGCCTCCCAACTCAACACATCTAAGACTGAATCCATCATCTTCCTCCCATGACCAACTTCTTGCCTAACATAGCTTTTTGCCTTGTCAGTCTTTCTCCCACTCACCCAGACTCATAATTGTAGTGTTCCTTTTGATTTGTTCCTCAACTTGATCCCACAGCCACAAACTTCCTATATTTTCTATCTTCACAATATCTCACCTGCATGTCTTCTTTTCTGGTACCACAGTTCTCAAGAAAGTTCTTACCTTCCTTCCTGCTTGACAGAAACTTCCCAGACAGCCTCCATTGGTCTCCTTGATTCTAGCCTCCCCCAGCTTAAATAGACTCTGCACATTTGCCACACAAATAATTCTCCCATTGCAGTTTTGAACACATCAGTTCTGTGTAACTCCCCTTTGATTATAAAGTTAAATCTAAGTGTAGTTGATTTTCATTAGTTACAGTAGTTATGTTCTATAATGTCACTGTAAATACTGAATTAGTGAATACTGAACCATTGCTTCTAGGGACAATAGGGTTAGGTTCCAGAAAGCCCCTGCTCATAAAATTTTTGTCAACCAATTAATATATAACCTGTTGTATGTGTCTATGCCTAAAGACACTTTATTTAATACATGTTGTTGATTAACATTGAACACATGGCCAGCAACATATAACTCCTGCCTTTTGAAGCTTATCTAAAACATGTATTTTGCCTTTAAGGCACATCACAGCTTGCTTGCACTTAGGAACTCTAGACAGCACTTTAGCACTATACTTTGGGGACATTTTAAACAGTGAAATCATCAACAAAAAGCACAAAAAGGTGAAATACATGTCACTAAATATACCACAAAAAGGACACTTGTTTATAGTTATGAGAGCTAAAACAAGACCTGTTAATCTGATTATGATAATCATTACACAAATCATCACTTTTACACCTTGAATATATACAACCTCTGTCATTTAAATATTATAATATTTAAAAGTTAATTTTTGGGCTGGGCACGGTGGCTCACGCCTGTAATCCCAGCACTTTGGGAGGCCGAGGTGGGCAGATCACGAGGTCAGGAGATCGAGACCATCCTGACTAACACAGTGAAACCCCATGTCTACTAAAAATACAAAAAATTGGCCGGGCGCGGTGGCTCACGCCTGTAATCCCAGCACTTTGGGAGGCCGAGGTGGGTGGATCATGAGGTCAGGAGATCGAGACCATCTTGGCTAACACGGTGAAACCCCGTCTCTACTAAAAATACAAAAAATTAGCCCGGCAAGGTGGCGGGTGCCTGTAGTCCCAGCTACTCGGGAGGCTGAGGCAGGAGAATGGCATGAACCTGGGAGGCGGAGCTTGCAGTGAGCCGAGATAGCGCCACTGCAGTCCGGCCTGGGCAAAAGAGTGAGACTCTGTCTCAAAAAAAAAAAAAAAAAAAATTAGCCAGGCGTGGTGGCAGGCGTCTGTAGTCCCAGCTACTTGGGAGGCTGAGGCAGGAGAATGACATGAACCTGGGAGGCGGAACTTGCAGTGAGCCAAGATCGCGCCATTGCATTCCAGCCTGGGCGACAGAGCGAGACTCCATCTCAAAAAAAAAAAAAAAAAGTTAATTTTTTTCAAAAAGACAAAGCCTCAACTTGTTTGACCTTCGACCTCAGGTGGGAATGTGTGCATCAAATTTTTTGCCATTCTATGTGTGTCTGAGAATGACCATGAAAGCACCATGAGTAATGATTTGGGGATGAGAAATAACTTTTAGTAAGTACATAAATTTGGGAATGCAGGATCTGTGAATAATGAGGTCAACTGAACCTCATCCTAGATTTTAAATCCCGCAACAGTAAGGTCATTTTCTGTTTCTCCAGCATTACAATCCATTATTTTCCTATATTTTACTCCTGCTAAAATACTCAGTCTTTCTGAATTCCTATTTTCTTGCTTCCATGCCTCTCCCTGTTAGTTGCAGAGTTAAGAATTCTTTGTAGGCAATAAACTGCCTTCCTTGGACTGACTTAAGAAAAATAAAGGAGTTGGAGGGCATTAACTGGAAGGATGGCTCACAGACTCAAAGGGAGAGCAGGACAATTAATTGTCCTGAATTCTACATCCCAAGGCAGTTCAGAGATCTAAGCAAAAGGAGCCTGGGAACCTTCTTCCAAAGGCTGTCTTCAAGGTGGCTTTGTCCCAGTCAACCCCCTCTTAGCTTCTCCATCTTTTGTGTTCAAGTTCCAAATCCTTAGGAGAGACCATGTGACTGGCCTGGCTTGAACAAAGCATCTCTTAACCTCAAGGTGTTCTATTGCAGAGACTAAAGTAAAGAGGGCTGGCGTAGTGGCTCACTTTTCTAATCCCAGCACTTGGGAGGCTGGGGCGGGAAGATTGCTTAATCCCCAAAGTTTAAGACCAGCCTAAGCAACATGGCGAAACCCCAACTCTACCAAAAAAAAAAAAAAAATTAGCCAGGCATGATGGCACGCACCTGTAGTCCCAGCTACTTGGGAGGCTGAGGTGGGAGGATCGATTGAGCCCAGGAGGTCTAGGCTGCAGTGAACCATTACTGCATCACTGCAGTCCAGCCTGGGCAAGAGAGAGAGACCCTGTCTCAAAAAAAAATACAATAAAATAAATCAAATTAAATTAAAGTGGGATGATGATTGGCCTAACTGGCTCATCTGCCACACATTGGCTAGTATGGCAGAGTCTGTTAGTAATGTTGCCCTGGGATTGGTGCTGCCCAGATAAAAACAATAATCACTACATTTGTTTTCCTTTTCCATCTTCATAGTCTAAAATTCTTTTCCTTCTTCAGTTCTTATCTAAATATCACCCTTTCTCTAGGGCCTTTGCTGATTTACCCAGCTGGATGTAGTTTTCCTTTTTCCCCCCTTAAACCCAGTAGCTCTTGATATTTATCTTCTGGCTTTCATGTTCAGCCCTATGTTACAGCTATATGTGAAGTTTTCTCATCACTTGTTTGCTTATTTATTCAGGAAACATGCATCCATTACCTACTTTGTACAGGAATGGTGCTAAGCCTGTTCTTCTCTGGGTTCCCAGAGTCTTCAAGGACTACGGCCTTCAAGAACTTGTAGGGACCAATAATGGGCCCAGTGGACTCCACACAGAAAATGCCTACGCCCAAGCAGATTGAGTTTATCCAGGAATAAGTCCTCTTGTGAGAGCCATGTGGCTTGGCGTAGCTGACTCCCTAGTCAACATAATAAATGCCCTGTGTAAGTGCATTGTTGTTATGTTTATTTACCTTAAGAATGATCCAGCTAGAAGGACTAGATGTATACGTTACATAGCCGTATACATACACACACACACAATCAAGTTGTAAACTGGATAGATTAATATTTAGTCTTAATTTTTAATAGTAAATAATTCTGGCCAGCCATGGTGCCTCACACCCATAATCCCAGCACTTTAGGAGGCCAAGGCAGATGGATCATTTGAGGTCAGGAGCTCGAGATCAGCCTGGCCAACATGGTGAAACCCCATCTCTACTAAAAGTACAAAAATGAGCCAGGTGTGGTGGGGGCATGCCTGTAATCCCAGCTACTCAGGAGGCTGAGGCAGGAGAATCGCTTGAACTCAGGAGACAGAGGTTGCAGTGAGCGGAGATTGTGCCATTGCACGCCAGCCTGGGTGACAGAGTGAGATTCTAGCTCAAAAAATAACAATAATAATAATAATAATTTTAATGAAAAGAATAAATAGATATAACCTGGCCTTTTAATTTAGCAAAGACACAAAGCCAAATTAGAACATAATGAATAAGAAAGTATAAAAATGCAAAACTATTGATGTATTATATAGGCTTGACTTAAATAACTGTGGGAGAATCCCTAAAATCGGCAAACAAACATCGCTACGAAATGATATTCCCCAGTCAGATGCTCCCTTTTACACCTGCCCACATTCTTCCTTTCTTCATGACTTCGGAGATGGAAATCTGGGTTTACAACAAAGGACTTATATGAGTTCTCAAGAATATTCAAAGCTCTTTTCCATGGAAAAAGGCATCTTTCTCCAGCAAACTTGTGATGAAGTGGTACATGCTCTAGACAAATCTACATCTTAACCTCACACCCCAGCAGGACAGCTCAGCCTCCCTCATCACTGGCCATTTAGAGCACACTTTGACTGATAGTTCTGAATGTCTGCCTTCCCTGAGGTTTGTACTTTTCCAAATTGACTGCAACTCAATACTGATCAAAAACTTGCTTAAAACAGCTGTAATTTGGGAGAAAGTGTCTAATGGACATGTTAAGAAATGTCTTCTTTCTTCCAGGTTCTCTAAACACAGTCCCTGTCAAAGTATCTAGACCATAATACCTTGGCTTCCTACAAAAATTCCTTTGTGGATTTATACCATGTTAACTTTTACAGACACTGGCCCAAGAAACATTTAATTTTAACTGCATTTCTATCTTCTTTCTTGCAAAATTTTACTTGAAGGTATTGTCCACTAGATACCCAATGTCCTTTTTATAAACATGTACAGGATAAATTCCTCTTTCTCTGGAGTTCAAAGAAAAAATTTTTTTCTGCAGAGTGATTCTGATGGGTTTTTTTTTAATCAGATAATAAACATTATGCAAACCACCACTCTCTTGCCATGGTTTCCAGAAAATTCATGGCAAAATTCAGTTACTAAGTTTATCTATTGTAAAGTCGTTCCCTTTTGAAAGAGGAAGAGATTTGTACTCTTTTTTATTCTCTTTATTGCATTGCTTTTTGCAGTGTTTAATTTTTGAAACTATCTCAAATTTTCTTGTAATGGGTGGGGGATAAACCATCAACTCAGATCGAATTTGTGGTCCTTTCTGCTTTAATTTAAACTCCTGCCAAGATCTAAAATCGGGGTAATATCTCCTTGAGCACTTATTTAAGTGCTATTTATCAGTAAGCAAAGGGGAAAAATCTGTTTTTTTAGTTTCTTAGAGATGAAGCCAGCAAGAACATTTGTCTGAACATCAATAACAATTAGATCTTAATTATAAGAATGTGTTCCAAGTAACATTCTGCTCCCAAAGGGGTAGGTTGGGGTAATTTGAGCCACAGATTTATTTTGTCATTTACCCTGAAAGTCAAGCTGAAGTGGATGCTAAACTTTAAAGTGATGAAGTAAAATTACTGATGCAAGTTATCCTGAACTTGCATCAAACCTTTGACGGCTCTTCTTGGTTAATTAAAACCAAACTTATGGAACAGGAGCATTCTTGTCATGACTGTCATATTACATTATTATACCTGTAATTATTTGTGTAATCCACAATTACACACTTGTAATTTAGTGAGTGAGTTTAACCAGTTTTTTATAACTCTGATATGATTTCAGACCCTTTAATATCCTCTCTTGGCACATAGGATAAAACCTGAACTTCCTACTGTGACCTATAAGCCTAATGTGATCTAGCTCCTGCCTAGTTCTAAAGCTTCATTTCTTTCCACTATCTTCTGCCTCACTCTGCTCCACTCATCTGTAGCCCTTTCTGTTTCTTTAATTTTATAATCTCTCCCATTGCA
The DNA here is from genome assembly GCF_000001405.40 of Homo sapiens. Classification (NCBI taxonomy): domain Eukaryota; kingdom Metazoa; phylum Chordata; class Mammalia; order Primates; family Hominidae; genus Homo; species Homo sapiens. The sequence continues at coordinate 111,570,299 of NC_000010.11, read as the reverse complement.
GCCTCTTATGTGCTTGCTCTTCCCTATCTGATGTCGTTTGGCTATGTGTTCCCACCAAAATACCATCTCAAATTGTAATTCCCATAATCCCCGTGTGTCAAGGGTGGGACCTGGTGGGAGGTGATTGGGTCATGGGGGCAGTTTCCCCCTTGCTGTTGTGATAGTGAGTGAGTTCTAATGAGATCCAATGGTTTTATAAGGGGCTTGTCCCACTTCGCTCATTTGTTCACTCTTGCTTGCCACCATGTATGACATGTCTTTGCTTCTCTCTTGCCTTATGCCATGATTGTAAGTTTCCTGAGGCCTCCCCAGCCATGCAGAACTGTGAGTCAATTAAACTTCTTTCCTTTATAAATTACCCAGTCTCAGATATGTCTTTATAGCAGTGTGAGAACAAACTAATACACTATCCTTTCCCAGTTTGTCATGTTTGGCTTTTTAGAGGATTCCATCTCAAAATTTCATGGGCATAGAAGTCATCTGAAGATCTTGTTGAAATGCAGATTCTGAGTTGATAGGTCTGAGGGTCTGTATTTCTAATGAGCTCCCAGGTTTGTCAATGTCAGCTAAAACAAGATGTCCAATCACTGTCTATCACAACCCTTTCTTATTTCTTTCTCAGCGCTTGTCACATCAATTCTTGTTTATCATCTCTTGCTCTCAGTAAACAGCAAGTTCCATAAAGGCAGTAACTTAGGCACAGTTATATCCTTGCACCTAGCTCAGAAACTTCTTCTTCTTAGATTATTTTGTGGATTAATACAATTGGATCTCCCCAACTGTCAATTGACAGAATAACCCAGAACTCAAACACTGTAGCATATTCAAACTGGAACATCCCTTAGGAATAATCTAGTCTCTCATCTCTGAGGGAGGAGAATTAGATCTAGAGAGGTGAAGTAACTTACCCAAGGCTACACAATCTTAAAATTAACCAGGGCTCTAGTCCAGGGTTCTTATCCCCTTTTAACAAATGCTCCATTTTCTCACTACATGTCACCATTGGTCTTCCAACAGGTGAAACTTAGCCCATTTAGGATAATCAACTTGTCCTGGTTTGCCCAGGACTTTTCTGATTTTAGCATTGAAAGTTCCATGTCCCAGAAAGCCTCTCAGTCCTGGAAAAATCAGACTTTAGACCCTAAATGGACTAGTGTGTGTGTTGTTACTTCATCTGCAATGCAAGTGTCAATACATCCTTCCTCCCCCTAGTGTGTGAGTTTCGGCAAGTAATAAAAAGGATGAGTAGTATATACTCCTGTTGAACATAATAGACATTTCTTCAGAAGTTATACATAGCAACAGGTCATTAGCAAAAAGTTAACCCTCCCAAGGTCAGCAGATAAGCTTTAAATTCAGAACCATTTCTTTTCTCATCAGGAATCTAGGCTCCAACAGTCCTTTTTCTTGGGGGAATATGTCTTTGTTTTCTCAGGCTACTTAAATGACAACAATTTCTTGTTTCACAATTCTGGGGGCTGGAAGTGTGAGACTAGGGTGCCACACAATGAGTTTCTGGTGAGGACTCTCTTCCTGGCTTGCAAACAGCCTTCTTCTCACTGTGTGTTCGTATGGTCTTTCCTCAGAAAGTGCACATGGAGATAGAGATTTCTGTCTATTCCTCTTCTTATAAGGTCACCAATCCTATAAGATCATTACTCAACCCTTATTGTCTTACTTATCTTTACCTCTTAAATGCCCTATCTCTAAATACAATCACATTGAGGCTTCAACATATGAATTTTGGGAAGACTCATTTAAACTATAGCAAAATGGTACTAGATTTCCAAGTGGTGATCACATCAAGTCTGGAATCTATTAATTTACTTGACAGTTTTAGCTCATTACTTCAAGTTTCCTAGCACTGAGAGTGACCTCGCCAACAGCAGTGGCAACCTGTTTGGTGTTGGGTTTTAAATATGGGGTGGAAACAGCAACTAATTGGTACTCACCTCTTGCAGGCACAGGGGAGACCAGAGAAACAGGATTGGAAAGGGAGAAGAAAGAACTCTGTGAACCCTGCACCAGTTTCTGAGAGTGGTGCATTTTCTGACAACAGCTTCAGTGGCAGCGAGGGAGCCCTTGCCCCATAGTCTAGGCATGCCACTGCAACTTCAGTAGGTTCTGTTCACTGCTGCTTCTGAAAGATGGCCTGGCACAGGTGGAGGGTGAGAGTTGTTGGGTGTGAGACAACCTCAATCCTGTTTCTGTTCTCTGTGTCTTTTCCCCTCAGCTTTATTCTTCATGATGGGAATGAAAGCCTTGCGTGTACAATCAAGCCCTGGCAGAATGATTCAATGCCTTTCACATCCATCTGGCTGAACAATACTTTAGAGAATTGCATCTCAAAATTCCATGGGCATAGAAGTCATCTGAGGATCTTGTTGAAATGCAGATTCTGATTTGATAGGTCTGGGGGTCTGTATTTCTAATGAGCTCCCAGGTTTGCTGATACTGCTGATCTGGAACTACACGTTGAGTAGCAAGGCTCCAAAAGCTACTGACGAATTGCATCAGAAACTCTCCTGAGTTTGGTTTCTGGAGGTGGAAGTAACCTAGTGCTTTTGCACATAGATTTCTCTTCAATAGGGCTTCAAGCCTTGCTACAGTTTTGTCCTTTGCATCCTCCTAAGATAACCTTCCCCAGAAAACCCTGCTTCTCTTTCAGATCCCAACACACTCCCTCTCTGATTCTACAGGGAAAACTGTGTTTATGGAGTTCACTTGTGACTTACAGGACTTGGGTTGGTCTCCAGGGAAAAATGTGAAACTGTTCATCCGAAGCAGATCCTGAATTGCTGCTCAGACCCTGGGAGGACCGGAGAGCAATGCTGATTGCAGAATATTAATTTGCTTCTTAAAACTGCTTTCCTCAAAAGCAATCACACAGAAGCTCTTAAAATCCCCAAACCGTCATAGCCTATCTGAGCATTGTTGGTCTATTTGGACATCATTTTAAGCTTCTTCATTAAAATAATATTCTCATAATTATATTGACACAGAACTGTTGTGTCCTGTTTGATCAAGAATTGTAAGATTAAGAAAAAAACATCCAAATTGGACTATTTTAGTAACTTTCTATGTAAAATGGTCTGGAGAAAGAAACATGTCAAAAAATAGCTTGCTGATCTGCTGCCATATATGGTATTGAACAAAAATCACAGCTATAAAGAGGAAAAAAAAATTCTTAACCATGACTTCAGCCAGGCCAACATGGTAAATTTGTAAACTTGGAAAATTTTATTTTCAGTGTCCTCAATTCCCTCCCCCACCTCCCCACACACCTCTTTGAAACCGCTTCTGTTTTGAATACCCAGTTGCTTCATTCTTTCTTTTCCCCACTGCTTACAAGTCACTCTCAAGAAGATCATTTATATCTATGTACAAATTTGGATCATTGCTATGATTTTCTCCCATGGGTATGTGTTTAAGCCTCATCCCTGACTATGGAAACAAACTGGTTGCCTGGTAAATAATTTCAGGGCATAGGTAGTTGACTATGCGTGACCTCCTAGAATCGTCTTTGAAAACAGCAATAAGCATTGACTCTTGTTAGATGTATTGTGCTCAGTACCTTGTATTAATCTGCTAGGTCTGCCATAACAACATGCCACATATCAGGTGGCTTAAACAGAAGAAATTTAAAGTCTGGGGACTTTAGTGCAAGCCCAAGGTGTTGGCAGGTTTGGTTTCTCTTGAGGCCTCTCTCCTTGGCTCGAAGATGACCTCCTTCTCCCTGTGTTCTTACACGGCCTTTTCTCTGTGCACATGTGTCCTTAATGTCATGTCTCTTCCTCTTCATCTGCCCTGTTGCATTAAGGGCCCACCCTTGTCCTCATTTAACCTTAATTATCTCCTTAAAGTGCCTCTCTTGACTTTAACATATGAATTTGAGGGAGGACACAACTCAGTCTGTAACATGCCTCTATTTGTGCCCTCATCACTCTCATAATGCTTGAACATTGCCTTTGGGAAAATACCTAAACCTGATGCCTAATGCATGTCTTACTTTGCAATGTGTCATCTGGTGGATTCCTGGGTGAATTGGCTGGTATATTCCACCGCAGTAAAGCCACTGAGAGATAAGTGTCAGCCTGCTTGTATTGCCTTAGTTCGAATCTCTTCTCTTCTTTAGGATTAAAGGGAGGGAAGCTAAAAACAGCAACTTGAGCTATTGCTCCTCTTACAGGGTCTATTTGCCAGTTTGCCTCTATTTTGGAGGGAACTGTTGAGGTGGCAGTCACAGAGGAAGTCAAGGAAGTTGATAAAACAAAGACACTTGTGTTGGTCAATATCTATTTGCCCTCAATGGATTCATTCTCCGTCCTTCTGCTTTGCTCTGTGTCGAAGAGAACCACATTTTCCAGGCTCCCTTGCTTTCTGGCTCCTGGGCTGGTCTAACCCATGGGACACACTGGTGAAAGGTGGAAGGGTGGGAGTCAGAGACATGTCAAGGTTTTTCTCCCACTCTCTCCACTTCCTGTTGTGCCTCTGACAATAGCAGTATCTCTTCCAGAGTTCCAACTTATGCAGGGTGGCCCCTCTCTCAGCATGTCTTGCTTCTGAATTCTGCCTCCAGCCCCAGAGGGAGTAGCAGCTTCCTGCTACTGCTAATCTCTGGGTTGTCTCACTGACCCTTTTTGCCTTCTCAGCTCCCTCACTGAGCTATAACCAACTTCCTGAATCAAATTCTTCATGCTCAAAAGTTCTAAAGCAATTCCTGTTTTTTAGCTGATATAATCATCATTGAAGTAATCCTTACCTCAGACAGTAAGGATTAAAGGAGAGAGAGAGAGTTCAGCATATAATAAGAGCTCAAGCATAAAAAAAATTAAAAGAAATCTCAGAAATAATGGGTCTTATTGATAATATGTTATTCTGAAATTGAACCATTAAATATACTTCAATGCAAAATTCAACAATATTTCAAACCACCTCTGAAACCCAGTTTCACAGTTCTGAGGCTTTGGTGGTCTTATTTGTTTATTTATCTCTCTTTTTTAAAAAATCAATGTTATTAAGATAAAATTTATAGACAATAAATGTACCTATAATAAGTGTCTAGTTCAATAATGTGTACATCCATGTAATAAGATAATCAAGATATAAAACATTGCTATCAACCCCAAAAGTTCCCTGTGCCCACTCTTACTGCCAATACTCCCTCCTACCTCCAGCTATTAGGCAACCACCTATTGACTTTCTGTCACTGTAGATTTGCCTTTTTTATAATTTTATGGAAATGTGACATTTACTATACTTTTGTGTCTACCTTCTTTCATTCAGCAAGTTTATGAGATTCATCCATGGTATTGCATGTATCAGTCTTTCATTCTTCTTTATTCATGCTTCGTATTCTCTTTTATGAGAAAACTGCAATTTGTTTATCCATTCACTGTTGGTGTGCATTTGGGTTTCCAGTGTGGGGCTATTATGAATATGCTCTGCTTTGAGTATTCATGTGCAACATTTCATAGTCATGTGTTTTAATTTCTCTTGACTAAATACCTAGGAGTGAAGTTGCTGGATCAAATAGTATGTACTCAACTTTGTATAAAACTAGCAAACTGTTTTCCAAAGTGTTTGGATCTTTTTACACTGTGATCAGCAATGTGGAAAACGTCTGGTTGCTCCCCATCCTCTCCAATGTTTAGTATTGTCAGTCCTTTTAATTTTAACCATTCTTAAGTATGCATAGTGCATCTCTTCATATTGGGAGGAGAAAACCTTTACCAGAGTTCTCCTAAGAGACTTGGTCCATTGGCTAGGGCTGGGTCTCATTGCCATGCCTTAGCTACAAGGGAAACTGAGAAAGCCAGGCCTGGCATGTTCAGCCTCTAGAGCGGGAGATGGCTTCTGCTAGCAGAGAAGGGAAATGGAATAAGAGTTAATTGGACAACCAACCAGTGCTGGACACTCAACCAGCACTTCCCTGGCATGCCATGGCTCACCTGTTGAGATCAACTGCAAGCTGTGGCATGCAGTGATAAGGACTTGAGAACTAAGTTCCTTTGAAGGAGGATGAGCAGAAATCAAGGCAGCCTCAAGTTTTGAGCTTGGGTTACTGGGGACAGGTGACCTTGATGGGGAAGGTGTGGAGCCAGGTTTGATTCACACAGTGTTTGCAGACCCTGACTCCTTTGACCCACTGCCCTTCCAGTGGTTCCTGAGATTTTGAAGTGCACTTCGGGTCTTTCTGGGTCTTGTAAGAACTCCACAAGTTGTCTGGAGGGGACAAAATTATTCCTATTCTGAAGAAATTGGGGAATGTGTGAATCAAAATTGGTTGTGATCACAGTATAAGTTTAAGCAAGAGATATAGTAAGAATGTTTATTTAATTTGTTGTTTTATCCTGAAGTCCTGAGGAATTCTCTAGGCCTCTTTCCTATGGAGAGAGCCTCCTGGAATCATTTGCATTTGGATGAAAACCTCAGGAAGATCCAGGGAGAGACTCAACAGTCTCCAGTGAGTTACCCAAGTTTTAAGCCCAGTATTTGCAGAAGAAGATGACATCTCTCTTGCTAGTACATTTCAAGTAAATCATCTGCCCTTCTTTACAGGATGTTTCCAATGACAGTGACAATGTAACGATATAAAGTAACGATATAAAGCAACCGTTACAATCCATATCACAACATTAAAAATATAATAGGAAATGATCTCCATTAACCAGATATTGATCTCCATTTTTACTTATTCAGATAAAAAGGGCTATTTGGATTAGTAATTATGTTTTTGGCATTTCTCAGAGTTTCAAATTACTTACTGGAAGCAGCTTAATGAATTCAAATGCTGTATTCTAAATTCCTTATTTATCTATAAGCCATGGCTCAACATGGATAATAGAAATCCTGCACCAGTAAGTAATGACTTGGGATGGAAAGTCGACCTTTGGAATCCAGAGTTGATTTTTAGGAGTTTGGTATCAGCTTCTTAAGAAAACTTTAGTGGACTTTCCATGTAACTAAGATGGACTTAGAAGTTTTAGTTTATTTTCTTTTCACTTCTGTTATTATGGAACTACTTATTGCTGGGAAAACTCTAGCATTTACTTCAAGTCTTGCCAAGGATATGTTTGCCTTATTTAATTTATGCAGTGTGCTGCAGTTAAGTTTTCAAGTTTTATTATGCATGCAACCATGCATCTAACTGTGTGTTTGTGCATGTGTGTGTGTATGCGTGCATGAGCATGCAGAAAAAGAAAGTCTCAAAATCGCCTCAAGAAGACACTTAATATCCAGCCAGTAATGACATATAAGAGCCAATTTTTTAATGGGGAAATAGATAATTATAAGCATGAAAACAGCACTTTTGAGCTTCCATCTCCCAAATTCTCTAGCACACAGACACACACACACACACACACACACCACTCCTGCACATTCTCTGTGTCACTCTGAGATAAGGGAGATAAGTGTTTCCCAAACAACCCTCTCTCTGCCTTCCATTTACAACACCAGCTTGGATTGATTACTGTACTGCTTTAAAAATTGACTCTGAGGGTTGTGTGTGTGTGTATAATCACCCCCTGTCCCCAAACAGAGAAGACATGATGCTAGATGCTACTCTTCACATCTGTTTACAACTGGCTTCATGTGCTTTGGTCATAGAGGAATGAGGCTTCTTACCCTAACAGGGCCAACTCTAGGCAAAATCTTATCACTGTCGTGTTTTTAATTTTGCCCCTTCTTTCTGCCCCTACTCCCTTTCCCAGTGTTCTGATCACACACACTTCTTCCTGCTACATCACTCTCCCTTCCTTCCTCCATCACTAGTGGGAAAGAGGTCTGATCAACTATCAATTCCTACCATAGGCTGGCTGGTTGACTCAAAGCAATGATCCTCCACTTCTCTCCACACAACACACATGATGGATGCCACTCATGTCAGACACACTGCTGAGTGCATGAAGGGTCATGGATAATCCCCAGCCCACCGGGTATACCACTGCCCTTTTCTCTCACAAACTTAAAAGACAATCTAAATTTAAATGAGTTAGAGAAAGCTATTGCAAGGGATGATGTTGAATACTGCCTTCATTTACAAAACTAAAATAAATTAATTTGCAAGGTCATTACTTTAAATGCAATTAGTGACGGATGACCTATGTCCCACCTGACCACTGTAAGTCCTTGGGCGGGCCATTCTCCATTTGCCTTTCCAGGTCTTCTCCCCACCCTTCCCCAGCCTGCTTTTGCCCTGGGAGGGCCCCCTTTTTTCACTGCTTCAGCTGCATGCCTTTGCCCTCTGGCTTCCTGTTGGGTCTGACCAGTGGGAGACACCATCAGCATATGGAAAGGCAGAGGGGGAAAAAAGAGGTTAATGTATTTGTTTTCATCTCTTTCTCTGCTGGCCTGGCTTCCCCTTTCAAAGTCCACTCAACTCCTGATGGGCATCCTGTTTCCATATCTGCAACCTGAGTTGCATCTACAGCTCTCTTGGGGATCCAGGAATGGTTCCCGCCCCACCAGAGGAGGAGGAAGGTGGGATGGAAGACTTCCTGTTGCTATTCCCTGGGATTCTTAACCAGCCCTTGTTGGTCCCCTTTAATGTTGTCCATATCTTTGAGATAGTCCCTGAATAAGAACGTCAACATGCTATCTTTTTCCTGCCAGGATTCTAATTTCATAGTTGAGAACAAATTGCTTAGTTAATTACCCCTCCCAGGAGTTCTGGTGTTTAATAGGACACTCATGTTGACAGAATAAAAACTGAAAACTCTAATGTCAAAAAGGAATATTTCTCAAATGGTGGAAGTTTAGACTTTAGCAACCAAAGAAGATCTATTTGGGTGCAAGACAGGTTCTTCAATAATACTGTCTGGATGGCCCTCTTCTTCATAAGCTCTTAGAACACATTTTTCTCTCCACACTTTTGCTTATACTGTTCTCTTTTACCAGATACTCTCCTTGTATCCATTTTTTTAAGGATCAAATTTACTGCCAAGAATTCATAAAGCATTTCTTGATCCATATTTTTTTCCTCCTTAATCCTCTCTCCAAGAGTTTACACTAATCCTTCAGGAAGTACACACACACACACACACACACACACACGCATCTTATAAGGATTGTAATTTTTCACATTCTAAAAATATAACTATCACTATTTGCCAGATATAGAACCTAGTTCATGTTCTGATTTTGTGCCTCTATAAACTGACATTATAGCAAAGTTCTTAAAAGTGTGCCCTTGATTTTGGAATCAGATGGACTTGGACTCATTAGCTCATTGTATATGTATACATTATGTAACTTTTCTGTACCTTAGCTTCTTGGAAGGAAAATGGGGATAACAGTATTTTCATGGAGTAGTTGTGAAAGTTGAATGGGATTTTTTCCTGCTGTTTAAGCATAGTGCATGTTGCATAGTAAATGCTAAATAAACATTAGCTAAAGAAATACAAAGAATAAATTGTGTTACTTCCATCAAGCTCCGCAAGGGGAACAGCCGGTCTTCACCTCTTCCTGTTCTCCTCAATGGAAGTTCAGTATGTATTCAGGATGGATGGATGGATGGATGAATGGATAAATGGGGCTGACCTCAAATAGAAGTTTCTTTAAGCCATTTTGACACTACCTGGCAGAGATCACGTTTTTAAAATTTCCAGGCTGGCTATGGCATTGCATACCTATAATCCCAGCTAGATGGCAGATTGAGGTGGGAGGAATGCTTGAACCTGGGAATTTGAAGCCAGCTTGGGCAACATAGCAAGACTCCAAAAAAGAATAAGTTTAATAAAATGTTTTAACCAGTCCTTTGGGTCTCTGTACATGAATTTTCTTTCTGCTTAATTTATTCATATCATGCATGCACATTCTTGTGTTTACAGGTTCTTTTATAAAATTTTTTTTGCTTTAATTATATTTAGCAAGGAATTTAAGTTCCCTCCTGCATGTTATTCCACATCATCGTCATTCTAGCTCTTCCAGAGCTTCAGGCAGGTATGAATCCTTCTTGAGGATTGTTTTTGTGTTTCTTTAAAAACAAGGGGTGCAGTTCGTGCCAAAGTCATCAGCAGGAGAGAGATTATTAGCTGACTAAATATTTCCACAACAAAAGTTGGGAAATGTAACCCTGAGGCTATTGGTATTTCGAATCGCTCTCTATGGATCAAAAATTAGGCCAACTTCATCTATCAGTTATGAAACATCCCAGAAAGAATTTGGACTTTTATTTTTGCCAAGCAACAAAACAAACTGAAAAATGTGGAAAATACCACACACAAGCCTGGATTATTTATTTCTACATCTATTATTATTTTCCCTCTTAACAAGTCAGAAATCATTTAATCTAATTCAATATTTTTTTACTACCTACTATGTGTTAGGCATTCTGTATAACCATTAAAATAATTCTTTTAAAATGAAATGTAGTTTAATTAAAATAATTCCATGCATTATTTGGCAAAAGTAGATTCTTCCTTTTGGCCAGGATAGTCTCATCTGTAGTTGAATTTATCAGCAACAGAGGCCTCAGTTTTCCCAAAACTGGGAGAGTGGACAGTGCATGGATTTTGGAGTTACTTTTAATCCTGGCTGCACAGTTATCAGCACCGTGGTTGAGCAAGTTCTTTCATCTGTATTAGCCTCTTTCCTCCACTAAGAAATGGGTATACTTACCTCACCATGCAGATTTAAGGAATGAATTCAGTGGTGCAGATGACCAATAAATGTCAGTTTCCTTTATCACTTTGTGACTAGGATGAAACTAAGACATCTAGGACAGGCTGGAACAAAAGCAAGCACTAAGAACCTGGGTTTCAGCTTATTTATTTAATGAATATAACAGCAGACTTTGACCCAATGTGTTTCTCAAATCTTCTATTCCTATGAAAGAAATAAGCTAGGCATTGATACGAGATTATTGATGACAGGCAGGAGGAAAAGTCCTCGTCTGGACTCCTGTATGCACACCTCCCTTGGATTAGTAGATTAGCAAAATTAAAGTGATGACCAAAATAACTGCTTGGTGCCAAGGTTCTAAATATATATAAAGTTCTGAGGCTTTTTGTCTTTTTCTTCCAACTTAATGGAAATGCTGACAGCCTCTTTTGAAGGAATCTCCTTTGAATGAGAATGGTAATACGCCCAGGGGCCCAGGTCTTGCAGGTGGACATTGAGAAGTACATCATTCAGGGTACTCAGTTGCCAACTGTGGGAACCAAATCAGGCTAGCTTAAGTACAACAAGAATTTCCTATAAAACTATTGGAAAACTCAGAATAGTGATAAGATCCTGGAGAACCAAGCTCAGAAAATGGGCAGAATCCAAAGGAGGTTGGGCACCATCAAGATCCTTTGACAGGAATAGTCTTTTTGAACTGCTGCCACCAGTCTTGATACTCCTGGATATTTGCCCCTCTGCTGATAGACTTTAAACTCCAGCAAAGCTATCAGGATTAATCTCTAACTGCTGCTGTACAGATGTATCACATTCTTGAAATTCAAAATCCTTGGTGGGAGAATCTGATTGGCCAGTTTATGCTACATGTGTATGTGTATGTCACATGACATACCTGCCATGGAACTGGGATGTGGAGCAAGATCTGTAATAGGGATAGGGGGAAGAGGAGCAGTGACTTCAACCTACCGTATTTCTTAAAAATAGGTAGGATATTATGATGCCCAGCAGCTAAAAATAAGTATCTACAGAAAGTTCATCTCGTCTTTTCCCTATCCTGTTGTTTCTTCAAGTTACGGCAGTGGCTGGTCCCAGCTGTCATAAGATATGCTTTTCTTGTGAGCAGACATGCAGACATATTCTGTTCAAGGAGTAAAGCCACATTTTGATGGACATGGACATAAACCTTCTGGAATGATCTGGCTATGCATCGTGCTTTTATGTGACTCTGGCTTCTGAATTCTTGTCATGATCAGAGCGGAGCCTGGTGAGAATACAGAAAATCACTTCCAGAGAAGTGAGAAATCCACAGTGGAGACATTGCCTACTGACTTGCTCAAGAATGCAAAATGGGATATAAGCTGCTGAAGTGTTTGAGCGCATCATCCTAAAAGCTTCTTGTTTAATTTTAGTCACTGGGAAATGGTTGTTTTTTTCCTCATTTGGGCCACAGAGGATCAGTTTTGCCAAAAAAAGAGAAGCAACTAAGAGGCAAAATTTCAGCCAAATGAAGAGCACTTTAAATTGTTCCTTCATAATGGATGAAATCATTCATTATCTTTAGAGTTGGTCAGGCCTGGGTTGGAATCCCAGCCCTCATAACAGGACAATCTTTGGCCAGCAACTAAAGCCTCCCTGAGCCTCAGTTTCCTCATCTATAAAACAGGGATAATGGTGTCCCTAAAAATGGATGGTTGTTCGGATTAAAGACGGCCTGTGTAAAGCCCCCAGCCACAAGACTGCTCAATCAGTGTTTGTCCTTAAAACTCACCTACTCTTTCTCGCTCACAAAAGCAAATAGAGCAGATAGCACATTTACTCCCCCATAAAGCACAAAGTTATTAGAGGTAATGTGAATGAAAGTCAAAGGTTAGACATCAACAATGAAATAAAACAGCAGCATGGAGGAGAAAGGGCATTGAACCCAAGCAAAGGGAAGGCAGAGCTGTGCTATCAGCATAATTCCTGTGTCAATGCTAAAGCCACTTAGCATTGAAGTCACCGGAGATGAGAACCAGGGAGGAATCCTAAAGACAAGAGAAGTAATATTTACAGTGCACGTACTTTGCTCCAAGCCAGGTGCTTTACACACAGTGCAGTACCACATTTAAACTATGTAACAGCCCCATGAAGTAGGTACATTATTATCTTCACAGTATAGATAATGAAATAGAGGTGCAGAGACACAGTGAGTGGTGAACTAGACTTCCTTCTGACCTCAAAGGCCTCGCTTCCAAGTGAGGCAGAAGAAACTCAGCTCTAGAGGTTATACCTCTTCCACTCAAGACAGCAACCAGCTTGAGGCAGGAATCAGCACCATTGTAAATTTGGAGACTGGGTCAGGTGCCAGCGGTGTTCCCATCAATTCTAATAAGATTAGGCAGAGAGAGGAAGTGGTCCATCTGAATAAACATGAAGGCTCCACTGTATCTATGTAGATGAGAGGCAGGCAAGACACTGTATCGGCAAATCCAGGAGGCTCCATTCCCATTTTAGTGCTCTTAAGAAAGATAAATTAAAAAAATTAGAGATAAAGCAAGAGGATAACTGCATGTCCCTTCAATATCTCCCTTGGGCATTAACTGGCTCGCCCAAATTCATATTTAATTATCTAGGACAAGAGTCGACAAACTATGACTGGCAGCCATATGTTTTGTAAGTAAAGTTTTATTTGAACACAGCCATATCCATTTGTTTATGTATTATCTAAGGTTATTTTCATGTTACAATGTTAGAATTGAGTAGTTTCAGCAGAGATCCTGTGACCTGCAAAACCGAAAGTATTCCTACCCGGCTCTATAAAGAGTTTGCTGACCCCTGACCTAGGAGAATGTGCTTGTGTTTGAATTGGCTATTTCCTATCTGATTAAACCCCATCTGTTCTGAAGTTATAGATCTTCTGGTCAGTTTCTATAAGGGATAAAAGATAACCAGAAAGCTACAGCTTGACTGCCCTGTAAGACATTAACCCTTTTTTTTTAAATTAGCAAATTTATTTTAATATCCCTTTGACCAACTATATACATTTTCTTCCTCTAATTTTTCCTGGAAGCAGCTTTACCACCCTTCTGCTTCCTTCATTAATTAATAGTTGAATATTTTTATTTGTATTCATTCTATTTTGTATGAGTCATGGTTTTAAATTTTTGAAAGCTGTGCTTTCACAACTCCAGGGAATACCACTGAATGCAACATGAATGGAGAGGGTGGCAACTCTCGGTTTGGGGAGAGTGGCACTGGTAGCCAACCCCATTGGTGCCCACTACAGTATGCACCTCCTTAATTAACATGACAACCCTATAAGTTTCGTTAACCTACAACGTGGGGAAATGGAGATAATAGCAATACCCAACTCATAGGGTGGTTTTGGTGGTTAAAAAAAAAAATGCCATTGAAGTATTTAGCCCATACTTAGCACTTAATACTTGTCCATTAAATGCTAGCTATGATGATTATTACTGATGCTACTATCCTACGTATTAGTGTTTCTCTGGTTGCACATTGCACTTGACTAAAGAGACAAGTGACTTGGTTTTGCAGGACCATACTTCCAGATCAGGTGGAGAGTTGGCCTCATCCTTCCTCTACTGTGTAAATTGAGGTAGAGACTATAACCTCCTTACCTTTGTGCCCCTGCTTGCCCAGAAAAGCACCTGACACATGGTACATAGTCAATAAAAGTTTATTGACCTAAATTACCAGCATGTTGATGGGAATGATAAGTAGATATGACTGGCAAAAAAAAATCATGATCACATATAAAAAAGGTGTCTGATTTGGTGGTACAGGTTGAGACCAGGTTGGGGCAGAGACCTTGAGTTGTATAGCCTGAGGCTACTTTTCCTCTTTACAACTATAAAATGAGATGAAGACAACATTCCGAACACAGCTTGAATGGGCAGAAGTATAGAGATGTCCTCTTCCTTCTGTCATTGGAATCTTCCTCTGTTTCTGTGGGGAAATGGAAAATTAGACCTGTTCCCCTTCTACCCCTGGGGGCACAAAGCCGGCCAGCTTTATTACATTACAGGAGCTGCCTACCTCAATTGCATTGACAAGGCATGCCAGGCCTGTGCACACATCCAGATCCTTCTAATCCCTTTAGTTCCATCACCTGGACATTTTATTTGAAATTGATTTTTAAATGTCTGAGTAATTGAGGTTTATGTGTAGTTGCCTCTTTGAAACAGGGGTAAGCTGAGGCTGCTTGTATCCTCATTAAACACTGATTAGAAGTGATTGCATTACTGGAGGCCTCAATTTGTACCATTTCTGAGGGCTCCCATTAGAGAGCAGCTTCCACACTTGGCAGACCTGGGCGTCTGGAGAGAAGAAACAGTACAGAGTTGGGCTCTGAGTCCCCTCCTGCATTGTCTGCAGATGACCATCTCTAATGGGAGGCTGTTTTCCAGGGCTTCTCAAGGGCTCCATCTCTGGGGCATGTATAAGCCACCAGGCTCTGGTTTGGGCAAAATATTTGCTTTTGTTCTGGGGACATAGGACTTAGGAATAAAGTTTTGGGGTTGGAAGTCTAATGTCTTTTTTGGTGCTGATTTGGTAAACTTGGGCAAGTCCTAGAGCCTTTGTCTTACTCTATTTTGTTCTCCCATGTCTTACTTATACCCTGTATGTGTGGCTCAGACTTGCTCTTTACCAAAGACATTGGCCTTCAGAGTTGGTGCGGATAAGGCCTACTGGGGGACAAAAACGACCAAGAGGAAAAATTTTGATCTTAAAAACATCCTATGCCTCTATGCTCTTGAGAGTAGTTTTACCACTGCCCATTCCAGGAGGAATAGAGTTTGGGAGTTGGAATTAAGATGGGGATCCAAACTCTAGCTTTGAACTCAGAAAGATCTGGGTTTGAATCTTGGCATTAAAGGCAGGGTAGTAATGAATAAAATCCTGAGTCTCCTTTTTGTTCAGTTCCTTTATCTGTGAAATGGGGCTGTCATAGCCTACCTCAAAGGGTGAGTGGGAAGACTGGATAAAATAAGGTGTATACAGGGCTGGGCATAAAAGAGTTCAGCCAACCTGAGGTCACTTAGTAACCATCTCACCTGGCTCTTGCAGCCTTTTGTTTTGTTTTTCTTTGCTTTGGATTCTACACTATAAATTATGACCTCTGAGTTCCATGAAAAGGCAAAAATCTGTAGTAAAAAGGAAGGCCAAAAGGTAGGAGTCTGAGACCTCTGGCCTCTCCTGCAGTATACACTATCTAGAACAGCTCATGTTTTTGTCTATATATTGGGGTTTTATGTAATCTTTCCAATTAAAAAATATACTGCTTTGAAAAGAAAAGTGGACTCTTATGACTGCATTAGAAAATCCATGGAGTCCTCAAAGTAAATAAGTACTCTGATTTCCCGTCATCCTGCAAAGCCCTCTCAGCACACCAAGTGGCAGAAGCTCCTTGGCATGTATAGGAATAAATTTGACAACCTATCTGAACTAGTGCATCACTCAAACTGTCACTACAGAGAAAGAAAGATGCACACAGATTCAGGTAATTCAGGGGTAAGCCTCTAGTATTTGGAGTTCCTCTCTTCTTTTAGGCCAAATCCCAGAGCAGCAGATCTCCACCTGATCTTGGTCTTCTTAAAGTTGTCCCTAACACCTTGTTACTCTCCATTCCAGCATCTCACACTGAGCTGAGTGTTAGATAGGAATTCAACAAGTGTTGGCCAATGGAGGAGTCTCTATTTGAAGTAGATCAAGCCTCTGTACTCATGGCCTGTGTCATTCTGCTCTGAAAGGCCCATAGAGTGCATATTCTATGTGAACTTGTGTCCAAAAGAACTAATACTCAGGAGAAGCTGACTGAGGGAGGAGGGGGAAGGGAGGAACCCACAGAGGAGCAGGTGCTTGAGATGGACCCTGCCAAAGGTTAGGACTCAGAAGGGGAGAGAGAAGACAAGCCACTGTTGGCAGAGCCCAGAGTAAGAAAAGTGAGAGGCAGGATTGAGCAGGGTGTGTGGCTAAGAAAAAGATTTCCAGGCTGGGAGTGAATGAGATTCAAGAGAAATGGGATAATACATCTTCCTGGATGGTGCCAGAAAATGCTGGGTCCCTGCCCTTACTTTGCATCAGAGAAATCACAGTCATCATTAAACAGTGCAAACAGAGATCTTCTCCTCTAGTATTTAACCAGGGATCTGTGCCCCTTTCTAGAAATGGAGAGAGATAAGTAGAGGGAAAAGGTTAGGCCATCACTTATCAAATTAGGATGTGCCAGACAATTTACTAGACACTGTATCAAAAGTGGGCTCATTGAATTCATAGAGCAAATCTATTGATACATTCAGTTATTCATTCAAAATAACTATATTCAGCATTCAGTTGTCCTGGGCCCTGACAATGAAGCAGTGCATAAAATACCCCCAGGTCCCCATCTTTCTGGAACTTATATTTACAGGGGAGAGAATAATAATAAATAAATTGTCACTTGATAAGCATTAAGAAATATGAGACAGACTGCTTATCCCTCTCTTGGAAAAGAAGAGACTGGGGTATGGAGAGCTTATACAAAATGCCCAGGGTCATTCACAGTCAACAGCAAACTCAGACATAGGTGTCTTTGAATCCTGTGCTTTTAACTGGTAGGCCCTTCGCTCTTCTCATTCTTTTGGACATTGCATAGCCTTTTACCGTGAAATGCTCCCATGATTTAAGCCAAAGGAACCAGCCGATATCGAGCAAAGGCCTTGGAGAAATGTGGCAGGCCCTGTGCCTGCCCACAGGAGGGTTTGGAGCTCTGTGGAGTCTTCCTCTTTCTGGAGCCCTGAACACTGCTTGATTTCTCTTCTTCAGGTCAACTCACACCATAGCTTTTAGCCCAGCTCAGCTCAGCTCTAAGTATTAATTTACAAATTGCTGCTTCTGGGTCACTGTGGTGTCATTGTGACTTAATGACCTGATTTCCGTACAGTGTTCCTGGTTCAGTCGCTTATTTGAGCCTTTGAGTATTTCTTCTCCTCCTATTCCACTCTTCGGAAAGACACATGCTCATATCCCAAAGCAGAAGCAAACACATTAGAGTTCAAATCTATATAATTAGGGCAAAGAGTTTCCACTATGCAGGCTTAGTCATGGGAGTTGGCTTCCCGGTTGTTAATAGAGGTTTAATCTGAGGACTTTTGCAGTTAAAAACCAAGAAGGGATTTCTTCTGAAAGTGGAGAGCATAATAGAACTCCATAATAGAACAAATGGGATATAGTTTGTTTCAAAATGATTCCAAATGATTTGTGTAAAGAGTCACTTAGAGAAAAGGGATTACATCTTTCTCCTCTCATGATAAACGAATGTCTCTGAAATAAAACAATTTGGCAGCATCTCCTGTTCTGACCCCAATGGGTAGTCCAATGTAAGTGTGCATGTATTTGTTTGTCAAGCGAGCAATAAGAGGTTAAACCTCTTATTATTTTTATTATTTATTATTACTTATTATTGTCCTCATACTCATTATTTTTCCTTGTTCATCAAAATGTGGCATGCATGTTGAAGTCATCTTCCTGAAGAGAAATCTTTAAAATAAACAAAAAAGAAAGTTCTCCTTCCGCCTTAGCACTTCTTTTTAGAAAGAAAAAAATCATAAGAAAAGTGCTAAGACAGGCAATATTTTTAGAGCAAAAACCTTGTGTTAGACCCAACATAGAACATTCAAAAATCGGTGTCTCCATCTTCAAAGATTGTCTTCAGAGACAGTGTCTCCGACCTCTTAACTGCAAGAGACAGGCCCACAAATTCTGTAGAGAATATCAAGGAAGATGTTGGGTGAAGAAACTGAAAGCAAAAGGGTGTCTGTAGGATCTCCCAGAGTAGTAGATACACCCTTCTCAGTGTGCCTGCAAATTATCCGAAAGAAGACCCAAGACCATCGAAACCCACCCACTCACCCTCAGAGCCACCAAAATTGTTGACACTGTCTTCTCCAGTGACTTTCGAGTGCAGATGGAATAAATGCTTAATCTCTCCTCCCAGCCTACAAAGCTTCTAGGGCCAGGATTCTGCCTCCCTTCCTCCTTTTCGAACTTTTCAAAAAATGAGCCCCTTCTCTGTCAGGTAACTCAGGCTTCATCCACTTCCAGACATCGCTATCTTCCAAATTCTCTGTATCTTCTCCTACCTTTGAACTTCTCATATTCTCCCCACTCGAAATATTTTCTGTCTTCAACGCTCCTCCAATTTTTGAATACTCAAAGGCTATCAAAGTAACATGCCTACATCATAATCCAACATTCACACCTCTTAGAAATTTAGGTGGAATCTCTCCTATCCTCCCCTGTTCTACCCCACTGCGTAGCACATTTGCAGCATTTAGCAAATTCTGCCCTCTGTGGTTATGGTTGTATCTGTGTCACTGTCTCTAAACAGCGAAACTGCCAAGGACAGACACATATCTGATTCATCTTGACATCTCCCATATTCCTAGTACATTTCTCACTACATAAACACACAAAAGACATTGGCTTAGCCGAATTCCAGAGGTCAATGACGACCTCAAAATTGTAGCTGTGTGAGGGTAATATTATTGGCCCAAATGCTCATCCATGGGAGAGTGCCTGAATAAATGGCCTATAGTCACACAATGAAATATATTATACAGAAGTGAAAATAATTGAGTTACAGCATGCAGCGGTCTGAATGCATCATAGGAATATATCAACAAAAAATAACTCTCAAAAGATTATGTACAGCATGACATTCTTTAAACTTAAAAACATTCTAAATAAAAGATATGTGTTTAGGCATACATAAATATTTAATAGAACAATATAAAAAGGAAGGGAAAAGAATGATGTGCACAAAATTTGGATTGAAGGAAGCAGATGTGCTGCTGGGAAATACCATATGGTTAGATGTAGGTTATTGAAAGATCCTCGCTTTTATGTTTGGTGGTAGACTCGTGCATGTTCGTTAAAATTTTTTAAATCAACTAAATAATAAAAAAGTAGGCCAGACATTAGCCAATGATGAAAGTGTGTCGTGGGTCACAGATTCTAATTAATCTTATTGTGTGCACCTGAGTTCTATTTAAACAACAACAAAAGAAAAAACAAACCCTTGGCATTTAGCCATTTATGACCATTAGGAATTAGAGATCATCCCAGTCACTTGTGGAACACCTTATTTTGTTCTTAGGGAAAGCAGAGGAGCAGGGGTTGTTTTTCTCAAATTTTCCTCCAAAGTGATCTTCACTGACCCTCCTATGTCATGCACACATAGCATCCCTTTGTCTTCTTTATCTCCTTCTACTGAATGCACAAGTGCAAGCAAGATTCCCAATCAGAGCAAAGATACTAATTGAGTCACCCAGGACTACATTTATGCATTTATTCATTCAGCAAATATTTATCAGGTACCGTGCTACATACTGCATATAGAGAGGCCTTCAAAAGTAATGTGAAGCCTTTCCTCCTAGAGCTTACAGACTAATAGAAAAGACAGGCAATGCACATATGCACACAGAAACACATGCATTGACTACGTAATTATAAACTGCGGAAAGCTCAGTAAAGAAGAACAGAACTGGGTGCCGAGAAAACAAGGAGAACATTGTTTTTTGTTAATGTTTAAGGTAACTTTTTTTTTTTTTTTTTTGAGCAGGAGTCTCGCTCTGTCGCCCAGGCTGGAGTGCTGTGGCGCGATCTCAGCTCACTGCAAGCTCCGCCTCCTGGGTTCTCGCCATTCTCCTGCCTCAGCCTCCCAAGTAGCTGGGACTACAGGAGCCCGCCACCACGCCCAGCTAATTTTTTTGTATTTTTAGTAGAGCTGGGGTTTCACCACGTTAGCCAGGATGGTCTTGATCTCTTGATCTCCTGACCTCGTGATCCGCCCACCTCAGCCTCCCAAAAGGCTGGGATTACAGGCTTGAGCTCTTCGCCCGGCCAAGGTAACATTTTTAAGAGAGGATAGCAATGCAGAAACAAACTGATGCTGCTGGGAAGGCCTGAAGGTCACCATCTGCACCTCTGCCTGGATGGGCATGTCTGTCGGTTTAAGGAGTGTATGTCAGAAATGGCTTGTCTGAGGTGTTGTAATGGGCTTATAAGGTTCTCATCAGCCTTGCCAGCGAGGCTAATGTTCTTCATCTGTAACATTCTGGTTCCTGCTCACTGTGACTAGGGAGAAATTCAAGGAGAAGGATAGGACACCAGGACACAGAGGTGGTCAGAGGAAGAAATATGGATTTATGATGGGCTTGGTGGAGGAGTCATAGGGTGTTTTAAGCAGGGAAGTAACATGTTCTCATTTACATTCTCAAAATGATCACCCTGGCTGCTGTGGGGAAAATGAAGTGAGCAGGGGCGAATGTAGAACCAGGAAGACGAGTTAGGGCTACAGAAGCCTAGAGATGGATGATGGTGCCTTGGGCTGGGGTGGTGTCTGTGGAGATGTGAAAGATAGGGTATAGGGTTGGGGTATGTCTTGGAGATAGAGTCAATGAATTTTGCTAAAAAATTGAAAGTGAAAGTTGGGGGAGAAAAGAGGAAACAAAAATGATTTATACATTTTTTGGCTTAAGAAACTAGGTGTTTTGTGGTACCATTTATAAAATTTAAAATATTTGGGTAAAAGGAGAATGTTATGAGAGGACATCGTAATGTGTTGTGTTTGCTTTTTTTTTTTTTTTTTTTTTGAGACAGAGACTTGCTCTGTTGCCCACGCCAGAGTGCAGTGGCATGATCTTGGCTCACTGCAACCTCTGCCCCCCTGGGTTCAAGCAATTCTCCCACCTCAGCCTCCCAAGTAGCTGGAACTACAGGCTTGCACCATCACACCCAGCTAATTATTATATTTTTGTAGAGATGGGTTTTCGCCATGTTGTCCAGGCTGGTCTCCAACTTGTGAGCTCAGGTGATCTGCCCGCCTCGGCCTCCCAAAGTGTTGGGATTACAGGCATGGCCACCATGCCCAGCCTGTGTTTGCTTTTGATAAGTTAAAATTGATATGCCCATTCTATATTTAAACAGAAATTCAGGTAAGAGATTGGAAATTTTACTTGTGAATTTTGGAAGAAATCTGGGCTAGAGACCTACATTTGTGAGTTAACTATGGATAGGTGGTATTTAAAGTCATGGGCCTGGATGAGATGAGCTCAGCAGAGAGGCCAGAGAGAAAAGGGAAGGCCTAGGATGAAGCCCTCAGGCAGGCCACTATGTAAGGGTGAGTCATGGTAAGAAAGGGCAGAAAAGGACTACAAAGGGAGCTACCTTTGAGGTGGGAGGAAATATAGGAGAGAATGGATCTCAGAAATCAAGAGAAGAGAGGGTTTCAAGAAGCAGCAGCATGACTTGTCAAATGATGGCTGAGAGATGAAGTAAAGCAAGAAAATAGACATGCCCATTGGCTGTGTTAATGCAGAAATGGCAGAGTTTTCCTTATGGGGTGTGGGAGCAGGAAACCCAGCCAAGGGAGAAGAGCAGATGAGGGAGTGGAGCTCTGCTAGGAATTACACTGTGTGGGGCATTTTACAAGCAAACAACTAAAGTATATCTTTAACAAGTCCATGGCATAGAAACAAAGTATGTTCTAGGTTAAAAGAGGTTTAAGAGATGCGATGAAATGCAATGTATGAACCTTATTTGGCTTGTTGTTCAACTACCAAAATAAAAAGACATTTTGAGGATAATTTAGTAAATGTGAAGCTAAGCTGGATATTAGAAGATAATAAGAAATTTTTATTAATTGTATTAGATGTGATGTTATGATTATGCAAGAAAATGCACTTATTTTTAAGAAAGAAACTGAAATAGAAGTAAAATGTTATTACATCTGATATTTGGTTTAAAATGCTACAGCAAAAACTGAAAAAGTAATGAAGAAAATACAACCTAAAGTTAACATGGTCTCTATGATGAGTATATGGGGGATCATTGTACAATGTTATTTTTGTGTGTGTTTGAAATTTTTTCATTATGAAAGTTACAAAACAGGTGTACAGTGAAGGGGAGCAGAGAAATAGGACAGCAGCTAGAGGGGAATGTAAGTCAAAAAAAGCTTTTAAATTGTTGTTAAAGAAGAAACACACGATCATTTCCATGATGACGATGATCTGAGAGAGGGAGAAATTGATCATACAGGAAAGAGGGAAAACAGGTATGTCTCCAGGTTCCTAGGGGACCCAGAGGGGACCTGATGAAGCCCAAGTGCACATGCTGGCCTCTGATCTTTGGGAACAGTAAAGAGAGATGAGCACAGAGGCAGGTAATCCGAACCCACAGAGGTGGATTTGGTAGTGGATAAAATCATGCAGTTCCTCCAGGTCAATTATGCTTTCTCAATGACCCACGAGGAAAGATCATCAGCTGAAGAATAGTCCACAGTGGCATGGAAAATGGGAAGAGGAAGAATGATGTGTGAAATAGACCATTAGTTGAAAAGTGGGAACGTGTCATTGGATTTCCAGGTGATATTAAGGCTCCATTAGTGATGCTGGCTGAGGAATTGCAATTGAGAAGACAGGACTCTTGGTGGTTCTCCCCAGCAGCATCCATTTGCTCAGGTGAAGGCATGAAGAAATCAGTAATTGTCTTTAATTAGTTGGAGCTTTGCTATACGTGTGTGTGTGTGTGTGTATGGAATAATAGAATGTGGGAGCTATGATGCCTGGAAGGAACATATGATGAAATTTACGCCAGCCATGGAAGAAAGTAAGGACATGAAGGAGGGAGGTAATGGAGAATGAGAAGTTAACTCAAGGGGTTGGAGAGCTCGATGAGGCCTCCACATTCACTGAGCAAATGCCATGTGCTTGGCACTGTTTGGAACATTTTATATGCATTAACTTATCAAATTGTTATAGCAACCCTGAGAGATAGTTCTCATTATTGCTATTATTTGCCTCTTAAAGGGAAATGAACTGAAGGCACAGAAGTTAAGGAGCTTGTGCACAGTCCCATAGCTGTTTAATGCTGGGATTTGAAGCGTAGTAGTCCAGGGCCGAAGCCCGCATTTACCCCCTCATGACACAGCCTCATTTATAATTTTTGGAGCACATATTATGAAGTAGGTGAGCTGGAAAAGTCACAGGTGGTGGTCAGATAGTGACATGCTTGACATCAAGAGTTCAAAAGTTTGAACATGGGAAAAGGAGGTGGGGTAGAGAAAATATCACTGGTTATGAGGAGGTCAAGTAAATAAGAAGTCCGGGAGTTAAATGAAAGATCATCGCAGATATCAAGGCCTTCAAGGGTAGTGGCAAGAGGTAAGGGAACAGATTTCTTTACAGCAGGATTTCTGAAAGAGGGTTGTGGTGCCAATTTATTTTATGAGATGCCAAAAGGGAGAAGCATATGTTGCATTTCTCATATTTATTCACCATGATATCCTTTCTTTCAGAACACATGTATTCTGAGAATCATAATATATTCCTAGGAATCTAATCCAAAAAACATTACTGCAGAGAAATGAGCTCCAAGACAAAGCCCAGGTCACATCCCCACCCCATTTCCCATGCCCACATATCCAACCCTGATCCCACTCAAAATTAACCAAGAAACAGTTATGAAACTGTTTATGCCTCACTGAGGGGCAAGCATGTGCCTTTGAAGAATTATTCATCTCAAACTCTGAAAGCTTCCATCTTCCTTCATCTGAACAGTTTAGTCAAAACTACATTTCTGCTTGCCAGAAAAATCTCAGCTGCAAGCCACTCTCCTAAAGCAATCCAGGCCTGCTTTTCAGGCTTCAGAGTTTGAGATGAGCCAAATAATTTCCAAGATAATCACTTGACCTTCCCCCTTACCGAAGCCAACCTGAATATGCGGTTTTTGAAGATTCAGCCACCATCAGTCATTTACAATTATGGAACTCTGTGTTACCTTGTACTTAGAGACCTGGGCACAGTTCAAATAAACAAAAAGCAACCCATGCTTTTCCTCCCAATTCTTCTGCTAATAGAAACCTTTTGAACTGAACTTTTATTGGTTATTTGTTACTGTCATTTGCCATTGTCTGCACCCAAGATGATGAGTGCATTTAGATGTGACTAAATCCACTTCTCCCTAAGCCTTAGTGGGAATTGAATTGACATTCAGGTGCAAACAGCCAGCCACTGAACACAGTACAATTCCAGCCACCATGATCCCATATCCAGCCTAATTTTAATCATGTGTAAACAATATGTAAGTGGTAAAGTTAAAGTCAGTGAAGAAAGGGGGTGATATTGGTATTATCAGGAATCAATAATTCCCTCAAGCAGCCCCCAACCTGCCTTCTCACTGTCACACATCACTTCACGAATTGGAATGCATTTTGCTTCCACAGCTTCTCGGGATCTCAACTCAGCTTAGAATGGCCAGCTGTTATATTGTTGTGGACATATTATTACCATGGGGCAACTATACACTATGATTACATTTTTATTGGGCTTTCTAAACCATAATTCTCTCTCCTTTATCCTTCCACCAAAAAGGAGCTATGGAAAACATCTAATAAAAAATATTGAACTCCATTTCACAGCTTAACAATGTAAATGCTTATCAATAATTTATAGCAAATAAACCCAATGCCACTGGTTTCTTTATCATGTTCTGTTTTTCTAACGTTATAAAAGAAAATAATACTAAAAGAAGCCATTATAAAAGGAAATCTCTCTCTCTCTCTAGCTGTCTTATTAAATAGTCATTGACAGTGTGTCAGGAAACTACCACACACAGAATTAAGCTCATTGCTCTTATAAATTCTGGTGTCAATGCAGGACGGACTTAGAAGCCTCAAAAAAATGTGGAAGGAAGATATACTCTCTTCAATAGGGAACTTTCTTTTCTTTTCTTTTTTTGAGTCAGAGTTTCACTCTTGGAGTGCAATGGTGTGATCTTGGCTCACTGCAACCTCCGCCTCCCAGGTTCAAGCGATTCTCCTGCCTCAGACTCCAAAGTAGCTGGAATTACAGGCATGCGCCACCACGCCCAGTACTTTTGTATTTTTAGTAGAGACAGGGTTCTCCGTGTTGGCCAGGCTGGTCTCGAACTCCTGACCTCAGGTGATCCACCCGCCTTGGCCTCCCAAACTGCTGGGATCACAAGCGTGAGCCACTGCACCCAGCCTAACAGGGAACTTTCTAAATCAGCTTTTTAAAAATCAACTTTATTGAGGTATAATTTACAGGCACTAAAAAGCCCACATTTGAAATATGCAATTCAATGAGCTTTGACAATTATGTAAATCTATGTAACCACCACCACAATTAGGATATAAAACATTACCATTACTTCAGAAAGTTCTTTGGGGTTCCTCTCCAGTCATGTCCACTCCCACAGGAAACTCCTGTTCTGAGTTACATCACCACTGTTTTGCCTGTTATTTTGCCTTTTATTCACTTTATATAAAGTAATATATGCACTCTCCTGTATCTTTCTTGATTCATCATTTTTTTGAACTTTATCTACTTTGTTGTTTAGTTTTTTATATTTGCACTCATGTTCTATTTTGAATTATCTCTTTATAAAGTGTGAGGGAGTGGTTAAAATTTATTTTTCCCCTGATAGGAGGATAACATTTTTATTTCTATATAGAATTATGTTAGTGCCTTTGTTGAAAATCAATGGACCATATGTGGTATATTTCTGGAATCTCCGTTATGTTCCACTTATCTAAATGTGTATATTTAACAGAATCACACTGCCTTGGTTTCTGTAGATGTGTATCTACAGTACACAGTCTTGAAATCAGGAAATGTAGGAACTCCAACTCTTTTTTTCTCAAAATCATTTTGGCTACTCTAGATCTGTTTTATGTTGCCAAATAATTTTTAGAATCAGCTTGTCGATTTTTTTTTAAAGAGACTGATAGAATTATGAATGTGATTTTGTTGAATCTATACATCAATTTGTGAAGAACTGACACTTAACAGTATTGTATCATCCAATGCATGAATATGATATAATTCTTCATTATTTAAATCTTCTTTAATTTCTCTCAGCAATGTTTTGCAGTTTTTGAATGTGGAGTTTTTGTACATAATTGGGTTTTATGGTATCATTAATTTTTAAATAAGTATTTTTTGTCAATATATGTAGAAATGAAGTTGATTTTCATATTTTGACCTTGAATCCTGTGACTTTACTACATTCACTCATTCATTCACATACTATTTTATAAGATTCTTTAGGATTTTCTAAATAGACATTTATATTGTATGCCAAAAAGGCAATTTTCTTTCTTTCTACTCTTTTGCATTTTTTCCTTGACTATTCAACTGGCTAGGATCTCTAGTACAATGTTGAATAGAAGTGAACATCCTTGCCTTATTTCTAAGCTTAAAGAGAAGACATTCAATATTTTACCATTTTTGTAGATGTTAGCTGTAAATTTTTCACAGATGACCTAAATCAAGTTGATTTTGACCTTTTGATATATTTTCATTACTATTCAATTTAAAATGTTTTCTTTCATTTTTTAAATCCATCCCTGGAAGCACTTATCATTTGAGTTACAAATAATCCAATTACACTCTAAGTTATTTTAAAATATACAATTAAGTTATTACTGACTATAGTTGTTTTTTTTGTTTGTTTGTTTGTTTGAGACAGAGTCTTGCTGTGTTGCCCAGACTGGAGTGCAGTGGTGCGATCTTGGCTCATTGCAGGCTCCACCTCTCGGGTTCAAGCAATTCTCCTGCCTCAGCCTCCTGAGTAGCTGGGGTTATAGGCACCTGCCACCAACCACCACACCCAGCTAATTTTTGTATTTTTAGTAGAGACAGGGTTTAACCATGTTGGCCAGGCTGGTCTTGAATTCCTGACCTCAAATGATCTGCTCACCTCGGCCTTGCAAAGTACTGGGATTACAGGCGTGAGCCACTGCGCCCAGCTGACTATAGTTATTTTCTGCTTTCTCTTGCCACTTCTTCACCAGGGTCATTTTGAAGTGGGTTGTTTAATTTACAGATATTTATGGATTTTTCTAGATATTGTATTGTTATAAATTACTAATTCTTGTGTGATCAGAGAACATAAAAGATTTCTATCTTTTAAAAATCACTGAGGCTTATTGCTTTGTCAAATGAAATTGTGAACATTTCATGTGCATTTGTAAATAATGTATTTTCTACAGTTGTTGAGTATAGTGTTCTGTAAATCTCTCAGGTGGGTCAAGCTGGTTTATAGTATTATTCAAATTTATTTTTATACCTTTATCAACATTTTTTTACCCTACTAGTTATATCAAGTATGGCAACACTCCTAAGAGAAGTAATGTTAAAATCTCCAACTATAATGATGCATTGGTTTATGTTTCTATTGATTTCCAGCTTTGTGAATTTTGCTGCTTTGTTATTAATTGTATATATATTTTAAAATTATGTCAGGCTGAGCATGGTGGTTCACACCTGTAATCCCAGCACTTTGGGAGGCCGAGGCGGATCACGAGGTCAGGAGTTCGAGACCATCCTGGCTAACACAGTGAAACCCCGTCTCTACTAAATATGCAAAAAAAAAAAAAAAGAAAAAAAATTAGCTGAGTGTGGTGGCGGGTGGCGGGTGCCTGTGGTCCCAGCTACTTGGGAGGCTGAGGCAGGAGAATGGCCAGAACCTGGGAGGCAGAGCTTGCAGTGAGCCAATATTGTGCCACTGCACTCCAGCCTGGGCGACAGAGCGAGACTCCGTCTCAAAAAATAAATAAATAAAAATAAATAAAATTATGTCTTCCTCATGAATTGTACCTTTTATTGTTATGAAATGTCCATCATCTTTATCCATTTTCTTGCAATATTTAGTCTCTTTCTGGTTATATATTTAGATTGTAATATAGCCATACTTGCTTCCTTATGTTTGCTTTTGGCCAGGTATGGCTTTTTTTGTTCTTCATATTTCAACTTTGTTTTGTTTATTTATATTGAAAATATGTTTCTAATGTATAGCATATAGTTGAAACCTGCTTTTCAACTTAGCCTACCAATCTCTGCATTTTAATTCGAATCTTTAGTTAGTACATTAACATTACATTGATATGGTTCTATTGAAGTTTACTACTTTGCTATTTATTTTGTAATTGTCCAGTGTTTTTGTTTTTGTTTTAGCTCTTTTCTGCCTTTTTTATTTAATGAACCATTTAATAGCCCCTATTTTTAGTTATGATATTATTATCTTTATTGAATACTTTTGGGTTAAAAATATACAAGCTTGATACACCAATGCTTATTTTGAAATTGATATTGTACCTCTTCAGACTTTGAACCTGATAGTTTTCATTTTCTTCTTCTCAATTCCCATTTCACACTGCAAAATAATGTAATTATATTTACCCAACCCCACATCATTTGTACTATTTTTGTTATAGACTTTATTTATAAATATACTGTGAGCATCAAATTAGTGTTATAATTTTTCCTTAAAAAAGTCAGATGTCTTTTCAGAATATGAGGAAAAAACTGTCATATATTTATCTAATTATTTACCACTTCCAGTGGTCTTTTTTCCTTCCCACATAGCCAAGTTTCCATCTGGTATTAGATCCTTTCAGCCTGAAAAGTAACATTTAGCCTTTGTTATAATTCAGGTCTTATGGTAATGCATTTTTCAGTTTTCATTTTTATGTTTATAAAGGATACTTTCTCATATTTCTCTATAAAGGATACTTTCTCATATTTCTCCTTAGTTTCAATAGAAGCTATCATCCTTAGTTTCCCTGTATGTACTGTGCTTTATCCACTTTCAAGATATTTCGTTTAATTTTGAATTTTAGCTGTTTGAGTCTGATTTGCCTGGGTGTGGTTTTCTTTGCATTTATCCTGTTGTGGATTCACAGAGCACTTGCATCTATAAGTCAGTGTTTATTATCAAATATAGGAAATATTTGGCCATTAATTTCTAAGTACTTTTTCTGCTGCTTTCTTGCTCTTTTCTCCTTCTGAGCCTCTAATTACATGTTTAATAGGGTTCCCAATATTCTCCCAGAAGTTCCTGATGCTCTGTTAATTTTGCTTCAGTCTTTTTATTTTAGACTCTGTTGGGTGGGTCTAGAATAGGTCGTTCTCTAAAAGTGTGGCGCTTTCTTTTAAAGTAAGTACTTTCTGATGTCTTAACTAGATGCTGGAGTGTTAATGAGCTCTTTCCACTTTAACTGGACTGGACCACCAATGCCCCTCAGCACTGATTTGTGTCTATAAACTCTTTTGCATTCTCAATACTATTAACAGCCACTTTCTCCTAAGCTTTTCCATGTAATCTGCAAAGCGTAACCCTCAACTAGTAATATCAAGGAACTCTCATACACCCCATGTTCAGCTTTCTGCCTCTGATGCCTTACCATATAGAATCCGGCTCTTTTAGCTGCCCTGAATTCTGACCTCTGCCTCTTTTGCTTGGTGGGACACCTGCACTCTGCCTGGACTCCAGCTCACTAGGTTGACGTCAAAAAAATTGTACCCAGGAAGAAAGCTGGGTGATCTTGGGGCTCTCCTTGTGAGTTTCCTTGATCTTAGCTATTGTGGTCTTCCCTGCCTGTTATTCAATGCCTGAAAACGGTTTTGTAACAATTACTCTTAACAATTACTTTACCATAGCCAAGTGAAGATAAAAAATTGTTATGCGTATGCTAAATCTACTTCTTCAGATTGTTTTTACATAAACTCTAAAATGTCATAAAATTAAATGGGAAAGTGTTTTTATCATGGGAAAATTGGGAAGTATTTTTGGCTTGAACTCACAAGGTGACCGTGTTTCTATATTTGTTTGCCTTGTCCTGTGGGGCAAGATGGTCTAGAAATGTTCTAGATAGTGTGACTCATTGTCTTTTCAGTTGTCAGTCTTCTGTGGAAATTCTAAGATTCCATCAGTCTAAGCAGGCCAGACTTACCATTTCTGCAACTTTTTCTCGATTTTTAAATGGTTCAGGCCTCTCTTTCTTGAAAGGTCCCTGCTCCTTCCTAAATGCTAAATCCAGAATGTTGTAGGAGAAGGAATGAGTGGCTATTCCCTTTGAGCATTTTGTTTGAATAAGAAATACCAATGTTCTTAAGGTGTATTTTTAAGCCACGCGAGGAAGGCTGGCACTCTTGACTGACTGGAGTTTCTTCTATCATGGGTTTTCTTTATTAAACTCTATTAAACTCTTTTTAAACCTTATTAAAGTATTGTTAGATCTGTGTCAGGACATGCCCTTTAAGAAGGTCTCAGGAGCCAATTATGCTGAGGACCAAGAACTCAAATAGGCAATGGAGGGAAAGCCAGCAAAAGATAAGAGAAATTGGGCATATTCATCAGGCCAGATGGTCAAACCGGAAGGCTGAGCCACCTGAACACACTGTGTTATTTTATTGGCCATTAAGCCAAGTAAAATTTTGCAGTAATATTTAACAACGTTTTTTTTCTCCCTCATTTAAAATCATCAGGCCTGAAATGTGTCAAGTGAAAGCTGAACACAGAATGAAGTCTGTTTCCAGGAAATGTCACTAAGGGTTTTGAAGCAGCTGACACTGTCATTGAAGTTCTATGGTAGCAAGATTACAGAATTGATCAAGGGTTTCCCAGTGGATCAGATGAGTTAAATATATGTGAATTCTCTAGGGCTTGACTTTTTCTTGTTTTACTTCACCTCCAAGGAGGAGACCATGGGAGTTCCCCCTAAACCAGTCCTTGCTAGACAGTTATTTAAAAAGAAATCATTCTAAGACTTCATAGCACCTAGAACTGAAGTAGAACCCAAATCTCATCCCATGCCCCACCCGCTACCCCCAACCTAAGCTGCCATTGCTCTCTGTGCATGCACCAGAATGGCCATCTTGGTTTAAGTGCTGTATCCTGGCTCTCCCTAAAGCCTTTCTGTGTCCTCAGCATAGAGGACACTCGTGTTCTTGTGTTCTTTTCATTCTGATGTTCTCAAAAGGTTCGCTTCCAAGAGGATGCTATGTATTGGCTTCAAGACCGCTGGGAAATGTCGAGAGGGCTCCTAGGATCTGATGTCATCAGTGTTTCCTGCGGCTCTCCATGAAGTGTGTTTTGATCTTTCTTTCTTCCAGGGCTGCTGCTTCTCAGCTGCCCCATTTCCTTTTTCCAGGACTGCGTGGGTCTGTACCAGCTCATCATTTCAGTCACTTTCATCTTCAGAGTGAATCCTTAGTCACCTTTAAGTGGCTTCAGGTACTAACTTTGGGTCAACTTCTAATAAGTATAGAAGAATGGTACGTTTTCCTCTTTTCAGGCTTCCAGTTTATTGAGTCAGAGATTTCAAGCTCTACCCAAAACCAAGAGACTCCAAGTGTCAAATCGTCAAATGAAAGAATTTTCTTGAAGTTTCAGCCAATTCTTCCCCCAGAATGTAGGAGGACTGAATATTTCTGAGTTTGGAATCTGGCTAGAATCTTACCTGGGCACCTCAGTTGCAGGCTATCTCCCTGCCACAACAGCTTCCTCAGTGGAATTCTGGGTTGAAGAGAGAATAAGGAAATTAATACCGAACTATTAATTTCATGTGCCCTGTTGAAATGCGGAAGCTGATTGTCCATACTGATGCCATCGTCACTGACTACATTAAAGTTTCTGTACAAATTCAGTAAGCATTTTGATGCCAGCTAGGCAGTGAGAGACATGTACTGGGGATACCAAGCTGAATGAGCAGATGCCCCTGCCTGCAAAGAGCCCACGTGGAAGTCAGTGGTCCAAACAGTAAGAGTCTGAAACTGTTTTTAAATAGGTCCTTTTCACTCTACAGGAAATAGGAATCTCTGGACAGGAAAAATCTCTGCTAGACCACACTATTTGTGTACCACCAGATGCTTCATACCTCCCCACCTCCACTTCAGGAGCTCCATGGCCCAAACGTGCTTTGCCACGTCTGTCCCTCAGATGTGGGGTTTTCATTTGCCCTAGCTCAATTTTCATTAACTACACTGAATGCATCTTTGCCTTCTTCTGCTCTACTCCAAAACAGGAAATTGTCCCTGCTTTCTTAGAAAATGGAGATCAATCAAGGATGCTCCAAATCATTTTAGGATTGTTCAGGCTATTCATTTAAGGAAAGCAATGCAACTTAAGATATATCAGCGTCTTATCCAGCCACTGGTGCTAGGCACTACAGTGTGTGTGGAAGTGAATTTCCATGAACCTCACGAGGCTTAAGCCTCAGAGCCCTGCACTTGATGGCATTGGGAGGGGCCCTAATAATGTCCTATGCTCATTCTGTGTTCTTCTGTATTAAATGGGCTTCCCAAATTGTACGTGCTTCTGATCCCACAAAACCTGAATCTACATTTGAGTATGTTTTAAAAACAAGTCAATAAGAGATAGCCTCTGTCCTTAAAGAGCTTAATTTTAGCAAGTGAAAGCAGAAAAATAACATAAATGCAACCAAGTAAAGGGTCCCCCAAATACAAGGTATTTTCCCACTGACTTGAATGTTTGTGTTCAATTTTGATCTATAAATGCTTAGAGATGTGGTTTAAATGATCAATATCTTATTTCTTAATTTAACTATAACATATATTTGAATTAAGTGTTCTCTAATATATTGATCTGGAAATATTACTTTTTCTACACTCATTTTACAGAACAATTTTATTCAAACTTTTCATATGGGACTTTGACGTCAGTGTCTTAATCATCACTAGGCTCCCTTCTTGAATCATCTGACAAGGTTTTCTTACACACCATATTCACGGCTAAGTTGTTTCAACTGTAACACTTTTTTATTTCGGGCACAGTTCTGTCACTGGAAATTTTATTCCATGCCACTAGAACTCACTAGCATAATATAAGAATATGTTTCTCATTTATCCTGTAGATACGTATTTGAGACTCTTGCAGCTTATAGTGACTATTTATCCTTTTAAAAATGACTTTTAATTTTTTAAAATAATGATATTCATCATTTGCAATGGTGAAGTCTTTGCACCCAGAAATACTCACTAAAGCTGTGCTTAATTCCTGCTTCTGTCAGATGAAATTATCTAGCTTTGATTAAGGTTGTTTCATGTTAACACAGTGATTCTCAGTTCTAGGTGTACATTGGAATCACCTAGAGTGTATTTAAAACACATTGATGCCTGGATACACTCCCAGAGATTCTGATTTAATGATCTGGGATACAGTCCAGGCATTGGAAGATTTTTAAGTTCTCTAGGTGATCCCATTGTGCAACCAAGGTCGAGAGCCACTATCTTCCCCTAAACAATCCTTTATTATTCAAAATAAAATGCCTGGGAGAAGGACAGGTCTCTTAACATGAGAGACCTTCATAAGGACTCAAATATGAAATAACTGCCTCTTTTCTAAGTAATAATTTAGAGAAATTTGAATGTCATATACAAAAGTACATAGGGATAATTCATATATAAGTATTAAATTTATGTATATATATGCAATTACTTTTTAATATAATGAATTTTTCTGTTTTTTAAAAGTTAGACTTGCTCACTGCATACAAGTTAGAAAAGATTAGACTTTGTGTATCGTTTGAGGAGTCAAAGACATAAAGAACTCAGATATGACTTCAGGAGAAACCAACATCAATGGATTCACCTGGATAAAGAGTAGGAATTTATGTAAGCAGATGTAGGAAGGGGGAAAGGTGTGCCAAGCAAAGAAAATAGAAATGTAATACTCAGGGTCTTCAAAAGTGTGGTATATTGAGGTGGCAGTAAGAAGTTTTTTTTTCTTTGAGACGGAGTCTTGCTCTGTCACCCAGGCTGGAGTGCAGTGGTGCGATCTCCGTTCACTGCAAGCTCTGCCTCTGGGGTTCACGCCATTCTCCTGCCTTAGCCTCCCGAGTAGCTGGGACTACAGGCGCCCGCCAGCACGCCCGGCTAATTTTTTGTATTTTTAGTAGAGACGGGGTTTCACCTTGTTACCCAGGATGCTCTCAATCTCCTGACCTCATGATCCGCCTGCCTCGGCCTCCCAAAGTGCTGGGATTACAGGCATGAGCCACCGCGTCCGGCCAAGAAGTCTTTTAAAAAAGAAAAATAAATGTTTTCTTATGGGTAAAGATCTATATTTCTGGCTACTAGAGATGACCAACACTTCAAGACTTCTTATTTGCTAGGTTTCAGCATGGAAGGATAGGCTAACATCTGAAAATGACCATAACATCATGGAATGTGCTATTTACTACTTTACCCACATCGTAAATGCAATTTCTTGACTGAGCAGGTCTGAGCTCATGAGTACTGTCTTCCTTTGGCTGTTGGGGTATTTGACATTCTTCCCTCTTTCTGCCCCTTTATTTTGGTTTGTAAGACCAACTGGCAGCAAATGGGTAAAAGCAAGAGCTGATGATCCTAAATATCTAAACTGAGAAAGTCACATCAAATTTAGTCACTCCTAATCTGACAGCAGATGTTTCTGGTTGAAATTCATTGAGAAAGAAGAAAAAAAGAAAACAAATGCTATGTAAGATCCATGTATTGATTTTCTTTATAAGGCATAGAGACAAGAAATGAAATAAGGATAAAAGTGGATGTGGCTCATGATGAATCTTGGTTTCCAACCCAGTTGGCTTTTTCACAGAACAAGTGATAAAGGGCAGGATTCAATCTTTGAAGAGATAAAGCCTATAATAGAAAGGTAATGAACATTTGTCATTCATTTCCCATTTTTTAAAGTCTTTCTTCAGTCTTACATAATATTCTCATAGTTGTGAGACAATCACTCAAGTATTGTTATTCTCATTTCCAGAAACAGAGGTCAGAGAAAGCCAGTAACCATCACAAGGTCACTTTCCCAAGGTCATAAAGCGGGAAAAGACACAAGTCTCTCAACTCTCAGTTCTGTGCTTGTCTATGAGAAAGAAAAAACACTTTTTATATAAGGAACACAAGCCTCTTTAAATTACCAGGCCCAGAGAGGCATTGGAGTGAAAAATAACAGTCACATCAATCCTGGCTTGTGAAAAACCGTTACCTCTTGAAGCCACTTGCTATGTGGGGTCTAGACTAACTGATGCCAAATAGCCATAAAATGCCATACACTGGACCCCATAACTCTTACCCTATAGTTCAACAATGTATAGTTCATTGCTAATCAATGTTATTTCTGTAAACCAATGATAAAACCTTGTGGACAACTTTTATGGATTTTGTAATTAACCCTTTCCTGACTTGTCACTTCTTTAAAAACTTGAGCCTCTCCTTTGGCAACTTGTGTGTCCTAAACAGCTATCCTCAAACTTGACCCAAACAAACTCTCTATGGTAATTTTGCCTCAGCTTCCTCCTTTATATTCATACCCACCACCCATATTAGATCCCCACTGTATGTGTTTTCTTTCTACTAGTAGTGCTAATTTAATAGATACCTAGAAATATCACTGGTTATAAGGGTAAGAAAATGTAGAAATGGATTATTATCCATAAGAAGTTTTTCCATATTTTAAAAATTATGTATACTTATGAAAAAAATGCCAGAAAAAATGCAGAACACAAACTCAAATTACTCTAATATGTTTTCACTTGACAATTTTCTCGTATATTCTTAAGTCTTTTTTCTACTTAAAATTGTTATTTTTTTAATGTGAAATGCTATGTTGTTTTACCTTTAAGATAGCATAAGCCTTTCTCCTTGTTTTCACACAGATTTCATGAATATTTAGTAGCTCTATAGTAGTAGCTCTCATATATTAAATGTCCACCATATTTCAGCCACAGTGCTAGCCTTCAGTAGATACCATGATGACCTTATGAGGCAACAGTTTTTATACCCGTTTTACAGATAAACATAAGCAGGAAAGCAACTCTACTCAGGCCATGTAATCTAGAATGGGTGGTTGTGGAATCCCTCCTCCGTGGGGGCTATTAATCCCTCTCTGCTACACAATTTATAATCAAGTGGATATTCCCTGGTTTATTCCCACACAGTTGGACATTTAGGTTGTTTCTAATTTTGTCTGTTACAAATAATATTGAGAAAAAATATTTTATGACTGCTCATACTTTCTCACTACTAATATTAAATAAATATTTCCTTAGCATAAATCTTAGAAATGGAATTCCTAGGTCAAAGAACATAAACAATTTAATATGATTTAATTGCCATTCTCTACCTCCCCCTCCCCTAAAGCAGTGTTACAACAGCAAGACATGGAATCAACCTAGGTAGGTGCCCATCACCAGTGGACTGGATAAAGAAAACGTGGTACATATACAGTATGGAATACTATGCAGCCATAAAAAAGAACAAAATTATTTCCTTTGCAGCCACATGGATGCACCTAGAGGCCATTATTCTAAGAAAACTAACACAGGAACAGAACAGCAAACACTGCATATTCTCACTTATAAGTGAGAGCTAAACATTGACTACACACAGTCATAAAGATAGGAACAATAGGTACTGGGGACTTCTAGAGGGAGGTGAGGGTTGAAAATCTACCTATTGGGTATTATGCTCACTACCTGGGTGACAGGATCATTTATACACCAAACTTCAGGGACAATTTACCCATGTAACAAACCTGCATATGTACCCTCCGAACCTAAAATAAAGTTAAATAATATCCATGTGTGCTCACAGTTGGGAGTCAGAGTGCCTATCCCATAGTGCTTCTGTCCACATCAACATTTAGGTTAATATCTCCCTACCTTTTCCCTTTGTTAAATTACAGGTGAAAAATATTAACTATTTATTTTTATTATTTTTTTTTTATTTATTTATTTTTTGAGACGGAGTCTCACTCTGTTGCCAGGCTGGAGTACAGTGTGGTGCGATCTTGGCTCACTGCAACCTTCACCTCCCAGGTTCAAGGATTCTCCTGCCTCAGCCTCCTGAGTAGCTGGGACTACAGGCACACGCCACCATGCCCAGCTAATTTTTGCATTTTTAGTAGAGATGGGGTTTCACCATGTTGGCCAGGATGGTCTCAATCTATTGACCTTGTGATCTGCCTGCCTCGGCCTCCCAAAGTGCTGGGATTACAGGCATGAGCCACTGTACCCAGCCTAACTATTTATTTTAAACAGAAATATTCTGACACATTTTGGAAGATATAAGTTGTCAGCGCCAGTCCTTGACTTTCCCTTCCACATATACTTCTGCCTCTTTTACTTAAGAATTTTCTCTTTACTTTTCCTAACATCATGGACAACAATTGTTCACTAGTACACTATTTGCGAGGCTTTATGCTTGATATGATTTGGGCACAACTTGGGGGTATACAGTACTACCACCAACCTGTAAGAGCTTAATGTTTACTAGACACAAAAGAAAAAAAAAAAAAACTACACAAAACAATTGCCCAGTGAGTTCCTAGTATTCAGAGGAAGGAGAGATCAGAGATTCCTATCCCCTCTTCTCTCTCCTCTCTTTCTCTGACAAGGGCAAATCTTCTACTCTGCATACCCTCCAATCCCTCCCCCGTGGGATTCCAAAATAGCTTCCAAAATAGCTGAGTCATGTTCCTGGATAATTATAAAGCAGGTACCAAATCCTCGCATCTATACACACATCTATATGCTTTTAATTAGGGGAGGGAGTGAGGGTGGCAGAGGTAGCTGGGAGGTCTGCTCATCATTTAGAGATTCTGGGAAACTTATAATAAATGCTATTCACTATGACAGTTTATTACAATAAACGCAGAAGCTTTCCCCAGTGATGTGAAGCCCTTAAGAAGTGCAGATTATACCAAATTCATTTGCAAATTGGAAAGTGTCTATTAATTAGACCACAGGAGAAAAAAGTACACTGAGGGTGTGTTTTCCTGACTCGTTATTACTGAAAGCAAGGACAGCAAGTGGGGATATTAGGATGATTTAGAGTCCCAGGGCAACCTCAAGAAGATCAGTACCCTGTACTTTTTTACAAGGCCATGGTTTTGCACGTAAAAGGACAGCTGAAAAAGAGGAACTGCCCAAATGCAGTGATGTCAGTTACTTTGCTGTCATTTGGATGGTGATAGGGTGAGGGAGGAGGATGGAGTCACTCAGAGTAGAAATGGGGAGACCAAGAAGAGCATCCAGGGGCTGTTGCTGCACTAGGGGTTGAGGGGGCCTGTGTGGATTGGGTTTAAGAGTCAGGGGTCATGGCTTGAGGTGAAGGGAGAGGAGATCCTGTAGGATTCTAAGCAGGTTGAGGAAGAGACGGAGACAGGAAAGTAAGCCCTTTGTAGGCTGGGACCCCAGGTACCCATCACCGTATCTGGCATAGGCTTATCCCATTTATAATTCTTCTACCCCTCATCCCTTAGTTACAAACTTTTACTCATCCTGCAAGCATCACATGGCTTAAAACCCTGTTCTCAAAGAAGCCTTTTCTGATCCCCTCAGGGACAGATTTGCTAAGCCTAGTAGGTCCCTCCTAGGTTGCCATATTTCTATTGCCATCACAACATGTTTCACATTTTGTCTTTTATCCCCTGCAGACTGTAAGTCCAAAAGGGGCAAGAGAGTCTTGTAGGATGCTGCTGTGTCCCCAGGGTGAGCACAGTGCCCCACACCAAAGACCTTAAAACACATAAGGGTTGAGTGAGTAGAGTGGTCCATGCAGCTCAGTCATCCTCTCTCTAATCGATCTTTGTGATGACAAGGCTGTGAGCAGCACAAGGGGAAGATTTTGTTGGACCGATTTCTATATCCCAGGTCCTAGTGTTCTGCCTGGGACCTAGTAGGTGCTCACTGGTATTTGTTGAACAAGACAACTGGTGGAAGCCAGTGCCAGGCACAGGAAAGTGGCACATTCAAGCAGTTGGCTTGACCTTCTTTTCCTTTGTTTTAAAATTCAAAATCCAGATTTATCTAAAGCAAAGGCCTCAACATAGTTGGTGCCCTGTTTACTAGTTCTGATGAAGAAGTCCATAGAAATGGAAATTAGAAGGTGACCCAACAAGATGTTTGAAACTAGACATCATTATAAAAATAGCATTCCCTTCAGCAAAACTGTGCCGTGATTGATTTTTCACAACTTTCCTGTTTTGCAGAGAAAAATGGAATGCTAAGCAAAAATAGTTTTATTTGTATATCCATTCTAGCTTTGTTTGATTATATGATTGAAAGTCCAATTCTTATCTGTTTATGGCTAAAGCCTGGATTCTAGTCAGTGATATGATCAATATTATATAGAGAACTCAGGATAATGTAAAAATCTAGAGAAATGCTAATGCAAGCTAATAAATTTACATCACTAAGGAGCTGAAATTTTTAGCTCTTTATTAAACAAATAAAAGAAGAGGCCCTCATATCTTCACAAAATTTAATGTGAGTCAGACCCGAGTTAATGATCTACACATTAGCCAAGGTTTGGACATGAGATGCAACATCTGCTATGCCTAAAAGTAATTGTATACTCAGAAATGTGCCTAATTAGCTAACGGATGGGTCTCTGGCATTGACATTTCCAAGGATAAATCCTAAAAGGGAAATAAGAAGTCCACTGGGAAGGAGGAATGTACAATTACATAATGTAAAAAAAAAAATACTTAGATCAAACTCCTTTAAGCATGAGCCATAATCCTATGTGCTTGAATTTTGGTTTGTTTTCATTTTTTAGTTATATTTATTATTTTTAAGGATATAATTAATTTGTACATTCTTATACAAATTCAAACAAATCATCCTACAAGAAAGATCCCTTTTGCCACACAAATTTCACAGTGCTCTCTAGATATAACAACTCTATGCAGTTTGCTATACATATGTCTGGATTTTGTTCTATATATGTGTTTAAATTTAGAATTATATATTTTTGTTTTGTTTGCTTGTTTTACACAAATGGGATTATATCGAATATTGTTTTGCAAATCGCTTTTTTTTTTACAAATGAAATATATCTTAGAGATCTTTCTATTTTAATGAATACAGATTATCTCATTCTTTTTCATTGTTGCATAATATTTCATAGTATAGATGTGGTATATTTCATTTAACTGTACCTTACTAACAGACATTTTGTTGTGTTCAGTTTGTCACTATAACATGCAACATTGCAATGATTATTCTTTCTGTACACATGGAAATACTTTTTAGGAAAAATGCTTATATTAAGAATTGCTAAGTAAGAGGCTATGCATACCACATTTTGATAAACATTGAAATTTTTTGCCAGAAGAGCCTGTTATCAATATCAGCACCAACAGTAAATAGAACCTTTCATCATCATCATCTTTCATTTTCCTTCTTCTTCTTCCCCATCTTCCATATTTATGGGGGAAAAACTGATTTTTCACTGTTTATTTTATATTTCTCTGATTATTAGTGAAGTTTTGCATCTTTTTATATGTTATTGGCCATTTGCATTTCTTATTCTGTAAATAGCCTGCTCATATTCCTTTCTCTATCTTTTTCCTTATTGATAACGGAAACTAAATATTTCAATCTACTAGAGTGAAAGAAAATAGTTGCAACATATGTTATTGCCTTTAAACTTGATATCTTTTGTCAGATAATTTATATAGAGTCAAATTAATCAACTTCTTTGTCTAACTTAAAATCTTCCTGCTCCAATATTTATTTCTAATTTTTTTCTATATTTTCTTATTTTATAATAATGCTTTTCACCTTTAAAAAATAAGTGGTTTTATCTTTACCTTATCTGGAATTTATTTTGTAGACTGTTTTAAATATGGATCTAACTTAATTTTTTTTCTCAGATGGCTACCCAGTTGCCTCCAGCTCGTTCTTCAATTACAGAAAATGTTATTTCTCATGTGCATTTATATCTGGTTTATCTTCAGATTCTTCTGACTTCTACTGATTTTTTTTTAACTATTTTATTTCCTATTCATGTCCTATTCATCACTATAGCTTTCTAGTATATTTTGTTGCCTAATAAGACATGTCCCCATCATTTTTTCTAAAAATTGATTTTTCTTATATATTTTCTATTCTGTAACAATTTGAGAATCAATTTGATAGGTTCCATAGAAATTTGATTAGGATTGCACTGAACTTAGATTTATGAAGGATTTATTGAGTCTTCTCAACCATAAATATACCATACTTATTTTACACCTCTCAGTAAATGTTATGGTTTTCTTCATATTCATATTAGAACATTTTATAGCTATCACTGTTGTATAGATAGATAGATGATAGATAGGAAGATAGAATCTGCCATGTTGCTGAATTTTCTTAAGAGTTCAAATAGGAAATTCAAGGAAGACTGCCTGACAAACTACTTAGATTTTTTATATAAATCCAAATGATATTGACAGTATCTCTTTCTTGTTAGTGGCCATTACTTATTTTCCATATCTTATTGCACTATCTAGGACCTCCATTATTATGTTGAATAGTAGCGATCATAACGGCCATAATTCTCTTGCTCTGGATTTTAATAGGAATGCTTCTAATATTTTAACATTAAGTGATATGTGTGCTGAAGGGACGTAAGTGTTTATATAGTTTGTATCCCACAAGTGAAAGCAAACTTTTGTATGTGTGTGAAGCAGCTTCAATCTCACAGACAGTGTTGGAAAAGACTTAATTGTGGAAGGTTTCCTCATCCTCAGTCACAATCTTTTAAGGAGCCCCCAAGAGCATCTTGAGAAAAGAGCCCTAGTTAACATTTTCTATCACTCTTTAATGTTCCACATTGTTCTCCCATTAACCCAAGGACATAAAAATTCCTCCCCTTTGATTAAAATCAACCAGAATTGGTCTTATTGGTCTTATATGTGTCAATTCTGTCTCAATTCTGTCATCATGCAACTCTGCCCAACATATTCACTCCTGCCCAAAATGCCTGAAAGTCATCATTGCAACAGCCCATCTAGGCAGCACCATTCCTAGTCCCCTGAAAATCACTCTTTACTATTGTAATGACTCTTAATTTGGGGCCTTTTAAAATAACTCTCCTGACATACATCTGGATGGACCTAATGGATATCTGGTTAGGACCTCTTCTGTCCAGAGCTCATCATTCCAGGCAGTTAGCTTTGATGTGTGCATGACCTAATGTTTCAGAGGTTGTCTATCAGGATAAATTATTCTGCACTCGTATAGTATCATCACTTACTGTATGCCTAGTACTGTACTAGAATATTTAGTGAATAACAAAAGCATAAAAGATACTGGCTTTTTCCTACAATTTTTCTACAATTTCTCACATTGTAATTGATTCACAAATATAAACAAGACCTGTTTCCATGTCTGAAAAATTATCCTTGGAGGAGGGGCATTCTTAAGTTGGGGCCTAACAGACATAGATCAGTATAGAAGGTCTAGAAATATGTTTTGTTTTGGACTGATGCAACATGATTAGTAGGTCCATCTTGGCTGCAATCAGAATTGGGATACGTACTATTGCATTTCTCTCTATATTGAAGCCCTTGCTTCATAATTAGACACTAAGTCACCATCATCTCCATCATCTCCTTTTCACTCATATTCTGACAAGTGCCAAGCCTGCCTCATGTATCTCCATAGGAAGTCCATGCCTATAACCACGTTTACCTCCACCTGGAGTATTGTAAGTATTTAGCCTCACCTGGAGTATCCCCATCTAAGTGGCCTCCACACCTCCAATTTCTCATCCCCCAATCAATTATATCATTGTGATAGCTACCATCACAGTCTTACAGAGAAGCTTCAAGCATGCCAATCCTGTCCTCAGAAATATAATGATTCCCTATTGCCTACAAACTTAAGTCCAGACTTTTTACACGAATGTTTAAGATCCTGGATGACTTTTCCTACCTCTTTACCAAGCAGTGGGTTTTCCATAATCCACCCACATGTAATTGCACAACCTAAGTCCTTACCTTTGCTTATACTGTTAACATCTCCTGGAATATCCTCCTCTCTTCTTATTCCAAGGCCTTAGTCCAATACCAAAACATTTCCTGCATTATTTCCATCTCTCATTAATTCTGTCTTCCTCTGGACCTTTCAGTCCTCTTAAACTATGTATGGCAATTAAATCACACTGCTGTTTTATATATATGTAGCCCTTTTTTTACCCTTCTCTACTAGATAGATTGTAAATCCTCTGAATAAGGTATTGTGGGCTACATCATTGCTACATGTTCTTAGGATGATCACAGTGCCTAGAACATAGGGCCTTTGTGAATTTCTTCCACATTGAATGGATCACGCAAATAAACTGAGATAACCAAAGATTATAAGGCTACCCTTGATTGGAGTGATTTCTATTCACAATATTTTGCATTTGTGGCCCAAAAGAGTACATATAAGCCAGCTTTAGACACTGAGTAAACCAAAGTAGCAATTGTCAACTTTTTTCTCTTCCCTAGAATATTTACAATGTTGCCCTACCCACTTGCTGTTAAATACCAAGAGGGAAATGGTTAAAACAGATTTCTGAGCCTATTGATTTTCTTCACACATTTATGAGCAAAAAGT
This sequence comes from Homo sapiens, assembly GCF_000001405.40. Taxonomy (NCBI): domain Eukaryota; kingdom Metazoa; phylum Chordata; class Mammalia; order Primates; family Hominidae; genus Homo; species Homo sapiens. The sequence continues at coordinate 111,526,450 of NC_000010.11, read as the reverse complement.
TAGAAAGAAATTCACAGCAGAAGTGCATTTAGAGAAGGCTAAGAGCAGCAGAAAACCAGATGACACATCCTGGAATGGGAGCAATCAAGGTTCTATTCAATCCTTTCCTTCTACCCTCTGCATCAGAATATTTCCCCCTTTGAAACTTCTGCACAGTTGCACAGGTGTATTGAATTCACACTGATCCACCAAAAAAACAAGAAAAAAATTGTTTTTATGTCAACAGCATCCAGAAATTTCAGCAAATTATTTAAGATGTAAAGATTAAAAATAATCCACTAACGATTGTCTCCTACTAACAGGAGAGTGATGATACTTTTCAGCTGCAAATAATCTGTTGATCTAACTGTAAAACTGTAGAAAATATAATCTGTTTGTAGAAAAAAAAAAATTGTCCCTAGTGCTGTGCCAGGTAATGGGAAGGCATATGCCTAGACCAGGAGTCAGCAAACTTGCTGTGAAGGGTTAGGTAGTAAATATTACAGATAGTAAATCTCTGTTGCAACTACTCAACTTGGCCTTGTAGCCAGAAAGCAAATTATATAAACAAATGGTCATGTCTGTGTTCCAATTAAACTTTATTGACAAAACAGGCAGTTGGCTTGCAGCCATAATTTACCCAGGGCTACACCATATGTTCTTTGATTACAGTGATCACATCTTTCTTAGTAACCATTGCATCTTCCATGTCCAGTTTAGTGCCTGACTTTAGTGACTGTAAATTTAAAAAAATTAATTTTACAAAAATATATTTTCTGTCCCCAGAGAGCTTACTATCTAATTTTTATTGTAAGACAAAACAGGAAAATGTAGAGTAAGAAAATTTCAAGGATTGTAAACATGAGATTGGCTCCTAGACTTACCATAAACTCTAATAAGGGTTTATATTTCAACTAATCCTATCTCCATATCTCAAGAAGTCAGTTTTCGTAACTATTGAAAATGGATTTAGGGTTAGAATTAGTTATAAAACTACTACAATCAATGGCTTTTCAGGTTGCTTTTCTGAAGCTCAGCTTAGGTCAGAAAACCAAAAGAGGCCCCATAAAGTTCACGAGATAAATAGAGACTGAGGTAGGCCCCTCTCTTTTCACCTTTACCTGCCATTTATAACACATGAATTTCTCTCACAACATGGAAGAGTCAGACTCCATTGCCACCATCAGCAAAGTCCTTAAGAAGGGCTAAATAAGGGAGATATAGCAAGAAAGCGGGCATATTCAGAAAGACAGGATTATTTGATATGGAACTCTTTCCCTAGCCAACACAGGTCATCTCCTGGGGGCCTATAGCTGGATCTTGGTTTAAGATAAGTTGATGACTGGTATATAAATCAGAATTCCAAAAGTAAGCAGATAGTATACTCAGGATAATTCATGGATAGTTTATTTACAAGGTGTGGATAGCATATAGGGAAGCCGCAAGGGATGATAATATCCCAGGGTTAATAAGAGCAGAGACATCATCACCCCTAAGCCCAAAAGGACAAGGGGAGGAAGAGTTGTGGGAATCCTGAAGAAGAGAGTCATCAAGAACACCCAGATTCTCATGTGAGGGGCAATGACCTTGTGTTGAGGGACATGGCCAGCCACAGGTAACCTCGCAGGGAGGGAAAAGGAATGTAATTCTCCATTCTCATTTCCCTTCCTCTCTTTGATGTCCTGCCAGGGCTCCTGTTTGATTGAACCAAACCAGATCCCAGGGGCCAGGAAGCCTGTTGGCATGGTCCACATTGGTCAGCCTCCAAGGACAGGGAGCAGGGTGGAGAAGGTTGAGAGCAGTTCTGGAGCAACAAACAGAAGATGTCCAGCACAACCAGAGCTCAACAGAGCTGATAGCTCATTACCCCAAGGCTGTCTGTTGAGGGTTGTTAGGTACATTGGGATGACATCGATTGATCATCCACACACTCCCATTTTTCTCCTGAATGAGATTTTCACCACTGTCTACAAGGAAATGAATTGAGCAATTTTCTGTTCCCTTCAATGTAAGGAGATCTCTTGCCAGCCACTCTCATTTACCAGACGGTAGGTGATACCATGAGGTCTGTTTGACTCCTTCTGAGGCAAACAGCCAGGGAGACAGGGCGTTGGGGTCAGGAGCTCTAGTTCTCAGCAGTGGCTCTGCCCCTAGGTGACTAGGTGACCACAGGGAGGTCACTTCTCCTGGGGCTTAGTTTCACTTTCCTAATTTAAAACATAACGTGACTGGATCTGATGATCTGTGATCAGATCTTTTAACCTAGCATTCTATTGAAATCATTTAAAATTTTGTAACAACAACAAAAAAGTGTTTGTGCACATGAGCATTTTCCTGTCATAATAATAACAGCTCCTTCTTATCAAGCACTTACTACTCAGTAGGCATTTAGGCACTGTGCTTAGCTTGTTCTCTCTCCCCATCTCTTCCCTTCCATTTTCTCCCCAAAAAATATATTTAAATCCTCACAATAATCAATGAAGCACTTGAGTCTTTTTCTTGTTTATCGTTCAGTGACTTGCCCAAAATGCATGGTTAGTAAGTGGCAGAATGAGAATTCTCACCACTCTCTAATCCTCAGGATCACGGCCCACTTTCTCCCTGCTGTTGTCTCACTTCCCTAGGTCAGGCACACATAGCTAAAGATCCCAAGTGTGTATTACCTACTCCTATATGTCTCACTTCCCTAGGTCAGGCACACATAGCTAAAGATCCCAAGTGTGTATTACCTACTCCTATAGGAGAGGCCTCAGGGCAACGCTGGAGGACCATTTCCCAGAGGAAAAAAGTTTGGGAGTTTGGGTATTGAGGTCCACAAGAATGACACACAGCTGAGGAGAGGTTAGGGAAAAACAGTTCCAGACTGGGACCATCAAGTCCTGTGGAGGCCTGGGGGTGAGAGAGCTAAATACCATAGCAGGCCTGAAGGCCAAGGAGACTTTGATGCAGAGCAAGAGTGCTTCCTCTCACCTTTTTAGATGTTTTTTTTTCCTGTAAATAGCATGTAAACTTCATTGAACAATCTGAAGAAGCATTGACCCATTCTCTCCATAGCAGCCTCAAAAAGCTCTGAAGCAGCAGCTTCTCTATCCTACCAAACTTTCCAGAGATCTCAGGCAACAGAAGATTGGGGTTCTTAGTTCCTTGTCATCTGGTATATCTAAGCAAATTGAGCCACCAGAGCCCATGCTGGGATTGCTGCTGATTGTTCGGCCACCATCTGGAGAGCCTCTCTGCCATGTCTTGGCTGCCCTTTGAAAGCCAAGCTTTTCTGTTGCTTATTCCAAATGAAGCCAATGTCTAAAGAGCAACTGTAAGGCCAAGATGCCCCATCTGTGAAGCTCCCAAGATATTCTGAGGCTAAGAGTGCTTTTCTGACCCATCCTCTGAGCTTCCAGTGGGCAAGAATCCTCTGAGCCAACACACAGCCCTCGTGATAGCCTGGTCAGTGAATGGCACCTACCATGAGATGCCAGGGACACAATTCCCCTGGAAAAAGAAAGGATTTGCTGGCCTCTCTCTGCAAGGGCAATGGGGGCTTTGGAGTTCATCGATGCTGCATCTCAGAATGGATTACTCTACTGGGCATAGGCAGCAAGTAAGCCAGGGTTATTCCTCTTTACTGGCAGGAGCCATAGCAACAGAAAACCTTGGCAGCTCCATTTGACCTGGATCATGAATTTGAAATTCTCTGCATGGCCTAGCAAGGCCTCTAGATCCCACTTTGTTCTGCCAGAATCCTTCCCTTGGCCTCATCAATCCATGTAATCCCTTCCTTATTATCTGGCTACACTGATGGTTTTAGCGTAGGTTGCCTCTGAGCTGCCTGAAACCTGCAGTCTGTTACCACTGCTGTTGCCAGAAATCTCAGCCCAGTACCCAAGGCCTAAGGGACTCTGGGGCCCTCCATCCAGGCACCAGGATGGAAACAACCACTTGGTCTGGCTGTTCTTGACTCAAAGAAATGTGAAGATCTTTTTAAAGTAGCCTATAAGTGATAAGATGGTTGATGCTGTATGTTGATCTGCCCCTTGTCTGTCCTCACAGCCTATGCTGACATGTCAGCAAGAGATACATTTTCCTTCTGCTGGTTTGCTGATTCTCCCAGCTTCCCATCACTGACAATCACTCTGAAATAGCTGGAACTTCATTTCCTCTTTAAACTGTGACACCTGGCTCTTTGGATTGCTTTCATGAATGGGATTTCACAGATGAAGAAACTGAGTTACAGGGAGACCAAGCAAGCCATTAAAGGTAGCAGAGCTTGTCAGTGGAAGAGCTGAAATGCAGGGGAGGAAATAAGACTGGACACATCTCTTACTGCACGGTGGGCATGGGAGCAGGCCTCTTACACATCCCCTTAATTGCTAACCCATACTGGATATGGACATTGTTCTCATTATTGCTGCCACCTGTGAGAACACCTAGTCCCAGCCTTCATGGAGTTTGCAGCCTGATGTTCTTTCGTGATGCCACAGTGACTTAGGTTTATTCTACCCATTTTGAAGAACTGTTCCTTTCATATTCTCTTCTTCAGAAATCTTTCCTCTTATTTAGAAATTGAAATCCATGGATGACTAAACTTGCATTTTATTTCTTCTTGCCAAAGCAAAATTGAATCAGAAACTCATGAAATTCACCATTAACCAGGTTCCTTTTAGTTTGTCCCTTAAACCAACTTTTACCATCCACTCTGTAAAAGGCAACAAAAGGCATCTGAGAGAAGAGGTTCTGTCCTCTAGAAAGTTAGAAAGTAGATGGAAAAAGACCCAGAAATTCTATTCCTGCAGGAACTCTTGCATATGAGAACCTGGAGAGAGACAGTTTTAAGAATGATCAACAAAGCTTGATCATGATATATTTTTTACATGGAACAACCCAAATATATCAAAAATAGAATGGACACATAAAGTGTGGGATAGTCATACATGTAATCCTACCCAGTAGGGACAATGTGTGAACTCCAAATGCAGGCATCTCTGAAGATCAACCCCAAAACATAATATAGAGCCACAGAAGTCACAAGAGAATGCAAGTCATCTGTCCCTTTATGTGATACTGAAAAATGAAAAACTAAATGAAATAACATCACATGTTGGGTGTATAGGTTGTGACACTATAAGGTGAGCAAGGGCATGATTCCTCCACTCATCAGGATGACCTTTGGGCCTGGGGACGTACAGAAGGGTTTGACTGAGAAGGGACCAGAAGGTTCTTTTCAGGTAAACGTTCTGTGTCCTCATTTGGAAAGTGGGAACCAGGTAGTCTTTCTTGTGCTGCTTCTTTGAAGTGTATAGATGTTTTTTGTAGATCCTTTCATATGTGTGTGTCTCTATATACCCTAGAATGTAAACTTGATGGGGGTAGAGTTTTGCCTGTTTTATGTATTGCCAGGTCATTAACACCTTCAAGGGGACGTTACAGATAGCTGACATTCAATACCTATTTTTGAATCAGTGAATGAATTTCAGCCTCTCTTTGAAAGATTAACAAGAATGTGTATTAAATTCTCCCTGTGAATCCACTGTGTTTTCCCTTTGCATTAAGTTAAAATTCAGACACACTTCCACCTTAACTTCATTTTGAGCTTCTGCTGGCTGTGGTTCCAACCCACAGCCTTAGATTTCAGTTTCTCTCTCCCTCTTTCCTCCACACAACCCTAACTCCTATAAGACTTCAAAAAGGAGTAAGGTGCCCAGAAAGAGAATTTGCAACCTTAAAAGTTCCTTTTTAAAATTTAGAATAAAATATAGAAGCAAATCAAAACTTCACAATTTTATCTTATTTGTGAGTTTGGGTTTTTAAAATAAGGACCCCTCCTTTCTAAATCAGACTGCATTTGTGTTATGAGAAAAATATGATTGGAAAAAGAAATCCTATAAACAGAGAAAACAGATATTCAAGGCGCAAAACACAAACATCCTAGCCCCTCTTCTGAGTATATCTTTTAAACCAGAAATGCTACATCCTACTGAATTGCTTCCAATTAGCAAATTAGAATCAGAGCCCAGAAAAACTGCCTTAAAGTCCTTTCAAAATTGAGATTCACCTGGTCTCCACCCTGGGTTCAAATGAAATTGGCTCTCTTGGTCCTGTCTCCCTATGCACACAGAATTCACACCAGTCTCTGGTGGGCATCACCAGTGTGGGTGGAGGACAGTGGATATGGGCAGCTGCCCCTGTTGCAGTGATTACTTCTATGAGGTTTGCCCTGTGCCCTGTCACTGGTAGAATGTGGGCCATGGGTGAAAATTAAACAGCCTGGATTAGGCCTCATCCTACCTTTCCCCAATGCCATGTAGAGCTTACAATGATGTTTTGGGTGTCACCTGGAGAGAATATTGCCAAGAAGAGACCTTCAGAATGTCTAACAGACTTAACCCTGTGATCAGCAGAAAAGCTATAAAAACAGAGGAAGAAAATCAAAAAAGAAGGTCAGGGCATGTAAGCAGAGAGTCTCAGGACAGAATTCAATGAAGATTTAAAATATTTGAAGATAGGTGGTCCAAAAAGCCTCTTTTGAAAGAATAGACAAAACTGAAAATAGATACCAGGAGCTACAGTACAGAGAGAAGAGAAATCTTCTAGTACCTAAATTCTTGTAGTACCTGGTGTCTATGTGTGCAGGATTTTGTAATAAGGCTTCCACCTTTCCCTCTACCCAACTCTCCCATACACATACACAACAAAAAAGAGACATTTCACTGTGCAGCAGCAGATTAATCCCTTCTCTTTGCTGTCTCTAGACTTCCCATTTTAGTTGGTTGATTCTCCAGTACTTAGTGGTGTACAATCAGATGATAATATTACTAAGAATACTACGACCACTACTACTACCACTAGCAGTTAAGGTTATTAAGCACTTCCTGTGTACCAGGCACTGTTGGAAGCATCTTATAAGTATGAGCTCATTAATCTTCATAGGCCCTTCCCCATAGGAGTAAATGCCCTCCTTATATACAAGAAAGGTGAGGCACCATCTATGTAACACACTCAAGGTTACACAGCTAGCAAGTGATAGCATACTAGAAAAACTGGAGGGAAGATCAGTAGACTTAGGCAACTAGGCTCAGGCAGTCCACCTAACATAGGCCTGGGGGTTATGAAGGAGGAAGAGGAGAGAAATGTCAAATAGGTTGGACATTGAGAAAGACTTTTAGCGATACCAGAGTAATAGCAGGTGGAAAAGAAGGAGGAGAGGAAAGGTGCTTATCAGAAACATGGCTTATAGGTTATGAATTTTATCAACTTTTATGTTCTTAAAGATACATATGTAAAAATTGAGCTTCCTTTTGTAATGTTTATGTGTTAGACTGGGTTCTCAGATCCTAACTCCATAGAGTCCAGAACATATAAGGACCCTGCTTTTATGTGGGTTACCTAAAGTGCTTTATGGTTTCATATGTGTCCTCTGACCAGTTAAGTATAAGTCTCATGAGGATAAAATGTAGTGGTGATGTGTGTTTGTGGAGAGGCGGCAGAAAGGAGTGAAGTGCCTCCAAATAGCTTAGAAATGAGATGGCTGCTCTCATAATGAAACTATTAAATTAGCATATAATGGATGCATTCATTTAACAAATATTTATTGAGCACCTACTACATCGTAGGCACTGTTATATACAGAGAGATATAGCAGGGAACAAAAGAAATTTTTTGGAGCTTACATTCCAGTAAATAGAGAAAGATAATGAGCAAATAAATGAGTAACTATTTACCATAATGTCAGTTAATGGCTGACTCAGTGGTTCTGAGCTAAAATCTTGAAAGTTGTCCTAAGATTATATATCTACCAGCTCTGCAAATCTCATTTTAACTATAAGATTGAATGTATTGCCCACCAGAGAGGAGTTATAGAAGAATGGATAAGAGTTACAGAGTCCAATATCAACAGAGTCCATGAAGAAACTATGAGAGAGATATATTTCAAATCCAAGCTCTACCCTCTTCAAGCCATGTGGCTTTGGGCAAATTATTTATCCTCTCTGTGACTGAGTTTCTTCAAATGTAATGATACTGTCTACATGTTATATTTCAGGTATACATTCAGCAAGGCAGTATCTATAAAGTGTGTACCACGGAGAGTGCCTAATAAATGTTGCTACTATCATTGCAGTGACCCAAATGTTGAAGATGCTGGCCCCGCAAGAATTGGCAACACTCGTACATGCTAGACAGATGTGAAAGCTGCTAGAATGTACAACAAGAGTCCAACTTGGTGACAGAGATCCTTACCATTTATCAGAAGCCTCAAATACTTAGGTTGAGGACCAGAAAGACACTCAGCACGGATGGAAAATGCCCTCCAGAGATACTGGAATCAGGTTGTCTGTACATTTTTCTGTTTTCAAAATATTTCTTATTTTTCTTATTAACAAGAACAAACATCGATAATCATTATCAAGCATTAACTGGGTGCCAGCACTAAACCCATATTCTAGAGAATACAAGGACAATGATAATAAAAGGCCAAATTTAGTTCCCTGCCTCAGGGAGCTCACCACCCAGCTAGGATGTATGATCTAAAGAAATTCTTGGATCAAAACTCCCCCAAAAGCAGCACAAGACAAAGGCAAGCCTGGGGGTGTCCTCTGAGCACCACAGAAAAGAATGAGAAAGATGTCACCTGGAAGGAAGGCAGAGTTCATAGGCGGATGCAAAGAGCACACTTTTGTGGAGCCCTCCTAAGTGCCAGCCACCAAAACACACAATTCCATTTCCTCCTCACACATACCCCATTAGGATAGGTCCTTAGGTCCATTTTACAGATGAGAAAAATAAGTCTCAAAGTTAAATAAGCTTCAAAGTTGAATGATTGAGGCCGGGCACAGTGGCTGACGCCTGTAATCCCAGCACTTTGGGAGGCCAAGGTGGACAGATCACTTGAGCCCAGGAGTTCGAGACCAGCCTGGCCAACGTGGCAAAACCCCATCTCTACAAAAATTAACTGGGCATGGTAGTGCATGCCTATAGTGCCAGCTACTTGGGAGGCTGAGGTGGAAGGATCAGCTGAGCCTGGGAGGCAGAGGTTGCAGTGAGCCAAGATCATGCCACTGCATACCATCCTGGGTGACACAGCAAGACCCTGTCTCAAAACAAACAAACAAAAAAAGTTGAATGACTTATCCAAAGTCATCTAGCGATTCAGAGACCATCCCAGGATACAATTTGTATCTGCCCATAAATCCTTTATAATTTTCCCTATTATAGGGAGTAGTGGTCAAGGGTAATGGTCAAGGGTGTGGAGGTATCGAAGGACAGAGCTAGGATTTCAACTCTTACATCTAACTGTGTGATTTGGGAAAATTATTTCACCCCCCTGTGCCTGTTCTATCAGATACAAAAGATGTTTCATGACAATATCTCTCACAGCATTGTTGAGAATGAAATGATATAATCCTTGTCCAGCACATAAGTGGCATTCAATAAGCATTGGCTGTCGTATCAAATATGACATTGCCATTACTTCCTTCTGCCATCCACTCAGGGGAAGCCACCCTAAGAAAGCTCTAAGATCTGGAGACAAGCACCCTTAGGAAGGAGCGGTATCTTGAGAGGGAGAGTGGCCATTGTGGGGAAGTCTGGGACAAATGCCTAGACAGGCTTCCAGGGCCTGGCAGATCCCACCCACCAGCTACCCGGTTCCCTTCAGGAGCTGCATGGCTTGGGATGGGCTCTTTTGCAAACTACTGGCCATTATAGCAGACACTGTCACTTCTCCCCTCATGGTTTATGTACTCACTGTTGTTCCTTCCTGTTCTAAGTGCTTGCTCTGACTGCAGGAGTAGGCAAGGCTCCTACATAGAGCAAGCCCAAAATAGGTGGATGTCTATGCCAGCCTCCTTACCTCCTGGAGCAGGACAACTCAGAAGTGTGTTCTCCATTGTCTGCCTGACTCCCCGACAGGACTGAGCTCCAGTTGCCCACACAGTAACCTGCTCATCAACACATCTTTTGTTGTTCTCTTTCCCTTTCTTATGTCACCTCCACATTTCCCTACTTGTGTTTCCTGGGATCACCCAAATCTTAGTTTCAGAGTCTGCTTAAGGGAGAACCCAGCTGTAGACAGCTGGACTCAAAAAGCTCTCCAGCTCAGCACACAGTTCTTGGTTAGGCCACCCCATTGCACCCCATTAGCCCTCTCTCAGTTTCTCTTTGCACTGGGACTTATAATGACAGCCCTTTTGCTTGAGTAGAGCTTATTACCAAAATATAGTCTTCTTATAACAGAAACTGAAATGAAACCACTGTCAGTCACCAGTTTGCCAGTTTTGTTGTTGTTGTTGTTTGCAAATGCCTTATACTCCACTGCCCTCAGCTCCACTCCCATCCCACCCACCTGCTCAGAATGGTGTCCTCTCATCCCTGGCTAGCTTGGTGCTCTTCTCAGGGGAGAACTGAAGGAAGTAGTCAATTTCTGAAGTATCTCTGAACTAAGGAGTGTTTAAACTGAAGAGTTAGAAAAAAAGGTTTCCTGAATCAGCAAAGATTTATGCTAAACAACCCTTTTATGAAATGACCCACTGAGAAAGGAAAGCTTCACTGCAGCAGTTTCAGAGATTTCTTGGGTAAGAGAAAAGGAGTCATATTCTTTCTAATTAGCTGACTCTAAGTACTTAGAGAAGTCTCCCATGATGCCAACCAGACTCTTAGCAAGTGCAAAACAGCTATTTGCAAAGGCTTATCAGATATTTAATTGAATTATTTAGAAAATAGTGGTTGAGAACCTACCATGTGCTCTGGTAGGCACTGACCTACAGAATGGGGATAGAATAGCAACAACAAATAAACAACAAACCCGAAACCACACAGAGTCTCTGTCCTCATGAGACCTACATTCTATATCAGTTTATTCCTACATAGCAAGTGGCACCAAAACCTAATGGCTTAAAGCTATAACCATTTACTTTCAATTCTGTGGGTCAGCAATTGGGGCTGGGATTAGCTGAGCTGGTCTTCTATTGGTTTCACCTGGGTGCATTCATGCACCTGCAGTTATGTGGCGCCTTATCTGGGGCTGGTGGTCTAAGAAGGCCTGACTCCCAGCTGGCAGGTGGTGCTAGCTCTCAGCTGGTTGTTCGAAGGGCCTCAGCAGAGACAGCTTATCCCCACTCCACATAGCCCTTCTCTTTCCAGTAGGCTCCCTCAGACGTTCTACAGTATTGTGTTTCAGCATTCTACTGGTAAAATCAAGACACAAGGCCAGCGCAGATGTAAAGGGTACTCCATCTCTTGATGGGAGACGCATCAAAGATACATTATAAATGGCAGGTATACAGGTTTGGAAGGAATTTTTGGCCTTTATTTATTTGCAATCTATGGTTATTCTAATAGTTGAGGCAAATAGCAAATATATAACAATGTTTAGCTAGAATTTCTCAACCCTGATTCCACATAAGAATTACCTGGAGAGCTTTTTTAAAAAATGCCAGCTCCTCTATCACAACCAATTAAATCAGGGATTAGAGCTTGGGAACCTAGGCAGTTACCCAGCTCTCCAAGTGATTCTAAATTGCAGCTAGGTTTGAGAATCACCGGTTAAAGTGCTCTGAAGAAGAAATGAAGCAGGGTAGAGGAATGTCGAATGAGAGAGCTGTGTAAGATGTGGAAATCAAGGGAAGACTCTCTAAAGAGGAAACATTTGAGCTGAGATCCACATGGATGAAGGGGGCCAGGGAGCCTTGGTGCTACTTGGAGAACGGAGGGAAGAGCAAGTGGAATACTCTGGGGCCTGAGATAGATAGACAGAAGAGGCTGGGTGGCAGGAGCAGATGTGGTTGGCAGATGTGTTGGGAGAATGGTCTAGACCATTCTAGACTGGAGGTAGCAGTGCCTTTTAGGAATGATCTGTCTGGTTTCCCAGGAGTCAAGGCCTTGCACTTTGATGAGTCGCCTCACTTGGTTTTTGTAGAGAAATAAAGCAATAAAGAACGGACTGAATAGACTGTGGAAGGGCATATGATTTTTTAGAAGGTATTTATTGAAGAACTCACCAATTGAGCAGCCATCTCTAGAATATGGGAAACAAAGCCGGAAAGGAGAAGAGTATAGAATATGAGAAAATAACAACAACAAAAAATGGATTGCTTCTGAGAAGCCAAATGTAGAAAAAAAGAACTCTAGGCTGAGAGACAATGGAAGCTGTGAGCTGACCTTCTAGGCAGAGACACAGCACCTGGAAACGTATAGGAAGGAAGGACAGGTAGCGGCTGGAAATGCGGGCATTAGAAATGTCACAGGACATAATCTTCCATGGCAATTGTGCTGCTTATTATGTGTAGGGAAGGCAAAATCTTCTCTCTTCACACTTAGTTTTTCAGCTGGGCCTGAGAATTTGACTGATGACAGATTAATAGGGGAAAAGCATGCAAATGTATTTAATCAAAGTTTTTTGTAAGCCCTCACAAGGAAATGAAGACTCAAAGAAGTGGCAAAACATAAATGCTTTTAGACCAGGTCGAACAAAAAGAGGCAATTGTGTAAAAGTAAACTGTGTGGGGAGGCTAAAGGAAGATAAGAATGATTTTAACAAGGTTCTGTTTGTACAGAATTCTCTCGGTCTCAACTTCCTGTCCTTGATGATAAGAATGTTCTTTCCCTTCTGGTACAGGGAGGCCATCTTCCATACGGGGGTTTATCTCCTGCTTTCAGGAAGATAACGGGGAGGGTCAGAGCACCTTTCTTGCACCTGCTGGCTTTTTTAAAGGGCCTTTATCCCAAAATAATCTGTGTGCCAAAGTAGCATATTTTGGGGTGGCAGATTCTGCACCCTTCAAGTTAATGTATGAAATCCCTGGCTGGAAGACTTTTGCGTGGGTTTCTAAAGGTGCTTCCCTATGTGTCATGGCATTTACTCTTCACATTGCAGCTATGGGGTGGGGGTCAAGGGAGTCAGCAGTATGTTCTCCATTTTTGTAAGAGCAAACAGAAGCCCTGAGAGCCAGAAGGCTGACACCACATCCCCCAGCTACTCAGTAGCTGAAATGGGAAAGGAAGCAGAGATTCTAGCTCCTGCTGTCCTTACTCACCTTCCCACCCTTCCCTGCCACCCCCCTCTTCCCTACTCAGCTGACATTCTGCAGTCCGCCCTTGTCAATGCACATTTATGGACCACCAGAGGGATCTTCAGCATCTTGTCCTCCTACCCACCTTCTCTGACAAAGTTTCTAATTTGCTACCTAGGCTGTAGCTTCCCAGGAAGAAGCCAGCCCTGTGCACAGTTGTTATTTCACAAAACACCATTTGTGTCCTCGCTGGAGGGAGTGGTGTCTCTCATCTTGTGGAGCCACCTTAGACGGTAATAAGAATGGGAATGTAGCCCAATTCCCAATAATGGAGACCCTAGCAAGAAGTAAAAGTTCTGGAAGAAACAAAATTAAGACCTAAATTGGATACTCCAAACCCACCAAGGGCTAGCCACCAAGTGAAATATGGTCAGTGTCCCCTCTCCAGAAACTGTATGGCTGGAGGTTTCACCATCTTCTTTCCTGCTCATAGTGGAACCAAAGTCAGCAAGCAAAGGGTTCGAACTGCATTGAGAGTTGGCCACAGCCTCCCTCTGTCAGGCTTCTCCCTAAAGGTCCTGAGAGCCTGTATCAGAAGCAAGCAGGAGGCAGAATTCCAGACCCCTCTCCAACCCATTGAGTAAGAGTCTATGGGGTTGGAACCCAGAACTGCTCATTTTAAACAAGCTCCCCAAGGTACTGTTGCTGCAAGTTAAAAATCAAAACTTTAAGTAAAAACTTAAATTCAATTCTCAGCCCTCTAGCAACCAAGTGAATTTCTCTCTCATTGGTCTAGTAGGAAATTCCAGACCCAGAACCCTTTTCCAGAACATGTCATAAACAAGAGGCCTTAGAGCAAGACCAGGAGCCCCTACTCTAGCAGAAAAAGGGCATTTCCCCCAAGGAAGCACTTTTAATAAGCTCTGTAAAACAATTCATTCTGTAGCCCATGTTACCTACAGCATCCTCCTGGCTCTCTGCACTAGCAGGAGCTTAGTAAACTTGAATGAGGAGACCCCCAAGACCAGGGGTCTTGCTGGCTTTAGCTTGCTCCTCAGATTAGGGTTTTGACATTGTTGATGGAAATCCTAGAATATAGTTCTGGGAGAAAAGAAAAGGGAGACTCTGACTTGTGCATTTCTCACGGGTAAGAAGGTTTTGTTCTGTTGGATCCACACACTAGGACTAGATGAGGTGTGACCATGAGATGGTGAGAAGTGAGAGAGGAGAGGAGGCCAGGAGGCAGGTGAAGATGCAGGGAAGCCCAGCTCCACCTCCTGGGCGGCAGACCTAGTTCTCTTCTCTCTCCCTTTCCTCTCTCCCCTTTTCCTTTCCTTCACTCTCAACCTTTTTATTTCTCTCTCCTTGTCTCTTTCTTGTATCTCCCTTCATCTCCCACATTCTCTTTTTCTCTCTCTCCCTGTCTCCCCTTCTCTTCCTTTTTCTCTTTCCCTGCTCCCCTCACCTATTCCCTCATTTCTGCTACACAGTTTTACCAGGTGCCCACTCTGTGCTCAGCACCATGGATAGCAGAAAAGGAAAAAAACAGTGGCCTCTAGGAGTTCCCTAGATCATGGGGAGGATCAAAGAATAGGCAATTGCAGCTCAGTTATGAGTGGTGAGGTGGAGATACCTAAAGCAGGCATCTAATGCAGGTTGCGGTCCCAGGAAGTAATGTTTAAGCAGACAGCTAAGAGAACAGTGTGTAGCACACCAGTAAAAGGCTGGAGGCGGGAAGGAGAGGACTCTAGGCTTGGACAAGGTCCCAATTCAAGAGAAAACATGGCACCTCTGAGAGTCCAGGGCTGCTACACACAGTTATGTGGGTTGCATCCTGCACCAGGGCCCTGGGTCAATGAACAAGGGTCTAGAGCCTCCCTGGGGCATGGACCTTCCTTTCACACAGTGAGTCTCCTATATTGAGAGGAATGGTGTGCCTGTTTCTTCCACTGTTACTTTTCTTCCTAGACACTGGCAAAAGACTGGGACAAGGACAGTAATACAGAAACTTAAGTGGGAGCATTTTTGTTCTAGTTTCCTTGTTCAGGAATACAATGATATCTCAGACTCTACCCAGGCTGAGGCTCACCAGATATGGTCAAATCTTGACCATTTCCTCCAAACTTTACTTTGGGTGTATTTGGTACCTCTGCCTTCATATTATGCTCTCTTCCTCACAGTCATTGTGCTCTTAGATTGCACTTCATGGAATTGGTTTGTTTCCCAAATTTCTAGCAAACGTTTACCTAGTGATGCCTCATTACCATTTAGAGAACAACTTGCAACATGAATATTGGGAATCATCATTTATTCTCCCCTTTGGAAACAGAAGACATTTTGACATATTGCATTCTTTTTCAGAATTTGGCTCCAAATATGATCCAAAGGCAAAGAGTTAGATGTGTCTAAAAGACATATGCATACTTTTCTAGTAATTAAAATTCATTTAGTTGATCAGGGAGATGGTTTTCAGCCGAGACAAAAATGACCTCAAGATACCAGCAATTCCTTCCTTCACCTTCAGAACTAAAACCACAAGGAATACTAAGAGTTCCTGTCAACATCTCTTTCCCCTACAGTTGAACCGAAAAAGCTAGACTTTGCTCTCTCATTGAAATTGTGTTGACTCAGCCTTGCCCATCAGAAATCTTTGAAGGAAAGATGATTGTCCATAGAAATGGGATTCTAAATATTTAGAAAAAAAATATATATAATATATAATATATTTGGGGAAGATATTTTGAAATAAATGGACTTCACTTTCTTTAAATAGAAGAAACTATTTCTTTGAAAATAGAGTCAGTGAGAAAAGAGGCTCCTCCGACCTTTAACCTTCCTGCACTATCAGGAAAGGAAAAAAAGAAAAGTTGTTTTGCCCTCCAACAAGAATGAGGGGTGAGAAAGATGCATGCTAATGATATGTGATGGCATGTCCCAAAGTATGGAGATGTGGTTGGCAGACATCAAATCACAAAGGCAAAAGTCATAGACAAAGAGATGAAGACACCTGGAGGATTGTCCTGTACAACTTCTTGTTCTAGAGGTGAGAAAACCAAGGGTCACTGAAGACAAGTAACTTTCCCAAGCCACAAAGCAAATCAGTGACAGTGCTGAGATGAGTCCCTAAGATGCCTAATCTGCAAATAACTTTCTTCAATACCATGAAGAAAATAAATAAGCTTCATTCACACTACTGTTTCTTGGGTATTCAGTGAGGTTAGTGGGAGACAATGACTTTAGATATGGAGGATAGAAGCTGATGGAGAAGAGAGTTACTTCCTTCTCTTAACAATAGACCAGAAATAGGAGGCAGTAAAAGTCTGTATGCATGCATAAACATGAGTGGGGGGTGTGTGTGTGTGTGTGTGTATGTGTGTGTGTGTCTGTGGTTTTAGGTAGAAATGGCACATAAGCAACACATGCATGGAAAAAAAGCATGGATATTGATATCAGACAAACTAAGGCTCAAATATTGACTCTCACATTTACCATGTGATCTTGATTAAGGGAGGCAACCTCTCTCAGCCTCGCTTTCTTCATTTCTAATGTGAGGATAACAAGTTAGCAATCACTTACATGGAGCTTTGGTGTGCACATTGAGCAAGGCAGAGAATGTAAAGTCCCTGCACCAAATGGTTAAAGGAGAGGTCATTTTCTTCTTTAAAGGGGAGGTCATTTTCTTCTTTAGGGAGCAATTATTAGGGAGAGAAATTTATATTGTTATAAAAGAAGACTATACATCCTGTTTTCCCACATTCTTTAAATTCTCAAGAATTAAGATGTTTTCAATTGTGAAACAGAAGGGAGGAAACAGGAAGGAGCCTTTATTAAGGATGAAAAATTGCTACAATTTTAATTTTGAAAGCAGGCTTATTGACAGAATGTGGGTATGTTTTCAGAATAATTAACAGGAAAGCCAGGACTGAGGAAATTAATTGCTATCAATATAATTGCCTTCCAAATGGCAACCTTGAGGCTGATGTACAATAAGGCCTTAGTTTATCGATGGGATTAGGTAAGGGCCCTGTTTGATAGGCTGCTCACTGGCTTGGGAGACCGAAAATGTAGCTCTGTCCATCATAATGGGATCTTCCTAAGATGGAAATGAATATTTGTTAAGTTTCTACAACATGCTCAAAGTATACTAGCTGCTGTTTTCTATGCAAATTTAAATATCAATCTTATAAATCAGATAGAATTAATTCTATTTTACAGAGGAGAAAAGTGAGGCCTGAGAGTTTGCTCAAAGACAAATGTTTGGAAATTGGTAGAGTCAGTTAGAACCCAAATCTGCCAAACTTCAAAGCTGTGATCTTTCTTCTCTACGAGAACACCTTCCACAAAGCATGTAGTGGATGTGAGAGTAGAGGTAGACTTAGGGCACTAGAGATCCGAAACTCACTTTATTGATGGTTATTCCTTTCATCCTAGGTTTTAGGACCACCATTTAATAGCTTAGTGACTTTGGCAAGTTTCTTAACTTGTGTGATACTCAATTTTCATATCTCTACCAATTTTATGATTTTGAATGTGTCACTTCCATCCTACTCCTGTAGGATGCTGCCAGAGCCTAACTTTAGTGGGTAGAAGAGTGGGAGGAGATGCTTATAGAAAAATGTGTATGTGTGGTTGTGTGTGTGTGTGTGTTTAGGATAGGAGGTATAAACCAAAAACTTCATATTATTTCCTTTCATCACAGTCAACCCAGTCCTTATCCACCAACTTGGATACACTCCCATTTCAGTGGCTGAAGGTGAGAATATATTTCTGACTGGTTTCTCGAAGCATGGAGGAAAAAGTTTGAAAGACTGGAGATAAGGGTGTACATGGTGAAGACATATGGATAAATATACACGTGTGGGCACAAAGAAATCTGTATCTCATGGTAAATCCCACCAGAAAGCATCCACCCTGGAAGATGCATTGAAATATCAAGGAAACAAAATGACTGGGACATTGCTGTTAGACAGCCTTCGTTTTCAGCCACTGCAGACATCATCTGATGAGCATGTAAACAGAGTGACCCTGGCTGCAGAGACGGGTCACAAATGGGCCCAACATGATGGTCTCACACAAACACATCCCACAATTCATTCTTATGACACTTTGTATCTATCCTGTACTGCCCTTACCATAATTATAATTAAAATTAAGCCTTATCCCTTTCCCCAAATGGAGACTGAGGGGGAAAGAGCTCTTTCTAGAGTAGACATTTGCAGTTTCTCTTTGCGTAATTGAGGGAGCCTTGATGAAGGGGCATATGGTCTCTTTCTTATGCCGGTAGGCCCCCTATGTCTCAATCTGGAAGGAGGAAGGAATAATAATTGGACTTACTTTGTGGAAAAGGAAGGGCTCTGCAGCTCACAGGCACTAGAGTATCTACATTTTTCCTCTTACGGCTTAAGAATCTGCTTTCTCTGAGAACTAATAATGTCTTCAGAGATGGGAGTATGTGCACACACTAACAGGTACCATGAATTAAACAGATGTACCTGTAAATCATTCTGTCAGAAAAACCAAGCAGGAAGATATACCTGCCCCCACCTAAGCCTGTGAGATTTGGAGCTCCAAATTCCCTTCCCATGCTGGAATACCAACAGGTATCTCCACTTATGCTGCCAAATTTCTAGGAAACCAGTCCTGATGCAAGGACCCAGATTTGGGAAGTTGTCCAATGGCAGGATAAGAGAGTGAGAATGGGGCTGTTGATCACCTCACATCAAGAGGGGTGGCACTTTACACAGGAAAAGATACAGGAAGAGTGAGTATTTAAGGGCAGAGAAACTGGGAGAAGAATGAGAGCCTCTATATAAAAGCTACTTTCTCACTGAGTTTTGGAAAAGTTGTATTTAGCACATAGCTTTGTATTTTTCTTTCCTATGTTGTCTTTTCCTTTTTGAAAAGTATATATTTTATTAGAAACAACACACATTCCAGCACATGTATATCTAAGTGGACAACTCAATGGATTTCTTAATATGAACACACCTCTGCAACTCCAACTCCCAGGTTAAGTCAGAGACTGTCTTCATAACACCTGTAAGTTACTACTCATCCCTCCTTAAACTCAACCACTGCCCTGGTTTCCTGATAAGACAGAGAAGTTCATGCAAGCCATGTTCCCATGAAGAACAAGAAAAACTTGATAAGTTTCAAAAGGTATATATGTAAAGGCATTAGAGTGCTGCAGAAACAATGAAGACTAGCAGCAGTGAAATTCTATGGGGGAAAGCACTGCAGAGGTGAGCTAGGATTTAGCTGCCCTTTGCCAATTCTGGGCATGAGCCAGAGGCTGAAAATTTGGGCTTGGCCCAGGCAGAGCAATGATGCTAGGGCAAGAGCTAAGAAAGTGATACAATAAGGCTTGGAGCAGATGCACAGGGATGCAGTGACTTAAACGGGAAATGGAATGGCTTCAAACTGAGAACATTTTCTCTTAGGACATTTGCTAAATGTTGAAGCTGCTTGAAGCAGAAGGAGAAAGGACTATGACCTGTATACTAAAAATAAAACTCTAAGCCCCTAAACTGACTGAATGGACCCCCTCTTGGCCAAGAGGATCTGAAAGAAACTGGAAAAACTAGTTCAGGCCATGATGGGAAAGGGGGTCAGACATGCCTCATTATACCCTCCTCCCTTTGGAGTTAAGAGGTAACTGACAAGCATTAACATTAAAACAGAGCTCTTAAGCCTGGCAAAATAGACTCTATGTAGCAATAAGATACCAAATTCCAACCTGATTCTGGTATAGCATCACATGACAGAGAGCAAGCACAGAAGGAAATCAAAGTATTTTACCCCAAAATGTTTTTCCTTGATATATTTTGAATGGTCGTGCAAAGTGTCTCTGGTGGGGGAAATTTGCATTCTATAGAGAATCTCGTCATTACTAGGTCTTTTCTGAAGAGTCTGACATCTTTTAAGGCTTGGAAAGCAATCTCTTTCTCTAAAGCTTGCTACCTGAAGGCTTCATTTACATGACAAGAACCTTGGCTTCCCCCTGTCTCTGCCCCACCTTACCTTAACTCAAGCATCTCTTTATGCTGACTTCAACTCTTCAGGCAGAGTTTAACTCTTTCAACTAGCTGCCAATCAGGAAATCTTTGAATCCACCTATGACCTGGGAGCCCCTGCTCAGAGACGTCCCTTTTTCTGGGCCAAACCAGTGTATACTTTTCATTTATTGATTTATGTCTTTACCTATAACTTCCATTTCCCTAAAATGTATAAAATCAAGCTGTAACTAAACCACCTTGGACACATGTTCTCAGGACCTCCTGAGGTTGTGTCATAGGACATGGTTCTCAACCTTGGCAAAATAAACCTCTAAATTGATTGGGACCTGTCTCAAATTCTTTTTGGTTAACAATCCAAACTCTGAAAAGAACAGTAGAATTTCCCACAGTCTTGCAGTGCCTAGGAGACAAGGAACCACTATGAGAATGGGCTCTGAGAAATTATAGACCAGGAGTATTATGGACTTCTTACAGGTAGTTAGGCTTTGATTGGGGCTCTTCCCCACCCACTAGGAATGTCAGGTGATGGTTTGGCAATCATTACATTGCATCTCTAGAAGTGATAAATTGGCAGCCAGCACCAGGGAGAGGCCATTTCCTGATGGTCCATATCTGTGGCATTAAAGTGTTCATTGAATACAGTTGCCAGGGAGAAGCAGCTGCCCAGGCCTGTGCACTAAGAGACAAAATGGCAGAGTATGACCTTCCAGGACACTCCACCAGAAAAGGGAAGAAACCCTTAGGTGGGGAGGCTTTCTATTGATCACAGGACCATGTGATCAATAACCAAGGGGGAAAGATAAATGATAAAAACAGCACGCGTACAACTGCCCTAAACACACTGCTTGTGCTCACCTGCCAGGGTAAGGAGGGCACTGCACATATGGGCAGCCCACCCTAAGGGAAGCATCATGGGAAAGGAGCCAGCCTCTAAAGTCCTAAGATAAGTTTAAACACCACACTTGACCTTCACATCCCCAGTTGGGACTCTTCCAGGCACACGTGCCTTTCTTTCCTGGTCTAAAGCCTTTTTAAATAAACGTCCACTTCTGCTCTGAAACTTGCCTGGATCTCTTTCTCTGCCTTACGCCCCTCAGTTGAATTCTTTTTTCTGAGGAGGCAAGAATTGAGGTTGCCACAGACCTGTTTGGAATTTGCCACCAGTAACTGGGATACCTGTCACCTGTAACAGACTGAATTGTGACTCCTCTGAATTCATATGTTGAAACCCTAACCCCCAGTATTTCAGAATGTGACTGGATTTGGAGACAGTATCTTTAAAAAGATAATTAAAATAAGATCATCAGAATGGCCCCTAATCCAATATGACTAGTTTCCTCCTAAGAAGAGGAAATTAGGAACCCAGAATGGTGGCTCATGCCTGTAATCTGTACTACTCAGGAGGCTGAGGTGGAAGGATTTCTTGAGGCCAGGAGTTCCAGATCAGCCCCAAGTAACATAGGAGAGAGACACACTCATCTAAAAAAAAAAAAAAAAAAAAAAAAAAAAACAAGAAGAAAATATTTGGGCACAGACACAGGTACAAATGGAAGACCACATGAAGACAAAGGGAGAAGACAGCCATCTACAAGCTAAGGAGAGAGACCTTACAAGATACCAACCCTGCTGATACCTTAATCTCAGACTTCTAGCCTCCAGAATTGAAAGAAAATACATTTCTGTTGTTTAAACCACCCAGTCTGTGGCACTTTGTTATGGCAGCCCTAGCAAATGAATACAGCCCTCAAGGGAGTCATGAAGCAACATTTACTATCTGCAACTGTTTTCCCCCTGAGCACTTGCTAATCTGAGCACATCTAAAATCTGCAAATCCAGGTTTGGCCTTGGCAAAGGGCCACTGCTATGGGAGAGATAAACTAGCAGAATTGGATTTTGGCAGTCATAGTGGGCTGAAGTGACAAAATTGAAGATTTGAGGAGCCTCAAACATATAACCAATATCCTCTTCAATACCTTTGCCAAATTCTGAAGTTATAAAAAGTGGTGAGTCAAGATGCAAAGCCAAAAATCTCCTTAAAGTAGAGCAAAAAATTCTGCAGTTACTCAGTACTAAAAAAAAAAGAAAGTTGGGCTCTCAATTAAGTTTCCTGATGGCCACAACCTAACAATAGGAGGAAATTAGATTGAGGCTGATAATTATGAAAAGTGTAGCCCAGGCTTGACCCATTCAGTCCCTGACCGGAATAAGGAAATTAGCCACCCCATCCCAGCCTCCTGACATCCATTTGCCCATCAGAGGAAAGGGCGAATCTACCTGTGAAAGATAAGATCAGCTGAAACTCTGCAGTGTTTTAAAGATATTTAAATAGTAATGATTTACTAGGGATGTAGAAACAGGACCATGTGATCAATAACCAAGGGGAAAGACAAATGATAAAAACAGATCCACAGATGATTCAAAACAGTCAATTCTTGTTATTTGTGGTAGCTATGCTCTATAAATTGCTAAGAATGCTGAAGTAATGAATAGTGAACTATTGCTACACAGGGAAATATAGGATGTGGTTCTGAAAACCTCTGGTCACAACAATTTTATCAGCCAAGATTCTGTTGGCATTATATAAGTTTGTTTGACAACTTCTTGTAAGATGAGCCAGTGTTATCAGCTTTGACGACCTGCTCTTCCACATAAATCTTCCTGTATAATACTACTTAGCAGGTATTTAAAAAATTTTTCCATGGCCTCATGATCTTCAGAGCCTCCTTTGCCTACATTTAACATTTCTCATGCTATATCACTTTTTCAAATGTGTGAGCCACCATCATTAACTGGGAAGTCTGTAACATTTTCCTGACCCTGAGTGATGTAACAGTAAGTTTATTTGACATTCACCATCATGGTAGTGCTGTACATTATGCTTTTGAGAAATCAATCATCATCTTAATAGTCCACAATTTTAGACACTTTATAATCTTTTCCATGGCTTCATTATGCACTATACATGTTACTTTAGCACTTTCCAGAGTGGCTTTACTTACAGACTGGCAAATTTTCTCTTTCTTTTTCTGCATGTATCACATTATTGACTCATTAACATTGGACTCATGACAAAGAGTACTATAACTCATGCCTGAACAAAGCTTGTCTAGTATACATATTTTCTCTGTAAGGTACATCACAGCCATCTTGCACATTGAAACACCAGACAGCACTTTAGCACTATGCTTGGGAGCCATAAACAGCAAAATTGCCAAATAAAGCACAAAAATGCAAAAATAGACCACAATAAGACACCTGTTTACAATAGCAGAGCTGAAACAATACTGCAGAGTGTCACCTTGTTCAATCTCAGCTGGGAACATGTGCATCAAGAAAATAAAATTTTTCACCACTCTGCACATTTCCATAAATGACTGTGAAAGTGCCATGAGTATTGATTTGGGGTTTACAAATAAATTTTAGCAAGCAAGCAGATTCACAAATATGGAATCCACAAATAATGAGGATGCACTGTATTCATGTTAACAAAGACTTCAAAATAACTACAATTCATATGTTTAAAAGTATAAAGAAGGAAAAAAAGATTTTCATCAGCGAACTGGAAGCTATAAAAAAATGAATCAAATAAACATCAAATTAAAAACATAATGGATAGATTTAACACAATATTGACCATAGAGAAGATGGGGTTATTTAACTGAAAGAAAGGACAAACTGAATATACTGAGAAATGGAGGCAGGTGGACTAATTTAATAAATAATAAAACAGAGCACAGTATACATGTGAGGGACACCAAAATCAAACTGCTAAAAATGAAAGACAGAGAAATCCTTAAAAGTAGAAAGAGCTAAAAATGCATATTACCTCCAAAGGAGTATTAATAAAGTTCAAGGCTGACTGTATAATGGAAAGTATACATGAGATGATTTTTTTTTTTTTGAGACATTGTCTTGCTGTGTCGCTGAGGGTGGAGTGCAGTGGCACGATCTCGGCTCACTGCAAGCTCTGCCTCCCAGGTTCACGCCATTCTCCCACCTCAGTCTCCTGAGTAGCTGGGACTACAGGCGCCCACCACCACACCCAGCTAATTTTGTTGTTGTATTTTTAGTAGAGACGGGGTTTCACTGTTAGCCAGGATGGTCTCGATCTCCTGACCTCATGAGCTGCCCGCCTCGGCCTCCCAAAGCGTTGGGATTACAGGCGTGAGCCACTGTGCCCAGCCGAGATGATCTTTTAAGTTCTGAACTGAAGAAAATAATTACCCTGATTGCTCCTGCCATTGATTAAGTGTTGCTGTTTTTGAGCATTATATAAATGGAATTGTATTGTACTCTTTTGTGTCTGGCTCCCTTTGTTGAATATTATGTTTTTGACATCCATCTATGTTATTGCATTTAAGAGTAGTTCACTTATTTTCCTCAAACAGAGCAAAGATCCATGTAACAAAGGACCACAAATAATTTAGCTGCTTTACCATTTATGCACTGTTTTGTTATTTCCAGTTTGCAGCAAATAATAAAAAATACTGCTATAAACATACTTAAGTATGTCTTTTGGCATCACATTTCTATTGGTTGCAGTCTAGCAGTGGAATTGCTAGATCATGTACAATGCAAGTGCTATAGACTAAACTGACTCCACTCCCCGCAAATTCATGTGTTGAAGTCATAGCCTCCCATGTGTCTGTACTGGACATGGGGCCTTTATGGAGAGTAAGGTTAAATGAGGTCATAAGAGGGAAGCCTTCCAATAGAACTGGTGCCCTTATAAAATGAGGAAAAGACACTGGATCTCTCTCTCTCTCTCTCTCTCTCAGCAAGAAGGCAGCGGTGCACAAGCCAAGAAGAGAGCCCTCACCAGAGCATGAACATTCTAGCACCTAATCTAAGACTTCTAACCTCCAGAGCAGTGAGAAGGTATATTTCTGTTGTTGAAGCCACCCATTCTGTGGTATCTTATTATGAGCCTGAGTTGACTAATACAGTCTGTACTAAGTGACAGTATAATATTATTAAACAAGTTTCTGAAATGTTTCAAACCAGCAGTTTACAATGGTTTCAACTGATCCATATCCTTTACAAGAGTTAATATTATCTATATTTTTCACTGTGTCAGTCTTGTTGTTCTGTTGTGGTATTTCATCGTGACTTTAACTCCCCTGATTAATAATGATATTAATCATTATTTTGCAAAGTGCCTTTTCATGTCTTTTTTTTCATATTGATTTACAGGAGCTCTTTATTTCTTAACAAATGTCTTCTACTCTCTTTATTGTATTTTTCTTTCTTAATCATGAAAATAAGTTCTTTATTGCAATGTAGTTCAATGTATCAATCTTTACTGTTAGTACATTTTGTGTTCTGTTTGAGAAATCTTTGCCTACCCCCAAGATCTCAAAGATCTTATCTTACAGAAGCACTTTTTAAAATCTTTAACATTTATATCTACAACCCATTTGGAAATAATTTTTACATTTGGTACGAGATAAGGCTTAAGATTTATTTTTTTCCATGTGCATATTTATTTAGCCCAGCACTGTTAGTTGGAATGTACACTTATTACTGTTTCTTCTATAATAAATTAACCATATGGATATGATTCTGCTTTCTCAATTTTCTATTCTATTCCAACGAGATGGTTTTGTTTTCATATGCCAATAACACGCTGTCTAAATCACTGTAGCCTAATGTCTTGATATCCTATGGTGTAAATTCTCCATAATTTTTGTTCTTTTTCAAGATCACCTCAGATATTTGTAGACTTTTTGTATTTCTATACAAATTTTAGAATTACTTTGTCAATATCCACAAAAAACAAAAACTTTCTAAAATTCTAATTTGGATTGCATTTAATATATATTAATGGTTGACAATTAACATTTTTACATTATTGAATCTTTCATATATGAATATATACCATTTATTTATGTATTCTTTAATTTCTCTCAAGAAAGTTTTTAGATTTGTGTTTATAAGTTTTGTTAGACTTACTCCTAAATATTTGATGCTTTTAATAGTATTGTTATTTTAAATCTTATTTTAAAATAAGATTCATTTTAAAATCTTTTATTTATTAGTATGTAAAAAATACTGATTTTTTAAAAAATGTTAACCTCATACCTTCCTAATTTGCCAGACTTATTTTAGTGTAAATTCCTTTGGATTTTCTAACAACTGATCTTCAATACAATGTTGGATATATGAAAGTTAACAATAAACATACTTGTCTCATTTCTGATCATAGAGGCAAAATTTTGATATTTTATCATTAAGTATTATGCTCATTATAGGGTTTTTGTAAATAGTGTTATCAGATATAGGATGGCCTTTACATTCTTGGTTTGCTAAGAATTTTTATTATAAATGGGGATTGATTTTATACATGTCTTTGTTGAGATTATTATATTCTTTTTCTCCCCTATTCTGTTAATGTGGTAAATAACATTGATTGGTTATTAAATATAAACAAACTTCACAAATTCTGTTTGCAAACTTTATTCCTAAAATAAAACCAGTCACCTGTCTACCTACCCCTCCCCCACACACACATGCACACATATACATCACTAGAGTTATTTACTAATTTTTAGTTTAGACTTTTCATTTATGCTCCTGAGATTTTCCTGTAACTTTCTTTTCTGGTCCTGTATGTGTTAAGTTTGGTATTAAGTGTATGTTGTCCTCATAAAACAAATTTGAAAATGTTTCCTCTTCTTTTTAACTTTCTGCAAGCATTTGCATAAAATTCTTATTTATTCCTTCAAGATTTAAAAGAATTTACTGGAGAAGATGACAGCTGGGCCTAGATATTTCTTTGTGAAAGAGTTCTTTATTGCACATTCAATTCCTTTAAATGAAATAAGACCATTCCGATTCTCTATTTCTTACTGTACCAGGTTTTTACAAATGGGCTTTTATGAAATTTGTCCCCTACGTCTACATTTCCAAATTTTCAGGAATATAATTCTTCAGTATATTCTCTTGTTATCTTTCCAAATCTCTGAATGACCTGTGGCAATCTCCCTTTTTATTTCTGCTATTGATTTTTTTTTAATTTCTCCTCTTTTCTTCTTGCTAGAGATTTAACAATGTTATTCACCTTTTCAAACATTCAACTTTTGGCTCTTTGAATCTTTTGTGTTTATATTTTCTGCTTCATTAATTTTGTTCTTTATTATTTTTTCCTTCAGTTTCATTTGGGATCTATTGAATGTTCTTTCTGAGAGTGATACTGAGATTTTTCAGCCTTCCATCTTTTATTAATGTATGCATTTAGACCTAAAAATTTCCCCTTAACCACAGTTTTATTAGCATCCTCCAAAATTTTATATCGTATTTTCATTTTCATTAGTTTGAAATATTTCATAATATTACTTGTGATTCTACCTTCAATCCCTGGATTGTTTCAAAATATGTTGCTTAATTTCCAAGTAATTGGGGATGTTTTAGCATTCTTTTGTGCTTGATTCCAGCACAGCCTGAATGAAATTGTTCATTTAAAATATATTGAGCACCTTTTCATGACACCTCAGAGGTGATCAACTGCTTCAAGATGAAACTGAATATGTCCTTCCCAGCCACTGGCTTCCAGAAACTCATTGAAATGGATGATGAATGCAAATTTCATACTTTTTATGAGAAGTGTGTGGTAACAGAAGTTGCTGCTAACACTCTGAGTGAAGAATAGAGTGGTTATGTGGTCTGAGTCAGTGGTGGGAAGGACAAACAAGGTTTCCCCATGCAGTAGTGTGTCTTGACCCATGGCTGTGTCTGCCTGCTACTGAGAAAGGGGCATTCCTGTTATAGACCAAGGAGAACTGGAGAAAAAAAGCACAAATCTGTTCGAGGTTGCATTGTGGATGTCAGTCTGAATGTTCTCAACTTGGTTATTGTAAAATTTTAAAAAGGAGAGAATAATGTTCCTGTACTGACTGATACTATGGTACCTCATTACCTGGGGGCCCAAAGGAGCTAGCAGAATCCAGAGTCTTTTTAATCTGCCTAAACAAGATGACATCCTCCAATATGTTGTAAGAAACCTTTTAGACAAAAAAGGTAAGAAACCCAGGACCAAAGCACCCAAGAGTCAGCATCTTGTTATTCCACGTGTCCTGCAACACAAACACCAGTGTATTGCTCTGAAGAAACAAAGTATTAAGAAAAATAAAAAAGCGGCCACAGAATAGGCTAAACTTTTGGCCAAGACAATGAAGGAAGCCAAAGAAAAATGCCAGGAACAGATTGCCCAGAGATGCAGACTGTCCTTTCTGCAAGCTTCTACCC
This sequence comes from Homo sapiens, assembly GCF_000001405.40. NCBI lineage: Eukaryota > Metazoa > Chordata > Mammalia > Primates > Hominidae > Homo > Homo sapiens. Next base: position 111,498,210 of record NC_000010.11, on the reverse strand, counting down.
TAAGTCCAAGTGCAGTCAAAAATAAGATTATTTGAGTAATTAGAGGAGATTAGACTCTCAAAAAATATGTATATTGATATTTATGTTTCTGCTTGTAATCAATTTTGTTCTACATGCACTTAATAGAATGTGTATTCTGCCACTGTTGGCACTGTGTTGTACATATGTCAGTTAGATCAGGTTTTCTTGAATTGTGTTTTTACTGATTTTCTATGTCCTCACTGAGCATTTTGCTCTGCTTGTTCTGTCAGTTACCAAGGTATGTTAATGTGTCTTACTGTGATTGCACATTTGTCTATCTCTTAGTTTTTTACTTGTAAATTGCTTATCAATTAGTTTTTGTTTTATAATAAAATTTACTTTTTAGGTTTACAGAAAATTGACAGGTAGCACAGAGTTCCCATATAAGCTCTCCCTGTCACACATATACAAAGTTTCCTCTGTTTTTAATATCTTGCTTTAGTATAATACATTTGTTACAGTTAATGAAACAATATTGATTTGTTATCATTACCTAAAGTTCAAAGTTTGTATTAAGATGCACTCTTTGTGTTATATAGTTCTCTATGTTCCCTCAAATGCACAATGTCATGAATATACATTATACAATAATACCCTAAAAATTCCCTATGCTCCACCTATCCATCCCTCTCCTCCTTCTAAACCCTGGCAGTCACTGATCGTTTTACTATCTCTATAGTTTTGCTTTTTCCAGAATGTCATATAGTTAGAATCATATAGTGTGTATTCCTTTCAAACGGACTTCTTTTGCCTAGAAATATGCATTTAAGGTTCTTCCACCTATTTTTGTGGCTTAATAGCTCATTTCTTTTTACTGTCAAATAATATACTATTGTATGGATGAACCACATGTTGTTGATCTATTTACCTACTAAAAGACATCTTGGTTGCTTCCAGTTTTGGGCCATTATAAATAAAGCTACTATTCACATTCAGATTTTTGTGTAGACATAATTTTCAACTCTTTTGGGTAAATACCCAGTAGCACAATTATTGGATTATATAGTAAGACTATATTTCGGTTTTTAAGGAAATGGCAAACTATCTTCCAAAATGATTGTATCATTTTTGAATAGGAGCAATGAATGAGAATTCTTGTTTGCTCCACATCCTCATTGGCATTATTTGGTGTTATCAGCCAATCATTGATCCTCTTGGCAGGTGGTTAGGACAGGGCCATAACACCTTAAACCAATCAGGGGACTCACTTCTTTGAGGTTTATTCTCAGACGTTGTAAGGCTTGGTCAACCTCTGATCCAACCCCACTTCTATAATGTAGCCCCTGAAGGATTCACCCTGAAAATCTTGTGTGTTTTCCAAGATCCCTGATTCACCCTGAAAATCTTGTGTGTTTTCCAAGATCCCTCATTCTTAGAGTCTCAAACTTCAATGTTTTCTCTCTCCTGTAGTGTTAGACTGATGAAAGTGCCACTTAGCTTTTTCGTCACACTGTGCTCTTTCCTGAAAGTTATCATATTCTCTCTTGCTCTCATTCTCTACCTCTTGTTCTGTAACTCCTCTTTAAGAAAAGGCAAAAGCCTCAAGGGAATAACTGTCACAGGCTCACTTTCCTGCATATCCCCTATCTCTGTAATCCTGGCCCCTCAGTTCTAGTAACCTCAGAATCTCTCTAGTGCTTTTAGATAGACTGTATTTAAAATGTCTATTCAGCAAAGCAGTTGTTTAGAATACATAATTGATTAAAAGAATGTGTAATTCTTTCCTGATGTCTGTATTGTCTGGCAAGAATACAATCTCCCTGAGGGCCAGGACAAACTTGTCTTTAGCCCTACCATCATCTGAGTCATTAGCGCAGTGCTTGGCTCCATAAATTTTAACTGTCTTTTGGAAAGAACAAATAAAGAAAAGAAGAGGAGAGGCAACTTTAAAAGAAACTTCCTCTTATAGAATCAGTAACATAAAAACAAAGATTCTTATCAAAGATTCTTGAAGCTGAATGTGCTTGAGTTGTGTGCGCCAGACTGCCCTGCAGTGGGAGTAAACATTTCTGAAACTTAACAGTTCATTTTCCGTTCTCCATCTTCCATACTCCTCTGTCCCAGTGGAAATGGAAATGGAGGCCTCATATTAATGGCTCCTGGTTTCACTGGGTTCGATGTGGTATTGAGTGATTGTTAAAAGAAAAATCTAAGGAGAAATCAGGTTAGTGGTTTATGTGAAACAACAGTAATATTTGAATTAAAGCTATAAATCAACTATGCAAATAAGCCTGTGCTCAGGGCAGAAATGCAATCAAATGGCCTGTAGAAGGAAACTTAATAAGCCCTGCCTCTCCTTCTGTTACCTTGCAGTAAGTTTCCCGAGATTCAGGTCTTGTGGGGACACTGAGAGAGGGTAGTTCCAGGCATTCCAGTAGCTCTCACAGCAACTGTACTGGCACCTGGCAGCATTCTAACACCTCAGAAAGGGTTGAACAGTTTGCATCTGTGTCTCTATCAAAAGGCATTAAATATGCATCTGATCAAGATAGTAGTCAGGACTATGAAGTGCCTATGGGGGGAATTTGCTTGAAATTATGACTATATGTACATGCTTTCTTTCTGAAATGGCTTTGGGGCTGAAATTCTCACAAGAGAATTGGTTAAAGAACGGGAGATGGTTCAACAAAGATTGACTGTTAACAGTTTGGGTGGAAAGTAAGGGGGGCAGCAAGACCAAAATTCAGGGCTCATTACTAAAGATGGGGCCCAGCCCTGCCCATGGAATTTTTACCACTTGTTGGTGGCCATAGAATCATGGTAGTCAAGTAATCATAAGTCTTGGTTTGCTCAGAATAGTCCCATTTTATTTGTACTGCTCCAGTGTAATTGTTATTAGCACCTCCTTTTGTTCTTAAGAGTGTCCTCGTTAGGATGATAAATTATAGGGCCACCCTACAAAGTAAGGATTTCCAAAATTATTTACTTTTTGAATAAGTCAAACACTCAAGACTATTATTTCACAGTCCAGTAGGCCTCACAACTCATAGCCCAGATCTACATCCATTAATGAGAGTAGTAAGTTTCCTCTCCCTATAACTATTCAGGTAAAGACTAGAAAAGGAGATGAGGTCAAGGAAATTTGGACAAAAAACAAGGGCCTATGTCAATGGTTTTGTGAGATTCCTTCTTTCCCTGAGGTTCAGCAAATCTGAGAAAAAAACTCATAGGGGAAATAGTTTCTCAAGTTTGTACAAGAAGATGGTAGCTGATGAAGAGGCTGAGCCCAAGTTTTCTCACTTTCTTTACTAGAGACTGATTATGATTAGGAGAAAATAAGCCAGACAGGGAAACACTTAGAGTGGTTCTAGGTACTGCATGTCTAACTCAACTGAAACCTGTACACCCACTCCAGTTTGAATTCTAAGGGCAGTAGAGTTTTTGTTACATGCAAAAATTCAGGTGGGAAGGAGGCAGGGAAAGATGGGGGGGATAGAAGTCTCCACCAATCATGCCCCCTGCAAGGACACCAATTTAACAACTTATCTACACAGAAAAAACACGATCATAAGAACCAAAAATCAGGCAAGCCCTCATAGTATCTGGTTTTAACATTGTATCACTGTAAGAGACACTGAAGAGATAGAAAACAACAATCTTCAATTGCTGACGCCACCCCTTCCCCACCTCTGGCCGCAGCAATGTGGTGCAGAGTGTCCCTGGGCGCTGGAGGAGGGTGAACACAGAAATTATGAAGCAATAAACTCCGTGCTGTTCTGCTACAGCAGAAAGAAACACCAGACCAAACTCAGCTGATGCCAGCCCATGGCAGGAGCATTTAAACCAGCCCTACCCAGAGGGGAATCACCAATCCCAGTGGTCAGAACTTGACTTCCCACAGACCTTACCACTGAGGGACAAAGTACTCTGTGTCTCTAAATAAACTTGAAAGGCAGTCTAGGCCGTAAGGACTACAACTCTTAGGTGAGCTCTAGTGCTCAACTTGGCCCAGAGACTAACTGGATGGTGGGGCATCCAAATACTGAGATATCAGCTGGGGCAGCCAAAGGAGTGTTGGCAACACACCTCCCCTACCCCAGGCTGCACAGTTCATGACTCCAAAAGAGACTACTTCCTCTTGCTTGAGGAGAGGAAAGGGAAGACTGGGGAGGACTTTGTCTTGCATCTTGGATACCAGCTCAGCCATAGCAGGATATGGCCCTGGTCAAAGTTGTGAGGACCCATTCAAGGCCCTAGCTCCTGGACAACATTTCTAAACATACCCTAGGCCAAAAGGGAACCCACTGCCTTGAGGGAGGGACTCAGTCCTGGCAGCATTCATCACCTGCCAACTGAAGAGCCCTTGGGCCTTGAATAAGCAGCAGCAATACCCAGGTACTGTGTCAAAGGCCTTGAGTGAGCCTGAGACTTGCTGGCTACAGGTGAGACTCGGCATATTCCAAGCTGTAGTGGTTATGGGGCAAAACTCTTTCTGCTTGAGAAATGCAGAGGAGAAAGTCTTGAGCCTTAGGTACCAGCACAGCACAGGAGTTAAAGCATCAAGTGGGATCATGGGGTCTCTGATTCCAAGACTTGACTCTTGAACAGCATTTCTGGACCTGCCCTGCAACAGAGGTGATCCTACTGCTCTGAAGGGTGAGTCCCAGGCCAGGCAACATTCACCACAACTGACTTAAGAGCCCTTGGGCCTTAAGGGAACATCAGCAATAGTCTGGCAGTACTCCTCGTGGCCTGAGGTCTCGGTGGCTGTGGGTTGAGGCTTTTCTGGCTTTAGAAAGGGAAGGGAGGAGAAGGAAGGACTACATATTGTGGTTTGAGTGCCAGCTCAGCTGCAGTACAGTAGAACACCAGGTAGACTTCTAAGGTTTTTGACTCCCAGATGGCACCCCTGGACTCACATGGGGCCTGGGGGACCTTGCCACCCTGAAAGGAAGGACCTACACCCAGCTGGCTTTGCCACCAGCTGATTGTAGAGCCCCAGGGCCTTGAGCAAACATAGGCAGTAGCCAGGAAGTGGTTACAGCAAGCATTAGCCAACACTCACTGCTGTGCTGGCTTCAGGTCTGATCCAGTGTAGGGGTGCTTGTGTCACTTAAACTCCAGCTTTAGGTGGCTCAGAACATACAGAAAGAGAGAGACTCTGTTTGGGAGAAAGTAAAGGAAGATAACAAGAGTCTCTGCCTGGTAATCAAGACAATTATCTTGGGTCTTGTCCAAGACTGTCAGTGTGGTACCACTAATGAGTCTGCAAGAATCATGTTATTAGGCTTGGGGTGCCCCCTAAAGCACATACATCTTAGATCACAACACCCAAGTCCTTTCAAATCTCTAAAATGTCTTGCTCAAGAAGGATGGGTAAAAATAAGCCCAGACAGTGAAGACTGCAATAAATACCCAACTCTTCAATGCCCAGAAACTGAAGAACATTTGCCAGCATCAATATCATCCAGGAAAACATTACCTCACCAAATGAACTAAGTAGATCACAAGGGACCAATCTTGGAGAAACAAAAATATGAGACCTTTTAGATAGAGAATTCAAAATAGCTGTTTTGAGAAAACTCAAAGAAAATCAAGATAACACAGATAAAAAATTCAGAATTCTACAAATAAATTTAACAAAGGGATTGAAATTATTAACAAGAATCAAGCAGAAATTCTGGAGCTGAAAAATACATTTGGCATACTGAAAAATATGTCAGAGTCCTTTAATAGCAGAAATGATCAAGCAGAAGAAAAAATTATAATGAGCTTGAAGACAGGCTATTTGAAAATACACAGAGGAGACAAAAAAATAATAAAAAACAATGAAGTACACCTACAGGATCTAGAAAATAGCCTCAAAGGCCAAATCTAAGAGTTATTGGCCTTCAAGTTATTGAAAGTTTATTCACAGGGTTAATAACAGAGAACTTCCCAAATCTATAGAAAGATATCAATATCCAAGTACAAGAAGGTTATAGAACACCGAGCAGAGTTAGCCCAAAGAACACTATTTTAAGGCATTTAATAATAAAACTCCCAAAGGTCAAGGGTAAAGAACTGATCCTCAAAGCGTCAAGAGGAAAGAAAAACAAATAACATGCAATGGAACTTTGATACATCTGGCAACAGACTTTTCAGTGGAAACCTTACAAACCAGGAGAGAGTGTAATGACATATTTACAGTGCTAAAGGAAAAAAAAAAAAAAACTTTAGAATAGTATATCTGGTTAAAATATCCTTCGAACATCAAGGAGAAATAAAGACTTTCCTAAACAAAAGCTGAGGGATTTCATCAACACCAGACCTGTCCTACAAGAAATGCTAAAGAGAGTATTTCAATCAGAAAGAAAAGGACATTAATGACCAATAAGTACTCACCATTAGGAACAAAACTCACTGGTAATAGTAAGTACACAGAAAAACACAGTATTATAACACTTTAACTGTGGTATGTAAAGTACTCTTAACCCAAGTAAAAAGACTAAACAATGAACCAATCAAAAATAATAACTGTAACAACTTTTCAAGACATAGCCAGTACAATAAGATATAATTAGAAACAACAAAAAGTTTAAAAGTTGGGGGATAAAGTTAGGGCATGGATTTTTTTATTCATTTCAATATTTATACAAAGTGTTACATTATTGTCAGGTTAAAATCATGGGTTATAAGATAGTATTTGCAAGCCCATGGTAAACTCAAACAAAAACATACAATGAATACACAAAATTAAGAAGCAAGAAGCTAAATCATATCAGAGAACATCACCTTCACTAAAGGAAGGCAGGAAGGAAAGAAAGAAGAAAGAGGAGACCACAAAACAAAAACAACCATAAAACAAATAACAAAATAGTAGGTGTAAGCCTTTCCTTATCAATAATAACAATAAATGTAAATGGACTAAGCTCTCCAATCAAAACACATAGAGTGGCTGAATGGATGAAAAAACAACACCCATTGATCTTTTGCCTACAAGAAACACATTTCACCTATAAAGTCACACATAGACTGAAGATAAAGGGATAGAAAAAGATATTCCATGCCAATGGAAACCGAAAAAGAGCAGGAGTCACCATAACAATATTAGACAAATAGATTTCAAAACAAAAACTGTAAGAAGAGACAAAGAAGGTCACTGTATAATGATAAAGGGGTCAATGTGGCAAGAAGATGTAATAATTTTAAATATCTATGCACCCAACACTGGAGCATCTAGATATACAAAGTAAGTATTATTGTAGCTAAAGAGAGAGATAGGCCCCAATACAATAATAGCTGGAGACTTCAACACCCTTCTTTCAGCATTGGACACATTTCCCAGACAGAAAATCAACAAAGAAACAACAGATTTAATCTATAGACCAAATGAATCTAATAGCTATTTACAGAACATTTCATCTGATGACTGCAGAATACACATTCTTCTCCTCAGGACATGGCTCTTTCTCAAGGACAGATCATATGTAAGATCACAAGACAAGTCTTAAAACATTCAAAATCATGCAAATAATATCAAGCATCTTCTCTGACCACAATGGAATAAAACTAGAAATTAATAACAAGAGGAGTTTTGTAAACTACACAAAGACATGAAAATTAAATAATATGCTCCTGAATGACCAGTGGGTTAATGAAGCAATTAAGAAGGAAATTGAAAATTTTCTTAAATGATAATGAAAACCCAACATACCAAAACCTATGGGATACAACAAAAGCAATGTTAAGAAGGAAGTTTATAGCTATAAGTAGCTACCTCAAAGAAGAGGAAAAGAATTCAGATAAATAACCTAATGATTTTGGGTTATCATAACCAAGTGGGTTTTTCTCTTGGGATGCAAGGATGGTTCAACATATACAAATCAATCAATATGATACATCATATCAACAGAATGAAGGATAAAAACCATAAAATCATTTCCATTGATGATAAAAAAAAAGCATTTGATAAATTTCAACATTTCTTCATGACAAAAACCCTCAAAAAACTGGGAATAGAAGGAACATACCACAACATAATAAAAGCCATATATGACAGACCCACAGCTAGTGTCATACTGAATGGGAAAAAACTGAAAGTCTTTCCTCTAAGATCTGGAATGTGACAACACTGCCCATTGTCACCACTGTTATTTAACATAGTACTGGAAGCCCTAGCCATTGCAATCAGACAACAGAAAGATATCAAAGGCATCCAAATGGGAAAAGAAGTCAAATTATTTTTTTTACAGATGATATGATCTTATATTTAGAAAAACCTAAATACTACACAGGAAAACTATTAGAACTGCTAAACAAACTTAGTAAAGTTGCAACATACAAAAATCAGTAGCATTTCTATCTGTGAGTGAGAACTCACTCACTGTCATGAGAACAGCATGCGGGAAACCACTCCCATGATCCAATCACCTTCCACAAGGTCCCTTCCTTGACACATGGGGATTACAATTTGTCTTACAATTCAAGATGAGATTTGGGTGGGGACACAGCCAAACCATATTATTCTGCCCGTGATCCCTCTCAAATCTCATGTCCTTCTCACATTTCAAAATGCAATTATACCTTCTCAACAGTCCCCCAAAATCTTAACTCATTCCAGCATTAACACAAAAGTCCAAGTCCAAAGTCTCGTCTGAGACAAGGCATATCCCTTCCCCCTTAAAAAATCAAAAGCAAGTTAGTTACTTCCAAGATACAATGGGGGCACAGGCATTGGGGAAATGTTCCTATTCAAAATGGGAGAAATTGGCAAAAACTTGCCCCATGCAAATCCAAACCCAGCAGGTGATTAAATCTTAAAGCTTTGAAATGGTCTCCTTTGACTTCACGTCTCACATCCAGGGAATGCTGATGGAAGGGGAGACTCCCAAGGCTTTGGGCAGCTCTGCCCCTATGGCTCTGCAGGGCATAGCCCCTGTGGCTGCTTTCACAGGCTGGCGTTGAGTGCCTGTGGCTTTTCCAGGTGCAAGCTGTCGGTGGATCTACCATTCTGGGGTCTGAAGGATGTTGGCCCTCTTCACACAGCTCCACTAGGCAGTGCTCCAGTGGGGACTCCGTATGGGGCCTCCAAACCCACATTTCCCTTTCATACTGTTTAAGTAGAGGCTCTGTATAAGGGCTCCACCCCTGCAGTAGACTTCTGCCTAGACATCCAGACATTTCCACACATCTTCTGAAATCTAGGCAGAGGTTCCCAAAGGTCAGCTCTTGCCTTCTGCATATCCACAGGCCCAACACCACGTGGAAGCCACCAAGGCTTCAGGCTTACACCCTCTGAAGCTACAGTCTGAGCTATACCATGACACCTTTTTGCCCTGACTAGAGCTGGAGCAGCTAGGACAGAGGACACCAAGTTCCAAGGCTGCACAGAGGAGAAGGGCCCTGGGCCTGGTCCATGAAACCATTTTTTCCTCCTAGACCTCTGGGCCTGTGATGGGAGGGGCTACCTTGAAGATCTCTGACATGCCCTGGGGACGTTTTCTCCATTGTCTTGGCAATTAACATTCAGTTCCTCATTACTTTTGTGAATTTCTGCAGCTAGCTTGAATTTCTCCCCAGATAATGGGTTTTTCTTTTCTACCACATACACAGGCTGCAATTTTCCCAGAATTTTATGCTCTGCTTCCCCTTTAAATATAAGTTCCAATTTTAAATGTCTGTAAGTGCATATAACTGTATACTTTCAGGAAAAACCAGGTCACGTCTTGAATGCTTTGTTCCTTAGAAATTTCTTCTGCCAGAAACCCTAAATCATCTATCTCAAATTTAAAGTTCCACAGATCTCTAGAGCAGAGGCAAAGTGCCATCAGTCTCTCTGCTAAAGCAGAGCAAGAGTGACCTTTGCTCCAGTTCCCAATAAGTTCCTCCTCTCCATGTGAGACCACCTCAGCCTGGATTTCATTGTCCGTATCACTATCAGCATTTTGGTCAAAACTATTCAAAAAGCCTCTGGGAAGTTTCAAAGTTTCCTACATCTTCCAGTCTTCTTCTGAGCCCTCCAAACTGTTCCACACTCTGGCACTTACCCAGTTCCAAAGTTGTTTCCACATTTTCAAGTATCTTTACAGCAGTACCCCACTAATGGTGCCAATTTCCTGTATTAGTCCATTTTCACACTGCTATAATGACACTATCTGAGATGGGGTAATTTATAAACAAAAGAGGTTTAATGGGCTCTCAGATCCACATGGCTGAAGAGGCCTCAGGAAACTTACAATCATAGCAGAAGGTAAAGGGGAAGCAAGCACATTTTACATGGCAGCAGGAGACAGAGAGAGGGGAGGAGGATGGGCCAGACACTTATTAAACAACCAGATCTCATGAGAACTCACTGTCATGAAAACAGCATGGGGAAAACCACCCCCATGATCCAATCACCTCCCACGAGGTCCCCTCCTTGACACATGGAGATTACAGTTTGGCTTACAATTTGAGATGAAATTTGGGTGGGGGCACAGGTAAACCATATCACTAAGTAAAATAAGCCAGGTACAGAAAGACAAATATCACATGTTCTCACTTAATTGTGGGATCTAAAAATCAAAGCAGTTGAACTCATGGGCATAGAGAGTCGAAGGATTGTAACAGAGGCTGGGAAGTGTAGTGGGGGTTTGCAGGGAAGATGGGGATGGTTAATGGGTACAAAAAATAGAAAGAATGAATAAGACCCACTATTTGATAGCACAACTGGGTGACTATAGTCAATAATAACTTAATTGTACATTTTAAAATAACTTACTTAAAGAGTATAATTGAATTATTTGTAACTCTAAGGATCAGTGCTTGGGGGGAATGGATACCCCATTCTTCATGATGTGCTCATTTCACATTGCATGCCTGTATCAAAACATCTCATGTACCCCATAAATATATACACCTACTATGCACCCACAAAAATTAAAAATTTTGAAAAAATTAATTAAAACAAAAAAAAATTTGGGTGTATATCTGCACCTAGGGTTTTGTGTCAGACAGAATAGGGTAGGTTTTGATGTAGTAGTAAACAAAATTTCAGTGGCTTAAAACAACATAGTTTTGCCAGGAGGAGTGGCTCATACCTGTAATCCCAGCACTTTGGGAGGTCAGGAGTTCAAGACCAGCCTGGCCAACATAGTGAAACCCTGCCTCTACTAAAAATACAAAAACTAGCCAGGTGTGGTGGCAGGCACCTGTAATCCCAGCTACTTGGGAGGCTGAGGCAAGAGAATTGCTTGAACCCAGGAGGCAGAGGTTGCAGTGAGCCAAGATCGCACCATTGCACTCCAGCCTGGGTGACGAGTGAAACTCCATCTCAAAAAACAAAACAAACAACAAAAAACCATAGTTTTGCTTTCTTCTCAGCTACACTTTCCATCGTGTATTATCTGGGAGCTCTCATCCATGTCAGACTTGCTCAGGAACACCATATTTCCTTGATTATTGAAGCAGTACAAAGAAAAAAGGGTGAATCACCCACTAGCTCTGAAAGGTTCTGCTGGCTATGACATATGTTATTTCGACTCACATTTCATTGGCCACAGAAAATCACATGGATATGCCTAATTTATTATGGGAAGGGAAGTCATGCCATTGTCATGGAAGGCAGAGAAGAGGAAATATTTAGAAAATAGCACAAACAACAGGTTAATGGCAGAAAGTATAGAGATGGCATGTCAAAGTGCCTGTTACACAACAGGAGCCAAACACATGCCAGCTTCCTGCTGAGAGATGCCCAGATTCTTTGGAGCCTTTCTGTTGCAGCTCCCCTGTTCTTCCTTTCAGATGACACTCCAGCATCAAGGATTACTTAGTCTGTAGACTCAGAAAGGGTAGAGTCCTATATTCCTCAAACAGGCAAAGAGTTAGTACCTGAATCATAGACAAGGACTTGTCGTATTCTGGCCTCAGCATTTTGAAACAGCAGCAGCAGCAGCAGCAGCAGCTAAACATCCAGCATTTATATGGCACAAGCGGTGTGCCAAGCACTTGCTGAGTTTCACTATTCTGTGAGACTCACCATGTATTTAATCCTGACAACAACTACATAGATAGTTACTGTTAGTACACTCTCTTTACAGATGAGAAAATGGAGGCAAAAATGGTAAAGTAACTTTTCCCAGGTCAATGGTTAGTAATTATCAGAGCTGGGATTCAAACCCATGCAGTTTGCTCCAGTATCCAAGTTCCATTACTTCTACGCTAGACAAATTGGGGAATAAAGACATGCCCATCTTATCCAATAGCATCTGATGGCATAGTACATACTACAATACGGTTTCTCAGGAAATGGAGCCCCTGGGGTCTTATGAAATAATTTTCTTGGCACTCAAAGAACATTAAATAGCATCGCCTCATATGATGGCAAGTGCATTTTCTTTTTATTGCTTTTCTCCCTTTGTTTCCCAATACTTCTGATTATGTCAAAAAAAAAATGTCAAAGACATGCTAGCACTAACCATTATTGTTAATCTCAATTTGGAAGAAGAGAAAGGCCCCCAGCACATAGCCTGCTGAAGGCAACCATATCCGCCTACATAGAAAAAGAATGTTTTCGTTTCATTGTACTTGTTTATTGTTATTCTTTACTATTGGAAAGTGATTCGATATTTCCATTTATGGCAATAGTGTAGTTTCACTTTAAACATATTTGTTTAATAAAAATGAGCTGATGTGATAAAATAGAAAATAAATAGCATGGCTAGTGTGCAGACAGGCCCAGAAGAGTAGAAGCAGTTGGTCAAAGACTGGAATGTGGGAAACACTATTCTGGAGGGATGAGTTTCCAGGGCAGTAGGCTGGACTTAGGGTAGATGCCAAGAAATTTCTTTCCTCTAGTCAGCTGCTAGTCAGTTAACAAAGAAAACAATAAGAATCTCCTCTTTTCTACCAATGACACCTGTTAAACCCTAAACCCTGCGAAGGTACACATTTAAGATGAAATGAGCCTGAGAGAAAGTGGTAAGGTGAAACAAAGAGGGCATTAGATTAGCAGGGGGAGAAATGGGCCTGCATCAGATCAGTAACAAACTGTGTGACCTGGGTGAATTTTCTACCAACTCAGAGAGCCTCTACCACCATCTATAAACTAACTTGGGGAAATACAGTCTACCTCCCACGGTTCTTGTGATTATTAAATCATATCATGGGGAAAATATTACCTGACTTATCTTGTTAGCTGTTGGGAAGATCAAGCATTCATTCCACAAATTTATAAACCTACCGTGTACTAGACAGTCAAAGGACAACCTCAGCTTTTGCCCTGTGAAGCTCAGTCAAGTAGGAAATTTCACTAAGAGCAGCAAGAGAAACAAAACCACGCAACTGCCACTTACTGAGGATTTGCCAGTGGCCAGGTATTGAACCAAGTGTCCTATTTGTATAAGCCCCTTTCATCCTAACAATAGTTCTGCAAAGAAATTTACATATGTATCACCACCCCCATTTTACAGATGAGAATCCTGAGACTTAGAGGGATAAAGAACTTACATAAAGTTATTCAACTGGCGAATGGCAGAGCCAGGACTCAAACACATCTGTTTTCTTTTTAAAACAGAGATCATTAGGCCAGGCATGCTGGCTCACACTTGTAATTCCAGCACATTGGGAGACCAAGATGGGAAGACTGCTTGAAGCTAGGAGTCGAGACCAGCCTGAGCAACATAGCAAGACCCTGTATCTACAAAACTAAAAATAAGAATATCCAGGCACAGTGGTGCATGCCTGTAGCCCCAACTACTCAGGAGCCTGAGGTGAGAGGATCACATAAGCCCAGTTCTAGTCTGTAGAGAACTATGATTGCACCACTGCACTCTAGCCTGGGTGACAAAGCCAGGCCTTTTCTCCCCACCCCCACCCCCCCTAAAAAAAAAGAAGTTATCCAGACAAATAGAGGTGGGATAGGTTGGAGCTGCACTTAGAGAACCAGCCCTGCATCCACCAAAGCACTTTGTAGATTATGAAGCATTAAGGAGGGAAGACTTTTTGATATTCACTATTCCTACTGCATTATTTTTAGAGTCAAATTTTCCCCATGTGGCATTCGAAGTTCTCCAAAGCTCCCATGCAAGTGTATGGGGTATTTCCAGTGTTAGAGCAATGTTCTTCAGTGCTTCCCAAGCTTTCATGGACACAGGAATCATACCAGGAAGGAATCTTGTTAAAAGGCAGCATCTAAGTCAGTAGTTCTAGAGAGGGGCCTGAGATTCTGCATTTTTTGATAAGCTTCCATGGTCTATGCTGCTGGTCCACAGACTACAGTTTGAATAGCAAGGGATTAAAGGCTTGCTTCAGAGCCTATGGCGTGATCTTTTCTACCCCTTCCAACGCATAGTGCCCTACTCAGCTCTGAATCAAGGTGCGGCCTGCACAGCAGCGGGGGCAGCCTCCCTGCCATGGTGGGAAATGAGCAGGAGCAAGTAGGACTTTTCAGTCCAGCACAGCAGCTTCAGCACAGAAAGGAAGAGGAAGGTTCACAATCCCCATCAGTTATCAGCCAGAGGGAAGCTAGTGAAGCTAGTGAGAGGAGCTTTTACTGTTTTCCAGTCACTGCAATAGCCCTTCTGGGCACTCAAGGGCACAACAAAGTGGTGGTTATTAAGGCTAATAAAAAAGCATGTAAAATGTGCAGTTAAATAACATTAACCCAGGGGTTGGTAGCTCATTTGGGGATGGGCTGTCTCTGCCCCTTGGTAGTGGCCTTTTTGTTTATTTAGTTGTTTCTCTGTCTCTAGCTATCCTGGCACTGGCAGGTACACAGAAAGCAGATAAGGGGCATCAGGCCCTTCCTTGGGGTCATCTCATTTTAAGAACAATAGCTGTGTTTAGAACCAGAAAGACCTGAATACAAAATGCAGCAGTGTAACTGTTGGCCAATAACCTAAGCTTACCAATCTATATGTGCCTCAGTTTGTCAGTCTATAAAATGAGGATAAGAATAGTACCTACCTCATAAGGAGTGTTGTAAGGATTATAGAGATGATGTGCACAAAACACTACCACTATTAATGTAACTCTTTCAAAGTGCTGGTCATTTTATATTATCTCATTTAATCATAAGGTTCTGAATGTGTATGTAACTTATTCAAAGACCCAGGAAGAGTGTGATTTGAATTAGATCTGTCTGGAATCTAAAACGATAGGTAGTTTACTTTCTACTTGACTTCACTCTCTCAGCACCTATCTGTGCCATGAATGCCTCATAGAGCTTACGTACACATTGGCACTTCATGGACATTTGCCTATTTGACTTGGTCTAAGTCCTAACCCAATATACACACTGAGAATCACCTGGAGGGCTGCTCTGGACATTGACATGAGGCACACACTGAGGGCTGCTAAGAAACCATGTAATATTGGCAAAACAAGGCTTGTTGACAGGCATCACAGAAAAGCAGCAGGGGATGGCATCAGCTAATGCAGACCTTGTCTCAACTGGAAGACGTGGCCATGATATCATTCCTCTGGGCTCAGAGAGGATATAGGAGTATCAATAGCTACCTTGTCTTCCTTTCAGAGCTGGCTGTAAGGATCGAGTGAGATCACTTATATGAAAGTGTCAGGCGTTGCAGGTAAGGCTTTCTCATCATTGTTATTATAATCAGAATGACAGGTATAAAAGTCCCAAGAGAACTCTAAAGCCATTCTGCTTTGGAGAAAATATTGCATTGAAAGAGACAGAAGATGAGAAAGACCCAGGGCTGTGGAAAGACTTATTATCTTCTATGGAAATATAAAAGTAACTGATTCCCAGTCTTAAGGCCACTGTGGAAAATAATAATGTGGCTAAAATTCATGGCCTGGTGGGCAGATGAATGTGGATTCATCTAATAAAAAGACGTAAAAGTGATTTAAATAAGCTATTTGGCAATATTTAAACTTTACCTGTGAAACTGACCCAGTTTTCTGGGCCACATGTGTAGTCTAGCAGCAAGGGGACAAGAGTCCCATTAAATAAATACAGAAAACCTGTCAAAGGATCTGTTAAAACTAGGAAGACTCTATCAGAAGCCTATTCAAAGCTCTGAATTGAATTTTACAGCTCAAGAGGTGAAGGAGATCAGTCCATGATTTACAACAGAGGGCAGCACAATTAGTGAGTCTGTTTTTTCAAGCTAACTGAGCAAGTCCCTCCAGAGATACACATGACATCTGGACAACTGTTCCCAGCTAGGAGGGGAGGCTGAGACCAAACCAGCATTGACCTTCCAGCACACCCATATGTGCACTGGTCACCAACTTTCTAGAATGAGGCTGCAATGATTGTAATTGGCCCCTTCCCTTGGGAGGCATCTCTAGCAGAGTTACAAAGCAGTGTCTTTTCAGGAGCTCACTGAGTAAGCCACAGACTTTCCCGGTCATTCATTTTTCAACTCACACTTACGGATCAGAGTAAGCAGATCTGAATCCTCCTCATCACTCTGTTTTCCAAGTGGAGCTCTCACTGGAATTAAAGAAGCTGTAATTAAAGTACCTTGTTTGGGAATGCTGCAATTAGTCACCAATTCAACATGCTATCAAATGTAATTCAAATATAAACACCCAGGCTGCAGGTGCCAATCCCCTGATGAGTTCTAGGAGACAGTGAGCCCTGCCTGCCTTCTTCATATGAACCTGTCGCCCCTGGGTGACTCACCTGGTGAGGTAGATACTGGCTCTGACCTGATCTATGGGAGTAAGCCCCAAGGCAGCCTGTCTTCCCAGTTATTTCTAAGCTTTGGGAGTTGGACTCCATAAGGAAAATGGCTGTGCTTTTGTCAGGAGTAGGCCGAGGTGGCCTTCCAGGGGCAGCATGACTCAGCGGGTTTGGAGCACAGGCCCACAACCCCACACATTATGTAACCACACCACATGAGGTACATTAACCACTCACGTAAGCTCGTGCTTGGCTCAGAGCCACTATTGTCTGTAAAAGGCATAACTACCCTGCTCATGCTGTACATACAGCTTGCTACCAGAGAGAGAATAAAGTCATGTCAAAACTGCCTCAAGTGTTTTTCCAGCTATCCACCACTTGCCTACCCACTCCCCTCAAACCTCAACTTGGGCTGGAAACTGATATTTGGCATGACAGACTTCCAAGGAGTTGATTTTGTCTCATTGCCACATAGAGAAGCTTAGGGTAAAGACAGCTTCTTCAATCTATATTTCAAAGGGAATAATGTGGCTTCATGATTAAACATAAGCTTTGAGGCTATATTTTCATTATTTCAGTCGCTAAAAATGCTGGGGCACTGAAATCTCAACTGGCTTGGTTGCAGCGTTGCCTCCCAGTCTGGCATCTGGCTTCAGCCCCTTCTGATCTGTTCTCCACGCATATCTTTTTTAAAATACAAATCAGATCAGGTTACAGTCCTGGTCAAAGCCCTCCACTAGCCCTCACTCCACTTGGAATCAAGTCCAGGCCTTTTGCTTTGGCCTCATTGCCCCAATGCCCTGCTCCTGCACATCCACCCTCTCACTGTGGAGCCCCAGGGCCTTTGAATTCGCTGTTGACTCTGCCAAAAGACTTCCTCCATAGATCTTAGCATGGATGGAAGCTTCTCGATTCTCGACTCTTCAGAGAAGCCTTTCCTGACTTAACATACCCAGCCTCTTCCCAGGCATTCCTTATCACACCAGTCTTTTAAATTTTCTATCCCATCAGTGTCTGATAGTTTCTTATTTAATTCTTTAGTCTTTCTACTTTCGCTGAGAATGCAAACTCCTTAAAAGGGATTCTTTGTCTTTGTCCCCCACTTCCTGAAGCAGAGCCTGGCACATAATAGAAAATATATTGGTGGGGTGAACGAAGCAATCTTCATAACAATTATTTATAAAATAAGGATGAACCTGCCTGAGCAGGGTAAGGTGAGTTGTGTGGCATGGCTGGTATGGAGCAGAGCCTCAATTCAAACCTGTCTTTACTACTCTAAAGTAGATCCTTTTTCCACCCTCACTGTCTTCTGTTTTGTTTCTTTCCCTTCCTCTGTTCCCAGCAGCTAATACAATGTTGTCTGAACATTTCATCTTTACGTTAAATGCTGGCGCATGACCTCAAGTCTCTGCCTCTTCTATCTGAACTGACTCATGGCTCACACTTTAAATGTCTGCATTCCAGCCTCCACTGCTTTTCTGAATCACTAGGAAACACTTATTCAAAGTAGACCCAGCCAACATATTTTACCTTTTATCAAGAGGTGCTCATCAAGTATCCTACATTTCTGTCCATTGTGCCTGCAGAAAAGCAGCATCCACCACTCTGCAGATCAGAACATGGAGGGGAAGTGTTTCTCCTTGAGGAAGATTCAACCAAGCTTGCTATCTTGGGGCTGGTGGGCCAAGCTTTCTGGAATGGAGGCAACACAACAGCTTCAAAATCCCAGACTGAGGCTTGGGGGCAGAACAGGAAAGAGGGTGAGGTGAGTTAGTGTGGGCACCTGGTGCCAGTTGCAGAGAGCTCATAAAGCAGGAGGCAGGGTTGGGGGAGGGGGGAACATCCACACCTGTACTCACCTTTTTAAAGAAAAAATGAGCAATATTGAACTGGGAGTCCAAGCACTTCCCTTTGAACACTTGTCTATTATTTGCTTGCTGCAGAGCCTCGGGCAAGCCCCCTAACTTCCCTGACTCTCAGAATCCTCATCTCCTGTGGATCAAGGTCAGCACCCCATCCCTGCTTACCTCAGGGCTTCCATGAAGACCATTCCAGATGATCAGTGGGAATGGAATCTGTGCAAGATATTATTGTGGTTCTTACATTAAGAGATGCCACATTTTGCAATCAAATCCACAGTATAAAGATGTGGCAGGGAGAGTCAAGATAGGTAAAAATAAGCATACTTTTATAATTTTAAATTATATACTTTTTAATTATAAAAATAAGGAGTTGGCTTCCCATCTCACCACCTATGCCTTTTCATTACTCAGCTACCAGCCCCAACACTCTGTACTAAGGGCCTTGGGCCCCCATGTTCTGCCCCATCCATTCTGCAAACTTCTCTCAAACTCTCCACTAGACCCAAATTTGGCCAAGAACAATACTGCTGCTGGCAGGAGGAGCTCTCCTTGGGCTCCTGAAGTCAGAACCTGTGGTCCCTGAAAGAAAAAAAATCCAGCCCTGGCCCCCTTCCAATGTAAAAACATTAAAAGAAGTCACATTAAGAAACAAGGTTTACCCTGAGAAGTATGCCCAGTCCAGGGCACTGTCCTCCATAACTGAAAAGCAAATCCATCATGTAAGACCAAGGATGAGCCTCTGAAAGCAAATGGAAAAGCGCTTGTGGGGGTGACAAATTCCATCACCATAGGAGGTGGGCTAATGATGTACATAATCCAGCCTCATATCTGCATCATGTTCTCGGCCCCATATGTCCTAAAGTCATTTGGTTGAGAAAAGGAAGGGGATTGCATTATTCATGGGTATAAGACTATTCATAGTACTATTCCTGCCACTGACTAAAATATTTACACCTCCATGGGGAGGTCTGAGCAGCTAGCCTTCTGGCACACCCACGTGAGTTTGTCAAGCCATTTGAAGAATTGGCATCCTCAAGGGAGACAATACCATATTCAGGGAAGATATTCAGCATCTCTACAAAGGGGTCACCCAGCTGAGAGCTGGTGAAGCACATTGTGTCCAGTTCAACATACCTTTTTTGAGCCCCTGCTAGATGTGGGCTATATGCCAAGAGTAAGCTCTTGCAGATCTAAGGGCAAGTCATAGTTCTGTTGCTTATTGCCATGGGATAATACATGACTTAATCTTTCCAAGTCTGAGTTTCTTCATCTGCTAAATGAGGATAACAGCAAAGCCTATGTCACCCAGAAAAAAGAAAAACACAAAAACAAAAAACTGGAGTTCACTCACCTGGCAAGTAACAAAAGACTCTCCACGAGAACACAGGTTTTCATCAATCATCAGTAAGAGTTTTATTACTTGGTGCAAGTGAGAACCCTGGGAGTATTTTCCAAAGCAGCATTTCCCTGAGGGAAAATGGCAGGAGGGTTTAATGGAGTGATGGATAGGAGAGAGGGCACATTGTTGCATGTAGAGAAGGGGTCCCAGTGATGCAGAGGCAGTGAGTCATTCTGCCAGCACATAGGTTGTATGTTATGGTAGTGAAGCTGTGGCTCCTCCTGGAGTGGAAACTTCAGCATGGTCATGAGGAATGTTCACTTGGGCTCATCTATAAATTGCCAGGATCTGTCAGGAGCTGGTTCCAACTAACAAGGTGACCGCATTCCACATGGAGTTTGGGGAAAAACAGGCTGAAGGGCAGGAGGCTGTAAAACAGGCTGATTGTTCAAGTTGATTAAATTCCTATAATCGTTGGAGACCCTCCTTGTCTGCTTATACCTGATTCATCAAACTTAGATAGTGTTCCAATAAAAATGCATATAAAAGTGATTGTAAGTAAAAAGTGCTATTCAAATGTTATCATCAGGGAGGACAGGAAGTGTATATAGAGAGGGGAGAGTACAGTGTCTTCCTCAGCTGGCTGAAATAGCAGTACATCTCAAGATACTTCCTTGATTTCGGTAAAATGGAATGCTTCCAATGGTGGACTTACATGACAGGCAACAGTGGTTAGAGCACAAACTTTGGAGCCAGACTGACTGGCTACTTCTGACCTTGGATAAGTTACTTACCGTGTCTGTGCCTCAGTTTTTCTATCTGCCAAATGGGGAGAATAGCAGAATCTATCTCCCAGGACTATTGCGAAGATTAAATACATTAATATATGTTAAGTACCTAGAACAGTGCCTGACCCAAGCAAACACTATGCAAATACTTAGTATCTGTTTCTATCACATAGACCTTCAAAAAGCACATTGTTCCCTGCCTGAAAGCGTCTTAGAACAGAAGCCTTCCCTGACCACTGTATTTTATGTTGCCCTTACCCATTACCCACTACTTGGGTTATCAGGTAAAATATGGGATGCTCAGTTAAATTTGAATTTCACGTAAACAAGGAATTACTTTTCAGCACAAGTATATCTCATGCAGTATTTGGGACATACACTAAAAAGGAAATAATTCCTTGTTTATTTGAAATTCAAACTTAACTGGGTATCTGGGATTTTTATTTGCTAAATCATGCAACTCTACCACCCTATTATCCTGTCAATAATTTCAGGCCACAAAAAAGTGCTATAAAACTGCCATTTTATTTTTTATTTATTTTATTTTATTTATTTGTAGAGACAGGGTTATGCCATGTTGTCCAGACTGGTCTCAAACTCCTGAACTCAAGTGATCCACCCACCTCGGCCTCCCAAAGTGTGGCAGGCCAGGTCTCACTAATGTAGGCCTTCGTAACAACTGTTTCAGCACTGACTGAGTGGTTAAGATAAATATTAAAAGCTGATAGAGTCAGTGCCCTCATACAAAGGCTGGAATGTAACAAAAGCCCGCCAAAAGTTTTGCCTAGGCCTTTCTTGGGCCTTGAAGCATGACAAGATAAAGAAGGAATTCTTAATAGGACCAGCTTAGGATTAAACAAGTTTTACTGGGGGTCTGAAGAAACTCACCAGGCCTCCGCAAACAAGTTTAGTGGGGATCTGAAGGAACTCCCCAAACCTCCATGATTTAGCAGGGACAAAAGATAAGGCTAATCACCCTAGCACCGGGACCCACTTAGATTAAGTAAATTTACTGAGGCTCCAGAGGAAGGTCTTCAGGACTCAGATCTTATAGATTAAAAGAAGTTAATCACTTACGTCTTTAGATGAACGCACGCTGACACGTAGACATATAGCTTAGAAGGTATATAAGCTCTGCAAAACTTCGTAATTTTGAGCTGGTTGGGTGATATTTTCCAAGCCTTCTCTCTGTAACCAGTTTCAGAAATAAAAACTCCCTCCTTTCCCAGTTCATCTGCACCTTGTTACTGGGCCATGAGAATAAGCAGCTCCACCCTCCATTTGGTCTGGGAACAAAAGTGCTAGGATTAAAGGTGTGAGTTACTGCACCTGGCAAAACTGCCATTTTAAATTTATCAGAAAGTCCTCCTCATTAGAATGTAAGCACCATGAGAGCAGGAATCTTGTCTATCTTATCTCTAGCTATTTTCCCAGAGCCCAGCAGACTACCTGGCCCATGAGAGGAGCTCAGCATAAAGGTGTTTTTATAAAGACTGCAGAAGTTGACTGGAAGCAGAGCAAAAGAGAGGCCCCTGGCTGCCTTCTCTAACTTCTTGCTCTTCTGGTCTCTCTCTCCAATGCTATTTTCAGGTATTGTTCTAGTCCACATACCCAGGTCTGAGACACTTCCTGTTTGCAGTCTGAGGGACCCCAACCCTTCTCAGAGCTTGGCCTTCATTCCCAGAGTGGCGGCCTTGGCATGGGGTTATGAAATGTGCCATAGTTTTCCCTTTGAACTGTGAACAATCAATTCTCTGCATTCCAATTCTGTCGCAATCCTGGGCTCCTCCACAGACCACAAGAAATGGACTTGCCTTATGCTAATGGCATTTCATTTATCATTATGGAGTCGAATGAGGAGAGACCATTAAGCTGAGCGTGATGTTTTATTAGTGTGTTTTTCTGAGGTCTGTGACTCTGCATAACAGAATGAATAAAAATGACCTAAATTTTACTTTATGAGACATTTTCAGGCTGCACTAGCTCAGCTGCCCAAGCCTTTGGTAAAAGGCGTGAGGCTTCAAGTCTTCCTTTTTAAAGTATTAGTACAGGTATGGCTTTCGCTCAATTTAATTTGATGTTTTACATTTGGTACAGCTCCAGTTTCCCATAAAATGAAGATCTCTCGATTCTTCGTGATTTTTAGTTTAAGACAAGGTAGACTTTAGGGGCGTATGAACCAGAATGCCTACCCTGTGCCTGAAATTGGCAACACTTGCCACAGTTTTAAAAACCATGTTTCCAGGTGTGGCTGAAATTGTTCACAGTCCTTTCTGATTTGGAGTGTCCATATTTGCTTTGTCTGATGTACTGCATTTAAAAAGAAATGGCTCTTTGCTTTGGAATTGAGTTTTAAATTGAATGGGTGGTTACGGAAGCAGCACTGTTACATGAAAACACCAGCTTTGGGACTGGCCGGGGGGTGGGCGGGCAGTGAGAGGAGAACGCGCTGTCTTTCCTCCTAGATTTGTTACAAGGACTTAATTATCTATGTAACAGTTAGCTGCTTTGCTCCTATAAAATAATTTTTACAAGAAGCAAATAAAAAAGAGGGAAAATAAAATAAATGGGCTTCCCCAAGTGCAGATGGATGATTTCTGCAAGTCTCTTCAAAGAGGACAGCTGATAACGAACTGTGTCCCAAGCCTCCTCTCGCTGGAAACAGGAGGGAATTCTGTGGCTTACACGCAACCATATGTTGAGGATATGAATATTGCTTCGCACATTCTAGCAGTTTCAAAATGCATGAGGGCTTTTTTCCCTTTAAGAATCAATAACTCATCAAGAAAAAAGAAAGCTATATGCACAAAAATGTTAATTAACAACATTATCAATACTAGCAAGAAGAAATTACAAGCAAGCTCTATGTGCAACATTCTGGAAATTAAGTAAATTATGGTGCATGGACGATGATGAAGATAATGCATTCAATGAAATGATAATTAGAAAGATTTTGTAGGTACGTAGAAAATATTTAAGCTAAAGTGCCAAATGAGAGAAAAATGACCAAATTATATGTGCATTGTGATTGCAACTGTATCAGTATAACTGTGTAGATGGGCACAGGCTGGAAGAGGAAAATAAAAAATGATAATACATAATAGTTGTATAGAATTCGTTGGATTAATTGTAATTAATCACTATTTTTAAAAATTATTTTTGAAAAGGTAAAAACATTTTTTAAATAATGGCTTGAAAACAAATGGCAGAAATGTGCATTTAAACATTTAACGTGCAGTTTAAATGTTTGAATCTAGAGACTAGGCATCATCAGTTCATCCTGGAGCTTGTTAATAAGGTAATATTCTACTTATAGAAGTGCTTAAATTCTCCAAATACTTACTTAGAAGGATGAAATTCAAACTATCTAGGGAGATGCTTCCAAAAAGAAAACAAAGTCATTTAATTTTAGGATGAGGTCTCAAACATACCTGTGGTAAGCTCCTGGTCTTACTGATGGAGGCCCAGAAGGATTGGAGACTTGGTCAGGCGCTAGGACTAGAAGGGAGCAGTCCTGATGCAGGACAGACCTAGTGTGTAAGTCACCAAGGGTGACTGGGAAGGTGGATGACCACGAGGCTCCCTCCCTGGGTTTCTACAGCCCACTGAAAAGCCCAGCAAGGGCCAGAGCTCAGTCCTGCTCAGCCCTCAGTCAGCACAAGACACAAAGTGCACAGCTGGGCCCAGCGGTCCAGCTTTGGAAGGATAGGGCTGGACAATGTTCTGTTGCCCTTCCTATGTTTGCAAATGGTCTTTTCCCTGCCTAAGGCTCTACTGGTCCTTGACCCACAGCTGAATCCTTGGAGTCAGCACACTCTGCTCTGTTCCTAGAATGCTTTCCTTCTTTTGCTTTAACAAAGTGCTGTCCTCACGTGGACCACTGGTGGAACAGACACGCACTTCTCTTGGGTCAGCCATGCTTTGCTCTCAGGGAGTTCTCACTCCAGTCCTGCTGGCCATACTGCATTTTCCACAGGCAAAACCCAAAGAACAGAGTAGTCTTGATTCAAGGTGCTGTGCTTTGCTCCCTGGCAGGCCAGCTGACACCTGGCTCTGAGTCACGGCCTAGAACCTCCAGGGCTTAGAAGGTGCAGGTCCTCACTTGCCTTTCTGCCCAGCTCTGGAGTACAGATGTCCTTTCTGGCCAGGTGCGGTGGCTCATGCCTGTAATCCTAACAATTTAGGAAGCCAAGGTTGGAGGATTGCTTGAGCCCAGGAGTTCAAGACTAGCCTAGGCAACATAGTTTTTTAGTGAGACCCTGTCTCTACAAAAATGTTTTAACACATTAGTGAGACATGGTTGTGCACACCTGTAGTTCTAGCTACTTAGGAGGCTGAGGTGGGATGATCGTGTGAGCCTAGAAGTTTGAGATTGCAGTAAGCTATGATCTCACCACTGCACTCCAGCCTGGGAAACAGAGCAAGACTCTGTGTCTCTAAAAAAAAAAAAAAGAAAAAAATTTCCTTTCCATGCCTTGTCCTTTGTGGTCCTTGGCCTTTGGAACGCGATAAAACACTCTCAGATGGAAGTTCAGGTTAACTGAATGCTTTTCATTACAGCTAAAACAGGAGGAGGCAACACTATAACTTATCTGCTCTGTTACTTGGTCAAGTTACTTAACCTCTAAACCTCAGTGTTCATATTTGTAAAAAAAAAAAAAAAAAAAAAAAAAGGGATCATAACAGTAGCCACCTCACTAGATTCCTATGAACATTTGATGAGAGAGAATACATTAAACATGCAGGGCAGTTCCTGGCCCACAGGAAACATATGCTGTGATTTGCTATTATTTTTTATCCTAATTTTCTTCTCTGTAAAACAGGAGTTTTAACACGTCTTCACTGCCACTATAATGGTGGTCACCATCTCTAGATGGTGAGGAAACACCATCTTCCTGTCTCTAGAAGTCAACAACCTCACACCCTAGAGGTTACTCTCCCAAACATTAGCATCAGATGAGCTGCGGTCCTGAATCTGCCTACCCAAGCGTGGAGCACTGTGGTGATGCAAGGACTTGCTGTCACGGTGTGGTGGCCCCTTTCCCCATGACATGAGCGCTAGAGTCTTTGTCCCGAGGGCAATGGGCACCAGGCAGCTCTTGGCAGCCTCATTACACCTGTGCAAGAGGACCATCATCACCACCTCAGAGACGTGGAGACAGAGGTTAAAGTACAATGTGTTTGTCACTTACCTGGGACCACCAGGCTAATTAGTGGCAGAACTTGGTTTAAAACTAGGTTTGCTCAACTCTAAAACTTATATTCTTAACCAGAATTTTGTAACTGCTTTTTGCTCTCAGTCAAAAAAATCAATTCAACCATACATTACATAAAAGAACATGTCAATATCAACTATACTAAATGTCTACTGAATTCAGGATATATAACACAATTTTTTTTTTAATGTGCGAGGATTTGTTTTTTGTTTTGTCTTATTTGTATTTGCTTCTGATTGACGTCTTTCCTCTTTAATAGAGCATGAGTGCATGTGGCTGTGGCTGGGCGGAGGTGGGATAAGGTGGAAGGTATATTCCAGATCACAGAAGGCCCAGTTGTTTAGACTTTTTGTGACTAATGATTGATGTAGACTCTTTAATCAAGATTTCAGGCTGGATGCAGTGGCTCACACCTGTAATCCCAGCTCTTTGCAAGGCCAAGGCAGGAGGATAGCTTGAGGCTAGGAGTTCAAGACCAGCCTGTACAATATAATGAGACCCTGTCTCTACAAAAAAATAAAATAAAAATTATTAAAAACAAATCAGGGGCGAGGATGAGAGGCGGTTGTGGCTATGTATCTCCTGAGAGGAAGGGTTTGGTATTAAAGAATCCTCTAAGCCTGTTTGATCCAGTTATCTTGCCCTATTGGGTCAGAGACCACCTTGATCTTAAACTTGACTTCCCTTAGGCCTACTACAAGTGAATTGTATCATCTAAGTTGCATTCAGATCCTGTCAATCATGGGT
Organism: Homo sapiens; assembly: GCF_000001405.40. NCBI lineage: Eukaryota > Metazoa > Chordata > Mammalia > Primates > Hominidae > Homo > Homo sapiens. The sequence goes on along the minus strand of NC_000010.11, from coordinate 111,471,685 downwards.
ATTCTGGTTTAAACCACTTATTAATGTAAATTTTAAGAATTGGAAAAGAGGAAAATAACATAAGCTTGCATTAGCAGGAGAAAACAATAATAATTTCATCTGCATGTGGGAGTTGTGTCTCAGATTCAATGAACTCTGGAATGAGATGGAAAATATTATAAATATGACTCTGAAAATTGAATAATCAGCTTTACACATGGTTCCAACTGTAATGGATGGAAAGACATAAATAGAATAAAAGGAATATTTGCTCTTAAACTTTTCTGAGACTGCCACCCTAAGAGTGAGCTTATCTCTCCAAACAACTGCTAATTGAACTGTGAAATAAGGGACACAACTTATAAATTTGAAGTTTCAAATTTTAAGTCAAATTAAACAAAATCCAGACACTTTTAAATTTATAGGATTAATCTCCTGTCTTTCCTGCAATAACAAGTAAATTGAATCTGCACAATCATGTTCAGTGTACAATTTTCAACTGTGTAATTATTGTTTAAAGATACATGTCTTCAATTTCTTCTGTTCCCTTTTGAAACTCAAATCCATTTCAAATCTTTTGTTAATCAGCAATTTAGTTATCAGAGAATGGTTTCTTACTGTTAGTAATTAATTCTTATATTTACAGAAAAGAAATAATGAAATACAATCTCATCCAAAAAGAACATTCTAAAACATTCCACTGAGTGCAAACACATGACCCTGCAGTGTCACAGTTTCTTCTAGTGACACCACAAAAACTTCCTGAGCTATTTTACAAAGAACTGAAAAGAAAGTCTGATTCCTCTGAATGATCTGTCCCTTTTAGATGTGACAGTTGAGGTAATATTAAGCAACTCAATAGCAATTGTGAAAGTCAATATGCAGTATTACAAGTTTATTACTTGATATTTTGCATTAGATCTTGACAGTACGACATGCATTTTCTTCTTAGGCAGCAAATACCTGCAGGACAAGGGTGCTTTCTGCACATTTGATATAGTTATAGATGTAGCAGTTTACTAAAGTAGAAAATGAATATTAGCTAATTAGCCATCAAACATGGAGGGGGCACCTTCTGACCATGTGACAGGTACTCTGTCAAGAACTGCAGAAAATGCAAATCTGAATGAGATCAGGCCCATTCTCATTAGTGTTCAGCCTGGTCAGAGAAATAAGAGAATAAAGATTCTGATAAGCAAAGAGAGGGCAGGGGAATTCCAGTGATGGGCAGTAGGGTGGCAGGGGCAGAGATGGGGGCAGGACATAGGCTTGGGGGGAGGAAATGCAAAGCATGTTTAGGAAAAAGGAAGAATATATAGCATAATAATGATCATTATCATAATATTTATTATATGCCAAGCACAATGCTATATGTTTTACTTGCAATATGTCATGTAGGTGGCCACCTCATCCCAGTTTGCATGGGACTTTTCTGTTTTACCACTGAAAGCTGTTTCAGTAGCTCAGAATGCCTCTCAGTCCTGGACGAATGGGGATGGTTGGTCACCCCACATGCACTCCTTGCAAAATGACCTTATGAGATCTATTCTGTAATACTATCACCCTTATCTTAAAGAAGAGGGGATGGAAGGTCAGAGCGTCAAAGAGCTTATCCAAGATTGCATGGTTGCTAACACGTGGGAGCTGAGAGTGAAAGAGAGAGCTCTTACCTACTAGTATCAGAGATGAATCCTGATTCTAGAGTGTCTGCAAGGCAGAGTCCCAGTTAGCAAGATTTTTTTTTTTTAAAGAAAGTTGGTACAAAAATCATAGTGCAATAAAAATTCAAGGATTTCTCCTGTGGACATTGGGGAGTTATTGAAGATTTCTGAATAGAAGGACAATGTGGAAGCTTTCCTAATTTAGGATTGATGGCACCAATGCGGTTAGCACAAACCAATGGTTTCTCCAATCATTCTTCCTGTCTCTAGAAGTCTACAACCTCACACCCTAGAGATTACTCTCCCAAACCATTAGCAAACTAGAGAAAGCATTTTGAAGGTCAAAGAAATGTGCTCCTATTCCCAATCCATTTCAAGATTTTTTCCCTATTCATGTTAGTACTTTTCCTATGTTTCTGTCTATAGCAGAAACTAGAAATACTTGAAAGGTTATAAACAGCTTTGCTTAAGCATACTTCTTTTACAGTCTATCATGCCTCAAATCTCATTTCCTTCAGGAAATAACACGTAGAAGAGGTGCTGGTTCTAGACTTCCCTCTAAGAGACGGGAGCAGAAGCAGAGCAAATCACTGTTGAATGGCACGATTTAGACTGTGTTTGTGTGTGCGCATCTTTTGTCATCTTACCAATTTCCTGTTTGTCTGCTTATTTTCTTTTACCACTTTTTATTTTGAGCTGTTATGTGGTTTATTTAGTGGTGGGGAGAATAAGGATCCAAACAGCCTATCTGTTAAGAGGTATGCCATTTGAGGTCACCATAATTCCATAGTCTAGTGCAAGATGGCCAAGTGAAGTCTCTTGAGAGTGAAGGTGGTAATTTTCATCAAGTACATTTCCCTGTCTGATTCAAGGGGACACATAATGCAGAAACCTGAAGCAGTGAGTCTTTGTGCTGAGAACATTAATTTAATTCCAATCTATAATGCTCCTGCCGAGTCACAAGGCCCATATATTCCCAATCTCCGCTTGTTTGAAATTGAAATCATTCCCTTTGCAAAAACAAACCATCCTTCTCCATGAGTCCCATTACATGGCCAGAACTCCTTTCTGGGAGATTATTTGATGACAAATTATATCAAGAAATTAAACAGAAACCCCATTAGTAATGGTGACAATATTCCACACACACATGAAATATTTAATGAAAATCTAGAGCTAGGGTGTTGAATTTGCACACAAAGAACCTATGTAAGATGCATTTTCTCTGAATGCAAATGCAAATTTTCTTTTCTAAAGACCTTTGCAAGTACGCAAGAGCTGTCTGCTTTTAGTCACAGGGAAACATCCATTTAGTAATCTCCTACCTCCATTGATTCCACCCATAATGAGATATCCAGAGGTATAGTAGAAGTCCAGAAACATTCAAAATATGGAAGCAGAAAGATGAAACCAGCTCAAATGGCTAGTACTATCTGCTAAGGAGTCAGACATATGAATGGCCAAAAGAACCCTTAGTCTTTAAAGGATGAGTGGAGCTGGTCAAATTAAAAATGGGTTTCTGCTAGATCCTAGTATAAGCAGCTGAAAGAATTAGTAAAAATAGTAACAGTTCATGCTTCTGCTTGGGGCACATCTCACCCTCTATCTTTAAGTCAGTTGGACCCTTCCATACAGGTAAACAGAACAATACAGCATAGTGGTATTGTTGTTTACCACTGTATATTAAAATCATCTATGGACTTTAAAAATGTCCTGATTATAGCAGACCAATTAAATCAACATTGTGTTATGGGAGAACACAGATATCTATATATCTCTTAAGTGCCTGCAGTCAGGGTCCTGTTGGGATATAGAAACCAGAAACAGAGAATTTAATTAGTCTTACCAGTTATTGAGGAATGCAGAAAGCAGCTACTACCTCTAACGCTGAGAGAAACAAAGGAAGAAATTAGGGCTATCGAAACTTAGCAGCTGGAAGGAAGAGCCCTGCAGAACTGAGACCGTGGCCTCTGGGGTGTGCTGCCAACTGTTACTGGTGTCTGAGCTCAGGGGAGGAACCCCCTGGAGCTGGATGGGACCTGACTTCTGAGAAGAAGGCACTGGCTGGCTAGTGCTTATATCTCGGAAACAACTGCTTCTGGGATTGTGGCAAACCTGCAAATTAAAATCAACTGCTGCTACTGGGACCAAAGATTGAAGAACCACTGCTAAGGTGACAGTAAAAACAAAGAAAGCAAACAGAATGAGAAAAATCCCTTCTCCCTACTCCATCCTTTCAGTCTCTTCTAGCACCCGCTAATGGCAGAGCTGGTAAAGAAGAAATGCTGTTGGCAGAATCCCAGCCCGGGCATTACAGAGCAGAACATAGGAGGTAGGTCTAAAGTAAGAAACAAGCATTTAATAACGAGCATTAGTCCCCTAGGTGATTATGTTGTGTAGGCAGGGTTGAGAACCACTGCCTATGGAAAGCTACAATTCAGGACTCTTCTCAGGTATTTCTGGTTGTTTATGCTTTGTCCAAGTTCCCCAGACTTGGTTCAGTTTTCCCATTATTGGCCTGCTCTTTCAAGCTCTGTATTTGCTTTTGGTCTCTTGACTTTTGGGTTCCCACAGTTATGGCTTACATCTGGCCCATGGGCTCCTCAGCTTTAAAGAATTTACTCTCATTGGCCCCACAGGACCCAAGCCTAGGCAATTCGAGTAGAGGGGTTGGACTTTGATGTCCACGGAGTTTGTTTTGGCTCATAATTCCAAGGACCATATTTCCCTGGGACCGCCCAGCTCTGGTGGTCACTTACAAATCTGTGCTGATGACCAGTCCCAACAGTGGTCTGCTGCCCTTGGCTTTGCTGAGAACCCAAATAGGAAAAATCTATTATCCTGTGAGGTGTGGCTAAAATGAAAACATCAGCTTTCATGCCTCTGTTTTTGTTCTTTGGAGAGCCTGACTGGGTTATTTTCTTAGCTGTAGACTTCATCACTTAAAACACCCAACCAGTTAGATCAGAAGAGAAATAAAGCTAATCCTTTTTATCTGGAAGATCTCCCACATATAATGAGATACTCTAAATCCTCATTCAGATCACTTCAATGGATATCGGTAGGCTCTAATGTTCATTTAACAAATATATATTGAGCTCCTCCTAGGATCTGGGCAATGTCCTAGGCACTAGAGGAACAGCAATGCACAAAGCAAAGTAATTGCTCTCATGGAGGTCATATTCTACTTAAGGAAAGAGACAATAATAAATAAGCAAACCTATAATATACCAGATGTAGTTGGGTAGTTCAAGATAATAAATTCCCATGAAGTTGTCAAGCTGTTAGCTAGGATAATAGTCTCATCTGAAGGCTCATCTGGGGCTGGAGGATCTGCTCCCAAGTTAACTCATGTGGATCACAAGGCTTTGTTTCTAAACCATGTGGACCTCTCCAGAGAGCTCCTCATGACTTGGCAGCTGGGTTCCCCCAGAGTGAGTGATCCAAGAGAAAGTGATCAAGATGGGAGCCACAGTATTATTTCTAACCTAAGCTTGGAAGTGACATACCATTGCTTCTGTCGTATTCTATTGGTCACAATGGATCAAATGTGAAAGGGGACAACATGGCAGCGTAAATACCAGGGTTTGGGGATCACTGGGACTGTCTCAGCTGCCCTACATGGTAATAAGTGCTATGGAGGAAACAAAACAGGGTGAAGAGATAGGGAGGGCAGAGGTTTGGGGTGACTATTGCTCTTGATACAGATGGTCACAGAGGACTTCACTCAGGCACAAAACAGAGGCCTGAAGAAAGTGAGGGAGTAGCTTCAAGGCTTTCCTTTTAAAGGATTCCACCTAGGGGTTAGCTTTTGTGGGAAATCATCCCTCAGCTCCACTAAGAACCCATCACTCATCAGCCTCACTAAGAACCCCTACTATGCTCTCCCAGAGCATCTACACTTACTCTCTGAAAGCTGTCATCACACTGCCACATCTTCTTTCTTCCTTCGACGTTAGAGGGTGAGTTCTTCAGTGTCATGGAAAATGTTTGATTCACCTTTGTATCCTCAGTAAAAGGTCAGTAATTTTAGATGAGTGAATGAAATAATTAACTTACCTTCTCTGCAGTCTTTTTTAGGAACTTAGAACAAATTACTGTTTAACAATTTGTTAAATTAAGTATTAGTTTTGTCTAAAGCAAAAACTGTAGATATAGATTTATATGGCCACTTTAAACACATAAATCTACTCTTGTGCCCTGTCAGTGGCATTGCCTACAGATACTGTTAGTTTATGAAGTACCAAATGGAACAAAAATATGTGGCAACTTATTGAACAAAAATGTTTTGTGAGAAAAATATTTTTGTTCCCATGCAGCAACGTTTCTATTAAATTGTTTCTAAATATGTAAAAAGAAAAAAAACTCAGAGTGGCAACAGAATACCCTGAGGAGTCTAAAAAGCACGAAAACAGCAATATTATTTTGATAATGAAGAACAGATATGAATGATATTATTTCTTCATACTCTATTTTGGGAGGAGCTGATTTTTTTTTAAATATATGTCCCTTGCACAAAAAATCAAATGCTGTGACTCCCCCACAGCCCTAGGACAGAGGCAACAGTTTACACAAAAGGACAGTCGGCCATACAGAAATATGTCTCCCATATGTTTGGGAATTAACTCATCAGTCAAAGCATCAGCTACCTCTCTCCTTGTGACTCCAGAAGCATTTAATATAGTATTACTCCCAAAATTCACCCTGAGTACTTAAAGTACCAAAGCCATGGAAACTGTAATGTGCATACCAATCACCTGGGTATTCGTTCAATGCAAATTTTGGTTCAGAATCTGGGGTGGGGCCTAAAAGTCAGCATTTCTAACAAATTTCTGGGAGATTTGTGAGAGCTGGTCCTCATATTACATATTGAGTAGGAAGGTATTTAAATAGCATTCAGAGTCCAAAATCTGCCTGCCTACATTTATAGGTGACTTGAAATTTCTTTCTTCTTTTTATTTAATCAGCCTAATGAGGAAACCTATAATAATCAAGAAACAAATTTATCATATTAATTTGAAAAGTTGTTAAACCATTTATTCTTCCACAAGACAGTGTAGATTTCAGATTTGAAAATCAGCATGTTCAGCCATACATTTTTATTTGAACAAGTGCAGTTGCTAAGAAATCTACAATGTAGATTCCAAACTTAATTAAATCTTACTTCTTACCACATCTAATGTGCTGTGTTTCAAGCATTTCCAAATTGAAAGTGAGCAAAACAAAGTCATTAAAACTAAAATTTAAAAGTTATATTAATCATCCTGTATAAAATTCCAAGTGGACACCTTCCTCCTGCACTCCAGTTACACAGGAGGAACAGAGGAATTTCACCCATGATTTATTTTATTAAATTTTCTTTAATGTTACATTGACCTATTTCTCAAAGGAGGGCACAGACTCTGCAGGGTTATTTACTCTTTGGCTTTTGTATATGCAACTTGTCTTATTGAGATAGGCAAATATAGAATCATATTGATGAGGTTGTTGGCTTTCATTATTTCAAAAACCTAGCAAAGTACAAAAATCTATCAGAATTAATCAACTTATTACATCTGAAGCAGCTTGTTACATCTAGCTTGTTACATCAAAAGCGGTTGACCCTCATGCCTCACCCCCTACCCCAACCTCAGACTCCAGCTCCACTGTCAGAACTCTTGCCCAGATCTAACTGGGAAGGTTGCACTGGTGCCCAAAAGATCTTTGAGACCCATTTCCTGGGTCTCTGCAGCAGCGGAACCCAGCGTGGTGTTCTCCCATCAGCCAGCAAGCTGCAGGCTGTGAATCATTTCAGCCCCCAACTCGACAGCTCTCAAAGCACCTGTCTTTCACAGAAAATAACTCACACAGTGAATTTGGATATTTTTGGATATTTTTTAAATGTCTGTATTTGGTGGGCTTGAAGTAATCTCAGATTTACCACCTCAATTCAGTTGTGGGTCTTACTGATACACCAAACATCCTGACTTCTAAATATCTGAAGAGGCGTAACAATGGAAACCCAACTAATTCCTTTCTTTGGTCAGTGACAGAGCCTATATACTCGTTCTCCTCCTCCACCTGCTTTTGGTTGCTTTTAACAAATTTTTAAAAATTTTCCTTGGATAATGTAAACTAGAATTCCAACCAAATTGTGCCTAGCACAAAGGAAGTACTTAATACATTGATTAAATAGGTAAATGAATGAAGGATTACTCCAGTAAAGATTTTCAACCCAGCCACTTCAAAGGAGAGACGTGGCCATAACAATAACAAGTAGCATATACATGTGACTAGTTACCATTTCACAAAGTTTTTGCCTATATCAGCTCAACCAGTCTTCACTACAGCTCTGTGAGTGTGAGGAAACAAGCACGTCTCACTGATGAAGATGCTGAGACTCAGAGATTAAATGGTTGGTCAAGGTTTCATAGCCAGTAAATGGGACAGCCATGGTTTGCACTTGCGTCTTTTAACTCCAAATGCCATACCTTTCACACTGTACCCTTTTGCCTCAAGTAAGCCTAGGAGACGGAGTTTTGATCCTAGAATTGATGGGACAGATCTGAATACATTTCCAGTATTCCACAATTCTGAGTCTTAAGACTTTTTCTTAGCCCAAACATCCCAACTTTAAAACTAGAAAATATAAAATCAAAATCTAATCTAGGGGAACAGTGCCTGCCACAGTGAGAGTTTTCTGGGGATATCACAATGTATTAGTCCATTTTCACACTGCTTGTAAAGACATACCCAAGATTGGGCAGTTTACAAAAGAGGTTTATTGGACTTACAGTTCCACATGGTTGGGCAGGCCTCACAATCATGGCAGAAGGTGAAAGGCAAGAATAAGCAAGTCACGTCTTACATGGATAGTAGCAGGAAAAGAGAGAGCTTGTGCAGGGAAACTCCCATTTTTAAAACCATCAGATCTTGTGAGACTCATTCACTATCATGAGAATAGCACAGGAAAGACCCATCTCCATAATTCAATCACCTCTCACTGAGTCCCTCCTACAACATGTGGGAGTTGGGGGAGTTAAAATTGAAGATGAGATTTGGGTGGGGACACAGCCAAACCATATCATTCCACCCCTGGCCCTCCTAAATCTCATGTCCTCACATTTCAAAACCAATCATGCCTTCCCAACAGTCCCCCAAAGTCCTATTTCAGAATTAACTCAAAAGTCCATAGTCCAACACCTCATCTGAGACAATACAAGTCCCTTCCACCTATAAGTCTTTAAAATCAAAAGCAAGTTAGTTACTTCCTAGATACAATAGGGGTAGAGGTATTGGGTAAATATAGCAGTTCCAAATGGGAGAAATTGGCCAAAACAAAAAGGCAACAGGCCCCATACAAGTCTGAAATCCAGCAAGGCAGTCAAATCTCAAAGCTCTAAAATGATTTCATTTGACTCCATGTCTCACATCCAGGTCATGCCGATGCAAGACTTGGATTCCCATGTTGTTGGGTGGCTCTGCCCTGTGGCTTTACAGGGTACAGCCTCCCTCCTGAATACTTTCATGGGCTGGTGTTGAGTGTCTGAGGCTTTTCCAGGTACACAGTGGAAGCTATCAGTGGATCTACCATTCTGGGGCCTGGAAGATGGTGGCCCTTTTCTCACAGCTCCACTAGGCAGTGCTCCAGTAGGGACTCCGTGTGGGGGCTCCTGCCCCACGTTTCCCTTCTACACTGCCGTAGCAGAGGTTCTCCATGAGAGCCCTTCCCCTGCAGCAAACTTCTGCCTGGACATCCAGGTGTTTTCATACATCCTCTGAAATCTAGGCAGAGGTTCCCAAACCTCAGTTTTTTATTTCTGTACACCTGCAGGCTTAACACTACATGGAAGATGCCAAGGCTTGAGGCTTGCACCCTCTGAAACCATGGCCTGAGCTGTACCTTGGCCCTTTCCAGTCATGGCTAGAGTGGCTAGGACACAGGGCACCAACTATGGGGACCACAAGCATGGGGACCCTGGGCCTAGCCCATGAAACCATTTTTTTCTCCTATGCCTCCGGGCTTGTGATGGGAGGGGCTGCCTTGAAGACCTCTGACATGCCCTGGAGACATTTTCCCCATTGTCTCACTGATTAACATTCAGCTCCTCGTTACTTATGCAAATTTCTGTAGCCAGCTTGAATTTCTCCTCAGAAAATTGGATTTTCTTTTCTATCACGTTGACAGGCTGCAAATTTTCCAAATGTTTATGCTCTGCTTCCCTTATAAAACTGAATGCCTTTAACAGTACCCAAGTCACCTCTTGAATGCTTTCTTGCTTAGAAATTTCTTCTACCAGATACCCTAAAGTTCTCCCTCAAGTTCAAATTTCCACAAATCTCTAGGGCACAGGGGCAAAATGCTGCCAGTCTCTTTGCTAAAACATAACAAGAGTCACCTTTGCTCCAGTTCCCAACAAGTTCCTCATCTCCATCTGAGATCACTTCAGCCTGGACCTTATTTTTCATATCACTATCAGCATGTTTGTCAAAGCCATTCAACAAGTGTCTAGGAAGTTCCAAACTTTCCCACATTCTCCTGTCTTCTTCTGAGCCCTTTGAACTGTTCCAACCTCTGCCTGTCCCAGTTCCAAAGTTGCTTTCACGTTTCTGGATATGTTTTCAGCAACGCCCCATTCTACTGGTACCAATTTTTACTGAATTAGTCTGTTTTCATGTTACTGATAAAGCCATACCCAAGACTGGGCAATTTACAAAAGACAGAGGTTTATTGGACTTATAGTTCCATGTGGTTGGGGAGGTCTCATAATCATGGCCGAAAGTGAAAGGCAAGGAGGAGTAAGTCACATCTTACATGGATGGTGGCAGGCAAAGAGAGAGCTTATGCAGGCAAACTCCCATTTTTAAAACCATCAGATCTTGTGAGACTCATTCACTATCACATCAACAATGCAGGGAAGACCTGCCCCCATAATTCAATCACCTCCCACTAGCTTCCTCCCATGACACATGGGAATTGTGGGAGTTACAATTTAAGATGAGATTTGGGTGAAGACACAGCCAAACCATATCACACAGGAAGTAAAGGGGAAACTGAATAGGAGAATCTCTCAGTTCCCATGCTTTCCAAGTCACCTCTACTTCTTTTTTCTGTTTTAGAGATTGGAGTTCAGTCTTAAAAATACACCCACTATTATGGGGTAAAGAACAACAGAAGTCAGGAAACCCAAACTCATGTTTAATAGCTTACTTGCTATCTATGCCTGGTTAGCCTTGAACACGTCTCACCTCAGTTTCCCCATTTGGGAAAATAAACCAGCAGAGCATAGTGAGGAATAAATGAATACAGTCATGCTTTGGGGATAGACTCACTCTCCACAAATGCAAGGCGTTCTCACATGCATGACCTTGCTGGGGTAGAGTCAGGGATGGAGTGCTGGGTGATGGTTAAGATGAGTAAGACCAAGGAAAGAAAAGTCAAAAATTCTCTATAGCCTACAGCATGGTGGAACCTGAAGGAAAATTCTCATGACTTTCTCAAGGATCACCCTGTCCTGGGAAAGGACTTGAATGGTCCCACAGAGAAATTGGACCCTTTTCCTATTCCCCATTAAGAAAGCTGATGTCATGCAAAAATGTGAACTCTTTGGGGAGAGGAAGTGTATTTGCTGTATTAATCTTCAGTACCATCCCAGCAGGAAGGATGAGAGGACAATCTTAGAATCCACCTCGTGGGAACAGAAAAGAGAGTGTTTCCTATATGGATAGCCTGGGAGCAAGCAGGACATCAAAGTGGCTTAAGTGAACCCATACCCCATTGTAACTGGAATCATATACTTGGACTATGTAAATTTCCTTTTTTTGTCAGTATAATTTCAGCCTGAAGAGGCAGCATGGTGGAGTAGAAAGAGGACAAGGAGTCTGGGTTTGGTCTTTAGGTTTGCACTCTGGCTTAATCCCTGCTCTGTCATTTACAAATGGAGTTCGCAGATGTCTTTATACATAAAATGGGCATATGTTGGGATTTGAACACAGCAATACTTCATGCTTTTCTCCTCCTCCAAACAAAAATTTGAATCAAATAAGAAATAGACGTGAGTCAGATTGAGGGAGGGTATTGTCAACATTAGTTTAATTCCTGTTACATCTGGATTTGGGAGTCCAGCCTGGACCTATAGCCAAATGTAATCCCTAATATATTACTTTTCCAAGGACTACATCAAATTCAGACAAAACAGCCGGTCAATTGTAGCCACCTACCTTCCTCTAAAGGTCACTCTTGGCAACAAAGAAGAGGACAATGTGGATCAGACCATTTCCAAATTAGGAAGAGGTAAGCAAAAGGAAACAGGAGCTCTCTTGCCTTAAACTACCTGGGAAAAGAACAGTGAGCTGATAGATATGCAGACCATTTACACCCCACCAACTGGAAAAACTGTTCATCTTCAGCATCTCCTCCTGTGGGAAGAGAGGCTGCAAGGATCCATAACAGAAGCCCCTCACAGAAACAAGAGAACAAAGGAAAGGGTTCCCCAATCAGAGACCACTCCCTTGTAGAGTTGGTGAAAGAATAAAATTATTTCAAGAAAATGGAGCTCCAAGCCAGTGAACATTTGCATTTTTCTTTCTTTCTTCCCTCTCTCTTAACTTGCTTCAGAAAATGAAGAAGGCCACATTCCCTGGCAGCCCTCCTGAGCCGCTTGCCCCAGGACAACACTGTCTACCTCAGTCTGATGTTATGGCAAGTAGATGGCCACATATCCTTCTTTGTTGGAGACAGACTGGGGTTACTGCCACAGTCCCTGTGTTCTGTCCAGAGTGGCATTTGCCTGGACAAAAGAGTCCCAGTTGGGTGATAACTTATCCAGCCACCCTCTCCTTAGCGAAAATCTTTAACCAGGCAAACAACAAATTCTCTTCCTTTTCTTTCCAAATCACTGCCATTTCTTGCCTCTTCTCCCATCCCTTCTCAGCCTCCTTTGCTAGATCCTTTTTAATAAATGTTCAGCATTTCCCAGGTGTGACTTCTTTCTATTTCCTTCTGTCTGTCCTCTCTGGAGGACCCCACCCACTCCACATCGTCCACTACACAAGCTACATTTGAGACAACTACCAAACACCCTTCTCCTTCCCTGACATCTCAGCTCACATCTCCAGCTGCCACACCTCTGTCTGGGTTCCCTACAAACACTGCAAACATAATGTGTCCCAGACAGAACTCATTTTCTTATCCTCCTTCTCTCCAACTGCTTCTCTTTCCTGTCTTTTCCAGATTTTTTTCCCCAACTAAAAATCTTGAAGTTATCCTTCATTGTGGCATCTTTCTTACTCCCTGTATTTAATAGATGCTCAATTCTATCATGTGTGTCTTACACTGGGCTTTTTCTCTCTATCCCAGCTTTCCCTACCTTACACTAAATCCCTAGCTTCCACCTCACTCCTTGCAATGGCCTCATGAGTGATTTCCCAGCTACAAAGACCAACCTCCTCCAGGACATTGTTCACACTCATCCACAGTTAAGTTCGTTTGCCAAAACCTATTCCCCTCCCTCTGTGTATCTCTTGTTTCTGTCTGTTTTAGTCTAACTGGGTGTCTATAACAGAATATCACAGATTGGCTTATAAACAACAGCAATTTATTCCTCACAGTTCTGAAGCCTGGCAAGTCTGAGAATAAGGAGCTGGCAGATTTGGTGTCAGTAAGAACCTGCTTCCTGGTTCATTTTTTCTCTATCTTCACATGGTGGGAAAAGGACAAGGCATCTCTATGGGGTCTCTTCTATAGGGACACTAAACCCATTGATGAGGACTCCCCCTTTAAGACCTAATCACTTCCCATACCCCCACCTCCAAATACCATTACACTGGATATTAGGATTTCAACATATGAATTTTAGGGTGATGCACATGTTCAATCTGCAGCTGTCCTTTTCTTTCTCTCTCCCTCAACTCTCTCTCTCTCTCTCTCTCTCTCTCACACACACACACACACACACACACACACACTCCATGTACCTTGCAAACTTGTCTTGACTCTCTTCACCAGCCACTTGGAATCCAAACTTCTTAGAATTTCCCACAAGCCCTCAAGTGCCCCACGTATCTTTGCCTTGTCTTCCACTGACCCACCCTCCAAGCCTTAGGACCCAGTGGCACTGAATTTACATCACCATCCCAGAAAAGCCCATGCCCTCTTACGTTTCTCAGTTTATGCCCCTGGGCCCTCCACTTTGAATGCCTTTCCCCAGAACACACCCTATTTCCTGGCTTATAAACCTGTATTTTTCCTTCAAGGATAACTCAAATTTCTCTACCTTGGTGAAGCCTTCCCTGACATCCCCCTGGGTGCCCTCAATATTAACTGCTATAATAGAGTTATGCATAATTGGATTGAAGGTAATCCATTTGCACTTATATTTCTCCCATTACAGTGGCAGCTTTCTTGAGAACAGAGAGATGTTTTTCATCTCTTTACTTTCAGCAGGTAGATATTGACCTTCTTCTAGGTACTATCACTGTGTTGTCTATTCCACACAGAGATAAACTAAAGAATAAAGACTAGTTTACTTTGTTTTGATAAAGTATTCCCATTCACCACAGGTCTGCAAATCAGGAAAACATGGCCCCGGGTATCAGTGCTGCCTCTACTTAGCCCTGTGAAGTCCCTCTACCAGGCTGTGCTTTGGTTCTTCTGTCTGAACAATGATCAGAATAACTAAATACTCTCCTAATGGGTAGTAATGAAAACATAGAAAATTACTCGTTTCAAAGTACTTTCAAATCTAATGTACAAATTGACTATAATGAAACATATCATTGTTATTACCATGAATTAGACTTTCTAACAAACATTCAGGTAGCTCTTTCATCTAACATACTTTGTAATAAATGAATGAAAAGATAATACACAGAAGATTTAAGGAATTAAGCATACAGAACACAATTTATAGTATTATTATTCAACCACACATATTATCAATTTAATATTTGATAATATGTATATGATCAAAATAGCATTATGATATTATATTTTGACTTGCGTAGAATTTTTTCCTTTTCATAGATCTTTACTTTGAAGTCAGACCCCTCCCAGGATGTGACTTCAGACTAGCTTGGCTTCAAAATCTGTTCCTCACATTTTGAGAAAGTGAAGAAAAATTGAGGGCAATTTACACAGCTGAGGTGCCAGAACTCAATCTACATTAGAACTCTCCTAGGATTCTAAATACAGAAAAATCTTCATGCACTGAGAATTCATCACAATATGTTTTTTCATAAAAGAAAAAAATAACTGAAAACAATCAAAATGTACAACAGTGGTTAAAGAACATTTTGTATTTGTGTGATAGGAAACAATGAAGGCCTTATATATTTATTCTGTTACAAGGACCTGTAGCACTTGTGTAAGCACTTGTGTTATAATGTTAAATGAAAGGCAAGGTAAAAAATAGATGCACAACAGGAGGACAAGTATCTAGAAAATAAGCACGAGAAACTAAGAAGCATAGACCTGTCTACCCTTTGCTTGTTTGTATTGCTTCTCCCTCTGGAAGCTGTGAAAACTGGCTTAGGAGAGCCATCTTGGTGTCAGGAGTGGGAACCTCCACCAAGAGCTTTTCATAGTCAGAGCTTCCTTTGCCAGTTTGCCCTGTGGGAAAAGGATGTCATTATTCTCATATTCTTAGTCCTACTTCATCTCCCTAAACTTCAAAGCAAAACAAAACAAAACTTACGTTTGATTACCAAAGTAATTTATGTTCACTTAAAAATCTTAATTTTTAAGTTCCTTAGCCATCTCTGGTTTGAAGTGAAACTGGAAAACAATTGTTCTTTCAGCCACCAAAACTTTTGGCAGCTTGCCTCCAAACAGAGCTTAGAATTATGTAACTCTCAGTTTAGCGAAAAATTTTTCTAAAAAGCCCAACTTCTTTTCTAAAAGCCAACATTTCAAAACAGCATGTAAACAGATGGTAAATGGATTTCACCACTGTGGTGGTATTTCCAGAGTCCACACTTGAATGTGTGATACAGTCTATGGGGTTTTCTTAATGCCTTCTAATAAGTGATGGATTATTAAATAAACAAAGCAATTCTTCCCCTAACCCTCTAGAGGGCTGTTAGTGAATAATTAACAACTACAGGTGAATCAAAAGAGAACAAAGCCCACTTAAGAGGCAGCTTTGGGTTAGAGAATGGCCATCTTCCCAAGGAGGCAGACCATAGGCTGGATGTATACACCTGCAATCAGCTGGTGTGTAAGGCTGAGTGCCCCAATCTGTCATATGTCCAGGGGACTCCCTGTAGTCCTCACTGTGTCTCAATAAATCTCTCCAGGTATTGGTGTAAACAGACTTTCTCAACAAAATCTTCTGGCATGATGGTTACAAATACAGATCCCCAGGCCTCACTCCAAATCTACTAAATTGCAATCTCTGTGGCTAGGACACAGGACTATGCATCTTAACAAGGTGCTTGGTGGATTTTATGCATCTGTGTGACAACTAATGATGTGAGGACCAACTGACCTAGAAATTGGAATTGTATGTTATGAGACTACTAATAGAATGGGTCTTGGGAATTATTCTTATCCAAACCCTTCTCTTTACAGGAGAGGAATCTGAGCCCCAGAGAGGAACATGACTTGCCTAAGGTCACACTGATGGGTGGTGGCAGAACCTCCTTATCTGCAGGTCGGTCCCTCTCTACTAGGACGTTAGGCCTTAGACGGACAGACCTGTGCAAGAACTGAGGGCTGGGTGTGACCATGGCTCTAGCTGAAAACAAACTTGCTGCTAATCACTGGGTTGCCATCCTCCCAAGTCTTCTTTGGATCAGAGAGGCATCTTCCTGAGGTTATTAGAGGGAACTAAAAAAGAAAACTAGAGATTAAAGCAAGGTTTCCCCAAGTGTATTTCCAAGAAAACAAGTTCTTACAAGGTAGTCCATATTAGTCCGTTCTCATGCTGCTAATAAAGACATACCTGAGACTGGGTAATTTATAAAGGAAAGAGGGTTAATGGACTCACAGTTCCATGTGGCTGGGGAGGCCTCACAATCATGGCAGAAGGTGGAGGAAGAGCAAAGTCATGTCTTACATGGCAGCAGGCAAGAGAGCATGTGCAGGGGAACTCCCCTTTATAAAACCGTCAGATCTCATGAGACTTATTCACTGTCATGAGAACGGCCACAGGTTTTCACAGGAAAAATACCCCTGTAATTCACTTACCTCTCACTGGGGTCCTCCCATGACACGTGGGGTTTGTTACAATTCAAGATAAAATTTGGGTGGGGACACAGAGCCAAACAATATCAGTGATGCATGCAAAAAAAGAATGCCTGCATTCTCAAGAAGTCATTGTATCCTCTCTCCCTGTCTTGAACAGTCACAAAGAGTGACTTAGGTGAGCCTGTGAAAGGCACGGAGAAGTCTCACAGTAGGGAATCCTGTTTAACTTTCTCATTCCAGCAGTGCTCTGATTCATTTGACAGAAACAACTTTGTATGTGTTTATAATACCTTTGACATTCTGAGAAACTAGTGTTCTAGAGAAACCATCTACTCATCCAGAAGTTTCTCAACTCAAGGTTATGTCACAACCAGTAACCTGGTTGGCATTGTGGAAAACACACAAAACTTGGGGTTTTGGCTCCTCTCTGACACTCGCCAGTTTTGAGACCTTGGGCAAGTCTATTGCCCCATTTTTACAGATGAGAAAATTGAAGTTAAGAGGTACACACCTCTCCTGCTACATTACTGGGTTGTTTGGGGAACCACAAATAAAAACTGTTTACAGAACAGAAAACACTATAAAAGTCACAGTGTCACCCTCCTCCTCCTATTCCCCACATACTCATCACTCCTGAGATCATCTCCATATCTCAGAGACCTCATGCTACTTTTAACAGCAAGACTCTGACAAGATGACACCAGAAGTTGGTGGTGATACAAATACAGCATCCAAGGGTAGACCAGCTAGTCCTTGAATCACTGCAACCTCAACACTCATTTGTCATTCATAACAAAATCTCAAAGCATCTGCTGTAGAAGGTATTGATGCAGGGGTGGAGTATTTCTTACTGAATTATAGGTCAGTTGTTCGTGTAACTGAGTTTCATCTCTAGAAATATTGATGCTGCTAATACTGTCATTATCAGTATTCGTAGTCACGTGGAGGAGGACAGAACAGTTTCCCTCAGTTTTCCTTGGTCTGTGTTCCAGCCGGGTGGTTCTCTGTCAAAACACACTTCTATCAGTAGCAGCTCCTCCCTTTCTCCCTAAGGGAGGGTCTCCATTGCAGTAAAAGGGGATGAAGACTGGAAATGGAGGCATGGGTGCTGTATAATAACCTTAGGGAAATGGCCACTGATGTGTTTCCCTGGCTCTGCTAAAGTGTGACCAGGAGCCCTACCTCATGGATCTCAGTGTCCCTCATAGTGCTTTACACAGTTCCTGCCCCCTCCTGGGTGTTCAAGAAATATGTCTGAATGAATGGGTGAATAAATGAATGAGATCTGCCTTACCCTACCCCTAGCATATTTTCTCTAGTTTAATGGGGCCTTCATGAGCCATATTCCTCACCCATGATAGGCAGTACCCTATCATAAGGTTGAAAAGTTCAGATAAAACACCCATTAATACAACTCAAAAACCAGGCAGTAGAGACTCAGAGATGAACAGAGCATTCTTTGTACTTTCCAGGATCTCACAGTACAGTAGGATAAGTTTGTTGGGCCACAACCACCACAAGATAAGGCCATGGCAGCATGAGGAATTGCTTTATTTCCCTCAGCAGACATTGCACTCCCAGGTGGCAGAGACCATCTTCAATGTCATCATCACCACCACCATCATCATCCTCATTGTGTATGCTCCATGAGAAAAGGAATTTTGTTTTGTTCTCTGATGCATTTCAAGCCTTCAAAAACAGTTCCTGGCACACAGTATGTGCTTTATAATCTTCAGTGAACCTTGAATAATCATTATCAATGCTATGCTAAAACTGCGTGCTTACTTCTTTGCAAGCACTATGCCAAAGACTTTATAGTCATTATTTCAAAAATCTGAGGAAACTGGGAGACTGCAGCATCAATAGGTACAGAATGCCATAAGTTGACAGTCAAGTGTCACATCTGGGCAATCTGACTCCAGAGAACACACTCTTGCCCACACCCCTCCCATTTCATCATTTACAGCCACCTCCAATGCTTCTCTAAGTTCCACAGAGTTCCTTATAAGACAAGTGGCAAATCCTTGTCCAATGAGTTAAAGAACATGATTCCAAGCTGAATTACTGGCCCTGGACTGTTCACTGCCTCCAAGAACTCTAATCTTGAAGGATTCAGCACTTCAAGTCTTCACACCCAACCAGGGTTAACAAAGGAAGAGAGACAGGATTGACCAAATGAGCATGCCAATGTTAAACCCTTCTCAGCCAAGTGGCTAACAAGATTTTTATTGACAGGAAAATAAAGACATCAAAGAACAATGTGCTTCACTCTGCCCTGTGTTCAAGTGAAAAATGAGTTGGGCCAGAGCAATAACAGATCATTTCCCCTTTCATAGTTTGTCTCTAGTGATACTCATGCAACCAAGCTAACAGCAGAGCTACTGGTTCAACTACCACCCGGACAGGGAGACAAGAAGAGATGAATGGGGACAAGAGAGAGGGAGCTTCATAGCTTCCCAGGCCATGGAGAGATCTCCAACCCACTAGGAGAGACATCACTGGGTGGACCAGGAAGTGTGCTGAGTACTTGCCACGTGAAATGCAAATAAGAATATTCATGAGGGTCAGGGTGGGGGCATATATCTTGTGCCAAGTACTTAGAAAAGCCTCTTGTTTTAACAATTATATTTAACTCTTCAACACGTATCCACTAATCATCTAATCAGTGCCTAATCTTGCATTAGATGTTTGCTCCTTTTGTATTTGTATTGTCTAATAATAATAAAAACACCTAATATTCTGTGGCACTTTATAGTTTACTATGTGCTTTTACCTTCTGCTTGTTTTGATTTAGTCCCAAATGACACCAAGGGATAGGTGTGGCACGATTTATCATTTATTATGCCTTTTTCCCACTTGAGGAAATCAGGGTTCAGAGAACCACCACCAGCAGCTAAGAAACGTCTATTGAGTGTTCAACCTGTGCAAAGCACTGTGCAAAGAAGTTTGCACACATTATTTACTTTCACAACAGCCATGCCAAGTAGAGACAGTATTACCTTCATTGTGCAGATGAGAAAACTGAGACTTCAAGAGATAATGTTTAGTTTCCCAAAGTTGCACATACAGTAGGTAACTAGGCTGGTATTTAAAGAAGTCTTGTGCCCTTGTTTGGAGGTTCAATTTTATCCTATCAACAGAGGTTAAAATATGTGCCTAAGAGCATGTGACTTTCCAGAGACAAAGCTCTACCAATGCCCAGAGTTTTTTCCTCTATCCTTGCTGCTTGGGGAAGTTATCTATTAATATTGGAAAGGCCCCTGTTTTAAGGGCATTTATCACCTGTTAAAGGAAACAAGACAAACATAATACAGAACTAATATCAAAGTAAGGTCAAAGTTTGGCCTTCCATGTATTGATAAGATCTCCAGGTATGAAATATTGTATGTATTCAGAACAGAAAGAAAATCTATTGGCACCATATGCCACTATGAGCAGACCTTTACTGGGAATCTTATATGCACTAATGTTTGACTTGCTTTGTTAGAGTCATTTACTGCTCATGGACTGCACAGATGCTGTGTGTGCCTCTTTACTTCTTTGAATTTGGGCAGAGCCATGTGATTAGTTTTGGACAGTGAGCTGTGAGTGGAGGTGACTGATACTACTTTTGAACCAAAACAGGAGAAGTACATATGAACTTTCTAAGTGCTCTTTTTCCCCAGAAATATTCCAGATGGTAAAGACTTTGTCAGCCTGGGCTCCTTAGTTTCTTTGAGAAAGCTTCCTGCTGACTTGTACTAGATATGTATCATGGGAAAAATCTATTTTTACTGTGTGTTAACCCATTGCAATTTGAGACAGATTTGTTACTACAGCATGTCTTGGCCTATGCTAACTAATGCAGAAGCTTGGTAGCCTTTAAAGGGAGAACATGCCAAGGGAGGGCTGAGATTTAAATATTGTCTTGACAGTCCTGCTAGAGAGAGAGAAACATGGGAAGCTGGAGTACCAGGAGAGCAAGCCGACTCACCAGATCAATGGGTGTGTGGCAGAAATCAGAGTTGGCTTCGAAAAGTGAGATGAGGCCAGAAAGAGCTCTCAGGGTCACACCCAGGGATTAGAGTCATAGGAATGAAGCTGGGAAGTATCTTGAAGATCATTTTCAATTTGAGGGACAAGATACCTAGAGATGGGGATTGACTTGCCCTCCATCACATCACTTGGGTTCCATCCTGTAGGGACAGGGGCACTGCTGGGTTTTGTGTAAGAAAGTGACATTCTGCTTGAGGAGAATGCAAATGACAATAGTGTCTAGGTGGTTGGCATTTTGGAAAACTGAAACCATGAAGACAAGTTAGGAGGCTACTTCTAATGCAAAATCTAGAAGCTCATAACAATGAAAGCTTGACCTCACTCTCTCAGAGTTTATTGATATAAATATGGGAAGACTGTCTGAGGCAAGAGGTTAGTCTGAAGGAGACCACAGGATATCCAGGTCCTAATATCCAAGGAAGGGTTTGTTCCCAAAAGATGACCACGTCCCCTCCCCAAACTGGAACATGCTCCTTGCATGTTCTTTTCAGTAGTCACATTCTGCTATCCTGAAAAGATCTAAAGAAAAGGAAATAAGAACAGGGAGCAGCCCAACTAGTAGCTTCACAAAGAAATTCTCTCCCAGGGACCACATGTCTTTGGTCCTTGTTTACAGGTACAGGGTTCATCTGTTTATTAATTTATCAACTACTTCATTCATTCATAGTAAATGTTCACTGAATACCTATTAGGTGCCAGGAGCGGTGCAATGTCCGAGAAGTATAATAATGAGAAATCAGTTATGTACCTTAAGTTACTGAGAGTTTCAGTCTAGTAGAAAAGATAGATTTTTGTCATTCCCTAATATCTAATCAAGTGTCATAAGATTGCTAAAAAAGAAGCATGAGGGTACTTCAGAGCCTATAAGAGAAGGACATGATCTAGTTTGTAGGATAAAGGAAGACTTCTCTAAAAAAGTGACAACTAAGCTGAAAACTAAAGGATGACTTAGTGGGTGAAGAGAGGAGGATGTACTTTCCAGGCAGAGGGAAAGGCAATCTGTACAATCTGTAAATGTCCAGAGGAAAGAAAGACCATGCCATATTTAGACCCTGGACCAAAAAGGCCATAACACTTGGAGTTGAGAGAGACAAGGAGAAAGTCAAGAAAGATGAAGCTGAAGAAGTCAAATAGTTTCCAATTCCTTGCCGTGACCTACCATGCCTGTGTGATTGGACCCTGGCTGAGTACAGCAGGAAGTCCCAGATGGCTTTAGGCAGTGACTTAAACTGAGCTGTAGATCTAATATCAATCTAACTGAAATGGAGGGAGCAGACATGAGGAAGGCAAGACAGTATGGGGGATAAAGAGTTAGGAGGCTGCTGCAATTATCCAGGTAGTAGACGATAATTGCTTAGTTAAGGTGGTGGAGGAAAAGGTGGAAAGGAGGGGATGGATTTGAATGATGTACATAAAATCACAAGAGTTGATAATAGATAAGAAATAGTGAAACAGAGAAGAGGCCAAAGATGCTGTCTAGATTTTCTGAGTTGCACAGCTCTGTAGTAGAATAAATGTTGGCTGAAATGGCTGACACCAGAGAAGAAGCCCGGTTTGGGGAAAAGGAAGGCAGTGAGTTTGGTTTTGAACAAGTTGAAAGAGCCCAGAGTGGGCTCTTGATGCTCTGCTTTCTGCTCCATTGATAAGGGGACTTGAGGACTTCCTGTATTCCAGGTGGTGTGTCCTGTTCTCAAATCCTCCGTGAAGGACTCAGAGTTTTAGGAACTATTGGTTCCTTCCCAAATCCCTAATTAGAGGAGCTGGAATAACACAGTCACGCTCTCACTCTGTTGGCCACATTTGCAACAGAGCGGATTCACAGTTCAGAGCTACAGTGTTTGACCCTGTAATCTTCTCTTTTAAAATACATTTCACGCTTATTAAGCCCAAGTTTGGCAGTTGACTTAAGATCCATGATAAGAGCTTTTTACAGGAATAGGCACACAGAGACCAAACGGAATTGGGAGTGTGGGCACAGCTAATCATTTGGGGTTTTCCACTGTTTATAGGAGAATCCCATCAACCTCCAACAGGAACACAAGATTTCAAGTTTCCAGAAAAAGGAGTGGTTGTTTCTGGCTAAGGACATTAAGCAAAAATTTCCTGTAAAACTTGCATTTAAGTTGTCTCTTAGAGTATGAGTATGGTTTAGACAAATTGTGATGGGAAAAAGAAAAAGAATTCAGGCTAAGGAAAAGGCAAGGGCCAAGGCAGTAAGCAGGAAGATAGATGACATATCTCCTCCCCAGACACCTTCCAGAAGCCTCTACTTATTACCTTGTCCTGAGCACAGAGCCCTTATCTACCCTTACTTAGTGAGAGTGATTGCCACCTGCAAAGAGTTTCAGCTCAGCAGCTGATGCATGACCACATTGGACTAACATGGAAAGGGTTGAAGACAAGGAGAAAATGGAACTTGGAAAATATGTTTTAACAATCACTATGGGAAACAGTATGGAGATTCTTTACAGAATTAAAAGTAGAGCACTTTATCCAGCAATCCCACTACCGGGTATTTTTCCAAAGGAAAAGAAATCATTGTGTGAAAAAGACACATGCACACACATTTACAGCAGCACAATTCACAATTACAAAGACATGGAACCAACCTAAGTGCCCATCAACCAACAAGGAGACAAAGAAAATGTGGTATATGTATATACCATGGAATACTACTGAGCCATAAAAAGGAACAAAATAAGGTCTTTTGCAGCAACTTGAAGGAGCTAGAGGCCAATTATTCTAAGTGAAGTAACTCAGGAATGGAAAACCAAATATTGTACATTCTCACTTATAAGTGGGAGATAAGCTATGAGGATGCAAATGCATAAGAATAATATAATGGACTTTGGAGACTCAAGGTGGAAGGTTGGAAAGGGGGTAATATGGTTTGGCTCTGTGTCCCCACCAAAATCTCAACTTGAATTGTAATCCACACATGCAGAGGGAGGGATGAGGTGGGAGATGTTTGGATCATGGAAGCAATTTTCCCCAGGCTGTTCTTGTGATAGTGCGGGAATTATCATGAGATCTGATGGATTAAAAGTGGCAGTCTCCCCTGCATACTCTCTCTCTCTCCTGCTGCTTTGTGAAGAAGGTGCCTTCTTCCCCTTCACCTTCCACCATGATTGTACGTGTACTGAGGCCTCCCCAGCCATACAAAACGAGTGAATTCAACCTCTTTTGTTTATAAATTACCCAGTCTCTGGTAGTATCTTTATAGCAGTATGAAAATGGACTGATATAGGGGGTGAGGGAAAAAAAGACTACATATTAGGTACAGTGTACACTGCTTGGATGACAGGAACACTAAAATCTCAGAAATCACCACCAAAGAACTTATCCATGTAACCAAAAACAACTTGTACCCCAAAAATGATTAAAATAAAAAATAATTAAAAAGGAAATGCCTTGTTTTCTACCTGCCTTCTTCTCTTCTATATCCACACATGTGCTAGAATAGCCTATTCATTATTGCCTAAACACATCCTTTAGTTTTCTCTCCCCCTACCTTTAATTATACTGTTCTCTCTGCCAGAAGTATTCTTCCTCCTCCATCACTTTCTTTTCAAATCTTATATCTCCTCCATGGTACTACATCCAACTCAAAGACTACCAGAGATGACACTTCCCTTCCAGCAGCTTTCCCATGTGCTTCTCATTTGATGTCTCACTCTCCAAGCTTATGTTTGGTCATGTAGGGGTCATGCTAACAACACTTCTTGTGCCAGAGCTATGTCTAGTTCCTCTTCAGAGGCCCAGAACAACTTTGCACACAAGTGAGAGCTTCATAAATGTTAAACAAATGAAAGGCCAAGCCTAAATCAAGAACTCCTGGGTCCTCTTTCCAGTTCTGACTCTGAGCTCCAAAACACAGGAGTAATGTAAAGCCAACCACGTCCATCAAATACTTTTTTTCCATAGCCTGAAACCATGATAGTGAAACTATGAGCACCTAGATGGTTTGTAGCCAAATTTACTTTTACTTTGTCTGAGTTTCGTAGCTTTATCTTGTGAGAAAAATTTTTTCCTGACAGTAAACTGGTATTTCCTCTGGCTTCATGTGCTCTACCTCGTGGTAGAGAAGAGATGACTGTGGCAGGGAATGTCTTGTTCCTCTGCCCACCAGGCTGCCCAAGCTGAGGTCCAAATGCCACTGTGTACATGTGCCTGTATATGCCCTGTGTACACATGTGCATGTATGTGCAGACGTGTGTGCAGGAAAGTGCATGTGTGACCGTGGACATGTACAAAGACAAAGGTGCAGTCATTGGCATATGTCATACCCTTCTCAAGCCAATCCTCTATTTTGGAATATTTTGGCTTTGGCCAGAGATAAAGAGAGAATGAATCTATTCCCCAGTGATAATCACATTACTGAAAACCACCAGGAGTCATATTTATCTTTCTCATTTATCCAAACCCCAAACAGCCTTCTGCAGCAAATCACATTTCAGCATGGCAGATTATTCTGTCTGTAGCATAAACTTCTCATTGCGTCTCTCTCAGGAGAAGCCTCTCTAGGTAAATATAAATCTTACTCTAATAGCAACATTTGGAGAAGTAATGTTATTTGCCCTGATTTAGAGAAAATACAACATAGTCTCTAGCAAAGCTGATCCTTTCTTTCGAAATTGATCAAAGGCACATAGAAGCAACACAAATATTTCTCCGGCAGAGTGAAGCGCTGGTGTGTGTGGTGGTGGGGGTGGTGTGGAAGGGAAGGGGTTGTGGCGGGGGTCTTGATGAATTATTCCAGCCTTCTAACCCTCCCTCTGTGGAGGAGGCGGAAGAGTGGGATCCCTCTTTTTTATTCTTGTGATGTGAGTGGTTTCTGCAGACCAGTTCATAAGATTCATATAGAGTTGAGAAAGATCAAATGACTATTTCTCATTGCACAACTGAGAGTCTGCAAGTTTTACCCCAAGGGAACATGAAAACTCAATCCAGTATTGACCTCAGCATGTGGAGGTGAGCCTCTGAGAGTGCGGTGAAGGAGCAGACAATTACCTCCTTAAAGGAGAGACGGGGTTTTAATGACCACAGCTAGATGGGAGGGGAGGGACCCCGTGAGCCTCTTTCCTGCCTGGCAGAGTCGCTGCCTTTCTGATCCTTTCCCACCTCTAGCCCCTGGGGAAAGGGAGACAGAGTTTGTAATCAATGATTGATTGATTAAATAAATAAATAACAGTGCTGGCTGTTCTAAAGCACCACTCACTGCAACCA
The DNA here is from genome assembly GCF_000001405.40 of Homo sapiens. NCBI lineage: Eukaryota > Metazoa > Chordata > Mammalia > Primates > Hominidae > Homo > Homo sapiens. Next base: position 111,445,618 of record NC_000010.11, on the reverse strand, counting down.
GCTTGAAAGCCTGGGCACTGGAGTCAGACTTGCTAAACCTACATCCCAACACTCCTGCTTACAAGCTGGGTGATCCTGAGCTCATTACTTATCCTCCCTATGCCTCAATTTCCTTATTTACAAGCTGAATTGCTAGAATGGTTGTGAGTATTGAATGAGTTAATGTGTGGACCTAGAGCAGGCTGTGGCACACTAGAGAGTGTCAACCATATTATTATCATTTTTCACAGCACTGATGAAACGCTCCTTGTGAACTTCTTTCTTGCCCACATTCTTGTGAAAACCACGCTATACAAAAGAGCATTAAATATGTAGATTTACAAACTTGATGGGTTACAAAAAAGCTGCAAAGGGCTTAGGACAGGAGGACAGTAATAATTAAACTATCTGTCCCTCCATGGTCTAAGATCTTTTAGAATCCAGGCCAAATACATACTAAAATGTTCTATTTTTCTTGGGTTGGTTATATAGAATTCACTTTTGGGATCAGAGGCCATTTTCTGTCTTCCAGAGTGAAAGTGTGCTTCTAACTACTTTTAGGATTGGAAAGAATGTAAGAGGAAGAATCAGGTCTGAATTTAATATCAGTGGGCCATGTGATTTGTACAAGTCCCTTCTCTTCTGTGGGCCTCAGTTTCCCCATCTTCGTAATGAGGAGGGTGTTGTCAATGGCCTTTGAAGAATCACCCAGCTCCACCAGTCCATCACCACCCCCATGTTCTAGGTAGCCTTTGTGTTGTGACTGAACTTCAGAAGTGGACAATAAGTTGGGGGTTACCCCCAATGCCCCAGGACTCAGGCTGGAGAAGTGAGCAAAGAATCAATGACTTACTTGGTTGTTGACATCTCAGTAGTTTTGTTTATGCTCATGGGGCCAGCAGAGTGATAATAAGTGTGGGTCTCCTGCCCCATTCTTCCAGTAGCACACTCATGGTGAGACAGGACCAACATCAAAGACCGAGTGAAGGAATTGGCTGTTGTGTGTCAGCCACTTCCCTCTGGAGGGCTGATGGTTCTCAGGCTTCTTCACTGTATGACCCTCCATGAGGTCCTTGGGTGCCCAGATTCTAACTATCTCACCTTCCAGAGGACACTGCTCATGGTACAGGCCTTGCTGCCCCCAACAGCCTCTGACAACTCTGTACTTCATCTCTGTACTTCATCTCCTTCTTGTCCTGGGCCTCCTGTCAAGCCAAGAGCTGGTGACCAAAGAGAGTGGAGGCTGGCCCAGCTTCACTCTGGGTTTCCATCTCCCTAAAACCACTGGTTTCTCCTCCCTAACAATTTCAGAGCAGGGTTATAAAACCCCATGTTTGAAATGCAGTAGAGCCCTGCTATTTCAATAAGGCAAGAGAGTTGGGTCTCTCAGCAATCAGAGAATGCATCATTCGATAAATCCTCAAACAAGAATTAGGCACCTGCCACATGCTAATAACAGTAGAGTAATCTTTAAGTGCAAACTAGATATTATAAAAGCCTCTTCACACTTTTTATCTCTTTAATATTTATAACAGCCTTATAAATCTACTAGAACAGTAGATATTTTATAATGATGCTCAGAAAACTGTGAATATTCTGGAAAGTGACACAGTCAGGACTCGACCAGAGATATAAGTACAATAGGAAATATGAAAAAACAAAGGACCTAGCTCCTGCCTCTAAGAGTGAATATCCTGTTGGGGAAAAAGAATGTGGGCTCCATCTGGCTTTGTCCTGTGCTATTGTTTGATAGTTTAATGCCCAGTGATAGGTAACATATTATGCAGATTATGAGATATAAGAGTTAGCTCACTCTGGCTTGGGAAGTGAGGAAAACTTGAAAGGGCTTCCAGCCAGGCTTTGGAAGATAGGGAGGGATCCTGTCAGCAAGGGGAGACCTGATCAGATGAGAAAAATAGCACTATCAAAGGCCACCCAACCGGGCCCTTCAAGAGCCTATTTCCTTCAAGTTATACTTGACTAAAGATGCAGGTTTGCATTATGGAAAAGGACACGAGAAGAAATTGCTCAGGTATTTCCTCACATTCAGAGCTGTGGCTGGCCTTGAGATCTGGGGACTATGTGCATAGGAACATGATCCAGGAAACAGCACTAGAAAATGGTTCTAACAATATATGGTGAAGCTCAAATTAAAGTTGGCTTGACTATTCCTAAGAGACAGCTCCTTAAACATTTTACCAAGTGCTATTCATGGTAGAAAATATAAAGACACACCCTAGTATGCTCACCTGTTTGGATTTTTAAAATTCATGCTATGCTTGTGTAATTCTAGAACATATTCCTGTTTATTTCAATCCACTTATTTATAAATTCCACAGATATTTGAGCCCCTATTCTGGGTTAGGAACTGTTCCAGGCGCTGAGAAAAAAAGCAGTGAAAATCCATACAGTCAACTCATGAAGTTGCATTTCTGAGTTTTTTTCCACATTTCAGTAGAAAATGGTCTCTTGGAAATGTATGGCATCTATTTGGGGCTTCTGGTACCCTCAGCGCAATGCCTGTGGGAGTCCCCCAGGGTATGCATGCCCACATTTGAGGAGTAGAGTCCTCAGAAGACACTCATCCAACCCATGGAAATAGGAAAGACTTCACTCCTTTAAGGAATTTTCTGTCAAATATGGGTATGATCTTCCAAAGCTGCACATCAATAACAGTCTTACTCTCTTCCTCTCCTATTATCAACAACCCTTAGAAAGAACCAAACCCTGGTCTTATGATCTCTCAATGTTCCCAAACTATGCTTCTATTTGTCAGGATTTCTTGGCTGCCAATAACAGAAAATCTAAACCCAATGGCCTCAACAGTAAGTACCACCATGTTCTGTATCTTACCTGACATGGGATGTATGATGGAGTGTTCCCAAGGGGACTAATTCGGTGTTCAAACCAGCATCACCAAGTCATATTCTTTCCACCATTCTTCACTGTCACACTTAGCATGCTAGCTTGACCTCTAGGTTGGCTCTTTCATGGCCCTAAGAAAACTACATACAACATTTTTGATGGTCATATGCAAGTGTCAGCTGGAGAGAGAAGAGCCCATTTTCTCTAAGCGTCTTTTGTTTGGTTGATTGTTTTTGGACTGAGAAACTCTTATCCAGAAGTCCCCTCTGTAGAATTCCCCTCACATCTTCTCTGTCAGACCTGAGTCATATGACTTCCCCTAAACCAGTCCCTGGCCAGGCAAATAGGATTACCATGATTAGCTGCCATGTGCTTTGAAAGAAGTGGGGATACTTTCCTATGCTGGAAGATGAATCCTGACTAAATATTTTTAAGCAAGGAGGAATGGGGAAAGGAGCAATGCCTTCTGAATGGGTAGCGAAGCGATCTGACACCATGGTTTCCTCTCATGTACTGAATTCCAAGATGGCGCTTAGTGTCATGTAAAATGTTTGCCTCCTACATGCCAAACATTGTCCTAGACACTGTAAAAGACATTGATTCCAGGTGCCTTCTGAGTTTTTCTTCAAAACTCCTCTCATAATCTGGACTTTTTTTCTGCTTATTTGTTAGTTTGCCTCACCAGCTGAAATGCAAACTCTAGGAAGGTAGTGACCATGTGAATCTTGTTCATTGTTTCAACATCTAGGGCAACACATGGCACACGATTGGCACTCAGTGAATATTTTTGAATAAATAAATAGGTGAATTCCTTACAAGATGCAATATTCTTCCTATTCTTCCATAGCCATTCTTCTTATTTTCCTTTTGGGGAAATTGGTCAATAGAGCTCAGGTAACTTGCTCAGGATCACTCAGGGAACATGTGGTAAAGTCAAACTTTAAACCTAGATCTGTTAGATTCCAAGTCCTTGTTCTGTCCCCAGTGCTATATTCCCTGTCCTTGCATGAACACAGCCTTTGATTTCATGAGTCCTCTTCCTTGGACAGCTACAAACCCCTTAGTCTCTAACTGCAGTCATGCTCTCAGTCACCTCTGCTCCTGCTCTTCTCTTGATCTGGAACCTTTTCTACCCACCTGTGCAGAGCTTCTCCCCACCCTGTACACATCCATGCCCAAAGTTTAGCCCAGGTCCCTCCCCCTTCCTGACACCATCATCTTGCCTCCATTTCTTCATCCTCTACTTCTAGCTTAACTGATCTCCCCAGGGAGAATGCAAATCCTCAACTACCCCATGGCCTTGAGAGAATAATGACTATGATCTCAGGTTCTATGGCCGGACTCACTGTGTGCAAATCCCAGCTCCTCCTGCTGATTTGTGTGATCCTGGGCAAGTTTCTTTGCTTCTTTGGGCCTCTTTGCTGATCTGAAAAATGGGGATAACCATGGAATGCACAGGACAGAGTTGTTGTGAAGACTGAGTCACCACGTGCAGAAGTCTTCATGCAAAGCACATGGTAAGAGCCATTTAAATATCAACTGTGATTTTTCATTTTTCTTATTTTCTTTCTTAACAGTGCCAGGCACTTGAAGGATGTTGAAGAAATTCCTGCTAGCACAAATTTGCTAATCGCCTGCTTCCTCAGTATATGGTATTTCTCCCATACTGTCCCGCAAATTTCAAGGACAGGCATTGTTAGTGTTTTCTCCTTCCTCTGTACCCTTTCAGGGTCTACTGTAGTGATAAAAGCCCGACAAGCACTTAGTAAATCCTTACGAAAATGAACAAACCAAAAAAGCCCTGGGCTTCAAAGAAAATTCTCATTTGAATTTCTTTTCTGCCTTTCCTCTTGCCTTTAATTCTACATCTCTTCTTCCCTTCTGAAAATCAGATTAAGCCCCACTGAGGCTAAACCGATAGTGTTTCAAGTCATTTTGTTAATGGATGTAAATTGGCTGTAATCCTTTTGTTTCATGGCTACTGGCAGTTGGTCAGGCAGGTGACTGAGATGAAGATTTTAATCACACCCAAAATATGATACCGGCTTAGAAAATGTCAGCCCTCCCCTGCACCACAGAGTCATTTATGATGACGCTGCAGTCGGAAAGAACCCAGAGAAACCTTAATTGGCCTTTGGCTAATTTCAGAAGCCAGGCCTTCCTTGTAATTTGCTGCAAAACTGGTACAATTCTCTGAAATAAGATCAGTGAGAACGTTACAGAAAATGGCTCAAGGCCAGATCTGTGCACCACAGATTCATTAAGGATGCCCTAGCTAGATTTAGCTTCCAATGCGCTTGTCTTCGGGAGCACTGGTTTCCTATTAGGACTTGACTTTCCAAGGCCACAGAAAAAGTTGCTCCCAGCAAGGTTTTGCAGCTGCCCCTTTGGTCCACACTTTAGTGACCCCAGAGAGAAACACTGGTGAGAGAGAAAAACAGGATAGTTGATTCACTTTGGGCAGGAGTCTGTGTCCCCACAAAGGTGAGTCTGGAATTGAAATTTAGAAAACGAGAGCATATAGAGCATATCAGCTGAGGCCAACCTAGGTGACACCTGGGCTTACACACATACAGTAAGGCCTCATTAACTTAGAACAGGGATGGCAAATGGATTTCATTTCATATGACATTTCTGATCGATTATAGTGGCTGCTGAGAACACTGTGTCCAGAGGGATTCTCCCACTGTATCTCAGCTCAACAAGAAAGAATGCTGTGATCATTCAGCAATGTCTGCTGTGGCAGAGTCATAGGAAGTGAACCCATATACCATGTGTTTGCAGTCTTTGACTTGGAATAATGGAGACAGAGTGGATTTCTGTCCAAAATGTTGAAAAATCTGTAAAGCTCCGTTGTGTTTTTTTATTTACTATTTTCTATAGTAAACAGTAACATAAATCAAAATAGGAATGTCTAAAGTTAGAGCACTTATTTAAAAGCTTTTATTCAGTGGACTCTCACATTTTTTGTTTTCTATCATTGGAAAACCTCTATCATGAGAGCCTATTGATAGTTTGTCAGTGAGGGAGACAGTCAATACAGAGGAGCTGTTCTATGGTAATGAAGGAGAGAAACCAAATGCCCAGTGTCGCTCACAGAAGACTTCTCCCTGAGTACATTCACCTTGAAACAAACCCTATACACATACCCCCTATTTCCATGGGTTCAGGCAAGCCTTAAAAAGAGAGCTCTTGCTCATTCTCACCATTTGCTGAAAGAAGCAGCAGCTGATGAGTAACTTACCTGTTTCACTTGCCATCTGCGTCATTGGTTCAGAACAGTAGGAGGGAACCCAGGAATTGAGCAAGAGGAAAGTCGCTCCACCAAGGGTTAGCTCCAGCCCCACTGCTGACACTGCCTGGTGTCAGCTCTGACAGCTGTTTGGCAAATCCACTCCTCCACTACTGTTCATGATGACAGCTTGAAATGGGGCTGGGGATATTCTCCCTTTCCTGAGTAGAGAGAATGAGAGAAATCAACACAGCAAGAGACATCTTCTCTGCATATTTTGTGGGTACCTGCAGGCTAATGGAAAAGGCACCAGTGATTCAGAGAGTAGGAGGTTTCTGTGCAAGTCTGAGCCTGGAGTGCCAAAGACTGGCAGTAGCCCTGGAATAAAGACAGTGCAAAGATTTCTAAAGACATTTCAATCTTTTCAAAGCCTGGGCTTGAATGTTTCAGTGCAAGTCAAGGGAAAGAAGAGGGGTTTTTTGGGAAGCAGCTGCCAGAAGTTCCACCTTCCGGCTGATGAGCTTCCCTTTCAGGCTGATGAAAGCAAGACAACTTCTTCAGCTTCACCAAGAAAGACATTTAGAAAAAGTCAACTGAGTCAGGCTAGAGATCAGCTCAGGAAAGTCACTGTCCTCCTCTCTCTCCCCCTACTGTGATATCAATAGCTGCAGAATCATCCCTGGTTTCTAATAAACTTGATGAAAATATGAATAACAGTTTTTTTCTGTTCACCTTCTCATGAAGTGGAAAATTCCTTAAATTGGGGGGAGGTTAGTCAGTGGACCAGTCTAGTTGGAAATTAAGTTAAATTCAATTTACATAAATAAATTGGGTTACTTTGGTATTGTAATTAATTCTTGCTTTGTAAAGTGAAGTTTGTCCCTGCAGACTGTGTCGCAGAATGTGCCATGAGAAACTGTCCTAATCTTACTGACAGCCTGGCTTCAAAGTCACCAGCAGATGGATTTTAAGCTCTTTGAGGACAGAGTCAAGGCTGATACTGTTCTGTTGGATAATCAGGTATTCACTTGGCAAGTATTTATTGAGCGTCTACGGTGGTTGTCCACCAGTATACACATGGTGCTTAAAAGTAGATACGATAGACAGATGTCCCTTCATTGATCTTATGATCTGGCTGAGGAGGGACAGTTTATAAATAAGGAATCCAATCAATAACAAAATCCTTTCAGGTGATGACAAATGCTATTTTATACTATAAAAAAATAGAAAATAAAAGCAGTAAGAAAGGCCCCTGGAGATTGGTGGCTCAGGGAGGAGGTGGTACATAGATGATAAAGAGTCAGCCTAACTCCTAGCAGAGGAAATGTCAAGTGCAAGGTGCCATAGGCAGGCAGTCTCAGTGGTACAAGAAACAGAAGGAAGACCAGCATCACCAGAACCTGGTAAGTGAGAGGGAGAAAGACATAAGAGGAGGCAGGCAGGGCAAAGAGGGGCTTAATCAATGAGAAGCCATTAGAACATTTTAAGGTTTTAATCAGTGATCTGATTAATATTTTAAAAGGTCATTCTAGCTTCTATTTAGAAAATGGATTGTAAAGGTAACAATAGATGCATCTTATATGTACATTATCATTCTAAATCGAAGGGGGGGCAGGTGAATGAGTGTTGAGCAGAAGTACACAGGCAAGAATTAGCTGGCTCTATTCATGGGTACAGGATAAGCTGCTATAACAGAAAGGTCTCACAATACAACAGCTTGAACAATATAGTTTATCTTCCTGTTGATAAGTCCATAGGTGAATAGTCCAGGGTTTGAGGGATGGCCCTTCTCTACAAACTCATCAAGGACACAGACCACTAAGTTGACCCAGCCTGTGGCTTCCATCTCTGAATCCCAGGCAAATGCTCTAGTTTTGCTATTTCCCAGCCATGAAGAAGCAGATAAAGGGAGAACTCCAGAAAGCGTCTGGTCAATGTTTAATAGCTGGCTCTCTGAGGGGGAAAAAAACGAACCCTGATTTGTAGCATTTGCTGATGTCCATGGTCTAAATACTTCTACCATGACTGATTTCAGACTACCAGCTGGACCTCTCTGAACTCAGAGTTGGAAAGAAATGCATACAGTGAGATCTCACAGGCAGTATGAGCAGGCTCAGTATACCACTGACCTCAGGACAGAAAAGAAATCCTTTACAAGTAAAAGCTTTTGCTAATTCTGCTGAAAGAAGTAAAAGCTTCTACTACAAGCTTGAACTATTCTCATATGGAAGCGTGATAAGGCACACCACACTCAAGAACACTAGACCATAGAGTCTGGGAGAAGCTACACATTAATTAGTGAAAAGGGGTTCAAAACTTTACTGAACTTCCCAGAAAAGAAACATTTTAAATGATGGGGGTAGAACACACGGAATTTTTAGGTTGGTAAAACTATCCTGTGTGGTACGGTAATGGTGGCTACGTGTCATTACACATTTGTCAAAAATCTACAGAATGTATCACACAAAGAGTGAATGTTAATGTAAACTATAGACTTTACTTGGTAATAATATATTAATATTGGCTCATCAATTTTAACAAATGCAAGAGGATGAGAAGGGAAATTGTGGGGGATGAGGGAGAATATTGGAACTCTTTATACTTGCTGCTAAACTTTTCTATAAGTCTAAAACTGCTCAAAAACATTAACTATATTAATTACATCAATTAAAAATATTTGTAGGGGAAAGATCACCATGTATATGTACATAAAGGTGAAAGTGTGTGTCTGTGTCTGCATGTGTATGCTGATGAGTATGCCTGTGTTTGTGTTGGTGCATATGTGTGTTGGGTGTGGAGGGTGATAGGAGAGACTTCTTCATCGGCCTGGTGACAGGAGAGCTAATTGGCTCACTGTGCTGCCCCTGAACCTCAGACCCAACAGAGTCAGCCCAAAAGCAATCCTTTGGAGGAAATGCCCATCATGCCTCAGTCAACATGGTGCCTTCCTCCATAAGTACACTAATTAGGGGCTTATTAATGTGGGCCTGCCTGAGACTGTACTTTCATTGACTATAGATATTTCCCATGAGAGTTCCCCTAAATCAGGGGTCCCCCAGCCTTTCATCCCTTTATTTGTAATTCCCCTGTCTACAATTGTTTTGGAAATAACCATCCACATGCATTCTGGTCTTGGAGGGGAAGGAGCACCAAGATGGAGCTTGAGAGGAATCACTATCCTCTTCTCCCTTTGTCCTTTTCCCAAAGACAAATAACCGTAAAGGATCATCTATATTATGATCTAAAATATCCAATTTCCTTGCTATTATACTATGGCCTATATGATAGTTCTCCTCCAGAACCTGTGAATATGCTCCTTATATGACAAAAGAGACTTTGCAGATGTAATTAAGTTAAGGATCTTGAGATGGGAGATTATCCCATTTTATCTCAAGATGGGATAATCTAGCCAGATGGACACAATATAATCATGAGGGTCCTTACACGACAAAAGTCAGTGTGACAAGGGAAGCACAGGGACAAAGAGAGAGAGATTAGAAGATACTGTGCTGCTGGCTTTGCAGTTGAAGAGTGGACTTGAGCCAAGGAATGTAGGTGGCCTCTAGAAGCTAGAAAAGGCAAGGAACTGATTCTCTCCAAGAACAACTAAAAGAAATGTAGCCCTGCTCACCCATTTTAGGACTTCTGACCTCCAGAACTGTAAGAGAATAAATCTGTCTTGTTTTGAGCCATTAAGTTTGTGGTATTGTGTAACACAATTTGTGATACAAAATGGGAAACTAATATACATCACTGCAGCCTGAGAATCTGCACTCTCTCCAAGATTCAAGCTCTCCAGGTATCCCTTTGTCTGCTTATTCTTTTTTCTTTTAGCACCTACTTTAACCTGTGGCCCCTGCAGTGAACCTTGAACCCTGACAAAACACACGTCATCTTGTCTCACTAGTGCCAGGCACAGTTGCAGGCTGGCGCATCAGGGCACTCAGTAAACACTTGTTGAATGAATGAATGAATGAATGAATTTTTCCAAAGTTATTCCATGCTCAAAAGGAAATATTGGGATTTATTGTTTTTGTGTTTTTTCAGTTATCTTCCCTCTATCCTGTAAGAAACCACCCACACACATAATTTTGGTGGCCTCTAGCTGTAAGTACACACAGATTCATTTCTTGTTTTGACCTGGCCCTGTGATCTAAGCTCTTTATGGGACTCCAGTTCCCAGAACTTCCTGCTGGTAAATGGACATCTCAACTTATTTTTATATGGGGTGTCAATTTAAACTAAAATCAGATGGGAAGCTCTACACAGCCCCAAAATATACTACGCTGGGTTGGGGTCAAAAAGAGATGGTGACTGTATCTGGGACAGTTTGCATGTGGAACTAATAAAGAAAACCTTAAATTTGGGCTCATAAAGAGAAAAAACTGCTACCAAGTCACAGATTGTACCCCTAACCCAGCCATCCATCTCAGATATGCAATATCCTGGGTCGCAAGGAGACTAGGCAACAAATTATAAGCAGATGAGATCCTAATATGGAAAAACATATCAAAGGCTGTCTCCTTCTGAGGGTGGGTCATAAAGTCTAAAAGTATCCAAAATACGATTTGCAAAGAAATTTAGAGACCAATAGTTCAACTTCTCTTCAGAGCTTGGTAAATGACTTCTCCCAGACCTCAGTTGTCTTAAGACAGTAAATGTCTGTTTCAAGTCTTGGCAGCATGTAAGTACAGGAAGTCACTTTTGTTTTTTAAATTAAATGCAAGGAATTAATGAAATGATCACATTAACTTTCTAAAATTTAATATTGACTAATTTCACTCTTTGGTCCTTTACAAAGCAGTTGAACTCTGTCAACCAAGAACACACGCAACACACACAAATACACATACAGGCACGCAAGCACGATTGGGAAGGGTGCTGATCCACAGAGGGGACAAGAGCTGTGCAAAAATCAGCTGTTCCCACCCTCCTTTCTCTTTGATTCCTTTCCATGAAGCTGGAAATGCCAAGTGTCAAATATTTCCAGTTACTTAAGCCCCTCAAGATGGATCTTTTATTTCTCAGAGAGAACACTGGGCAGGAGACTTCAGAGAAAGCTCCATTTAAATGTTCCAAGTTGATTTGCTTTTCCATGGGAGCAGAGAAGGAGGAGGAAAATGCCAATTAAACCAAGGCCTCAGGCACAGTCCTCTCATTACAGGAATCTGTGGTGCAAGATCTTTGCAGAACCCCTTCACTGTGCTAGATGAGCTCCTGTGATTGCCCACCTCTTAGAATGACCTCCAGGCCAATGACAGAGCATTCTTTCAGTTGTTCCAAATGAGACCCCATGGCTAGTAGGACATTTGGCATTTCTGTAGGGGTTCCTTTAAGCCACATTTTTCTACAGTCATACATGGGAAAACTTACCTCAGCTTAAATACAAGGAAATGCTCCAAGCTTGTGCATCTCTACGGATGACTAGTAGAGTCCACTTGATTGGAAGAAAGGCAGGCACCTCATGGCTTTGAAGTTCTGTTGTCTTTTGGACAAACAAGCTGGTACAATGGTGTTCTCATGGTGCTCAGCTTTGATCTTAAAATACAACCCATGAAATGACTGGAAGAGATAGTTCACAGTAAAAGAAATACAGTTGGTTAAAAGTTAATGCCTGTAATCCTAGCACTTCGGGAGGCCGCGGGTGGATCATGAGGTCAGGAGATCGAAACCATCCTGGCTAACATGGTGAAACCCCATCTCTGCTAAAAATACAAAAAATTAGCCAGGTGTGGTGGCGGGCGCCTGTAGTCCCAGCTACTTGGGAGGCTGAGGCAGGAGAATGGCGTGAACCCAGGAGGCGGAGCTTGCAGTGAACCGAGATCACGCCACTGCACTCCAGCCTGGGCGGCAGAGCCAGACTCTGTCTAAAACAAAACAAACAAAAAAAATTATATGGAAAAACTTTGACCCCATTTGTGATCAAATATGTTTACATTTATATAACAATGAGAGATGACTCTTGTCTGTAAAATTTGAGAAGAAATAAATATAATGTGTACCTATATGTGTGCATGTGAATGGGTATATGTATGTATCTATATCTCAGGTCTGGTGAAACTGGCATGTAATAAACATTCTCGTAATATGCTAGTGACAGTATCAGTTGATTCAACTGTCTTAGAGAGTACCAGTCATTTATGTCAAGAACCTTAAAAAAGAACCTTTTGGACTAGTTATGCCACTCCTGAGGAGGCATTTGAGAGCTATTACCCACATTTAGTATACACAAAGTCTTCAAAGCAGTAATGTCTACAGTAGCAAAAACAATAAAAGGAAACAGTGTAGCTCCTGATTATGATGTACTCACATTACAGATTATGCAGCCCTTGAAAATGGTATATAAACATTATCTTTAAAACACTGTAAAAGGCATATATTGTCATGTTAAAGAAAAGGATAAAATTTATATGCTGTATGCAGATAATTTCTGGGGGAAAATAGAAGGAATGTAAGCACAGCAAAATGCAATTGGTGGTAAGATTGTGGAGAGGTTGTTCTTATTTTCCATTTTCCAGTTTTTACAATGAGTATATATCGCTTTTATAATCATAAAAATATAAATAAAAATTTGCTATATTTTAAACCATAAATAAAACTGAAAGTACATAGAAAAGGTAGCCCATTTTTGCCTCTACATTGGGGAACATAAGCTATAGGAAAACTCATATCATGTTTTAATCCCTATGCAAATAGAACTCTAGTTTTCATATGCAGATATCATGAATATGGAGAATATGGAGACTGTGGCAGCTGAAACCAGTACTTTGATAAATGCCAATCCCTGCAGGACTATTAGAGAGAGGATTTGTGATAATCCTGTTGACATAACCCAGAGAACTTTACCTATTCCAGACATCAATTTGAACACAAAAATGTCCAAGACAGACAAACAGCATGGGGTAATTAGGAATTGCAGTAAATGGATTGGGGGATGGTTTTGTTCATCTCTGTTTCCAAAATTTCAATAACAGATTCCTTTGGAGGGTGAAATAGAATAAAGCACTCCAAGCTAATATTTGTGTTGAGAAACACTAGGGTGCAGGAAATATCTCCTTTGTCATCTTGAAAAGGTTAGGGCAATACAACGCTACAATAAAATGTTTTAGAATCCCTCAGAGTTGCATGCATCACTGGACAAATTATGGCCCTGGCCATAGAATGATCCTCTGCAGCATTGGTGAGGTAAGACCCCAGGGCACAGGACCTTTGCTTACATGCAACCCCAAACAATTTTGCCCATTGCAAAATCAGGAAAATTCACTTTAAAGGGTATATTTTCAAGGAGGCAGTGTTGACTTCCCTGCAAGGGAATCTGCTCTGACTCAAGACTTTTAATATGTTTTGCCATAAAATATATAAAGGAATAGAAAAGAATATATTTTTAAAAGTTGCCACAAAAATATCTTTTTAAAGATGGTATTTTTAAAAAGACCCACTGTGGCCGGGCGCGGTGGCTCACGCCTGTAATCCCAGCACTTTGGGAGGCCGAGGCGGGCGGATCACGAGGTCAGGAGATCGAGACCATCCCGGCTAAAACGGTGAAACCCCGTCTCTACTAAAAATACAAAAAATTAGCCGGGCGTAGTGGCGGGCGCCTGTAGTCCCAGCTACTTGGGAGGCTGAGGCAGGAGAATGGCGTGAACCCGGGAGGCGGAGCTTGCAGTGAGCCGAGATCCCGCCACTGCACTCCAGCCTGGGCGACAGAGCGAGACTCCGTCTCAAAAAAAAAAAAAAAAAAAGACCCACTGTATTAGTCAGGGTTCTCTAGAGACAGAACTAATAGGAGATATATGCATATATGTATGTATGTATGTGTGTATGTGTGTGTGTATATATATTTATATATGTTATATATATTTATATTATATATAATATATATTTATATTATATATAATATATATTTATATTATATATATTTATATTACATATATTTATATTATATATATTTATATTACATACATTTATATTATATATATTTATATTATATAAATATACATTTATATTATATATATTTATATTATATAAATATACATTTATATTATATATATTTATATTATATAAATATACATTTATATTATATATATTTATATTATATAAATATACATTTATATTATATATATTTATATTATATAAATATACATTTATATTATATATATTTATATTATATAAATATACATTTATATTATATATCTTTATATTATATAAATATACATTTATATTATATATCTTTATATTATATAAATATACATTTATATTATATATCTTTATATTATATAAATATACATTTATATTATATATCTTTATATTATATAAATATACATTTATATTATATATCTTTATATTATATAAATATACATTTATATTATATATCTTTATATTATATAAATATACATTTATATTATATATCTTTATATTATATAAATATACATTTATATTATATATCTTTATATTATATAAATATACATTTATATTATATATATTTATATTATATATATTTATATTATATATAATATAAATATATTTATATTATATATATTTATATTATATATAATATAAATATATTTATATTATATATATTTATATTATATATAATATATATATTTATATTATATATAATATCGATATTTATATTATATATAATATCGATATTATATATAATATATATATTATATATAATATATATATTATATATAATATATATATCTATATTATATATAATATATATTTATATTTTATATTTTATAATATATAAATATATATTTTATATTTTATAATATATAAATATATTTTTATATATTATATATATTTACATATAATATATATATATATATATATATATATATATATATATATATATATATATAAGGGAGTTTATTAAGGAGAACTGACCTCAGGATCACAAAGTGAAGTCCCAGGATAGGCCATCTGCAAGACGAGGAGCCACCAGTAGTGGCTCAGTCTAAGTCCCAAAACCTTAAAAGTAGGGAAGCCGACATTGTGCAGCCTTCAGTCTGTGGTGGAAGGCCCAAGAGCCCCTGGCAAACCACTGGTAGAAATCCAAGAGTCCAAAAGCCAAAGAACCTGGAATCTGATGTTCAAGGGCAGGAGGAAGGGAAGGAAGCATCCAGCATGGGAGAAAGATGGCCAGAAGTCTCAGCAAGTCAGCCCATTCCACCTTCTTCTGGTTGCTTTTTCTAGCCACACTGATAGCCAATTGGATGTTTCCTTCCCAGATGAGGGTGGTTCTGCCCCTCCCAGTCCACTGACTCAAATGTTAATCTCATCTAGCAACACCCTCACAGACATACCCAGGCACAATACTTTTCATCCTTTAATCCAATCAAGTTGACAATATTAACCATCACACCCACCAACCGAGCAATGTTGTGAATAACACTGGGCTTGCTGCCATAGAACTGAGTTTCAACACAAAATCTGCAACACCTTGAGTTCATGACTTTTCTTCCTTGAGATTCTGTTTCCATAACTATAAGATGGAGGGAAAGGGGGCAGATGAGCAGGGCAGATAGGACTGGATTTGTATTAGATGAGTTCCGGGTCTCATCACAGGGTTAATGTTCGCTAACCCTAAAAGGATGGGAATTCTTGCTTTGGGGGAAGCATCTGACAGAGAAAGAGATTCTGCAAACCACACAACAGACCCTGCCAGCATTGTCTACATGCTGGATTCTTAAGGCTAATGTTGCTGCATATGACTCTCTGGAGACTGTGGTTTAAACCACATCCAAAACTCAATTGCCTAATTTGAAGTCTTTGCCTAGGAAAGCCGAATCAATTGCTCTGTCTTCCAGCAAACCTTAAACTGCACATTATTCAAAGAAACATCTCTGAGCTCAGGGTAGCTGATGGTCAGGCTGTCAGCACCAAGTGGGCCTCATTTCAGATTCAGGCTTGGATGCCCAATCCTGTTGATGGAGAAGCAAACTGCTGACCTGGGCAGATCATGGCCCTGCCTGCCAAATCAGCTGCTGCTGTTGTGCTTAGAAATCTGCCCCTTGGAGTTAAGGTCTTGGCTATTTGCCAGGCTTTTTCCTATCTCAGGGAACATGTGCCTTCAATCAAGGACCCCCAGTGACAGAGATAATCAGTGGATTCATCAGATCTGCTATGTTCCTGAGCTATACTGACTGGTCAATATTTTGAATATAATACCTTGTTATATGTCACTTAAAAAAGCAAGTCATTAAAATTGGGAAAAAGCAATATTTAGTAGCTTGAATTCTAGTCTCAACTCTGTTGGTATCTTGCTAACTAGACTTAAATGAACCACTTATTTTCCTGGTCCTTGGTGTTCTTTTCTATACAGTATTTGGACCTATTCAGAAGGGTTTCTACTGTTGTGTTTTGCTTTGCTTTAACCTGGCTTCAGGGGCTATGTAAACTCCATGAAATTGTGTACAGAAATGTGGGTGTATGTAGTTTTTCCTTCCAGAGGATCCATATCCTCAAAGAGGATCCACTGAGTCCCAAAGAGATCCATAATCCAAAAATCGATTAAAAGCCATTGCTTTAAGCAGATTCAGAATTTGCACACCGAAGGGGCTTAGTGGCAGCATACTGATGACAAACAACTGTCTTGAAGCTGTGTTTGCACAGCAAGAACATTCATTTGATTTACACCATATGATCCAGATCAATATGAATAGCAAAGTTTTCCAAAGATGCTATCCACCAGACTAAGAAAATGCAATGTGTCCACATCATTGCTGTTATTTTCTCACCAATAATATTACTAGCACTGAGGCCCATCTTTGGCTCCAAGGTCTCTAAATGTTTCATGATTTCCATTTTGGATTATGAGACATAGAGAAGACCCAGAGAATGTAGTATTTCTCCAGGGAAGGCAAGCCCAGGAAACCAGAGGAGCACATGAAGGATAGCAGCATATGATGCTCTCAAGGCCAAAGAGCCAAGTGGATGAGCACCTCAACTGAATCAGAACGATTTCATAGCTGTGTCCTTGAAAATCTTTCTCACCTCTGTGCCATGTCTCAATTTCCTTTTTTTTTTTTTTTTTTTTTTTTTGAGATGCAGTCTCACTCTGTAGCCCAGGCAGGAGTGCAATGGAATGATCTCAGCTCACTGCAACCTCCGCCTCCCAAGTTCAAGAGATTCTCCTGCCTCAGCCTCCCAAGTAGCTGGGATTACAGGAGCCTGCCACCATGCCCAGATAATTTTTGCATTTTTAGTAGAGACGGGGATTCATCATGTTGGCCAGGCTGATCTCAAACTGCTGACCTCAAGTGATCCGCCTGCTTCGATCTCCCAAAGTGCTGAGATTACAGGCGTGAGTCACCGCACCCGGCCTCAATTTCATTTCATAAAAATACAGCAGTAACTTTACCAGCCTACTCTACTGAGATGGTGGTAAGAACAAGGCACTGAATTAATGCAAAAGGATGGCAACAAACTTTTCCAGAGAGGAAAGTTTGATTCAATTTACATAGTCACAATGTTTTCAACAATGCAGCCTCCATTTCAGGCTTCGATATTAACTGTCCTGGAGGTGTGCATATCATTATTCCACAAGTACAATCCACAAGAAAACACACAAAAGAGAATATTATTTTTAAACCTCTGTTGGGTGAAGTGGAAAGCAGCAGTACATGAGGATGGCACATCATTAAATAAGAGATCTCACTTCCCCATAGGCCTGGAGAACTGCATTAATTCAGAAAACATAGTTGGAGAAGGACAATTGATTCCTTGGAAGCATAAATGTAATGAAGACTATGTTTGAAATCCTCATGGACTCTTGCTCAGCTATAATGACCTCCCAGGGGAGATTTGCAAGAGCTCATGGGGTATCATTGCATGACAAATACATAGAAACTCAGAATGCCGTTGGGCAATGACTATTCAAGATGGCCTTAGGTGACTGACATTGGGTAACCTCCCAGTAACCACCATGAGAGCAAAAACCATCACCACAGCTACTAGGCACTCAGTGAAACACCACTGTAAGCAATTTAAGTGTCCAATGTGAAAGAAATGGTAGCAAATGATGGCATGTCCACAAAGTAATTATAATGTTGTCAATAAAAATTATGCTCACAAAGAATACTTAAGGACATAAGAAGTAAGTATATGAAGTATTAAATGAATAAAACAAGTTTCAAAATTGTATACAAATAAACCATGATCCCAGGTATGTTTAAGAGATAAAATCCTCTCTGACAGAGATAACCACTAGTTACATAGTAACATTTGTTTCCTCTAGCCTCTTTTTATATAAGCAGCTTTTATCTTCTTTACAATTCTGTGTTGAAAAAATAATGTAAAAATAAATACTATATTAGTCAGTGTTCTCCAGGGAGTCTGAAGGCCTGAGAACCAGGAGAATTGATGATATAACCCCTAACCTAAATCTAAAGACCCTCATAGAGGGGAACAACACACACTGGGCCTTTTGGAAGGTGGCAGGTGGGAGGAGGGACAGGATCAGGATAAATCACTGATAGGTACTAGGATTAATACCTGGGTAATGAGATAATCTGTATAAACAACCCCCATGACAAAAGTTTACCTGTGTAACAAACCTGCACTTTTACCCCGAACCTAAAATAAAACTTGGAAAAAAATGAAAAATATATTAGTTAGAAGACTGCCAAGGGTTAAATGATAATTAGTTAATACTATTGAATCACGGTTAAATTCCTGGTTTCTATAATTAAGCTATGATTACATAAGATTATCATTACAGGATGCTGGGTGAAGAGGGTGAGGGAATTCTCTACAATTTTTGCACATATGTAAGTCTAGACTCACTTCAAAATAAAAACTTAGAAGAAAACAGCAACAAAAATAAATAAAAGTCCAAGAACAAGGGGCAATGATGTCTGAGGGCAGGAGCTGATGGATATTCCAGCTCAACAAGAGAGAGAATTTTCCATTTCTTTTTCTTTTTGTTCTATCTGGGCCTTCAATGAATTGGAATATGCCTGCCCACATTGGTGAGGGTGGGTCTTCTTTATTCAGTCCACCAATTCAAATGCCCACCTCTTCCAGAAACACCCTTACAGACATACCCAGAAATAATGTTTCACCACCCATCTGGGCATCTCTTAGCTCAGTCAAGTTGACACATAATATTAACCATCTCAAAAACCATGATGTTCTTTTTCATCAAGAAAGAACTTTTAAATGTAAATATCTGGGCTGGGCACGGTGGCTCACGCCTGTAATCCCAGCACTTTGGGAGTCCCAGGCACGTGGATCATCTGAGGTCAGGAGTTCAAGACCAGCCTGGTCAACACGGTGAAACCCCATTTCTACAAAAATATGAAAATTAGCCAGGCATGATGGCGGGTGCCTGTATTCCTAGCTACTCGGGAGGCTGAAGCAGGAGAATCATTTGAACCTGGGAAGCAGAGATTGTAGTGAGCCAAGATCGCATCATTGCACTCCAGCCTGGGTGACACAGCGAGACTCTCTCAAATAAATAAATAAATGTAAATGTATGGAAATAAATAGTTTTTCCTTAAACAAGGAGGACATGCAATTTTTTGCTCTAGAATGCTAATCTGCCACACACGATGAACTCAAGGGAAGGGACATCAGGTCTACCACTGGTGAGAACATCACACTCCTTGCCTGCCTTCTTTCTGTTTTTCCCCCAGCTGTTCTGTGTCCAAAAAGACAGCACAGAAGAGCAAAAAACCCTGTCCTATTACCATCCAGTAAACTTTGATGCAATTATGGGACCCAGAGTTCCCCATCATGACCTCCTAATGGCCTCTGAGGCAAAGAAGCACCTGCTGCTCATACTTGGAAGTCAGTTTGAAGCAGTATCATATGTATGATCCTGAGAATGCAAACAGTTTCAGAAGCAGGATTCCATGTCCACCATCAATGGCCACTGAGCCTGGCTCTGAGTATTCCTCTGCCAGGAACACATTCTTCAAGTCAGGGGTACAGGAGAAATAGCACAGGCTAAATCCTGATAGGCTTCTAGTTTTATCTGTAATGAACTGTGTGGCCCTTGGGCAGGTGATTTAACCTCTCAATTTTCTCACCTGAAAAATAGTATCTACGTGTAGAAGGTTGTTGAAAGAATCAAATGAGATCACATATGTAACAGTGTTGCCACGGGTGTCTACATGCTTTGGTATCAGTCAATTATCACATGAGGTGCCCAGCCTGGTGCTATCTGCTGTGAGGCTATATTTATCATAAGGCAGGACATCTGTCCAGAGTGGGCAAAGAGCCTACTGCAGAGACATGAAAAAAGGCACTAATTAAGATAGTCATCAATTAAGGGCTCAAGCTAGAGATGCCAATTTTATTCAGACTAGAAAAAGCAAAACAAAGGCTGGAATGATCAGAGATGGCCATGGAGGAGGTGACATTTGAGCTGGGCCTTAGTAGCTAGTTAAGAACAATATCTGCGTCTCCATCTCACTAAGCTAACACATATTTTCTTGATAATATGTACCTAATATGACCACCTTGCAATTCCAAGTCTAAGATCATAAAAAGGAGCCAAATTTGTTTTAATATCTATTTTTTTCCACTCTCCCTTCTCCTTTCCATCTTAATTCCTTCTGGAGGCCTGATTAGTACAAAAGCTAGAGGAAGGAGCAATTTTCCCTTTTTGCTCTCTGCCTTACTCGTTGAGCTAGAACATCCCATCTCATCTTCTGTGGTCTTTGGACTAAGATTACATCCTGGGCTTCTTGCCTCTCAGGCCTTTGGACATGGACTGAATTATAGCACTGGTTTGCCTGGGTCTCCAGCTTGCAGATGGCAGATCATGAGACTTCTCAACCTCCACGATCACCAATTCCTCATAATAAATCTCTGATTCTGTTTCTCTGGAGAATGCCAATTAATACAGAAAGGCTATGGCACAAAATGGGGTTTGGAAGACCACTTGGTTTCCAACCACAAAAAGACTTGGATATCTTGCTAAGGCATTGAGACATGAATCAGCTGGAAGTGAGGGGCCATGGGAGGATGACAGGCTGGTGCATGACATGACCAGATTGTTGTACTGGAAAGATCACTATGGGTGACAGCTTAAGGCAGGGAGACTGGTTGTCCAACAAATCCAAGGAAGAAAAGTGAGGTCTGACCAGTTCATCTCTTTGCCAGATAACACTGAACACCCACTGTCTGGCAGACACTTAGCTGACTGAGTTATCTGATGAATTATATAAAAGACAATAGGCAGATGTTCAAGGAAGATGGCTAAATCACAGTCATCAAAGTTTGTTTCCAGGGAGGCCTTTTTTGAAACTAAAATGCACTCATTCATCTCATCATTCATCTTTCATTCAAATATTGTGAACTGAACACCTCCTGCTCCAGGTGCAGGATTTGACCAGACACATAGAGCATCAAACTTGGCTCTGACTGTGCTCAAGGAGCTTGTGGTCTTGAGAAGGAGGTGGATGGACTCCTAAACCGATCTTTATCTAACTGTGTTGGAACATTGTGATAGGAGCCAAGAAGGACAGCCAATCCAGCCTAGCGAGAAAAATCTTCTCAGAGGGGATCATGTCTGAGCAAAAACTGAAGGATAAGGGGGAATTAGCCAGGTTAGAAATAAGGACAGGTGCTCCAGGAGGAGGGAAAAGCAGGAACAAAGACCCGGAGACAAGCAAGACAGCAGCACAATTTCAGGGACACCTCAAGGAGTTAATGTGACCAAAATGTAGGCCTCAGTGCAAGGAAGAGTGGAAGAAAAGCACAGCAAAGTAGACATGGGACATTTTCTGAATTTCTGTAAACAAAGCCATGAAAGGGGAGAGAGGAAAGAATTCAAGATGATGTTGGCAAGTTCATTGTGCATTTTCCCAAATCCTGAATTCCCTGTTGCCTACTCCTTGGCAAGGTAACCATTATGTGCCAAAGGGGAAAACTGGATTGTTCGTTTTGTCTTTTTTCTTTTTTTAATCACACTAATGAATCAATATTTCTTGTTCCCAGTAGAGACTCTCTATTTCCTTTTCAGCCCATTTCTTTTACAGCTCAAGATGTATGGCTGGGGGATCTTACTTTTCCTTTGATGATCCAAAGCTCATCCAAGACTGGTTTTTGCTCACCCATGCAAGGCTACCATTCCATGGGAAATTAAATTGATAAAGTCTTCCATGTCCTGCAATCTCACCTGCTATAAATTTCAAGCAGCAAAAAGAAATTCTGTCATTATCAAGCAGAGCAGCTTTACTGTAGGCACTTTTAGTGTTTGGAGAGAACACAAAAAGTTGGGGCAGCATTGAGGCAACTCCAAAGCCTCCAAGAACTCATATCTGGTATCAAATATGGCAAATATTGATTATTTGCTCCCTCTAGGTATTACACAATGTGTTGAGATGCCAATTTATCGATGAAGCTATTTATCAGTGCACAGCTAAGATAGGAATCCGGGAGTATCTGGATAATTTGAAATATTCCTGCTTTCCTTCCACCTGTCTCCTAGTTGCATACATGTTGCAGATCAAGGGTAGAAGATGGAATCATTAATCTGCACCAAACATTTTTATAATTTTCTTTCTCTGAACTTCCTGTGTAACTTCAGGTAATAAGCAGGGAGAAGAGAAAAATCTCCAAAAATCAACCTGCTAATTATGCGTTCTTCTTTGTATCCAGAGGCTAGCATAGAGTCTGGCATATAGGAGTTGTTTTTTTCACTGAAGGTCTTTTGAATGATGACAGCTCCATGGGAATGTAGATGTGCACATTAAGTTAGGAGATGTTAGGCCAATGAATTTTAATGAACTTTAATTATTTTTAACCATAGGAGTATTTTTTTTCCCAAAAAATACAAAAAACATAATATTTGAAATCTCTGATTAAGCCAGGACTGGGGCCCAGAGCCAAATACATCAAGTGCCTCTTCTAACCTACTGCTACAGCCCTTAAAGATGCTCCAAGACACATATTGAACATCATGTAACAGAATTTTTAAAGGTCACGACCCTGAAGACATATTTTCATTCAATGTCCTCTCTATTGATGAGATTGATGAGCTCATCAGGTGATGCTCAGCCCATTGTCATCACAACCCCCTGCCTCATGATATAATGGAATCTAGTACTACCCTAGTTTTGCATTCCATAAGGAAATAAGTGGTGGGGAGTGGTGGTCAGGAGAGAAGATCAGTAGATTATAATTAAATTAATTGTATCAGTGTCATGTAGTCAATGGAACATGTTTATTAAATTATCTGTACTCAGTAGAGTTCAAATATAAAACAGTTTTTCTTCCATTGATGTATTAAATGATGTTCTCTCAAATCTTTCTCTTGTCCCCTATTTATATGTTGGATATGCTCTATAACTTCCTAATCTCAATTTAAATCCTCAGTCTCATTTCCAAATGAATTCCCGTTTCACTTCCTGCTCTTCCCCAGATTCAGACCCAGCCACGGCCAGAAGAGAGAGGGAGCATATTCCACCTTTTCATTCCTCCTTTTTTTGGGACATTTTCTCCTCTGGTGTGCTCAAACCTCTTAATGGTTTCATATCCAGTCTCTTATGCCAGGTGTCATCACATCCATCAGACAGCAGGAGGTACCAGCAAGATAGCTCAATCCCAGGAACCTTCCAGGTCTACTTGACTTATGTGAAATGCATACATACTTGGCCATGTTCCGCTGCTGAGGCCAATCTCCGCACTTGCATCTCTACTCACCTTTCTTCTTCACTACTAAAATAGGTACAAGTGGTAGATCGTCAATTGTGCTAATTAAGCTAATCAATTGTGCTAATTAAGACCTCCAGCCAGGAAATGTAATATCTCCCTCCCTTTTCTTATAGGAACCACCCTCATCTAAGGAATGTTTCCTGTGGAACAAAGACCTCTCCGTCCCCACTGAGATGAGAAAGGCTGACAACTCACCACTCAAATAATTTTCCAGCAATCCTTCTCCTCATCCCACACTCCTCAGCCCACACCCAATTGTCAGATCTATATAAATTAATAAGCAACAGAGGGAGACGATAAGGTGGTAGATATGGTAGCACAGCTATTAAAAACCCAGATAGGCACTTGCCTTCCAAATATTTTTGGCTCATCACAAAATTTGGGATGCAAAACTTTGTCCTCATTTGTAGATCCTGATTGTCAATACTCAAGCAATAGGAAAAGTTCCTTAACATTCTGTTTTACAACAAACATAGTGTTAGTGACTTCAGAGATTTTCCAAAGAAGGATAATAATGGCTTTTGACCTTTGAGAGCTTGTCAGTTGGGAGTCAAGATACACACTTGCACATACACATGTACATACACGTGCATGAAATGGTAGCAAGATATCTCAATAGGATACAAGTTCTTAGGGAGTCCTAGGAACATGGAGTAGACTGTTGCTATTGTGATTGAGAAGGAAAATAAATCCCTGTAGATTGGGAAAAGGTAAGTATGAAACTAGGCTCTGAAGGAGCACTGCCAAGGTCATGGTGTGGTGGCAGAAGAAAATGTGGGCAGGAAATCTTAGGGTGGCAGACCCACCATTTGGCTGGCCTGGGAGGATCATACAGGGCCCTCAAAGGCAGTCAGGATGGGACAGTCTTGGGTGCCTGACTGCAGAGCCTGGACTTCTATTTCTGGCAGTTGGAGACTCATATGGGTTCTTGAGCTAATACAGGACAAGATAAAGGCACAAGCCGGGGAGGAGGAGAAAGACAGCAAATCCAAGTCTGTCCTTTGGCTCTGTCTATATCAGAGTTAAGGAAGTGGTTTAATCACTTCAATAGTCACCCAGAGACCATCCCTGATGAAAAGTCAGGACAGAAGAGTCCCATGGGAACAGGCCAGGAAACAGAGGATGTCACAGAATGTGAGAAGTTGTGCCCACAGCTAAGCATTTGCAGGCACCCGGCATGCACTCATGGCCTTCCCTTGGCCCAGCCACAAGGGAAGGATAAGTCAAATCCCAATCCTGTATTCTTTCTTTTTGTGCCTAAATTCACACATATTTCCTCTCTTTCCCTGCCTTCCATTATCTGCTCCAGCTAATGTCATGTCTCAAATTGAGCTCAATGTTTTTTCTTACCACCATATCCATGTTGGATGCCTGAGTCATGGGCATAAACCTCCACAGGACTTTCCAGAGATGCTTAGAGTGACACCATAGCAGGAGAAGAACAGAACACCAGGGGATGCAGGGATAAGAATACCGTTGAGATATTTAGGCACATGCCCCATGCCATTTTGAGTCACCCAGTCAGACAGTTCTTTGTCAGATGCTTGAGCTATTTCTAATGACATGTGATTCACACTTCCTTCTTCCTTAGAGGTTCAGATGACCAATAGTTGTGCCCACTTCTTTGAATCTGGGATCTCACCCACTTCAGCAGAGCTGATTGGTTCCTGAAGGCCATAAAGAAGACAGGAAGACCAGAGATGCTGGTGGCACAGACCTCAGCCAGGAGGTCTGGCCACTTGATGGATGAAGCTTTTTCTAGACTCCCTGATTCCAGAAGTTGGGCCTGGACAGTGGGCATAATGGTGTGAGGCATGGACCTTGTTTTCCGACCAAAGATTCTCTCTTTCCAAGGGCAGACTGAATATTCTCTGCACTAATAGATGAAGAGAGAACATCCTCTCACCTTCTGATACAAGGAATTTGTTAATTCTTTTAGTTAGGCATCTGTTGTCAATTCAAGAGAGGGACAGAGAGGCCACAACACTGAAGTGAATTCCTTAGGCTCAATATGAGACAGCCAGAGTTGAAGTTTGGAACCTAAACTTGGATCAAGATCATAATAAGATTCTCTGGGTTGTTACTGCTGTGAATAGAAGGTCCTAAATTCCAAATGGACAGGGCAGTGTGTGACAGACCTGTTTTCTGGTGAGACAGATGGCTTCCTTCTACCACAGGTTCCCATATCCAGAAAAAACCCAGGTGCCTTTTATGAGGTACATCCTGGGTGGGATAAAACCTAAGGACAAAAAGAAAGGCAAAAAATGAAAATCCAAATCTGAAAATGTTTACAGTTATCATAGTGTTAGTGATGGTGTTGATATTCTTATGTAAGATTAGTATTTGTATTGTGGGATAAAGCAAATAAGCAATTATGTGATTTTCAAATTCTCTCATCCCAGGTGTCCTTGAAAACTGGGATTCTCCGTGTGGGAAAAAGGAGATAAAGTTGTGAGACAGAAAGACATTTAGTGCTAGATTTAAAGAAGTATCACTATGAATTCATTATGTATTTTATTTTAAAACATATAAAAGAAACAGAACAAATTTCCTAATTGTATGCAATTAAAAGACATAGAAAAGTCTAGAAATATTGAGCATCTCCAGTGCCTAGATTTTAGTATTAAAATATTCTTTCCCCACAAAGGAAATGAAAGGTCCTAGGAGCTAATTCAAGATCAAGGGAATGAAATATACAAGATGAACCTGAAACATCTTGTCAACCCAGATAGATTTTTTTACCATCAAAACTCACTAGGGGCCAGGTACAGTGGTTCATGCCTGTAATCCCAGCTCTTTGGGATGCTGAGGCAGGAGGATCACTTGAGGCCAGGTGTTCAAGACCCCCCTGGACAATATAGTCAGACACCATCTCTACAAAAAAAAGTTTAATTGAATGAACGTGGTAGCACATGTCTGTAGTCCCAGCTACTCACAAGACGGAGGTGGGCTGATCACTTGAACCCAGGAGTTCAAGGCTGCACTGTACCCCAGCCTGAGCAACAGAGTGAGACCCTGTCTTTAAAAAAGAAAGAACGAGAAAAGAAAACCCCCAATTTAGTTTATGATATTAATACAACTAACACTGACTTGATATTTGATATTAAGAAATTATTATTTTTGCCATGATAATGATATTGGGATGGGGGTGGGGTTGGAGGTTAAACTCTTATTTTTTTATAGATACTGATTTAGCTTGGATGTTTCTAAAAGCAGAGCCTGAGACAAAGACTTGGATTCAGGTAGTTTGAGAGATGATCCCAGGAAGCATGAGTCAAGTATGAGGGAGAGTAAGACAGAGAAGTAGCAAAAGCCAATCAAAGTGTGCATCATCAAGGTCAAAGCAGTGGACATCGGGGATCTGATTCCATGCATACCTCTAAGAAGGACACAGAACGCTCCCAGAATTGTCCATCTGAAGGATGAGAGTCTGGGACATTGTCTCCCATCCCCCATTGGATGAGTTGATAACTCCTCACATTTCAGAGAAAGCCCTGAGCCAGAAAGTGAAAATGCCCATAGCACACATTTTAGGAGTGACTTTGTCACTGTCAGAGAGAGTCTGGCCTCTACAGAAACTTTTGCTACAGCTGCAGGTGAAATCAGAGATAAACCAGCAAATGTGACACAGGAACTTCTACTACAGATTCATGTTGTAATAATTACAGACAAAACACTCTATGCCTGAGATTGGTAAGGTGGAGGGGACGCATGAGGGTATAGATAAAACGAGTGTGGCCAAGAATTCATACTTGCTTAAACTGGGTAAAGGGTACATATGGGTTTGTTATACAATTCTGTCTACTTTTGTAAATGTTTAACATTTACCATAACAGAAAGTTAAAAAGAAAGAGAAGAAAAAAGGAGAAAGATGGAGGAAGAGAGGAAGACAAGATATGAAAGAAAGAAAAAAAAAAAAAGCAAAGTTCCTGGAATCAGAAATATTGGCTCCACTAAATTGGCAAGGCAAAGAACCCCTCCAAGCCTCCAACTCTTGGCTTTTGTCATCTAAAAAAAAAAAAAAAAAAAAAAAAAAGCTAGTAAAAGAAAAAGAACCTACTTCCTAGAATAAATATATACATAATGAGAGTGCATTCACTGTTGCACTTTCAAATAGCCAACCTTACTGGTCACGCACACAGCAAGTGCTCAATAAATGTTAGCTACTACACTATGATTGTGAGAACTCCATGTCCAGACAGCAGGCAAGAGTGAGCAGGCCTAATCTGGTTCACGAGGGAGAATTTCAGGGACAAAATGATCTCACAGTGGTGCTGTGATTCTGTTCGCCTAACATATTTTGAAATGCTCAGAAGAAAAAGAAAATACAGCAAACTCTGTGCTATACATGTGCATCTGAGGGGGACACTGGTAATTAAATATGAGACTCCAATTGCTCAGCACACATCCTGTGTTCCCCATTTTTAAAAAGTGTGGGATGATAATCCCTGTTCCTCTATCAGAAGGAGATGACATCCTAGCTGCCTATCGGGAATGATGGAGAAGGGCAGAGCATGGTATCTGGCATGGAGTAAGTGGTTCAGAAACGGTGGTTGTGTTGAAATAATCGTTATTGTGTTACTGCTGCTGCTGTTTTTAGGAACCATTTCTCCCTCTCTTGGCATTGAGACCACCATGAATCTTTAGCCTTGGATCCTTAAATGAGCATCCCCTCCTCATCTGAATGCCATCTATCCTCAAAGGGCCAACATAAGACCTGGAAAAAACAGTGAAGAATCCTGTGAGCTACAAACACTATGGAAATAGACCCTCTTATTGTAAAACCTTGACCAGCTAATGTTGCTAGGAAGTGAAAGACTAAACCTTCTCACTTTTTGAGAGTTAACTAGAAACCTCTTTTTTATTTCCATCCTTGTTGCAATCTTTCTAACATGCATCAGCCCAACTTGCTGCCTTAGAAAGTTTAATCTTTGAAGACTTTGACCACATTATGCCTCAGAGTCACCTTTCTGACCACCTGTAACTCTGCGCAAGAGGAACCAAAGACACAGAAGCCTCATGACCTCATAACATTCCCAAGGAGTTGTTTTGTCTAATGAATAATACTTTTCTTTCTTATCACTTATATCTTACACAGGAAAAACTGAGTGCCAGGAAACAGTTTGGCTATTTAAATATTCTAATTAATCAATTTTTTTCTATTTCACTGGCTTATATAAATCTGGTTAATATAAAAACCCTTATCAGTCAAGTCCAAGTCCGTATTCAGCCATTTTAGTGTCCCAAATGGCTATGTTAGAAACAGTGCCTGAATTATACTAAATGACTAAATCTTGTTACCTTGAGAAATTTTGAATATTTTCCCTATATAATTAGAGATTGCTTATTTATGTAAAAGTTCTTAAGCTCTCTTGACCTACAGCCCCCCTTAAGAATCTGATGAAAATCATGGACTTTCATCCCTAAAAATGTATGTATGCCCATGTACTGCTTGTTTATCTCCCTGCAAATCTCCTATAGCACATCCATGGACCTCTAGGGGTTCTAAGAACCCCAAGTTAATAATAACAACTGGTTAGACTTCCTCCCATTGTTAAATGGTTAAACTCTTTCATAAAAGCAGTGGTCCTGGATGTCTCTTCACATAGAAACCACTCTTACTGAAGTTTTGACATACATATACCTCCATGAAACTGTAACCACAATCAACATAATAAAAATACCTTTTATCTCAAAAACGTCCTCATGGTCCCTTGTAAATTTTAGCAGGTAGGCCAATTTGTAAATACAGAATCTGTGAAAAATGAGATTGATAATATATTTGTCTATTTTTATACCAATACCATACTGTCTTGATTACTGTATCTTTACATTAAATCTTGAAATTAGGTTAATGTTAGTTCTCTACTTTGTTCTTTTCAGAGTTTTTTGCGATCTTAAGGCCTTTGAATTTACATATGAATTTTAGGATCAGCTCATCAATGTTTACAAAAAAAATCTGTTGGAATTATGATTAGGATGACCTTGAACCTGTAAATCATTTTGTCTATTTTTTTGGCATTGATTTTAATTGTTTTCTGGTCCAATCATTAATATTTCCTTTTTTCTGCATACTTTACAGTCCTTTTAAATAATTTTTAAAGGGGAAATCTGAAGCCATTAATTGGAGATGTTTCTTCTTTTCTAGTATAGTCATTTAATGCTGTAAATTTCCCCATAAGGACTGTCTTAGCAGTATTCCACAAATTTTTATATGTTGTATTTTATTTTCCCTCAGCACAAAATACTTTTTTTTAAATTTTTTTATTTATTATTATTATTATTATTATTATTATTATTATTTTTAATTATACTTTAAGTTTTAGGGTACATGTGCACATTGTGCAGGTTAGTTACATATGTATACATGTGCCATGCTGGTGCGCTGCACCCACTAACTCGTCATCTCGCATTAGGTATATCTCCCAATGCTATCCCTCCCCCCTCCCCCCTCCCCACCACAGTCTGCAGAGTGTGATATTCCCCTTTCTGTGTCCATGTGATCTCATTGTTCAATTCCCACCTATGAGTGAGAATATGCGGTGTTTGGTTTTAACTTCCCTTTTGCTTTCTTTTTCTGCCTATGTGTTTTTCAAAGTACACTTTTTTATTTCTGCCTATTTGAATATTTTTTTCCAAGAATTTTTTCTGTTACTGATCTCTAATTCCATTGTGTTCAGAAGATGTTTTGGGTGACTTAAATACTTAATTTTTTAGACTTTTTTGTGTAATCCAGAGTGTGATTGATCCTGATAAATGTTATATGTTTACTTCAGAAGAATGTGTATTCTGCTCTTCTGCTGTTGTTGGTTAGAAAATTCTATAAACATCAATGAAGTCAAGTTAGTTAATTGATAGTGTTTTTCAAATACTTTACATCTTTCCTGATTTTGTCTACTTATTCTACTCATTATGAAAAAGATATATTAAACCCCACATTCTTATATTGAATTATGCCAACTAAAACTGTAAATTTGTCTACTTTATCTTACAGTTCTATCAGTTTTTGTTTTATGTGTTTTGATAGTTGCATTAATATTTATAATGATTATGTACTCCTGATGAACCAATCTCTTTATCATTATGAAATGACCTTATTTATTCCTGATAATATTTGCTGTAAAATCTACCTTGTCTGATATTAATACTGATAAGCCAGCTTTCTTTTGATTAGTGTTTGCATGGTATATATTATCTCTCACCTTTTTACTATGCCATATTAGCTATTTGCGTATCTATATTTGAAATGTGTTTCATATAGGCAGATTATAGTTGAGCCTTGATATTTTAAAAATCCAGTCTGACAATCTACCTTTTAAACATGGCATTTTGAGTATTTACATTTAATGTGATTATCGTTGTAGTCAGGTTTAAATCTATCATCTGACTGTTTTGTTTCCTATATTTGCCCTTTTGTTCTTTGTTTCCCCCTTTCTCTTTTTCTGTCTCCTTTTTAATTAATTAGGCCGGGCGCGGTGGCTCACGCCTGTAATCCCAGCACTTTGGGAGGCCGAGGCAGGCGGATCACGAGGTCAGGAGATCGAGACCATCCTGGCTAACACAGTGAAACACCGTCTCTACTAAAAATACAAAAAATTAGCCGGGCGCGGTGGCGGGCGCCTGTAGTCCCAGCTACTTGGGAGCCTGAGGCAGGAGAATGGCATGAACCCGGGAGGCGGAGCTTGAAGTGAGCCCAGATAGCGCCACTGCACTCCAGCCTGGGCGAAAGAGGGAGACTCCGTCTCAAAACAAAAAAAAAAAAAAAAAGAAAAAAAATTAAATATTTTTTATGGTTCCTTTTAAATTCCTTTATTGACTTATCAGCTGTAAGTTTTTGTTGTCATTTTAGTGGTTGTTTTAGGTTGATAGTATGTTTCTTTAATTGTAGTCTACCTTCAACTGATATTATACTACTTCATGTTTATGTAGTGCTGAATCTTACACATGTAATTTAATTCACTGCCCACAAAGTCCATGTTAGCCAGGTATTAATGTCCTCATTTTAGGAATGAAGGAATCAAAACTTAGAAGAATTGTATAATTTCCCAAGATCAATCCATTATTTTGGCATATTAGAGAATGAAACACTGTTACCATTTTTGACCTTGATAGGTTTATAGGCTAACAAAGAAGAAAATGGCTATGTGTGGCATCTTAGCTAAGGAGACATGGCTTTAAAACTCCACATCTGTTTCATAAATCCCAAATATTCAGGGACTGAGTTAATGAAATATACTTTTTATCTACTTTTAAAATTATAAGTTCTTAACTACAGATATTGGGCTAGATATGAATTCACTTAAAAAACTGAAGAATGGAATCCGTACTGCCTGTTGTGTCCTTCTCCTCCCAGAAGCTCTAATTCTTAAATTTCTTTTTCTGTTTTAGTGCTTCCTCATCTAAGAGTCAATTTTCTTCGCTATTCTGAAGCTTCAATCTGACTGTGATATGAAACATATTTCCTCTAGAGAATACCAGGAAGCTCCCATAAGTAGCCAGAAAACAGCTGTGTCTGGACAGAGGTGACAGAAACCAGTGGCTTGTGTCTCTCAAAGAGAGAGATAGGCACATTACCCAGTGGGACCCCATTTATAGAATGGAAGAGCTTATCTTGGCTTAATTAATGTGTGAACTCAACTACAATGTTGATTGTGGTTATAGTTTCACAGAGGTATATGTATGTAAACATTTATTCAGTTCTACACTTTAAATATGCATGGTTTACTGGATATCCATAAAACTGTTTTCAAATATTTAGAGGCTCAATCAATATTAATACGTGCCTCCTACCACGCTGGAATGAAATTTGCACACTCCTTTGAGAGTTTACTCATTTGCAGGGAATTTGGAAATAAGAAAATAGTGTTGCAGATAACATTGAACAGAATATAAAATTTCCTATGACGTGTCAGAGGGCACATTGGACTCCATTAGTATCTCTAGTCATCAATATGTATACAGATTATACTTTTCTTATGGGGTCAGCACTTTTGGATAAACCATTGACAGCTTTATCTTGGATAAGCCTGAATGCTCAGATAGATGGAAAAGGATCCAATTATTCCATACACAAACAAAAATAAGAGAATATCAGAATCTTTCATCTTCCAAACCAGGTTTCTTTCAGAGAATGATGTTACAAACCAGCAAGGGGGAAATGTGAGAATGAACCTTACTTGATTAGTTAGACATCAGTATCAACTCACATGTAGCTTGGTAGAAACAGACATAGGGATACAGATAGACACAGAAACAAGTATAGATATTATGTATACATACGTTAGAATACATGCATGAGTCTTCTTAGCTCTGTTCTTGTGAAGGCCTAGAAGAAATGGCATCCCAATAGCCATAAGCATACTCGTGCCCAGGTCTTGGTTTCTAATATCATTCTCCAATAAAAGAAACCAGGGTTCCTTGGAGAAAAGACTGATTCTACAACTAGGGAAGACAAAATACAGTATGATCTTGGAACATGGTATAATACCAGAAGGCAAGGAAGTGCCCCCAAAAAACAAAAGGATGGGGTGCTGTCAAAAGGACACAGGCATCAACCTGAAAGAGATTCTAATGGCTAACGCTGGAACAATTTGAGCAACAAAATAACTAGCATAGCATTGGATCATAACTCAAAGTATAAAATAAATACACATACTAATATGTGTATGTATATTACATATTTTTGTAACAGAGGAAGACATATATCTTCTTTACAAAATTGACAATAATATAGGTAGATATTCCTGTATTCAGAAAATAAAGTTTAATTCCCTTCCAACCTTGAATATGGACTGGACTTAGTGACACTTCTATAAAACAGGATATGGAAATAGGAAAATAGTAAGTTGGCAGACACCAACTTAACTAAGTAAGCATATTTACTACCCTCAGTGGTTAAGTCGTGTTGTTAGCGTGTATCCCCTGATAGGTTGTGACAAGAAGGCACTTCATCTCTGTGATATTCTTCTCCAAATTCATAATCCCAGTTTATATATAAGGAAAACATCCAAGAAACCCAAATTGAGGGGCATCCTATAAAATATCTGACATTACTCTTCAAAAATGACAAAGTCAGTCATAAAATAACAAGGGGAGACTGGGAACCTGATACAGTCCAGAGATTATGAAAATATACAACATAAAGACAATGTGGTGTACTGGATGGGGTCCTGAAACAAACAAAAAATAGTGGAAAAATAACTGAAATCTAAATAGTCTGGAGCTTCCCTAATAGTAATGTAACAATATTTATCTCTTAGTTTTGACAAGTGAACTACAGTCATATAAAAGTTTACCTTAGGAAAATCTGGGTGATGGGTATACGGGAACTCTCTGTGTTCTCTTTACAACTTTTTTTTGTAAACCTAACATTATTTCAAAATGAAAACTTTTTTTAAAAAACGCTCTTTTAAAATTGGCTACATTAAAATCTTCACAAGAATGATAAAAGGCTGTCATCATGAAAATGCTCAATTGGGCAAGTGAATACTGACATTTGATTCTGGCTCATGGCATTGGGAGTGTTATTCTGAGTAGTAAGTGGTGATACTGTTGTTCTTGTTTACCTAGCCCCAGGAGCAACAAAATCTGCATCTGCCCTTGAAATGGTCCTGGCTACCTCTTTTATCACTCTTTAGCAAAGAAAGAAGACCATGGTTGGAAATAGCCATAGACTGCATGTGTCAGGATTTCTCATGACAACTGGGCAGCCCCAGAGCCTGGCCTGCCTGGTGGCCCACAGCAGAGGGTTCTGGTAGCCGAAGGGGTGGTGGGTTGGGAGGTGAACTGGCTGCTCCATAGCTTAGTGAATCTTCTGTTTAAGTAATTTCAGCAGCCCTGCCAGCTCAATATTTTAATAAACAAGTCTTACATGTACTCAAATGTATGTCATCCCTCTCAAGAGGGAGAATCACATGCTTATCCAGTTTGTCAGCTACCGGTTTGGCCATCTCACTGTGTCTCAAAAACACTTCGAATAGACACATTGCTCATCCTGAGTGATGCTAGATGGGTGTGTCAGCAGCCAGACCATTTTTGCAGCTCTCACTTGGTCAGATCCTCTCTATTTTATTTTTTAATGTTTTAAGAGAAGAGCTTACTTTCAAAGGATGTGAGATGCCCAATCAACTTCAAGTTATGCTCTCTGGAAATGTCATTAATCCTGTGCCAGCTCCAAGGATTAATTTGTGACAAGCTTTACAGAGTTCCCAGCACTCACCCTCGTCATTTATCACTGTACATACCAGCTGATTTCCTCCACGACTCCTTTAAACATCTTTTCTCATCACAGCGACCCACTCTTCATGTGAAAGATCTCAGCGATTCAGGAAACATTATTTGATGAGATGAACTCCGTTTAAGTTCTGCAGACAGCAAAGAGGCCCTCAGAGAGTGAATTCCCATTTTGAGAGCCTACAGCTGAGGAGGAATCAGGAACTAAGTTTCTCAGCAGGGCAAGGTTTTAAAAAGGCCCTCAGAGCAAGTGCAGCTGCCCTACCCCCCCTTACACTCCTGCCTGCCCGGACAGCTGAGTGTGGCTCTCCTGACGTAACCCTCTTCTGTCATCCACTTGCCCATTGATAGCAGCCCCCAGCACTTTGTCACACATTCACCAGTCTTTTAGTGACCCTTGGCCCAGGCTGATCAGGTATCCCCATATTCTATGCTCACCCACCAGGCTAGCCTCTGAATCAAGAGCTACCACATAAAACAGATAAGAAAAGTAAAGGGGAAATCTCGATCCTCAGCTTGGGTTCGCTGATCTTTTGTTGTGAGAAGTATATATAGGGTGATGCTCGTTCTTAGCATCTGTGGAGGCTGTTTTCATGGTAGGCAAGAGAAATTCTCTTTATTTACCATGACACTGTGTGGCTTCAGATTTATTTAGTGTAAAACAGCTTTTATCTCAGCTGGCATTGACCCGATTTAAAAGAAGCTCATGTCCTTGGCAGACAAGACTGTTGTCTCTCAAGACTAGGGGATTGATTGGAGGGCAAGGAGGGGTAACAAGGCCAGCCATAGCATAGGAGGAAGTAGGAAGAGAGTAGCCTTGCCCTCCAGGGGCAAGACTCCTCCTCAAGGCAGGGCAGGTGAAGAGAACCTGCCCAGGCTGTTATAAAATTTCTTTGATCAGGCTTATATAAAATGTTTCTTGTCCCCTGGATGGATGTCAACTGACAGTGACATCACATCTATGCAGGGGACAAGAAACATTTTATTAAAATATATCAGTCTGGGCAGAGTCACCATAAAAGGTAGTGAATCGGCCGGGTGCAGTGGTTCACACCTGTAATCTCAGCACTTTGGGAGGCTGAGGCTGGCAGATCATGAGATTAAGAGATGGAGACCATCCTGGCTAACATGGTGAAACCCCGTCTCTACTAAAAATACAAAAGTTAAGTAGGCGTGGTGGCATGCACCTGTAGTCCCAGTTACTTGGGAGGCTGAGGCAGGAGAATCGCTTGAACCAGGGAGGTGGAGGTTGCAGTGAGCCAAGTTTTCACCACTGCACTCCAGCCTGGTGACAGAGTGAGACTCCATCTCAAACAAAACAAAACAAAACAAAACAAAACAAAACAAAAGGTAGTGAATCTAAGACAAAATTTTGGGGTATCAGTTAGTGAGTGGGGGGCAGAGGTGGGATATCTAGGTTCAGCTGCACCTAGGCATCCAGGCATAAAGTTGGCATCTGCAGGGTACAGTAGACAGACTCTGGGCAGTACACACAGCTGTTAAGAGCACTTGCCCCAGAGACAGGCTGTGGAGCATCATCAATTCTAACGATTCTGCTTTGGTTGATATATGCCATTCCATTTTCTATTTTTTTTAAGTGACTATGCTTCATGGATATCAGTTTTTCAGCTTGAGAGCTCATGTCCCCTCAATAACAACTACTGTGTCCAATAATGTGTAGAAGGGAAGGGCTGAAATTCAGGCCTAGTCTACAAAGTAAAGGAGAAGGAAGATAGAGAGCCTCAACCACTGGAGACTCATGTGGGCCCTTTCCGTTTGCTGCCTCTATATTAATCAATTCCTCTGATCATAGATTCATTTTTCAACTCAGAGACAAGCAGTATGTGTCTTCTTCAACTTTAACACCCTTGCCTAGGGTGCCAAGGGAGGAGGAAGTTAAGGAGAGACAGCCTAAGATTAAACAGTCAGCTCACAAATTTCCTTCATCTTCTCACCCCAGAGGATTTTTGTATTGCCTTGTTAGTTTCCCACTATAATCAATAGTGACTGTTGATGCCATCAACAGGTGGCTGTCCAAGATATGAGCAGGTGTCCCACAATTTTTTTGTATTAGAAAATAAATCCCCAAATTTATATGTGGATGGAATTTGGATGTAGTACTTTTGGGGAGGTAATTGGGATTGGATAAGGTGATCAAGGTGGAGTCTCCACGACAGAACTAGTGGCTTTATCAGAAAAGGAAGAGAGATCTGAGCTACCACACTCTTACTCTATGTGATGCCCTCCACCATGTTATGATGCAGCAAGAAGGTCAGTGCCATGCTCTTGGACTTCCCAGACTCCAGAACTATGACCTAAATAAATCTCTATTCTTTATAAACTGCCTAGGCTATGGTCTTCTGTTATAGCAACAGAAAATGGACTAAAACAGTTGGCTATGGCTGCCCCATATATGGGTAGTGTATACAGCACAGATATGCTGGACAAAGGGAGATGTCATGTCTCAGGCATGAGATTTCCTCACGCTACTCAGAACAACATATATTTTAAAATTTATGAGTTGTTCATTTCTGGAGTTTACATTTAATATATTTGGACTGCAGTTGACTGTGGAGAGCTAAAACCATGAAAAGTGAAACCTCAGATGGAAGGGACTACTGTAAACTTTACTGTATAAAAATTATATTTCATATAGAATGATGGCGTATTTTAATATTTTTTATATTTTATGGAGTAAGGCTTCCAAAAACAAGAGTTCCTTTGGTATTTAAATTTGTTTTAAACTTCGCTTTTCAGGATAAGGCATCTTTAGAGTTAAGAAAAGGGAGCTACCCCCGTAAAACAACACTTTGGACACTAGGCATTTGTATCAGGTAAGGCAAGCTAACTACTGTAACAAGCAACTACCTAATTTCAGTGACTTAACACAATAACACTTTATTTTCTCATTTATACAATAGTCCATCATGAATATTCCTTGTTCGGGAGTTCTCCTGAGTAACTTTCTTTTGTGTGACAGATTAGGGATGCGGACTCCCTCTAACTGTGGCTCCACCTCCTCTGGATCTTTGGAGTTTCTCTTTTCAGAGGAAAGAGAGTGTGGAATGGCATCAGATGCACTTAGAAGTCTCATGGATCAACACTCAATTTCATGGTGCCTCTTACCTGAGATGGAGTGATGGAACTCTAGTGGTGTATACAGAAGGAACAGAATAGCCTGTGGTGGACACAAAGCAATCTCTGCCTTAGTGTTCATAGTATGCATGCATGCATGCATTGATTGATTGATTGATTGATTGATTGGAGAAGGAGTCTCACTCTGTCACCCAGGCTGGAGTGCAATGATGCGATCTCAGCTCACTGCAGCCTCTGCCTCCTAGGTTTAAGCGATTCTCCTGCCTCAGCTTCCCGAATAGCTTGGACTACAGGCATGCACCACCACAACCAGTTAATTTTGTATTTTTAGTAGCAGCAGGGTTTCACCATGTTGGCCAGGCTGGTCTTAGACTCCTGACCTCAAGTGATCTGCCCACCTCGGCCTCCCAAAGTGCTGGGTTTATAGGCATGAACCACTGTGCCTGGCCCATAGCATTTATAAATGTGGTTTATTTTATGCCATCACATTTGTTCTAACCTCATGAGAAGGTGTGAACTTCCTCTTTGATAAGAGGCTTTGATGTTTAAGAAGAAAACAACTGTATTTGTTTTATTTTGAGAAGGGTATCTTTGCTGCATGTTCGTGTTTTCTCTTTCCAGGTTGTTATAGTTGGCTTCTAGTGCTCTAGTTGACTTCTGAGTGCAGAGCCACCTTTAGCCACTGCAGTGACTTAAGGTTACCCATAGCCTTCTGTCTCTCATGCTCTCAACTCAAGGCTGATTTTAGAGGTGGCAAAGACGTATCCCCAAGAACGCTAAGGATCAGGCAAATCAACTCTATTCACACTATACCCAAAGACAGGCTTTGGGAAATGGTCCTAGAGGCCCACTGTATGCAACTATTAAATATTAAAGCAGTATTTATCAGGTCCAGTCCAGGTCCCAATGAAGTCATGACCTTGGGCACAATAATTAATTTCTTTGCCCTTTGGTTATCTTCTTTGTAAAACAAATAGGGTAGTATCTATCTCATAGTATGAATGGGAAGATTCACCAAGATAATGCAAATAAAATGCTTAGCACACTATTAGGTGCATAGTAAATGCACAATTGCCCAGTTAATTTCCCTTACAAATCTGGTCTATTTTGTATTAGTGAGCTTCCTTACTTGCGAGAATTGGAAACTGAGTTTGGATGATTTAAGTAGAAATAAATCCCTTGAAAAACTATGGGATAAATGAAATAAGCCAGGTACAGAAAGACAAATACCTTATTATCTCACTTATATGTGGAATCTAAAAAAGTTGAACTCATAGGGACAGAGAGTAAAATGGTAGCTCTGGGCTGAGGGGAGAGGTGAGACTTGGAAGATGCTGGTCAAAGAACACACAATTTTAGTTTGGAGGAATAAGCTCCAGAGATCTATTGTACAATATGGTGACTATATAATTACTAATAATAACAATGTATTATATATTTAAAAATTGCTAAGAGAGGAGATTTAAGTTTTCTCACCGCAAATAAAAAGTATGTGAGGTAATTGATACATTGGTTAGGTTGAATTCACCATTTCACAATGTACACACATATAAAAGCGTCATGCTGTACAGCACAAATGTATACAATTTTAATTTGCCACTTAAAAAATTAAAAACTGCAAGGCAAGTGAATTTGTATTGGAAACTTCCTCCTATTCAGCATTGTGAGGAGGGTAAGCTTTTATTTCATCATTAAAAGGTATCATTAAAGAGTAAAAAAGAAAGAAGGAAAGAATATGAGTACCTCACAGAATTTCCAGAACAAGTGATAATGAATCGGGCATATATTAACAATGCCCCAAATCACACATCAGAATGATTTTTGTGATGGCAGTCATCACCACTGCCAGGCTGTCACCAAAGCTTGTACAGCCAACAGCAGTGATAGGATGCTGGATGTTGATCCCAGAACTGGAATCCATCCTACATCTAGAAACCAGGAGCAGTGGCTGCCACTGTCACTACCTGTCAACAAATTGGATTCTGGGCAATACCAACTACATCACACCACTAGCCCCGAATTCAACATTGAGGCCATCTTTATCTAGGTCACATGTCCATGCCCTCCATGCGAAGGAGTCTGGAAAAGCAAGTACAGTCAGCTCTCCATAGGAGTGGGTTACACACATTTGTGCATTCAAACAACCACAGATCAGAAATATTTGAAAAAAAAAAAAAAAAGAATGGTTGCTTCTATATTGAACATGTACAGAATTTTTTTCTGGTCATTATTTTCTAAACAATACAGTATAACAACTATTTTACATAGCATTTACATTATGTTAGCTATTATAAGTAAATCTAGAGATGATGTAAAGTACATGGGAGGATGGGTTATGCAAATGTTTCACCATTTTATATCAGGGATGCACACAGTGAGTGTAACCTACCTGACAGGCGAGGAGTTATTCTCCCACTCTGGAGGTCCTTCTTTCTCTTTTTGTCTTTTGTGGTTTGCCTTTCTTCATTGTCCAAATAATGCATATTCATTGGAAAAAAATAAAACAATACAAGTAAAAAATATATAAAGGAAAACATAAAGCTATACAAACAGCATAGTCAAAACCCCAATAGATACATGAAAAATGGAATAATAAAGTATTTAAATAATCCAAAAAGAAGGCAAAAAGGGGAAACAGAGGAACAAATAACAGAAAGGATAAACAGAAAACAAACTTTAAATGGTAGACTTAAATGCAAACATAATGGTTATTAAATGAAATGACCTAAACACACAGATTAAAAGACCGATTTTTTAATCTCTTTTTTATTTTTAAAAATAGATTTTAGGGGACACACACACAGGTTTGTGGCATGGGTATACTGCCTAGTGGTGAAGTCCGGGCTTCTAGTGCAGCCATCATCTGAATAGTCTACACTGTACCTGTAAGTAATTTCTCATTCTTCACCCCTCTCTCACCCTTCCAAGTCTCCAATGCAAAAGACAAATTGTTGAACTCTAGCTCTAATTCTGTGCTGTCTCCATAAACCCACTTTTAATATAAAGACATATGTTACATATAAAAAGGTGGTAAAAGCAAGCAATAAGTATTCAAGAGCTGATGTAGTTGTATTAGTACCTGACAAAGCAGACTTCAAAGCAGGAAAAAATTACTGGAGGTAAAGAGAGAAATTACAAAAGGATAAACGAGTCAATTAATCAAGAAGACATAACAATCTTAAATATGTATGCACCTAAAAACAAAATTTCAAAATATGTAGACCAAAAACTGACAAATGAAAGGAAAAATGGACAAACCCACAAATATAGTTGGAGACTTCAACGTTCCTCTCACACTAAACAATAGAACAAGTAGAAAATCAGCAGCCAGGCATGGTGGCTCATGCCTGTAATCCCAGCACTTTGGGGGGCCAAGGCGGGTGGATCACAAGGTCAGGAGATCGAGACTATCCTGGCCAACATGGTGAAACCCGTCTCTACTAAAAAAAATAATGATAATACAAAAAATTAGCCAGGCATGGTGGTGCACGCCTGTAGTCCCAGCTACTCAGGGGCTGAGGCAGGAGAATCACTTGAACCCGGCAGGCAGAGATTGCAGTGAGCCGAGATCCCCCCACTGCACTCCAGACTGGCGACAAAGGGAGAGAGAGAGGGAGAGAGAGAGGAAGAGAAAGAGGGGGTGGGGGGAGAGAGGGGGAGTGGGGGAGAGAAGGGCAGTGGGGGAGAGAGGGGGAAGGGGGGAGAGAGGGGGAAGTGGGGAGAGAGGGAGAGAGAGAAAGAATCAGCAAGAACATAGAAAAACTTAACACTACCAATCAACTGGACATAATTAATATTTATTCTATAATATGTTCACCAACAGCAGAATGCATATTCTTTTCAAGTGCACATCAAATGTTCACCAAGATAGATCACATACTGGGTCATAAAACAAACCTTAACATACTTAAAACAATTGAAATCTTACAAAGTACATTTTCTGATCATAATGGAATTAAATTAGAAATCAGTAACAAAAAAGTTCTGGAGGCTGGGCGTGGTGGCTCACGCCTGTAATCCCAGCACTTTGGGAGGCAGAGGCAGGTGGATCATGAGGCCAGGAGTTCAGGACCAGCCTGGCCAAGATAGTGAAACCCTGTCTCTACTAAAAATATGAAAAATTAGCCAGGTGTAGTCATGGGCGCCTGTAATTCCAGCTACTTGGGAGGCTGAGGCAGAGAACTGCTTGAACCTGGGAGGCTGAGGTTGCAATGAGTCAAGGTTGCACCACTGCACTCCAGCCTGGGCAACAAGAGGGAGACTCCATCAAAAAAAAAAAAAAAAAAAAAAGTTTCTGTAAAATCCAAAATATCCAAATTAAACAACACACTACTTAACATCTATTGTTCAAAGAGAAAGTATCAAGTG
Organism: Homo sapiens; assembly: GCF_000001405.40. NCBI lineage: Eukaryota > Metazoa > Chordata > Mammalia > Primates > Hominidae > Homo > Homo sapiens. Next base: position 111,403,173 of record NC_000010.11, on the reverse strand, counting down.
AAATGTAACATAGTCTGAACTGAATGAAAATAAAAATACAGTGTATCAAAATTTGTGGTAAGTAAAACAGTGTTTGTAAAATAGTCTACAGTATTAAATGTTCATAATGGAAAAGAAGAAAGATCTTAAGTTACTAAAAGCTTCTACCTTAAGAAAGAAGAATAAAATAGGAAAGCAAATAGAAGGAAAAATAATACAGATAAGAGTAGAAATCAATGAACTAGAAAACAGAAAAGTAAAATAAAATCAAAAGCTGCTTTTTAAAAAAATCAATAAAAGTTAATAAACCTCTGGGCACATTGACAAATAAAACAGTGAAGACACAAATTATCAGTGTTGGGTATGAAAGTGTGTTATCAGTACAGACATCACAGACATTAGAAGAAAACAAGAAAATATTAAAACAACTCTGTGCACATACATTTGAAAACTTACATGAAATGGACCATTTCTTAAAGCCAGAAACTACGAAAATTCACTCAAGGAACAAAAAAGATAATCCGAATAGTTTATAGTTATTTGATAAATTGAATTCATAGTTAAAACAATTAAAAAACAAAACACCAGACTCATATGGTACCAGTGGTAAATTATACCAGACATGCAAGGAAGCATGAATATTTTTCTACACAATATCTTAACAAGAAATAAAAGAGTAAGGATTACTTCCTAACTCATTTTATGAGGCCACACTACCCTGATACCAAAGCTACACAAATATAGTACAAAAAAGAAAGTTAGAGACCAATATAACTCATGAACACATATGCGAGAGTCTCCAACAAAACATGAACAATTTATTTATTATTTTTTAATTTTTTATTTTAATGTTTGTAATGCTACATAGTAAGTGTGTATATTTATAGGTTTATGAGATATTTTGATACAGGGATTCAATGCATAATAATCACATCGGGGTAAGCGGGGTATCTATCACCTCAAGCATTGCTGTATATTAAAAAATGTATTATGACTACAAATACTGGGTTTATCTCAAAAATGCAAGTCTCACTTAAAATTTGCAAATCAAATTATGTAATTCACCATATTAACAGACTAACAAAGCAAAACCACATGATCATTCTTGGGTGACCACTAGACAAATAAAACATATTAAAAAAAAATTCAACATTCGCTCATCATAAAAACTCTCAGCAAATTTAGAAGAAAACTTCCTTGCTCTCATAAAAAGCATCTGTGAAAACTTCCAGCTGACATCATACCTAATGGTGAAAGACTGAATGTTTTTCCTCCTATGACTGGTAGCAAGGCAAGGATGCCCACTCTCACCACACCTATTCAACAGCATATTGGAAGTCCTAGCCATTGTTATAAGTTAAGAAAAAGGAAAGACATACAGATTCAGAAAGAATAAATTAACGTGTTCCTATGTACAAATTATGTTATCTTCTGTCTGTGTACAGAAATCCCAAGAAAACTACCTAAAAGCTCCTGAAACTAATAAATGAGCCCAGCAATGAAGCCAAGAAAGATCAATTTTTTAAAAGCGAGTATATTTCTGTTTATTAGCAACCAACAATTGGAAACTTGATTTAAGATTTCAATAAAATAATTTAACAAAAATTTTATGAAATTTCAATAGTTCCAAAAATGAAATACTTAAGCATAAATCTAACAAAATTTATGCAAAGTCTATGTTCTGAAAACTATAAAATTGTAACAAAAGAAATCAAAGACCTGAGTAAATACACGTACATATCAAATTTATGAATTGGAATATCTAAAATAATTAAGAAGTCAATACTTCCTAAACATATGTATAAATGTGTACAATTCCAGTTAGAATCCAAACAGAATTTTGTGTAGATACAGACAAGCTGACTCATTATTTATATGTAAAGGAAAAGGAATTAAAATGGATACAAACAATCTTGAGGAAGAATAAAATTTGGAGGACTAACACTATCTGATTTAAATACTTACTATAAAGCCACAGCAATCAAGACAGTGTGATCCTCAGTAAAAGAATAGACACATACATCAAATGGGATGGAATAGACAGTCACCCACACAGATGTGGTGAAGTGATTTTGACAAAGAAGCAAAGACAATTCAGTGAAGAAAGGATGGCCTTTTAACATACAGTGTCAGAACAACTGAACATCTATATGCCAAAAGTGAATCTTGAATTATAATTTACATCTTACACAAAAAGAAAATCAATATGGATCATAGGTCTTAATTTAAAATTAGAAAACCTTTAGAAGAAAACAGAAGAAAATGTTCATGACTTTGAGTTAGGCAGAAAGTTTGTTACATACAGCACCAAAAACACAATCTATAAAAGATAAAATTGATGTCAGACTTCATCAGAATTGAAAATTTCTGCTCTTTGAAAGACACTGCTAGGAAAAATAAAGAGACAAGCCACATACAGTAAGAAAATATTTTCAAATCACATCTTAGGCAAAAAGATTTACATGCACAATGTATAAAGAACTCTTATAACTCAACAATAAGAAAACATACAACCCAGATTTTAAAAGGAGTAGAGGATTTGACTAATAGACACTTCACTGAAGGAGACATACTGATGGTAAATCAGCAATGAAGAGATGTTCAACATCATTACCCATTAGGAAAATGCAAATTAAAACCTCATTAAAATCACCTTTGAAGAGGTTAATTTTTTTAAAACTAAAAAACAAAAGCAAAATATGGACAATACCAAGTGCTGGAGATGATATTGAACAACTGGAACTCTCATACATTGCTCTACCAAAAATTGCACAGCCACTCTTAAATGCCATTTGGCAGTGGCTTATTAAGTAAAGTATACACTTACCATATGAACTAGGAATCCTGTTCCTATTTGTCTTCCACAGAGAAATGAAAACTTATGTTCACATAAAAACCTGTGCATGAATGTTTACAGCAGTGATATTCACAATTGCCCAAACCTGGAAAGAACCAAAATGTCCTTCAGTGGGTGAACAGATAAACAAACTCTGGTACATCCATACAATTAATATTATGCAGCAATGAAAACAAACAATATAAATACAATGACAAGGATGAATATTCAAGGCACTCTGCTGAGTGAACAAAGCCAGTCTCAAAAGGTGACATGCTTTATAACTCTACTTATACGATATTTTGGAGAAAGCAAAACTATAAAGACAGAGAACGCGAAGTGGTTACAAGGGGTCAGGGTTGGAGGAGGGGTATGTCCACAAATGGGCAGCAGGAGGGAATTGTAGGGATGATAGAATTGTTCTGTATCTTGACTGTGGTGGTAGTTAGATGCATGTATACATGGGTTAACATTCATAAAATATACACCAAGTTAAGTTAACTTTACAGTAGGTTAATAAGAAAAATTTAATAAGAAAAAAGTAAATAAAAATCAATCAGAGAAAACTAGAGGTGATATGGTGGCTTTTCAAATATTTTTATGCACAAACACTCACAACCTCAAATGCATACAAGATTTTCTTTCTCTCTTATACATTTTAACTGAACAACAATATTACATCTTGACATTTCTACATAAGCATTCTCTTCTCTCAGAACTGTGAAGTACATTGGACCAGAAAATCTTTAAAGATCTTTTTTGGAACACACACTACATTCAACTTGAGTTAGGTGAATACATTGAATCCAGACACAGAACCAAAAACTCCACTGGGCAGGAGCAGTGCGGAGCATTTGTGCATTATTGCATTGCTATAAAGAAATATCTGAGACTGGGTAATTTATAAAGAAAAAATTGTTTAATTGGCACACAGTTCTGCAGGCTGTACAGGAAGCATGGCAGCATCTGCTTCTGGGGAGGCCTCAGGAAGTTTCCAATCATGGGGGAAGGCAAATGGGAAACGAGGCATCTCACGTGGCAAGAGCAGTACCAAAAGAGAGAGAGAATGGGGAGGTGGCACACACTTTTAAAGGACCAGATCTCAGGAGAACTCACTTGCAATCACAAAGGAATCACAGTACCAAGGGAACGGTGCTAAACCACTCTTGAGAAATTCACCCCCATGATCCAATCACTTCCCACCAGGCCCCACCACCACCATTAGGGATTACAATTCGACATGAGATTTGGTTTGGACACAGATCAAGCAATGAGAGATCTTCTTCAGTAATGGATCATGAGCCTCTTAGAGAGATGTGGTGAACAACCGGGGGAACACCAGCATCATTTCCTCACTTATTACTTCCCTTCGGAGTCCCAATTTTGTCTAGGCTAGTGTTCAAAACTCTTTCAAAATTCTGCTAGAGGGCCTGTAGGCAAAAAGACTTCATAAATTTAACTTGACCTTTAAAATTTGTCATTATGTGTTTAAGTAGTAACAATGCCTTTTCCAGCATGTTGCAAATATTGAAATTTTCTAGTAAAACCACGAGATCCCTTTTAAAAATCAATTTGATGATTTAATACCATAGTGATTTAGGCCCCATCACCGTCTATTTTAAAAATGCATGAACAATCTCTTTTTTTTAATAGAAATGTTATCATTGATTTACCTTCTTAAACTCATATTTCGATTCTACTTCCCTCTAGAACTTAATCCTAATATATTGGCATACAGATCTTTTTTTAATGCTCATAACATTGGCATTTTCCTGCAACGTAGACTAATAAATGTCTCCGAGTCTCCTAGGTTTTGATTTCACACCATCATTATTAGTGTACAGTAAAAACAAAATAAAATGCTTGCTGCTTATCTTTTCATCATTCATGATGATGCCTACCAATATGTAACCTTTGCAGGGGCATGAGCTATTTCCCATTTTAGAGTCAGAAGCAGGACTTGTCAATCAGTGTGGGTGACCAACCTGAAGGATTGGGCTCACATTTCCCTTTGGTCTTAGGACTCTGCTTCCTGTCATCTGGTCTGGTAACCAGGCCTCCTGCCTCCTACATGCCTCGAGATAGAATGGACATACAAATATTCCGGCCTGTCTTGCAGCAGAGGCCACAGGAAGGCAGACCACACACATGTCAACACAGAGGGTCAGATCCAGTCACATGGCGCTAGTCTTGCCTATGTCCCACTGAGAGAGGCTAGCACTTCCTTCCCCAAACCCTCTGATATCCTGTTTCACTCTACAAAGGGAAGGACAGTCCAAAGGGCAGGAGGGTCTGACCTTTGGAGGGTTTCTCTGAATTCCTCACATTGGCTGGTTTGCTCTTGAAATGCCCTCCTGTTATTTCCTGATAAGAATTACAAAATGGTGGTATTAGACCCTGCTCTGCCAATGACCAAGAAGAGCATGACGTGAGGCGGGTGCATTCTCTTACCTGAACCTCTGTCTCCTCAATTGCAAATGAGTGGTAGACCAGGCAGCTCCTAACTCCCTGCTAGCTCTGAAAATATGCAGGATTTTATGTTCTCATCATTTATCTCTTCTCAGCTAAAGATTCCTTAGAAACAATATCTAGCTTAATTTTCTTGTAACGCCCAAAGAACGTACTGCCATACTAAGCCCACCTTATTTCCTTCTTCCCACCCTCCCTCACCCTTAGGCTCTTCCTTTTCTTCCCTCTCACTCACTTTACTCTTTTTCTTTCCACCCCTCCTACTTTTCCTTTCCCCTCCCCTTCCTCCTCTCACCTTCCCTTCATTTCTCTCTTCCTTCCATTAATTTATGAATTCGTTAATTGGGATGGATCTAGACCATTGTGGGGCTTGCAACTTCCAAGCCTGAATTAAATAACACTTTCTCAACGTTTAAATTTCAAGAAAGTAAAATTGAGTTATCAATTGTCTCAAATCTGCTCTTGTATTTGTAGAAGGAAAAGAAGTCAGAAAACGCCTAGTAACAGGCTTTAAATAAATGTGAACGATGATTATCATCAAAAACTAATTATCAGTTCCAAACTCAAAGAAGATGTCACACATATCCTAAAGCAGCTGTATTGAAGCATCTCATCAGCAATAATAACACAATTTCTGAGTGATGAGTTGGAGACAGGATAAACAGAGGTATCTCTTACAACATGGAAATGCACAAGGGTTTTCTGGTAATAAAGAACATGAATCAAAATATTTAAGGAAGAAATAATAAGAATTGAATACGACCTCTAAAAAAAAAAAAAAGAATTCTTTCCAACTAGTTTTTGTGGTCAGAGAAACCCTGATAACAGAATTTGACAAAGACATTACAAGCAAGGAAAATTATAGGAAATTATAGGAAATTATCTCTCATAAACACAGGCATAAACATTCTAAACAAAACATAAGCAGATTGACTACAGCAATATTTAAAAGTATAATACATCATGATATAGTGAGTTCATCACGGACATGTAAGGGTACATTAGTATTTGAAAATGAATCAACATAAATCACCACCTTAACAGAATAAAGGAGCCAAACACTACTGTCCTAACAGAGGCAGAAAAAGCCTTTGATAAAATTCACCACCTGTTCCTGATTAAGGAAAAAAGCTTTCAGCAAATAAGAATAGAAAGAAAAGTATTTCATCTATTAAAGAATAGCTATAAAAAATCTGTAGCCAATAAAAGACACTTATTGGTAGAATATAGAAGAATCTCCCCCTGAGGTTAGAAACAAAGAAAAGGGTATGCACATGACCACATCTTTTGACACTGTACAGGTTTTTAGCAACACTGTAAAACAAGAAAAATAGAAGTATAAAGATTAGTTAGAAGACATATTGCTACATTCATGTACGATATGACTGTGCACATCAAAAATTCCAAAAGTTATACAAGCTATTATTGTTAAATAGATTTATCAAGGCTGCAAGACTCAAGGTCAGTAGCAAAAATCAATCGTGTCTATACATTGGCTTCAAGTAATTGGAAAATAAAATTTTGAAGTATCATTTACAACAGTATTTAAAAACATCAAATAGGTAGGAATAAATCCAGTTGTAGAGGTGAAAGCTCTAGAATGAAAACTGAAAAACAGTGTTGTTAGAAATTTTAAAAGACATAAATGAGAAAATATTTCACATTGATTTAAATTCTCAATATGAATTGGATGGTGTCAATTCTGTCTGTATTGGTCTTTAGATGTAATGCAATTCCGAAAAAAGGCCCATCAGAGAGGGTATGCATGTGTGCATGCATGTGTGTGTGTGTGTAATTGAGGAGCTTATTCTAAAATGTTTGTGTTGAAATGCAAAGGATATGGAAAATCAGTGTTGAAGAACAACAAAGTTGGAGTTAGAGGATTTTCATTATCAAATATGGAAATTCCTATAAAGCTTTAGTGATTAAGACAGTGTCAGATTGGTGCCAGGATACAACAGAATAGAAAGCGCAGTCCCAGATCCATGTAAATACATGTGTTCACCTGACTTAATACAAAGGCACCACTGCAGACATACATGCTATGATTCCATTTATAAAAATTGCAAGAACAGGAAAAATTAATCTTTGATGATAGAAGTCAGAATAGCGCTTATTTCTTGGAGTGGCAAGAATTGACTGGATGGGAGGACACAAGCAAACGATATGCCTGCTGGAATCATTCTGTATCTTTCCAGGATTATGTTGACATGGGTCTAAAAACTCATAAGCTGTATGCCTAAGATTTGTTACTTACTGTGCATGTGTTATACTACAACTAATAAAAACGTTTAAAGAATGTAAGCGGCCGGGCACGGTGGCTCACGCCTATAATCCCAGCACTTCAGGAGGCCGAGGCGGGCGGATCACGAGGTCAGGAGATCGAGACCATCCTGGCTAACACGGTGAAACCCCATCTCTACTGAAAATACAAAAAATTAGCCGGGCGTGGTGGCGTGCGCCTGTAGTCCCAGCTACTCCGGAGGCTGAGGCAGGAGAATGCCGTGAACCCGGGAGGCGGAGCTTGCAGTGAGCCGAGATTGTGCTACTGCACTCCAGCCTGGGCAACAGAGCAAGACTCCATCTCAAAAAAAAAGAATGTAAGCCATTTTTGACATTTTATTGCTGACCATCCCTCCCTCTTCTCCTTCTGCTCCATGTCTAGGCAAGATGATAAGAAAGCTTGGGTGCTCCCTCCTGTGGTGCTGATGAGAGCTTCAAATCACACAAGCCCCTGCACAAGCGTGGGGATCAGTATCCCAGCTCCACCCACGCTCTACCAGAAGAAACCAAACCTGAGCCAGTCCCCATTCCTGGTTCTTTCATGTCATTTTTGGACCTGCTTGGGTGCCTCCCCACTGTTCCCAGAAAGTCTCTTTATGTGAATAACAAATTTTTCATACCTTCCTGCTGTGTGTATGTTATCATTAGTCTCTATATCCAAATCCAAATTTGACTGGGAGTCCATCAGCCATCTGCAAATGGCCACAACAGAGGGAAAAGCTTTTGCCTTTGATTTCTCTATTTTGTTTTCTGCTGGATACTTGGCACTTAAGTGGTGTCTAGGACATAGTAGGTACTCAATAAATATGTATTGAATAGATGCAGGGTCAGAAAATAAAGAATTTGGATTGGCAGAAAGATAGATGGGAGGATGTAGGTGGAAATCTCAATGTGCATTTTTAAACCAAAACAAAACAAAAAAGACCCTGTATTAGTCCGTTCTCACATTGCTATAAAGAAACACCTAAGACTGGGTAGTTTATAAAGAAAAGAGGTTTCATCAGCCATGGTTCCGCAGGCTGTACAGGAAGCATGATGTTGGTATCTGCTCGGCCTCTGGGGAGGCCTCAGGAGACTTACAGTCATGGCTGAAGGCAAAGGGGGAGCAGCACTTCACATGGCCCACAGCAAGAGGAACGGGAGTCGGTGGATGGTGGTGCTACACACTTTTAAACGACCAGATCTCGTGAGAACTCTATCATGAGACCACCACCAAAGGGATGGTGCTAAACCATTCATGAAGGATCTACCCCCATGATCCAATCACCAGGCCCCACCTCCAACACTGGGGATTACAATTGAACATGAGATTTGGGTGGGGAGACGGATCCAAACCATATCAGACCCCCAAATCAAGCATGTGCCGTAAGAGGTGTTCACTACAGTGAACTATATCCAAGATGAAATAAATCTACTTAGAGCTATAAATAAAGAAACTATGTGATAAATAAATAAAAATTACACAAGTTCTGGGGTAAAGACATCAGGAACTTTACTGTGAACAGCAGGCAAACACATCTCTGTGGAACTATTCTACTCTCCAGCAAGTGCACTGTGGCTCTTGCTTGGGGGGGAAATAAAAGCCCAAATCCCTGCTGCTCTGTGGCCATTCTCATTATCCGATCTGTAGGATGTTATATTCGGGGTAACCTTAGTGTTGCTTCATAAAGGAAGGCTGGAACTCAAGGGAAAGGAGCTTGAGCAGGAGTAAGACAACAAAGGCTCAGTCAGTGGGCAAGCACATCTTTGGGAATAAATCTGTCAAAACTGGGAGCTCCTCTGGGCTCCCCCACTGCAGCACCAGCAGCCTAGAGTCAAAGCTTTACTGTAGAAGACTCTTCCCTAGTGGGCTCCAGAACTCAGCAACACAGCTTTCCCTAAGTTCCTCTGCATTTCTTCACCTAAGAAGGGAGCCTCCAGTGTAAATCCTTTGCCCTGAAAGATGTCAGCTTTTCCTATATAACAGAAGGCATCTCTGTTATTTCAAATGATGCCTGATCGGCAGGTGCTGAGCATTGGAGAATGTGCAGAGCTGCTGGGGTCTGGCCGGCTGTGAGCAGGGTTGGCAGTGGGGAGCAGAAGGGAGGAAGTCCAAGTCTCATCAACTGGCTTTGTGTCTGGGTCATTGTTTTTCTACAATGAAGTCTGCCCTATGTGATGGAAATGCTCAAACTCAGTGAGAAGTGTTCTCAGAATGTCCCCTCAATGAGGTCCATGAAAACAGCTCACAAATAGCTTTTGAACAGTAATTTGTGTATTTATACACACTCTTTTTACCAGGCAAGAAATTAGGGGAAGAACTTTTAGAGCCACAAGTAGGAGAGATTCTGCTTTTTGTCTCACTATCTTGGACCCCATGTCAAACTGAGAAAAGGGCTAGAAAAAACTACATCAGCACAACGAAGGATTCTACAGGCAGAAGGCCATCCAGGCTCCTAAAGTGCAAGTCATCCTTTCCCTGTTTTTAAATTTTGACTGTTTTATGATTCAGGGTGAAAATTTGCAGATGCTACCCTAGAATGTAAAAAAGATGCAGAATGTGGAGGAGGGAGTTTTACAAATTACCACAAGCTACACCAAAAGTTTGCTTTCCAAAAATAAAACAAAAAGCATTTCTTAGGATTTTGTCAATTAATAGCCACTAATAAAATCTCAGAGTGTTGTAAGAGCTATTCTTAAAATGGAATTTCTGGCATGCAAGGTTATTAGCAATGCTGGAGCACTTTGGAACGATTTGCAATTATCTGAGCTAATGTTTTCTTCATTAACTCTTAATTGGCTCACCAGAAAACAAGAGTTGAATATTCATAGCTAGCAATTACTAAGATCTTTGAGATATCTCAGTCGCTCTGTTAAGTGTTTTAGATACCTTACCTTAGCTAAACTTCACAACCATTCTACGAGGTAGAAACAGAGGAGTGGAGAAGTTAAATGACCCAGCTAATAAGATACGAAGCTGGGATGTGAACACAGGATCCACCCTCTTTACCACTACCTCGTTTTGCCCCTGGTGAAATAATACATGTTAGATTTCAGTCATAAACATGGAAAAATTCAACCCATAAATTACCTGAATATAATCATTGTATTCTGTATCTCATTTCAGCATCTCAGAGAACCTTGCTTGATCCCATTACACATGCCTTGCACTCGTAGGTCAACATTGTGGTTGGCCTGTGGACAGAAGTGAAGTTGTTCTAAAGCCTCTGGTGCTCAGTGTGAAAACATGCCCTGGCCAATTAACAATGTACATTAAGGATGCTGGTTGAGAAGGAGGTAGTACACTTGCCAAGAATGTGCCATCCCTGATCTAATCCACTCCCACTGTTTCACAAGCAGTAGAACTGAAGCCCAAAGAGGGAAAATAAGTTGCTTAAAGCCACACGAGTAGGAAGTAGCCAAGTCCAGTCATTGGTCAGGTTTCCTTGATTCTAAATTCACCATTCTTTAAATAAAGTCTTCTGCTAATAAGTCAACATCCTAAGCTCCTCACCAAGCCCAGCTTGGCAGTGTTGTTGTGAACAATCAATGTGTTCATGCTCACAAAACATCTTTGAAATTCATAAAGCCTTATTTTCTATAAGGGGAATTTAAAGATCAGCACAAACACCAAGCCATTTCTTACCTACAAGCTTTACTTTTGGAAAAGTTCATGTTCAAGAGCATTATAAACTGTAGTCAGAACATTTCTTCCAATAAAACTACCCAGGTCTTCATCCCACAAAGATATTTGCTAATTATTCTTACTAGGGTGCCTCTTTATGTTCATGTGAATACTTAAGTTTCTACTTAGCAATGGCTGTCTGGTAACCAAAAGTAGTTAATGCATCTTCCCAAGGTGCTTAAAATTACCCCCAGGGAATAGTTTTTAACACTAGGAAAATCACCCTTACTCCATCTACTGTTTAGCAATTTGAGGAAGGAAATCCATCAACTCTTCAGGGTATCCTGTTCATTTTTTGTAATTTACCATTTGGGGTAGAGGCTAGCACTTGAATGCACCAAAAATGAGCCTAATTTTGTTATGTGACCCATCTCTCACTCCATCATCTATTACAAGTTAAATTTTGCAAAAAAAGAAAAAAAAACCATTATCTTAATGCAAGCATCACTAAGAAGCCAACAAGAAGCACAAAGAGAAGATAGAGATGGAGGCACCTTTGGATGGGAGTTGGGTGTGGAGCTTCACCCCACCAGCAATAAACAGAAATTCTGACACCAAAATTAGTCATTTGGAAAGGCATCCATGGAATATTCAATGAACTAAAAACGTTCACAGATGTTGGAGAAATTGCTCACAAAGAACTTTGTCCACAAAATTGGCTTGAATTTGTTATAAATATTAAAAGGCTTTTGTCTGGTTTCTTTCACTAGCTGCTCAGGTCAACAGTGGCAACAAAAGCCTTATGTATTTTTAAGACAGACTTTGATGCTCCAGAGAGTTTTGTGCATGACACAAGTCTTGGATACAGTAGGCATTTGCTAATTGCTCATTTAACATAAATTGACATCGACTCAGCTAAGCACAGAACTAAGTGGTTGCCCACCCTATCTTACTTATCAGCGGTGTCTACTCTGTGAATGGTTATGAGGATTCCCTTCATTTTGCAGAGAGCAGAGTGAGGTCACTCACGCTAGATCACACAGCTGGTAACTGGTGAAATCAGGACTCTCAACCAGCCCTCTCTGGTCCACAGCATCATAGACACCACATTGTATTTTATGAGTTTGATAAAATCAGACATTCCAGTTATCGAATATTTGGGGAAGATTGCATGTAAATCATGTTCAATGAGATATAAAGGCCCAATGTAACATGGCCAGTACACAAGTTGTTTTAGCTTTGACCTTTGAAACCATGTTTATAAAGGATTATGCTGTTCTTGAAATGTCACTCTGATCAGTTATTTATGTGTCACATGAGGGCTTGTGCCTTTCATGTCACTCTGCCCTTTTGCATTGGGTGCTATTCAGTTTACAAAGAGGAAAATAGATCAGCGGGGAGAGGGGAGGATAAAATAGAAGATAAGATTGAATATAAATGTTTGGTAAATAGGATCACTACAATATCCTCATTCTGCAACCACCCAACCATGCCCTGCTATATATACAGAGAAGAAGGCTCTAAATCAGCTTTCCCTGGCCAGCTCCTTCATCATCAAAATGAAGACAAGAAGAAGAAATACTAAGGGAATCTTCCTTTTGCAAGTTGGTTCCCTGGGCAACATTTCCTCATCTCCTACCCTTTGATCTATCTGCAAATCCTTAGTGCAATCTACTTCCTGCAGCAGAACTCACCTCCATTCTATTGTGGGCACATAATCTCCATAAAAAATAATAATAGAGATAAGAAGTTTTCTTGGTGCTTCTTGAAGCTTTTGTGTCCCTCATCAGAGAAAAGCATAGGTTCTGCCAAGATAGGCGATCAAAAGGGCAATAACCTGGCCTAGGAAAGTTGTATCGTTGGAGTGAGAGAAGAGTTTCCTGTGTGTACTGTGCTCCCCTAGGTTCCAGCATTTACTCACCTTCTGCTGTGACCATATGATCTGGTGAGATGGGGCTTGGAAGAAGGCAGCACAGCATGGTGATTGGAGTGGCCAGCCACTGCTCAGATCCTCTAATCCCAACTGAGGCAGTGCATGTTTCTCTATGTCATCAGAGATCTGTGGACCAATTCAATATAAAGATAGTTTTCCTAGTTGGAGACCTTCAAAGAAAAGCCATCTATTTTCCAATCATGCTCATATTGGATCAATCAGTGAATATGTTCACAAGGGATTGAAAAGGGTGCTGTCAATTCCCCAGCTGGCAATTCACAACAAAATGTTTATATTATTCCAAATAATAGAGGCCTAGAGTGTTTGGTCCAGTACTGAAACCAGGAATCAAGAACCTCACAATAAACTCAATACCAGAGGCACCTGACCCAAAATGTTTTAAGAGGAGTCCATTAGGACTAACATTGCCACGTTCTCCAAATACTGCTGAGTGGCGTAAATCCTGAGGAGTAGATTGACAATTCTTTGCCAGGGACAGTGGAAGAGATGGGGTTTTGTCTCCAGAGGACTTTGACATGGTCTCTGTCCAGCATTAGAAACAAAACACAGGACAAAACAAAAAAAACATATATTATACGCTTATGTCTCCAACCCTCTAATTCCCACCACCAGCATAAGTTCATAAATAGCATTATTTGGTCAAGCAAAAGCATATTAGAGCAGAAAATTCATGCATTACTTCTGAAGTTTCTTAGACTTCTGTTACCAAACTGGGTGCTGCTGGCTAAGACAAGCTTCAACAATGTGTCTGGATATTGATAGAGTTTGAAGGTGATAATGAATATTTATCCAAACAGGTGATGTTGAGTCTCACACCTGCAACATGTTTTAAAATATTACCCAAGCTTCAAAGACTCTCATAAATACTCATTCTTGAGTCAAGTGTTATCAATCTTAAGGTGGCCTGCCAAATCCAAGACCAACATTAAGGTGGACTGCCTATTCATCTCCACCACCACCTTGGGGAACCACTTCTCTTGGCCTCTCTCCAACCTTTCCATAATCAGGTCTAATCAAGACACAAGGCTGTCATGCTATCTCACCAGAATGGAGGGAAATTAGCACATATAATTCAGAACTTTTTCCAAGTTCTTTTTGTTTTCTTTTATTGAATAATAGCTACATGGATATGATGAAAAGGTCCAGAAGCTTCTTGCCTCAGAGATTACTCCTTGTCTTTCTGCCTTGCTCCTTGCTCCACTAATACATTTTCAAGCAAGATTTCCACCTTTCAACTCTTAGCTGGAAATCAGAAGCCAAATGTTGTTGGGGGATATCAAACACTGGGGGCTGGCGAAACCCTTCATACATCCAGTCAATTTGTTTTGTGTTGGGAGGACATTTAATCAATACCCATCTGATTCACTTACATATGTATCATCCAAAAGCCATTCTGAAAGAACCATTTCACTCCCAGGAAGCCTTTATACATCAGTTTCTAGAAATACATAAGCATATTATAAGTCTTCTTGTACCAAGAAAATGACCATTCAAATTCCCCCCATATCAAAAGCTTTGGGAAATGCAAAATTTGGGACTGCTCTAAACATACAGCATCACAAAGATTCTTCTATTACTCCTAAGTGCATAAATAATGACCCATCTTTTTAGTTTTATGTAGAACCAAGGGCAGCTATTAGAAGAAAAAAAAATGAGGGAAGTGACTAGTTTCTAACCTAAGAGCTTCCCAAATCCCCTAAATATAAAACTATATGTTGGCTCACATCCCTAAGAAGGAACCAGTTCAGATTTTAAATAGACAGAAATAATCTCATTTTATTCCCCAAGGTAAATTTATTTTCAAAACTCTATCATTTTGGCACGATATTTTGGCCTCACATTAATGTATGAATACATTTCTGTCACGAGAAACCTACTTAAACGCCATGTTTAAAACAAGAAATATGATTGCCTAGGTTTTCTTCTAGGGTTTTTATGGTTTTAGGTCTGACATTTAAGTCTTTAATTCATCTTGAATTAATTTTTGTATAAGGTGTAAGGAAGGGATCCAGTTTCAGCTTTCTACATATGGCTAGCCAGTTTTGCCAGCATCATTTATTAAATAGGGAATCCTTTCCCCACTTCTTGTTTTTGTCAGGTTTGTCAAAGATCAGATGGTTGTAGATGTGTGATGTTATTTCTGAGGCCTCTGTTGTGTTCCATTGGTCTGTCTCTCTGTTTTGGTACCAGTACCATGCTGTTTTGGTTACTGTACCATTGTAGTATAGTTTGAAGTCAGGAAGCGTGATGCCTCCAGCTTTGCTCTTTTTGCTTAGGATTGTCTTGGCAATGAGGGCTCTTTTTGGTTCCATATGAATTTTAAAGTAGTTTTTTCCAATTCTGTGAAGAAAGTCATTTGTAGCTTGATGGGGATGGCATTGAATCTATAAACTACCTCAGGCAGTATGGCCATTTTCATGATATTGATTCTTCCTACCCATGAGCATGGAATGTTCTTCCATTTGTTTGTGTCCTCTTTTATTTCATTGAGCAGTGGTTTGTAGTTCTTCTTGAAGAGGTCCTTCACATCCCTTGTAAGCTGGATTCCTAGGTATTTTATTCTCTTTGTAGCAATTGTGAATGGAAGTCCACTCATGATTTGGCTCTCTGTTTGTCTGTTATTGGTGTATAGGAATGCTTGTGATTTTTGCACACTGATTTTGTATCCTGAGACTTTGCTGCAGTTGCTTATCAGCTTAAGGAGATTTTGGGCTGAGACTATGGGGTTTTCTAAATATACAATCATGTCATCTGCAAACAGGGACAATTTGACTTCCTCTTTTCCTAATTGAATACCCGTTATTTCTTTCTCTTTCCTGATTGCCCTGGCCATACCATTCAGGACATAGGCATGGGCAAGGAATTCATGACTAAAACACCAAAAGCAATGGCAACAAAAGCCAAAATTGACAAATGAGATCTAACTAAACTAAAGAGCTTCTGCACAGCAAAAGAAACTACCATCAGAGTGAACAGGCAACCTACAGAATGGAAGAACATTTTTGCAATCTATCCATCTGACAAAGGGCTAATATCCAGAATCTACAAAGAACTTAAACAAATTTACAAGAAAAAAACAACCCCAACAAAAAGTGGGCAAAGGATACGAACAGACACTTCTCAAAAGAAGACATTTACGCAGTCAACAGACACATGAAAAAAAGCTCATCATCACTGGTCATCAGAGCAATGCAAATCAAAACCACAATGAGATACCATCTCACACCAGTTAGAATGGCGATCATTAAAAAGTCAGGAAACAACAGATGCTGGAGAGGATGTGGAGAAATAGGAATGCTTTTATACTGTTGGTGGGAGCGTAAATTTGTTCAACTGTTGTGGAAGACAGTGTGGCGATTCCTCAAGGATCCAGAACTAGAAATACCATTTGTCCCAGCAATCCCATTACTGGGTATATACCCAAAGGATTATATATCATGCTGCTATGAAGGCACATGCACACGTATGTTTATCGGGGCACTATTCACAATAGCAAAGACTTGGAACCAACCCAAATGTCCATCAGTGATAGACTGGATTAAGAAAATGTGGCACATACACACCATGGAATACCATGCAGCCGTAAAAAGGCTGAATTCATGTCCTTTGCAGGGACATGGATGAAGATGGAAACCATCATTCTCAGCAAACTATCCCAAGGACAGAAAACCATACACTGCATGTTTTCACTGACAGGTTGGAATTGAACAATGAGAACACTCGGACACAGGGTAGGAAACATCAAACACCAGGGCCTATTGGGGGCTGGGGGGCTAGGGGAGGGATAGCATTAGGAGAGATACCTAATGTAAATGATGAGTTGATGGGTGCAGCAAACCAACATGACACATGTATACCTATGTAACAAACCTGCACGTTGTGCACATGTACCCTAGAACTTAAAGTATAATAAAAAAATTTAAAAAATAAAAATAAGAAATATTAAAACTTAGAACAAGAAAGATCCATAGATATTATTCAGATTTTTGTCATTAATGTTCAGCAATACATTCAAAATCCTCATAAAGATGGTAATAGTTGCTATTCATTAACAAATTTCAACCAATCAGACACTGTAGGACCACTCCACATCCATTATTTTCTCTAATCTACACATCAACCTAATGAAGTGTATTCACTTATTAATCCCGTTTTACAGAGAAGAAGACTCTACAGTCACACTGCTTGTAAGCGTTTGATGTTGGGATTCAAATCAGGTCTGACATCATGGCCTGGCTCTGGAAAACAGCAACATAAACATATTTCAGAAACTTCAGAAAACAGGAAATACAAAACAACACATTAATCTACCCTATCACCACACTTTTGAGCATTTGATTCTTTTCTCCTATGAGGCTCTCTCCTCATCTCTATGATAATAATGAATATTTTCTATTTATGATCAACATTGTATCAACCATTTTTTATGTTACTATAGAAACTTCATGATAGTTATTTTCTCTTTTGGCTGCATAACATTTCATTGAGCATATCCACTAGAATTTATTTACTATTGTCCATTTGATTTAGCAGTTAGATTGCTTCCATGTTTTGCTAATATTAAAACTGTCATTAAACATCTTTGTGTACATAGATTCTTTCTTAAAATATACTTAGAATTGATTCCCAGAAACAGAATCCCTGGGTCAAGGAGCATGGATCTTTTTATGGCTCTTACTAACCCACGACACTCCTTTCCAAAATATTTATTTGAAACTGCATTTTCATAATATCCTCATTAGCATTAGGCATTATTTTATAATGTTTGTTGTTTTAAAAAGTGAAAACAAAAATGGTGACTCATAGTATGTATAATTGCATTACTATGATTACTAGTGAGATCAAGTTTTCCATATTTATAATTATTAGATGTATTTCAATATCCTTATTTATCAGATGAGAAAATAGAAGCTCAACATAAGTGGAACAACTAGCACTAAAAAAGGTTCTATAATCAGTATATCCAATCGGTATTTGTTAGGTGAATAAATGAATGAAAGAATGAATGAAGAAATGAACAAACATCTCATTCCAAGTTTCCCTTCACTAACCACGTGCCTTCCCTATACCCCTCTGGTTCTCCTAAACTCCAAATTATTTTTTTTCTAAGGCTGCCACAGTAAAGTAAATAATACTGTGAGTGACCATTTCACTTCAGAGGAGCAGAGGGTATCAGACATCCTAAAAAGAGTATTGGAATGCTCTAAACAGACCAGTCTGGCTCTGGTTTTAACTCTGCCCATATTTAGCAGTATGGCATTAGTCAAGGCATGTGCCACAGTTTCCTCAACTTCAGGAAATGAGTTTCTCATATCTTTCCCACTTCAGACTGATTGTGGTTGTAAAATAGAAAGTTGCACTGGGAATCAAAACAAATCATAATTTTCCCCTATCCCCAAATGACACAAAGTCATGCTACAGAGCAGTGAGACATAAAAACACATTCTGAAGCCTCAGGACCTGTCCCACCAAGTCATCATGGTGGATTGAAAGGTTTTCTGTCAATTACTAGTAGAAAAAGCAAGCATGTAAGCCATGTCAGGGCCCAATTACACTACCCTCCCCCAGGGCTTTACATAGTCGGTAGACAGATTAATTCCCCTTTGTCTAAAATGAAGGAATTTGACTTCATAGTTAAGAACACAGACTTGGGTTAGACAACCTGGGTTTGAATCCTACCTCTACACCTTCCCAGCTATAAGGCCCTGAGCAGGTTATCCTACATAAGCTTTGGTTCAGGTGCAGCAAGTCCCAAATATCTGTGACATATGGATAAAAATTTTACATGTTTCATAGAGCATTTTTAAGGATTTATGAAGATGATGTATATAAAGTTCTTTCCACATGCCATGCACTTTGCAACAGGTTCAATAGAGGCCAGCAGTAATTGGTATCTTTACCATTAATTTCATTAATACACAAGAAGACATTCCTCAGAACCACAGAAAGCAGAGCTACAGATGGACTATTCAGAGTTGACTCGGGTGTTCCGCTTACCCAACAAATTTTTAGGCCAGTTAGGAAGGGCCTGTTTTCTCCTTCCAGGGAACTGTCTTCGAAAAGCCCAGACCCTCTTTGTAGAGGTTGAAACACTGCTCTGGAGCACTGTATTAGTCTGTTCTCATGCTGCTAATAAAGACATACCCGAGACTGGGTAATTTATAAAGAAAGTATGTTTAATGGACTCATAGTGCCTCATGGCTGGGGAGACCTCATGATCATGGAAGGCAAAGGAGAAGCAAAGGCATGTCTTACCTGGTGGCAGGCAAGAGAGCTTGTGCAGGGGAACTCCCATTCATAAAAGCATCAGACCTTGTGAGACTTATTCACTACCATGAGAACAGTATGGGAGAAACCACCCCCATCATTCAATTATCTCCATCTGGCCCCACCCTTGACACATGGGGATTAATAAAATTCAAAGTGAGATTTGGGTTGGGACACAGCCAAACCATATCAGGTATATTTTCTGGCATCAAGGTGGTTGCTCTTTCTCCATACAACAAATACTCCATGGTGCTAATGGAAATGTAATCTATGTGGCCTATGGGACTTAAACTGAGCCCTGAGTCCTGAGTCCAGTCTTGGCTCATTATCCCAGGCTCCAATCAGCTCTTTGAATTGTTATTACTCTGATCCATCTACTTAGATTCCATACAGTAGTTGATGGTGTTTTCAGAGGAAACTGCTAGAGGCTGATTCTAGAAACCCTTGGCATAATTGAGCACCAGAGATTCACTGAGAATCATAGGGGCTTCAGGTCACAAATTGCCACAGCGACTGCTTACATGCTATTTCACAGAATATTCATTTATATCCCACAGAAGCAGAAGCATCCCTTTGTTAGCAAACATGCAGGCCTTCATCACTCGGCCAAATTATTTCTTTGGATAATTGGGAGACAGAGAATTGAAGGGAAGAAGCTGCATGCTGATTAATGAACAGCTACCTAGAACAGAAGGTCTTCTATTTAGTGATGGGGGCAGAGGAGGATAATAGCAGGAAAAGTCCTGTTTAGTCTCATTGGATAATGGATAGCTGAAAAGTGACTTGGCTGCAAGGGTTTTTGTTATTGTTTGTTTCAGTTTGGTTTAATTTGGTTTAGATTGATAGAGCTTGGTTTAGACTTTTTGTTTGTTTCATTTTTGCCTATATGTAGGCACAGTGTCTACTTCAATTAGTCTCCTTCCCACCTTCTTTTCTCTTAACACAGTGAGCACCAATGTTTTGGGCCTCATGTCAGGCACATTTGATTATGTTAACTCTCAACCTCCCCTTTTCCAGCTATGTTCAATGTAATCATAATGTCTCTTTCACAAGGTTGCGATGAGATTAAAGTAATTTGCCAAATGATATGAAATAGAAGAGACAGAGCCAGGACCCACATCTACAACTTTCCTCTTTCAACTGCAGAAAGGTGGATGCTCATATAAGGACAGGAAAGAAACAAGGACACCTTTCCAAATGCACATATCTAAGTCATAGGACTTAACACATCTGAAGGGAATTAAGCAGTCGGTTCTGCAAAGTCCATAACCACAGAATGGATGTGAGCTGAGAATGAGAAAATGCATTACAATTCTAAAAAATGAGAGATGAGTCATCCATTTTTGTGTCCTTTATAGTGGCCAGCACAGAGCCTAGGCACAAGGATTATGTGTCGGATAAGTTGGATTGGCAATGGTTTCCTGAAATTCTATCTTGGTAAGGATTCTGGAGCTTCTAAATGGCTCAATGGAGAAGAGTTTTATAATCAAACATCTCAGCCTGGCATTCAGGGTAACCCAGGCCCAGGAACCCTCAACAGCTACTTGTTTACTACCCATGGGCAAATTCATAGTGATAGTGTCAGAAGGCAGACAGGGGGCAGGTCTCTGGTGAAATCCAACCTTCAAACCAAAGAGGTTAAAGCCTGAAAACCAAGCTACAAGTCTCTAATAAATCCATGAACCAGATTGAGAACCTCTCTTCCTGTTTGGCATGGTTTCCTCTGATTGATCCCCATCCTTCACCTATTTTACATATACCTACCTACCCTCCCCTAACTGTTTTTTTACACTATTGTGCCCATCATTAAATGGTGCCTTTTTGTGGCCTTTTTTGCATACTCACAAACCAATCAGCACACACTCCCTAGTCCTGAGCCCATAAAAGTCCTGGACTCAGCCACACTTGAAAGAGCTACCCAGCCTCAGGTAGGGGGCTACCCTCTTCGGGTCCCCTCTCTGCTGAAAACTATTCCATTGCTCAATAAAACTCTGCACTCTACTTACCCTCTGATTGTCAGTGTAACCTTGTTCTTCTTGGATACAGGACAAGAACTTGAGACTTGCCCAATGTGGGTATGGAAAAGGCTGTAACACTGAAGCTTTCCATCTTCCACCAGTGCCAGGTAGCTGCCCTACATGATGGGAAGAAGTGGTGGGGCTAAGCGAGCCCAGGAGCCATGGGCCAGAGTGGGGCAATGGGACTTAAAGAGCTGTTAACATGCCCCTGTCCAATGAGCTGCAGGTAATAATACCCCGTTTGGGGCTCCAAGTTTTTCTGGCACCACTGCATTCCCCTCATCCAGATGCCAGTGCCCAAAGTAAAAGCAGGTTGCAGCACGCCTGCCCCAGCTGCAGGCTGAACATGGATCCTGTGGCCAGCATGGGATCCAGGCTGGAGTGCAAGCCAAGGGCAGCCCACCAGGCCAAGTAGGAAGGGTACCTCCTGTGGCAAGCCCAGAGCCGAGTAAGGCCCTGGGCAGGGGCATAGCCAGCCATGGAAGTCTCCAGCTGGTGCAGGTGCCAAAAAAATCTTGCATCAATAGGTCCTCCATAAAAGAAAGTCCCAGACTGAAATCATAGCCTCAGAGATGTACCCTGACTTTGCCTGCTGTTTGCCTTTCAAGTGGATCCCCAATCTTATCCTCCAACTCCCCACTTTACCCATTTAATCTTGTCCTTCTCTTCTTTGCCTCAGAACCAGATTTCTTCCTTTGCCCTAAGATCAGAGGCCTCTTTGTGATGTTCTCTGGATGGAATCCACATTACAGAAGCTCATTTGATTGCATATTTTGTCCTGATCACCTCCTTGGCTCTCTACTTTTCTGTTAACACCAACTTGGGTTGCCCTCTTGCTATAAACTACCATAATGAATCACCTCTAATTTAGTTCTAGTCAAACCCATTCCTGATCTGATGTCCTTCACTTACTAAAAAGGGGAGTAGAAAATCTTCAACTCTTCTCTCCAGACGTACCTCCTGCTTCTCATTAGCACATGGCCGGTACTCCAGCCACACACTTTCTTCCAATAAATCACAATTCTACCCAATTGCAAGCCATTGCTCAATCTATTCTATCTCACTGGCTGAAAACATCCCCTTTCCTCCCCTTCATCTATCAAAATTTTATTTATCCTCACAGTGAAGCTTAATCCCAACCTCCATCACAAATTACTTCCCAGTAACTCCATGTTCAGCCTACTGATACTGACTTCCTAAAAAATGCATCTAAAACATGTTGCTTTCTGTTAAGTAGCCAGTGGTTTCTAGAACTAGAACTGAAAACACTGGGTAGATTCTAGTCTGTAACAAGCATTGCCTCTTTCTTGAGCAGCTCACTGTCTATAAGGAGGCGGGAAAGACACACACACACACACACACACACACACACACGACATTTGTGTGCACAAAACAACAAAAGGTTTAAATAGTCACTGACACAGAATTGTGCCAAGTTTTTGTGTGTTTCCTGGGAAGAGAAGAAATACCTTGGCGCAATAAGAGGACAGAATCAAGAGAAATGCCAGGGAAATTATTGCTCCTAGAATGCTTCAATCAGAAACTAACAAGCAAGAGTTACCAGAAACACAAAGGATTAAAAACCAAAAGAAATATAAAGTTTAGGTACCAAGCACTGTCTCTCTACACCATTTTCTTCCCATTCTGTTCCATGGGGGTGGGGGGGTCTTAGCTCACTTGTTTGGAAACAGCTATATAGTGCCTTGGTGTGACCCACTTCTCACTCCTTGATCCTCTGCCTTTGATCAATTGGAGCTGAGTAGAGGGAGGTGATTCTAGCTGGAGTTATGAGCCTCCCAGCCCTCTCACCCTGCCACACTCACATGCAGCAGTTAGCAATTTGAAAATGAAGGATGATGTAATAAAATTGTCAGTAAGTCAAAATCTCTATTAATTATAACATTCCAGGTAGCAATGGCTAGATTAATCATGCTGCATAATAGTTTTTACTGAAGGCACTGTCAAAGCCAGGAATATCTTCTGAATCTTCAAAAACAATTCCTCCTCCATTCACTCTGCTCCAGGCACATCCGCCTTCTTGCAGCTACTCAAGCACTCCAGGCACACTCGGATCTCAGAACAATTGAACTTATTGTTCTCCCTGCTTGGATAGAGCTAGCTTGCTCATGTTCTGTGCTAGATATTCTCTGTTCTTTATCCCTCCATATCACTTTCCACTGCTCAGTCTCAAGAGGCTGACCTCTATGGACAGCATCATCAAGCTCCTCTGCCTTCTGATTTCTGGTTGAGTTCAACCAATGGGAAGCATTGACAAGAATTAGGCATAAGGAAGAAAGAAGGTTGGGGCATTTCCTCCTCAACTCCCTCTCTTCCAGCCTCAATTTTGCAGTGGCTGTGTTGCTCCATTGAAGGCACAGCTCATGCCAAGCAAACCCTCTCCAACGGCTATAATGGTCACTGAGTACCTTCAAGCCTTGGTGGCTACAGTTTTTGAGGGCTTCACCTTGCTTCCTACATTTCCTTCCTAGGTATTCTTATTTTTGGGGAACCATCTTTTCATTAAACTCCATTGAGACACTCATTTGAGTTAGTCAACCATTTCCTACAGAGACTGCCTAATATACCGTCTTCAAATCTTGGTACAAATGTGAATTACTCATGAAGTCTTCCCTTACTACTCTATTAAAAACTGTAGTTCTTCTGTGAAATAGTTCCCAGAATCAGACCTAAAGATCTAGAGGAAAGGGAAGGTTTTAAGATCTGCGTACCAGGCTGGGCGTGGTGGCTCACACTTGTAATTCCAGCACTTTGGGTGGCTGAGGTGTGCAGATCATGAGGTCAGGAGCTTGAGACCAGCCTGGCCAACATGGTGAAATCCCGTCTCTACTTAAAAAAAAAAAAAAATTAGCTGGGCATGGTGGGTCACACCTGTAATCCCAGCTACTCAGGAGGCTGAGGCAGGAGAATTGCTTGAACCTGGGAGGCAGAGGTTGCAGTGAGCCGAGATCATGCCACTACACTCTAGCCTGGGCAACAGAGTGAGACTCCATCTGGAAAAAAAAAAAAAAGATGTGAGTACCAGCTAATGAAGCATTATTGTCAGCTTGTGTCTCCATTTCCAATGGGAAGGGAGGACATGAGGTCAACAGAGAGCAAGAAAAATTGAGGCAGGACCTCAAGAATATCTTGAGGACCATGAGGATTGGCAGACACAGAAGAGTGTTATGAGAGAGGATGTGGAGTTTCTGGGAAGTAACCCCTAAATCAGAACCTTCTATTCTACATGTGGAGAGGCTCAGTGGGAAAATGTCACCCTGGTGGAAAGATCTTTGGTATATATATGCCCACTGAGGTCAAGAAAGCATCCAGTAAACCATCTTAATTGAGGTTTCAGACTGAGCAGAGGGGCTCTTTTAGAGGAAGAGTCAGAAGGAGGAGATGAGTTTACTCGCATTCCCGAGGAAGCCACTTCTGGAGTGTGGAGCACACTCTGATTGCCATTTAGCTTCTCAAAACCTGAAAAGTGCAGCTCAGAGACCACGTGTCTGAGAGCATGGAAAAGTCTGGAATATCTCAGGTTCATTAGTTTGTTACACCTCATCTCTCCCCTACATTGATCAGAAAAGATCCTATGGGCTTCCTTCTGGGCCAACAGGAGGTATTTTTGTTAACTGCACCCCTCCCTACAGGCCTTTGTGCTGGAAAGGACAGAATCCCTAGAGACAGTTACCAAGGAGTGAGAGAGCAGGGGAAGTACACGTGTAAGAAGCCCTAGTAACCAGAGATGTGCAGAGATGAAAATAAAGGTAGGCAGGTGTCTCCTGTTTTTCAGCTAGAGTCTTGTTTTGAAGAGCCTCTTTAAGAACATTCCAGTCTTCTAAACATATAAGGATACAAGCCAAGAAAATCCATCAAAAATTTAAAATTACAAAAGAATCTTTAAAGAAGTGACAAACTTGATTGATCCTTCTCTTTCTCCTCTTTGTATAAGGCTCATCATTGTGCTCTTCTAAGACCAGACAAGGGATACCAAGTTCCCAAGCATGCATGCATTCATGCATCCACATATCCAGCTGATGTTTATTAAATATTTACCATGTGTCACACACCGTGAGAGACACTAACGGTCTATTGGTGAACAAAATGGACAAACTCTGTACCTCCATGGAACTTATAGACTTGTTGGAGGTCATAGACATTTTTGTCTGTTTTTTTAATATAAGATAAATTGTTAAGAAAATGATATTGTAGTAAATATTTACTGTTTTCCTTTGCCTGAAATCAATTTTTCCTTTGGATAATTGCATTCCTCTCCCATTCTCAGTCCCTGTCATTTGGGGAGGCTTCTATTCTCAGATTCTAGGAGTAGGCAGAAAGCCCAGGATTGGTCAAAAAGAGTTTAGCTTTGAGGACTAAGCTCTGATTTTTTTTTTTTATCTTGCCCAAATCCCTATCTAAGGGGTCTGAGGAGTCATGTCCTACAAACCACAAATTCTCATCAGATGTTTTTTATTTAACCCTGTATATCATGACTTACTTTCCAATCTGACTCTGGCATAAAAGAAAGTAAATAAAATTATTTTACCCCAAAACATGTTTCTCTGTCATTATCTTGAAATGACCCTAAAAGGCATCCCTTGTTGGGAAAAATCCACCTTCTATAGAGAATCCCCCTTCCCCCCACTTTTTTTTCCTTCCTTCATTTCCAGATGCAGGAGATAATCAACTAAGAGCCAGGCACCCTTTTAAGTCTGGTAAGAAACATTTTACAACCTGCTCTCTCTGAAGTCTGCTATCTGAGAGCTTCTCCTGTACAATAAAACTTGGTCTCCACAATCCTTTATCTTAACCTGAACATATCCTTTCTCTTTATCCCAGTTCTTCAGATAAACTCAACCAATTGTCAACCAGAAAATGTTTAAATTTACTTATAGCCCGGAAGCCCCGCTTTGAGCTGTCCTGCCTTTCTGAACCAAACCAATGTACTTCTTAAATGTATTTGATATCTCATGCCTCCCTGAAACATATAAAAGCAAGCTGTACCCTGACCACGTTGGGCACATGTTCTCAGGACCTCCTGAGGGCTGTGTCACAGGCCGTGGTCACTCACATTTGGCTCAGAATAAATCTCTTCAAATATTTTACAGAGTTTGACTCTTAATCAACATCTTCTTCTGGCCACAGTGATTATTTATGGCTCCAGGCATATACGTCACCTAAGCCAGGCTGTTCAGAGCCAAGGGCATCAGGTATGGGTGCTATAATATTGAGAAGGAGGACTCCACTAGGATTGTGGAGCCAATGGGATGTAGATATGGAGCTATCTTAAATTCTAAATCCAATCATCCCTGAATTTCCTAGTTACATGATTTGGGTTCCCTTCACTGAGCAGTTTAGTTTGAGTTGGATTCTATCACTGTGACCAATACTCTTTGGAGGGAATGGAGCAAGGAGTTAAGAAAAGAAACAGGTAGAGGAACCCCGGTATTTTAGGTAGCAAGGAGAGGTTTCTGTGAGTCAGTAGCATCAAGCTGATGAAGAATTTGGAGGAAGGCAGAAGGTTGCTAACATTGATTAGGTGCCAGGCAAAAGCTTTGCCATGTCCATAAGCAATTATAACTAAGATAAAATCAACTTTTCAGTTTTTTCTCCCAAGTCAGACTCTTCCTCTGTACCTGCCAACCTGCTATAACTTGTGTTAATCACTCCTTCTCTGCTGCCATGTTTTCAATTCACCAAAAGGCAGTAACCTGACTCAACACTCTCCCTGGGTCACATAGCTCATCACTTCAAGTGACCGGCCAAATGAGGCTCTCCTCATGCCTGAATACTTGCTTTCAGCTTAAGATCTCTCTGAGGAGCTGGCACTCAACAGGTAGACATTGTTTCAAAACCTTAGGAAAGGAAGAAGAAAAGTGAGAATCCCTGGCCTCATCTATATGCAGCCATGAGAAACAGAGCATGGCTCTTCACAACTTGGGCAGCCTTTTAAAGCTTCCGATCTCTGGTAGGCATTATTATTAAGGACAAGAAACCTATGGGTGTTTGATTTGTACCAATGCCAGACTTCTTTTAAATCAAATATAGATGGTTCTCTCCTGCATGGATGCACCACTGTCATAAACACACACACACACACACACACACACACACACACACACACACTCTCTCTCTCTCTCTCTCTCTCTCTCTCTCTCTCTCTCTGACATTTTACTTCTCAGACTTGAGTTTGTTTGCCTGGAACCAAGGAAACCCTACTTTCAGATTCTTGCCCTAGAGACTCTTTGTCACAGCTTGATAAAGCAATCAAAACCAACATAAAGTCAAAATGCCAGCTCTGGGCCTGCTCAGGGAGGGGGCCCTCTGTCTTGGAGGGTTCTGTATGTGTGTACTGTAGACAGGTATCTCTTCTCCTCTTGACAGTCTAGAGGGTGAGGATCCAGCAGGGCTGGGCCTTTCCTGCTCAAAGATGAATTTTCTGCTCAGAGACATGGCCTCCCTTTTCTCCTCAGGAAAGCCAAGAAGCTGAATTTAGTCTCAGGCCAGGTATACAAAGCCCAGGTTCAATGTCAATTGGAAATGTTATATTGAGAAGCTCCAGGAATTGTTCCCAAGGTGACACTAGGATTCCTACATGGCTCAGCTGCCCGACAGGCAACCATGTCCTCAGAGCACATCAGAGACCCCTGACGATGAACGGTTGGATTGATCTACTCACGGGAGAACAGACGAAGGCTACTTGCAGCAGAAAATCCCTCTCAATTTCCAGTGCAGGATTACTCATCCCAGAAAAATAAAGACAGGTACTTCATTGGCACAGGTGGCAAAAGGAATCTAGCCAATGCCCAAGGCCACCATCTGAGTCTATTTCAAAACTGCATCAGTGACAGCAACTTCAAAGGCACGTGCTTTTCATTTCCTCACACAGGCTCCTGATGACCTGGGACCACACCCACAGACCTGGGACCACACCCCATTCTAGCACTTACTGTTGGAGATTCTGGGTAGGTCACTTCATTTATCTGACCTTCAGAGTCTTTCTAGGTAGAATAGGGTTGCAAGCACCTGTCTCACGGATGGTTACATGAGTTAAATGACAAATGTAGGTAAAGTATCCAGCACAACCTGACATGCAGTGAGAGTTCAGTAAATGTGAGTCCTTCCCCTTTCCCTCTCTTCTCCACTACAGAAAACTGACAGCTACACTCAAACCTCAGATAGCCCCAGCTGTGTAACCTGTGCACCCCTTGAGGCCTGGCACCCAGATCCTGAGGTGATGGCCAGGGGGATTATCTTGTTTTTGCACACCTGGTTAATAGCAACCAAAAAAACCCTTAAAATAACCAAAGAAGTGAAGATGAACAATAACAGATCAGAAGCGCCAATTGACTTAAGTTAGCTTAGGTTCACCAACAGCTAGCTGCCCTTCACATAACTAGATGCAGTATATTCACTCACAAAATCTCTCCTTAGCAAGACATTCAGAAACTCCTCTGGTCTCAGGCAGCTTCATGCCTAACATAATCTCCTAGTTCTGATCCAGGCACTGCATATGAAAATGCAGGCTAGACTGTGCTTAGTAGGAGCCGAAATTCAGCCCAGGCTTCACCTGTAAGCCAATAATGTTGGCTTCAGGCTTCGACTGCTTAGAGGAAAGGGCATCTATTTTGCTTTGCACAATGGCAGTATATGCACCAGCAACAGCTCTGGTCCTATACACAATCCTGACCCTCTCTTCCTGAGTATTGCCTCCTCTGACTTCTATGTCTGTTTTCTGCTTTCATGTGGTCCTATACTAATTGGCTTCAGGAGTTCTGGGGTTCTTGGGTCCTACTCTATTTTGGCTGGAAGCTGTTATTTTTCCAGTGAAAGAGCTTGTCACCATTGCACAAGAAAAATCCCTGCTGCTCTCCATCTGTGTGCTGTGATGTATCTGCCGTACCTTAGGGCCTTCTCACACACTGTTTGATCAGCCTGGAATCAGCACTTCCTGCAGCTGAATTCATCTCACCCTTCAAGCATTCCCTTAAACATCAGCTCCTAAGAGGGGCCTTCTACAGCACCCCAATTTAAAGGGGTCTCATCCTCACCCACACTATTCTCTATTACGTTATGTTTCTGATAAGTGCCATGGGATAAAAATAATTTATAATCATGTTTATTACTTGTTAACTTCCCATCCTCTGCTTTAAGCTCTAAACTCTCTGAAGAAGATAGCCATGTCTGTTTTAGTCACCAATTAATTGTATTTCTAGTACATTCCCTGGCACAGCCTATTAATTGAAATAATTCCTATTAATTGAAGAGTGAAGGAATGAGTGAGTGAATGAGTGAATGCTGGGATCATTCACTCTCCAGAACTCTTTTCTGGGCTGCTCAATATCCAGTTTTAAGGCAGCCTATTCTCCTTGGACCACATGAGATTTGATTCTAACAAACAGGGAACCAAACTACTGAGGAGCCATCTCCATTGGGCCAGTCAGGCTCAAGTGGGAAAACAAAATACTCTGCATAGTATGCAAAAGAAAAGGTCTTTTTAACAGAATTAGGCCTTATGCAGCTATGGGAGGAGCTGGGAAAGTGAACTCAGAGAATCAAAGTGATGGCTACTAACCAGCCTGCCTAGTCTACCTCACGCAGGTGAACAAGTTGGAGCTGACAGGGGAGTTCAAGAGGCCAAGGATGCGTGGCTCAAAGGCCTCAAAGGAGAAGCTCATAGAGAAGTCTGTGCAGCTGCTGCCTTTGGGGGTCAACACCAAGTGGCTGGTTGTGGACCTGGGGCACTACCAATGAGAGGGGCTGGCCATCAGCAAGATGAGCCGAGCAGGGAGAAAGACAGCACGGCCAAGCCACGACCCATGAGCACAAGGGTCCCTCTGTCACTACAGATGGCCATGATGACTTTCCACAAGGAATGGCAGCTGTTTCACTGCCATCTTCTAAATCCACACAAAGTCCTCTTTGCTTCCATCTTTGGTTCCACTCTGACCCAGAACCCTACAGTGATGAGATTTCTGAAAATAGCTCTAGCTTTTGCCAAGCTGACACAAAACTGCCTAATGAGCTAACCTTGCCTTGTCAACGCTACAGCTTCTCCAAGGGTCCTGCTGACACTGATGGCTCCTTGGCCCAATCCTGTCCACACATAAACTTCTTTTCCTACCTTCTATGACTGTCTGCCAGGGCCTCCTCTGACCATGTCCCTCTCTGCTTAAGTTTAAAGGTAACCCAGTGACAGAGCCCCACTAAGGGCAGAAGCGGATTATCTCATCCCTGTGGTTTAGAGAAAGGAGGAATAGCTTCTGGACAAAGTGCCCCAAGGAAGACTGAAACAAAGACAAAGGAACCTATAACTTGGGAGACAACCAATCTTTTCCTGTTTCCTCTTCACAACTATCCCTTAGATGTACCAGCTAAGCAAGGGTAAAAATCGCACTCTTTACAGATCAAAAGTTTCCCTGTTCTGTATAAAAGCCCTGTTTTTCCATTTGTGTCCTGATTTCTTTGAGAAGTGTTTTATAATTCTCATTGTAGAGACATTTTACCTCTCCCCACCCTTACTTAGCTTTATTTCTAGATATTTTATTCTTTGTGTGGCTATTGTGAATGGAATTGCATTCTTAATTTGGCTCTCAGCTTGGGAATTTTTGATGTATAGAAACGCTACTGATAATTTTTTACATTTATTTTGTATCCTGAAACTTTACTGAAGTTGTTTGTCCATTCTAGGAGTCTTTGGGCAGAGACTATGGGATTTTCTAGGTATAGAATCATATCATCTACAAAAAGAGATAGGTTTGACTTCCTCCCTTTCTATCTGGTTGCCTTTTATTTCTTTCTCTTGCCTGATTGCTCTGGCTAGGACTTTCAGTACTATGTCAAACAGAAGTGGTGAGAGTCAGCATCCTTGTCTTATTCTGGGTCTCAGGGGAAATGGTTCCTGCTTTTGCCCATTCACTTTGATGTTGATTGTGGGTTTGTCATCAATGGCTCTTATGATTTCTACGTATGTTTCTTCAGTGCTTAGTTTGTTGAGGGGTTTTAACATGAAGGGATGTTGAATTTTATCAAAGGCCTTTTCCGCCTTTATTGAGATGATCATATGGTTTTTTAGTTCTGTTATGTGACGAGTGACATTTATTTATTTGCATATGTTGAACCAACCTTGCATCCTAGGAATAAAGCCTACTTGATTATGGTGGATTAGCTTTTTGAAGTGCTGCTGGATTTATTAGTATTTTTTTGAGGATTTTTGTGTCTATGTTCATCAGAGATATTGACCTGAAGTTTTCTTTTTTCATTGTTTCTCTCACATCAATCAGAATCCCTATTATTGAAAAGTCAGAATATAACAGATACTGGTGGGGTTGCAGAGAAAAGGGAATGTTTATATACTGCTGTTGGGAATGTAAATTAGCTCAGCTACTGTAGAAAGCAGGTTGGAGAGTCCTCAAAATATTGAAAATAGAATGACCACTCGACCCAGCAATCCTATTACTGGGTATATATCCGAAGGAATATAAATCATTCTACCAAAAAGACACACATGCACTTGTATGTCCACTGCAGCACTGTTCACAATAGCAAAGACATGAAATCAACCTAGATGTCCATCAGTGATAAACTAGATAAAGAAAATGTGATACATATACACCATAAAATACTACACAGACATAAAAAAAAGAATGAAATCATGTCCTTTGCACCAACATGGATGCAGCTGGAGGTCACGCAGGAACAGAAAACCAAACACTTCATGTTCTCACTTATAAGTAGGAGCTGAATATTGAGTACACATGGACACCAAGAGAGGTACAATAGATGCCAGGGCCTACTTGAGGGTGGGTGGTAGGAGGAGGGCAAGGATCAAAAAACTACCTATCAAGTAACATGCTCACTACCTGGGTGATAAAATCATGTGTACACTAAAACCCAGTGATATGCAATTTACCCCTACAACAAACCTGCACATGTATCCTGAACCTAAAATAAAAGTTAAGAAAGAAAAAAATAACTTTCTGAATTCCCTAATTCCTAATCCTGTCCTCACTAGGTATGGCCAAGTCCCAGCTACAGGAAGAGCCAGGGAAGCCAAACCTCAAGTGCTTATCTGGTGACTTCCCTGCTCTTTGCCTGCAAGTTGTTCTTGAGCACTTGGATGGGAAGGGATTTTGCCACCTATTCTTCAGTCCTCCTTCAGCTATCCACTCTCTTCTCTTCTGCCTGGCCTCCCCTAGGGCATGTGACAGCACCCCAGTGCTCTAGAATAAATGAGAGCTTCTAAGGCAGCAAAGCACCCTTCTTCCCCTTTCATTTGCTAGGCAGCTGTCACATCCCCACTGGTCTTCTTTGGAGGTAAGAGCTATCTGGCTCAGTCCCCCATCCTGCTCCAGAATGTAAATCACAGGAGGCCTCCTGCCTGGGAAGAACAATTAACATGAAATACCAGGATTACTGTCTGCCACATTTACAAATCTGTCCAGCTTACATTTGCTCTTTCAACAATTTATGCCTTCACAGTGGTATGCTATTCAAATGCCCCGACTTTCCCCCAAGGGACTGACTGGTGGTGCTTGACATTGCTTTGGCTATTCGTTATAAAAACAAGGGCTATCAGCAGCAATAACCCATCAGAACAGCGCATGCCATGGGAAAGAGTCATTGTATTTCTCTTTACTTGCCCCACCAAAGTGAAAGCATGTCACCTCTTTCCAGTGAAAAGGAAACACAAAATTCCAACTTTCCTTTTTTCTCTCTATGCTGGACATGGTTGGCATCTCATTTCTGAGATGTTCAACATAACTGACTATCCACAGTCCAAGTCATAAAGATAGTAAACAGTCATCACAATGAGTGTGTAACAATAATCCAGTGGCTCTCAACCAAGGGGACATTTGCAAAATCTAGAGAAATTTTTGATGGTCACAACTATGGAGTTGGGAGCAGGGGTTATACTGGCATCTAGTGGGTAGGGGCCAGGGATATTGCTAAACATCTACATGGCATATACGACACCCTCCTGCTTCTATAACAAAGAATCATCTGGCAACAAAATTTCCATAGGGTCAAGATTGAGAAGCATTGCAAATAACCCAATGCAGGCTGGCTTCTTTCACATTCTGCTTCACAAATCATATTTCAGAGCATTGCTTCAAGGCAAGATGGAAAACAAGGGAGAGAAGGGGCCAGTTAGATGGGTCACCACTTTCTGATCTCTCCAACACCCCCAGGAAACAGCCATCTGAGAGCAAGACAAGGGAGAAAGAACACTTCACCAAAAATAAGCTATGCACATTTGGGTATTCATCATCTGAATGCTCAGTTTCCTTATCTGTAAAATGTGGCTACCCAGCCTGGCTCACAAGGCTATCGCAACACTCAACAGAGGTGGTGGTGTATTGGAAGACTCTCTGGGGCTCCAGGGATTTTAAATAATAGGAGGATACACTGCAGTAATGATTAAATGAAGTATTGTCCTAGCAACTGGCACAAGAATTTCTGAAGAAGAGAATGTTCTCTTGCCTCTCTCTCTTCCTCCTTGTTCTGGGTGGGGTGGGGGGGAATGATGAATACACTTGAGGTGCAGAATCACCAAGGTTTCGGAGGAGAATTATTAAATTGCTTTGCAGAAGAAAAAGAAGGAAATATGCTGTTCCTTACAAGGTGGACCCAGTTGAAACTCAATGGGATAAAGAGCACCATGGAGTGAGGAGTCTGAAGGATTTCTTAAGGTAGCGATGCCAACAGTTCCATTTGAGCTGGTTTGGGATGATGTGTTAAGAATCCATTGATACAATTTGGATGTACGTCACCACCTAAACCTCATATTGAAATGTATTCCTCAATGCTGGGGGTGGTGCTTGGTGGGAGGTGACTGGATCATGGGGTGGGTTCCTCATGAATGGTTTAGTATCATCCCTCTTGGTACCATCCTCGCAATAGTGAGTTATCATGAGATCTAGTCCTTTAAAAGTATGTAGCGCCTCCCCATTCACTCTCTTGCTCCTGCTTTCACTATGTGACTTACCTGCTCCCTCTTTGCCTTCTGCCATGATTGGAGGCTTCCTGAAGCCTCCCTAGAAGCAGATGCTGCTATGCTTCCTGTATAGCCTACAGAGCCATGAGCCCATTAAACTTTTCTTATAAATTACCCAGTCTCAGGTATTTCTTTATAGTAATGTGCAAATGAACTAATATATCCATCTACTCTCTTGCTCCCAAATTCTGGTTTTCATGAATGCTTTGGGAATGTAAGAATGTGTGTGTGTGTGTGTGTGTGTGTGTGTGTGTGTGTGTGTGTGTGTGCAGGCACACATGCACATGTGTATGTAAGTCATAAAGGGTGCTGAGTTTCACATCTGAATCAGCATAATGTGGGATAAAAGCAAGATATGTGGACATAAGAACCCAAACACCAAGCCATTTGCTACATATATATACACATACATAGACACAAACACACACACACACACACACACACACACATATACAGAGGGAAACGAGGCAGGTGAAGAGATTTGCAGCCATCTTAAGAAAAGTCATAAAAGTTCAAGGAGGAAAACATTTAAATCAATGTTATCTATACCATAAGAGACAGGAAGGCACCCTGCTCAACTATGGGTGTATTGCTGGCATCAGAGCAGGATTTTTGTTCATTTGTAGAGGGCCTGCATTCCTAACCTACTCCTTGGCATGCTGGCGATCTATGGTGTGTCAACTCCCCACCACTACCAGTTGCTAAGGATGGGTTGCCGCAGAGATGACGGCCTGGCCAGCTACATTAACTTCTAAAACACATCCAGCCAAAAGTGCAACATGGCTTACTGTGAGTGCAGAGAGCCTCTCTCTCCCTGAAGAAACAAAATTCTAGAAACTGAAAATTGCTTCCTCTCTCCTCCCAGCTTTGGATGAATTTGACACTCATAATTTTGTCTAAGGAGCCATTGTTGGATGGTAGCCAAGTTGGCTTTTGGAAAGAAAAAGTTTTTAAAAAGATCAGCATTCATTAGTTTGGTTCTTCATTAAGTGAAGCACATGTGGTAAAGGGAATAATTAGTGAAGTTAATTGTGGCTTCACAGAGAACCAAGGGAAATCCAGTGAAATGTCCTGACATTCACCAAGAGCAATATGTTCACTGCTTCTGCAGCTAATTGCAATTAGCAAGTGAAGGAACATACATACAGTCTCCGTGTGTAATTAATCATGTGCCTTTATTACAGTAGATACAAGCTGCTGACTGACCGCAGACACCTGCCTTGTGCTGTGCCTCCATACTCCTGCATAGTTCCTGTTGGTTACTGCTGTATTTCTTACCTTCCTTGTACCTAGGTTTTATGCTTCTTGCACATTCTAGTCATGTATTTCTGGGACAGGGTTTCTTGGTCATGTCCCCTCTTAAAACAGATATCTAAATATTCCTGACATAAAATACACACTCAGTAACTATTTGATAAATGAATGGTGCATAAAGGGAAAGGATCTTCTCCCATTCATACAGATTACAATGGCCATTGACTCTTGACAGTCACAGAAAGGCTGACTCTGAGGATATGACATAGTGCAAACAAGGAGACTTCAGCTGAATGGGGCTAGGATGAGGCTCATGTCTAGAGGTGGTAGTTCCTGGGTTGCCTGGGTTGAAAACACAAGATGAACCCTGAAGAGATTCCCCGTTCCTCTTTTACTGGCACTGTCTTCTCAACTATCACTTTGAATTGTCAGATCCTGGCTTTCTTGTTGCTGCCATTGTCACCCTTAAATTGTTTGTCTCCAATACCCAACCCTCCAAGAGAATCCATGCTCACTTGTTTCTTCACTGCTTTTACAAATCTTAGATTAGTGAAGAGATAAAGCCTTAGGAAGAGACTGAACCTTGACCCTTTTATACCCTGGAAACTTGAGAAGTTATTTCAGTTTTGGAATGTATAAAGTCTTAGATATAAAATCATTCTGGAGTTGGAGCTTGGACCCAGAGTTTGACATCTATATACCCAGGAATTTGATGTGGTTAACAAAATCTAAGTTTCTACTAGTCAAATGATGTTCATATTCTTCTAAGTTACCACGTTACCTCAAAAAATTATGATTAATCTATTACAGTAGAAGCTATTTAAGAGATTCCCCCTAATTCAGTGGCTTAAAGTACTTAGAAGGTCATTGTTTTCTCATGTGCCGGGGCAGCTGGCCAACTCTGCTCCACGAAGTTATCCAGGGAAACAGGCAAATAGGAAGTCCCTGTTATTCTCAACATATGCTTTCCAAGGTTGTTTGGCATTGCCTTTCCAGCCAGTGGAGAATAAATAGTGGAAATCTGTAGCCAGGGATTTCCTTTTAAATAAAAGACACAGAAGTTGCACTCATCATGTTTGCTCAAACTCTAGTAGGGAGAACTCAGTGACACCAACCTGAAAGCACTGTCGGAACATGCAATCTCTCTATGGATGCCCCCCTTTTTTTTTTACATCCAGAAAAAACAGAGAATAGATGGTGGTGGGAGGCAAATACTAATAAGAGAAGGCTGGTTTTAGAGCCCTAAAATACTTAGTAAAAGTGGCTTTATCTTCACCATTTTAGTTAAATAGAGATACATGCCACATGGTATTTTAATTACCCTTCCATCACTCTATCACGAGCTCTTTGACACAAGAATTGATATAGTGCCTAGCACACAGGAAACATTAAGTAAATATTTGGGACATGAATGATTGAATAGATTAATGAATGAATGCAATATCACCTATATCCCAATTTGGCTTGAATCCAACCTTGTTTGGAGGACATATTTCTAAACATTCCCAAGTACCTTTTCTCTTGTCATATTTCAGCTGCCTAAATGAGGCCCTGAGTCTAATAATCTGGCAATCCCTTAAAGATTCATGCAACCTGGAGCCTTGTGAACTGTACCCACCTCTCTGTCCAACTGATCTCTGGGTCCTGGTGTCACTAAGGCCTCACTTTCTCCTCAGTTTTATTAACACTTGATTTTTACCTGGAAAAACTCATGGCAACAGTACAATACCTGAGAACAATTTAATTATTAGGATTAAAATCAAATCAAAATAAAACATAATAAGACCTTCCATCAAACACAAGGGAAGAAGAAGGTAAAGTGCATTTGCTGGGTACCTATTGCATTAGGAGTTTGAAAACTATCAAGGGAGATCTTGAGTACCCGGAATATTTACACCAACGCAAGGAAGTAGTTATTATTGTTTCCAATTTACAACTGAGAAAATAAAGGCTTAGGGAGGCTAATGACTTGCTCTAGGTCACCACTTGGTGACAGAATTCTGACCTAGGACTATCTGGATGAACCAGTTCAATTCCCACTAAACAAAACCATTCACTGAAGGCCAGCAAACCCGGAGCTCATTTTAGAGTTGACTTGTGTAACTTATTAGGGTTTTAACTCATCTTTTTGTGTCTTGTCACTTTTTTTCTTTTTTTTTTTTTTTTTTTTGAGACAGAGTCTCGCTCTGTCACCCAGACTGGAGTGCAGTGGTGCGATCTCAGCTCACTGCAAGCTCCGCCTCCCAGGTTCATGCCATTCTCCTGCCTCAGCCTCCAGAGTAGCTGGGACTACAGGCACCCACCACCATGCCCTGTTAATTTTTTGTATATGTATTTTTTTTTTTTTTTTAGTAGAGACAGGGTTGTCACTTTTTCTTAAGGCCAAAGTAAAACAATCCTGCAAAAATGGCCCAAGCTGGTAATTAGAGACCATAGCTTCAATCTCAAAGGAGGATTTTACTGAAAGGTTGGAAAGTCTCTACACCACGGGAATTTGGGTTATATCACAGTTCACAACATGAGCAGGACAAAGTGTTTTTCAATAATTGACTCAAGTGGCAGGTGATGACTTCCCAGCTGGGAAGAGACTCTTTAGGGAAGAGACAACCTGATTATTTCAAAAGAAAGCCAGCCAGGCAAACTAACACATCTTGCTCTTTTCTTACTTAGGAAACCACTGACTTTTTAGAGATGCCCACTGCATAGATGATAAGAATGACAAGGCATCAAACAAGATCATATCTGATGAGGTAATTAGAAATAACTGTTGAGGCCAAAACTTGCACATCATTGTCAAATGTGACATAGAGGTGCTGAACAAAGGGAGGAAGAGGAAAACTGTGTGTGGGGCTGCTTCTAGTGGTGATATGGTTTAGGACTAATAAACCAGTGTCCCACTAGTCTGTCAAGGGATCTTCCACCTTCTAAGCCTAGAGTAGGAATGGTAAATATCTAACACACATGCTTCACGCCTATGCCGCAAACACATGTTATTTATGAAATGACACCAAACCCGGGAATCCTTCTTAATTAACAAACTCATCCCTCAGCCAGTATCAATCAATCTGAATTGGCAAAAAAAAATACCTAATTGTCATCCTTTGCTTAAATCAGCTTCCTGTAAAGTATCTTTGATGAAGGGAAGCCAGAAGCACCTTAAGGAATACAGAAGCCTGAGAAGGTGTAAGTGAAGGGAAAAGCTACCCTCCCACAGATTGGGCAATGGTTGCAAAGCATACTGGGTAATTCCCATAATTCTCAATCTCTAAACAAAGTCCAAAGAGACAGCCACAAGGTTTTCTCCCCTAGTCTGTCTAAAAGAGAGGTAACACCAAGAGTACGTCCTATACCACTTGAAGCACTGAGGAGAGAGTTTTCACAATGGTTACATTCTCCTGAAGTTGTAAGTTGTTTCTAACCTGCCGCTGGTAGACCGATGGCAAGCTTAGTCCCATATTCTTGTTCAGAGGACTCTCTCTTGTCCCCACAATTTTCCTCTACACATATGTATCTCATTCACAGAGTTTATCCCATTTACTAGGTTCCCTTCTCCTGTTGTTGATTGTTTCCTTTGCTGCTCACAGGTTTTCAGTTTGATGTGGTCCCACTTGTTAATTTCTGCTTTTGGTGTCATATCCCCCCAAAAATCATTGCTAAGATCAATTTCCTATCTGAAAAAGAAATCAGAAAGCAATCATATTTTCAATAGCATAAAAATTACTAGGAATAAATTTAATCAAGTAAGTGAAAAGTCTGTATATTGAAAACTACAAGACATTGATGAAAGAAACTGAGAAAGACACAAATAAATGAAAATATTTATCTTGTTTATGACTGGAAGAATATTGTTAAAATGTCCATACTACCCAGAGAGATGTACAGATTCAATGCAATCTCAATCAAAATTCCAATGGCAATTTTCACACAAACAGAAAGAAGAATCATAAAATTCACATGAAACCAAAAAAGACCCCTAATAGCCAAGGCAATCTTGAGAAAGGACAAAATTGGAGGCATTACGCTTCCTGATTTTAAACTATATTACAAAGCTATATATATTTTAAAAAATAAAAAAGTCTAGTATCGGCATGAAAACAGACACATAGACCAACGGAATGGAATAAATCCCAGAAATACAATTGATTTTTACATATTGGTCTTGTATCCTCAATTTTTAAAGTCGGGTTTTATATTTAGCAGCTTTCCTGAACCTTTGGGACTATTTAGCTTTTATCTAAGATATTTTCTCAGTAATATTGAAATAAAAAATAGAGCTAGTTCCCCAGTTACAAAGGCACACTCGCAAAGAGACAAGGTGACTAGCTATGCAAGGAGATTAAAATGGCAAATGAGGCACTTCTTTGTGTGGAATTGTCTACGTATATGTGTACAGGAGCACTCTATCTCTAAGCTTTTAACACAGACCTTGCAGACTGCACCCCAAAGCCACACGGAACTGAGGTCTTGAAAGTCTTCCAAGGACAGATGGGACCACAATGCTTGGTGTCTATTGATTGTTCAAGGCTTCCTGATCCTCAGACAAGGAAGCCACAGAATATTGAAGACTATCTCAAGATGGTCTATAATATGTAGCTATTTAGGAAATACAATTATCATATTCATCCATAAATTTAGATCAGCAAGTAACAGCAAAAACTGATAACAATATTTTAAGAAATATTTTTCTGTTGTTTTTCTTCCCCCTATTTGTCTCCCTTATTTCTTCTAAGATCATTGAAAAGGTTTCAGGTCAATTAAAATAAAATTTTAATTACTCATTTGTGTGTGGGGTGGGGTGGGTGTGTGGGCATGGGTAGGGCTGTAAGGTGCCAGTTATCTAAGAATAAAGTGGCCAATCTTAGATTTTGAGAAAATTCATTTAGCACACATTTAACATGTTTCAAAGTATTTGAATCCTAAGTTTGACATCACTTTTCATTTTGAGACAAACTCCTCTACCTCCTTAAAAATGAGATTGGGGCGGGCACAGTGGCTCACACCTGTAATCCTAGTACTTTGGGAGGCCTAAGTGGGTGGATTGCCTGAGCACCGGAGTTTGAGACCAGCCTGAGCAACACGATGAAACCCCATCTCTTCTAAAAATACAAAAAATTAACAGGTTGTGGTGATGGGCACCTGTAATCCCAGCTATCTGGGAGGCTGAGGCAGGAGAATTGTTTGAACCCAGGAGGCAGAGGTTGCAGTGAGCCGAGATCCCGCCACTGCACTCCACCCTGGGCGACAGAGTAAGACTCCATCAAAAAAAAAAAGAAAGAAAAAAAGAAAAGAGGCTGAATCACAACCATAGGCAAACTTTTGATTTAGTCAGTAAGGGCTCATAAATATTTGTTAGAATAATGATGTACAGGGCACTGTACTTGATTCAGAATGCTAATTAGGGCTCCATTATAGTACTCTAATAATGCAGGTGTGTGTGTGTGTGTGTGTGTGTGTGTGTTTATGCCTACTTCTGTATTCATAGCTTTCTCCTTTGTTACTCTCATTCTCTTTCTTTTATTCCTGATCCTAATTACTCTCTGAATCTTTTCTTTCATTTGTATCTTTTAATCTCAATGGCTTGGGCAACTGGTTAACCACTTAGTACTGTGTACTACAACAGTCAAGAAGACCAGGAGACAGATAATTAGATACTTGAGGAAAAATTATTCCTGTGTTCCATCTGGGTGCTTCCTAAACTTTAATGTGCACTGAAGTCGCTTTAAGTTCTTGTAAAATGCAGATTCTGATTTAGCTGGTCTCAGAAGGGACCGAAGATTCTGCATTTCTGACAAGCCCCTGGTCATGCTAATGCTGCTGATTTACAGACTACACTTTAAGTAGAAGGTTAGACTGTTGGGGATTAGCACAAATTTGGCTGTTAGTTTTAAAGGGCATTATTGTTAAATTTTATTATGTATATTTATCCCAATGCCACTCACACATGGCACACTTTGAAAAGTGTTGACTTCTAGAGAGTAGGGGGGATTAGAATGATCTAATGTTGATCCTTCGACTTTGCAAAATGTTGACTCAAGCACCATTTAAAAATCAATTACATGATTCAGGTGATGGTTACACGAAAAGCCCAGACTTCGTCACTACACAGCATATCCATATAATACAATCATACTTGTACTCCTTAAATTTACATAAATTTTAAAAAGAAAGATAAAAAGAAAGAGTTTGGGTGTTTTCTTTTGAGATCCATGAAATATGACAGAGTTTAGGGAGGATTACATAAAATAAAATTTATGGGAGTGCTTGATAGTATCTGGCATGCCACAGATACTCAGTGACCATCATTTGCAGTTCATCTTTTGTTTCCTTGATTGGTTCTGCATACTTTATGCCTATCTTATGCTATTCTATCATTTTTAAATACTTGCATGACTGTATTTTTTAATCCATGTGTTTATGATCTATGTGCCTTACTGAATTACCACTTCCTTGAGGGCACAAATATGACATATATATTGGGTGTTTCCTCTTATTGTAGAA
Organism: Homo sapiens; assembly: GCF_000001405.40. Taxonomy (NCBI): domain Eukaryota; kingdom Metazoa; phylum Chordata; class Mammalia; order Primates; family Hominidae; genus Homo; species Homo sapiens. Next base: position 111,361,014 of record NC_000010.11, on the reverse strand, counting down.
TGTGGTATCTTGCATCTGTGGTCACTTATCTGAACTCAACTGATTAGAGAAGTGCTAATAAAAAATGTCTATCCATCCATCTCTCCCACAAGCCTGCCTGAACTTCCTTCATTACCAGTTAGTTCCTTGAGTTAAGCCAGACCTCAGAGCAAACATGAAAGTATCCACCGATAGAGAGGGAACACTGATTTATTCTCAGTCTTTCCTACCCAATGAAGGAGTCTTTGGTCTGTAGTCACCGAGTTCTTCCTCATGATGAGATCAATCAGTTAAAGCAGGGAAGGAGGCCAAAGTCTAGATTAAGGTGTAAAGGGAGAGTTGGACACCTGAGAGCTAACTTAAAAGAGGAGATTAATCCAGTACCCTATAGTCTGCCTAGGACAGCATAGAGTCCTGAGAGACATGGGGTAATGGGTGGGTGGTAGAGGCAGGAGGAAGGGGAGGGGAAGTACTAGGAAGCCACTGTATTGCAGATACCCTTCCATTTGCCCACTCACCTTTCAGCCACTTGGTGGCACTGACCTCTCACACAGGCTTTTAAGAAACAGCAGCATATCACACACTGGAGCATGCAGTGTGTTCTGGTGCCTCCTACCAGCCAGAGGGGCGCCTGCAGAGAGATTGGCAGTTTCCATCCTGTCACCACAGGGAAAGGGTATTTCTTGGGTCTCTCGTTCCCTCTGTGGTCAGTGCTCACGCCAGCATGATCCTCTCCTTATCTTCTCTGAGCTCAGGAGCCAGTACTAGAGGAAAAACATGGTGGGGGCTGTATTCTAGCTGAACAAAGGTAAACTGTGGTATTTTCCAGAAAACTCAATTAGCGCTTTCAGGACTCTGGGCACCACCTGGGACCCATAAACAGCATTCACCCACTCCATGGCCTGGCTATATCCTCAGCCTCCTCCTCGGAGCATCCGTGAAGAATGACATTGAGCAGAAAGGATGAGGTCTTCATTTAGGCTATTGCAAAGGCCAGATTTCTATGAAGAGGAAAGGCACATCCTTCTATATCCAAAAGCGAACCTCTCTCTAGAGGCTTCGCCTACTCATATCATAGAGCAGGCTGGCCAATGCCAGGCTTTGAATCCACACCATGGCCCTATTGACCCCTGCTGTGACTCCATCCACAGCCCAGAGAAAGGTCAGTGCTCATCGCAGAGGACAGTAGGCAGTGGGGGTATCGCAGGAAGAGCTCACTGCTGGGCATGCAATATAATCCAATTTTCTATTGTTTATTATATTTACATGTATAAAAGATCTTTGTTTAATATTAATGCTGTGAAAGACACCTGCTTGCTGCTAGGGGATACAATGCTAAATAAACATAGTTTTTGCTCATATTCCAAGCATGGAGGCTTTAGGAAGATGAATAAATACAATTTAATGACCATTTTCTAGGCACTGTATTATATAAACTTTTTATATTTTTTATATATATTTGTGGGTGCACATATATGTGTATATATATACATATGCATACATATATACTTATAGATTTATAAAACTATCTTTTTAAAATATATATACATCATTTCTATATACAAAGGTATGAAATATCTTTATATATACCATTTATCACAGAATATATTTATGTATGTATGTGTGTATATATCTCTCTCTCTATATATATGTATTTTGGAAATGACAATTTCTTTTTCTAATAATAAAAGCAATAGAGGAGTGGTTAAGAGCACATGAATTTAAAGTCAGAATGCCTTTTACCTTGAACAAGTTACTTATCCTTCCTTAAGCCTGTTTTCCCATCTGGAAAATAAAGAAAGAGATAGAAAATAATGTGAAGATTGAGTGAGGTGAAGCATAATCCAAAAGCACATGTTTGATAAATAAAAGTTAACAATTATTATCCTCATGTGTATTGTTTAAAAAAAAAGAGTCAAGCAATTTTCAAAAGGCACAGAGAAGGAAATAACAGTGTCCTGTAAACCCATAATTCAGAAGTAGAACAGTTAATACCTTACTAAATACAAGCATGAGTTAAAAAAAAATCATGTTTTTTTTAAATGCATTTTGCTTTCCCCAACACACAATTATGTACTCTGATTTTACAGAAAGGATATAATATTCTAGTGACTTACATATCCTATTTTTCCTCAATATGGAGTGGGCATGGTTATAATTCAACATAGAGAATCCTACTCTCTTTTTAACAGCTTCACAGTGTTTTAGTCTGCAAATCATCAAGGTGTCTCCACCACTCATTTTAATTCTTTTTCTAATGGAATTGGCACATCTAGAAAAAACACCACCAGATAATGTTTATGACAATGAACATTCTTTTCATGTTTCTGATCTTAACGGGAATTTTAACACTGAGCTTGAGGCTAGCCATGGATTTTAAATGTATGTCTTATAATGCTATGAGCATATTCATTTATTGATACTTGATTGAAAGTTTTTGTATCAAGAATGGATGTTAATTTTTATCAAATGCTTTTCAGCATATATCAAGTTGTATTATGTTTTTTCTTTTGCTGTTAGTAAATTGAATTATAACCATTGATTTCCTAATATTAAACAATTAATGAAGTCATAGAAAGAACGCTTCCTCGTCATGGTGATTTTTCCCTTAACGTACTGCTGGGTTCTGTTTGCTGATGATTATAGATGTCCAAATCCCAAATAAAATAGCTATAATACATATGATAGTTTTATGTGCTCTTTGGACTTATGTTAGTGCTAATGCTATATTTTAATAAAAGTAATTAGAAGTACTTTATTCTATTTTTATGCTTAAAATTCTAGGTAGATTTGTTTCCTAAAGGTTGAAAGTATTTGCAAGGAAAATAATCCTTTACAAATTTCACAACATTTAACACTAGATTCCATAGTATTTTAGTTTCTACCTGTCCTAGAGTCTTTTTTGGTCATTTATTTATTTTCCCATCTGGGAGTAAAATTGTCACAAAACCCTGAGGCTCTTCAGCTATCTTGTGAAGTCAGCATTTTTTCCTCCACATAGCCACCTTTGTGTGATAGTGTTCCTCACTTGCTGTGAAAATGGCTTTTCCCCCCCTCCTACTATTTTCTGTAATCTTCACGTTAAGGATTCATTCCTCCTACAACATCAGAATAAAATCACATGGCTGTTGAGAAGCTAGATCAAAACCACACAAAGTATAGTGATAGTTGACCTTGAGTTTTGTTCTCCATTCCTAACAGTGCTGTTTTCACATTGCAGGAAAATTGGGCATTGCTTGCCATCCCTGGCCTTCCCAGCCCTCCAGCCCTCAATCCTTAACAAAGGAAACCAATTTTATATCATTAAATATCTACTTTATGAGGACATAGCTACAAACTCCATTTTATAGAGGAAAGTGAACATGGGCACATTTCTTCACCAAGATGAGCTCACACAGGTGCAGATTCAGCATTTAAATCAAGACTGCCTCCAAAGCTCATGGTCCCTCCACTGCTATCACTAGCATATTTGGGATCTGGGCTCCAGTGGTCCTTGAAGCCCTGTTGTACTTTCTGTCTCCCATAGGGTTTGGGGTCACATGGAAATAATAGAGTTAGAATTCTGTCACTTGCAACTTAAAAGTGCCCAATTAATAGAGGTGCTAATGTGTATTTATGCATCCCTACCTGATTGTAAACCCATTCAATGGTGCTCTGTGCTCCGTCCTTCAAATCTTTCTAGTGCGGAGACTCCAATGGAGTAGAAGCTCAAACTTCATAAACAATAACAAAGAAAATCAAGTTCCAAGTAAGTCAGTAATCATTAGATTGATTCTGTCTCTAGGTTCTAACTATAAACCATAGGAAAACTAACTTAAAATGTGTAAGATAAACATTAATAAGCGTGATATGTAACTAGAGAAAAATGGCAAGCCAGAAGGGATAAATTTCAGCATCCTACACAGATATTATGTGGTCAATCCTGGCTAATCTGGTTATCTCTTTGGATTTTAATTTCCACAGCCATAATGTAAATCACCGAGCTCAAACAGGATAAAATGTGTGTGAATCCTTGAGGATTAAGTGCTGGCTGCAACCAAATATTAATAAAACTTTTTTAGAGACAAATAGATCCCAAATCTCAGATTCCCCTGATGACAAGAATATGATTACAAACCTATTATCTCAATTTCATGGATAATGAACCTGACCTTGGGCAAGTTTCTTCGCAAAATTAGTTTAGACAAATCATATTGAACAATTCCTGAATTCCTTGGTATAAGAGAAGCTAAAACCTCCAGAAACGCCCCTCACTTCCTCTTTTTTCACTTGTTTGGCTTGGTCTAGATGTCACTTTATGATGTGGAAAATCAGTGCTAACGGAGCAGTGAGGTATTTGTCTAAGGTTTTCTTTCCAGGGTTTAGGTGTTTTCATGTTTAGAGATGTTTGCCTTATCTTTGGAAGGGAAGTATTTGTCATCCAGGAGCATACTGCATTTTTTGCAGTTCTTATACTGCTGATGTTGCTAAACACTGTCATTTCCTTTAATTATATTATTCATAAGAACAGTAATTGTTCTTAAAATGGCAAAACATTGTATGTTCCCCAACACAATAACAGTTGCTCTACTGAAATGTGCCCACTTTCAAAGAATGGAAGGAGACCCACCCCCAGCTACCTAACAATCACTTGAAGGATATTTACTACCATGAGCTCACTGTTAACTAAAAATGCTCCAAACAAACCATATAACAGTTACTTACTGGATTTACTCACTTAAAACTATAAAATCCACTTAAAAATTGAACAACTATTTCTACTTCTTCCTATCTTCAGATACTTGAGAACTTCAGAACTTGAGACAGCTGAGTTCCAACCATCACCTGATGTGCTGGAACAAATTAATTATGCAGCAAAGATTTTTGCTCTATCAGGGCTTTCTACAATCCTGAGATATAAATGTTGTCTATAACCATATCAAAGGAAAAGATGAGATGTTGAGCTCAGCTTTATTTTGCCAATGTAGACAATGGAAAGAAAAAAAAAACAAAAAACAAAAAACACCTTTTCTTGAAAATCAATGAGTCTCCAGGGGCTAGCACTGTACTTGATGTGCCAAGAAAAACAAAGAGACAAAGAGAACATTTGCTGGTGAAATCACGTAGGATGTCTTTGCCTTTAGGAAAAGAAAAGGAAAAGAAAAAAAAGAAAAACAAAACAAAAAAAAACCTTACGAACATAGCTCTCAAACTCTAAAAGAAGTTGAAATGTGAGTCTAGCCAATTAGTGGGAATTTCTGGGTATAAGATATTCTCCATATTCCTGCCTCTGCTCCCGCTGTTCATCTAGATGCCCTCTCCATCACCTGGGTGATGGAAAACCTGTCTGTCCTCCCGTGATCTCTGGTCTTCCTCCAGGAAGAGCCCAGTGATGGAGAGTACCCTGCATGCTAGGTGCTAGGTCCTTTGTCTGCATGACATCTAATTTTCATGACAGGTCTACTGTACAGATGTTTGTGCAACAGGCTGAGCCAGTTAAGTCAACTGCACAAACCACTCAAAAGTTAGAAGGGAAAAAAGGCAGCCCTTTACATCAGGGAACTCATAACTGACCCTCTATGATAGTACAAATATAGCTATTGCCTACAGTAAAATCATATTGTTCTCCTGCTTGTCACAATCTCACAAAACATCCACTCAGACAGGGTCACTTCACAACACAAAATACAAAACCCCCTTTTTCCCTTGGCTAAATGAGTGGCTACTAGTTCTTTGCCAGTTACAACTTTATTCTCACTCTAGTCTGCCCTCCCTACAGATAAGATTTGTTAAGATAGTTTATCATAGAATTGCAGAATTCAGAGAGAATATCCAATTCCTTGGACACTCCCAAAATTACCCATACAAATCCTAAATCTTATTATAGGTTCTTTCTAACATCCTGAACTGAGAAAACTTGCAGTTTCACATGATGTGTATTCCTCATGTGTATTGCAAGAAGTAATTGACCCAACTTTTTCTACTATAGGTGTGTTTCTGTGGTCTAAAGTCTGTGGTTTCTGATCACTCTGCTACATCCTCACTTGCTCCCTGAATGGCCTGGGCTCTGTTTTCTCATCTCTAAAATGGGAATAATAAAAATATCCAATTCATAGGGTGCTTGTGAGAATTAAATGAAATGATGAGATGAATAACTGTGAGCTGCTCTTATTATAATTACCACCGCCAGTATCATTACTACTATTTTTATTACTATGGCACCAGGACACCATACTGCTTCACTATGACCTTTTTGAAGAGCCCAGCTTCATAAAGGTCTCTCCCTCTAAACCTCACACGTGTATTAAGCTTCTGCTATAAGCAAAACACTTTTCTATACCTCTCAGAACTCCCCTCGCTGAAAACTTGCAAAATTTTCAAGAAGTGGAAAGCCTTTGTTCACTATTAAAAATGTCTTTTATGTTGCCTTGTATATTATTTCTATTTTTATGCTCTTTGTCTATGACAAGATGATTTCTGCCCTTAAGGAGCTTACTGTATCTGGAAGCTATAACCTCCGTAGCTCTTGGTACTTAGTACATGATCAATAAAACATGTGTTGATTGACAGATTGAAACAAAAGGCCAGTAGAACAGAAATGTACCACTGAGAGTGTAAAGCAGCATGTTGTTTAAAACTTCAGGCTCTGAGGCCTGTGGATGAGTAGAAATGAGCAATTCAGGAGCCCTTTGGCTTAAGGCCCCTCTTGCTGGCTTGCTTCCCTCCTCTCAGGGGTTCTGATTTGCGTCCTCCAGGTTAACAAGATTATAATGGTTTAAGCATTTGCCTCCCTTTGGCTTAGGAAAAAATATTACAAAAGGAGCGACTTTCATAGCATTATCTTTCAGGAATGGTTTTCCTATACTCCTCTTCCTTCCCATTCTTCCACCTAACATTTTTTCTTGGCTCCAGATAGCCTAAGTTTCTATTAGTAAGAGAAAGTTCCTTTCTAATAACTAATTTTCAACATACCCCAAACAACTTCCAGTTTTTATTTTTTTAATGATGCAGGGGAGGCTTTCACCAGGATATGAATGTTTAATTTGCTGTATGCAGCAAGCATTTCTTTGATGTCCTCCTAAAGCTGCTGTGGTAGATTTTCAGTATTCCTTGGAAGACCGGGTAGGGAGACTCATTTTCCCACTAGTAAATATATAATTTTCTTTGAAAATTATTTGGTTTTTATTACCAAGGAAAGAGTTGTTTTCTTTAAAACTAATGAGCAATGCTCCCTACACACAGCATGATGGATTCTGAAACACCATAATGATTGGAGGGTGCTGGTGTGTGTTCTACCTGGACAAAGATGTTTAACTGTGCCACCCCCACAATCCAATTCAAATGGCAAAATTTGTCCTCCTTCTCCCCTTCCCACCATGGCTATTTCAAGAAGGACAATTCCTTTCCTATTCCACAACTACGTGCATTTGCTCCCTACTTAATGAGAATGAATCCCCAGGACTAGACTGGGAAGGCGTATCCATGTCATGGCATACCATTACATACATTCAATTGGTATCTGTGCACCTGAGATAGCCTCCATGCATTATTTTAAATGAAAAAAGATACAGACATATATGGTATATTCCCAAATTCCCACTTATGTAAACTTTCATGACTAAAATCCCTATATATGTGCTTAAATATTTATGTGTGATTGTTGAACATGCAGAAGGTATAGATGGACATATCTTAAACCATATTGATTTCCCCTGGGGGCAGGAGACATGGGAGAAGAAGGGGAGTACAGTAGAAATTACAACCTTTCCCTTATATATTTTTGGATATTTTTTCACTTCTTAAATTGTATGATTTTTAAAAAAAAAAACAAAGAAGGAAAAAGCACACAATGAAATCTTTTTGCCCTTTCTGACTCTTGAGGTTGTACCTGCAGTGCTCAGAAACTTTTTCTGGCAAGGGTAAGAAACAGAAGCCTCAGAAAATCACGGTGTGATGTGAGAAAAGGGCCCTGGGCTTGCAGCAGGAACATGTGGGTGTAAGAAAATTTGGAGTAAGCAAAACATATTATTGAGTGTCTCCAAAGGAAAATTATGCAGTGTTTTGCTCATACCCTTCAGGATTAACTGATTCTAGCCTTTCATTGCCTTTGAGAAATTTTAAAACTCTCTACATTATAGATAAATGATAGCAATGCAAAATAAGTTTTTACTATACACATGCAATTGAATTTTTCCCAGTAGAATGACATATCTCTTCCTCTCTCACTTTTCTGATCTTTAAATACGTACGTTCTTTGGATTTTCTGATTGTAACAACGTTATCAGTTCTGTCATTAACAGGTGAATTAAATAAAATCTTTAACACATGTTCATTTTATATCTCAATCTTCATCATGATTTTCCTTTTTTTTAAATAAGTGGCCTTTCACATTGGATTAGATCCCACTGTGACCAGGACCAGCACCACCTACATCACAGAGGGGGTCTCTTCACTTCTCTGACCCCATCCATCCATCTCCCTACCCTTCTTTCTTTTATGTTTTCTCTCTTGCTCACCCCACTATTTCCACATAGAATCAGAAGGCTACATCTGTAATGATGCTCAGTGGTAATTTCTGGGTGGTGGGATTTGAGGATATTTATAGCTTTTTTTTTTTTTTTTTACTTTTCTGCATTATTTGAATCTTTTGTAAAGGGAATTCACCATTTTTATAAATCAATAAAAAAGTATGGGAGCAGAGTTCCAAAGTTTGTCAGAATTTCTCAGGTACTCCTTTCTCTCCTAATTTTTTTTTTAAAATATTGTCTTCAAAGAACCAGCACAGGGAGAAATGTGACATATTGCTAGGGGTTGATGAACTTCACCAAAGAATAATCTTAAAAATGCCCAGAGCTCAAAGAGCAAAATTTCTGAAGGGCTGCCCCAGGTGCTCAGATGCCTCTGTCATAATACGGTCTTTTCAAAGGGAAGCTCAGGCCCTGAGACACTCCTAGAGCCCAGCAACTCTGTCCCTGGGTTTCTCCTTTTCTAGGTGGCCAACAGTTTGTTGGGGCAGATTTGAGTCCCTGATGTATCCCTAGCTGCACCATGGAAAACAGCACATCCATTTTGTAAGAGTATCCACCACAGGCATTTAATGGAAATAAACCATTCTGACAGGTATGTGCCATACACTGAAGCTTACAAAGGACATTTATGGACATTATCTCATTTGATCTGCATCTAAGCTAAATGAGGGAGGCAAAGCAGATGGTAAAGTGCTCCTCTTTACAGGTGAGAAAATAGGTGCACAAGTTTCAGAGCCAGAAATTCCAGGAGCAAGTGTAACCTCGATGTTTCGAAATGACCTCATGACCTCCTATATGTTCTCCACCATAATGCACTCATCAGAGTTTATGGTGGGGGATAGGGGCCAGGGAGAGAAAATTATTCTGGACAGTAACCTTTTAAAATCTTGGTCTTTAACATCTTTAAGCTTTCTGTTTAAAATTGTAATTAATGTTATGGAATTAAATCTCAATAAATTCCTTGAGAACATTTTTTTTTAATTTTAAAGATATTCTTTAGGTAGAACAAGGAGGTCAGGATCTAAACTCTCTTTCTATTTCTTTCACTTACTCACTTGTTCTGAGAAGTGGTAGAGGTTAACTTTGTGAATAATTGCAAAACACCAAACCTCTCTGAGCCTTAGTTTACTATACACTTTCAGTGAGTAATTAGGAGGCTTCAGGGCAATACTGCATGTAAATGCTAAGCACAGGACCTAGCCCCTAGAAAGCACTCAAAACTTATCAGTTAATAAAGACTGGGTAAGACACCAATTATGACACCAAGCTCAGATCATGTAAACATTATATTAAAAACTAATAACTGCATTTTTGGCAACAACAAAGCTTTCTTCTTCTAGGTCTCCAGTATACTCACATTGTATAAGGAATAACATAATATTCAATTTACCATGGGAATCACTCTCATTTATCCATACTATTGGAGGTAAACAAGGTATAGATCATTAAAAACCATGAATAATTGAAAAACGCTGTTACTTCAACTTTGAAATACACTACCTTCTTTCTCAGTTCCCTACTCTGCCCACCCTCTCTTTCCATCACATTTCTTTCCAGCTTTTGATAGAGTTACACAGTGAATTCCCATTGTTGGAGACAAATGGCCCATGGAAATAGACAATAATTTATGGGCATCCAAAGGAGTAGATTGGGATTAACTATATACTTAATCTAGTGCAGTGCTTCTCAACCTCAGCACTATTTAAATTCTGGATAATTATTTGCCGTGAGGGGGCATCTGTGCATTGTAACATGTGTATGAACATCCCTGCCTCTGTCTACTGTATGTCAGTAACACACTCCCATTTCCTCACTCTCCAGATATGACAACCAGAAATGACTCCAGACATTGCCAAATGTCCCCTGGGGAGCAAAATCAATCGTATCTGGTTGAGAACCACTGGACTGGTTCATTGAGCTGCTTCTCTAAGGCACTGTGTTAAATTCTGGAATAAGAATGCTGTGTACAACTTTCTGTTTACAAGTTAGTGGGGGAGATTAACTGGGGGTAATGCACTTGCAGCCCCTTGAAATGGGACCTCATGATCATTTTAACTGAAAGCAGCATGTAGGGTTTGTGTTTCATAAGACTCATTGAAGAATGCTGTTGAATATAGTTTAAAATGACCCATATACTCTATGATGTATAAACCAATGCTACAAAAAAAAACCTTATAACAACCCAGCATGTCTATCCTTCAAGGTAATGCCCATCTATCTCTCCGGGCCCAGCTCAAATGATTATTATTTGTCCGTTTCACAATAGTCAGATACCAATACTCCTAAAACTCTTCATCTGATTGGCATATCAGATTACCTCTCTTCTGCAGCCCAAAAGGGTGCTTCAGTCGATTGTGGAAGCTTGAAACAAAGCAGGAAGAATTGTTTAGGCACAGCACACCCAATGAGAATGGAACCAACCAACACTTCTAGTTCTTTTTCAACCTGCGTACCAGTGTCTAGGGCTAAAGAAGATGAGGACAGCCAACCATTCCAAGGATAGAAGCCTGAATTAACCAAGATAATTGGCAAAGGGTCACAGAAAATGTCCTTTTAAAAATAATAATGCTTACTCTTTTTCTTAACTGTCCCAGGTAACACATTCAAATGAGCTCTTATTCATCTTCTTATGTACTCACATAAAAGTCTGTTTTAAAATGTTTTTTGCTCTGTTGCCTTTTTTATTAGAAATTTTTATTGGAATTCTTTTTTACTCTTGCATTAAGAGCTGCAAAGCCTTGGAATATGAGATGAAGCCTAGCACTGATGTCTTATAGAATCGACCACGCAGGTAAAATTTTTAACACAAGCAAATTCTGCATCCTTAGCTGTGCAAACACCAAAAAAGAAATGATTCCTCTCCAATAGGCTTCTCCACATCTCCACACTGCTTCTCTTCACATAAGGGACACAGTACCCAGCAAATGCAACTGCCATGCTTACCTTGGCTAGGCTGTAGTCATGAGATGAGCCTGCAGATGGACCAAGTCCTCGGCATTTCACCTGGAGATTCCCAGACTTGGCTGATCGACAGAATTATCTGGGAACATTTCAAAATTCAGTTTCCGGGTTTGCTCCAAAACTTGTTGAATAGAATCTCTGGGCAGGATGATTTAAATTTTTGTAAAGTTCTGCAGGTGATTTTGATGACTAGCTGAATTAGAAATCACTGTATTAAGTTTTCAGATTCTGAGACTTGGTGCTATCTTGGCAATGTCATTCTTCAATAAGGAGGTTCAATGATAGTTGAATCAGCAGCTACCATGTCCCCTAACTCAAAGATCAACTGTAATAAAAATTTGAAAACCAAAATGTGTTAGCATGAACAAATGCTTTATTCTAGGGCAAATATGGGAAAAAAATATATCAAAAAAATCTTGTGCCCTGATTTTTCTGGAATATATTCAAGTTAAATTATCTTCTTTGTAGCGTAGTAAATAATTTGAAAATTTAAGAAATTCTATTTATTACTACCAAAATATCTAAACCAAATATTGCAGACAGCTTTTCACATATAGCACCTACACAAAAATTTTACCCAGCCCAACAGCTCAAATTTTGGTTCATTTACTCATTCAATAGAAATCACTATCTCTAGAGACTTGATCTCAGTAATTAACTAGTTTTTATTATATCTGGAGGAATAAACCAGGGATCAAAACTATAATGCAAAAGGTCATACCTAATTGAGTGCTGAATAATAAATGTCCCATAAAAATCAGAGATTGTTTGAGATTGGTGGTAGTTTACTAAGGTAGTCAGGAGAATCATCCCTGAGAATAGAGATGGGGTCTGAAGAAAGGGAATAATTAGAAGAGAGAACCTGGAGAGGTGCTTCAACCAACCTTTTACACTTTCTCCCACTGCCTGATACAGTAGAAGACAGCTAAGAACTACTACTAGTTCTTAAAGACTTGATGTTTGGAAAATATAAGTAGTAAGGCAATTTGACATTGACTGCAGGACCATCCAATGCAGCCAAAAACACTCTAAATGTTAGTGAGTACTTCTTTCTTAACCCAAGCTCTGATCTCAGCCAGCTTCATCTTCATAACACATAGCAAAGGAGAATTAACAGTTTTTCACACAATTTATCTCTCTCCTCTCACATTTTATTAGAAGCAGCAAGAAGAAACTAGGCTGCATCTTCGACATTTTGCTGGAAAATCCTCTCAGCTAAATATCCGAGTTCATACTGTATAAGTTCGCTTTCTATTTAAGTGTTGGAGACAATTGCTAAGCTCTCTGCCACTGTAGAGTAGCATATGGTTCCTCTAGCTTCCAGCATGTTCCTTACTTCCTTCCACACCCTCAACATTCTCAAAGTCTGTATTGCTACTAAGCCTTTCCAAGGTGATCTAGGCTTTTGTTTTCACGCTCCTCAAAATTCTTCCAACATCTGCCCAACTCCAAAGTCACTTACACATTTCACTTATTTGTTATGGCAACACTCACATCCAGGTATCAAATGTATATTAGTTTTTTATGCTACATTAGAAATTACCACAAATAGAGTGGCTTTTAGTATATCACAGTTCTATAGGTTAAACTTCCCATTGAATCCTTTGTTTAGGGTTTTTTGAGGTCGAAATCAAGGTCGAAAGTTGGGCTTTTATCTGCAAGTCCTGGGAAAGAATCTGCTTCCAGCTCATTCAGGTTGTTGGGACTGCCTTTTATTTGCAGAACTAAGGTTTCTGTTTCCTTGCTGGCTGTCAGCCAGGAATCTCTCTAGGCTTTATCAGGAAATTCACCTGCAGTTCCTTTTCACATGGCCTCCTCCACTTCAAACCAACAAAGGTACGTTGTGTCCTTCAGATGCTTCGAATTTCTCTGATTTCTTCTGATGCTCCCAACCTGATAAAATGCTCTTTTTTTTTTTTTAAGGGCTCATGTGATTGTTTAGGTCAGGTCAAGCTGAACAGTCACCCTTTTGTTGTACAGCGTAATATCATATAGTCATGGGAGTAGCATCTCATAATGTCGCAGGTTCCATTTATATTCAACAAAGAGGGGATTATACATGGATAAGCTCCACTAGGGATCATTCTTAGAACTCTGCCTACCACCAAATCTTTTGGAGATGATAGAATGGTGGTGATTATCTTGATTGTAGTGATAGTTTTATCAGTGTACATAATGGTCAAACTCATTGAATTGTACACTTCAAATAGGTGTAGTTTATACCTCAATTAAAGTTTAAAAATTTCACCTCATCATATTTAAGGATTAAGTATGTAAAACATTCCCCTTGATGTCAGAAGCAAGTTAAGGATCTGGCTTACTCCACATCCTTTATATTTATGATTGTGCTAGAAGTCCTAGCTAGCGAATAAAGCAAACAGAAAGTCATGAAAGGTATGAAAATATGGAAAGAAATAAGTATAAATGTCCGTCGCTTTGTGCAAAAGACATGATTGGGTATGTAAAAGTTCCAAAGAATCTAAAAACACAGCATTAGAATTAATAAGAAAATTAACGATGTTGCAAGACTGAGGTCACTATACAAAAATAAACTGTTAGTATATGTTAACAAGAAAAATTGGGGAAATAAAATTTTAAAAAATATCCTTTCTGGTAGCATTTAAAAATGTCAAATATCTCAGAATAAATTAAAGAAACGTATATAATTCTCTACACTGAAAACATTGCTAAGAGAAATTAAAGACAAATAGAGAAATATACTATTTTCATGATTTGTAACAGTCAATACTATTGAAATGTCAGTTATTCCCAGATACATCTATAGATTTAATTCCAATCAAAATCTCAAGGTTTTGAGAAAACTGACAAGCTTGTTATAAAGTTTACAGAAAAATGCATAGAATCTAAAATAAGCTAAATAATTTTAAAGAAAAAATTTGAAAGACTTACACTACCTAATTGCAAGATTTCTTAAAATGCTATTATATCAATGTGCTATTAGTGTAAGATAGACAAATGAACCCATGAGTCAGAATAGACAGTCCAGAAACAGACCATACATATATAGTCACTTGCTTCGCAGTAAAGAAATAACTGCAGTGCAATGGGAGAAAGGTTGGTGTTTTATAATGAATAGGTATCCATATGGGAAATAAACACCTTTAACCTTACTCCCTGTCCATGCCATGAATAAATATTTATTCAAGAACAGGCCTAATGGATCCCATTACTGGGTATATACTCAAAGGATTATAAATCATGCTGCTATAAAGACACATGCACATGTATGTTTATTGCGGCACTATTCACAATAGCAAAGACTTGGAACCAACCCAAATGTCCAACAACGATAGACTGGATTAAGAAAATGTGGCACATATACACCATGGAATACTATGCAGCCTTAAAAAATGATGAGTTCATGGTCTTTGTAGGGACATGGATGAAACTGGAAATCGTCATTCTCAGCAAACTATCACAAGGTCAAAAAACCAAACACCGCATGTTCTCACTCATAGGTGGGAATTGAACAACAAGAACACATGGACACAGGAAGGGGAACATCACACTCCAGGGACTGTTGTGGGGTGGGGGCAGGGGGGAGGGATAGCATTAGGAGATATACCTAATGCTAAATGACGAGTTAATAGGTGCGGTACACCAACATGGCACATGTTTACATATGTAACAAACCTGTACATTGTGCACATGTACCCTAAAACTTAAAGTATAATAATAAAAAAAAAGAACAGGCCTAATGGAAAAAATGTATAGAACTTCTAGAAAAATTATAGGAGGGAAGAAGTCCTTATCACCCTGGAGTAGGCAAAGATTTCTTAAACAAGGTAACAAAACAGGACTTCAACAAAATGTTTTTGAAGTTCATACATGTTGTAGCATATATCAACATTTTGTTTCTCTTTATTATTAAAGAATATTGCACTTTATTAAAATACTGCATTTTGTTTACCCCTTCAGCAATTGATGAATATTTGAGTGCTTTTTCTCGTTTTTGGCTATTCTGACTAACGCTGCTGTGAACATTTGCCTGGAGGTCTTTGTGTGGACATACATTTTTATTTCTTTGGGGTAGATGTCTCTGAGACTTCTTCAGTTTCCTCTCTTTTTCCTTTTAGTAGCTTTTTCTCCATTTAGTAGTTTTAGAAAACACATAAGTTCAGATCCAGTTTGAGCTGGTTCACTGGTTTGAAACGATTGTTCAATTCAATTAGAAAGTTAATATTTGGATTTGCTGTGGGATTTAGCAAATGAGTATATTCATTCTATTTTCTGATTCATGTTCCACTTTAGTTCCTGTCCCTGATGGCAACTTAAAAGTGTGTAGCAGGTTCTGTGCTGGAAATGAAGACAGATTACTGTACACAGGGTGATACTCTTATGGAGGAAGAAAACTCATCTCTATATTAAATTCAAGCTTTGCAGTTAAATCACTACCTCTCCTCTTTCATCCTTTAACCCACATCCTTATACTCATTCTTGGGTACAGGATTTTATTTGTTTAATAAAACCTTTCACTGTCATCTCTGTTAGAAGGTCGTGGATTATTGCTCTGGAGGCCAGCAGGGGCAGGCTTTCTGTGTGAGAGAGAGTAGATCAAGCTATAGGAGCATAATTCTGTTTAGCTGCAAGGGCATGGGTATCTCCTCTGGGAGGACCATTGCCTCGCTGAAAAAAACAAGAGCTGGCAAGATCAAGGCCCGTCCTTTCCTCTCTTGATGTGCTGTGTGCAAGTCATTGGACTTACTTCAATTCAAGCTTCAGCATTTGAGGGTAATTTCCCATATTAGTAAAAATGCATTTACAGGTAAAGGAAAGAGGATTGTAAAAATCTCACCTACTTCTGGCATCTTTTTAACGTTGGAGTTATCCGTTAGGTAGGTCCTATTTTCCAAGTGATTGCAATCATTCTGGAGTTCTGGGATTACTTAGGATAGAGAGAGAAAGCAAATGATTTAAGAAGTAATATTTGGCTTAACTATGAGAGCCCACAGGTATACTGTTTCAAGCTTCACTCACAAAACATTGAAAATTGCTCTCTCAGCTAAATTTCCTCAGTATCCTACTAAATTTCTACCCCCTCCTCACACATCACCATAAGACAGGATGAGAGCAGGGAAGATCAGAGGGAGTGTTATTGGGAGAGATGGATCTGTGTGCTTGCTGCAATGACCTTTGTTGTTTAACCTGGGAGTTCCCCTCCTGCCTTCTCCTTGTGAACTTTAGGCACCTTACCTTCAGTATCTGATGATTAATTTCATGTGACAATTTGACTGAATCACAGGGTGCCCAGATATTTAAACACTACTAGGTGTGTCTGTGAGGGTGTTTCTAGACAAGATTAGCATTTAAATAGGTAGACCGGGTAAATCACATTGCCCTCCACAACATGGTAGGTGTCATCCAATCCCATCGAGGGCCTGAATAGAAGAAAAAGATGGAGGAAGGGAGACCACTCTCTCTGCATGACTGCCGAGCTGGAACATCAGTCTTACCCTGCCTTTGGACTAAGACTTACACCAACACCTCTCCCAGTTCTCAGGCCTCTGAATTCAGACTGGAACTATATCTCCAGCCTTCCTGGGTCTCTAGGTTTGTTGGTGGCAGATCATGGGACCTCCATAATCATGTGAGCTAATTCCTTCTTCTTCTCTCTCTCTTTCTCTCGGGGTGTGTGTGTGTATGTGTGTGTGTGTGTATGTGTGTGTGTAACTTGATCCTCAGGCAACAGTTTGCCAATCCCAGCTCTATAGGATTTTATTCATGTATTTTTTATTTGACCTCAAGTTCCAAGAATTAATCATAATGCTTAATTCATAATATGCTATTATCATTGGTTGACAATGGCCATCTTTTATCGGTGTTAATAATACAATGAACACTAATAAACTCACCACCCACCCAAAATCTGAAACATTATTAACACAGCTGACCTAGGTCTGGTGAGCATGAGTTCACCAGGAAAGGGTGGCTTTCTAGGCAGAAGGAACATCAGGGGCAATAACATGAAGACATGTAGGGCATTGTGTATTTCACAGCATGGCTTGGCTGAAGTGTGCAGTAAAGTATGGGACACAGTGAAACACAAGGAGAGGGAGTCTGGGGCCTGATTATTAAAGGTCTTGCCCAAACATTGCTATATAGATATAGATATAGTATACATATACATAGATACAGATATAGATCGATCTCAGACTTTTCACTGGAGACATACTGAAAGGCCAACCAAGGCCAAAAAACCCCTCTACCCTAGTCCTTCCTAAGAGTCTGAAATTTGAGTGGCGAGGCACCATTTAAGAAACTGGGAAGTGAAGATTTTTAAAAGTTTAGTGCCTTCAACAGTGGGGTAACTTATTCTCTAATTCTAATGGGCTCTGGGAATTGAGAATGCCAGGCAAGCTCTGGCTTGGATAATACCTGAGTAGGGTCAGATATTATCCTGAATATCTAAGCATTCAGAAAGCAGTGGGAATGTTTTGGAAATGCTAACTCTTGCCAGGCCTGGGGAAGATAAGCTGACCTAAGGATGCTGAATAAAGGACAGGAAGAAACAATTGTCCCCTCATTTGGAGCAAGAAGAGAATATGGGTGTTCCTGTGAATTTGGGGGTTCCCATCTGTGGTGGTAATTAATACAATTCACCTACCCTAGAATATTGGTTCTCCCTCTGTGCACACAGTAAGACTACCCTTCCCTGCAACCCCCTCCTTGAAATTCTAAATTCTATGTGACCCTGTGACTTGCATTGCCCAATGAAAAGTGAATGAAAGTGGCATGTGTCACTTCCAAGTGGGAATTTAAGAGCCAATATGCAATGTAACCACCTCTCTTCTCTCTGCAAGGTGATTATGGGAGCACTGTTGACATGGAGCCCCTGTCAGCCTGAGGCCCTGAGTGGCCATGAGAGAAGAGTCATTCTTTTGACTTAAAAGTAGACATTTAGTACAGCCAAAAATAACACTTTTGGGGGTTAATCTGTGAAAGATGAGGTTTGTTTCTTGTTGTTGTTGTTGTTGTTGTTGTTGTTTAATGAAGAACAACTTAGACCAGGGTGAACAAACTACTGCTATCAGGCCAAATCCAGCGCATAGCCTGCTTTTGTATTGATAAATAAATCTGTATTGGAACACGACTACCTACATTGATTTATATATTGTCCATGGCTTCTTTCACATGACAAGGGCAGTGTTGAGTAGTTGTGATAGAGACCACATGGTTAACATAGGCTAAAAATATTCACTACTTTGCCCTTTACAGAAAATATTTCCTGACCCCTGACCTAGACAATCCTAACTGAAACTACTCAAATTGGGAAGTCGTGCAGGATGATCCATTTGAAGAGTCATCATCCACACTCCCTAATCTCCTTCTGTCTATGCTCCCCTGTTGCGGGAAGTCAGGGACCCCGAATGGAGGGACTGGCTGGAACCATGGCAGAACATAAATTGTGATGATTTCATGGACATTTATCAGTTCCCAAAATTAATACTTTTATAATTTCTTATGCCTGTCTTTACTGCAATCTCTGAACATAAATTGTGAAGATTTCATGGACATTTATCACTTCCCTAATAATACTCTTATAAATTCTATGCCTGTCTTTACTTTAATCTCTGAATCCCATTATCTTCATAAACTGAGAATATACATCACCTCAGGACCACTATTGTATAAATTGATTGTAAAACATGTGTGTTTGAACAATATGAAATTAATGCACCTTGAAAAAGAACAGAACAACAGTGATTTTCAGGGAACAAGGGAAGACAACCATAAGGTCTGACTTGCCTGTGGGGTCAGGCAGAATAGAGCCATATTTTTCTTCTTGCAGAGAGCCTATAAACAGACATGCAAGTAAGAGAGATATTGCTGAATTCTTTTCCCAGCAAGGAATACCCTGGGGAAGGAATGCATTCCTGGGGGGAGGTCTATAAATGGCCGCTCTGGGAGTGTCTGTCTTATGTGGTTGAGATAAGGACTGAAATACGCCCTGGTCTCCTCCAGTACTCTCAGGCTTACTAGGATTGGGAAATTCCAGCCTGGTAAATTTTGGTCAGACTGGTTCTCTGCTCTCGAACCCTGTTTCCTGTTAAGATGTTTATCAAGACAATACATGCACAGCAGGACATAGACCCTCATCAGTAGTTCTAGTTTTGCCTTTGCCTTGTGATCTTTATTGCCCTTTGAAGCATGTGGACTTTGTGACCTACTCCCTGTTCATAAAGCCCCTCCCCTTTTAAAATCCCTAATAAAAGCCTGCTGGTTTTGCGGCTCAGGGGCATCACGGTCCTACCAACATGCGATGTCACCCCTGGAGGCCCAGCTGTAAAATTCCTCTCTTTTTACTCTTTCTCTTTATTTCTCAGACCGGCTGACACTTAGGGAAAATAGAAAGAACCAACGCTGAAATATTGGGGGCTGTTTCCCCCGATACTCCCCGCTCCAGTGGGCCCTCAGTTCTGTCAAGAAATGATTTTCCATCAGTCATTTGTACCTTGATGGGAAACATTTGAGGTGCAGTGTGACCTCTTCCAGGAAAAAATTAGGCCATGCCTTTAAAATCAGAGACCTCCCTAAAGAATGCAGTAGTAAAAAGGTGGAGGCATTGTTTTGCAGAGAAGGTAGAGTTCCCTCCAGGGTTCCCCTCATGTTATGTCATGCAGATGGCTGCTTTAATTCTGCATACAAGATCAGTCCTAGCAGTAACTTACTAACAGGTGTCCTTCAATATCTCACCAGTCTACCCCCAAAATGGAAGCATTCAGTTATCTAACAGTTTCATTAACCAAGAACATAGCTAAAAGGCAGGAGGTAAACCAAGACTTCCAGGGAGCTACAAACTGGTATTACTAATCCAATATGCTAGAGTATAAGGAAGTTACATCTAGGCAATTTACTCTAAATTTACACACAATTCTATCTGGCTTATAGTATCTTATTAATAACTAATTTACAAAAAAAAGTTCTCATTAACTTTACCCATTTGTTTATCATATATTCACGCATTTATTCATTTCACCCTGATATGGTTTGGCTCTGTGTCCCCACCCAAATCTCATCTTAAATTGCAATCCCCACATGTCGAGAGAGGGAACTGATGGGAGGTGATTGGATCATGGGGACAATTTCCTCCATGCTGTTCTCATGATAGTGAGTTCTCACAAGATCTGATGGTTTAAAAGTGTTTGGCAGTTCCCCCTCACTCTCTCACTCCTGCCACCATGTAAGATGTGCCTTGTTTCCCCTTCACCCTCCTCTGTGATTGCAAGTTTCCCGAGGCCTCCCCAGCCATGCAGAACTGTGACTCAATTAAACCTCTTTTCTTTATAAATTACTCAATCTCAGGTAGTTTTTTATAGCAGTGAAAACGGACTAATTACACACCCCAAATTTACCCACTGACTCCTGTGTTTTAAAATGCCACTCGACATCTATAGAACCATTCACAATCTAATTAATAGTGCCACATACTTGTGACTTCTATGGGAAAGACAAAGATAAGTCAGACTGCCCCCATCCCCTCGAGGAAACGGTAATCCACTGGGAATGCGGGATTGTCAACTACTGACCCTGACTCAAAGCAAGATGGGAAAATGCCTCATAAAGGTAAAAGGGAGTTTCCATGGAAAAGCAGAAGACCAGCGTCTGACTGAAAGGTCTCAGCAGGGCCTGGACAGGCACGCACATAGTCAGCCACCAGGGGAAAAAGGGCAAACAATAATCGTGAAAGCTGGACAGGGCAGACACAAGGTCACAAGGACGTTCACGCATCCTCCTGGCTACGTCAGAGCAGCAGCAGCCACCTCTGTAACCCCCCACCCCCACCTTCTTTACCTGCAGTCTGAGTGATCCTTCAAAATGTATATCTGATCATGTCACACTGCTGCTTAAAACCCTTGAGTGATTTCCTATTGCTGTGGGGACTTCTGTCCAGGCTATGGAACCCTGTGAGGAATGCCCCAGCCTGTGTATGGCCCAGCAAATGCCACAGTGCCTCTTTTTCAGCTACTCCTCCATAGCCAGCTCCCTGCAGTTACGGGCCTTGGGACAGGACATTGAGTATTAGGATAAAGCTACTTGCCCTTGACAAACCCCAAAAGCATCACAAACAGCATAATGCAGTACAAGTGTTCAAGTTTAGGTATCAGCCTCTGTGTTCCCAAGCTTCCTTTTCAGAAGGCAAAAAATAAAAACAAAGCCTGGCATACAAAAGGCACTCAATAAATTTCATACACTCTCATTTAGGGAGCCAGGAAGAATGCCATATTTCAGAAAGGTTTTTAATCAAAACAGCTAAATCATCTTAAGTCTGGATGTTCAAAAGAATAAAAGCCTACTTTAAAATTTTGGCCAAACAACACTTATTCCCCAAAGCCTCCACACTTGTCAGCCTTCCTCTAAGGCTCCAAGCCCCAGCAAAATTGTTTGTATTCACAAAGCCTCTTGTCCTACCATGCCACTCCCCTCTCTCTGCCCTGCAGCACCAATACTGCTGAGTGAAGCAGCTCTTTCAGCCCAGGCGGAAGAGCGTTGATTCAGGTGGGAAATGAATTGTGAGAACAGATGTTCTCAAAATCAAATATCTGGTTTCATGCAAATATTGTCAGAAATAGACAATGCGAGAGCCACAGAGGAAGTGCAATCGACACATAAACCTTATTTCTAAAACAAATTTCTAAGCCGCCCACAGGCCTGAAGTGAGCCTCCAGGAGTGTGATTCAGAGACAGCCTGAGACATAAGCAAAATACTCAACAGTCTAAATTATACCCTTTTAGGAAATCAAGAAGTTCTCCCCACTCTCAAGTAGCTAGATTATCCTCGTGCTGAAGCACTAGAAATTTCACAATTAGAAATTCAATCCTTTGGATTTATTTTCTCTAATCTATTTTTAAAAGGATGAAGGAGGTGTCATTTTCAACGAAATGAAACACTACAGTCATACAGTGTTCAACAATAGTAATCATAATGTTTTATGTTGATATAGTATATTGTAGCTTCCAAATTCTCTGGTAAGTGGGTAGAATAAGTACCATTTATTCACATTTTACACATATGGAAATTGGAGTTCAAAGGGGTCATATGACTTGCACAGAGATATGAAACAAGCTGGTGCAGAGATAAAGCAGAAGCAGGTCCCCTGGTACCTAGAGGTGGCAGCAATGGCAGAGCCAAAGGGGACATGGGCTTGGGAGTGGGTCTTCAGCTCACTAAATGATGTCAACCAACACTTCTCTGATCTAAAGGTTTTTTAAATTGCAGATGAAGTGTTTTGCACCTGCTGTGTCAAGAACCCACACACCCACCTCCAGCCTTCTGAGGAGATGACACCTGTAGGGGATGGGGCCCTGAGGCACCACTAAGTACTAGGCCCACTGGGGAGGACAGGCAGGCAAGGAGATCCCGGCAAGATAAAGGAGCAGATGGCAGAAGTGTGTCATGCAGGCTTCTCCAGGGTTTTAACAATCATCATGTTTCCTCTGTGCCAGGTTCATTCACCTTGTCAGAATCCTCATAATTGCTCTGTGAGTAAATACCATTTAATTTCTATACTAAGGGGAAGAAAACTGAGCCTCAGAGTGAAGTGATTTGCCTGAAACCACACAATGTACGAGCAGTGTGTGAGCTCAGATCTTGGGTTTTCTACACCATATTTAAGCCAGAAATTTCATTTTTGTTCCAAGAAACCAAGAGGATGCTCTACTTTATAACTTCTAGTCAAGTCTATAATGAAAATTGTAAAAGACACATGGAAGAAAAAAAGATTGAGAGCATGTACCCAAACCTGATTTATTTCCTCTAAAACACAGCAGCTGCGGGAGCCAGAAAGTCCTATCTCAGCATTGGCTACCCCCAGAGTTGGAAATGCTGTTTCTTCCATTCAATGGGACCAAGGAGCATGCAAGTGAGCAGAGGAGACATGTGTAATACACTCATCCACCATTCCTACTGCCCCACATACATACAGCATCTCAATGCAGCATCTCAATGCACACAGACCTCATGAGCACAGATTCCAGTGGACTGTACAGTAGTTTAGCAAGAATAAAAACAAGCACAAGGGAAGTTTGCTGCACCCACAACAAAGTAAGCAGAGGCACTGACAACCCTGAGAACCTACACTTCCCATTTGAACCAGAATTTGCTTTGCACACAGAAAGAGGGCAATGGCATTCTAAGAAACACTAACAACCAAAGGACCTTACCATATCTTTTCTCATCCATATATGAGCCAATTACTTCCACTAAACACCACTGTGTTCCCCCAGCCACAGAGACACATATCAAACTCTCCAACTGGTCCTGCTGAAGCCCTACTTTCTTTCCACTTCAGTTAATGGAAGAAGCACTCAATCAAGAACATCCTCACAAATGCTCCTCAGGAATCCTACTCTCAAATGAAAATGCAGCTCACAAAAAATTTATGACAAATATTTAGCAACAAAAACCAAAAAAGGCTGGGAGCGATGGCTCTTGCCTGTAATCCCAGCACATTGGGAGGCTGACGCAGGCAAAACACTTGAGGTCAGGAGTTCGAGACCAGCCTGGCCAACATGGTGAAACCCTGTCTCTACTAAAAATACAAAAAAAAAAAGAAAAAAATTAGCCAGGCATCGTGGTGTGTGCCTATAATCCCAGCTACTCAGGAGGCTGAGGCAGGAGAACCACCTGAACCTAGGAAGTGGAGGTTGCAGTGAGCTGAGATTGTGCCACTGCACTCCAGCCTGGGTGAGATTGAGACTCTGTCAAAGAAAAAAAAAAAAGAAATCCAATTAGCTCGAACTGGTGAAAAAGTACACTACATTACATCCTTACCATGGAATCCTACTCAGCAGTAAGAAGGCAGGCAGTACTGATACACATGACAGCATGGATGAATCTCAGATGCATCATGCCAGGTGAAAGAAGCCATACTCAAAAAAACTGTATGGAAATCTTTTCAGATGGGCTTTGTCTTGCACAACAGAGGCTCAAAGGGATTAACGACTCCTGGGAGAGGTCAGAGCTCAACCTTCAAGGGACCCAGCTGCAGAGATTATAGCTGGCAAGAAGAGGCGATATTCAAAATCAGTCAAAGATTTGGGTAAAACAAGGCCTTTTGCCCCATCCACCCTGGGCAGTCACAGAGCAGAATCTGGTGAATGAATCAGGCAGCAGTGCACACAGCCACACAGGACAGTCTTCTGCTACCATTAGCCCCATATTCACCCAGCTGACAAGCCCAGAACTAGAACTTTGCCTTGACTATAAGCTGTAACTTATCACGGTCAACAACAAATACCAAGAAAATCTTCTGAGCAAATAGATTTCTTTTTCCATCTCAGGACAACTGAAGCTATTTTTATTTGCGGTAATTTGAATTCAAAGTCAGCAGAGAAAAAGAAGGAAAAAAAGAGCCCCTTATTACCATTCACTGTTTAAAATGTATCAAAAATTATGAGAAATAATTCAACCATTTCAGCTAAAATAAGGCTAAGCTAGACCTTGGCTGCAGCCCAATAGGCCTGATGCCCTTAATCTGTTTTTTAAAAATCTCCTTTTCAAAGGAAACTTTGTTCTTGGCATCATTAGATTGTGCCAGTCCCTTGACCTGGCCTCAGCCCAGCACTTTACAAACACTAGGCTCCCAAGTGGAAACTGGCACTAAGCATGTGTGAGATGGGCTGCACCTATAGTCAACGCAGGAGAGTATCCATCTAGCATCTTTCATGGGTTGGTGATGAGCTGGGGGCAGTGCGAGATACAAGCCCTCAAGAACTTTATCCACTTCTTGCCTCATGCCTGGAATACTTTTCTCCAAAGAGAAAACAATGAAAGATGATATTAACCCAAGAGGTAAAATTCCTCACCAAGGTCAGAATATTGAGTTTAAAACCAATGGTTCCAAAGCTGTATTGTACTTCAGAATCACTCAGGGTGATGATTAAAAATTGAAACTCCTGGGCCTCCCCTGACCTACACACAGAAGTTCTGCATCTGTATGCCTGGGGTCTACCCTAAGAATCTGCATTTTTAACAAGCTTCCTGCCCATGCCAGTAATTCTGATGCTAATGGTCCTCAGACCACGTTTGTGACCATCCACGCACGAGTGCTTCTTCATGCAAGAGGACTACTGCCAAGAATGATCTGAGAAGGTAAAAAGGCCAAGCACCATAAGGGTAACTTAGAAGTGTTTCTCTTAATAAAGCAAATAAAACAAACCAGAGGACTTGTCATCATAAGGAAACAAGAAAACCTCTCCCCCAGCCTCCGTTCTCATTTCCACCAATTTAAACATTCAAGTCCCCAGTCTCATCGCTTTGATGAAGATGTCCTGTGATATGGGAAAGGTCAGTCCCTGAGCCTGCAGCTAAGAAAACATTTGCACTAGGAACATGATAGCCAAGCCAGAGGCCAAGTGGAAGCCCCACAGGGCAAGTCTGTGGTTAGCAGATGCCACCGTTGGTTTGCTGCTGTATGGAGTGCCTCTTGGGTTTTGGCTTTAAATGAGAGAAGTCCCCAGGAGGCTCATGTAATGGTGGGAACAACAGTGGAAGTTCTCCACAGGCTCTGGGAGAGGCAGAGAAGGTTAGAGGCATGCCAAGATGACTCCCGAGGTCTCCAGCAGCCGTCTTCTAAGTCTCCATCAATTCACTGGATCAAACCACTCTCTCTTTTTTGCTTTGAGGTTCGCGTCACAACTAACTCATGAAAAATGGCAGGAAAATGATTTCTCCTTGAAAGCTGTCCTAACAGATCTCCATACCAAGGGAAGAAGGGAAAAACCAAGGAAATATTTCATGTGACAGTTAAATTCAAAAGAAGAGTGGCAATCTGGTAGTGTCTGTGCAGGTAAAGGAAATCTGAGCACATGTGGTTTCACTTATGAATATTTTAGGAGGATTTTGGATTCAGGCTATGTGAACTGCCAGTCCAAATGAATAATAATTATATGTATAAAATGCTTACACAAGGTCTGTCATGAACCACACCCTCTATGGACCTGTGGATCTTAATTCCAGTTGCACTTTTGAATTACCTGGGAGCTTTTAAAATACTGATGACTGGATCTCACCTTCAAAGACTCTGACTTAACGAATCTGGGATATGGCCTTGGCATCAGGAAAAATGTTGTTATCTCATTCAAATCATATAAGGTAAATATTCTAAATCCCAATTTACAGATGAGAAGCTAATATATTGATGGTTAAGATATTTTTCCAAAGTTATTCACCTACTATGTGAGTAACATAAAAAAAAAAGATGCAAACCAGAGTCTTTTTGCTCTGGAGGTATTTAGATATCTGTCCCCAGTGGAAGTATGTAAATATCCCTGTTGGAGATATTTAGAAAAAGAGGGAATTAGGGATTGGGAATCAAAAAAGAAAATGAAGTGTAGCAGATGTAGAAGTTTGGGAAATAAAGCCTTGTGAGAAATCAATTAAGGTTGGGAGAGTGAAGCGGGCCCTAAACTAGCCTTCCAGAAATTTCTATAAGTGAAGGAGCAAAGCAGAGGTCTCCTGTGAAGGTGTGAATTTTGTCTCCTGAATAGCTCTGGAACTTCTTTGCTTCTCCCCATCTCCACAGTGGCCATCCTACCCCAGGATACCATTTTCTCTCTCCTAAACTGCTTTAACCTACAGCATTTGGTTCCTTGCCACAGAAACACAACTATGTGGCTTAACCAAACAAAGGTCTGTATTTTTCAATAAATAAGGAGTCTAGAGGTAAGCTGTGTAGGGTGAGACACAAACTGCAATGTTCTCAGTGCTCCAGGAACCCTCTGGGTGCTTCCATGTGGGGATTTTTCTTTGTTCTTGCTCCACTGTGGATGTAAGATGCTTGCTCTACCTATAGTCTTAGTCATGTTCTTTTATTCACAAAAAAAGGGGGACATAAAGAAAGAATAGGTGGCATCTACATTAGGAGAGGCAAAACTTAATCAGAAATCTTTAGCATATTTCAGCTTATGTCTCATTGGTCAGATCCGTGTCACATGGCAATCTCTAGCTGCAAGGGAGTCTGAGTAGATACAGGCATACCTCGATGATATTGTGAGTTCTGTTCCAGACCACTGCAATAAAGTGAAGATTGCAATAAAGCAAATCACACAAGTTTTTTGGTTCTCCAGTGGATATAAAAGTAACATTTGTATTATACTGTAGTCTAGTAAATGTTCAATAGCATTACATCTAAAAAAAAAAGCCATATATACATTAATTTTCAAAGTACTTTAAATGTTAAAAAATTCTAAAGATTATTTGAGCCTTCATTGAGTCATAATCTTTTTCCAGTGGAGCATCTTGCATCAAGGTTGATGACTACGGACTGATTGGGGTGGTCATTGCCAAGGTTGCTATAGCTGTGGAAAATCCTTAAAATAAGACAAAAATAAAATCTGAAACACTGATTGACTCTTCCTTTCATGAAAGATTTCTCTGTAGCAACTGATTCTGTTTGATAACATTTGACCCACTGTAGAACTTGTTTCAAAACTGAAGTCAATCCTCTTAAATCCTGCCACTGCTTTATCAAGTAAGTTTATGTTATATTCTATGTCTTTTGCTGTCATTTCAATATTCACAGCATCTTCACCAGGAGTAGACTCACTTTCAAGAAACTACTTTCTTTGCTCATTCTTAAAAAGCAACACCTCGTCTGTTCAAGTTTTGTCATGAGATTGTAGCAATTCAGTCACAATTTCAGGCTTCACTTCTATTTCTCTATCTCCCTCTATTTCCACCACATCTACAGTTACTTTCTCTACTGAAGTCTTAAACCCCTTGGAGTCATCCATTAGGGCTGGAATCAAAATTCTTCCAAACTTCTGTTAACATTGACCATTTGACCTCCTCCCATAAATCATGAATGTTTATAATGACATCTAGGACAGAGAATCCTTTTCAGAAGGTTTTCAATTTTCTTTGCCCAGATCCATCAAAGGACTATCTGTGGCAGCTATAGCCTTACAAAATGTGTTTTTTCAATAAGACTTGAAAGTCAAAATTACTCCTTGATCCATAGACTGCAGAATGGATGTTGTATTAACAGGCATGAAAACAACATTCATCTCCTTGTACATCTTCATCAGAGCTCTTGGGTGACCAGGCACATTGTCAATGAGAAGTAATATTTTGAGAGGAATCTTTTTTTTCTGAGTAGGACTTAAAATATTCAGTAAACCATGCTATAAACAGATGTGCTGTCATCCAGGCTTTGTTCTTCCATTTATAGAGCACAGGCAGGGAAGATTTAGCATAATGTTCAAGGGCCCTAGGATTTTTGAAATGGTAAATGAACAGTGGCTTTAACTTAAAGTCACCAGCTGCATTAGCCCCTAACAAGAGTCAGCCTGTCCTTTGAAGCTTTGCTGTCAGACATTTACTTATCTCTAGCTGGGAAAATCCTCTTCTTCCAACGGAAGACTGTTTCACATACGTTGAACATCTGTTGTTTATTGTAGCCACCTCCATCAATTATTTTAGCTCAATCCTCTGGATAACTTGCTGCAGCTTCTATATTAGCACTTGCTACTTCACCTTGTACTTTTATGTTATGAAGATGACTTCTTTCCCTTAGCCCCATGAAACAACCTCTGCTAACTTCATTCTTTCCTTTCTCAGCTTCCTCACCTCTCTCAGCCTTCATAGAATTGGAAAGAGTCAGGGTCTTACTCTGGATTAGGCTTTGTCTTAAGGGAATGTTTGGAATAGTGGACTAGTTTGATCTTTTATCCAGACCACTCAAACTTTCTCCTTATCAACATTAAGGCTGATTTTCTTTCTTATCATTGGTGTATTCACTGCAGCAGCACTTGAAATTTCCTTCAGGAACTTCTCCTTTGTATTCACAACTTGGCTGTTTGGCACAAGAGGCCTTGCTTTTGGCCTGTCTCAGCTTTCAACATACCTTCCTCACTAAGCTTAATCATTTTTAGCTTTTGATTTAAAGAGATGTGCAATTCTTCCTTTCACTTGAACACTCAGAGGCCATTGTAGGATTATTAGTTGACCTAATTTCAATATTCTGTGTCTCTGGGAATAGCAAGGCCTGAGGAGATGGAGGGAGACAGGGGAACAGCTCGTTGATGGAGCAGTCAGACACACACATTTAACCATTAAGTTCACTGTCTTATATGGGTGTAGTTCATGGTGCCCCAAAACAATCACAATACTAACATTAAAGATTCAGATTACTATAAAAGATATAACAGTAATGAAAAAGTTTAAAATATTGTAAGAGTTATCAAAATGTGGCAGAGACATGAAATGCGCACATGCTGTTAGAAAAATGGTGCTGATAGGCTGGACGCAGGGTTGCCACAAACCTTCAATTTGCAAAAATTGCAGTATCTCCAAAGCAAAATAAAACAAAGCTAAATAAAACAAGGTATGTCTATATTTTAGCAGAAACATTTTCACTCTGAAAAAGACCCCTGAGTTTTGGTTGGCGCTGTGGTTTGGCTGTGATTTGTCACTGCCAAAACTCATGTTAAATTTGATCCCCAATTGTTGGGCTGTGGGGCCTAACAGGAGGTAGGAAGGGAAGAAGGGAAGAAGGAAAGGGAGCAGATCCTTTCCTTCTTCCACATTTTATCTCAAATTTAACATCCTATCCATGACTTTCATGGCACCCCAGACTTGGTCCAATTCCCTGGTGTGATCTCAAAGCATCTTTGTTGTCATTCTTGCCACATTTTTAAAATTGTGCAAATCGTTATTTAAGGTGTGATTTTCTTCTTGCCATGTGACTTTCATGAAGTCATGGTCCTTGTCTGTTTCACTCACCACCATAGTCCTAGCTCAGTGCCTGACTCAAGGTAGGCACTTGATGTATTTTAAAAGAATAAATGGATGGGAAAAGTAAATGAATAAGAAAAACTAAGACAAAATGATCTCAATAATCTCCCTAACTGCTTTAGGGAGCAGTTGTAGAAAGACCTACCTAGTAAAACTGACATAAATAGCCAAAGATTTTTTGTCTCAAGAATCCATGTGACTGTCTTCATGGGACTGTTGAACTCTAGGAAGGAGCTTCTAAGAAGTAGGAATAATGCCTCCAAATCATAAGATCCTATAGAAATGCACAAACACATGAAGAACTAGACTCCTAAAAATCACATAACATGAATGTTTTCTGCAACAAAGCAAGATAATTTTGCAAATATCTTGTCAAACTATAAGAGAAGAGGATCTTGATATGTTCCTATTAAGCAAATGATAATGAAGGGAAATTCATTAACCATTCAGGATATATAAAATGTCACTGATATATTCTTTAGTGTGCAATTATTATTGGATTTTAATAAACATTTAAAATAAAATATAAGAATATTCTTAAATGTACTCCTGTCTTTGTTCTTACACTTCTGAACTCACCACCCACATCCCCCAGGTACTTATGCTCCTAAATAATTTATTCTACAAACCATGAAGGTCTCCATAAACTTAAGCCAAGGGCTGAAAGGAAACTACAGCATTTCTCCTGAAAAACTGAGATAAAGAAGAGTCAGAAGGTAATACTGTGAAGAGAGGGCCCCAAACCAGACACCACTTAGGCAACGCCAATGATTTATTTCAGATTGGATATACTGAGGTACTTTATTTAAAATTCAAAATTTTAGTATATAGTTTGATGAATTTTTAAAGGTGTCTAGAGTTATGAATTGTCAAGATACAGAAGAGTTCCATCACCCCCAAGAAGCTCCGTCATACCCATTTGAATCAATTCTCTCAGGCCAACCCAGGCCCCGGGTAACCATTGATTTTCTTTCTATTGGTATAGTTTTGCCTTTTACAGACATTCATATAAATGGGATCATTTGGTACACAGTCTTTTTTATCTATTTTTTTCTAAATTTATAATGAATATTAAGGGATATCTATGTTGTTAAATGTATAACTTTTTGCCCTTTTTATTGCTGAATAGTATATCACAGTATGGGTATATGATAATCTGTCTATCCATTTAACTATTAATGGATATTTTAGTTTTTCCAGTTTTTTATGATAATGAATAAAGTTGCAAGGAACATCTAAGTAAAGTCTTTCTATGGACATATATTGTTATTTCTCTTGGGTGAATATATAGACATAGGATTGTTGGATCATGTAACAAATGTATATGTTTAGCATTATTTAAAAAAACTGCCAAACTCTTTCTCAAGGTTACTGTACCAATAACTGTACCACAAACACCATAAGCAATTACTGTACCATAAGCACCAGCAATGTAGGAGAGTTCTAGTTGCTCTAAAGCATAGTTAACACTTGGTATTGTCCATCTGTTAAAATTTTAGCCCTCCTGGTGAGTGCATAATAGTGCCTCAACATGGATTCACAATGCCTTTCTGCAATGACTTATGATGTTGAGCATCTTTTCATGCGCTTCTTAGACTTTCATATACAGTCTTTTGAGGAAATTTCTGTTATTGTATTCCCATTTCAATAGAGTTGTTTTCCATTTCATTAATGAGTTGTAAAAGATCTCTATGTATTTTAGACACAGTTCTTTATCAGATGTATGTTTTCAAGCATTTTCTCCCTATCTATGGCTTGAAATTTGAATATTTTATTATTTTTTTCTTAGGTCTGTGGTGCCTGGTTGTCAGCTGGACTGTAAGTGTGTTAACATTTTTATTCATTAAAGAAACCAAAGTTGGAATACTTCTATGTCTTCTGTGACTTCCATTGAATCTTTGAGGTGATACAAATTTCATCTTATCAAAATTAATGACTTATGGTCATTCATATTATTACCGTTAATGAGGGTTGGCCATGCATTATCCACTGCAGAAGTCATGCTTATTTGGGACTTATAGTACAGCAAAGTCTGGGACTATTATCAACCGAGGCCCTGACCACCTTGTACAGTAGGAATTTGGAACACTTAACAAAGATAGTTTGCAAAATGAATATTGCAAGTAATTGGTTTCAGATTGCTGTTATTGCTCAAGCAGTTTCTTAAAATATGTACGAGTGTTAATAAAACATAATCTATGCTTTATATTCTGTAACAAAAGGGAAAATGTGTTTTCTTTTTTTTTAATTTTTTTTTTGAGAGCGAGGGAAAGGTTTTTTAATTATTATTTTCCATGAGTCATCTGCTCCTGGGAACATGAAGCCCACATTAAAATGAATATTGATACCTTTCAGTTACATGTACTTTGTTTTCCTTTAACTTTATTTTATTGTAGATTTGGGGGTACAAGTGCAGGTTTTTTACATGGGTACATTCCATACTGGTGGCAATTTGGCTTCTGGTGTAACCATTACTCAAATAGTGAACACAGTACACAGTAGATATTTTTTCAACTCTCCCCACTCCCTTCGGAGTCTCCAGTGTCTACTATTTCCATCTTTATGTTCATATGTACCTATTGTTTAGCTCCCACTTATAAGTGACAACTTGCAGTACTTGATTTTCGGTTTCTGCGTTAGTTTACTTAGGATAATGGCCTCCAGCTGCATCCACATTGCTGCAAATGTCATTAATTCATTTTTTATGGCTGTGTAATATTCCATTATATAAATATATATACATAAATATATACATAAAAAATATATATATATATAAATACACACACACACACACACACACACACACACCCTTTTATTTTTTTTTTTTGAGACAGAGTCTCACTCTGGTCTCCCAGGCTGGAGTGCAGTGGTACAATCTCGGCTCACTGCAACCTCCACCTCCCAGGTTCAAGTGATTCTTCTGCCTCAGCCTCCCAAGTAGCTGGGATTACAGGCATGCACCACCACACCCAGCTAATTTTTGTATTTTTAGTACAGACAGCGTTTCACCATGTTGGCCAAGCTGGTCTCAAACTCCTGACTTCAAGTGATCCTCCCGCCTCGGCCTCCCAAAGTGCTGGGATTACAGGTGTGAACCACCACGCATGGCCTCCACCTTTTCTTTATCCAGTCAACTCTTGATGGACACTTAAGTTGGTTATATGACTGTACTATTGTGAGTAGTGTTGGGGTGAACATACAAGTGCAGGTGTCTTTTTGATACAATGATTTCTTTTCCTTTGGGTAGACACCTGGTAGTAGGATTGCCAGGTAGAATAGTAGTTCTATTTTTAGTTCATTGAGAAATCTCCATACTGTTTTCCATAGAGGTTAAACTAATTTACATTTCCACCAATAGTGTATCAGTGTTCTCTTTTCTCCACATCCTCACCAACATCTGTTGTTTTTTGACTTTTTAATAATAGCCATTCTGACTGGTGTAAGATATCTCATTGTGGCTATAATTTGCATTTTTTCTAATGATTAGTGATGTTGGGCATTTCTTTACGTGTTTGTTGGCTGCTTGTGTGTCTTCTTTTGAGAAATATCTATTCATATCCTTTGCCCAGTTTTTAATGGAGTTTGCTTTTTGCTTGAAAATTTGTTTAAGTTTCTTAAACATTCTGGATATTAGACCCTTGTCAGATGCATAGTTTGTAAATATTTTCTACCATTCTGTCTGTTCTGTTGATTGTTTCCTTTGCTGTGCAGAAGCTTTGAAATTTAATTAAGTCCTGTTTGTATATTTTTGTTTTGTTGTATTTGCTTTTGGGGTCTTCATCATAAATTCTTTGCCTAGGCCAATGTCCAGAAGAGTTTTTCCTAGGCTTATCTCTATGATTTTTATAGTTTCAGGTCATACATGTAAGTCTTTTATCCATCTTAATTTTCATATATACTAAGAGATATGAGTCCAGTTTCATTCTTTTGCGTTTGGCTAGCCAATTTTCCCAGCACCATTTATTGAACAGGGTTTCCTTTCTGTTTTTTTTTTTTTTTTGTCCTTTCTCGGTATTTTATTTTGTAAACAAAATATTTGCAAACTATGCATCTGACAAGGGTTTAATATCCAGAATCTGTAAGAAACTTAAATTTTCAAACAAAAAGCAAACAACTCCATTAAAAACTGGACAAAGGATATGAACAGATATTTCTCAAAATACAACACACAAGCATCCAGTAAACACATAAAGAAATGCTGGGTACAAGATCAGTTGGTTGTAGGTATGTAGCTTTATTTCTAGGTTCTCTGTTCTGTTCCATTGATATATGTGTCAATTTTTGTACCAATACTGTATTTTAGTTACTATAAGCTTGTAGTATAATTTGAAGTCAGGCAACTTGATGCTTCCAGTTTTGTTCTTATTGCTTAGGATTGCTTTCTCTGTTCAGGTTCTTTTTTGGTTCCATATGAACTGTAGGATTGTTTTTTCTAATTCCGTGGAAAACAATGCTGGTAATTTGATAAGTATTACAGTGAGTCTGTAGATTGCTTTGGACATTATGGTCATTTTAACAATATTAATTCTCCCAATCCATGAGTATGGGATGTTTTTCCATTTTTTCATGCCATCTACCATTTCTTTCATTAGTGTTTCATAGTTTTCTTTGTGGAGATCTTTTACCTAGTTGGTTAAATATATTCTTAGGTTTTGCATTTTTTATGGCTGTCATAAATGAAACTGAGTTCTTAATTTGTTTCTCAGCTTGAATGTTATTGATGTATAGAAATGTTACTGACTTTTCTATGTTCATTTTATATCCTGCAACTTTACTCAAGTTGCTTATCAAATTTGGGGATCTTTTGGAAGTCTTTAGGGTTTTCTAGGTATACAATTATATCATCAACAAACAGAGATCATTTGACTTCCTCTTTTCCAATTTGGATGCCTTTTATTTCTTTCTTTTGACTGATTGCTCTAGCTAAGATTTTCAATACCTCTGTACCATGTTGAATAGCAGTGGTCAAAGAGGACATCCTTGTCTTGTTTGAATTCTTAGGGAGAATGCTTTCAACTTTTACCCATCAGTATGATGTTGGCTGTGGGTTTATTACTCTGAAGTATGTTCCTTTGATGCCTAGTTTGTTGAGGATTTTTTTTTTTTTTTTTGAGACGGAATCTTACACTGTTGCCCAGGCTGGAGTGCAGTGGCGCAACCTCGGCTCACTGAAAGCTCTGCCTCCCGGGTTCACGCCATTCTCCTGCCTCAGCCTCCCGAGTAGCTGGGACTATAGGCACCCGCCACCATGCCTGGCTAATTTTTTGTATTCTTAGTAGAGACAGGGTTTCACTGTGTTAGCCAGGATGGTCTCGATCTCCTGACCTCATGATCCACCTGCCTCAGCCTCCCAAAGTGCTGGGATTACAGGTGTGAGCCACCGTGCCTGGCCGAGGATTTTTTTGTTATAAAGAGATGTTGGATTTTACTGAATGTCTTCTGAATTTATTGGGATATGATTTTTGTTTCTAGTTCTGTTTATGCAGTGAATCATGTTTATTAATTTGCATATGTTGAACCATCCTTGCAAGCGTGGAGTAAAACCCACTTGATTGTGCTCTTTTTAATGTGCTGTTGCATTCAGTTTGCTAGTATTCTGTTGAGAATTTTTGCAGCTATGTTTATCAAGGATGTTGGCCTTAGTTTTTTGTTGTTGTTGTTATGTCCTTCCCTGATTTTGGTACTAAGCTGATACTGGTTTCATAGAATGAGTTAGGAAGGAATCCATCCTTCTTGATTTTCTGGAATGGTTTCAGTAACACTGGCATCAGCTCGTCTTTGTATGTCTGGTAAAATTCATCTGTGAATCCATCTAGTCCTGGGCTTTTGCTGTTATTGTTGATGATTTTTTTACTACTGATTTGATTTCATTAATCATTATTGGTTTGTTCAGGATTTCTTTTTTTTCCTGGTTCAATCTTGGGCAGTTGTTTGTTTCCAGGATTTATCCATTTCCTCTAGGTTTTCTACTTTGTGTGGCTAGAGATGTTCATAGTAGTCTGATGGTCTTTTGCATTTCTGTAGTATCAGTTGTAATGTCACATTTATCGTTTATGATTGTACTTATTTGGAATCTTTTCTCTTTTTTTCTTGGTTAAACTAGCTTGTGGTCTGTCAGTTTTGTTTATCCTTTCAAAGAACAAACTTCTTATTTCATTGATCCTTTGTATTTTTGTGTCTCAATATCATTATTCTCTGATTTTTATCCCTTTTCTTCTGCTAGTTTTGGATTTGGTTTGTTCTTATTTTTCTAGTTTCTTGAGGAATAACATTAGGTAGTTAATTTGAGATCTTTTAATCTTTATGATGTGGACATTTAATGCTATAAACTGTCCTCTAACCACTGCTTTTGCTAAATTCCAGAGACTTTGGTATGTTGTATTGCTATTTTTATTTGTATCAAATGGTTTGTTTTTTTTTTTCCTTAATTTTGTCTTTTACCTAAAGGCCATTCAGGAGCAAATTGTTTAGTTTACATGTACTTGTGTAGTTTTGAGATTTGTTCCGGGTATTAATTTATAATTTTATTCCACTGTTCTCCGAGAATATCCTTCTTATCATTTCAATATATTTGAATTTATTGAGACTTGCTTTGTGGTCAAGCATTCTTAGTTGTAGAATTCTGTAGTTGTTGGATGAAATGTTCTATAAATGTCTATTGGTCCATTTAGACTATAGTCCAGTTTAACTTGAGTTTCTTTGATTTTCTGCCTCAGTGATCTGTCTAGTGATGTTAGTGAAGAGTTGAAGTGCCCCACTATTATTGTTTTGCTATCATCTGTTTTCTTAGGTCTAGTAGTACTTGTTTTATGAATCTGGGTGCTCCAGTGTTGGGTATATATACATTTACAACAATCCAATTTTCTTGTTGTATTGAACCTTTAATCATTATATAATGCCCTTCTTTGCTTTTTTTTAACCATCGTTAGTTTGAAGTCTGTCTTATCTGACATGAAGATGGCTATTCCTGCTCATTTTTGTTTTCCATTTGTGTGATATATCTTTTCTACTCCTTTGAGTCTATAGCTGTCTTTAGCCAGTAGGTGGGTCTCTTGTAGTCAGTAACAGACTTTTTAATCCCATTTGCCACTCTGTATCTTTTAAGTGGAGCATTTAGGCCATTTACATTCAAGGTTAATATGGATATGTGAGGTTTTGTTCCTGTCACAGTGTTGATAGCTAGTTGCCTTGGAGTTTCGATTGTGTAATTGCTTTATAAGATCCGTGAGCTTTGTATGTACATAATGATGATGAATATTGTCCTCTCATTTCCATGTTTAGAACTCCTTTGAGTATTTCTTGTAGGACAGGTCTAGTGGTGATGAATTCCCTTAGTGTTTGTCTGGGAAAGGCAACTTCTTGCCTAGCATTTTTTCTTCTTTAAGGAGGTTAAAAATGAGCCCCTAATCTCTTCCAGTAATAAAGCAGAAAACATGGGCATATTAATACAAACTGTATTGATGTCCATTATTATTTTTGCCCCACATTTAGGTGAGAAACAAAGCAGTGTTTTTAAAAATGGAAATCTTGCTGCCAAAAATGGTACAATGAACAGTAAAACAAGTTTCATGAAATATCAGGTCTATATCAGTACATATAGCTTCGCATAAAGATCAGCCATATTATTCTGCAATGTCTCAGCTTCTGGTCTAGTCAAATTGACTTATAGAGAAAACTCCTTTAAGGCTGAAGTTCTCTCATATTCCTCTACTAATGCATTGACATCTGTAACATCCCAAACAGAAAACAATTCTTGCAACAGTTCTTGGCTGATCAGTTCTTCTTGATCAGCAGATCAATTAGATTTTCAGCATTTAATAAACTTTTTTTTGAGGGTGGCAAGTCCAGAAATTCCTTTTTTTTTTCTCCTGTCACGGTTTCTCATGGCCTTGGGCGAGGCTATACAATTTTGATTCACAACCATAGCCTTGCTGAGAATAGAATGATGTTTCTATAAAAGTCTCGTGGACATGTGAATTTCCTCCTATTCTCAGGGAACATGAATGAGGATAGTTAGATGCACTCACACCCATTTTCTTCAGTCAATGAGGCATTCCATCTGCGGTTTCTTCGGAGTGTAATCCCAGAGGTCTTTACAAACCTTCAACCTTAGGTCCAGTGTTTTTTCATCCATTTCCTGGAGGCTCCTCTCACTGCTGCTGCTCCTGCTGCCACTATTAGGACCACTACCATCACCCCCATGGCCATGCCTCCACTGCTGCCACCAGAAGCACCACTGTCCACACCAGCACCTGCATCCACAGCCATCCTCCTACTGCTGCTGCCAAGGCCCTCTCCTCTCCCGTCAGTGGCTCAGGCTCTGGGACTGCTCCAGGTTCCCCTCAGTGCCATTTTGATTCCTAGAGGGAGCACTGCGTATTTTAAACCATTCCCTCAAAAACCATCTGTTTTTAGTTTTGTTGAAATAAAATTTAGCAATTATTTTATAGTTTGTACTTTTTATATCATATCTAAGAAATCTTTACCTGACTCAAAGCCACAGATTTTCTTCTTGAAGTTTTATGATTTTAGCTTTTAATAATAAACCTAACAGCTTTTAGCTGTTATAATACACTTTGTGTTAAACTTTGTGTATAGTGTGAGAGAAAGGTTGATGCTGATTTTTCCATATGAATATCCAATCTTTTCAACTATTTCAATTATTTGTTGAAAACCTGCTCTTCCCCTTTTGAATATACTTCAGCACCTTTGTCACAAACCTGTCAGCTATCTACATATGGGGGTTAATCATCTGATTCTCTTCTGGTCCATTGTGCTATATATCTATTTGTCAATTTGACATTGACTTAATTACTTTAACTATTGGTAAGTCTTAAAATCTGGTAGTGTGTATCTTATAGCTTTGTTCTTTTTCAAAATTATTTTGTCTGTTCTGAGTTTCCATTTAGTTTTTGAATCATTTTGTTAATTTCTACACAGATAAAAATCCTGTTGATATTTCTATTATAATTGTGTTGAGTCCATACACTAATTTAGTAGAGATGACACCATAACAACGTTGAGACTTATGGAGATTCATCATGTTCATATGCCAGATTTGTTTAGGTCTTCTTTAATTTCATTAACACTTTAGAGTTATTAGCAAACAGCTCTTATACATATTTTATTAAAAATTTTCCCAAGTATTTTATGGTTTGGATATTACAAATGCTGCTATTTTTAAAATTTCAATATCCAGTTTTTCATTGTTAGAATATAGAAATATAATTGATTTTTTTCTATTGCTTTCTGTGACCTTGCTAAACTCACTTATTAGTTCTAGTACTTCTGTTTTATTTATTGTTTGTAAATACCTTCGCATTTTCTACACAGACAACTGTGGGGATAAAAGCAGTTTTACTTCTCCCTTTCCAATAGATATGACCTTATTTATTTTTCTTGACTTATTGTGCTGGTCAAGAGCTCCAGTAAAATACTGAATAGATATGGTAAGAGTTGACACTTCTCTTATTCTCAAATTTAGAGAGAAATCATTGAGTCTGTAACTATTATGTTATAGATTAGACACTCTTTATCACACCTTAGTAGTGGGGCTACATTAACCCAAAAGACCCCTCAGGACATATCTTAAGAAAGCTTAAAAGCCAACCTTGTAAACATCAAGCTGATCCACAAGTGACTTAACAGCATGCCAGAAAAAAATCTCAACACTCAATAGTTTTTCATTTAGGGCTGAAGTGCTCTCTCTCATACCTTCAATTATTTGATAAACACGTATCATTGGATAGATTATTTAAGATATGAGTTACTGTTTGCTCTTCCTATATTTCCTATCCTGCCTCATTTTACATTTCAAGTCAGTCATTAAGTCCTCTTCCAATATTTCTGGAAAATGTATTTCCTGGGGAAAAGGTGTAAGATACGTAAAGTCAGTTGTTCGTATCTTTTGTAAAAGCCTAAATCCATTGAAGAGAAGTGAGTGCATGGACAGAGAGGTGAGGAAGGAGACCAACAGAAAGGGAGAGAGAAATGCTTTCCCCAGATTGGAAAGTGGGAAGAGAACATGGATCCCAGGAGCAGCAGAATCCCTCCTGCTGCTTCCTGGTGGAGCTGGTAAGACTTCAGAGGGGGAAGGGTCCTGTAGTCTATCTAAGGAGGTTGGTTCCAGGATCCTAGGTTCTCAGCTTTACAAGGCTTCCTGAACACTTGACCTGGCCTAGAAATTACAAGTTGTGGTGCCTCAGAGAGTTAGGCAAGCTGGGACAATAAGGAGATCAAGAGTGAGCCTGATGGATCAAGATTAGGGGATCCACCCTCCTCCAAAAGCACCAAGTCTCCTAGATTCCTACATATCCTCAGG
This sequence comes from Homo sapiens, assembly GCF_000001405.40. Lineage (NCBI taxonomy): Eukaryota > Metazoa > Chordata > Mammalia > Primates > Hominidae > Homo > Homo sapiens. The sequence continues at coordinate 111,320,489 of NC_000010.11, read as the reverse complement.
AAAGGGGTAGAAACTGGACGAATGAATAAATCTCCACTCTACCAGCTTTGGTACAGAGGGAAATTCAGTAGAAGAGTTGGACTGAATTTGCTTTAGGAAAAAAAAATTATAATCTTAAATTCTATGGTTCTCAGAATCTTACCAAGACTTGTGACCTATACTGGTTATGTAGGTACTGAGGATCTAGAAATGAGCAAGTTGGGTTTGGGAATTAAACTTAAAATCAATCTTTACATAGTAGCACTTTTCCAAACATCCACTAGCCTTGTTCAGACACAATATTTTGGTATAAATGTATGCTTATGTGGTTGGCCTAATGTGGAAATTCAGAGAGTGACAGTAACAATGTGGGGCCCATCCACTATGGACAACATTCCTGAGCAATACACAAAGAATTTTCTTTGGAATTTTATGAGAAATAAGGATTTGTTGTAAGGAACTGTGCCTGCACATCCAGAGACATCACTTTCCTCTGGAGATGCCTTTGAATGCCCTCTGCCCTGTACTAGTGGGGTGGGGTTCTAATCCTCCTTCCTGGGTAAGCATTAGGATCTCTTCTGTGCTGAGCTGGATAAATGCCTGTTCTACATCATTCAAAGGCTATTTCTTCTGGGAATGTTTTTCCTGTCCCCTCAATACTTCTCCTCCAGCATCTGGCCTAGCTGGTGCACACTGGATAAAATGACACTCGCCCTTGCTTCTCTGGGAATTTTAGTATTCTTTTGTTCACAGTGTTGTTAAATTAAATCAAGCCAAAAAGAGAGGACTGGTTGCCTCAAGGAATCCACAGGCAGTGAGCTACGTGACAGAAGAACAGGAATGCCGCTAGGACCTAAGACAGTCCGGAGTTGCAATCCTACATCCTCATGACCATCTCTGCTTTTTGCTTCTCTCTGTTACGTCTCGGCTTCTTCTCTTTCCTTCAGATCAACTTTCTGCACCTGATGGAATACATGAAGCCAATGGCATCCAAATGTTTTACACATAGTTCTAACTACAAGAGACCCTATTTTGTTGCTCTTTCCAGTCTTAACATTAAAAGTCCCAAGGAAATAATTTATTGGACCCACTTGGGTTATGTGTCCACCACTAGATCAATAAGCTGTGCATGGAAGGATGCAACCAGCTAAGAAAATGACAGCTCCTGTGGGAATTATGCAGATAAAATGGGAGAATAGTGGGTGTCTGGGGGATGAGAGGACCAGTAGTCAGGAGAAATGGAGCCCAGGAGTGCTAGGCACATAAGGCAATCATTGTTGCCTACATAGAGTTTCTATAATAACAACACTTTTAAGACATGTTAAGTCAATAATAAATTCATCCTATTCATCAAGTACCAGTAGCCTGAAATACCTGCAAACACACACACACACACACACATACACACACAGAAAGAGAGACAGAGAGAGAAACGGGGAGAGAGAGAGAGAAAATGAAGACGGCAAATTGCATCAAATTAATAAACCTTTACGTCAATTCCTTAAGACTAACGATGCCAGAGACAAACATTGGTGAGGAATCTTCTCAGAAGACATGTTCCTCAGTTTCCACATCTGCCATATTAAGGAAGTTAGGATAACTGACCTCAAAAGTCCCTTCAGCTCTAATCGTCTATCTCATTTAGACAGACTCACTTGTGTGGAATTACGCCAAACCCAAATTGCAATTTTCATCCAAAATGGAAACACTCCTAAATCTAACATTTGGGACATTTAATAGAGGTATGGTACATTTTTGAGTGAGATCTTCCTCCATCAGGGAATCACCTAATGGAAGGAAAAAACCCTTTTCTAATTAAACAGCTCTTGAACAAATTCGTTTGCATATGACTTGACTTTGTTAATAAAAACAAATTAAATTACCTCTCTGCTGGGGCTACAGTGCTTCCTTGCAAAAACAGCACCAGAGGACAGAATGAAATAAAGTATAATTTCCAGCACTCCATCAATGTGAAGTAGACACCGTGAATAGAGTAGAAAGGGCTATCAAGACAAACAGGGCAAAGGAGGGGTGGGCATGGGTTCAAATATTGGGAAGAGAAGTAGAAGTCCACTTCCTGAAAGTCACAAAGTGGTCCAGAAGCTGACCATTGCTCATGAACTAACCTTGATAGTCATCCTACTCTTGTTCATACCAGTTGCCATCATGTTGGGATTACATTAGGTAATTCTGGTTTTGTTCCAAAATTATTTTTCTAAAGGATAGTAATAGAAATGACTGGAATAATCAGAGCCATTTGAACTAACCTCAAGTTCAAAAGTTCAAGTTTAAATTTGGGCAACTGGTCATTCTTTAAGAGTTTGAGTGATTTAGCCTTAACAACACTGGTGAACATTTAAATGAGATTGTGCCACATGCTGGACATAGTGCTATGTACTTTAGTGAACCAGTCTCTAACTCCTCTCAACAATCCAATGAGGATATATTATTACAATGATCATCAAAGCAGTCCAGTGTAGAGGTAAAGAGCACAACCCCAGAGTCAGACCTCCTGGCCTGAGACCCTGGTTCTACCACTTTCCAGTTCTGTGACACTGGGCAAGTTGGTTAGCGTTTTTTGTCCCTTAGTTTTTCCTTCGGTAAAATGGGGATGGATGCAATTACACGTAATTCAGGTGTTGTTGGGAGAATTAGTAAGTTAAAGATAAAGAGCTTGAAACATAGCCTGACACTTGGTAAAGAGCCCAATAAATGTGAACCATCATTAGTGGCTCCCCATTATACTTGAGGCACAAGAAAGGCTAAGGAATTTGTCCAAGGTCACTCATTTAGTAAATAGTAGAGCAACAGTGAAATTAACTACTACATACACAGTATCCTTCCTTGCTCAAGGAAAACTGATATTGCACAAAAGCTATGTTTGCTGTTACTGTTGTTGATCAGTAAGTGTAACCCTAGAGATACATTTGGTTTCATTGGTGCTTCAGTATTGTATTTGCATGCCAATTTTTCTCCATTAATGATTATTATAGCTAGGGATGCTTTCCAAGGGGCCTGGAATTGACGTCAGACGTTGAAATTATAGAGAAATGTTTCTTTAAGAAACTAGATATTGGACATAGATAACTGCTGCTCTTAACAGATTGCCAAAGAGCAGCTTTTCCAGTGTTCAGTTTATGTCGGAGTAGATAAATTCACAATGGCTTTGAGATGCCATTAAACTAAAAAAAGAAAAGAAAAAGAAGATGCTCAGCTCAGAGAAAACTGGTAAAATAAATGTTCTGTCGAGCGCATGATTGATGTCAGCGCAAAGCGTAAGACAGCAAAAAAACGAAAGCAAACTTAGTGCTTTCTCTACTGCAGAAGGAAAACAAGGGGAAATTGATGCAGCAATAGAAGGAAAGCAAATTTGCTGGAGGACAGGGAAGAGCTGGATTAGTCCTGGTTTTGCTGAATCTTAAATGAAGCAAATAAATGACGATCACCCCTCAAATTATATTTTCCTCCCAGGGAATTTTTCTTCTGTATCTCTATTTTCTGGCAAGTGAAACAAGAAGCAAGAATCTGAAATGCCCTCTAGGGGATAACTGTTTCTTTTTTCTTTTTTAAAGAATACATGGAAGGCAACTGCTTTGCAGCACAACACTTCGGGCCAGAAATTCAGGCTGTGAGTTTGTGTGGCTGCAGGTCACCTTTCAAAGCCATCTGCGTGACTAATTTGTTACTGTCTCCGCCTTTGCATTACACTCCATCTCATGCCTCATTAGGCAGCTCCAGCCACTGCAACTCATTGTGCAAGTCAGCACAGCAGGCTGGGCACCTTCATAAATGTCACCTGGGTCTAGATTACATTCATTCTCAACTTAGGACCCTACATAGGAAGTCAGAGGTCACCCCTTTCCTAAAGCACCTCCTTATGGACCCCATCTAGTCTCCAATCCGTATCATAAATGGAGAGGCACATTCCCTCCATGTCCTTCTCCGTCTCCTGCACATTGAAAGTGACGACTGAACTGCTTCACAAGCAGGCAGGTATCACGTGGCTCTCATTTTTACAATTAATAATTTGACCCCCTACATGTCTTATTAACAGGAGATAAGATGTGCATGTCTTCTTCAATTAAGATGTGCCCCTTTGGCATTCACACAACCCAAAGATGATCTTCCTTTTTTTTTTTTTTTTTTTGTAGTTCTCAAATTGTTTGTTTTTAACCTTTGTTTTAGGCTCAGGGATACATGTGCAGGTTTGTTATATAGGTAAATTGCATCTCATGGGGGTTTGGTGTAAAGATTATTTCATCACTCAGGTAATAAGCATAGTACCTGATAGGTAGGTTTTCAATCCTCAGTCTCCTTCCACTGTCCACCCTCACGTAGGCCCTGGTGTCTATTGTACCCCTCTTAGTGTCCATGCATACTCAGAGTTTAGCTTCCACTCATAAGTGAGAACATGCAATATTTAGTTTTCTGTTCCTGTGTTAGTTTGCTAAGGATAATGGCCTCCAGATCCATCCATGTTGCCGCAAAGGACATGATCTCATTCTTTTTATGGCTGTATAGTATTCCATGGTGTATATGTACTACAAAACATTTTCTTTATCCAGTCTATTTCTGATGATATTTAGATTGATTCCATGTCTTTGCTATTGTGAATAGTGCTGCAGTGACATGTCTTTATGGCAGGATGATTTATACTCCTCTGGGTATATACCCAATAATGGGATTGTTTGGTCAATGGTAGTTCTAAGTTCTTTAAGAAATCACCAAACTGCTTTCCACAATGGCTGAATGAATTTACACTCCCACCAGCAGTAGTGTGTAAGAAGTTCCTTCTCTTCACAACCTTGCCAGCATCTGTCATTTTTTGACTTTTTAACAATAGAATGGCTATTAAAACGATAGCTATTGTTAAAGTCCAAAAATTACGATGCTGTAATTTTACAGAGGAATACAAATTGCTCTGCTATAAAGACACATGCACTCAAATGTTCATTGCAGCACTATTCACCATAGCAAAGGCATAGAATTAACTTATATGCTCATCAATGACACTTGGGATAAAGAAAATGTGGTACATACACATCATAGAAAACTATGCAGCCATGAAAAACAATAAGATCATGTCTTTTGCAGGAACACGGATAGAGCTGGAGGCCATTATCCTTAGGAAATTAACACAAGAACAGAAAACCAAATACTGCATGTTCTCACTTACAAATGGGAGCTAAATGATGAGAACTCAAGAACACAAAGAAGGGAACAACAGACACTGGGGCCTACTTGACAATGAAGGTGGGGAGGAGGGAGAGGAGCAGAAAAAATAACTATTGGGTACTAGGTTTAGTACCTGGGTGATGAAATAATCTGTACAACAAACCCCCATGACATGCATTTACCTATATAACAACCCTGCATGTGTACCCCTGAATCTAAAGTAAAAGTTAAAAAACAAAAAGATGAAAGAAAAAAAATAAAAAAAACGGCCATCCTGACAGGTGTGAGATGGTAACTCATTGTGGTTTTGATTTGCATTTATATAATAATTAGTGATATTGAGCATTTTTTCATATGCTTGTTGGCCATGCATATGTTTTCTTTTGAAAATTATCTGTTCATGTCCTCTGCCCACTTTCTAATGGAGTTGGTTGTTTTTCCTTGTAAATTTGTTTAGGTTTCTTATTAATTCTGGATACTAGACCTTTGTCAGATGCATAGTTTGCAAACATTTTCTCCCATTCTGTAAGTTGTCTGTTTACTCTGTAGGTAGTTTATTTTGCTGTGTAGAAGCTCCTTAGTTTAACTCCCATTTGTCAGTTTTTGTTTTTATTGCAATTGCTTTTGAAGTCTTCATCACAAAATCTTTGCATAGCCCTGTGCTCAGAATGGTATTTTCTAAGTTATCTTCCAGGGTTTTTATAGTTCTAGGTTTTACATTTAAGTCTTTAATTCATCTTGACTTGATTTTTGTATATAGTGTAAGGAAGTGGTCCAGTTTAAATTTTCTGCATACATAGTTAACTAGTTATCCCAGCACCATTTATTGAATAAGGAGTCCTCTCCCCATTGCTTATTTTTGTCAATTGTGTTGAAAATCAGATGGTTGTAAGTGTGCAGCATTATTTCTGGGCTCTCTATTCTGATCCATTGGTCTATGTGCCTGTTTTTGTATAAGTGCCATGCTGTGTTGGTTACTGTAGCCCTGCAGTATAGTTTGAAGTCTAGTAATGTAATGCCTCCAGCTTTGTTCTTTTTGTTTAGGATTACCTTGGCTATCTGAGCTCTTTTTTCTGGTTTCGTATGAATTTCAGAATCTTTTTTTTTTCTAATTCTGTGAAGAATGTCATTGGTAGTTTGATAGGAATAGCATTTAATCTATAAATTGCTTTGGGCAGTATGGCCATTTTAACTAATATTGATTCTTCTATCCACGAGCATGAAATTTTTTACCATTTGTTTTTGTCATCTCTGATTTTTTTGAGCAGCATTTTGTAATTCTCATTGTAGAAATCTTTCATCTCCTTGGTTAGCTGCATTCCTAGGCATTTTATTCAATTTGTGGCTGTTGTGAATGGGATTACATTCTTCATTTGTCTCTCAACCTGGATGTTGTTGGTGTATAGAAATGCTACTGATTTTTGTACATTGATTTTGTTCCTGAAACTTTGCTAAAGTTGTTTATCAGATCTAGGAGCTTTTCGGCAGGTACTACAGGGTTTCCTATGTATAGAATCATATCATCTGCAAGCAGATAGCTTGACTTCTTCTCTTCCTATTTGGATGTCTTTCCTTTCTTTCTCTTGCCTGATTGCTCTGGCTGGGACTGCCAGTAGTATGTTAAATAAGAGTGGTAAGAGAGGGCATCTTTGTCTTGTTCTGGTTCTCAAGGGGTTCTCTAGCTTTTGCCCAATCAATATGATGTCAGCTGTGGATTTTTGACAGATGGTTCTTAATTACTTTGAGGTATGTTCCTTCAGTGCCTAGCTTGTTGCAGGTTTTAACATGAAGGGGTGCTGAACTTTATCAAAAGCCTTTTCTGCATCTATTGAGATGATCATGTGGTCCTTAAGTTCTATTTATGTGGTGAATCACATTTATCAATTTGCATACGTTGAACCAACCTTGAATCCCAGGCATATAGCTTACTTGATCATGGTGGATTCGCTTTTTGATGTGCTGCTAGGTTCATTTTGCTAGTATTTTGTTAGGATTTTTGCATCTATGTTCATCAAGGATATTGGCCTGTAGTTTTCTTTTTTGCTGCATCTCTGCCAGGTTTTGCTATTAGGATGATGCTGGCCTCATAGAATGAATTAGGGAGGATTCCCTTTTTCTGAATTTTTTGAAATAGTTTCAGTAGGAATGGTACCAGCTCTTCTTCATACACTAAGATGATCTTCCTAGAGTCTTTGTCTAAATGTCGACCACTGAAATCTATTTGGGCCACTATTTTTCATGGCTTGTTGCCACAAGAAGTCCTTGATGGAAACTAGACCTATGCAGTCCAGTACTTGCTCAATGCTGCTAAGATCTTTTGCTGTGGTAGACATTCCAGACAGGCTGTTGTGGTTCTCTGAAAGAGGAGAAATCCCTGCCTCACAGCTAAACATGGTCAAGATTTCCAAGGTTGTAGCTTTTACTATTCAGTTTTGTCCATACCCAGAGAAAAAAAATCAACCAGTCTAAGAATGACTGAGCCAAGACAATTGTCCCACACCCAGTGTTGGGCACTACAAAGTTATCGGTCATGAATAGAGGGAGGCCAAATGATGTAGCCTACCACGGCACCAGAATTAACCATCGCATCATTATCAAGAGTGACCATGTAGAAGAGGCATCTCTAGATATCCACAAGAAATACCTTGTGTTTGGTCAGTTCGTTGGCTTTAGATGCTAAAACTAAAATATTCACAACCTTTTCCATTTTAATATTCTACTTATTTTTAAAAATAATTTGAAATCATCCCAGGAAAATGATCTCACAATAAAAATTGAAACAGAAACCAAGTAACAATGACAGGTAAGGAAATAACTTGCTTTAGAAATCTGAAACTATAGATGATCCTGTAATTGAGCTCCAAATTAGCCTTGAGCTTCCTGGCAGCCAAAGCAAAAAGGGAAACCCAATGTCTTATGTATTTCTCATTGTCTGCAGTGTCTCATAAAAGGACAAACTCCACTTCATTGAGATAGAGGAATATTTTTCTACCACTAAGAGCTGAGAATGTTACTGCGATAATACTCTATTACAAATAAATATTTTATTTGTAATAAATGGTCTATTACAAATAAATATTTTATTTGTAATAAATTGTCTATTACAAATAAAATATTTTATTTTTTTGAGACAAAGTCTCGCTCTGTCACCCAGGCTGGAGTGCAGTGGCACGATCTCAGCTCACTGCAACCTACACCTCCCAGGTTCAAGAGATTCTCTTGCTTCAGCCTCCTGACTAGCTGGGATTACATATATGAGCACCCTGACATGCAGTTAATGTTTTGTATTTTTAGTAGAAATCTGGTTTCACTATGTTGGCCAGGCTGGTCTCAAACTTCTGGCCTCAAGTGATCTGCCCACCATCCCAAAGTGCTGGGATTATAGGTGTGAGCCACCATGCCCGGCCCTAAATATTTTAAAATTTTTAAATAAAGATAGAACATGAGGTTTTAGACAGGGTGACCATATAATTTGTCACCTAAACCAGGACACTTTTGAGTAAAATGAGGTACTATTAATAATGATGTTGGGACAATGATGTTGGTCCCATTATCTCAGGAAAACTGCGATAATATGCTAGCCCAGCTCTTGGGCATGTGATAATGTTGGGTCCAATTGAGCTCCACAGAACATGATATTTCTTTTCCAGAGACATTCTCAAAGTTAGCTGCAAACTCCAGAAGCACTGCTATACTTCCCATAAAAACCTTTTACCCTTACCTCAGAAGACAGAGAAGTTTTATTTGTTCTTAAATAGTCATCTTAAGAATACAGATGTTTATCCAGCATGAAGACCAATTCAGGTGACTCCAGATACCTAATCAGGAACCCATAAATATCCCTGTCTATTTTGATTTAAAGTAAAAAATGGCTGGGCCTTTCTCAAGTGCCATTTCCTCTTGAAGAGATTTAGAAACACTTTTCTCCAGGTTTAAATCTCAACATTAGGGCAATTGTCTTCAGTTTCTCAATGTGAAGATCCTGCAAATACATTGCTTCTGAGAGTCACATTGCAACCCACTCTGGGAAAGGAGAGACTGCCTTAAGATTTAGGAATTACACTTAAAATCCAAGGTGATTCTTCTGCCCCATGACCGCTGCAATGCATGAAGCGTTTACATGCCCAGAAATTCAAATGTTGACATCCAAACCCTCAATGTGATGGTATTGGGATAGGGGCCTTTGGAAGGTAATTAGATCGTGCTTACAAAAAGGACCCCAGAGAGCTCTCTTACCTGCTTTCCACCATGGGAGGATCCAAGGAGTCCTCATTCTTGGATCCCAGAAGAGGGCCCTCACCAGGACCTGAGTATGCTGCTATCCTGATTCAACTTCCAGTCTCCAGAGCTGTAAGAAATAAAGTTCTGCTGTTGTTAAGCTGCCCAGTCTATGGTACTTTGTTATAGCAGCCCACATTGACTAGGACAACAGTATTCCAACCCCCATAGATAAATTAAATTGCAGTTAGCTAAGTTACATAAATACTGTAATAACAGATAACATTTATTGAACACTTACTATGTTCCAGGCACAGTGCTGGATACTTTACTTATATTTCATCATTTAATTCTCACAACAAGCCTAGGAGGTTATTGTTATCCCCACTTTACAGATGAAGAAATGGGATCCGAGAAGCTAAGCAACTTGCTTCTTGTTACAAGAACAGTAAAAGACAAGATTAGAACTCAAACTTGAGTCTGTCTGATTCCAGAGATTAAACTCTTAACCACTACATTTCTTCCCCAACCACATTTTGTGTCTTCTAATCCAGCAGGAAGTAGCATAGAAAAAAAGTGTTCACAAGAAAAGGCTCATAAACGGGAATATAAAACATCCTACATGACCATTTTCCTCTGTCTTCCTGAGAGAAGGGCCCCAGAAAAGGGCTTCCCAAAGGGCAACCCAAGAGGCAGCATCAGCATCAGCGTCATCTCCACTACACTGGAGATGATCACCAAAGGGTGACCCTAAACCAGGCCAAATTCTCTATTTTCTTCCAACAAAAGGAGCACATTCCAAGGGTGGGTGTAGGACCTATCCTTAGAAATATTTATTGTTTGTGAGTTGGACTAAAGAAATGCTTTGGGAAGGTAATGCAGTTAGAGAATTAAATGACAGAATACTGAAAAAGTCAAATTCTTGGGAAGAAGTTTTCTAAGATAATTGCATAATGACATTCTACATAAAACTAGAGAAATCTGAAGATAAAAGGCATGGGTGACAGCCTGAGTGGCTAACTGCAGAAAATGATTATCATCTCCTCTTTTGATTATTAAATATTTTAGAGTTTGCTTTTTATTTCTGAAGCACTGAATTTCAAGGTTTTAAAGTCTACAGTCTCAAAAGACTACCAACCTCTCTTGATCCCATTTATCCCAAAAAGATGACCCCAGAGAATGAGGGTTTAGAAATGATTTACAGAGAACCCTTGGAGATCAAGTCTGATGTATTCATTGCCATAACAAATTAATCTAAAATGGTAACAAGACTGTAGATTCTACCAAACTGCTGACAGATGTTTCAGGAGCTTCTCCAGGTGCAAACTTTAAAAACGTTCTTGAGAAGAAATGAAGGAACTTGCACGTGCATACTCTCATGTTCTTCTGATGCTATCATTCAAGTTCTGATCTTTCACAAGATGCTGCACACTGGGAGCTCATAGTCATTTTTACCCTCAGAATAAGAGTGAATAATGGTAGCAAGGAAGTTGCCAGCCTATTCAGTTTTGAGCTGGCTGAGGATGAGATGGAGAAAGACAGGGCTGCTGTGCCAGTCTACATAATTAATTTAAAACTCATAGATCTCTACTCCCAATCCTTTCATCCATTCTCCAGGAAAGGCAAACAAAGGGAAAAGTAATAAGCATATATTGAGCTTGCTCCTGGAGAGCACGTGACAGAAATCACACTTAAGCTAGATTATGGGAGAAGGGGCAGGATAACTTGCTGGCATAATTCAAACTGCAATAAGAGCAGGCACAGAGCTGCTTTAAAGGCTGATTCAGAGCTCTCTAGCACTTGTCCTTGATTCTCTCCAGAAGTCAGTTGCATTCTCTTGTACTGCACACCAACTCCTTCCACAAGGCTGGAACAAGGGCTGCTAACGGATCTTGGCCCAAAAGCGTTCCAGCATTAGTAATATTTGCAGATTATTTGCAAATATTAATGCAGTAATTCCTTCTGTCTCCATACATGTGACCTTTTGAAATGTGATTTTGCTGCTCCCTCCATCAAGAGGTGCAGTATATTCCTCTTTGTCTTAAATCTGAGCTGACCTTGTGTTTTATTTTAACCAAAATATAATAGAAGTCATGTTTTTCGACATCTAACCCTCAGCCTAAGAGGCCTCGCACTTCCATTTTTGCCATCATGGTGTGCATCCACTGTGTGACAGGAGCCCAGGGTGAATTTACATGGAAAGAGAGGCCTAGACCAACACCAAGGCCCTAAATACGTCAGTGAGGCCATCCCATATGCTCCAGCCCCACTCAAGCCATCAGCTGACTGCAGCAACATAAGGGAACACATCTGAAAGCATCACAAGAACCACCCAGTGACCAAAGAACCATGAAAATAATGTCATTACTGTTTTAAGTCACTAAGTTATGGGGTGGTTTTTTACATAGCAAAGCTGTAAAAACAGATACAGGTAAAATTTAATTTAGACCAATTACTGTGCCCAGAAGGGCAAGATTGTCTTCCAAGATGTCAGGTCCCATTGAGCCCAGGTGAGAATGAGGAACAAGGCAAGGCGACTCCCCCAGAAGAAGGGTGATGCTATCCCTAAAGCAAGGAGGGTGGGTCTGGGAGGACAAATAAATGCCTACTATCATTCTACAGCACTTTACAATTAGTATATATTTTGGCTGAATTTTCACAATGGTCCAATGATGTTACAAGATCAAATATTATTCTGCTTTTACTAATAAGGAAACTGGGGCTGAGAGGTTTCTAGTCTTTCATAAGGTCTCAGAGTAATTATGTGCCAAGCCAGGGCTCAAATTGAACCTATCCAAATCTATGTCCAGTGCTCTTCCCCCTAAAGAGAGTCCTGGGATAAGGAGGCCGTTGTTCAGTCCAATAACAGTTGCTCTGTAGAAAGAAGAGCGGCAGCTGATGCAGCCTCTTAGCCAATGGCCGATGCACATGGCCAGCATCATGCTCTCCTCCAGCCCCGGGCCCTCGTGCTAATGAATGGGATCCATTGGCCTAATGTATTAATAATAGCTCCAACGCCATTGGCAATGCTGAGGAGTAAGAAAACAGTAGGAAGGCAGAATAATAAATCTCAAAAATGGGGAGCTCCATTAGATTAAGGGACAAAACTGCTGCAGCATTTAAAATAAAAATGATTTCAATTTAGACTGATAATCGAAGCAGCTTCAGTAGGAGCCACCAAGGAGGAATCCATTCTGTGATATCACCAGGTGCTCCCACGATGACCAGAGGCAGAGCAAACACCCACATGCCCAATCTCTTCGCTGCAACAAGACCTTTCCATTTTTTCCCTCCCTAAACAGTAGGCTTTGAGAGTTTAAATTTCCAAATATACTGTAATTATAAATTAACAATTTATTTTCTGGGTTTTTATGCATAAAAAACATTTCTGAATTCAAAGTAAACAATCTACTCAGCATGAGACGGAAGTGTTACCACACTGAGTTGATATAATTTCAGTGAAAAACAAAGAAAAATTTTAGTTTGAATCTTTATCCACAGATTTTACAGACTATTTCTGTAAAGCTTATTTTAAATACTGAAGAGTTGAAGTCCCTCATTAATACTGTCTATGATTTATAAGGACCCAAGCTATTAAAACAATTTTTTAAAGTAATAGAAAAGTAGTCAACACATTTGGATTATTGAAGATTCATAGGCGTTCGAGAATTCTTACATATGTATATGTACACAGATGTATATAGACAGATACACATATATTTATACATATGTATTTATATAGAGATTTGAAAGTTTAACACTTCCCTCACTGCTGTAAAATCATAGGAAAAAGATTGTAGACTTATTCTTTATTAAAATTGACACTCAACCTACTTTGCAAGAGAATTTGAAGTAGTTTATAATAAAATAGTACCATCATATAAATAGAAAAAATAATATTTAGATCATTACATATAACTTTTAAAATCAGAAGAGAGAAGAAACATAAATTAATAAAAACCCATGGCAAATATAATTACTTTGATCAAACAATAAATTAAACTCTGAGCTTCCTGTCAGCCAAGGCATAAAGGTAATAATTTGAAGTATATTTCTAGAGAATAAAGTATATAATCACATTAGAAAAAATATCTATAACTGTATTGGAAAGATAACTTTTTTGTGTATTTAATATATTAGTGCATATCTAAGGTGAATTAATGGCAGTCCCCCTCTTTTTCTTTTTTTTTTTTTGAAGAATTACACTTAATAAAGAAAATCTGGAAAAGTCCAAAAAAAGTAAAAATCCAAAAATAAAATTTACCCATGAACCTAACAGCCAGTCACAAACCTTATTATCAAACATTTTGGCATTTTTCTTTAGCCTTTTTCCTGCGCATGAGGTGTCTTTAAGCTCGATTTTAAGCCAAATGCTTATGCAATTTTATGTCCTATTTTTTCACTTTATATTATAATCAGTACTCTAATTGATACTTAATAATATCAGAAACAATGATTGCAAAATACTCCATTGCATAAGGATTCCATATATTACTCAAATATTGCCCAATTATTGGACATGCTACCAATTTTTCACTATTATAAATAAAATCACCAGAGTAACTTTGTGCATAAAATCCTTTGTATATTTATTCAATCATCTTAGGATATGTTCCTGAGAGTGGCATAACTATAAATTAACATTTTTGTTTATTTTGTTTCTGGTTTAAAAAGGAACACATATTTATTATGGGCAACTTGGAAAGTTTAGAGTATGAAGAAGGAGGAGAAGAGTTACATAGCAGCTTTTGACCATTTGTCATAGGTCTCTGAGGCACAGTTTTGTATGGATGGGGACTGTGGTATATCAAAAATGCTGTATGCTGCTTTATCCACTAATTATGCCTTACCTATTTTGTCATCATTGTAAACTGTTCTTAAATAATGGCATGACAACCTTCTGCCGTATGGCTAAACACAATTTACTCCTCCAAAGCCTTCTACAAGCCAAACCTCAGAAGGTCAAGACCACAACTCTCAATGATTCTGTAGAACAGAGGTTGCACAATGGAAGCAGATGTCAAATCAGGCATCAAATCAGACATGTTTTGTTTGGTTTGCACAATGCTTTTGTTTTCTCTGTGTGTTTTTTTATTTTTTATTTTTTGAATTGCCGAAATCTAAAAAGTGAGAAATTTCATTTCAAATCTGGACTTCCTATTTCTCTTAAATGATCAGAAGGTCTGAGAATACAGGGCCCCCCTTTTCCTCTTGGCAGCAATAGGCCAGAGCTCAGGAGAAGGTGGTGGCTTCGACAGACATGTGTGACCTGGTCACCTCCTGTCCTCTGCCTGCCTGGTTCCCAGGAATATTTGGGTCTGTCTTCAGTTATGGATGTGTTTGGGTGCAAAGCACAGCGGTGCCCATCACCTGGGAAACAAAAAGCTGCACCCACAGAAAGTTGCCTCCTGGACCTGAAATACAAACGTTTTCAGTACAGTGACTGCGCGAGATGGTTAAAGAACCAGGATGACCAACCAAGCATGCTCTGGGTCAACATAGGCCTCAGTGAGGCTCTCTGGCCTCGGCTTCTGTATTGATAAAAGGGGATTCGATTGAATTTGTGGCTCCCATTGCCCATTCTGGATATTAAGACATTAATTAGTCAATTAAAATAAAATAAGACCCTGGTCAATGGTATCTAAGATCAATTTCTGACTATGCCATGCTGGCCAGCAGGATTGTGAGCAAGACAGTCCCCACCTCCGTAGACCTTCCCACAGTCCAGAAGTCCTGCACAGAGACCCCCTCTACACACCTGCAAGGGAAGGACAGACACACTGGAGGGAGGCTTGTGGCTGCTGCACATCACTCAGAACATTCCAAACTATCCCTATGTGAAACTGGATTTCAACAAGGTACCTAAATAAGTTGGCATTCAAGATCTACTTCCCCAGGACATCAATGAACATAGAACACCTCCCACCTGCCCCTCCCCCAACACACAGCACACCTACATCAAGAAAACAAATACATGTCATATAATTTCCAATAATTAAGAAAATTTACCATTTTTTTCAAATACAGAAAATCCAAAACATACTTTAATGTTTCTAAAATCAGGATGCATCTTCAACTACATAGATTTAAGGTGACTGTCATTTGAATTGACGATATGCTTTATAACAGAGCACCTTAGAACTGAGGAAATACTGAATATCATTTCTTTTTAAATACCAATGTAAAGTTTCCAACTTGTCTTTTCTAAATAGAGACTGTTTTATTCTGAATCTCTATCCCTTTCTATTTTTTTATTGTTAAAGTATATTTCTATTTAAGAAATGCTGGTACTAGTCAATGGTTGCTTTGTAAAAATGTACTTACCTACCAAACAAAAAGCTGTCAACTCACTCAGCCCAAATATTTCTATGGCCTATGAAATCAAAATGTCTAGGAACCACTGAACTAGATGATCTCAGGCATCCCTTCAAGACCTTATATTATATAGTGTTCTTTCTGGGATCTGATTTTTTTCATTTGATGAGTCCTCTTAAACTTTCACTTCTTCTGCTTCACCCTAGAGTTCCCCTTTTTCAACCAAAGTGGTCTATCCCAGAAGGCTCACCATTATTTGCACTTTACTTACTAAGTTCAATGAATGAACAAAGCCTTCCCAGAACCTCAGAACCCCCAGGACCACACACTGACAAGCCTCTCTCTATTCCACTCACTCGCCATCTTTGATGGGAATGTCCTAGTATATTTCGTGGCATAATAGCTCTTTCCAGCACAGCCTGAGGTTTTGAGACACCGTAAGTTGGTTCAAATCCCAGCTGTGCCATTTACAAAACCTGTCAGCTGGGACAAATCCCTTAGCCTCATTGGTACAACTGAGAATAACATTAGACTCTACCTCATACAAACACAAGGATGAAATAAGCATTTGTGGCCAGAATGCTTAGACGAGTACTTGACATGTAGTAAACTCTCAAATGTTCTGCAGAAACAAATTAACTTCCGAGACTGTTCCGGGTAAGGCTTCAAATGCCTATGACTAATGAAGCCATTGGTTATACACTTCAAAGGAACCACACACGTTCATTGTTCTGCATTATCTCCCAGGAAGGCTGACTGATGCCATTGACTACAGCTCTACATCTGTTCAACAAGCACAAAAAACTTGATCAAGTAGCATCTGCTGAATGTTTGACTTAAATGACCTCATTGGAAAAATCAGGAGACAGCTGGTCAGCTTTGGAGGAATGAGGAGCAGGCCATGCTTTCTTTTGCCCTAAACAGCATGCATTTATGTCTTCCTTCTATTTAGTCACTCATCCAATCCACAAACATGGAAGTGAGTGCTTACCAAACTCCAGGAACTGTGCTAGGCACTGGGGATGTAAAGAAATAGATGCAGCCACTGCCCCAAGGGAACCCCTAGCAGAGTGGGGCAGAGGCATCATCACTGCCAACTCCAACAGGAAGGCACATGTCCATTTGAGCAGTGGCCAGCACATATTGGAAGAAAGGGCAATTTCAGTAGACACTTTTACACTCTCCCATTTAGAGAAACTTGAACATGATTTTTTAAAATCAATTTTTCCTCCTGGTGTCACCAAAAGGGACGTACTGTTGGTAAGATGTACTTCTCTGATGGAGGAGCATTAATAATGGGGTAACACGGAGCTGCCCGTGCTTGGTGGTATCTGTTTCACCTTTGGCTTTGTCAACATGCAAACTTTTAGGGTTTTATTAATTCCTCTTTTGGTCACACTGAGAGGACCAGATCATTTACCATCCTACTTTTCCTGTCAGGCATTTTTTTTTTTTATTTGCAGATATAAGGCAAAGTGTATAAATGGTTTTGCAATGGTGGGTTGGTACAGCTTGCAAAACTTGGAAAGGGAAGAAAAAAACAAGGTTGCAGAGTGGCCTCTTAAAGCAGAAATTACAACAACAAGGGGACCATTGGCCAAGACTACAAGAACATGACATCCTGAGTGGAATGACCGTTAAAGGGCAGCCATGTCTCTGCTCTCAAGCCAGACCCAGGCAACAGGAGCTGACCACTTATCCCCCACATTCTCTCAGCTTGGTTTTCATTTCCAGCAGTCCCTAAAGGGGCTGCCATGGTGATAGCCAAAAATAATATCAAAGCACTACTTGCCTGCCGTTTCAGCCTTTTTGATACACCGATGAGCCCTTACAAACTTCATTTCAGAGACACTAGGTCTGCCTTTGCTTTTGTGGCTGCTGTAGGCACAACCACTGAGCAGATTAACTTAAAGCAAATTACTTGCCCTGAGACCTTCTTAGGCTCCTCTTAAGACTCTGAACACACAGAGGTTGCCACTTACCAGGGTCTTTCAGAGACAAGAGAGGACTAATCCATGTCTATTTTTTGTTTTGTTCTGTTTGCTGCCCCCAGAAAGTTGAAAAATGAAGAAAAGCTGTATCATTGTTTCAAAATTATAACATATTTTAAATGCTTAAATTTCACAAACTGTCATCTAATAAAGAGACACAGTTTAATATCATATGATGATTTTTTCTTTCAATCTTGTCAGAGGCGCTCAGGGACTGCATGAAAGGATGAAAGGGTGGCAATAACATCAATGTCTAAACTTGAGGCCTTTGATGACTATGAGGCCCTCCTGGCCCCAGCTGGAGATTTCTTTAGCCATATCTGCCCAGCAAAGAGGGGGCAACCACATGGGGAGGAGGTGGCAGAAGATTCTGGGGCAAGCTTCTCAGGCTTGCAGGGACCCCTGGAAATGGTACTCTGGGGTCTGCAGCATTAACTCACTTGACATGTGTGTCCCGTCCTAACTTCTCTTTGTCCCTGGAGTCTGTCCCAGAGGAAGTGCTCAATGAAGCCTGGGGGTGGAGTAGGGTGGCTTTCCTGGGGCCCACCATGCTCCAGGTATTAAAAAGGAAAGACAGAATTTGCTATTACTAGCATAGAGCTATACTTAATGACACCAAATCTCCCTCTTGATTTGACTAATCCCAGTTCTGGAGATGATTACATTTTCCAGATTCACAAGGGGAGCCAGGGAAGGCAGACTGTGGGGCTGTTTTCTACAAGAGAGGCATTTCAATTAGAGGCCTAACTCCCTCATGCAGAGGTGGGAGCAGCAGGGAAGTTAACTTGGTCAGAATGCGGGCTTTGGAAGGGGCATGGAGCAGTGAGGCAGAGGTGGACGCAACCAGGGAGTGGCAGGGCCTTGGTATATGGCACTGTGAGATGTTCTACCTGTGATGTTCTAGGATGCTCGGAATAGGCCAGAAGGCAGCACCTCCACCTGCGGCATGTGGTAAAAATGGGAATTTGCAGGCACCAAGATGAGTCTGTGTATTTGGGAACAGATGCTGCACAGCAGAGGGAAGCCTGCAGAAGCAAGGAGTGGGGCTCTGTGTTAGTCCATTTTCACACTGCTGTAAAGAACTGCCCAAGACTGTGTAATTTATAAAGGAAAGAGGCTTAATTGACTCACAGTTCAGCATTGCAGGAGACACCTCAGGAAACTTACAATCATGGCAGAAGGCAAAGGGGAAGCACGGCACATTCTTCACAAGACAGCAGGAAGGATAAGCTCCTTATAAAACCATCAGATCTCATGAGAATGCAATCACTATCATGAGAACAGCATGGGAGAAACTGCCCTCATGATTCAATTACCTCCACCCGGTCTCTCCTTTGACACATGGGGATTACAATTCAAGATGAGATTTGGGTGGGGACAAAAACTACAACCATATCAGGCTCTCAAAAATCCAAAGGAATGGTTTTAGCTACCTTGGGGCTAATGTTTACCCAGATCTCTGAGAGACTGAGGGCAACAGCCAACTTCAAGATTACCTGAATCACACACTCCCTCGAGCAAAACTCTCACCTTCTCTTTTCCTTCCCCAACATATGTCCCCTTTCTATTTTTACATCAGTGCCCCTGCCCCATTACTGGGTTCTCAGGGACTTTGGCCTTAGACTGAGAGTTATACCATTGGCTTCCTTGGTTCTTAGGCCTTTGGACTTGGATTGAGCCATGCTATCAGCGTTTCAGGGTCCTCAGCTTGTAGACAGACCATCATGAGACTCCTCAGCCTCCATAATCACATGAGCCAATTTCCCTAATAAATCCCCTCTCATATATCTACATCTGTGTGTGTGTGTGTGTATACACATCTATATGTCTATGTATCTATATCTAGATATATATAGCTATATCCTATTGGTTCCATCTCTCTGAAGAACCCTGACAACACAGGAAGGCATCACGGTCCCCAATCATTTCACTCACCTCAGCACTGCAACAACAGCAAAGAAATCTCAAACTGGCCACTATTCCAGCCGGAAAACCCTCAACAGGGAAATAATTGAGAAACTGGCTAACCCCATGTATTAGTCCATTTTCACACTGCTGATAAAGACATACCTGAGACTGGGCAATTTACAAAATAAAGACGTTTAATTGGTCTTACAGTTCCACCTGGCTGGGGAAGCCTCACAATCATGGTGGAAGGCAAGGAAGAGCAAGTTACGTCTTACCTGGATGGCAGCAGGTAAAGGGAGAGAGCTTGTGCAGAGAAACTCCCATTTTTAAGACCATCAGAGACCATTCACTACCATGAGAACAGCACGGGAAAGACACACCCCTATGATTCAATCATCTCCCACCAGGTCCCTCTCACAACACGTGTGAATTATGAGAGCTACAAGATAAGATTTGGTTAGGGACACAGAGTCAAAACATATCAGCCCATTAGGACTGCAAGGTATGGAATGAAATCTTACAGGTAAATAATAATAGTTATTACTCTTGTATTCATTCATTCATTTAGCAAATGTCAACTGAGCTTCTGCTCTGTGCTAGGTACAAGGTAGGCCACAACAAAGGTTTACTGAATTAATAAATGACTGAATGAGATACCACCCTGATCCTGATGAGTTAAGAAATGTGAAAGCATTTTGTGAATCTTATGCCATTTATCCTCCTTTGATTTCAAGTGATCTTTACGACAAACCTATAAAAGGGATATTATTACAAACAAATCAGAAGCAAAGCTTAGAGAAATATTTTAAAATTTCTATGATGTAATGGTTTAACTAGGATTCAAAACACTTCTTTTTTTAAGGCAGAGTCTTGCACAATGCCTAACATAGAATAAAAGCTTCTCAAATATTGGCCAAGTCAATGTAATAGAACCAATTTCCCCATGCCCTTTGTCTAATCAAATGTCTGTTCAAACTATCCCATAAAACAACTCAAGAACAAGTCCCTACTCTGAAATCCAGAGATAATACATTTGTTCCAAAAGATTTCTAGAACATTCAGCAATCAAGGAAAGCCTAACACATCCAGCTGTCCTGTAGGAATGGCTGCATACCATCAAGCCTAAAATACTGAGATGCCCATTTAATGTTCCAAGAAATTCAGAAGAGGACACTTTTATATCTGAGAATAGTAGACTTTCAACAGTGACACCAAAAGTCATTCTACTTAAGGACATTTAAGTCACTGTGAAAAAAATTAAAGATATACGAAGACATGGATCCAACAAACAAATGTCCCAGATTCCTGATAAGGAAGGTCTGGGCTTATTGTCCTCATGATCTCTTTTCTGTTCAGGATCAAGAACTTTGCCCACACTACTTATGCCCCAGCAAAATCTTAGCACCAGGTTTCCTACCATGAACTGTCCCTCTCAGTCCTACATTAAAGGATTTCTCTGCTAAGGCCACCATTCACCCAAAAACCTGTTCTCCTCCTCCTCAGCATCACACTAAATCTGGAGTTGAAGGCAGCACTAAGCCTTTCCTGGCTCAATGCTAGTAATAGTCCATTTTCACACTGCTATAAAGAACTACCTGAGACTGGGTAATTTATAAAAACAGAAGTTTCACTGACTCAGTTCCGCACAGCTGGGGAGGGCTAAGGAACCAAGGCATGTCTTACCTGGTGGCAGAGGGTGGAGTGGAAATGCCACACTGTTAAACCATCAGATCTCATGAGAACTCGCTCACTATCATGAGAACAGCATCAGGGGAAACCACCCTCATGATCCAGTCACCTCTCACTAGGTCCTTCACTCAACATGTGGGAATTACCATTGGAGATGAGATTTGGGTGGGGACACAAAACCAAACCATATCACTGCTCTTTGCCCACAATATAGAGACTCTCTCCTCTCCTTTGGTACTTTGCAATCCCTCTGGATGGGCACATCTTTTTATCCATCCATGAGCCAAGCAAAGGATTTTGCTTTAACTTCCTCCAAGAAATTTCTGTGGTCAGACCTCTTCTCTTCAAGTAAAACACTTGGACTCTTATGCCTCTGATATGTTTCAGGAATCGGAGCAAGAAATTAAATGATACAGCATTGTTCCAGTTCTCTATTGCTGCATAATAAATCACATCAAAGTTTAGTGGCAGACAGTAATAATTATATGACTCTCACAGATTCTGTGAGTTGGGAATTCAGAAAGGGAACAGAGAAAAAAGCTCTTCTCGCTCCATAACATTTGAGCCTTAAGCTGGGATGACTCTCATGGCTAGAGGAGTCTGGAACAGTCAGGACTAGACCAGTTGGAGCAGGAGGATCCCCCTCCATGATGGCTTTTTCATTCACACATCTGAAACCTGGGCTGGCATGGTGGAAGGGCTCACTTAGCTGAGCTGTTGATCAGAGCACCCATATGTGGCCTTACCAGCATGGCCAGACATCTCAGGGTAATTGGAAGTTTTATGTAGAAGCTGACGGCTCCAAAAGCAAGTGTTCCCAGCAGCACGAGGAGGAAACTGCATGGACACTTATGACCTGACCTCAGAAGCCACAACTTCTTCTGTACTCTATTTGTCAAAGCTGTCACAGTCCACCCAGATTCAGAGAAAGGGATAAAAGTGACAAAGAATTTGCAGCCACTTAAAAACTACTGCAGTCCTTGCTGTGGCCACAAATCATTTACATCCTTCCCACAGGCAAAATACACAATACGCTCAGCCCCCTTCCAAGACTCTCTCGGAGTTTCATCCCATTACAGCATCAGGCTCAGGCCCAAGGTTCTGAATATCATCTTCCAAATGAGGGCAAGGTGCAAAATGAGGCTCTTCAAGTTCAGTACCCAGTCTATAGTTTCTCTTGATTTGAAAACCTGTTAACAAAAAACACTATCTTTCTGTACCACCTCGCAAAACACACACAATTTAGACTGGTGGAACAGGCATAAGATAATGAATATAGACGTTCTCGTTCAAAGTTGGGGAAACCAGAGACACACAGCAGTCATGGATCATGGCTGTTCTGAAATCCAGCTGCGACATACCAGTCTCTTCTTTAAGGCTTATTTCTGCCCTTTGGGAGTGATTTTCTAGAGAGCTCTGGGCTCTGCCCTCTGAGTCATCCTTTTTCACTAAGGCAGCCCCTGTCTGTAGCTGAGTAGTTTCTCCAGCTGCCTCCTGGGAGAGTTGGGGAGATTTCAAAGACCTCTTTTCATTTTGTACTGTCTCTTTCCCATTCCGTTCAATCTGTTATAGTTCCTTTAAGAACTTTGTGGGCCTCTTATGATCAATTTAAAATCTACTCTTTTAGACAGAAGCTACACCCACAAATCTTTTCAAGATAAACCCTCTCTTCCTCTTCCCTGGGCTCCCTATGAGGTCACTATGGGACAAAACCATTAAGATTCTCAGGGTCTGTGAGGCACATTCTTAGGATTCTTACATTTTTGTCTATTTGAAAGTGTCTATGAGGCATCATCTTAAACCATTCTGAGGTTTTACCAAAGAGAAGGGTAAGGGCCGGGCGCGGTGTCTCGCGCATGTAATCCCAGCACTTTGGGAGGCTGAGGCGGGCAGATCTCAAGGTCAGGAGATCGAGACCATCCTGGCTAACACGGTGAAACCCTGTCTCTACTAAAAATACAAAAAAAAAAATTAGCCGGGCATGGTGGTGGGCGCCTGTAGTCCCAGCTACTCAGGAGGCTGAGGCAGGAGAATGGCTTGAACCTGGGAGGCGGAGCTTGCTTGCAGTGAGCGAGATCGCACCACTGCACTCCAGCCTGGGTGACAGAGTGAGACTCCGTCTCAAAAAAAAAAAAAAAGAAAAAATAAAAAAGAAAAAGGTAGGGAGGCCAGGGTTACAGTCACATCCCTGCCTTCATCTCTACCTTGAGACCACTTTTTCCTGACAGTGCCCTTGATTTAATTTTTCCCCTGAGGCTCTTTGTTAGTATGAAAATATTTTAATGGGTAAATGACTGTCCAGAGATCTTTATGTTTGCTCCAAATTCCATTCAAAAAGTCAAACAGGGCCAGGCATGGTGGTTCATGCCTGCAATCCCAACACTTTGGGAGGCTGAGGCGGGTGGATCACCTGAGGTCAGGAGTTCGAGACCAGCCTGACCAACATGGTGAAACCCCATCTCTACTAAAAATACAAAAAAAAAAAAAAAAAAGCTAGGCATGGTGCTGCACACCAGTAATCCCATCTACTAGGAGGCTGAAGCAGGAGAATCTCTTGAACCTGGGAGGTGGAGGTTGCAGTGAGCCGAGATCACGCCATTGCACTCCAGCCTGGGCAACAAGAGGGAAACTCTGTCTCAAAAATAATAATAATAATAATAATAATAATAATAATAATAATAATAATCAAACAATACATTCTTTAATGTGTGTTTCTTTACTCACATTTGATCAGGGGCATAATGGAGATGCCAAGTGGCCCTTTCAGCACCATGCCTTATTCTACACTGTGTATGACATTTTCAGTTATATCATTCATTCCATCAAACGTATTCTTGATTTCCCTGTAGGTCACAGTATTAACCAATGTCCCACCACTACAAAACAGAATTCGCCTTTTCTCTAGCTTCTGACAACACTGCCCTCATTTCTCTGCAAGCCCTCACAGCAGCCTCCTAAATACTGCTTTCTGTGTCCACCTACTATCCTGTCCCAAAGCCAGAGCTATTTGTTTTAGGTTTTGCAATGGTAACACTCCAATTCCAGGTATCATATTATGTTATAATTATTGTTGCATAACAAACCACCTTAAAACTTAGTGGTGTCAAACAACACTAATTTTTTATGCCTGTGGATACTGTGGGTCAGGAATGGGGAAATGGCACAGTAGGGCTGGATTTTCTCTGCTCCAGTGTCTGAGCCCTTAGCTGGGATGACTCACATGACTCAGGAAGCTGAAGGCTAGAACAGCTGGTTTGGAGAAACCAATTCCAAGAGAGCTTTCTCACTCAAATGATTGGCTGTCGGTCTGGAATAATGGAAGGCAGACTTGACTGGGACTGTCTACCAGAAAACCCACTTGTGACATCTCCAGCATGACAGTCTCAAGGATGCTGGACCTTTTCCATGGCAGCTCAAAACTTCAAGAACAAGTATTCCCAGCAACTAAAGCCCGTTATGACCTAGCCTCAGAAGTCCCACAGCTTCACTTCCAGTGTATTCTGTTGTCTAAGCAGACATGCCCAGATTTGAGAAGGGACACAGACTCTCAATCAGATAGGTGTCACAAGATTTGCAACCATGTTTTAAAACTCCTAACAGCATTTATTGCCAAATGTGCAGTCAGCAACAAAGATGAAGAAGTTGGAATGAAAAGACTCCTTGAATAGTTTATGAAAAGTTTATTACCCATCTGAAGAGATATGGGACCAAATCCAAGGAATCTAATGGGCATAAATAAATCTTTCTCCCACAGAGGCAGAAATCAAAAGAAGTCTTAACTATAGTAACCAAAACAACATGGTATCAGTACAAAAAAATAGACACATAGCTCAGTGAAACAGAATAGAGAACCCAGAAATAAAGACACATATCTACAACTAATTGATATTCAATAAACTCAACAAACAGACAATGGGGAAAGGACTTTCTATTCAATAAATGGTACTGGGAAAACTGGCTAGCCATATGCAGAATAATGAAATTGGACTCCTATCTATCACCACATATAAAAATTAACTCAAGATGGAGTACAGACTTAAATGTAAGACCCAAAACTATAAAAATCATAGAGGAAAACCTAAGACAAACTTTTCTGGACATTGATCTGGGCAAGGAATTTATGACTAAGACCTTAAAAGCAAATACAGTAAAAATGAAAATCAACAAATGGGTCTTAATTAAACTAAAGAGCTTCTGCACAGGAAAAGAAACAATCAACAGAGTAAACAGACAACCTAAAGAATGGGAGGAAATATTTGTAAACTATGCATCTAACAAAGTACTAATATCCAAAGTCTATAAGGAAATTAAATCAACAAGGAAAAAAATAATCCACTAAAAGGTGGGAAAAGGACATGAATAGACACTTCTCAAAAGAAACCATACACACAGCCAATAAGCTTATGAAAAAATGCTCAACATTGCTAATCATCAGAGAAATGCAAATTAAAATCACAGTGAGATGCCATCTAAAATAAGTCAGAATGGCTTTATTAAAAAGTCAAAAAATAACAGATGTTGGCAAGGATGTGGAGAAAAGGGAACAGGGAATGCTTATACACTGTTGGCAGCAATGTAAATTAGTTCAACCCCTAAGGAAACAGTTTGGAGACTTCTCAAAGAACTAAAATTAGAACTACCATTAATCCCACTACTAGGGAATCAGGAATCCCACTACTAGGTATCTACCCAAAGGAAAAAAAACCATTTTATCAAAAGACACCTGCACTCATATGTTCATCACAGCACTATTTGCACTAGCAAAGTCATGTAATCAACCCAAATGTTTATTAGTGGTTGATTGGATAAAGAAAATGTGATTATATATCACATTATATGTATAAATACTGTACCACTTTATATATATATACACCATAAAATACTATGCAACCATAAAAATAATGAAATCATGTCATTTGCAGCAACATGGATGGAGCTGGAGGCCATTATTCTAACTGAAATAACTCAGAGACAGAAAATCAAACACTATATATTCTGATTTGTAAGTGAAAGCTAAACAACTGGTACACATGGACATAAAGATGGACATAAAGATGGAAATAATAGATACTTGGAACTTCAAAAGAGGGAAGAATGGGACGGGAATGAGGGTTGAAAAACTATTTATTAGGTACAGTGTTCACTATTTGGATAATGGGTTCACTAGAAGCCCAAACCTCATCATTACACAAAATATCCATGTAACAAACCTGCACATGTACACCCTGAATCTGAAATAAAATTCAAAAAGAAAACTCAAGAGAAAAAAATCACGGGAAGACAGTTTCCAAAAACATAAGACTGCATTTAATCAAAAGATGTACCACCCACAATGAGAGGGAGGGGTGGGTCAGGGAGAAAGGGAGGAAAGGAGGGAAGGAAGGAAGGAGGAAGAGAGAGTCATGTAAGTATGCAAGTGTCATGAATCTTCAGCTTTAAAGAGAAAAACATCACAAAAATAGTCTGGGTGTGTGTTTGTGTGTATAGTTCTATGCAAGGAAGGTTTCATCCTATAATCCTAGAGGAGAAAAAAACTTTGCTAAGACTTAAGTGATTAACTGAGAGAAATAAGAATTTTCATATGAGAAGGGGTGATGGAGAAGGATTGGGGATCCTCTCAGGAGCCTGACACCTGCATTACTGTGCTGCACTGGGAGTCAGGGACCTGAGTCTTAATCAAGGCAGCACGCTGACACAGATGAGAACACTGGAGCCCAGAAAGAAGAAGTAAATTGCCAGAGATGATCCTAAGAATCAGAGTTTCTCAAACTAAGGACCCACGGGGCACCAATATTCAGTGAGTATATAGTGGTATTCCTCTACTAAAACCAAATGACAGTCTTCCAGGTTATGTAAGATAAAGTTAATGTGTGGTCTTTTCTCAATTAATGATATTTTTCCCATTAACTTTCTTAAGCCATGGGTACCTTTTACGACTTTAAGATACCTGACTTACCAGGCTTAATATATCACAAAATGGTGTATTTCATGGTGTTCAAAAGAATACAATAAATTCAGAGACTTCACTGCTGGACCAAGTTTAAGAATAATCTCAGCACTGATATTGTATGTTTGGGAGTAAGATGTGTTCTCATTCTTTATTATTCCTGAAGTGTGACCTGGCACGACATCTCACAAACTGGCACTGGTAAGGGAACAATCAGTGGAAAATGTAGTGGATGTGAAGGCAGGGGACTGGCCAGGATGACTTCTCAGGGAGCATTTAAGATATTTTACTTAGAAAAAAATAGATCAGAATGATCTATGCGAAGAAATTAATAGTATATATTCTGGATGGGGGAATTTCAGAGATTGTTTTTCTCCCTTTTGGCTTACCTGTGTTTCCTCATTTTTCTGTAATGAATATGTATTTCTTGTTGTTCACAGGTAGAGAAAAATAACCTGTTCAATAGCTCTTCCCTCAGCCACTTTTTAAAAGTTTTCATAGCCCTGAGGGAATGGTAGTAGGACACACATGAGCAGTAATTGTAGGCAGGTCACCGTGGGTTAACATGAAGAGCCCAGGCTCTCAGGCAGAGTCTGTGGTCTGCTCAGAAGAAAAAGCTCTCCAGACACAGCCTGGATGGGGCTTTTGTGTTTTCAGACCCCTGTGTCCTCTGAGCACAGGTCTGCCTTTGTGACAAGGCCCATATACTATTAATGTCTTGCTCAGGCTTTATTGGAATAACCCCTCAGTATCGCTGGGATTTTAATGTGCTGGAGAAGCAGATCTAGAGATAGATCAAGCACTAGTCCACTCCCTGCCCTCCATATCTTCAGCTAAAATAGCTGTACTGTCTTCGCAGACCCAGAAGCCGGCTCTCTGCTAGCTGGCTTTATCTTCACATGATGATTATTGTCAATATGTTGCTTTTTGACCCAAAATATGAAAATTATTTCTACTCTGATCAAAAATCTTCAAATTTCCTCATACTAATATGATTGATTCATGGCTGTTACAAAGATCTGGCCCACCCAAGGTATCAGTATACATGTGGTCTTTGTTGGTACGGTTCCTGACACAGAAGTACACGATATAACACATTTCAAGTCCTAAGACTTGAGTTTGAATTCTGACTCTGTTATTTACTGGCTGCTGGTTCTTTCGTAAATCAATAAACTACTCAGCTTCCTCCTCTGTAAAATAGGAATTACAACACTCTCTACTTCACAGGTAAATGGAGTACTATGAACTCATTGACCAAGGACCAAGAAAATCTTAAATGTTCCCTGAGGGGCATTTTAAATCCCTCATAAGCCCCAAACACCTTCAGCTCATAAGGCCCAAACACCTACCCCAACATGGCATCAAACATATTAAATCATAGCTACATCCCATAATAGATACAAATATACATGTGAATATAAATAAGTATTCACTGTAAAAATATCTTGAAGCACAACTTTATAACTTTGTCTTTGAAATCTGGATACAATTGATTATGGTTTCCTAATGATTATCATACATATTCAGAAACTCTTGGGAAGTGCAAAAAAAATCTAGCCTACAAATTATTTTCAAATGTAATGAAATCTTTATAAATACTAAATTTAATAATGGATAGAGCTGGCATGTTATGTTTGGTAGACGGTTTTGATTTTGCAGTTGTCTATTCCTAGTTTGGAGCCAACACAATTTTTCAGGTCTCAAATATTTCTGTCAGCCTCAGAAAAGCTTGTAGGCCCCAGATACTCTGCCTAGAATGCTTAGGTTACTAGGTGCCCCAAGAGTGCCCTTAGAGATGTGTAGAGCAGTGCCTACCAGGGATGCTGATTAAAATGCAGATTCTCAGGCTTCATCCTACACCTCGTGAACTAGAATTTTTGGTGGTGCTTCTCAGGAATCTATGTGTTTTTTTTTTTTTTTACAAGCTCCCCAGGGGATTGCTTGCATTTCAGCATTTGGGAATCCATGATCTAGGGCCCCTGGACAGGGAAAGTAGGAAAGGCTGGAAGAAGCCGATGGGAACCTCAATTGCCAGTCTCCCCCCATGTAACAGCCCCTCTGCGGGCACTCAGAAAGCAGAGCAACCTGCAAGGTAAGGGAAAAGGGAGTCGTACATGTGCCTTGATTGAAACAATTTTATTTTTATAGAAATAGCATAAGTGATTTGCACCACGCTGCATTCAGCTCCCAGATGTTGAGTCAAGTTCCTTTTTTCAACTGTGGATGAATAATTTATAATTCCATTGTGTTAAATTCACAATAATAAGCCTGTCTGTTGAAGCAGTGCCGAAGTCCACGCTTTGAGGACATACTCATAAATCCTTAAGCACTTTTCTTACTAGTTGAAAAAAATTTATGAAGTGGCTTCTGGGAAAGACTGAGCTGAAGTTCTGCAAAAGTGTGATCTGAAGAGCACTTGCAACAGAATTATCTGGTACTTGTTAAAATGCAGATCCCTAGGCACTACCTCCAACCTAATAAACCAAAATGTTACCAGGTGGGATCCGGGAAACTGCAATTTTAATAAAAGCCCCAGGTGACTCTTGTGCACCTAGGTTTGAAAACTGCTGCTTCCACATCAACAGCTTCACCTTCTGGGCCTGGATTTGAGCTGACACCCCGGAGGCTGATTTCCCCACAAGAAGTTATCTCTGTTTTCTAGGTAAAAGTGTGACCTCCACCAAAAGGTCAAACCTATTCCCAGGGCTAAGCATAATTGCAAGAGAAATGGCCATCTTTGCTCCCTTTCCCCCAAAATTCTCAAGGTATAGAAACTGCCAACTAATTCCCCAAAGACTGGAAAAATGCACAAATGTCCTCTGCAGCTTCCCACCCTGTTCCCAGGGGACATTTCCCAGGTCTTTCCAAAGACAGAGGCCACCTTGTGAAGTATCTGGTATACTCGGATGCTGCCCAAGAAGGGGAGGAAAGCGTTGTCCCTCTGCCCTCTTCTTTCTGACCCATTGGTTTGCCTTAGACAGCCTACATTGTGGTTCCCAATTGAATCAGGCTCACCTCATTTGTCTGTGTCACCTGGAAATAAGTGAAGCAATTTTCACCTCATTGGTCAAAATAATGACTCCTCCAGCATTACTGGCCACAAAACCACCCCAAGCAAGGGCTTATGCCCTCCCAAGAGGGGACTTAATGGACCCAGAGAAGTGATTTATTTTTAAAGATTAGTTGCCACGTTTACAGAGTTGGTATCATGGGAGCAAAAGCAATTGGTTCTTGCAGGAAGTGTTTTACTGCATAATCTAGACAATATTCTTTGGGCCTGTCTGCATTGCCTTTGCCCCTAAGGGCTACATCTTTTAGTGCAGGGATGTAGATGGGGCAAGAGGGGCTAGAAAGTGGAGAGAGAAGAGCCAACTCGATTTGACACTGTCATCAGCAACAATAATGAAATCTGTCTATCTACAGATCACTTGCTGGAGCTGAATTATGATTAAGAGAGAGAGAACGGCATTTCTTTTTAAGAAATTCCTCCTTAGGAACATCTTAAAGTAAAAGGAAATCAAAGAGCTCTTTGGAATGGGACTGCCTCTTCACAGACCTGCTTGCAAATACAGAGCTGAGCGCTCCACCCTGCAGCCAGGGAAACTGCCGGTGACACTCAGTCGGCAAGTCAGTGAGAAACAGCCAAGTCCCCTCCCAAGCACAAGGCCGGACTGGCAGACTACAGAGATGCCTAGGAGGCCAGACAGGAAGATTCTTCACCTCTACCAAAAAAAAAAAAAAAAAAAAAAAAAAAAAAGAAGAAATGGCCACTCCTAGTTTTCTTGAAAGAAGCTACCCTTCTCCTGACTATAATTTAGTTTCTTGCTTTAGAGACATGAATACGGATAAATATTCTTCTATTATAAAATATAATAATAGTGTCAATGTAGAGGTAAAGAGTCATGAGCCTGTGCCTCAGTGTTGAGGAAGGGGGTGAGGTGGGGCCTGGGGCAAGCAGCAGAAGTGCCTGGGAAAGGAGAACTGCTCCTCCCAGGCTCCAGGTGACTCCTGGCACACATAAACAAGGAATGGGTTTTGCCAGATCTTCCCAATTTGCAAAAGAAGCTAAGTATTCAGATTTGCAAGTGAACACTCCCAACATTTAATTATTAGATCTATCTTCACTTTTAAACACTATCAATAAAATTGGTGCAACTTCTGCTCTAAAACTGGGGGCAAAAATAGGAGTCCCAGGAGCTCCCCAGACCTCAGGAACTGAAGGAATAAAGGGACTGTCACGTCCAGCTCTCTCAGGATTTACCAGTGGACTGAGGGCTCTGTCCTTTGAGGTGCTAAGGCTGGTGTTAGGTTTGAGCCATCTAACGACATGAGAGATTAGTGCTCAAACAGTTAATGTAGGCAAAACACCCAGCCTCCTACATCAGATCCCATAAGTGGGACTTCCTGAGCCCCTTTTTTCTCCAGCCAGATGAGCTATATATAATACCCAGAACAATGGCCAAAGAGTCTTTCCTTCCTTCTTCCTTCTCTTAGTGAAATCCTCATCAGTCTTTATGACCCAGTTCAAATGTCACCTCATCTGAGATGCCCTGCTCCATGTGTTCAGTTGCAGCTAATCTCTCCCATTCTCCTTCCTTTGTGTCCCATAACAGTCCAGATAGATTTAGCAACTACAGAGCAAGGTGACAGATGCTACAACCTATTGGGAAGCTCATGATGAATGAGGTAGGAGGTTGGGATGGGGATCTTTTTTCCTGAGAACATTATTATCATGGGTCTGGTGTTTTACAATCATCTCATTTTTATTTCATAGGCTTTGAGGTGGGGAGGCTTTGTTCTTCCCATTTTACAGAGAGGAAAGTGAGGCTCAGGGAGCTTAAGTAACCTGTCCAAGATCATGCAATTAGAATGAGGCACAGCTGAACTTGAATTCAGGCCTGGCTTACCCAGAGCCTAGTGTTTGGGTGTGTGTTTCTACACCCCAGGGCCTAGTCCAGGGCCATAAGAATTTCTGATTGAAAAAACTAAAAATAAAATAAGATCTATTCTAGATGACTTATTTAGAACATAAAATATAAAGTTCTACAGAGGTTTAAATGTGTGGGTGCCCTACAATGGAACTCTAGATAAACACACACACAGAATGACATTAAAAAACCTCCATGATATTTTCATAATTAGGAAAAGGAAGGTATCAAAAAGTGGGTAGAGTGTGCTGGCCTCTGTGTTCAGATCTGTAGGTTTAAGCTTGGGTTACCCCCAAAGCAGACCCCCAGGCAAGGATTTGAGAGTAAGTGGGTTAGTAGGTTGTTTGGAAGGAAATTCCAGGAAGCTCCATTAAAGGAGGGGTAAGTGCGCCAGGGAAGAGAATCTAGCTAACACAGGGGCCTTTCATGAGCAGATTTTCATGTGAGCACCTGAGACTCAGCCCTCTGGAGATAGTGTGAACACATCTCGGGGCCATGTGAAGATGTGAGCTTCTTTTTAAGAATAGAAGAGGGAAACAGGGAGGAGATAGAAATACAGGGATAGAGAAGGAAATCTACCTACCTAGTCATATGAACCCTAGAAACTATTCCTAATAAAAATTAATTTTAGGACATCTATGACCCAAGCTAGCTGGCTGTAGTTACTTGTGAAAGAGAACCCCCACCACTGCCACGCCACATCAGACACAAATACTTGTCTATCTCGTTGAAGAAAAGCTGCGGGTTTTTTTTTGTTTTGTTTTGTTTTTTTGGTTTTTTTGAGATGGAGTTTCACTCTTGTTGCCCAGGCTGGAGTGCAATGGTGTGATCTCGGCTCACTGCAACCTCCGCCTCTCGGGTTCAAGCAATTCTCCTGCCTCAGCCTCCTGAGTAGCTGGGATTACAGGGTGCATGTGCCACCACGCCGAGCTAATTTTATACTTTTAGTAGGGACAGGGTTTCTCCATGTTGGTCAAGCTGGTCTCAAACTCCCAACCTCAGGTGAACCACCCACCTCTGCCTCCCAAAGTTGGTGTCTATTTTTAAGTCCCTAGAGCAGTTGGCTGCTCAGTCTTTCATGCCATTATCACCTCTGAGGTCTCAGGCCCGAAGATTCCAGTGGCCATCCATAGGGTCAAAAGGCAAAAGGAACCACTGGCAATAGTTAAGCTTCATTCAAGCAGCTTAGGTAATAATATCCTTCCTGGCCTCCTTTCTCAGTGACTCAAAAGAGCCTGCTTAAAAAGCAACACTGGGCCGGGCGTGGTGGCTCAAGCCTGTAATCCCAGCACTTTGGGAGGCTGAGGTGGGCGGATCACGAGGTCAGGAGATTGAGACCATCCTGGCTAACACGGTGAAACCCCGTCTCTACTAAAAATACAAAAAATTAGCCGGGCGTGGTGGCGGGCGCCTGTAGTCCCAGCTGCTGGGGAGACTGAGGCAGGAGAATGGTGTGAACCCAGGAGGCAGAGCTTGCAGTGAGCCGAGATCGCACCACTGCACTCCAGCCTGGGCGACAGAGCGAGACTCCATCTCAAAAAAAAAAAAAAAAAAAAAAAGCAACAACGTCGGCCGGGCGCGGTGGCTCAGGCCTGTAATCCCAGCACTTTGGGAGGCCGAGGTGGGCGGATCACGAGGTCAGGTGTTTGAGACCAGCCTGGCCAACATAGTAGAACCCCATCTCTACTAAAAATGCAAAAAAATTAGCTGGCCATGGTGGTGGGTGCCTGTAATCCCAGCTACTTGGGAGGCTGAGGCAGGAGAACTGCTTGAAGCCAGGAGGTGGAGGTTGCAGTGAGCCAAGATCGCGCCACTGCACTCCAGCCCAGGCAACAGTGCAAGATTCCATCTCAAAAAAAAAAAAAAAAAAGCAGCAGCAGCAACATCAAGCCAGTAAAATGCTGAAGATAACTTTGCCTAAATTGTGTTTTTGCTTTTATTGTTTCAAGGAATATCTGTAGTAATGCAGTATTATGTCATTGCTCATCTCATTCCCCTGCCTCTCTCACATGGCTAAATAGTGGTTTCCATTCCATTACCTTTACAGACTGCTTGCTTTCTTACTTCTTTTCCAGTCTCTCAGTTCATGTATGGAAACATGAATTTCAGGAAGTACTAAGTCACATCATTTCCCCCTCTGGAGTATCCCAGGAAATATGGTCATGGTGTTACAGGAAGGAACAATGCTAGAAAGTAAAAACTAGCTAAAGGAGAAAGGGTTGGTGGGGGTCCTTGAGCATCTCCTTAAGATAACTCCATGAGAGCTGGGTCCTTGCTTCATTCACAATGCATGCCCATACTTAGAATAATGCCTGACACATAGTAGGCCCTCATTCAGTATTTGTTGTATGGATAATCTCAATCAGCTGCACAACTTGCCTTCAAATAAACTTGAAGTCCAAGTAGAAGGAGTAGGCTTGCTCTGTGTTTGGGAAGAAGACCCCTAGCATCCTACACCCTACCCACCTGTAATCAGACCAGGGCCCCTCCTGTACAGACACTGGAGATTCCACAGAATCACACTCAGATGCCTACATCTACACTAGGTTCCCTCCCACCCCTCTTTACACACCCACCCTCAAGCTGGACAGCCAGTGCAATCTGAGGAAATGAAGGTTTCTGTAATGTCTGGGCTGTGGATTTCTATAGCTAGAAGTTGCTTCCTGGGCCTGTCTTACAGATAAAAAGACGCATACTTGCAAGCTAACCAGCCTTGAACCAACAAAACTTAGAGCCTAAACAGCAACATTAGTCAAAATAAGGCATGAAACAAAGAGAGTGTGCTACCTCACAAAATGCCTGGATTCCCAAAGGCTCAATATTTAGAGAAAACTTTAGACCTAAAGATTTTTTAAATCAGTTTAGACTACATATATTTTGCATGACTGGACACTTGT
The DNA here is from genome assembly GCF_000001405.40 of Homo sapiens. NCBI lineage: Eukaryota > Metazoa > Chordata > Mammalia > Primates > Hominidae > Homo > Homo sapiens. Next base: position 111,285,442 of record NC_000010.11, on the reverse strand, counting down.
GATTGGCTGTCTTTCATGCCTTCCAAAGCTCTGAAAGTTGTGTCTCCAAGACTCTAGAGCTGTCTATGGGAAAGGGGCTTATTCCAGTTCAGTTCCTATGGCAAGGTGATGACAAAATCAAGATCTAAAGGCACTGACAAAAGAGGAAGCTAAATTGGCTTTTCAATTATACCTTGCTGCTGTGTCAGAAAGCAGGCTCCCAAAAGGGCCAAACTGATAGGGAGAGGTAGAAGTCTCACTATACGTTTACTTTAAACAGTTTACCACAAATCCTACAGTGCCTAATTTAGGCTGTGAGACTCCAGAGAGCAGGTGCTGCATCTTTCTTGCTGTATCCCCAGGGGTCCACTCACTGACTGGCATCCAGTAGGCACTCAATCAGTGAGGGGTGAATTGAACACAGTCTACCTGACCAACAGAAGGAAACTAGCCGAGGGCCTCCTAGGGATCAGACACCAAGCAACAGGATTTGCCTGTGCTATCTCATCCAGTCCCTGTATCACCTCTCGAATAAGCATCAACCGTCTTTTGCAGATGAGAAAACAGAGATCCAATGGAATCCACAAGTGGCAGAGGCAGGATTGAAACCCAGATCCGAGTGACACAGAAGAGGATACTTCCTCCAAATATTCACTGCCATTTAAAAATGTTCTGATTCCCTGGGGCATTGCATCCTACAAGGTACTCCTAGCTCCAAAAGCATTTGGGAATCTATGTAATTTGGAATGTTAAATAATTAGAAGTCATGGAATTTCATCAAAATGTGAGTGAACCTGAACCAAAGAATGGTGGAGAGACTGTTTTGTCAGCTCTGGGTTGGGTGACAAATTGGCAGCACACCCAGCGGTGCCTGAGGTGGCAGAGAGCTTTCATGCACACTTGCACTTTGAGTAAGGATCCTAGCACAATGCCGGATGCCCCGCCACATAAATTATGGCTCAGGCGAGAAACACAACAAAGCAATTTGCCTCTGTAACTAATTCCTCTTGTCTGTAGCGCTGAAGGAGCAATACTTTAGCAGCCAGTGAGTTGGATAATTGGAAATAAGGGCAACTCTCTGAGCAGGCTGAGGAAGGCTGGTTTTTATCAACCTTGGAGCTATTTTTTATAATCAGTGTCTATGTGCAAAAAATAAAATAAATAAATACAGAACAGGAAATAAACCTTCCTCACCCACCAGCACAGACATGTCCTTTTTTAAATACTACCTTGAAACTTTATTAAATAATAGTGAAACTCAACTTCTTGGCTTCAGAAGGAATCTTGGAAGCAGGTTATTAAACTAACACTTCTACAGAGTGAGCAAAATTTCACCAGAACCAATGTTCTTCCCACTACAGACAGAGAGGTGGCAAGGACAGAAATTTTCCATAAGGATTTTTGTCTTCTGATTGCTAAGCAGGACTTAAGTGCCTCTTTGCTTTTGAAGTCACTCTTGCTGACTGGAAATGCTCACAGGCCTGTGCATCCAGAGACCCAAAAGATCAGACACACACACACACACCCCTCTGCCAAACCCAGTACCCCCTTCCCACATCTATCCCACACTTTTGCAATATCAACCACCTCACACCTCAAACCGAGCCAACATCCAACCTGTGGTTTAGAAAGTATAATGGGGGCCGGGCACGGTGGCTCACATCTGTAACCCCAGCACTTTGGGAGGCCAAGGCGGGTGGATCACGAGGTCAGGAGATCAAGACCATCCTGGCCAACATGGTAAAACCCTGTCTCTACTAAAAACACAAAAATTAGCTGGGCGTGGTGGCGGGCGCCTGTAGTCCCAGCTACTCAGGAGGCTGAGACAGGAGAATCGCTTGAACCTGGAAGGCAGAGGTTGCAGTGAGCAGAGATCACACCACTGTACTCCAGCCTGGACAACAGAGTGAGACTCCGTCTCAAAAAAAAAAAAAAAAAAAAAAAAATACCCTGTGGGAGATAATTCAATCATGGGGGCAGTTTCCCCCATACTGTTCTCATGGTAGTAAGTCTCACAAGATCCGATGGTTTTATAAGGGGTTTCCCTTTCACTTGACTCTCATCTTCTCTCGTGTCTGCTGCCATGTAAGATGTGACTTTCACCTTCTGCTATGAGTGTGAGGCCTCCCTAGCCATATGGAACTGTGAGTTAATTAAACCTCTTTCCTTTATAAATTACCCAGTCTCAGGTATGTCTTTATTAGCAGTGTGAGAACAGACTAATAACACCAACTCAACAACTCATTTCTGATTTCTGTCCCCAAAGATTTTCAAGTCTAAGATTTCCCAGTCTTCCTTGGGCAAATGATGAAAGAAAAGCAATCTTGGAAGTAGGGTTCTTTTTCCTATTAGAGATTTTATAAACAACACAATGATTCAGGCATGACCTTCAATGCTGACTATACAGAGAGGGAAAGACGGAAAATGCTCCATTCACCAAATCTTTTTGGAGTGAACTCTGAATTTACTCTGGAGAAAATGCCTTGTGAAACTGCTGAGAATGAAGAGTAAGAGTCCAAAAGCAAGTTCAAGACACAAAAGTTGGGAACAACATACACTATTCTTGGGTGATAGTTGCACTAAAAGCTGAGACTTCACTACACAATATATCCATGAAACAAAAATGCACTTGCACCCCCTAAATCTATAAAAATAAAAATAAGTAGAAAATAAAAAAGACAGAAAGTTGATTAGGAAATCGCTCTGCATTAGAAAGAAATAAGAAATTTGTACTTCCTGGGGGAAAATCCTGAAGAGGGAGAGGGGAGTAGAGGAATTGAGACTGCTTGGCTCAAAGGAGGAGGGAAAAAAAAGAAAACTCTCAGATGACAGAGTAACTGTGCAGTGGGTTTGATACAGAAAAATGACTGTTGGGGAATTTTCCACATTGATGGCCACTTAATCCTAATATTAATCTTATAACATGGTTCCCTGCTCAGAAACATCCAGTAGCTTCCTATTGCTTCCGGGATTTAAATCTGTGGCCTCTGCCTGCTATCTGCAGCTTTTCCACTCCAGACTGGCTCCAACGGTACCCCCAGCTCCTTAACAAGTACCCCATGGAGGAGGAAACTGCAGCCTGGTGCCGTCAAGGCAGAGGGGTTCCAGCCCTGGTGCATATCCCCCTAACTTGTGAAACCTGTTGATACCACACCGTCCCCAATGACAAATAAGAGAGTTACACCAATGGATCTCTGAAGGCCCTTTCTTTGCCACACTGCAAGATCACAAGTGGCTTCTCTGGACCCCCTACTCCCACCAGCCCTAACTCTCCCATCTCCTTCCTTTCTTATCGCTACGTCCACACTTTGACTCACTCAAATTGCTTTTTCCTTGTTTGCCTCTCCCCTCTGTGAGACCTACTGAGTTGCAGCAGGAGTTGCATCAACTCAAATGCCCCAAATGCCACGGCACATAGGCATGGCCTTCTGAGAACTACTGTGCCCCCACCATCTGTCCTGTCACCCCCCACTCTGCCCACTGTTTGTAGCAATGCCAGCTCTTTTACGTGGGAACATCCTGCTTCTCATCCACATCATAAACCCTCTGAAGCCTGAAATATTTTTATAGGATTACTACTATTTTGGTATCACCAACAAACTCTTGGACAGTTCTGAACGCCAAATAAATACTGAATAAATAAACAAATCAGCAAAGTAAATTAGGGGGCCTTTCTCTTCCAGGCTCAGAGTTTTTGGCTCAGAACCGCATCCCTTTAACGGAGACCAGAAGTTTTCTGGAACTCCACCTGCTGGAGAAAAACTTTGTTGCTTTTTCACTGAGCCTGTTTATCCCAGATCTGGGGCAGCCTGAGGACTTGTACCAGCCTACAGCATGTATTTATATCCGTGCAGGCAAAGGGAGAGAACATACATTCATTTACCTACTATTGCATAGATAACATTACCAAAGGTCAACCCCCAATTCCCACCATAGCTTGTACCTAAGATGCCTTGCCTTTCGGGAGGGTCCCTGTACACAGTGGGTGGAGGTTTCTTCACTCTATTCCATGTCTTCATTTTGGGAGTCCATTTCCTGCCAGTAGAATGCAAGCTCCTTGGGAAAAGCTTGGTCTGTCTGCCTCGCTCACCACTGTGTCTCCAGCACCAACATGAGTTCCTGGGTAATGGATGTGTGAGGTGAAGAAGTGAATCAAGTAATGAACATATATGAGCACTCTGAGAACCCTGGAGGGTGCCCACAGCCTTCTCATCGACAGCTGAAGACCTTGTCACATGGTGGCTTCCATGGGGTCTTCCTTGGGGAGCAGAGTCAGAGACAGAAGTCCAGCACCAAGTGAGGCTCAAATTTAGCCTTCCATTTCATCATTAGCAAAATGCCACTAATAATTCTGACCTCATAGGAGGAGGAAGATGAAGGAGGCTGCTTCAGGCATGGCCCACACCAAGCTGCAGCCATATCAGCTCCAAACCCCAGACATTCAGTACATTCAAAAAGATGCCAGGTGACCTTGCAGCTCCCCTGAAGGCTCAAGTGGGGTCTCAGGAGACCCCCATGTATGTGGATGAGACATTGCTTCCCTCAGATCTGGAAGGGGGCCTTCCAGGCCCATCACAGCCCCTTTACCTAGAAGAATGCACAGTCCTTTGGTTGTAAATAGGACATGCCCTGCCAGACCCTGATTCTGGATGGCCAATCCAGTGGTGGAGATTTTTCACGTAAGACACTCATTCGTACCTGCCCCTCCTCTTCCCTGCAACACAATATATAGGGGTTGGCTGACCACAGTGAGCAGGCAACGTGTGACCTTGTTTCAGGCCAAAACTAACCAACGCCCATGCAATCAAACCTACGACTGTGGCTCAGGTCTAAGCCTATGACTCAGGGCACAGAAGGTACAGGCACCCCTGAAGGAGCTAAGAGAATCTGGGTAATGAAGCACAGTGGATACTAGCATGGATGAAGGAGCCAGAGTGCCTGAGTTTGAAACCCACCTCCACCACTGCTACATGCATGGCCTTAGGCAAGTGAGTTAGCCTTCCTGTATTAGTTTTCTCATCTGCAAAGCCCTCAGTTTCCTCAACATTAGTCCAGATCATGCACACTCAAAGCGAAGGGTAAATTATCTGCAGAGTCAGTGAGACTAGGCACTACAATGGTTGTCATGATAATTAAATAATACTTACCATGCTTGTCTCAGTTATCAATCATTGCATAATAAACTACCCCAAAAACCAGTGGCTTAAAGCCACAGTCATTTACTTCCTCATGATTTTGGAATCTGGGCAGGGCTCAGCATGGGCAGTTTGTCTTTTCTCTGTGTGGTGTCTATTTGGTTCTCTACTGGGCTAGAGAACCAAAGATGGTTTCACCCATAAGCTGGGAGAGGCTGGAATGGCTTGGGGCTGACTGGCTGAGTTTCTCTCCTTCTTCATAGTCTCTCACCCTCCCGAGTAGTCCTTTACATGGCTTCCAAGAAAGTAAACCCAAAAGCTGCAGGGTCTCTTAAGGACTAGACTGGAAACAGGCACAGCATCAAGTCCTCTGCATTCTTTTGGTCAAAGCAAATCACAGTGGCAACCCAGGTTCAAAGGGTGAGAAAACAGACTCCACCCCTTGGTAAGAGTAGTGGCTTATGCATCTAAGGAAGGCTGGAAGTGTTGGACAGTGCATTTGCAGACAGGACACCAGAGCACTATGCAGTCATTTGCAAAAGGAAAACCTCAAATCTAATCACCCAGGTGGGGCAGAAAAGCCATAATGCTCTTGACCTGAACTACCTCAAGTGACTACAGACTAAACATAAAACACAAAGCTACAGCCAGGTAAAGTGCAAATCCCTGGACCACTGCTTACTAGCCTGTCATGTTGAGCAGCAGGTCGTCTTATACTTAAAATACCCCAGTGTCCTCCTGCTCTCATGTAGGGGGAAATCTCACACCAGCAGTCAGCACATAGTGGATGCCTTGCTATTTGTAGATACTCAGTTAACATTTCTGAAACGAATAAATTCTAATTTAATTGAACAAAGGACTTAAATTTGTGAGTGAAACAACTGGTCCTTCTCCAGGGCTAATAATCTATTCCCAGAACAAGTTATACCAAGGACTCTAGAGGCTAACACTAAACACCTTTGAGTCCTGAGGTCCCTTTACCAACTGGGTAGCCTTGAGCAAGGAATCTTGTACATAGTAGATGCTCAACAAATGCTTGTGCAATTCATGTATTTTTTTTAATTTTATTATACTTTAGGTTTTAGGGTACATGTGCACAATGTGCAGGTTAGTTACATATGTACACATGTGCCATGCTGGTGTGCTGCACCCATTAACTCGTCATTTAGCATTAGGTATATGTCCTAATGCTATCCCTCCCCCCTCCCCCCACCCCACAACAGTCCCCAGAGTGTGATGTTCCCCTTCCTGTGTCCATGTGTTCTCTTTGTTCAGTTCCCACCTATGAGTGAGAACATGCGGTGTTTGGTTTTTTGTCCTTGCGATAGTTTACTGAGAATGATATTTCCAATTTCATCCATGTCCCTACAAAGGACATGAACTCATCATTTTTTATGGCTGCATAGTATTCCATGGCGTATATGTGCCACATTTTCTTAATCCAGTCTATCATTTTTGGACATTTGGGTTGGTTCCAAGTCTTTGCTATTGTGGCAATTCATGAATTCTAAAAGGTGCATGAAACAGTTGAATGAATGAATTGATAAATGAATAAAAAATGATCTCATGAACACCCACCCCACACTGGTGAACTACTCACCCCCTAACGATCCCTTCGTGTTGGGAACACCATTTGGTGGAAATTTTTCCTACTCCTCTCCTGCTTCTTGTCTAAGATGGCAGACACTGTCAGCTCCACTACAGAAGGGCAGTTTTTACTTCCTTGCTGGTATAGGACATGCCCTAACTTACACTTCATTTTTGAGTATGCAAGTCCTGGCCCAGCATCCAGAAAAGCCTGAGTTCTACTTGGGGACTTTCTAGGCCTTTTTGGCTGCAGTTAGGCTGAGCATCTGTTCTGCTTCCACCCAGCTGAGCACCCCTCCCTTTGAGCTGCCTCCTCCAGCAGCAGAAACATCAACAGAATCACCAGCTAAGCAAATCTCCTAACATTCAACTTAATTGTTAGTTGCCTGAGCAATGTTCCGTAACGTGGGGCAACACTTGCCTAATATCATTACGTCTAATGCTGCACTATGAGGACTTCTACTCATAAGTCTTAGCAACTACTATTATTATGTTTACAGTGTATCAAAAGTTAATATTATCTTCTTTAATCCTCCCAATAACTCCATGAAAGAGGCAAAATTATAATCCCAAATTTACCGATGAGGTCCCGAAGCTCACAGAGATTAGCTCACTTTCCCAAGTCCCACAGCTTCTAACTAGCCAAGCTGAGATTTTATCCCAGGTAGTCCGACCTGAAGGCTGCCTTGTCCTGTCACAGTCACGACCACACTGTTCCCATTTCTTTGTCTGTCTTTCCCATGAGATCAGCAATTCCTTGAGGGCTGGGACTGGCTCCTACTCATCCCCGACCTCTGTGTTCAACAGGAAGCTTGGATCCTGGCACAGAGATGGTGTCTAGTGGATGATGTGAACTGAATGCACGAGAGCTGTGTGACCTGACACATGGGACCATTCATCCAGCGGCATGACCAGATGACAGCACATCCAATTCATCGGTCAGGCCTCATTGCTCTGGTGGAAAATGCATTTTAAATCCCAGCCCAGGGACATAATTACCCTTTAGCATGGGAAGATATTCAATTTGTTACTCCTGGCCAGCACAGAAATCGGGTTGAGTTGGGTGGAAATACAAGACAGATTAGATTCCTCAAAACTGCCTTTATGTTTTTAAGGCTCTCTCCCTCCTCTCTTTCTCTCTCTCTCTCTCCCCCCCTCTTGTTTCACAGTATACAGGTGCCAAGTAACTTCAGCTTGCCACTCTTGGGTAAATGGTGACTGCTTTAATTTATACCTGCTGGGAAGCCCTCACCTAAGGAAAGCCTCCTCATCTTGCCTCATCCCCCTCCTTACCCTGTTCAAGTGCACAACCTAAACAAGGCTGGGAGGAACCCCAGGGCAGTTGCCCCTGGGCCTTTTCTTAATGAAGCTCATCTGCCTAGAAGATGGCAGCATGTGGATGGATCCATAGGAGAGGGTCTGAGTTGGGTAAAGAGCATGTCAGTTGAGTCCTGCAATGTGCCAGGTCATGCTCTGGAGACATCCACACATATTTCATTTAAGCAACAGGTCAGGCTATTATGAGCACTCTTTTTTCTTTTTTTTTTGCAGGTGTGAAAGGTGAGGCCAGCGGCTCCCAAATCCTAAGAAGCTGGCATTTAAACTTGAATGAACTAGCTCACATCACAGCCTCTTTACTCCTCACCTTGGAGAATGTGGGACTAAAAGGAGGTCATTTCTGAGAATGTGGAAATAAGACAGAACTAGGCCAAAGTCATGAAGAATCTAACAAGTTAGTCACCTTGAGAAATGGATTTTATTTCTGCCACAACTGGTCCAGATGGAGAAAGAAGGAATTGTTTCAACGTGGAAAATCTCCCAGAAAGACTCAAAGTATAACTCGTGAACCACCCAGGGAGCTAGATAAAATACAGATTCCAGGGTCCCACTCCAGATCAACTGAATCACAATCACAAAGGGCCTGGAAGTCTGCATGGTTAACAAGTTTTTCCCACCCCTGAGGATTTTGATGTACCCTCAAGTTTGAGAACCTCTCAAGTTTCGAGGTACTCTCAAGTTTCTCAAGTTTGAGAACCTCTGGCCTAGAGGCAGAAGATGAGGTTCACTGCCCTGGAAAGACAACAGGCCCTGGGAGTGGGATGGGAGGAGGGGCCACCACACACCTGGCTCCATGGATGTTATGCTTCTCCAGGTGCCGCGGGAGGTCCTAGCAGACAGACACAGGGAGCTTTTCTCCCAACATACCTGGTGTCCCATTGCAGGGCAATATGGACGTGATCCTTTCTCAGTGCCAGAACCATCAAATGATCACGTACCACTTTCAGGCACAGGAAGCTTAAGGTCAGAATCTCTAGAAAATTAATTTGTCTTAAATTGGAAGGATCTTATAAACAGAATTTTAGAGCTAACTCCTCTCTACCTTTTCTATTTGGTACGCAGGGGGCTAATTGGGAAAAGGAAAAACATACATAAATAAACTATTATTTCAAGCTTCAGGCATCTACAGTCTTGTTCTCTCCATGAGAGAAATTTCCCGACAAGTCTTGATACCTGTGCATTAGCACAGAGCAGCACAGAGAGTAAACTTTCCCAAGATCTACTGTGGGGGCACAGCTGAGATTCTGGAAAACCATGGAACAACAACAAAAAAGTCATTTTTCAACTCAGAACTTCAGGTCTCTACTTACCCACCTAAGGTGCTTACTTAAATTATTCCAATCCCTGCCATCCCAGTCGGCCAGCACCCACCTGATAGCAAAGCACATTGGCCAAAAGTGGTCCTCTCTTTTCTTCTTTTGTCAAAGGGATGTAAAGGTTCAGCTTGTAAAATGTTCCCCAAGTTGAAAAATGTGATCTATAAACTCAGTACCCAGGGAAATGAAATTTGCCTGAGTGTAGATTTAGCCATTTTTTATAATTTGTGGAAAGGGTGAAGAAAACGTATTGAATTTCATTCAATTTTTATCATGTCACAAAGTGAAAAGTCACTTTCCACTTATAAGAACTCTAGCAGCTTCTCGGTCCCCTGGAAAAAGGCAGAAGCCAAAAAGCCTAAAACAGAGCTGGGTGTTCCTGGTCCCTGAGATGGTTTGCCATTTTTTGGAAAAGGGCTACCGTGAAAAAAAAATATTGTCTCCCCACCCCCAGAGCAGGCCACCATATGATATGAAAGAATGCAAGCCCTTTGCTCTCTTTTTGAAATCATGTCTTCCAGGTTTGTCAATAGATCTGTGATGGGGATGTCTGAATATCTTTTTTTTAGTTACATGTTGATCATTTAGGTATGTGAATGCAACCATGGCAGGATTTCTGTGCCCCATCCCAGCTGGAACAGGACTCCTGTAGCCTCACCAGTTGAACTGATTCAATTCTTTGCCAGGTGACAGGACCTCCACCCAGGAAGAAAAATCAGCCCTCTCAGCCCTGGAGCCCTGCTGTGTTGGCACAGCCTGCAAACTTTGAGAAATGAGCTCATACTGCACACTCATGCTGGTTTCTATGGCAATGGTCATCAAGGCTTGGGCCAAGGTCATCAGACATAGTGAGTCCCCACAGGATCCGAAGACAATCCCTGTCTGGTAATTCCCAAGAATTGTTTTTTTTTCTCCTACCCTGGCATGGCCCCTGCTAGTCAATGACAACTTTCCATAACATGTTTCTACTCCCCAAATATTCCCCATGAATTCCAGTTTCTATCAAGCTGTTTTCCTGCTTCCAAACAATACTACATCACACATAGCAGGTTGCAAAGGCAGCATGCTTTATCTAACTCATGGCTTTCTTGCAATAAAAGGTCATTTCCCCTGTTATTGTCATTAACTACCATTTAGTAAATACCTACGATATGCCAAGCACCGCAATAGGCATTCAACATACAAAATTTAGTTCTTCAAAATAGTCCCATGAAATCAGTGTTATAATTCTCTTTTTATAAATGATGGAACCGAGGGTCAAAGAAGCTAAGTAGCATACCCAGTGTTTCATCGTGGCATGTAGTGGATCTAAGGTTGGAGCCCAGTTCTTCCTGATTTCACCAAGGCCACTCTATCTTGCCATCATACCCTGCTGCTCCCCCTTAGACAACAGGGTACCTTTATCTTTCTTCTTAGAATACTTCATAACTTTTTTAAAGCGTTGTTTCAAACCTTCCATATAGTGCTATCAACTATAACGTCTCCTTTAAACATTTCTGCTGAATTCTATGTTTTAGTTCTTTGTCTGCCACCCCTTTCTGATTCATCTTAACTTTTCCAGCTTTCTCAGTAGAGACCTAAGTGGGAAATATTGTCTTAATAAGAGCAATGGCAGTTTTTGAGTTTATATTCTTCAAAGCCTCGACAGTCCAAGATCTTGGTCTTTGGGCTGCCTCCTGCAGACTTCTTCGGGGTGCCTTTATTCTGACAAGTATCTTCAGGGTTTCAATCTTCTGACAGAAGCAATAGTGGGAAAGGATTGAGAAAAGACGGGCAAAAGAATAATTAAGCAATATGATGTGTTAAGATGAAGTGAAAATAATAGGATTCCATCTTATAAAATACTCCAAAGCAATAGATGAAGAATGCTCACTGAATATTATGATTCAATGTCAATCTATCATGTAGGGTGAAGGCTGGTGTTATTATCCACTTGCAAAATTTTCCCAAGTACCAGCACTCAAGCCAGTGATTGTGGCAAATAGGCTTCCTCGTAAGTAAATTTCACATCTGTGAACTTGATTATTGCATTTTTCAAGCATTAATGTGCAGAAAGGCTGAGAGAAATTGCAGCCATCTCTCAGTACACAGGTTAGGGTGACAATGCTCGAGCTAGTTTCAAGGTTTACTCAATCTTCAAGTGCTATTATAAAGCTTATCTTTCTCTAGGCTGTGGGTTTGTTTATTGGTCTATCCTCTTTTTATTGGGAGTTTTGGCTTTTGTTTTGTCTACAGACTGCCTTCCATTTATTAAGTCTCAGTAAAGTTCCCTCTAGATTTAGGCTGTGATCCAAGCTCCCCAGTGAAACAACATACTAGACACAAAAGCAGGAACATAGAAACCATCAGCTGGCTTGGGACAGTCAAGTGCTTTCCACAAGGGCCAAACTTGTCAATGCACAATGAGCAGAAAATGACACTAACTCAGCAACAACGTACTCTTTAGAACCATTGTTGTCTTGTCAGAGACAAACTTTTTAAGCAGAAAGTCAAATTCAGAATCCTTACTCTGTATTCAAGGCTCAGAGCATCCTGATCCCATCCTATCTTCCCAACTCTGCTCTCTGCCCCACAGGAAGGAAGCTTTGACATAATGACAACTCATATTTATTGAGCCAACGCTGCATCCCAGACACTGTCTGCAAACTCTTTTACATGAATTATTCTGAATTATGCCCAGTCGTCAATGAGATAACTAAGGCATGAAGGGGATTGCCCAGCATCACACAACTTCCTAGTGGTAGACCCGGGTTTTTAAACCCAGAAAAGTCCACACCAGCAGGCTAAGCTCTTTACAAGGAGATTCCTCTGCCTTTCAAGCACCCAAGACACACTGACCTTTCCCCTCCAGTCACCCAAATATTGCTTGACCTTCAAGGCCCATTTCAATCCCCACTGTCTTATAACACCTTCTCTGACCACACACAGCCTGTGCTATATCTATTCTCTCTCTTTGGGTCCCCCCAGTATCTTGCTGTCTCCACACTGAGTCCGGCAATTGTCTTCTGCTGCCCTCTGTTATGTGACAGTAGAGTTCAGTGGATATAATTGGTTTCAAATCATAAGCCTTGGATTCCAAGCCCACCTTGGGCACTTTCTAACTATGTGACTGTCCATTCACTCACCCCTCAAATGTTCTTTAAGCACCTAATTAACATGCGATAGACTCCAGGGTCTCAATGCTAAGCTCATCCTAGATCAACTCCTTGCCCCCTTAGAACTTACATGGATCTTGAGCAAGTGACCTCATCTCTTTGAGCTTCAGTTTCCTCATCTGCAAAATGGGAATAATATTAGCAGTCTCATGTGCTCAGCTCTTAATAGCCAAAAAGTTTAAAAGCACCCTGTAAAATGCCTAGCACATAACAGATACTCAAGAAATAGGACTATCATGATAATTACTATTATAACTATTAAGTTATAGTTGTCTTAGCTTCAGTCTTATTTCCCTAACTAGGTTATAAATATCCCTATTATTTATATTTTATTTTTATTTATAGTAGTGAATCACAACTCACAGCACCTAGAATCAAGCCATGCACATGGGTCACCAGAGAAAGCATTGACCAACCTTTGGAGTCAAGGCTTCACCAGGAACTTGCTGCATGGCTTGAGCAGATGAGTCAGTTCTCTCTTCTTTTTCTCTTTCTTTCCTTTCCCTTCTCTTTCCTTCCCTTCCTCTTCTCCCCCCCTCCCTTCCTTCCCGCTTCCACCCCTCCCACTCTCCTCTTTTCCTCTCTCCTCCAACTCGTCCTCCCCTTTCCCTCTTCCTCTTCCTCCAGTCCCTTTCCCTCCCCCTCTCCCTCTCTCCCCACTTCCCTCTTTCTTCCTTCTCCCCCTTTCCCCCTCCTCCCCTCTTCCTCTCATCCAGCCTTTCCCTCTCTCATCTCCAGAATCAGGACCTTGTGAGTAGAAAGAGAAACTTACAGAGGCAGTCACAGTGGTGGGGCTTCTATGGCTTCCACTAATCAAAACTGAGTGTAGTCCATCAGGTGTTCTTGCAGCCATACTGGAGCAGCTACCTTTTATGGGCAAGTATGGCCAAGAACCAAAAGTCCTGGGTCTGGTCCAGCCCCCCTGGTATTTTCTATTAACTTCTGTTGAGCTCTAAAAACTCCCCAAGCCATCTCTTGGTTGGTGTTGTTCAATATATCTACTTTAAAAGGAGATGGCTCTCAAGGCCTCAGATAGTAACCAATTCTAATGCATCATAAACTCCAGGCCCCGTTGCAGTCATCCTTTCATGATACAGAAGTTCCTTTGAGCCACAAAGGAGCTCAATGGCTCAAGGTATGAGCGTAGCTGCCCAGGCCCCTGGCTCAGACTCCAGGTTAACAATGCTCCCTTCACTCAACCAGCCTTGAGGGTTCGTTAACTCACAGCAGTGTGACCAGCCCATAGAGAGGCGAGGAGAAGGGATTCATTTCAAACTCATTCCCACTGCCAGCCAGCATGCTCTACTGGTAGTAACTTGTCTTCATTTGCAAAGTCATAATGAAGAAAAATGAAGAAAATTAAACATGGATGCAGAATTGATCCAGTGACTCACTTGTTCAGAAGCTCCCCACTATCTGGAGGAGAAGATTTCAGTTCCTGTGCACACAGGCACTGCCTTTCCTCTGCTGGCCCCCACTTTCTTTCCCAGGAGCATTTCTTGCCAGCTCCTATCTTCTCACAGGCCATACTCCATTCATCCCAAACCTCTTGCTGCTTTCCTAATCCACTCTACTGTTTCTCCCCCATGTGCTTTCATCATTCTCCTTTCTCTTCCTCTTCATCTTGCCTACCTGGTAAATTACTGCTCAGTTCAAGCTAACCTCACAAATGAAGCCTCCCACATTTCCCTAGGAAAAGCTGACCACTCCCTTCCTTGTCCCCCATGGTCCTTGTTCCATCCCTCTATAGTGGCTCCTACTACCCTATAGGATATTTATGTGTGATGGATGTCCCAAAATACATCGGATGCCTACCATGTACCTAACACAGCATTAGACATGTTGCAGAAACTCGCCCTGTGGTTTGCATACTGCTATTCTGATAGATTATAAGAAAATTGAAGGCAGCAGTACTTACTTTTTCACTCCAGCATCCCTGGTGCCTAGCACTTTGTAAGTGCTAAAGGATTGTTCATAAATTTAAATTCAACTCACAAACAGCTGACAATTGAATGACCAATAACTACCATAAAAATTTCAAGCAGTTAAGATTCCATGTAGTAAGACCAGCAATAGAAAGTTTTCTATAGCTTCATTATTAAACTGAGCCCAGGAGGGCTACTTTTAAAGTCAGTTTTCAGATCTGGAAATAAGGAAAGGCAGAGGAGGAGGAGGAAGAGGAGGAGAAAAAGGAAGGGACAAAGCTCTCACTTACTGAAGCAAACAAACATCTACTGCAAAAAACAAAACAAAAAAAAGGATAAGGATAAGAAAGGGATATAAAGATTACGGCGATATCATAGAGCATTCTCTCTAAGCAACCTCATCACTCTGCTCTCCTAGCTGAATGGGCAAAGATGTAATTTATATGCTCAGACTTCATCATCCTGAATTTTTTTAAGGTGATAAGTTGTTTTAATCAACCTGGCTTATTATTTTTTTCCCCTATGTCTGATATAGTCTTAAGCTAGAAAGCAGTTTTGTTCAATTCCTCTATTTGGCTGATATATTATGCTCTAAGTTTTTCTCCTGAGAGCATGCCTCTTTCATTACTTTTCATCTCAGTTCTTATAATGAAAGTTTTGCAAAGCATGACTACTGTTTTTATTCCTGATCAAAATGGGAGACCATACAAAATAGAAAGAATATGAGTATAGCTGGAAGAAATTTTTAGCAAAACGTTGTGCTCTTAAAGATGAACATCCTGCAAAATCTAGAAGCAGGCGGTGGCAGGGAGAGGGGTCTTCACAATTACAGCAAAGGACTCTTTCAATGGTGAGAAGGTCCTAAACAGAAATAAAATGAAACCAGGTGGCAACTTGCCCTTCCTCACCTAGGTGATCACTCTTCTCCTGCTGCTTTACAGATTACTGTCTTTTTTGATGAAGACTGCATCCATATCTGTGTTTGGCACTGTGCTAGCTACACTGCCAGCATGCAATAAATTCTGATCATGATTAATGGTGATAATAATCATGCAGGGTGAGAAAGTTTCTATCAATTTCCCATAGCCTTATTTACCAGCTTCTTTGCACCTTCCCTGCAGTTACTAAAAAGAAAAGGACTTAATGTGCACATACCTATGCTCTGTGTTTCAACCATCCCACTTTCTTTATATGCCAGATGAATCTCCCAGGAATGCAAGGTTCCAGGCAGAAAGCATGGCTGCCCTGAAGCTTTATTCAGAAACACTGCTAATGTTGCTGCTTGTCCTAGAGGAAGTCACCTTCCATTCCTAGGACGGCTCCACCTCCTTGCCTGCAAAAGTCAGGGCCCCACCCCTGCTTGTCTGCCATATCAGATAGTACTGCCTTGGTACCAATTGCACTGGTCAATGAAATAATGCTCCCCTTCACATCTTCCTAAGAGTTTCTTGTATTAGTCTTCTCTCTTGTGGAAAACAAAATAAGATGAATAAGATGTGGGTTATGTTTGCTGACTGAATGACTGAACCAAATGGAATCAATCACTTGTAGATAATCTATTACTCACTCCTACGGGCTTAGTCAACAGTCACCCAGTGGGGACCCAGACCAGCCCTCAAGGAGATTGATTGCAATGGTACAAACAGAGATCAAGTATAAAAGCCAAAAATATGATGCACATGGAATGCCCAATTCAGTCATAAGGTGATACCATTCAAAGGATCCACCTCAGTTAAACTGTGGAACGGAAACCAGAAGTCACAATGTAGGACCAGCCAGAACCAGAAGACAGAAGAAGATGGGTAGGTACTGTGGTTTCCCTGATTCTCTGGTTCTTAAAACAAAAATGCACTTGTGTCTAGAGCTTACAGGCAATGGTAGTCTTAGAGGCTGTCCATGATTTGTCTATGATCATCCTCAAGACGACCATGGCAATGGTCCATGATTGTCCTTGAGAGAGAATGGAAAGATAATCACAGTGAGATGATGAAGGAAAGAAAACCAGAGCAGACATAGGGTCATTAGGATCAAGAAAATAGCTCAAAGCAGAGAAAGATCTGTAAACATCATAGAGAAAGCATCTCTAGTAAACTTGTCCGGTTCTGTAGTATTGGACACCGAAAGTGTTCTCACAGATTTAAATGGCCTGTAAGTTCCAGTAACAATGAATACAATTAATACTTGCTCAAATAGGACTCATTTAATCATAAGAAATGGGAAATTCAACTCAACCTACTTTAAATTGCAAAGGAGACTATTGCTCATTTAAAGGGCCTTAGACCTAAAATTTCAGGCACGGCTTGGAACCAGGTGCTCAAATGAAACCATCAGAAATCTTTCTCCAGTTACTAATAAGTTCTCTCTGAGTGGAAGCAAGGGTAGCCACTGAAAGCACCAGGCTTAGAAGCAAATAACTGAAGAGACTCAAGGAAAAAACAGACAACTTCTTTTCATCAACATCAGCAAAACTTCTGAGACTGAGAAATACTGGCCTGGCTTAGACCACATAACATTGTCTGAAACAATCACTACAATGATGTGGAATGTCCCCACTGGACATCTCCATCATATATCAGAAAAAGAAAGAATGGATGTAATCAGGTCAAAACAAGGAAAAGTGGATGGACGGGCAGACCTACACATCTGTCTCACCAGTATTTAGCAATTATTAGGTGCCCCCAGTGTCCTAGGTATAGTCAAGAAATAGCATTCAGTGCTGTATTAGCTTTTTCTAAACACTCATCAAGGAAGACCATAAAGAAAAGCTTTCTTCTATCCAGCACCTCCCCTCCTCACAAAGTATCTCCAATGATGGACAATAATTTTTTCCAAGAGCAGTAGTCATTGTGTTTGAGATATTTTAGGAACCAAGATCAAAAGATTAACAGTGAAAATTATACAGGAAGAGGTTTTAAAAAAAATCTCTATTTGCAGATGATATAATCCTAAAACCGCAAAGAACCGTGGACAAAATTACCACAAGCAACTCTTAG
This sequence comes from Homo sapiens, assembly GCF_000001405.40. Taxonomy (NCBI): domain Eukaryota; kingdom Metazoa; phylum Chordata; class Mammalia; order Primates; family Hominidae; genus Homo; species Homo sapiens. The sequence continues at coordinate 111,268,014 of NC_000010.11, read as the reverse complement.
TAAAATTGAGGAATATACAATTATCATGTTACGCCAGCTATTAAGCTCTTGTCGCTCAGCTCCAAACCCACCCTTCTATACTCACTTTTGTGATGCAGGAGCTGGGACTCCACAAATCCAGTTTCAGCTTTGCCAGCGGCTCCCTCTATGGCTTCAACGGAAGGGGCCCCGGAGGGAGACTGCAGGTTGCAGGGGAAGGAGGAATTTGCTTCTTCCTCTTGCCTTCCTGCCAGCTTCCTATTCCTGTGAATGTCCCCAAGCAATAATTCCTCATTCCAGTAGCATCAGTGGAATCCAGTTTTCAATTTCTCCAAAAATTACAGAACCAGCTATGTTGTGTACCCCTCAGAGACACCAGCAACTGCTGGCCAATGTCCGGGTCCCATGGCCTTTCCTCTGAGCTTGGAGATTCCAGCAGCAGCCGAGCAGCTTCCACCTCAGTCAGAGATTCAACTCCATGGCTCCCCCAACCCAAACTTCTAGATTTAATACCTCTCTCTCTGTGCCTTTGTTACCCAGCCCTAAGGATGGTAGCTGCTTCCTGAAGATTTTTTCTTCTGTGATTACTTAGTATTGTCTTTTTACCTTTTCAGTTATCCACTTTATACCTTTATACCAGTTAACAATTCTTTGTCTTAAATAGTCTCTGTTAAAATAATTGGTGCTATGCCTGTCTCTTGACTGGACTCTGATTAACACCTATGCAGAAAGCAATAGACTTCACATATACAAGATAACCAATTAGAAGATACAAGGGAAGGGAAGAGAAAACCCCATTCACAAAAGCAAAATAAAAAAAAAAAAGTAAAACAAAATACCTAAGCATTAAACTAACACAAAATGTGCATAATCTATATAGAAAAACTGTAAAATACTCCTGAAAACACAAAAACAGTTTGAACCATAGGAAGATACAGGCTATTAGAAAAACTCAACATCATAACATCAGAAGGATGTTTGTTTTCTCTATGTTAACTTATGATTATTGAGATCTCAATAATGATCAGGTTTTCTTTCTTTCTGGAGCTAAACAAGTTGATAACAAAGTTCATATGGAAAAAGCAAAAGGGAAAAATAACCAAGAAAACCCTGAAAAGCTAAGGCAATTCTGGGGAGGTGGGAGCTAGTCCTACTGGATATTAAAATATGAAATGTCTCTATGAATAAAACAGTGAACTGTTATATCATTAATAGGCAGGCAGACCAGTGGTCCAGAAGAGAAAACCCAAAAATAGACCTAAGCAGACAGGGCAATTTAATGTATGATGAAGACAGTAAGTATCTCAAATAAATGAGAAAAGGCAGAGTTTAATAATTGATGACGTGACTATTAGACGACTACATGGAAAAAAAAATCCGTACATTAGAATAAACGTACATTGGAATACATACATTAGAATAAATCCCAAGTGAATTAGAGATTTTAAAGTTTTAAAAAATAACTGAGGAAAATCTTTCCTGGGTATAACTTATTTTAAAATTGCTCTAAAAGCCAGAGCCTAAGCTTTTAAAGGACTGGCAGCTTCTACTTCACTCTCTTAGAAGCCTGAACCACCACTTAAGCAGTCCTTCTACCCCACTAAAGAGGCAACCACCTAGAAAGGCCCTGAGGCTAGTTGGAGAATGAGGAGATCCCAGCTGAGCCCAAATATCCAGCCATCCTTGTCAAGGCACCAGCATGTGAATGAGCTGTCTTGAGCCAACCCTGACCACAACATGAATATTACTGACACAACATGGAGCAGAGGAATTGCATAAGTAGTAATATGGCTACAGTTATTTTTAAATTATAACATGTATGGTTTTTTTGTGTGTGTGTGTTTGGTTTGGTTTGTTTGTTTTTGAGATGGAGTCTCGCTCTGTCGCCAGGCTGGAGGGCAGTGGCACGATCTCAGCTCACTGCAACCTCTGCCTCCCAGGTTCAAGCTATTCTCCTGCCTCAGCCTCCCCAGTAGCTGGGACTATAGGCGAGTGCCACAATGCCTGACTAATTTTTGTATTTTTAGTAGACATGGGGGTTTCACCCTGTTGGCCAGGATGGACTTGATCTCTTGACCTCGTGATCCGCCCACCTCAGCCTCCCAAAGTGCTGGGATTACAGACGTGAGCCACTGTGCCCAGCTAAATTATTACACATGTTTTATAGCAAATGATTACAATGATGCCACTAGGAACCCAAATGTTGAGTTTAAAAGAGCATAAATCAGACAAATTAAAGAAAGACCCTGCAAAGGTACATTTGAATGGAAAACATCAGTATCTACTCATATTTTTTCTGTTTCTAAAAATATGTATTTTCCAGTTCAGATCACTGAAGAGGCCTAGTAACAATGACAACCCAGTAGCAATGAGCAACCCAAATGCCCAGTCTGCGCTCTGTAAATACCACTGTCCACAAAAATACACTGGGATTTCTTGTAGAAATGACTGAGTCCAAGTCTGCAGCTGGAAATATACAACATGAGCCTGAGCTCTGGTGGTGTGCCAAGAGAGCAAGGAAGTCATCAGAGGCAAACAGGGCCATGTTAAAAACACTCAGGAGCCAAGCCAAAGGTACATAATGCCCTAAGATGACATAATGTGAGAAAAAATGATGACTGCAATGGATTGAAATATATCAAATATATAAAATTTATGAGTTAATCATGATACAAAAAACTAATCTCATTCATCACCACTGGAGGTTGCTAAGGCACCAACTTATTACCCCAAAATTTGATAATGTGCAAAAATCAAACATTTATTCTGACTTTCCTTTATAGATTTTATTCAGAGTAATGAAAATGTTGAGAACAAGTTCTTCTTTACAGAAAAATCCTAGGTAATAAAGGCAAGAGGAGCGATGGAATTAGAATATCACCTTTTGGTAACACAAATAAAATAATAGATTTAGGCAATAACAATGAATGAATGCTAAAAACCACTAATGAAATTGGAACATTATAACGGATAGAGCAAGCTAGCACCACTTAAACACTCAACTCCATCTTTACAACACTAAAAGTGGAAGAACCACACGTTATATGCCTCACAATGTATTACAATACCAAACACATAACTCCACTATGAACCTCTGAAGTGTTCCTGTTTAAAAAAAAAAAAATGAACCAGAATCTTCTCAGTCTCTAGGTATAGCAGTAAGATAACATGAAATACAAGGAATAGAATAAGAAGCTAAATGGCATAATGAAATAGTGATCAGTCACATCTAGAATGTTCTACAAGCTAAATGTTCTAGTATTTCAACAAATAAAATGGCATGAAAAGGGAATCATACGGTAGTCACATGTTTAGTTTTTTTAGTTATTTTCAGACCATTTTCCACAGTGGCTGTACTAATTTACGTTCCTTCCAACAATGTCCAAGGGTTCCCTTTATCCATATCCTTGCCAACACTTGTTATAGCTCAACTTTTTTATAAAAGTCATTCTCACAGGAGGTTTTAATTTGCATTTCTCCAATGATTAGTGATGCCGAGCATTTTTTCAACAACCTGCAATGTGGTGTGAATACACAATGGAATACTATCCAGCTTTGCAAAGGAGTAAAATCCTGTCACTTGGGAGAATGTGGATGAATCTAGAGGAACTTGTGCTAAGTGAAATAAGCCAGGCACAGAAAAACAAATGTCACATGATCTCCATTATATGCAGAATCTTTAAAAAGTTGAATTCATAGAAGTACAGTGTAGAATGATGGTTGTCAGAGGCTTGGGGTAGGGAAAGTGAGGGAATGAGGAAATATTCACCAAAGGGTACAAAGTTTCAACTAGATGGGAAAAATAAGTTTTGAGATCTAGTGCACAGCAGGGTCATTATAGTCAATACTAATGTATATTTAAAAATAACTAAAAGGGTAAATTTCAAATCTATCAGCACAACAAATGTCAAGTAAGTGAGGTGATGAATATGTTAATTAGCTTGATTTAATCACTCCACATTGTATACATATATCAAAACATCACATAGCATTCCATAAATGTCATTTAAGTATGATTTGTCAATTTAAAATAACATAAACAAAAATAGATAAATGTTTAGAATGGGGAAGGAAACTTATCAACACATAAAAACCAAATGTAATATGTAGACCTTGTTTAGATCCTATACAGTTGCAAAACCATCTGGGAAAAGAAAGCCTAAGTTTATCAGTCTCTTAGCTGACAAAGTAAAAGCTAAATATTCACCTACCCTATGACATAGAAATTTTACCCACTAGTTTGTATTCAAGAGAAATAAAAGTATGTCCACAAAAAGACATGTACAAGAAAGTTTATAGTATTTTTATTCATAACAGCCAAAAACAGGGGGCTGGAGGGGTAGGATTAATGTCCATCAACAGGAGAATTGATAAACAAATTGTAGTATATTCATACAATGGAATACTAGTTCTTAATAAAAAGGAATGAGTTACTAGATACACAACATGGATGGACTAACAGATATCATAACTAAAAGAATCCAAACACAAAAGAATATTGTATGATTCCGTTTACATGAAGTTCTAGAATAAGTAAAAGTAATCTATGGTGAAAAAAATAAGTGATTAGCTCTAGAAGGGTAGTTAAAACTGGGAAAGGGTATAAGAGGATTTTCTAAGGTGATGGTAATGTTCTCTTATCTTGAGAAGGACGTGAATTACAAGAGTGCATGTATTTGTCAAAACTCATTGAAAGGTACTCAGGATTTGTACATGTCACTCTCGATCAATTTTTTACCTTTAAAAAAAGAACATAAACAAATACTAAACTCTAGTCAATACATTTTCTTTTCACAGTGATATGGATTAACAATTCTAAAACCACTGTCTGTGTTTTCTAGGCTTGAGCAAATAAGTAAATACATTGAGGATCACAGGGGCCAGGTTTCTCAGTATTACAGTATGGAGATATCAAACACGGAAAGGGAGCAACTAGAATGCATTGGATTAGGATGGGAGGCATCAGTATTAATGTATAGTTTTAATTAATTTATAGCTTTTAATAATTTACAGTTTTATAAAAGTAAATGCATGTGCACATGTATTTTCTAGCTCTGTCCACTGCGACAGCCTAGAAGCCATGATATAACAATAGCAATGAGCACACTGGCACCCAGATTTTGGATTCTAAGTACTATTATTCTCTGAAAAGAATAAGAACTCTGAAAACGCTAATTCCAGAGCTGGAACAATGAAAACCTAGGAGATCCTGGAGCACCTTGTTGATCCGGAAATTAAGGAAGTGCTTAAAGAACAACCGGGACATAAGAAAAGGACACAGGAGCTGGCTGGAAGGATTCCCACTGGCCAAATTTGGGAAAATTTAAGCATCAAAAATAAATAATTGATTATCATACATTAAGTAAAATAATAATCTGCAAGTCCATACTGATATAAATAAATCAATGACTAAATAAATGGCGGAAGACCCATGTGTATAGAATGCCAAATAATAAATTAGACAATAAACTTAGAAAATCACAACGGATGCTTAAAACTTGTCAGTAAAAGTTTGATGACAAGTAGGATATTTACATAGTCTCCCAAGCTCCCCACTAATTACTTATAATTAACTATACAATGAAGAAACCCGGAGACACAACCATAGCCAAATGATCAAAGTCAACATGACCAATATCGCCTTCCAATAGTATGCATGGAGAACAACACAGTATCATGTCTTTGGTGCTTCTGTCAAAAAGACATAACTGAAATCTAACCATAAGGAAACTTCAGACAAACTCAAATCATGAAACATTCTACACAACAGCTGGCCTGTACCTTTGAAAAAATGAAAAGGTCAAGAAATACAAGGGCAAAGGAGATGTTCCCTACAAAAAAAGACTAAAGAGACATGACATCCAAAAGTATGATCCTGCACTGCATCTGGACTAGGGAAAATACGTAATTCTAAAAATAATTTTTGGGGAAACTGCCAAATTTTGAATGTGGACGAGGATAAATAGTAGGAGTGCAGAGTTTCTTGTTCTTGATAATTATACTGTGTTATACAAGAGAATGTCTTTACCTTCAGGAAATATACGCTGAAATGTTTACAAGGAATGGGATATGATATCTCCAATGTACTTCTTGTCACTTAGGAAAAATGTTTATATAAATAATAAATCAAATACAGCAAAACGTAAGCATTTGGTGAATTTAGGCAAGGTATATATGAGAGATTCTTGCAACTTTTTGTCAGTTTTATATTTTCTTACAGTATCAACCAAAAAAAAATTCTTTAATAAATCAGGGATATGAACATAGACAGAGGACATGAAGCAATTCCTAATAATGGCATGGGAGTTATATTTGTTAAATCTTTGCTAGAGATACAAATTAAATTATTTGTGAGTGATACAACACAATATCCAGAATTTTCTTTAAAATAATCCAGTAAGAACAAAAGGTAAGGAATAAAAAGTCATCTGCAAAATGAGACTAAGGAAACTGTCTCTGTCTGTCTCACTGCCAGGGCTGCTGGGAGGGGCAGTGACTGAGCAGGCAGGACCCTCTGGAGCCATTCTGCAGAAGGCTGTCCCCTCTGCCCAGCTGGGTGACTGCTAGCCCACTGAGCCTCCTGTCTTCACAGTCCCCTGTAGCAGAGCTGCAACCTGCAGAACTCACTTTTCTGCTTTTCCAAGTACTTTGGCAGCAACAAACATGGGGGTGAGTAGCAGGAGGGGGAGCTGGGATAAGCTTGCCTTCATTGCAGAGGAAATAAATCTAACAGATTTTTCTGTCTTAGGAACACTTGGCATATTTTCTAAATGAAATCATGAGTTTCCTGAGAGTCATTTGCCAGGCTTACGACCTCAGAGGCAGTCCCTATCTCCCTGTCTCTGTTTCCCCTCAACAGGCTGACTGGCTTTCTCTGCTTTGTCTAGGGATTCATGCCTCTGTTCCTGGTGGAGCTCACCTGGCGACACCTATGGCTTTTCTCCATCCTCAGAATAGGAGACAATAAGGCGTCTAATTAAGGTGATGGTTGGTGAGCACTGCTCTGAAAGACAAAGTCGAGCTTGCTGGGAAGGCTTTTCCACTGGCTTGGCATAAGGGGTAGATCACCTCAAGGACCACCAGCCTTTTGCATGCCTGAATGGACCATTCACAGACATGCACAGCTGTGGGGCAAACCTGGCCTCTGTCAGGTGAGGAAGAGGACCCCGGAAGGCCCTCCTGGGTAAGCCAGTGACAAGACGCCACACTGCTGTGATCCTGTAACTGCCTACCTCTCAGACTAAAGCTAGTCCAGCCAAGGAGACCAGATGGGGTTGGGAGGGCATTGAGCACTTTTCACTTAGGGCAGAAAGAGTCCCCATCTCCACAAAACAAAAACAAAAAAAAAAAAACAACAGCAGAAACACAAAAGCTGTATCCCTGATAAGGTGAGGATGATCATTTATTAAGGGCTAAAAGTTTGAAATGGACTATTCCTTCTGCAAAAAAAATGCTGTTGTATACTTTGTCTCCATTTTTATTATATCATACATTTAAATTACATCATAAAAGTATTTAAACACCTTTATTATCTCCACATGAGAAACCTGAAACTGAAGATCAAGTAGTTTCCTGAGGCCACAAAATAATAAGTGGGAAGTGGAATTTGAACCTAGAACAAGTTTGAGTCTTAAGTTCCTGCTCTTAACTTCAGGGCTATGCTGCTATCAACTCACGGGAACCAAAGCCCAAACCTAAATGTCAATTCCCTGGGGGACGTCCAACTTCTAGAATGGAGGACTCAGTCAAAGCGACTCTGGAATGCAGGAGCAAAAATGCAGACCTTGGGCCTGGGGTTATAGACTGACATCCAGTCACTTAGAAGCCACCGGGAAAATAGCCAAGGAGGTGGAGTTGAGGTATCTGGCCTCTAGGAAGAGAAGTCCAGGGCAGCCATTGAACCAGAAAGCTGCTTTTGCTGAAGCTAGGGAGAAAAGACTTGGTGGTAAGGCTACTAAAGATTGATTAGGAGCCACATTTAAATGTGGCTCCTAATCAATCTTTAGTAGCCTTACCACCAAGCTGGGGGGTGGGAGTGGGGTGGAGGGAACAATCTCTGTGAGCTAAGGCAGGAGTCACAGAAGGCTTCCAGGAGGAGGGAGCCATCCAGCTGACCCCTGATGGCAGGTAGGATAGAACAGAAGGAGAAGAGGAGGAGATGCCTTCAAATGGTCACCAGGATGAACAGAGCAAAGATGAAGTATTTCTTTCTCTGGACCAGAGTTTCTGGTTTTGCTTCCCTCTTAACACAGATCTCTGCTAAAGGACCCCTTTCCAGGGAACAGCATTTTATAAGGTATACAACATATAGTCACTATAGTCACCCTTCTCATCTACTCCCTGTCACTATCTCATGAGAACAAGAAGATGCTATCACCATTTTACAGCGGCGGAATTTTTTCCTTTTTTTTTTGAGAGGGGGGTCTCACTGTCACCCAGGCTGGAGTGCAGTGGCACAATCTCAGCTCACTGCAACCTCTACCTCCCGGGTTCAAGCAATTCTCCTGCCTCAGCCTCCCTCCCAAGTATCTGGGATTATGCCACCATGCCTGGCTAATTTTTGTATTTTTAGTAGAGACAGGGTTTCACCATGTTGGCCAGGCTGGTCTCGAACTCCTGACCTCAAGTGATCCACCCGCCTCAGCCTCCCAAAGTGCTGGGATTACAAGCGTAAGCCACCACACCTGGCCCAGAGGAGGGATTTTAAGCTCAGAGACTTTGCTTAAGGAAAGATGAAGTCAGTTTCAAAGCCAGGTCCTGAGAGACCTTCATCCCAACCTTGACAGGCACAGTGGAGGAGAGAAGGCCACTTGTTGATGGATTTGAAGAGTTGACTGTGGCTGCTGCTAAGGGGAAGAGTGAGATTCTAGGTGTTGCTGCTGCGTCTCATCTTCTTATGTCACCAAGCTAAGGTCAGGATCTCTGGCTGGCAGGAAGGAGCCAGTGTGGGAAAGGAGGCAGTGACAGAAGAGAATGAACCCAGTCATTCAGCTTAATGCATCAATTCATCCATCCAATGTATATTGAGCATCTACTCTGTGTTTGATTTGTGTTTGATTCCAGTTCCTAGCAGACAGAGTTCCTATGCTCATGAAGTTGCGCAGTTTGAAAGAAGTGGAAAGTCTTGATCAAATAATAGCACAAACACAGAACTACAATCTGGAATACCACAGTTTAAAAAGTACAGGGGGGTACGAGAGTTGTAATACGGATCCTGACCTAATTTGGGAAGTAACCTATTTACTAGGAAGTGACATGTAAGCTAAGATCCAAAAGAAGAATAGGAACTAACAACAGTGGCTTACAGAGACTTCTACAAAGAGAAGCCCACTGGGGTCAAAGCCATGAGGCAGGAGGCAGTGGTGAGAGGCCAGCTGAGCAGGCAGACCAGCCTGAGGGGACACTGGCAGGCAGCGGGGCCAGACTGTGGAGGGCCAAGCAAGATGGAATTTTTTAATTAATTAATTAATTAATTATTTTGAGACGGAGTCTCACTCTGTCACCCAGACTGGAGTGCAGTAGCGCAATCTCAGCTCACTGCAACCTCCGCCTCCTGGGTTTAAGCGATTCTCCTCCCTCAGCCTCCCCAGTAGCTGGGACTACAGGTGTGCACCACCACACCCGACTATTTTTTGTATTTTTAGTAGAGATGGGGTTTCACCATGGTGGCCAGGATGATCTCAATCTCCTGACCTCATGATCCGCCCGCCTTGGCCTCCCAAAAAGTGCTGGGATTACAGGTGTGAGCCACTACACCCGGCTTTGTTTTTTTATTGTACTTTAAGCTTTGGGATACATGTGCAGGACATGCAGGTTTGTTACATAGGTATATATGTGCCATGGTGGTTTGCTGCACCCATCAATCCATCATCTACATTAGGTATTTCTCCTAATGCTATCCCTGCCCTTGCCCCCAACCCCCCGACAGGCCTGGGTGTGTGATGTTCCCTCCCTGTGTCCATATGTTCTCATTGTTCAACTCCCACTTATAAGTGAGAACATGCAGTGTTTGGTTTTCTGTTCCTGTGTTAGTTTGCTGAGAATGATCCATGCTTTATCCATGTCCCTGCAAAGGACAGAAAACCAACAAACAGGATGGGATCTTATCCTCAGAGCATGGGAAGCTAAAGAAGGGATTGTGCTTGGGGATGCTTGATTAGAACTGTGTTTTAAAATGTCAGTGTGGCTGCCATGTAGATAATGAATCAAATTGGGACAAAGGTGGAGGCAGAAAATAACTAGAAAATAGTGTAATAGAATAAGTGGAAAGTAAAAGTGACTTCTTGGGTAATGGCCATGGATGCAGATATTAATAGATTCCAGAGTTACAAAGGAAGCATTATCAACATAACTTTTTTTTTTTTTTTTTTTTTTTTTTGAGACAGAGTCTCGCTCTGTCGCCCAGGCTGGAGTGCAGTGGAGCAATCTCGGCTCACTGCAAGCTCCGCCTCCCAGGTTCACGCCATTCTCCTGCCTCAGCCTCCTGAGTAGCTGGGACTACAGGCGCCTGCCACCTACCCAGCTAATTTTTTGTATTTTTAGTAGAGACCGGGTTTCACCGTGTTAGCCAGGATGGTCTCGATCTCCTGACCTCATGATCCGCCCGCCTCAGCCTCCCAAAGTGCTGGGATTACAGGCGTGAGCCACCCGCGCCCGGCCTCAACAGAACTTTTTGTTTGTTTGTTTTTTAAGACAGAGTTTGCTCTTGTTGTCCAGGCTGTAGTGCAATGGCACTATCTTGGCTCGCTGCAACCTCTGCCTCCCGGGTTCAAGTGATTCTCCTGCCTCAGCCTCCCAAGTAGCTGGGATTATAGGCATGTGCCACCACGCCTGGCTAATTTTTTTGTATTTAGTAGAGACAAGGTTTCACCATATTAATCAGGCTGATCTCGAACTCCTGACCCAGGTGATCCACCGCCTTGGCCTCCCGAAGTGCTGAGATTACAGGCGTGAGCCACTGTGCCTGACCATTAACAGAACACTTCTGAGCGAGGAAGAGAGATCCTACATGACATGCCTCCTGGTCATCCAACCCTCAAGAGGGACTTCTTTTTATAAAAGAGGAAACCGTCAACCCAGAGATGACTGAAATTCCCAAGGTTACGCAGCCAGGAGAAGAGTCCGGGTCTCCAAATCCCTGAGAAGAGCCTATGCTCCGTGGCACATCTGTTCCTGGGAGAGCACTGAGGCATAGTGCTACCACAAAATGCCTCTCAGAGCTTAGTTTAGCCTTTCCGTAAAACAAAGACCCACATCCTAGTGACATATTTCACACTCTTTTCAAAATTGGTCTTAAACACAGCCCATTCACCAGCAGACCTGGCTTCCCTGAATCCCCACGGATGGATAATTCAAAAATCCACTTACTGCTGCTGCAACATATTACCATAAGCTTAGTGTTTTAAACAATGTAAACCTATTCTTTCCCAATCCTGTAAGTCAAAAGTCTGGAATCAGTTTCACTGGGCTAAAGTCAAGGTGTCGACAGCGTTAGTTCCTTATGGAGTCTCCAGAGGAGGATCTATTTTCTTTCTTTTTCCGTCTTTTTGAGGCCGCCTACGTTCCTTTGTGCATGGCTCCTTCCTCCATCTTCAAAGCCAGGAGTGTCACAGCTTATTTCCATTGTCACATTTCATTCTTCTGTAGTCAAGTCTTTTTTTTTTTTTTCTTTTTTGAGACAGTCTCGCTTTGTCGCCCTGGCTGGAGTGCAGTGGTGCGGTCTCGGCTCACTGCAACATCCGCCGCCCGGGTTCAAGCGATTCTCCTGCCTCAGCCTCCCGAGTAGTAGCTGGGATTACAGGCGCATGCCGCCATGCCTGGCTAATTTTTTGTATTTTAGTGGAGACAGAGTTTCACCGTGTTGCCCAGGCTGGTCTCAAACTCCCGAGCCCAGGGAATCTGCCCACCTCAGCCTCCCAAAGTGCTGGGATTACAGGCGTGAGCCACGGCGCCCGGCCCTCTTCCTCCTCCTTCTAGAGATACTTGTGATTACACTTCGGGTCCACTTGAATCTCCCCATCTCAAAATCCTGAACTTAATTACATCTGCAAAGTTCCTTTTGCCAAATAAAGTAACATTCATGTGATCTAAGGATTAGGACCTGGATAGCTTTCTGGGACATTATTCAGCCTATCATAACTTCTACTTATCCTTCTTACTCTAAGGGAAACTAGGTTAATATTAAACTTGCTGTGCCTTACCTCAAATATAGACAGGCAGGACAGGAAATAGGCAACAGAAGTTAACTGAGGATCAGCCAAGAAGACTGGCGTCATGTTGAACTAAGGATGCTCACTCTTTAGAGGCTACAGACCGCCCCCCTTACCCTCTTTGAGAATACAGTGAAAGCCTTGGATGCTCTCCTTCCAAAAAATACAGACTCCCAAAATACCACTCTGTATATAACTTTAGATATTTTGCAGACCTACTGAAGCCTGTGAAAGCTAAACATTTGCTGTGCACAATCAAAGCAGACCTAACACAACTGACTGGGTGTTCAGGTAATACAGTCTATACAATTCTGTAACTGACTCTTGGTCAGACCTGCTGAAACTGGTCTTATGCTGAGTCTGTCCTGGGTATCTGGGGTTGGCACACTAACCAGAACTAGCCATCAAGAAAGTGGTATCTTAGGGCATCTGCTGACAGTCTCCAGCTACGGTAGACCACACACAGACACACACACACACACACACACACACACACACACAAATACTAACAAAGAGATACTGGAAAACCTAGCTACACTCCTATAAATTTAATTTTTATAAACTGTACAATGAAAATGTCTACATTTAGATGGATAAGAGCCTTTTATTTTCAGAATCCATCACATCAGATATAATCAGACATTTACCTAAGGCAAATGAAAACAATAATTCACTCTATAAGAAAAAGACAAGCCAATAGAAAGAGTAGCAAAGATTTAAATAGATTGTTCACAAAAGAGAACAATAGGGCTCAATTTCATTAGTCATCCAGGAAATACAAATTAAATCTATGAGATAATAATACACATCATCAGAATGGTCTATGTGAAAAAGATATTATCAAGTGTTGGTTGGGATGTGGAACATGAGAAACTATCACATGCTGTTGCAGAGCTGGGGCTGTGAGTTACTACAATCACTTTGGAAAAATAATGGCACTATCAACTAAAGCCAAACATATGCATAGATTATGTCCCAATAATTCAAACAAAAATATAGATGTGTTTATCAAAGGATATGTATTAGAAGAACACTTATAATAGCACCATTATTATTTTTTTAATCATGGTATACATAACAAAAATTACTATCTTAACTATTTTTAAGCATAGTTTGGTGGCATTAAACACATTATTAAGCAACCATCACCAAAATTCATCTTTAGAATTTTTGTCATCTTTCCAAACTGAAACACTATACCCATTAAACAATAACACCCAAACCCTCTATATCCCCAGCCTCTGGCAACCATCATTCTACTTTTGTTTTCTATGAATTTGAGATACCTTATGTATCTCATATAAGTAGAATCATATAGTATGTGTCCTTTTGTGACTGGCTTCTTTCACTTAGCATAATGTCTTCAAGGTTCATCCATGTCATAGCATGTGTCAGAATTTCTTTTTAAAGCTGAATATTCCATTGCCTGTATATACATTTTGTTGGTCCATTCATTCATTGGTGGACACTTGGGTGACTTCTCCCTTCTAGCTATTGTGAATAATGCTGCTATGAAAAATGAGTGCACAAATATTTGTACAAATATTTCTGTACCCCAAAAATCTCTGCTTTCAATCCTCTGGGGTTTATACCCAGAAGTGGAATTGCTGGATCATATAGTGATTCTGTTTTTAATTTCTGAGGAATCTCCATACAGTTTTTCATAGAGGCTGCACCATTTTCCATTCACACCAGCAAAGCACAGGGTTTCAATTTTTTCATATCCTGGCCAACACTTGTTGCTGTTTTTTGTTTTTGTTTTCGTTTTTTTTTTAATAGCCATCCCAAGGTGTGAGGTGGTATCTCACTGTGGGTTTTATTTGCATTTCCCTAATGATTAGTGATGTTGAACATCTTTCATATGCTCATGGGCCATTTGTATATCTTCTTTGGAGAAATATCTATTCAAGTCCTTTGCCCATTTTTTAATCAGGTTGCTTTTTGCAGATGTTGTTGACTTCTAAGAGTTACTTATCTATTCTGGATATTAATCCCTTATCAGATACATAATTTGCTAATATGTTCTCTCATTTCATGTATATTAGTCAGGGTTCTCTTAGAGGGACAGAACTAATAGGATAGATAGATATAAAGGGGAGTTTATTCAGTATTAACTTACATGATCACAAGGTCCCACAATAGGCTGTCTACACGCTGAGGGCAAGCAGAGCCAGCCCCAGTCCCAAAACTGAAGGACGTGGAGTCCATTGTTCAAGGACAGGAAACGTCCAGCACGGGAGAAAGATGTAGGCTGGGAGGTTAGTCCTGTCTCTCCTTTTCACATTTTTCTGCCTGCTTTATATTTGGTGGTGACTGATTAAATGGTGCCCACCCGATTAAGGGTGGATCTGCCTTCTCCAGCCCATTGACTCAAACGTTAATTTCCTTTTGCAGCACCCTCACAGACACACCCAGGATCAATATTGCATCCTTCAATCACACCATGTATTGTCTTTTCACTCTAATAATGTCATTTAAAAATATATATATATTTAATTATATGGATATATAATAGTTATGTATATTTATGGGGTATTGTGATATATTGGAGCATACAATATAGAATTATCAAATCAGGATAATTGGAATATCCATCACTTCAAGCATTTATCATCTCTTTGGGTTAGAAACATTCTAATTCATTATTTTAGTTATTTTGAAATATACAATAAATTATTAACTATACTCACCTTATTGTGTTAGCAAACACTAGATCTTATTCCTTCTACTTTAACTGAATTTTTGTATCCATTAACCATTCCCTCTCTATCTCCCCTCCCCACCACCCTTTCCACTCTCTGGTAAGCATCATTCTACTCTCTATCTCCATGAATTCTATTTTTTTAGCCTCCACATATGAGTGAGAACATACAATATTTCTCTTTCTGTGTCTGGTTTATTTCATTTTACATAACGTCCTCTAGTTCCATCCATGTTGTTGCAAATAATAAAATTTCATACTTTTTATGATGTGATAATATTACATTGTGTATTAGTACCACATTTTATTTTTTCACTAGTCTATTGATGGACACTTAAGTTGATTCCATATCTTGGCTATTGTGAATAGTGCTGCAATAAACATGGGAGTGCAGATATCTCTTCAATACATTGACTTCTTTTCTTTTGAATGTATAAGCCAGCAGTAGTAGCTATACTTATATCAGACAAAATAGATTTCAAATTGCTGGGTCTTATGGGGTAGCTCTATTTTAATTTTTTAAAGGAACTCCATACTGTTCTCTATAGTGGCTATAACAATTTACATTCCCACTAACAGTATGAGGATTATCCTTTCTCCAAATCCTCACCAACATTTGTTATTGTCTTTTTTTAATTAATTAATTTATTTATTTATTTTGAGACAGAGTCTCGCTCTGTCACCCAGGCTGGAGTGCAATGGTGCTCTCGGCTCACTGCAACCTCTGCCTCCCAGGTTCCAGTGATTCCCCTGCCTCAGCCTCCCAAGTAGCCGGGATTACAGGCGCCCGCCACCACGCCCGGCTAATTTTTGTATTTTTAGTAGAGACAGGGTTTCACCATGTTGGCCAGGCTGGTCTTGAACTCCTGACCTCAGGTGAACCATCTGCCTCGGCCTCCCAAAGTGCTGGGATTACAGGTGTGAGCCACCACACCCAGCCATATTTTGCCCATTTTAAATTAAATTATTTTTTTCGTATTGTTTGAGCTCCTTAGATATTCTGCTTATTAATCCCTTGTCAGATGGGTAGTTGGCAAATATTTGCTCTCATTCTGTGGGTTGTGTCTTCACTTTGTTGATTGTTTCCTTTGCTGTGGAGAAACTTTTTAGCTTGATGTGATCCCCTTTGTCCATTTTGCCTTTGGTTGCATGTGCTTTTTGGTCTTACTCAAGAAATCTTTGCCCACATCAATGTCCTGTAGTGTTTCTACAATGCTTTCTTCTAGTAGCTTAATAGTTTCTTATCTTACATTTAAGTCTTTAATCCATTTTTATTTGATTACTGCTTATGGTGAGGAATCAGGTCTATTTTCATTCTTCTACATATGAAGAATGTGCAGTTTTCTCAGCACAGTTTATTGAAAATACTATTCTTTCTTCAATATATGTTCTTTTGTCAAAAAATGAGTGGACTGTAAATACATCAACTTGTTTCTGGGTTCTCTATTCTGTTCCATCCATCAGTCTTTATGTCTGTTTTTATGCCAGTACCATGCTGTTCCTCTTATTATTTATTTCTAGTTTTATGCCATTGCGATCAGAAAAGATACTTGATATGATTTCAATTTTTTTTTAATCTTTTGAAACTTGTTTTGTGGCTTAACATATGTGGTAAGGAGAAGAATGTGCATTCTGCAGCTATTGGATGAAATGTTTTATAAATCTCTATCAGGTTCATTGGTTCTGTGGTGCAGATTAAGTGTAATGCTTCTTTCTTTTCTCTCTACATAATCCAGCCAATGCTGGAAATGGGGTGTTGAAGTCATCAGCTATTATTGTACTCGGGTCCATCTTTCCCTTTAGCTCTAGTAATATTTACTTTATATACCTGAGTGCCCCAGTATTAGGTGAGTATGTATTTATAATTGTTTTATCCTCTTGCTGAATTGACCATTTTATCCTTATATAATGACCTTCTTTATCTCCTTTTGTTTTGAAATCTATTTTTTCTGATATAAGCATAGCTACTCTTGCTCTTTTTTGGTTTCCATTTGCATGAAGTATCTTTTTCCATTTCCTTGTTTTCAGTCTATGTGAATCTATAGATGAAGTGAGTTTCTTGCAGGAGCATATAGTTGGGTCTTGTGGGTTTTGTTTGTTTTTGTTTTTTAATCCATTAAGGCACTATGTCTTTTGACTGGAGAATTTAGTCCATTCACATTTAATGTTCTTATTGGTAGTTAAGGACTTACTACTGCAATGTTCTTATTTCTTTTCTGGTTGTCTTCTTTATCCTCTCTTCTTAATTCCTTCAATTCCTTCCTGTCTTCCTCTGTGTAAAAGTTATTTTCTCTGGTGGTATGTTTTAATTTCTTGCTTTTTATTTTTTATATACCTATTTTAAGTTTTTCTTTGTGGTTTCCATAAGGCTTACAAGTAACATCTCATAACCAATTATTTTAAACTGATAACAACTTAGCTCTGATAACAAAGAAAAAAATACAAGCAAAGAGAAAACTAAAACACTTTATACTTTAACTCCATCCCCTTTGCTTTTTGACCTTATGTTGTCTCTATGTGTTTTCATATTGTCTATCTTTAAAAAAATTGTTGGAGTGATTATTTTTGATGAACTGTCTTTCAGTTTTTCTACTAATGATACGAGTGGCTTACACTCTGCAATTATAGAGGTAGCGTATTCTGTATTTCTCTGTGTACTTATATTTACCAGTTAATTTTTGTTGCTCATTGATGTTCTTTTCTTTCAGATTGAAGAATTCATGTTAGCATTTCATATAAGTCTGGTTTTGACAAAGTCTCTCAGCTTCTGTTTGTCTGTGAAAGTCTTTATTTCTCCTTCATGTTTGAAGGATAATTATCTCATGGACACCACAGTTGGCACCAAACTGGGTCACACCTGGAGCTGAGGGCCTTCCAGACCAGCACAGTACTAAAGTTCCTCCAAAGCCTATGGCTGCTACTGCCAGGCTGTTGATGTTTATTCAAGGCCTAGGCCACTTGAGTCAGCAAGTGGTAAATCCTGCCTGGACTGGGTTCATACCAACAAGGAAGTAGATTCCCTTCTGGTCTAGGGTGGGTCTAGAAACACTGTCCAGGAGTAAAGGTCTAAAATTGAGAGCTTCAGGGATCTGCCTGGTGCTTCATGTTACTGTGGCTGAGCTTGTACCCAAGTTGTAAGACAAAGTCCTCTGTACTCTTCCCTCTCCTTCCCCCGAGTGGAAGGAGTATCTCCCCAAGCTGCACTGCCTAGAACTGGGGGAAAGTTTATGCAGGCACTCTTGTGGCCACAACAGCTGGTGTCCCACTGGGTTACACCCCAAGCACACTGCCACTGAGACCAGGACTGCACAAGCGCTTTTCCATGGACTACAGCCACTGTGGCCTGACTGCCACTCAAATTTATTCAGGGCCCCAGGTCACTTTAGTCAGCTAATGATGAAGCTGGGCAGGACTCACTTTCCCCCCACTAGAGCAGAGCATTTCCCTCTATCCCAGGACTCATCTATATGCTCCCTTCATGGGCACTGGTGGATTCTGCCTGGTGTTTTGTTTTGCTGTGACAAGGCAGCACTGTGTTCCAAGGCAAAGTCTTTCATTCACTTTGTTCTCCCTCCATCAAGCACACAGATTCTGTCTCTGAGCTACCTGGGGTTGGGAAGGATTGGTGTAGGCAATGCAAGACTGCCCTTTGTACCTTCTTCAATCCCTCTTTCCTGTTACTATGTTAAAACCAGATACTGTGATTGCTCACCTGATTTTTTGTTCCTATGAAGGTGCTCCCTTGCATGTATAGTTGTTTAATTTGGTGTTCCTGCAGGGGATAATTGCTGGAAGGTTCTATTTGATTATCTTGCCTTTTAATGCACAAAAGTTTTTAATTTTAATGAAGTCCAATTAATCTATTTTTTCTTTGTTACCTGTGCTTTTGATGTCATATTCAAGAAATCACTGCCAAATCCAGTGCCATTAAGTTTCCCCCTATTGTTTTCTACTAAAAGTTTTATAGTGTTAACTCTTACATTTAGGTCTTTTATCCATTTAAAGTAAAGGTCCAACTTCATTCTTCTGTAGGTGGACATCTAAGTTTTTCCAACACCATTTGTTGAAAAGGCTGCCCTTTATCCATTGAATGGTCTTGGCACCTTCGTCAAAAATCGTTTGACCATATACATGAGGACTTACTTTTGGGCTTCCTATTTTATTCCATTGTTCTATATGTCTGTCAACAGCACCATTTTTAATAGCCCAAACATCAATCAATAGCAGAATGAATATATAAATAGTGAGATAGTAACACTATTAAATGTTGTACAGCACCAAGAGTAAAAGTTTTACAACCAATAATAGCAACATGGATGAATTTCACAATCATAAATTAAGCAAAAGCAGCCAAACACAAAAGAATACTTATTTTATGATTTCATTTACATAAAATACAAAAGCAGGTAAACTTAATGCTTCTAGGAGTCAGGATAGGGGAGGGAAGCAGTAGTGACAGGAAGGGGGTCAGGAAGGGGCAGGAGGAGCTTCTGAGACAGTGATGTTCCATTTTTTAAATTTGAGTGCTGGTTTCCTATGTTCAATTAGTAAAATCCATCAAACTAGACATTTATAATTTGTGCATTTTTCTGGATGCATATATGATAAAAAAGATTTTTAATAAACACACACTTTATAGATGCAAAGCAAGGGAAACATCATGTTACTACAAAAACCATTATCACAGCTTACAGGTCATCACTATCAGCTGACCTATTAGAAACCTCAACGAATCAGAATTCAGCAATGCCAGACTGTGTCATTCACATACATGGGGTGGCTATCAGCTGAAAATGGCTTATAAAGTTCTCAACAATGTCTACTCCAGTTGATGTTCTGAGTTCCTAAAGCCAATATAAACAAAGTACATTATCTATGATCAGTGTCTAACAATAAAATAATATGATTATACCTGTTGCTCATATGTCTATGACTGGGAGACAGCATGACAAGGGCAGACAATTAAATCAGGATATGCAATAAGTTAATCCTGGGAGACTCTGGAAAAATGAAACTTTGCCTCATCTATGACTGTCATCAGGGGCCGTATGAGTCACTCCAAAGCACCTCTAGCTACAGAAACCTCAGGAAAGATGCCTTTCAGCGGTCTTGTCCCTTTGTACTGTTTCACATGGGCTGTGTCTCCTTTGCTCCCTTCATGCCTTTCGAATGATTCCAACACTTGTGAACACTCACCACAAGCCAAATGCTGGGCTGAACCCTCTCCGTGCGTCTCTTTTATATCTGCACAGCGAATCTGCAAGGTAGAGACTATTACAGCTCTTTTTCAAAGGTGAGAAAACCCAGGCTTAAGAAGTCCAAGCATCTAACATAACCAGTAAGTCACAAATGTGGAATTCAAAACTAGGCTTTTAGATGCTGCACACTGATCTCTTAAGCACGATCATGCAGTGCTTGAGGGCATTGCTCAGGGCTCTCCAGAGAACAGAAGCAATAGAAGATATATTTATATATTTATATTATATATTTATTATAGGAATTGGTTCACAGATTATGGAGGCCAAGAAGTCCCACAATCTGCCACCTGCAAGCTAGAGCACCAGGAAAGCCCGTGGTGTACGTCAGTCCATGTCCAAAGGGTTGAGAACCACAGAAGCCAAAGGTGTTAAGTCCAGGAGTCCAAACGCCCTAGAACCAGGAGCTTCAATGTCCCAGGACAGGAGATTAATGACCCAGTTCAAGGAAGTGAGGGAGTGGAGGAGGGAGAGAGAGAGAATTTGCCTTGCCTTCACCTTTTATGTTCTGTCCAAGCCCTCAAGGGATTGGATGATGCCCACTCACAGCGCTGAGGGCAGACCTTCTTCACGCAGTCTACTGATTCATATGCTAATGTCTTTTGAAAACATCTTCACAGACACTCAAAAAAAAAAATGCTTTACCAGCCATGTGAATATCCCTTAGCCCAGGCAAGTCCACATGTAAAGTTAAGCATCACACTGAGTATTCTGACTCCTCGCTGGTCACAAAGGAATTGGAGCCTTGCTGAGGAAATAAGACGTAAAAAGGCAAAAGGACAATCCCTAGAGCTGTTAGCACATCTGCTGCTACAGTGAGGCTTTGTGATCATCAGTTCACCTGTCAGTCTTACTCACTAAGCAGGGTCTGTGTCCTGTTTATCTCAGAGTCCTCGGTACAGAGGAGCACAGCATCACACAGCAGGTGCTTCATAAATGTTTGTTGACTGAGAGGGAGGGGAGAAGAGGAGGGATAAAGGGGGGAAGAAACAGTTCCCTTGACAGGAGACCATGGAACATTCTAGAAGCCATCATGACTGTCAAAAATCCACCGTGTTGGAGAGTCCCAGACAGTGTTCTCTTATCTAAACATTGGAACATAAAGGCTGAATTTAGGTTTCAGAGATGGCAGGGTGCTATTCAATTCCTGTGCTTATTCAAAATTTTATTTTTTGTTTATCATGGGTTTTTATGTTGAGTTTTTAAAATAGTGCATTAAAATACTATTTATCCTGATTACTGAGTCTTGGGCACACCCTCCAGTTTCCCTCCTAAAGGGAGTGTTCCCCTCTCCTCACCCTAGTCCCTGTAGCTATTTTCACACTTGAAGCAAGAGACACACTCAGGACACAGCAATCGTGTGAGTGCAAGCGACATGCTCTTAGCTCACAGCCAGAGTTCACGCCACAGAACATTCCAGCCCCAACATCCCTGAGCAGCGGAAACACATTTGCTGGCAACTCCTCACCAGACTTGAACAATGTTTTGGTGTTTAATTAAATTCCAAGAACACCTGTTTCATCAGCTTATAAATTCCAACTGAATTTTAAGCGACTTCTGTTTGGCATGCAGAGTTTTTATTTTCTAGGCTGTAACCACAGCAACATTTTTTTCCCTGAATATCTGTCCTTCACTCCTGCCACACAATTCACCCCCTTTCCCTGCCTTTTGCGGGCACGCAGAGCTCTTCACTGCCTTTTCAAACTCCCCATTTAGCTCTCTGGCTGTCAAAATAGCAACACAGTAACATGATGTATTGCTTTTACTTTTTTTGACAATTCATCTAAAGTTTGGACATTTGTACAAGAGAGTACAATGTGATAAACTGAACTTCCTTTACTAGCTAAAACCTATGCACTGAAATAGCTGCCATTTTTTAAGCATCTCTAATCCACATGCAGAGCCCTAGACTGGGCGCTTCACATTCATTTGCTCTTTCTGAGCAGCAGTTCCCTCCTCTGTGGACTGAAGGGGATACCCTCACCCAACAGTGCTGCCAAATGGATTATACAACTCTCCCTCGAGTCCCACAGCTAGTGAAGGGTACAGTAGAGATTGGGAGCCAAGCCCTTCAGACTCCAAAATCTTCCTGCCTCTCCAACTAATATCTGATTCCAGGACCCCAAAGCAACTCTGTTAAGGATTATCTGGGAATATAGCAATGAACAAATGTCAAATATGACAGTAGTCAGGATGAAAACATTAAAGAATACCATCACCTACGTGAAGGCTTGATTGGGAGATCAGGAGGGGTGTTGGTAAATAGTCCTCCCCAAACTGAGATTAAGCCCAGACCTGAGTGAAGAGACAGATTATGTGACAGTAATGACAAAGAATCTGGAGTCAACTACAGTCTACACTGACTGACCTAACTTCTCTGTGTCTCAGTTTCTTCTGTTAGAAAATGGGAATAATAGTTTCTAACTCACAGGCCTGATGTATGAGTAACAGGAATTAATGCAAAATCTTTTTTTTTTTTTTTTTGAGATGCAGTTTCGCTCATCGCCCAGGCTGGAGTGCAATGGCACGATCTTGGCTCACCGCAACCTCCGCCTCCCGAGTTCAAGTGATTCTCCTACCTCAGGCTCCCGAGTAGCTGGGATTACAGACATGTGCCACCATGCCCAGCTAATTTTGTATTTTTAGTAGAGACAGGTTTTCTCCATGTTGGTCAGGCTGGTCTCAAACTCCCGACCTCAGGTGATCCACCCGCCTCAGCCTCCCAAAGTTCTGGGATTACAGATGTGAGCCACCGTGCCTGGCCTATTAGTGTGTATGTTTAAAATACTTTTGCCAGGCCATCCCCAATTAACTTCCCACCATCTCCAAGATACTTGTCAAAAACCTGGGTGCTTTGGCAGTCATCTTTCATTCCCACCATGTACTTTTCTATTAATTTTTACTTTTATTTCAGTAACTTGGGGGGTACAGGCGGTTTTTGGTTACATGGGTAAGTTCTTCCATGTGATTTCTGAGATTTTAGTGCACTCATCCCCAAGCAATGTACACTGTACCCAATATATAGTCTTTTATCCCTCACCCCACTTCCAACTTTCCCCCTGAGTCCCCAGAGTCCATTTTATCATTCTTATGCCTTTGCATCCTCATAGCTTGGCTCCCACTTATAAGCGAGAACATACGATACTCATTTTTCCATTCCTAAGTTGCTTCACTTAGAATAATGGCCACCAGTTCCATCCAAGTTGCTGTGAAAGACATTATTTTATTTCTTTACATGGTGAGTAATATTCCATCCACCATGTACTTTTCTCATCTTCTTCAGCTTGCCTTTCCTCATGCTATCAGGTGCCCCAGGTGTGGCCTCTCCTAACCCAACTTTGAGGGCATTTTTGAGCTTGTCTTTGCTGTCAAGCCTTCCCTGACTATCCCAGGCCTCAGTGATCTCCCTCTCTTCTGCACTCCTTCCCACACTTGCTGCCTCCTTTTCTCATTCATGTGACACATCTAAAAGCCACCTTGCCTTGGCTATCCTGTGATGGAGACAGACTCTGGGCTATCCCATGGCCTGTGCTCAGTGCACAACTCATAACTACCCATTCCTGATGCTCGTTCATTCATGAGTCCCCATTAAATATCTCTCATGTACTCAGTGCTAGAACCTGAGGGTACAGATAGCAATGAACGAAGCAGATGTAGAACCTGTCCTCATGGTCTTTAGAGCTCAGTGAAGAAGACAATAAACAGGCTACTGGAGAACTAACTATACAATTATATACTGTATGTAACATCTC
The DNA here is from genome assembly GCF_000001405.40 of Homo sapiens. Taxonomy (NCBI): domain Eukaryota; kingdom Metazoa; phylum Chordata; class Mammalia; order Primates; family Hominidae; genus Homo; species Homo sapiens. The sequence goes on along the minus strand of NC_000010.11, from coordinate 111,244,118 downwards.
CCTCAACATCAATGTAAAACTGAGAGCTTAGCCGCTCTGTCCAATGATCACTTTATCTGGCACATCATAAGTTATCATCTCTAAGCACAAAATCCTCCTTTACATGAGGATAGAAAAAGGCCAAATGGGCCTCCCTCATTTTTCTTTTCCTTGACAAAGGCAGGGCTTCTTGCATGGCACAGAACTTCCTGGGCCCAGGCCCCAAGGCGCTATTGGTTTGGCACTTGCCTCTGGCTTGCGCCTGAGCCTCAAGGAGGGAGCAGCTTATTTGGAATTCTAGCTAGGCCTCCAGGAGAGAACAGCCTTCAGATTCTCTTCACTAATTTCCAAACAAAAGCAGTGGTAGGGATTTTGAAAACCACAAAACTAAGAGAGTTGTGGAAAATAAGATACTGCAAGCAGAAAATGATAGCTAAGGCTCATGCCCTAGGTCCAACCTAGCAAACATCCGGTGAATTACGAGTTCTAAATCTGAATGGAGTTTTTTGGGTGCTTGCAGGGGATCTTAAAATTTTGTTTTTCTATTCCAATCAGAGCACTCTCTAAAGGGATTTGGGGTAAGCCCCGCAACTCCTTTTTTTTTTTTTCTTTTTCCAGGGTGGAAGGCAGCCCACGTCCTCTCACCTTTACTCTTAAGTCCAACTTGCCATCCACTTACTCATTCTGCTCACTTTTCTTGAGAGGGTCATCACTTTGTGCCTGGAGGCCCAGCTGACCCTCCTCTAAAAGGCCAGTCCTGCTGATTCTGCAGATAGCTCAATTCCCAAACAGCCTATATGCCTGCAGTGATTCCTGCTGTGGTCAGGTTTCACCTGCAAACCTCTGACCTCTTTCTAGCCCTCCCTCCCTGCAAAGCAAGTCAAACTCCTGGTCATAGCTGCGAGGTGTCCGTGAGAAAACCTGGTCTTTGAAATCAGACAGGTTGAGGTCCAATTCCCAGTGACCATATTACTGGCTGAACTTCATCTTACCCATCTACAAATGCAGGGTTCCATCAACTTAGAAAATAGAGGGGAAATATTTTTATTATTTCACATTTTGAATACATCCTTCATGACTATACATATATAGTGGGAAACTGGTCCCTTTCCCACTATTATAATGTATATCACATGCTAGATTGTCTTGATTATATACATATGCTTAGACAGAGAAGGCTGTATAGTCATTAAAGATGTCTTCAAAGTGTGAAAAAATATATAATTTATATAATACATATATATAATATATAATTTATATAATATATACATATATATTATATACGTATATATTGTATACATATATATTATATACGTATATAATACATGTATTATATACGTATATATTATATGGTATATATGTATTATATACGTATATATTATATAGTATATATGTATTATATACGTATATATTATATAGTGTATTATATATTATATACGTATATATTATATCTAATATATATATTATATACGTATATATTATATAGTGTATTATATATTATATACGTATATATTATATATATTATATATAATATATGTATATAAATATATACATAATATATACATATATTATATATGTATATAAATATATACATATATAATATATACATATATATGTATATATTATATAATATATACATATAATATGTATATATTATATCATATATAATATATACATATATAATATGTATATATTATATCATATATAATATATACATATATAATATGTATATATTATATCATATATAATATATACATATATATTATATATTATATATCATATATAATATATACATATATATAATATATTATATATGATATAATATATACATTATATAATATATAATATATACATTATATAATATATAATATATACATATATAATATATATATTATATAATATATAATTATATGATATATGTGTATATTATATAATATACACATATATAATATGTGTATATATTATATAATATACACATATATAATATGTGTATATATATAAAATATATATAAATATATATTATATATTTATATATATTTATATATTATATACATATATATTATATCATATATAAATATATGATATATAATTATATCATATATAAATATATGATATATAATTATATCATATATAAATATATGATATATAATTATATCATATATAAATATATGATATATAATTATATAATGTATATAATAGAGATATATAAATATATAATAAAATAAAAAATTATGTATAAGTATATAATGTATATATGTAATAAAAATTTTATTTATATATAAATATATAATGTATATAAAAAAATATATATATATGATCACTATAGGATGTCCCTTATACCTGGACTTCCAGATTTAATGGACATCCTACAGTGATAATAACACCAGGCCCACAGGATTACCCTGAGAATTAAAGCAGTTAATATATGCCAAGTGCCTGAATGCCTGCCTGGCCCTTAGATAAGGCTCAGAAAGTATTGGGTCCCCTCTCTCTCTAGCCCAAACTGGTCCCTTTCCCACTATTATAATGTGTACCACATGCTAGATTGTCTTGATTGTAGCACTCTGTCTTTCTATGAAACTTTACATCAGAAAAATCTACTTGTTTGGCTGTGGGGGGACAATATCAGGGCTGGCTGTTGTCATTCTCACAGTGGCATCTGGATTCCCATGGAGCTTAGAATTTTTACAAAAGTGTGTCTTGACAGTTGCAACTATCTCATGCTAAAATTAAGAAGTAAAGATGCTTATTACGTAGGAGCCCAAATTTCTGGCAACAACCTGTACCTTGGCTATTAGGAGAAATGAGTGGGTCTATATATGATTTGGAGTCTCTGCAGAGGTTTAGTTTAGATTGCCTCCAACCACATGAGAAGGTACATTTTCCAAGCCCAAGAATTTATCAGCATCACCTACATCTGCAAACCTGTCATTTATTTATGCTGTACATTACTTTGAAAAAAAAGTAACAACTCTGCTTTGTAACCAAATGTTTTATTTTACTTGATCACAGGCTGTGGGATGAATTAATGTGACAAAGGGGTTGTTGGAGATAGCCTATTATAAAGGTGTGGTAATAATTGCTTTCCAGAGGAAGTAACAAAATACATTCCAGTCTTGTTGAAGAGTACACATCTGATGAAATATACATATGATTTTGATGGAAGAGCAGTTCAAATTTGGTTAGGTTTTTTAACAATTTAACTCAGCTTCCCCCATAATAAAAAGCTTATAGACTATTTCAGTGTTTTGCATCCCAAAGAAAAGATGCATTTACATCTGCGCATAAGTTTGTCTATATGTGCATGTGCTGCCCACACTGTTCCATTTTAAACCTCTACTTTTCTCTGCTTGGAACCAAGATAAACCACCAGGTGATGGCTTCTAGGCACATGGATGGGAACATAGCACTTACTTCACAGACTTTAGCAAGTCCTCTAGGAAGCTGCCTTGCAGGTCAAGTCCCAGAAAGAGTTCTACCACCATCCTCTAAAGTTAACCTTCTTAGGCCCAGGGAAGACCCAGCAAAATAGCAAAGGTCATCCGATTCTGCCCCCAGCACCCCTACCAAAATGCTGCAATTGATTTCCACAAGAGAGAAGAGCTAGATCAGCATTTTTCAAATGTATTCATCCCAGGGCTCTTTCTGATTAATCATCTCATAAGATTATAGGAATGCCTCATTTTATTGCTATTTACTACATTATCTCTGCAGATAATGTTTTGTTTTTTACAAACTGAAGGTTTGTGCTACTATGGGTTGAACAAGTCCATTGGTGCCATTTTTCCAACAGCATGCACTCACTTGCTGTCTGTGTGTCACATTTTGGTAATTGTTACAATATTTCAAACATTTTAATTATTATATCGGTTACAGTGATCTGTGACCAGTGATCTTTGATGTTAGTATTGTAATTGTTTGGGGCACAACAAATCGCTTCATATAAGATGGCGACTTAATCAATAAACGTTGTGTGTGTTCTGACAGTCCCACCAATGGGCCATGCACCCATCTCTCTCCCTCTCTTTGGGCCTCCCCATTCCCTGAATCTAAACGATATTGAAATGAGGCTGATTACTAACCCTTCAATGGCCTCTAAGTGTGCAAGTGAAAGGAAGAATCACACTTCTCTCTTTAAGTCAAAAGCTATAAATTATTCAGCCTAGTGAGGAAAGCATGTGAAAAGCCAAGCTTGGGAATCCTTGCTTCAAGTGTGCCTTGTCTAAGAGGATAATGTAGAAGAGAAAGAAGGGCCATCCAAATAAATTCTTACCCCTCATCATTTGGCAAACTTGATTGGCTCCAGATTTTTTACTAAAGGGCAGAAGCATTGAGAATTCATAGGACTTCCTTAGTGAGGAAGGGCTGAGTCAAAAGCTAGACCTCTTGTGCCAAACAGTCAGCCAAGTTGTGAATGCAAAGGAAAATTTATTGAAGGAAATTAAAAGTACTATGCCAGTGAATACACAAATGATGAGAAAGCCAAACAGCCTTATTGGCGATGAAGAGAAAGTTTTAGACTTTAATTGTTAACAGAGTTTCACATTTCTTCAAGCCAGAAGCCTAATCCAGAGTAAGACCCTAACTCTCTAATTCTGTGAAGACAGAGAGATGAGGAAGCTACAGAAGAATAGTTGGAAGCTAGCAGAGGTTGGTTTATAGGGTTAAAGGAAAGAAGCCATCTTCATACCATAGAAGTGCAAGGCGAAGCAGCAGGTGCCAATACAGAAGCCACAGCAAGTTATTCAGAAAATCTAGGTAAGATAATTTATCAAGGTAGCTACACTAAACAGATGTTCAATGTAGACAAAACAAATTATCAGAAGAAGATGCCATCTAGGACTTTCCTAGTTAGAGAGGAGAAGTCAAGGCCTGGCTTCAAATCTCCCAAAGACAAGCTGACTCTCTTGTTAGGGGCTAATCCAGCTGGTGACTTGAAGTGGAAGCCAATGCTCATTTACCATTTCAAAAATCCTAGGGCCCATGAGAATTATGCTAAATCTCCTCTGTCTGTTCTCCATAAATGGAACAATAAAGCCTGGATGGCAATGCATCTGTTGACAGCATGGTGTACTAGATACTTTAAGTCCACCATTGAGACCTTCTGCTCACAGAATAAATGATTCCTTTCAAAATATTACTACTCATTGGCAATGCACCTGGTCACCCAAGAGCTCTGATGGAGACATACAAGGAAATTAATGTTGTTTTCATGCCTGCTAACACAATATCTATTCTGCAGTCATTGGATCAAAGAGTAATTTTTTACTTTCAAGCTTTATTATTTTAAAAATGCATTTGGTAAGGCTATCACTGCAATAGATAGTGTTTCTTCTGATGGATTTGGGAAAAGTAAATTGAAAACCATCTGGAAAGGGTTCACTATTGTAGATTCCATTTAAAAAACATTCATGATTCATAAGAGGAAGTCAAAATATCAACATTACCAGAAGTTTGAAAGAAGTTGATTTCAATCCTCATGGGTGACTTTGAGGGATTCAAGACTTCTGTGGAGGAAGTAACCTCAGATGTGGTGGAAAGAGAAACAGAACTGGAGTTAGAAGTAGGGCCTGAGGATATGACTGAATTGCTGCAATCTTGTGATCAAACTTGAATGAATGAGGAGTTGCTTCTTATGAATCAGCAAAGAAACTGGTTTGAGATGGGATTTACTCCTGGTGAAGGATGCTGTGAACATTGTCAAAATGACCACAAAGGATTTATATGAATATTATATGAACTTAATTGACAAAGCTGCAGCAGGGTTTGAGAGGACTGGCTCTAATTTTGAAAGAAGTTTTACTGTTGGTCAAATGCTATCAAATAGCATCACATGCTACAGATAAATCTTTTGTGGAATGAAGAGTCAATCCATGTGGCAAACATCATTGTGGTCTTCTTTTAGGAAATGCCAGAGCCACCTCAGCCTTCAGCAACCACCACCAGTCAGCAATTATCAACATCGAGGCAAGACCTTCCACCAGCAAAAAGATTATTGACTCCAAGTTTCAGATAACTGCTAGCATGTTTTAGCAACATTTTTAAATTAATGTATGTATATTTATGTACAAATGCTATTGCACACTTAATGGACTACGGTGTCATGTAAAAATAACCTTTATGGGCACTGGGAAACCAAAAAAATGTGTGACTTTCTTTTTTGCAATATTCGCTTTATTGCAGTGTTCTGGAACTGAACCCACAGTACCTCTGAGGTATGCCTGTAATATTTTATGGATCACCACTTAGGAGTCATTGCTTCAAATGTGCCTTGTCTAAGAAGATAATGTAGAAGAGAAAGGGGACCATCCAAATATATTCTTACCTATCAACATTTGGCAAACTTGATTGGCTCCAGATTTTTTACCAGAGGGCAGAAGCATTAGAGGTCATAGGGCTTAAGCAAGCTCCACTCTGGAATTCAAAACCTCTAGAAAACAACACAAGGATCAAATGGCCTCCCGGGATAGAGACTGGAAGACACCCTTATTCTGGGTATCCATAGCTGGGGAGCACTATTAACAATAGTAGATGCCCAAGCATGTGTTGAATTCCTTGAGAGTAGATAACTTAGTTACAAGACAGGAAGCCCATCAGCTATTTTCCCTCTCCAACAAGGCTCAAATAGGCACTCACCTTTGGGCTGGGAGCAGAAGTAACAACTTTTCTTTGGTTGTCCAAATGTGACCCAGGGCAGGCCAAGGTAAATCACTACATCTGTTTCTGCCCATTCCTGGAGGGACAGCCTTAGCACTGGGGGAAACCTTCTCAGGATACCAGAGACAGAAACCCAACACCCTTCTGACCCTTAGGGAATTAAATGGTAAAGTACCAAGTAAGAGCTTAGCTTCTTTCCATAGGGTTCTCTAGACCCTGTGCTCCAACTCCTCTGGCTTTTGCTTTAATTCTCAGGTTAACTCAATTATGACCCAATGATCCCTGGGCCCCAAACTCTAGGAACAGTAACTGAAGGCTAGGACTTACCAACACTAATGCCAATTGAGTTCATTTATTCCTTCCTTGCCCCTTCAGGGACAGAATCATTGCTAAATATAGTATCAGGGTATTGCCATTCAATAAGGAGCTATGCTAATTGATAAAACTAGCCGGTCCACCCAGATAAAACTAGCTGAGTTAGCAAGTGCACTTAACAAAAAACATTTGCCAAATTTGAGGTCTATGTGGAGAAAAGGGAACACTTATACACTGTGGGTGGGAATGTAAATTAGCTCAGCCACTATGGAAATCAGTTTGGAGATTGCTAAAATAACTTAAAACACAACTACCATTTAACCCACCAATTCCATTACTGGGTATATATTCAAAGGAAGATACATGGTTTTACCAAAAAGACACAAGCATTTCTACATTCATCACAGCACTATTCACAATAACAAAGACATGGAATCAACCTGGTTGCTCATCAATGGTGGATTGGATAAAGAAAATGTGGCATATATACACCATAGAATGTTATGCAGCCATAAAAAGAACAAAATCATGTTCTTTGCAGCAACATGAATGCAGCTGGAGGCCACTGTCCTAAGCAAACAAACACAGGAACAGAAAACTAAATACTGCATGTACTCACTCATAAGTGGGAGCTAATCATTGGGTACTCATGAACATAAACAGGGCAGCAATACACACTGGGAACTGCTAAAAGGGGAAGGTAGAGAGGAGGACAAGACTTGAAAACTAATTATTGGGTACTATGCTCACTACCTGGGTGACGGAATCAATCATACCCCAAACCCCAGCATCATGCAATATACCCATATAACACACCTGCACATGTACCCCCTGGATCTAAAATAAATTATAAAAATAAATAAATAAATTTGAAGCCTAGAAAACATTAAGTTCTTGCTAAGATTTAAGTAGATGAAAGTACTACATACATCAATGTAGGGGGATAAAAACATTCTGGTATCAAGGACATTCAGTTAACTGGTAGAGCTAAATCATATTTTCCTTCATTTTATTAGGATAAGCTAACCCAGGACATAGCCATTTAAGTAATAATTACACAATAACAATGTTAACCAGTTAAATTTGAGGGCACTTTCTTTGGGCAAAAAAACACTCTGCAAAACCCTTTATGTATACTATTTAATTCTCACAGCAACTCAGCAATGTCCATGGTATTTAATCTCATTCTATAACTGAAAAACTGAGATTTAGAGAGGTTAAGAGATCTATCCAAGATCACTCAGCTACTAAGCGCTGAAGCTGATACTGGAACTCAAATATGTATGAATTCAGAGCTTACACTCCCGATCAACACACACCACAAGGTATAGGCTGTAACTTCCTCCTAGAACTGCTGCATTTAGGAGAGACTAAACCAAAATTCTAGTCTCTTTTTCACACAACTGGTTATTATTAGATACCCATTAGCTCCTAAGCACCACCTTGGCTGTTCTATACTCATCATCGAATCCCTATAGTAGTGCTTTGATATGGGCCATTTTCCCACTTTCTATGCAAATAACTGAGACTCAGAGAGCTTACCTGCCCCATTTCACCCTATTAGGAAATGACAAAACCGGTACCCAGCCTCAAACCATGTCCCATTCCAAAGCCATGCCTTTCACCTCCAGATTACCTCTCACCATATCAGGAGTTTCCATTTACAAATGTGGAAAAACTTGAGATGGATGGAACTATCAGAGCATACTGAGAATCATGACTGACTTTGACGTCCCCCTGCAAATTTTCAGAGTAATTTCTTGGTATCCCCAAATTTTGAAAGCCAGGCAGCTGGCCCCAAGCAACCAGCGTCGACTCAATATGTAGACCATCATGCTGAAATTTTTCCAAAGAACATTGGTGGTAAATGTTCCTCAAGTTATAAAAATTTCCACTAGTAGTGTCATGGAACATGGAAGTTTTTTTGTAAGTCTGGGCCTCCCTCCAGCTCTTCCTAGGGTTCCTCTTTGGACTCCTTCACTTACAAATTGTTAACTTCTTGAGTTAACTTTTAGATGAAGACAACCCTGCAGGAAGCTGTGACGTCAGGTGCCAGTTGTCTTCACAACTAACAGATGTGCACCCTCCCACTCCCCCCGTGCCCCATCACCTAATGCACAATGGGTATGAAACACTTCCTCTAGTTCCCACTCTTAATAACATAGGGTAGCTCAGGATCTAAGCTTGGAGCCCAAGTGTATGCCTTGCAGAGACTTTGGCTAGTTTTCTAAGAATTTCTTCTCCTCCCCAAGGCTGGCTTCATCTGCCTGCTGGAGAAGAGCCAGCAGCTCTCACCACAGCATTCCCAAGGCTTTCATCTCAGAGGACAGCTTCACGATAAAGTCAATCTAGCCCACTTTCCATCCTGTGCATTTGCTATTATTAAATATCCGAGTGGAACTAATGAATGCCTTTTACTTCCCTTGAACATAAAGAGTCTTGAAGAAATCGAACCACCACAGCCTGCCGACTTGAGGGAATTAGTCTGGTCTTTGAGAAAATGAGTTCGCCATTTCCACCCCACCCCCAAAAACAGTTCTCAGTTTCTTGTGCCCACCTAAAAGGATAATAATATCTTCCCCATTACCATGCCAGCAAGAAAAATGTTTCTTTCCCCAGGAGGCAGAGATACATTTTCTGACTGAGCCTGGGAGACAAAAATGCTATAATTTGGATTTATTTTCCTTAAAATATCTCTAAAATATCTGGGATCTGTCCCTGAGTTCTGTGCAGTCAGCAGTTTTCCCAGTAAACTCATTTATTGTTCATGCTGACTAGAACTGGAGTTTTTTTCCCCAGTCCCATTCTCATCTCCCCTGAAAACTTCCAGAAGAATGATTCTAATATCTAGGGGAAGAACAGATTAGAAAAAAAAAGTATGAAAGGCCTGTCCATGGAACAGAGCTCCATGTGATTTCCTGAAGAAAGCAACATAGGAAAACACGTCTCAGTGATTTTCCTCCATTTCCTTTCCTGAAGATCCCTAGACAGAGCAAGTCCCTCAGAAAGCTCTGGGGAGGGGACTTCAAGCATCTGCTTGTAATATTTCCTCAGCAATTCACAATGGTACCAGGAAGAAAATCCACTGGAGTACAGGATGGGGCTAATACACTTTTTGGGGTCAGGAGCAGGGGGAAACTGCCATGAAGGGGGACAAAAAGGGAACCACATGAGGGCTGTATGCAAATGTTTAACCTTCAAAACTATAAAAGTATTAGAGGTCTGAAACAAAAAAAAATCTGGTGAGATGAACTCTAAGGACAAGAAGGAATCATTCCCCATACTCCCTTTCCCAAACCCCAAATCACCAACCCAAAACAATGGCATTGTCTTCCCCCAAACCTTGGAAAGTTCTAAAAAGATAAGGATGTAACCTCTTTGAGGATCAGAATTTGCTTTAATGGATCAGTCAATTGTATCCTTCAGTCTGTCTTCCTAGCATCAAAGATCCCTAAGACTTTAATAAATTCTGAACCTATTCCCACATAAAAGGATGGCAATTGCTAAGACTGGACCAAGACATTGGAGCTGTCCCTGGTGCTGCCTCAGTGGTGACTGTAGCCCAGGCTTATTAATCTGTCCATGGCTCCTGCCATGTTCAACTTTTTAGTACTGATCTTCGAGTTATATAGTTCCAATTTATGCCTTTACAACCACATCCACTCTTAATAGTCACATGTTCTGCAACACTCCCCAACCTCAGTGGACTGAACTCCATCTCTTGATTTAAAATCCGTGCCCACAACCTAGCCCACCACTACCTCAGATCACTGTGTGCAACATGAACATGTGAACTGTACCCTTAGAAGAATCTGAGGCCACTGAGAGGTTTTAAGCAGAGGAGTAATGGCAACATATTTGACCTCTAGAAAGATCATGCTGACCTCAATGCAAGGAATGGAGAGAAGAAACAAGAAACTAGTTAGAGACTGATGCATTATCCCTGGCAAAATATAATGAACTACATAAGAATAGTGACAGAGGAACCAGAGAGAAGATGGTTGTTTCAAGAAATATTTAGGCACTAGAATAAGCAAAGTGTGGCTAAGGAAGAAGTAGTTTATATAGAGAAAAAAGAAGCAGCAAATATCAAAGATAATCCCAATGTCTCTGGATGAACAATAGGTAGGATGATGCTGCCAAATACTGGGTTAGAAACACCAGAAAATGAGCAAATTTGAAGGAAAATAGGTCAAATTCAATTTTATGTGTACAGAGTTTGGGAAATTTGTGAAATATCCATCTGCAAATGCTATGTGGACCATTGAATATAGATCTGGAACTCAAGAGACACAACTCAATATAGTGACTTCGGAGTTGCCAGACATGGGTGGTGATCAAAGACACGTGGCTGAGTGTGAGTACCCCAAGTCAGAAGAAATCCAAGACAGAATCTCAATGGACCTAATACTTCATACTTTGGAATATGGGTCTTCCAAGTGATTAACGAGTGACTGGAAGACAGGAGGTGCAGAGGACTGTGTGTCAGGGAAAGCCCAATGAAGAGGATGTTTTCCTAAAGAGTGGTTCATGATGTCACATAACACAGAGATCACATAAGATTAGACTTGAAAAGTGTCTCTAGGTCTTAAGGACAAAGACATCTTAGGCGACATTTCACTGCAGGGAGTGGGTGATAGGAAAGCCAGTTTGGAGCAGGTTGAGGAGAAACCAGAAGGTGAGGAATTGGAAAACTGAATGGATACAATTGTTTCAGAAGTTAGGCTGTGAAGGAGAAGGAAAAGCAAGAGAAGTGGGCTGAAGACACTGTGGAGAGTTTTATTTTTGTTGTGAAGATGGAAATATTTAAATATATTTAAATGCTGACTGCATTGAGCCAATTGAGAGAGGTTAAAGATGAGAAAAGAAATAACTGGTAGATAGAGATTCCTGCGGAAAGCAGGAGTTGGGGGAGCTAGATCCAGGGCACAAGTCTCTCTTCCCTAGAGAGAGAAGTACAGAGGTCAGAAGGGGTGCTGATCTTTAAGTGGGACGAAAGAGTGGCTGGAAGTTAGGGAGTTTCTGCCAATCCTACATCAGATGCCAACAATAACACACTCGTCCCACCACTTTGTCATCCAACAGAAGAAATAGATTTGTTCTATCAGGAAAACTGGAACATATTGGTGGGTGTTAGAAAGAGGCAGATTTTGACTCAAGAAAGAAATTTTCTAACAACTGGAGCTGTCCAGCAACGGAATGGCAGCTGTAGTGAGCCACCTGCCAGAGGCAGTATTCACGTGGAGAAAGGATGTCATGGCCTTCCTGGCCAATTTTGATGAACTTCGTACTAGACAGAAGCTTGAGCTAGATGATGTCTGTTGGCTCTGTCAACTCTAAACTCTTTCTGCTTTAAAAGGCAGCCCCTGACTCTTCCCTAGGAATCCTGAAATTGACTACTATTTTGCCTAAGAAGGATCCTGAAAGTTCTTAGACCACCAGGGTAACAGCTGCCACTTGCAGTCCCCAGGTGTTCTGGAGAAAAACTTGGCCCTATTAAACAACCCCATATCCTATCGTTTCACCAATGAGACTGTTTTCTGGTGCCTTGCTTATCCTCAAGGGTCCCCTAGGAAAATGTGAACATGCTTATGAGGGTTTGCAGTTTATATAACATCAGCCAACACCTGGGAGCAGACCTCTGTGGGAATGGGCAATCCATTTTCATGGTTGAGAACTGGATTCAAGGACCATACTGCCAGGATTTGAATGCAGCTCCCTCAGTGTCAGCTGGGTTGACCATTGGTGTATTACTTAACCTTTCTATGCCTGTTATGAAAAATAAAAAAATTAAATTCTTAGAACAGTGCTGAGCACATAATAAGCACCCAATAAATATTTATTAAATACCCAATGGGGCAACTATGCCAGGAACTTGAGACAGAGTACAGTCACTGTTAGTGAGGAGATCCTAAAAGCCATTTTCACTTCATTTTTAAACCATTAAACCATTTTTAAAGCCATTTACTTCATTAGCCTTGATCAAAATTTATAACTTGAGATTGCCCAAATCTCAGCCTTTTAGAAGATTTCCTCTCAATGTTATATTAGCTGACCAGGAAACACAGATGTATTTGTATTTTCAATTAAAAGTGCTCTGAAATGTGAAGACTGACCAAGAAGTAGGTTCAGGTTCCTCTTTATTATGCTCTAAGGGAGACCAATCGTCCAAAATTCACGTCGGTGGAAAATGCTGTACTGATTTCCATCTAAGTCATATTGATAACTCACACTTATTTATTACCTATTGTGAGCCAAGAAGCCTAATTTCACCTATTATCTCTAATCCCAGCAAAAACTCTGGAGGACAGGTATTAGTCCCAATTTACAGATGAAGAAACTTAAGAAGTTCTGCTGTTTTTCCAAGGTCATAGAGTTATCATGTTTGCTATTGTACCCCATTTCTTCTCCACTAAAGACACTCCTAGATGATAAGCTCCTTGCAGGTGAGGAAATACCTTTGTGTCACCTGCACTGCCTAGCCCAATCACATGGAAGGGCCTTTGCAAATGCTTGTTAAACCAAACTCCCAAGTACATAATGGGAACTTGGTACTGTCCAGATTGTCAGCCACTGTTGCTATGTCCTGTGCCTTACCTAACATTCAACAAACAAAACTCTACTAAAAAAAATCAAATCCCAAAGCCTCTTTAATTCCTAAGAAATAAACCTTGGACATCCCAGAACTCTAGGTGGCTTTCTACTATATGCTTTTTAGCCTTATGGATGAGCTACACTTCCCATAGTATGTAGTAACCATCACTTGGAATTTACCCAGTATCTGATACGAATGGAATCAAACAGAGCCAAAATTGGAGGGCTGTAGAACAAAGACAAAGCCTCCAACATAGCTAAGTCAAGAAGACAATGCTGCACTTTGGACTGTGGTCAGTACATTCTAGATTTCTTCTTCTTCTTCTTCTTCTTATTATTATTATTATTATTATTATTATTATACTTTAAGTTTTAGGGTACATGTGCACAATGTGCAGGTTTGTTACATATGTATACATGTGCCATGTTAGGGTGCTGCACCCATTAACTTGTCATTTAGCATTAGGTATATCTCCTAATGCTATCCCTCCCCCCTCCCCCCACCCCACAACAGTCCCCAGAGTGTGATGTTCCCCTTCCTGTGTCCATGTGTTCTTATTGTTCAATTCCCACCTATGAGTGAGAACATGCGGTATTTGGTTTTTTGTCCTTGCGATAGTTTGCTGAGAATGATGGTTTCCAGCTTCATCCATGTCCCTACAAAGGACACGAACTCATCATTTTTTATGGCTGCATAGTATTCCATGGTGTATATGTGCCGCATTTTCTTAAGCCAGTCTATCGTTGTTGGACATTTGGCTTGGTTCCAAGTCTTTGCTATTGTGAATAGTGACACAATAAACATATGTGTGTATGTGTCTTTATAGCAGCATGATTTATAATCCTTTGGGTATATACCCAGTAATGGGATGGCTGGGTCAAATGGTATTTCTAGTTCTAGATCCCTGAGGAATTGCCACACTGACTTCCACAATGGTTGAACTAGTTTACAGTCCCACCAACAGTGTAAAAGTGTTCCTATTTCTCCACATCCTCTCCAGTACCTGTTGTTTCCTGACTTTTTAATGATCACCATTCTACCTGGTGTGAGATGGTATCTCACTGTGGTTTTGATTTGCATTTCTCTGATGGCCAGTGATTATGAGCTTTTTTCATGTGTTTTTTTGGCTGCATAAATGTCTTCTTCTGAGAAGTGTCTGTTCATGTCCTTCGCCCACTTTTTGATGGGGCTGTTTGTTTTTTTTCTTGTAAATTTGTTTGAGTTCATTGTAGATTCTGGATATTAGCCCTTTGTCAGATGAGTAGGTTGCAAAAATTTTCTCCCATTCTGTAGGTCACCTGTTCACTCTGATTGTAGTTTCTTTTGCTGTGCAGAAGCTCTTTAGTTTAATTAGATCCCATTTGTCAATTTTGGCTTTTGTTGCCATTGCTTTTGGTGTTTTAGACATGAAGTCCTTGCCCATGCCTATGTCCTGAATGGTATCGCCTAGGTTTTCTTCTAGGGTTTTTATGGTTTTAGGTCTAACGTTTAAGTCTTTAATCCATCTTGAATTAATTTTCATATAAGGTGTAAGGAAAGGATCCAGTTTCAGCTTTCTACATATGGCTAGCCAGTTTTCCCAGCACCACTTATTAAATAGGGAATCCTTTCCCCATTGCTTGTTTTTGTCAGGTTTGTTAAAGATCAGATAGTTGTAGATATGTGGCATTATTTCTGAGGGCTCTGTTCTGTTCCATTGGTCTATATCTCTGTTTTGGTACCAGTACCATGCTGTTTTGGTTACAGTACCTGACTTCAAACTATACATTCTAGATTCTTTATCACCCAGCCTTCCCTGATCGATGCCTCTACCCCTCCTTCCAGGATACTGTTCAACTGACCCCTTAACACACATTCATTTTCTCCTCTCTGGTTTGTAGCACTTCCTTTATCAGGCATGCCTCTTCCCATTACCTTGTCAATTCCCACTCATGCTTCAAGACCACCTCCTAGAAGCCTTCCCTGGCTGCTCTAGCCCTCTCTCATCTTTGTCTCTGCATTTCTAACTCAAAATATGGTTTACACATAACTATGTGCAGCCTTTCATTGAACCCCAATGCTTTGCACCTGTATTCCAAGAATTCCCAAGTAGATTGAGCATCCCTTATAAGCAAGAATGATGCTTTCTATTCTCCCCTCTCCCAGTGCAGTGCTGGAGTCATTGCTCAATGAGCCTCAAAACACAGGATCTCCCCCAAACAAGTTCCTCATTCTGTGATACTCAGAATGCTCCATTCTGGTGATAGGAAGTACTCTTTCAGCAAACCCAAGAGCCATCCTCATCCCATTGGCTTTCCTAAATTATCTCTAACCAGATTATTCTCCTCCCACAGAACACAGAATCCTCCAAGGAGGCCTGGATGGATGCTGGCCTGAGTTCCTTAGCTAATTGCTCTCATCCTCTTCCGACAGAAGTAAGGAATTATCCTTCCCAAAGCAGTATACTCCTGGAAAGATGTTAGAGGTGACTCACACAGGGATGGTGACGGGGACAGGACAGGAATGGGGAAAGAAAAAAGAGGGCATAGAGGCTAGTTATGGAGCCACAGAATGAGGCACATTAGCCAATTTAGCCAATTATGCAGCTGCAGCAATTAAATAACTTCACAATGGTAAGAGGAAGTGTAAACAGAGCCCACAACACTATCCTTTAGGCCAAGAAAAAAACAAGCTTGACTGCTGTGTTGTATAGTCATTACTTCTATCTGTCCAGCATCCCTTTCCCCCTTTTCATCTGATAATAGAACCCCTCCTTCCCACAGGAAGCCTATTTCATGTATTTGGAGTAAGATTCACCTCTAGGTGAGGTGGGCATTGTACCATGATTAGCTGAGTGTGACACCTCTTAACCTTAGTAGTTGATTCCAAGTTGGGGATATGAACCTAGCAGAGCTGATTAGAATCTTGTCTGAGAATGTACATATTGGTACTGGAAGAAATCAGATCCTCCTTTTTTTGGATTGCAAACTTAGAGATGCTGACGTGGGACCACCAGGGGTTATCTTTTCTTCCAAATGAAGAATGTCCCTTTAGAATGAAGAAATGTGCTAAGGAGAACAGAGCCAAGAGGTGGAGAGAAAGTGGAGCTTCAAAACATCATTTGAGCCCTGGATCCATCCATGCCTGAAGCCTGTGGACTTACCACTTACAAAAGACGAAAACCTCCCCTTTTCTCTCAATCTACTTAGAGTTGGGTTTTTGGTATTTTTATTTGTTTTGTTTTTGTGAAACTGATTCAACTAACATAGCCACTAACACTGGGAGCTAATTTATTCAATGGAGGAAGATGCCAAATATCAGGGAGAGATTTGTAAAACAGGATCACTCCCAATTTTATTGAAGCAACAATTTGGTAGGACCTTCAGCCTCTTCCATAGAAGCAACTTACCAGAGTGTGCTTAAACCAAGAAGAGATAGACATAAGTATAAGGTTCATGAATGAATGAATGTTTCAGGTGAAACTATCTCAGTCTTCACCTGAAATCTAAGCTTCAGAGTGGCTGTAAGTGCCATCCTAATTCTACAAGAGACTCATCACCAGCTTCTGTGCACTCCAGTCCTGCACCTGAAATTCTTCTGAAGGGTCCTGACTTAATCCCTGTGTCAGCTTTTCTAAATCGCTTCTTGGGACACTGATCACCACGTGTGAAGATTCCCACAACTATCTTTCACTTCCAAAAATGAATGGTTGTGTATAGAGCCCGAGATGTCCACAAGTCACTTCCCTCATGGCCTCCTATTGCATTGCTCTCCTCTTACCTCCCAGGCAGAATGCTAGTCAGGCATCCACAACTCTCTGCAGGGCACAAAAGCAAGCTATTAATCAGGGATGAAAGAGACATACTTTCAAGTTGATTTATGCACTGAGTTCATGCAAAATCTGGTTGTTTAAAAGCATGTGGCACCTCCCCCCTGGCTTGTGCCATGTAACCCACAGACTCCCCTTTTGCCTTCCACCATGATCGTGAGCTTCCTGAGGCCTCACCAGAAGCCAAGCAGATGTCAGCGCCATGCTTCCTCTACAGCCTGCAGAACCATGAGACAATTAAACCTTTCCTAAAACTTAAAGTATAATAATAATAAAAAAAATTACCCAGCCTCACATATTTCTTTACAGTAACACAAAAATGGATTAACACAGTCTTCCTGTGGCAAGCACCCACACGGATACTCGCTCCAAGAGAGGGCCTCTGGGCAGACTTGGAAAAGATGCAAAACTGCCCCAGCCCACTAAATTGCCTTGCATTCCCTCTATCAGAAGTCTTTGAAGGGATTCACACCCTGGTGCCACTAATACAAAGTGGTAGTATAAAGTGCGGATTGTGAACTTGGTGGCCAAGGCAGCAGATAAGCATATCTGATAGAAAATAAGCCACTTCCCAGGAGCTGATCCTTGGAGCTCCACTTGGGACCTTGCATTCTCTTTCAAAACTACTTTCGTCAAGATAGGGGTTCTTAGCTCTGGCTACACATTAGAATCACCAGAGTCATTTTAAATTTTTTTGATGCCTGAGCCCCATCTACATAAAAATTAGACTTTTCAGAGAAATCACCCCAAGTAGGATTGAGAACTACTGAGCCAAGAAAGAACCATTCTTCTATCTGCTTTCTGTCACTTCCAAGGCACCTCAGTAAAACTGGCCCAGATATATCTAACATGACATCAGGGTCCCCCTTCCTCAATATGCTCTCTCCTTCCTCAGGACACTCAGGTTTCCAACTTGCATTAAGCAGGGCTTCACCAAAGGTTGAGGAACCCAGAACTTGGATGCATAAAGCAGCAGAGAAGAGAACACAGGCTAAAGCCCAGATGGTTGGTGCCTCTTCCAGATCTTCCTTCAGGAGAGTGACAGCTGAATGGACATCTCTGATTGAGGCATTGGTGAGGTAGGAATATGGAGGGGAAAGTGAGTTGATACTAAGGCCCCCATCCCCCGCCATGGTAGATTGGATGGGGATAGACCCTTCAGACTCTCCCCTGGGATTGGAACACAGTTCCTATGGCCAATCTCAGTGTTTAAAATTCAAGGACATTTTGACCCATGTGCAGAGAGGATCAAGCTGCTGAGACAGACAGAAGAAGGGAGCAGACACCCACAGGATGCAGGAATAAGCTGCAGAGAGGGAAGCTGCTCCATCTCCTGGTGCCTTTCAAGTTCTTGCTCCAGCCTGTCATGAAACCCAGCGCCCATCCCTGACTTGGCTTCCATAAAACCCCCAGTGGTTTACATGGGTTTCTGCTCATTCAACCGGATGGACACATGAGCAAAGAAACTGATATCACCCCTTCCAATGAACACACACCTCACCCCTCCGACTGTCCCCACTTTGGGAACCCTATAGCACTGTGGAAAGAAGGAATCTAGAGAACCTAGGTCAGGGCTCTCCCGTGAGAAACCCTGGGCAAGTTTCTTATCTTGTGCCTCAGATTTCTCATCCACAAAATAGGATACTGGTAAGAATTTTAAAAGTTAATACATGTCACAGTCACAATTGCTTTTATATCTGTTCCAGTAACAGTCATGTTTTAATTATCTGCAAAATCAAGTCCTCTTTAATTCTAATTCCAGGAAGGAAAACACACTGTACAATAATCCACTGGGTAACTGAAGTGGCTACCCTGTGAGTATATGGTGGCATGTACTGCATTTAACTCTGTTGGAATCACACTGCTAATAGCTCAGAGGTCTCAGTGTCCAGGGTAGAGTTGCCTAAGTCATGGTCCTGGCCCTCAAGAGCCTTGCCTCCTAGCTGAGGGATCAGATATGCACAAGGACAAAAAACTGATACACACCCAGCAAGGCTGTAGATGGTAAAGTCCCAGGGGGTGGGGAGTGGCCACTGAAAACATAAGGCCCAGGTGAGCTGGTCATGGAGGTTTCATAGAGGAGCTGGGATGTGAGTTCCATGCTGTGGGATAATGAGTCCAGCAAGCCTCATGCCACACTCCACACACTTCTCCCGGGAGAAACTGGCCAAGCCAGAGTTGAAATGGCCACCGAAAGGCATTTTCCACAGTTTAAATATTTCTCTAATGAGCACATTCCCTCTGAGGTCCATCAGATCCAATTTTTTAAATGAGGAGGTTAGGGTTTGAAGCTAACCAGAAGCTAGTGTCCTTTCTGCTGCAAAAGGTGAGGCAGATAGCCATGCCATGCCCCTGCCCCAGAGCCAATTGCAGATGGGTCCCATAGCTGCTGGCTTCCCAGGTCTCCATGGGAGGCACACTCAACTATCTGTAGGGAAGCTACAAGTGTCAGGGAGTTCACAACCCCAGTGCAACTCTCAACCAATGAAGAAAAGAAGTTCCTGATGAATGACCCCAGTTCTTTCTCCTGTCATTGTGAGGAGTAAGGACAATTCTGAGGTGTGTTCCATACAGTTTCCCAGAGAGTCAGCAACAGGGCTGAGTCCAGATGCCTACAGTAGTCCCACTCATGAGCTCACCCTCTATTGGATCGCCTCCCTTCCTTGGCTCACTTCCTGTATTAGTCTGTTATCACACTGCTAACAAAGACATACTGAAGATTAAGTAGTTATAAAGGAAAGAGGTTTCATTGACTCACAGTTCCACATAACTATTGGGAGGCCTCACAATCATGATGGAAGACAAGAAGTAGCAAGTCACATCTTACATGGCGGCAGGCAAGAGAGAACTCGTGCAGGGAACTCCCATGTATAAAACCATCAGATCTCATGAGACTTATTTACAATCATGAGAATAATATGGGGAAAACTACCCCCATGATTCAATTATCTACACCTGGACCTGCCCTTGACACATGGGTTTATTACAATTCAAGGTGAGATTTGGGTGGGGACACAGCCAAACCATATCACTTCCTCAACTCCTTCTTGAGATTGCCTTCCAAATAAACTGACTGCACCAAATCCTTTCTCAGGGTCTACACTCTTAGGGGAACCTAAACCAAGCCGTCAGCCAGATGGGCTGTGGGACACTCTGAGAAAACATTCCCCAACTACCTTCATGCCTGCTTCTCCTGGCACAGCCTAGAACATTCACTCCTGCCTCTCTCCCCAGTAGTTTTAAATCATGTTTGTTCCTGTTCTCTGCTAATGAACACCATTTGGTACTACTCAGTAGATGGCTACTCTTGCAAGTGAATTAGCAATATTTCCTAGATGTTTTACTAATAAACATCTTTATGGGAGGTTTATGGTGCTCAGAAGCTACACTTGAACCAAAAGAGTCGGTAAACATGGAGAAGAGAAGTAGCTGAATCCCAATGTAGGCCCCCACTAGCCCTACTCAGTGATTCATTGGGGTGAAAGCAGAGCTCAAGTTAGACATTTGTGATTGAATCTCCTTATGGTTAAATACATTGGCCAGCTTCCCTGCTTGGCATGCGAGCTGGATGTGGGTGAGCAGGAGCAAGTCATTAGCCTGGCTGCTGCAACAATCCAGCTCCTAAATGAATGGCAGCACCCACAGACAGCCCCAGCTGCCAGGGTGGGAAACGTTACGATGTTGGCTCAAGGGAGGGACATGTGAAAACACCATGGGGTTCTCAGGACTCTCTCTGTTGATTGATTTCAGTCTTGTTTCAGAAAATGCCATCTGTCTCTGAAGACAAGTATGAGATAGACTCAGAAGTGGCTGGTGGAAATAAAAAAATAAACTGTGCCTCCTTGGTGTGCTAAGGGCTTGATTGCTTAGCAGCATTCAGTGGCAGGATGATTTACCACAGGTATGTTGGCTCTCAGGACAAGAAAAGAGGAGAACATAATCAACCTGGGGACACAGCTTTCCCTGGTGTCTCACGGACTCATGCCATGAGACTGGATCTGTTACCCTTTATCCTGCTGCATCCAAGTATGGGAAGAAGAAAGTTGAAACTAGGAGGGCTTGGGGTGGGAAGTAAGGATTCTCCCCAAGGGCTCTCCAACTCTGCCATGCTTGAGAAGGAGGTTGGGAAGGGAAAGGGAAAAAAGAGAATAGGAGGCAGAAAGAAAAAGGCAGCTAGAGGAGACAGTAGGATTAGAGCCACCCAACGGATAGACTCCTTTTTGAGCAGACACTTATCAGTACTGCCAACATGAATCCCTTCATTCAACAAATACTTACTGAACATCTACTCTTGCTGTCACTGAGCCAGGTGCTGGGAATTTGAAGTAGACACGATGCACATCGTCAAAAGTTTCACAATAAACAAAAAAGAATTTGGGGGGGAAATTATGTTGATGAAATTAGGGAGTGTTACCTAAGCAGAATCAACGGAATGTTGGACAAATGCAGCAGGGAATAATGTCATCCAGCAATAGGCAAGTTGCCCAGAGTCTCAGAGCTGAACGCGCAGGCGTCAGCCAGAAGAAAGAGGCTGTGGGACAAGGATTTGCCGAGCAAAGGAAAAAGCATGTGCAAAGGTCTCAAAGCCAGAGCACATGGTTTCTTTGAAAGAGATGAGAGAATGCAAGCAAGAGGATGAGGGGAGGGAATGATGGAGAGGCAGAGAGAGGCTGAAAATGGGGCTTTCAACCACCATCCTGAGGAATGCGCAAAGCCACAGAAGGAGCACAATCAGGCCTGCATTTTAGAAAGATCCTTGAAGTAGCAGGTGAGGAATGAATTTCAGGGTTGGTGCAAGCTGGAGAAGGGCAGACCAGTTGGGAGGCTACTACGGTTTCCAGGAAAGAGATTGCTACAGTCTGTACTAGGGAGCAATTGTGGGGAATGAAGACAAGTGAATAGATTAATCATAATCCCACACATTGTCTAATCCACCCCTTATGAAACAGCACGATTTGGCTGGTAAATAGCATTGTGGTGAAGCTCTCAGACTCCAGGGGAGTTCAGTAGTCAAGTTCAAATCTGGGCTCTAACTTCTAGCTGTGTCTTTTTGGCAACTGACTTAAACTCCTAAAGCCTCAATTTCATTTGTAAAATGGAAATAATAGCAAAAGATTGGAGACTTCAACATATCCAGAATAAAATCATGTATGTCAATAATTTGTCACATTTAATAAACATTAGTTATTATATTTGACCCTTTATTTGTAATTGTTTCTTTTGCTCATGAGATCAGAACAAGTAATCCAAAATAATTTCCCCTTGAAGTTTTCAATTCCTGGAGTACACCCAGGAAAAGAAATCCTACCAGCTCCATGGAGAAGCCATTGGATAATATTTTCTCATTAGAGACTATCAGCTTATTAAGAAGACATGAGGTGAATAAAACAGCAACATAGTTAAATTCTGAGTGTCGGTGGGAGATTATTTTGTTGGGCATTGTCTATTGGTTCTCAGCACTATGTCTTCTCTTTAAAGCTCTGCCCTGTATCCCAGGGGGTGCCTAGAAAGTACATTTTTCAAACTCTACTGTCAGCAAGATTCTGATTTAGAATCTACTAATGAATGCAACTCACATAAGATTTAGAAGGGAAAAGAGAAGAAGGTACTATTCATTATCTTCTTCCAACGGTGGAAAGTAGATTCAGGGTGGTTGACAGACATGAGTTTTGCAGTAAATCTTGGGCAATCTTCCATTAATCACCTGCTTCAGTGTGGCAGGCAGCTGGGTTCACCACCAGCAGCATGCTGAGATCTTAACATTCTCCAATTTTCTGAAGGTTGTCCATGTTGCTTCCTGACCATTATCTCCCAAGTCTTTGGAAGATTTTGTAAGCAGCAGATTTCCTCTATTAAATATTTTCATGCTAAAATAACTAGAGTTGTTTCTGTTTTTCCGACTGATAGTCCCTTTATCCTTGAGCGTCACAGTATCAATCACAAAGGCATGGCATAGAATAGATACATTTCATGGCCCAATGTGGGACCAGCTAGCAGACAGCCTTTATTATACTGATAGCTTGCTGAGGCCAGGTGTCAACAAAGAAGAGAAATCTTCCCAGCTCTCTGTTCTATTTACAAAAACTTTGTTGATTTTATTTCTGTTACTTTCTGTTCATAGAACATAGCACAGAAAAATCATGTTATTTATTCCATTAAGGAAAATAAGAGATGATCTTGCTTGAGTGTACTTCTGGTTCCATGATGAAGATACTTTGTATAATTACTCACATGAAATAAACACAGTCCCTTACAGCTCAAGTTTCCCAAGGTTGATATAATCTGATGAGTAAGAGAATTTTCTGCACAACAGAGATGAAAGTAGCTAAGAAGAAAACTCAATGTCTGAGCCCCAGCTCCCTCCTTTTCTCCACACTATACATTTCCTCGTCAACTTTCCTTTCACCTTTTTGTTGCTTTCCCTCTTACTCCCCACATGGCTATATCCCTCCGTTAAGCCTTCCCTTTCTCTCTCCTCTATTCACTGATTTTTGCATATGGTACTTGAGGAATGTTCTCCTTCTTGCCTGGTATCTCCAACCCCTGAAGATTTTATTATAGAGTTAACAATGGTTCATTGAGTGCCCAACTGCAAGCTAGAGGCTGGGTATGTTTGTAGCTAGATGGGAGGAAAAGACTGTTCAAAGAGCATAAAATCCTGTCTACCTGCATAATACCTCCTCATTAAACTGTCAGCTCCTTGGATCTGAGAAAAATAATAACAAGGGACACTACAGGTAGCAAAAGCACAGACACAAAGTGAAGGCTACAGATTACTTCCATATCCCAGCTCAAATGCAAAGAAGACAGTTCTAGGAGACCTCCTGGAGGAGATGGCTTTTAAATTTAAATAAACTCTCTCAACTTGAGACAGAATATAGGATGGGGACTTTTTATTCCAGCTCTGTATTCATCTAGCTGGTGCCTTAGAACAAGTCACTAAACCTCTGGGATCATCACATCTAATGCCTTAGGTTAAAGAGAGAAACCTGAGGCTAAGGGACATAGTATCTTTTAGATCCTATAACCCCACCCAATCCAGGGCCAAGCTTTATGGAAATATGGTTTTGTACCTTGTTAAAAATTAACTTAATTTTTAAATTGACTTATTTCATTCACTATTTGGTCACTTGATTTCAAATAATAATTACATTAATTAACTTCTGGTCAATATGCAAGACTGAGTTAATGCAGGAAGTCCCAACCCTGCCCTAGACATACAGAAATGACGGGTGGCAAAAACAACTAACAACACGTTTAAACACATTGATGGACCAGAAAGCGGGAAAAGAAAATCCCCCAATGACAAAAATGAAAAAAAGACTCAAATCCAAAGAACTGAGCAGGAGGGATACACACAGTGCAATTAGAGCTTGTTACACACATTAGGGTCTGGAAGCATTAACTCCACAGGCTCTGTGTATACAAAGGTGGCAGAACCTCTCTGTCTCCATTAAACTAGAAGCTCGACAAGACTGTCCTACTGGAAAATGGAGAGAAAGGAAAACTCGGCTTATTGTTCAGGTATACATCACAGAAGCAGGCTGCCCATTCTAGGTCTTGGGTGAAAAAGATCAACTATGAAAAAATCAAAATTCTAGGATTGTGCCACATGAAATGTAGCATTCCAGTTGGAACTACCCAGGAGATGTGCTGCCAAAAAAATGAGAGAGAGAGAGCTGGGGGAAGCCAAGAAAAAGATTTTTTAAAGTTCTAGAATGAGTGAAAGCTATAGAAGGTAAAACAAAATAATCTATAAAGGCATCTCCACAATTTAAAACACTTAAGATTCATGGGAAACAAACTCACTAAAGATGGATTCAAAGTAAGAACTTGTGTAACATACAAATTACAATAAGAGATGGTCAAAAGATACAACAAGAAAAAAGTAAATACTCTGGAAACCATTAAAAATCAATTAAGCATGATTTCTGGCTTCCACTCAGGGATGTAAAGAGCTAAAATGGGTATCACACTCACACATTACAATGGAAAACACGTGGACAAACTTCTAACTCAAGGTGACCTTTATTTAATCCATGAAAGAGTTGAGGTCTCAGAACAACGGAAAAAAAAAACAGAAAATAACAAGTGTCGGTGGAGATGTGGAGAAATTAGAGCCTGTACACTGTTGGTAAGATTAGCAAATGTTACAGCTGCTGTGGAAAACAGCCATGAGGAACTCAAGAAAATTAAAAATAGAACTACCATATGATCTAGCAATCCTACTTCCAAAAAAATTAAAAACAGGAACTTGAAGAGATAGTTGAATGATTATTCATAATAGCCAATATGTGAACATGACCCTACATGTCTATCAATAAGTGAACAGAAAAAGAAAATGTGGTATAGACATACAATGGAATATTATTGTATTCAGCATTAAAAAAGAAAGAAATCTTATCATTTGCTACCATGTGGATGAACATTGAGCTCACTATGCCAAGTGAAATAAGTCAATCACAAAAACAATGAAAAATGCATGATCCCACTTATATAAGGTATCTAAAGTAATCAAACTCATAAAAACATAAGGTGGCATACTGGTTGCCAGAGTATAGGAGGAGAGAGAAATGGAAAGCTGTTGTTCAGTTGCTATAGAGTTTCAGTTATTCAAGATGAAAAAGTTCTAGAAATCAATAGTACAACAATGTACATATAGTTAACAATAGTGTAATACATTTTTAAATTGTTAAGGGGTAAATTCATGTGTTTTTATCACAATAACAAAAATAAAGATTTTCTTAGAGAAACTAAAACAGGGAATTCATTTGCCAGTAGATTTACCCTATAAGAAATGTTAAAGAAAGCTATTGAGGCAGAAGGAATATGATATCAGACTGAAGCCTCAATTTGCACAAAGAAATAAGGAGCAATGCAAATGGAATGAATGAAGGCAAAATGAAATGGATTTGTTTTCTTGTTTTTAATTTAAGGCAAAAATAGTATCACCATATTGTTGGTTTAAAGCATATGTAAAAGCAATATGTATAACAGCAACAACATGAAAGATTGAAGGAAGGAATTGGAAATATTATAAGGTCATTATAATACACCAAAGCAGCATCATATTATTTGAAGGAAGATTCTAGACAATTATAAATGTATACTGTAAACCCTGGAGAAACCACAAAAAAATTTTTAGAGACAAAAATAATAATTCAGTGAAATTTACAAAAGAATTATTTTTAAATGCTTAAATAACCCAAAAGAGGCATAAAAATTTGGGGAGGTGGAAACAAAGAAGAAATGTAATTAATAGTAAACAGCTAACAAAGTGGTAGATTTTAATCCGAACTTACAATAATCACATTTAAATAAGAATAGACTAGCTGTCAGATTGACTTTAAAAAGAAACAAACAACAACAAAAAAGACCCAGCCATATGCTGTCTGCTACAAACCTACTTTGAATAGAAAGACATAAGTTAAAGGAAATGCATCTTTATAAGTAAAAGAAAAATTATAAAGTAAGATACACCCTGCAAACACTAAACAAAAAGCTAGAATACTTGTATTACTATCTGACAAAGTGGATTTCAGAACAAATAATATTATCAGGACCAAACAGGGACATTACCTAACAATAAATGGGTCATTTCTCCAAGATAATTAACAGTTCTCCAAGAGAAAACAATATTCAATGAGTATACACATAATACATAACCAAAATACATAAACCAAAAACAACAGAACTGGAAAGAGAAAAAGACAAATCACAGTTTTAGCTGGAGACTTCAATATTCTTCTCTCGCAAATCAATAGAACAAGTAGAAAGAAAATCAGCAAGTATACTGAAGAACTGAGCAACACTAGTAACAACAAGAGCTAAATGGATGTTTATAGAACACTCCACTCAACGTGAAATATTTAAGAATACAACCAGATAGGTTGTATTTGGGGCCGTAAAACAAACCTGAACAAATTTAAAAGAAGAGATATAATACAAAATATGTGTTCCAGCCATAAAAGAATTACACTAGAAATCAATAACCAATATCTGTAAAATCCCCAAATATTTGGAAACTAAGCAACATACTTAGAAATTAGTCATGCATAAAAGAGGGACTATCAAAGTAGATTAAAATGCTTTGAACTGAATGAAAGTGAAAATGTAACACAAAAATTTGTGGGTTGCAGTTAAAGCAGTAGAGAGAAATGTATAGCATTTAATAACTTATATTAGAAAACTTTAAGTTTCATATTAATCACCTAATCTTTCTTATTCACAAAGTAGAAAAAAAGAACAAACGAAACCACAGCAAACAGAAGAAATAATAAAGAGCGAACAAAAATAAGTGAAACCAAAAATAAATCAATGATACCAAAACCTGGTTACTTGAAAAGATCAATAAAAGTGATAAACTTTTAGCCAGAGTGGCCAAGAATTAAAGAGAGATAACAAAATTACCAATATCAAGGACAAAAGACCTACAGCTAAGGAGAAAGACTGAATGCTTTCCTGCTAAGATTGGGAACGAGGCAAAGATATCTTCTCACTCTTATTCAACATTGTACTGGAAGTCCTCACAGTGCATTAACACAGGAAAAACTATTAAACTCATAAAGATCAGTAAGAATAGGTAAAACTGTCTCTATTCTTAGACTACATGATTATCTATATAGAAAGTCTTTTTTTTTTAATCTACCAAAAAAGCTCCCAGAACTAATGAGTTTAACAAGGTTCAGGTTATAAAATCAACACAAAAATGTGTTTCTGCTTCCATATACTAGTAACGAACACTTGGAATTTGAAAATTTAACAATAATACCATTTATGACAGCATTAAAAAATACTTTGGTATAAATCTAACAAAATACTGTGCAGGCCCTATGTGCTAAAGACTATAAAACACTGATGTAAGAAATCAAAGAAGACATAAATGACTGGAGGTATATAACATATTTGTGAACTGGAAAATTCAGTATTGTTAAGGTGTCAATTTTCCATGTTTTTAATCTATACAATCAGGGCAGTCAATGCCCATCAAAATCCCAGCAGGCCTTTTTATAAATCTCAACAAGCTGATTCTAAAATTTCCATTGAAAGGCTAGAAAATACAATAGCCAAAAAGAAAAACAAAATTGCAGGACTAACACCACACAATTTAAAGACTTACTATAAAGATACAGAAAACAATACAGCAAAGTATTGGTTAAAGGATAGACACATATATCAGTAGAACAGAAAAGAGAGCCCACAAAGGAAAGACTCACACAAACACAGTTAACGTTTTTTTGGCAAAGGCAATTTAATGGAGAAAGGAGAGTGTTTTTAACAAATGGTGCCAGACGGGGATGGTGACTCATGCCTGTAATCCCAGCACTTTGGGAGGCTGAGGCGGGCGGATCACAAGGTCAGGAGTTCAAGACCAGCCTGGCCAATATGGAGAAACCCTGTCTCTACTAAAAATCCAAAAACTAGCTGGGCATGGTGGCAGGTGCCTGTAGTTCCAGCTACTCAGGAGGCTGAGGCAGGAGAATCGCTTGAACCCAGGAGGCAGAGGTTGCAGTGAGCCAAGATTGTACCACTGTACTCCAGCCTGGGCGACAGAGGGAGACTCCGTCTTAAAAAAAAAAAAAAAAAAAAAAAAAGTACCAAAACAATTTGAAGTTCATGTCCCAAAACTAAACGTTTTCCTATTCCTTACAATTGACACAAGAATTAGCTGCATAGGTTATAAATGAAATGTATATAACGATAATATTTCCAAAAGAAAATCTACGAGAAAATCTAAGTGGCCTTGGGTTAGGCAATGATCCTACACCCAAAGCATAATCCAAAAAAAAATTGGACTTTATCAAAATTTAAAATTTTTGTTCTGTAGAAGACTGCTAAAAAATAAGAAGAATAGACTGAGAGAAATTATTTGCAAGTAACATTTCTGACAAAGGACTTTTATCCAGCACATAGTAAAGACCCTGAAAACTCAACCAGAAAACAAACAACCAAATAGAAAAATGGGCCAAAGATATGAATAGATATTTCATTTTAAAAAATCAATGGATAACAAATAAGTATATGGAAGGGTTTTTGGCATTATCACAGAAATGCAGAAAACACAATAAGATACTACTACATACTTATTAAAATGTCTAAAATCAGAAAACACTAACAATATCAATTGCTGGTGAGAATACAGAGCAACTGGAATGCTCACAAAAAACTGTCGATTGGAATTTAAACAGCCACTTTGGGAGTAGTTTGATAGATCCTTACAAATTTAAGCACACACCTACCATATGATCCATCAACTCCACTTCTAGTTATCTATCCAAGAAAAATGAAAACTTATGTTCACATCAACCGCCGCATATGAATGTTTATTACAGCTTTATTTATAATCTCCTCAAACTGAAACAATCCAAATGTCCTTAAGCTGATGAATAGATCAACAAACTGTGGTACATTCATACCATAGAATGTTACTCAGCAATAAAGGAACAGACAATTGATGCATGGAACATGTATTAATCTTAAATGCACCTTATTACATAAAAGAACCCATGCCCAAAAAGCTACATATTAAACAATCTCATTTATATGAATCTCTGGAAAAGGCAGAACTATAAGAAAGCAAAATAAATTAATGGCTGCTGGAGAGAGGGTCGGATGTAAAAGGACAGCAGAGAATTTAAGGGATGATACACCTGTTCTGTAGTGGACTATAGTGGTAAGTACGTGTCTGGACATTTGTTAAAATCCATAGTACTGTACACCAAAATAATGAACTTTATATCGTGTTTTTTTCAATCAACCAGTATGTGGGGTATGGGGAGTTGGAAGGCAGACTAATAAATGACTGACTACATTTCAAATTAATCTCATAGCCACCCTGAGGAAGAAGTAACTGAACTAAGTAACTCTGGAATGCAATATACGTTTGTAGTATACTAAAGTTGAACAAGTAGGTAAATATGTTATAGACAGTGACAGCCAGTTTCTTACTATGTAGGAGAAAGAAGTTACAAATAAGTAAAGGAAAAGAAGGCCAGAGTGAATCTTATGGTGCTGGATTAGGGTGGGATGTATCAATATGAACCCAGCATTTTTGTATTTTGGAGTGGGGAATGGGAGAGAGCTGTGTGTGTATATGAGTTAGTACACACACACACACATGTTTTCTACTTCTGTCTGCTAAGACAATGATATCCAGGTTGCAGTGAGCACACCTTGCACCCAGAACTTGGTTTCTAATTACCATTTCTCAATAAAAGAAGTAAGAGCTCCTTGGAGAACAGGTTGATACCACGTTTGAGGCAGGATAAATGAAAGATGAGTCTGCATCTTCTTCTGACGTCAGAAATTAAAGAAGTGCTTTTTAAAAAGATGGTGCCATGTTGAAAGAGCACAGACGCCAACCTGAAAGAATTCCTAGTAGCCAAAATTAGAATAACTTGAGCAACAAAACAAGTAGGGGTAGAACTGAATTACACCCCCAGTTAATAAAATAAATCTCCATAGGTCCATGTTAAGACAAATTAAAAAAGAGAGAAAGGGAAACAAGACAACTTTTCTTTACAGAAGAAATTTCAGTTTGTGAATGTGGAAGAATCAGGGAAATACAAAATCACTATTAAAACACCACAAAAATAATCAATGCAGACAAGATCCATAAAAAGATGCTAAAATGAGTGGGGAGAAATTTAAGCAGAAACTGAATATTTATATAGTTTCAAAGTATCTCCAAAATTCTTAGTAATTAAAAAGGGGACTATAGTAGCTTTACAGTGAAGGATCCTGACAGATGCCACTTTAACCAAGGAATTGAGGTCAACATCATCAGTAGTATTTATCAATATCATGTGCTTCCTGGTGCAAGGCACTGAGAAAGGCACACCACCTCTGCAGCATCTCCCCAATAATACATAAGCTCAGTATAATCAGGAGAAAATGTTAAAACAACCTGAACTGAGGGAACCATCTACAAAATAACTGACCAGTGCTCCTCAAAAGTGTTGAGGTCACCAAAGACAAAGAAAGAAAGAGAAATTGTCACAGATTGAAGGAGATAGAGGAAATACAGAAATAAATGCCACATGGGATCTGATTGGATCTTAGAATAGAGAAAGGACATTAGTGGAGAAATGGCTGAAGTCTGAATAAATTCTGTAGTTTAATGATACTGTACCAAGGTTAATTTCAGAGATTATTATTTTATGGTTATGTAAAACACTAATATACAGGGAGGCAGGGTAAAGGGTTTACTGGCCTTCTTGGTAATATTTTTGGAACTTTCCTGTAAGCGTAAAATTTTCCAAAAATAAAGTTAAAATAGATTAAATGGAACATTTTTAACACTGTTGTAAAATATTTTTCAAAAAGATAAACATAAGTATAGAAGCTCCGAGTCAATAAAAGGATAATTTAGAAAAAAATTGGTTTTAGACATATTTAAACAGAATTTTATGAAATAAAAATATAATCACTGAAATTTAAAGAAAAAGAGAAAACATAGGTAAATGACTGGTTAAACTGTAGACATAGCCAACCAAAGAGAGTATCAGTAAATGGACATTCAATATCAAAATTTACTGAAAGTATTGCATAGAGATAGCAGATGGGGAATGTGAAAGAGAAGTAAGGAGTATGGAATAAAGAGCAAGAAGTAAGGAAAATAGATGATGAAGGAAAGGATACATCCAAAAACATGACGTAGGAATTTTTCAGGGTAAAAGAGAGATTCCTCAGATTCAAAAATCATTAGTCATGATCAGGATAAATTTAAGCAGCTTCAGAATTTTTAACCCAAACCTTTATGAGAAACAAGTTTATCAACTAGAGTATTATGTTTGTGTGCAATTCTTTTGCCTGTTTTACTAGATACACTGCATTCCAAGGTTCCTTCGGTTAACTCCTTTCTTCCCTTCAGTGGAATTACGTGATTTGTTTTAAATGCAGTTACATTCCTTTGCCCTAAGTCTGCATTCTAACTCACCCACACACACATACAGACACCCTGGTTGATTTTTCTATATTTACATACAGTAAAATATATTCTTTGTGGTTTGTCATTCTATGCATTTTAAGAAATACACAATCACGTGCCCCACCACCACACTTCCATACAGAAGAGATCTACATATGATTTACAGACTATAATTATCTCCATTTTACATATGAGTAAATGGGAGGAAAAAGAGGTAAGTAACTTTGCCTGAGGTCATCCAACTAGTAAGCAAAGAGCTAGACTTACGTTTGGGCAGTCTTGGCCCCAGAACGCCAGCTGAAAAATTCTATGCTACCCTTGGGTTTCCACACCCAGCCCAAGTCTACATGAACATTTGATTGCCAGAAACCCTGCCACCAAGGGATCCCAAAGGTGCAGGTGCAGGTGCTGAAGTCCACTGCTACGGGATGTTGAGAACCTGACCCAACCTTCTGGGAAAAGAGTCATGAGTACACAAAGAGCACTTCTTTCAAACTGTCAAATAGCTTGAGATTGGAGAACAAAGGAGACACATCTTGATTTCTAGCTTCATATTTCCTGAGGATTAGATTAATCTTCTAGCCTGTGACCCTTTGAAGGTACAGATGACATTGTATTCATCTCTATATTCCTATTACTTAGCAAATGGCCGAAGATTAATCTACATTTCTTGAATGAATGCATGCAGCAATCAATGAAAGGTTATAAATTTAAATATCAAGAGCTACCAGAGAAAAGTTATGGACCATAAGATTTTCTCCCTCTTTCAAATGACATTCTATATCCTTCTCATCACATGGGAAACATTATACCCCAATCCTCCAGTCCTACTAACAGGGTCTCAGGCACCATGGTCTCCACAGTCTGCATAGGCTGTAGATATACTTGACCTGTTAGCTAAATTATAGATAATGGCGTGGGGCTTAGTGTTTCTCTGAAGCTCTTTCAGCCACATGGAACTATGTGGTAATGCAAGTCAATGTGAAACAAACATATGAATAGATGATGGGGGATGGATGGATGGATGAACCAAAAGATTCCAACACATTTTAAATAAAAAGCTACACTTACACAGGATTTTTTGGTTCTCTTTTATAGCCATATCCCCAGTGCCTACCACATGCCTTATGCACAATAGTTTCTCAATAAATATTTATTGAGTAAAAGAGGAATGAAAAGGAAATGGCTGATAAGTTGTCACCGCTACCAAACACTAAAAGGTAGAGGCATTCTTAGCTTGTTCATATATATATATATAGAGAGAGAGAGAGACAGGGTCTCACTCTGTTGCCCAAGTGGTACAATCATTACTTAACTGCAGCCTTGACCTCCCAGGCTAAAGTGACCCACCCGCCTCAGCCTCTGGAGTAGCTGGGACTACAGGCATGTGCCACCACACTCAGCTAATTTTTTGTATTTTTAGTAGAGATGGGGTTTTGCCATGTTGCCCAGGCTGGTCTCAAATTCCTACACTGAAGTCATCCACCCACCTCAACCTCCCAAAGTGCTGGGATTACAGGCATAAGCCACCACGCCCAGCTTGTCCATATAATTACATAAGCTAAGCTGTACCTCAGCTTCTCTAACAATTTCTGCTAAGACTTATGAGACATTTCAAAGAGCTGATCCTTGTAGGCTGATGTTTGCATATCCAGCCTATATAATGTGGGAATATCTCGAAGTTAAACAGATTTTCTAAAGCCCTAGTAAAAGAATGCAAAGGAGAGGAAGAAACTTCCCAAGGGTCAATAAGACGATCTACTGAGATACCATCAACTTTCTTCACTGCACTCACCAGAATCTGCAGGCAATAATGTTCAGAGACACAACACTCCTCACATAATCAGAAGATAAAGCATTGCTAATGACATCCAGGGAGACCCTCACTAGAGCAAATTGGCCTGGATGGAAAGCAAATTTGCATGGCAAGGCAAGCAGCCAACAGGCTGTAGTGGCAGATGCTCTATGCCTGACCGTGTAAAACAGAATCATAGTTTCAACGTGCATCACTTCCTTTGGTCCTGTTGAGTTCTGGGAACGTGAGGGCAGATTCTCAATTCCACCTTCCAGCATAGCCTTCTACTCAATAATTCCTTATGCAGGATCATGTTTATTGAATCAATAAGCGCATACACTGTCCTTGAAATCAGTGTGAATATGCTCAATTTAAAAATAACTGGAGTGTTGCTTGGTCCCCAGGGTATTCCCTGAAGAACTCCTGCCAAGGAGAGGGTCTGCTTCTCAGGGGTAAGAATTTATAAAGGAGACAGCATTTCATGAATCATAAATTTCTGTAGAAGCAAGTTTTCTCTTTAGGACCTGCAAGACCACAATCAATAGTGAGCTTTGAATAAAGTTCTTCATAGAGACAGCATGCAAATGCTGTCCCTCAGAATCTGAAAATTAGGATTCAAGGTACCCTGCCTGTTCATGGTGGAGTAGGGCTTTGTTAGCAAAACCCAATTTCAATGTTTGTCCAAACTCACCAAGCACACTCCTGTGAATCACTCATGCCAACTCTGCAGAGCCCATCTACTGTGGAACCTGGTACATTTCTGGTACAGAGCCGTCCAGGAAATTCTCTGTCCTGTCACTCATTCCCTTTGTCTCACAAGAGGAGCATTTTCCTCCACCATGGTCCTCAGGAAGACAAGCCCCTCTCAGAACAGTAGATGGCTCTGAAGCTGAGGGAACACGAGGCACATTCACAAATACCAAATTCACTACAAATTACACAGAGGGACCAGGAAAGCTGCCCTGCAATGTGCTGGAGTCTTGCCCTGTCACCGTCCACTACCCTGAATGGAGGGAATGGCTGCATCATGAAGTTGTGCTGGTCATTCTGTTTGCTTCCTTGGCATCAATCTCCATCCTTCTCTGCCCTGGGGGTGGCCTCCAGGAAATGCATCTTCAGGGCTCCTTTGCTGCCTGCCTACCAGCAGGCAAGAAGATTCGAGGGTCGGGTAGGGGTCAGAGGGCCCTCTTTGGGCCACTGTGCTGGCAGGGTCTTCTCCCCTCTGCACGTCAGCCCCTACTGGGCAGCCACTTCTCCCCCCTCAGCTCTCACTGGGTTCCAATAACACTGTTCTCTGACCTTGATGCTTCAAGCCAAGAGGTGGTAAAGACCCCTGCTCTTGCTTGTCTGTGGGTGCCTCAATATCCCTTGTTGATCCTCATAACCCTGCCCATTGCTCTGAAAGTCTTCCTTTCACCAAATCATCCATCAGACTTGTGTTTCCTGGCAGGGCTCTGGCTGGTGGAGAGGTGCCATGGAAAAGGTATTCATCTTGGATTAAGGGAAGCTGAGTTCTGAACGCTGCTCTGCTTCTGACTAGCTGTGTGATCTTGAGGAAACCACTTCACCTCTCTGGGCCTCAGCTGCCTCATCATCAAAATGTGGAGGGTGAATAGTCCAGGGGAGCCCTCACCACCCTCTGGGCTCCCTTTTACACACACACACACACACCAGCAGTCCCAGTGGCATGCCTCCAGAACCCCAGGGCTGTGAAGGCTGTGTTTGAAAGCTATAGTCACTCTTATTCTATTATTGACTTTGATATTTGATATACGATTAGATGACCTTCTCTGGAGAACTTACCGAATGACTATGACAGCAATGCACTTAAGAGACACTGCTTAGGGATTTACAGGCTACCCTGGAGGAGCATGCTGGGGCACCAATTGCACCACACATTGTTCCCCTCCTATGGCAAGGAGGCCAGCCTTCCTCCATGTCATCTGCCATGCCTGGGGCTGTCAGAGGTAGGGAGAGTGGAGGGGATGCTCTGTGATGAGACACCTGTACCCCTGAGGACAGGTCTCAGGAGAAGGCCACAGCTGTGCACCCTCAAGGCCGAGACTCTCAGCACCTGGGGTGGAGGGATGGGGGGCCTCCCACAGCAGCCACTCCTGCAACCCCTCTGTTTCTAAGCACCCCATGGCTTCCCAAGTGCTTTCCTGTTAATCACCTGCCGTGATGCTTGCAGCATCCTTGTGAGGGCAGCTACATTTGACAATTACATTTGACAAGTAATAGACAAGCACGTTTGCGGTACCTGAAGAGTCAGAGGCCTTCCCCAAAGTCATCCAGCCCAGCCAACAGGGGGCACTGGAACCAAACTCCAGGCGCTGTGCATCTTTTCCGGAACTAAACATTCAATTCATGTAGATGATTAAACTAAATTACTGGCTTTGAGGGCTTCATATTTGGAATGAAGCCAACCTTTGTGTGTTTCCATTCATGATGAGAAGCATGTCCCCTGGCTCTTCTCCACATTGGTCACAGGCCTACCCTGAAATGAAGACAGCTGTCTGTGAACCTTGACCTCTTATGTGTACTTCCCAAGTGCTTTTGTGAAGGTAATCTCACACAGGTGGGGCTGCTTTGGCCAAGGTCACAAAGCTATTTTCCTCCCCAACCAAGTTTGGTCTAGAGTTCATGTCCCTTGATTCTCAGTCTGGTGCTGTTTCTATCCCCCTCATTGTCCTTTAGTCATTCAACAAACATGTGTAGAGACCTACCATGGACCAGGCCAGTGCTAGCAGCTGGGTGAAGGAAGAGTGGTGAGCAAGGTCCAGTCCCCACCCTTAAAGGAGTTTAGAGGCTGGTGGGAAAATTGATGCAAAGGAATTGCTGTGATGAAAGTGTGTGTCCAGTGTGCTGGGACACAAAGGAGGAGCACTTCAGCCTTCTTTGCTGAGACTGTGCAGAGGTGCAGGGGAAGGGCTGAGGCTGGAAGCTTTTGAGGATGAGTAGGTGTCCTCCAGGTGGAGCACGGTGGGAGGAAGCAGCATTCTGAGGAATAGAAGGAGCTACCTGGGCAAAGGCATGAGTACGCATGACCCACATGATAGCTCAGCATGGCAGAAGCATCCAGTTCAAGGGGCATGGCCGTGATGACCTGGGACAGGTCGTCAGGAGCCCAGGAACAGAGTAACTTCTCTAAGTCCATAAGTAGAGCAGCAATTTCCTGGGGAGGGGACCACAATGAAATTTGGGCTTCAGAGCCATCAAAGGATTTTCAAGTGAGTCATAGCAGTATACCTCTGCAATGACAGCCTCACCCAGGCATGGTGTCTGAGACTTTGACCAAAAAGGTTGGAAAACCACAACAACAAAATAATAACACTTACTAGAGCAGCTGACAGACATACAGCACTTAGCATGCCAAGCACCAGAATGAGCCTTCCCTAGTGTTATGAACAGAGTTTTATTGCAACATGTCTGACTTGTCTCACTCTGTGCAAAGAAGATGTGAACAGGCTTTAAAAAATAGTCACCCCTGCTGTTATGGCTATCAGGCTCAGCTCTCTCAGGAAGCTGCTCTGAGCCTAGTAGGATGAACTCACCTCTGGGTCTCCTGAACCTTGGCTGAGAACCTAACATCCTCAAGATGAGTTGCCAAGAGTTTCCTGAGTTCTATGCTTTGCCTCCTTGGTGAGTCTGGGGCTCCTGGGGCCAGAGATCACATATGTACCCTTCATATCACTGAGAGCTATACTGCACACATTGAGGATGTTGAATAAACAAAGATGGATGGAGGTGGCTCCCTCCTCTACCCCAAACACAGCTACAAGGTACAAGCTGTGCGTGTCCTTCCTGACAGCTTGTCTGTCCAATGTGTCTCCCCAGGAGGGACAGCATTGATTCCCTGGCATCTTACCTTCCTGTGATCAATTTCTCTTGACATTTGTCAGACTCTAACACCTCTTCTGCCGCCCTTCAAGGGGCGGGTTCTTTCCATGGAAACTGTGAACACAGCCCATTTGAAGGGAGATGGCTGTTTCCTTCTGTTTTTCCTCCACTTTTTAGTGGAGAAAAATCAAGGCAAAGGAGACCAGAAAGAAGAGGAGCTAAACAACTGCAGAGAAACAAAAACGCTAGGTGCAGGGTTTCAAGTACTGGATGTTCTCAAACGGTCAGAAGGTAGCCTAGCAGGGGCTTAGAGTTAGCCACTTCCTACATGGTGATTTTCTCCCCAACCTCTGGTAGAGCCTGGAGTTCCATGTTACAGAGTCATCCCTATGGATTCTGAGTGTTTTCCCATCTCTTTCCTCTGTCAGTAGCCAGGAAGGTGGTTATTAAACCATAAACACTTAGTAGCCAAGATCTCAGAAATTAATTTAGCATATGCTGCTAACTTGTCCTCATGAAAGTGGGACTGCAATATGGACTACAGAGAAAGCAAGACTCCAGGAAGGTGGAAAAATCAGAAGAAGGAAGGGATATCCAACACACCCTGAGTAGGCATCCATCCTATGCCAAATGCTTAACAGGCATGATCCATTGTCACTGCAATCCTTATAAGAGCAGGTGTCATTTTCCCGACTTACAGATGAGACATCTGAGGCTCTCCAAGGAGAATTTACTTGGCAAAGGTCATTGTCTTTGTTTGTGTTGTTATTAAATAATACCTGAGACTGGGTAATTTATAAAGAAAGAAAGATTTA
This sequence comes from Homo sapiens, assembly GCF_000001405.40. NCBI lineage: Eukaryota > Metazoa > Chordata > Mammalia > Primates > Hominidae > Homo > Homo sapiens. Next base: position 111,205,385 of record NC_000010.11, on the reverse strand, counting down.
ATATTTGGCTTGCAATTCTGCTGGCTGTACAATTGGGTACCTGGTAAAGGCCTCTGGCTGCTTCCACTCATGATGGAAGGGGAAGGAGAGCCAGCATGGTGAGAGAGGAAGCAAGAGAGGAGAGGAGAGGCACCAGGCTCCTTTTGCAAACCAGCTCTGGCAGGAACTCATACAGAGAGAACATGCTGGTTACCATGAGGATGACACCAAGACACTCATTAGAAGCCCACCTTCATGACCCAAACACCTCCCATGAGGCCCCACCTCCAACATTGGGGATCAAATTTCAACATGACATTCGAGGGGTAAACAGTCAAACCATAGCAGTCACATAGCTAGGACAGGGCAGGTCTGGATTTGCTCCCCGCTGATGAGCGTGGCGTCACATGGGCCCCCCAACTTCTTTAGAGATTCTGATGCAGTTGATGTGGGCGGAAAGGTCAAACAGGCTGTATTCTTTTCTCCCTGGACTCTCTAACCATAAACTAACACACACACACAAAAGTGCCATCTGGTCCTCCCTGTGGCTCTTAAAACAGCTCAATGTACTTTCTCATGTTCACTTTCATCCTTTCAACAGCCCTGTGAGGAGGATGGCAGGGTGGCTATCCCTGTTTTCTTGATAAGAAACTGAGAAATAAAAGAATTATCACTACTGTGGTACTGATCACTTTTTACCTTATCAGGCTTTGAGCTAGATGGATTTGGGTTAAAATCCTTGCTCTGGTCCTAGGAGCTGGAGCAAGCTATTCTCTTCCACCAACCTTTGCTTTCTCATCTCTAAGATGGGAAAAATACATGCTTTGAGTATTATAAAAATTAAAGACAATCATATATGAAAACCAGTTAATGCAGTCTAGCAAATAGTAAGAACTCAACAAATGTCATTTATTATTTCTTTTGTAATGTTGGGAACATAGCTTATCCCTCTGACCAATCTGCAAGGCCCTTGCCAACGCCACAACCCACATTCAATTTCAGACCCCTCTTCCCTCCAGAACTGAGCACAGCATCTGGGATATAGCAAATATTTTATATATGCTTGAAGAATAAGTAAAATAATTTAAAATAAATGAGAAGGATAGAAGAAAAAATTATTCACAATATCCACAATACCCTGATCTACGCCATGACCAATCAGCCAGGAAGCCAGGTGAAAGGGCAACACCAGCGAACCCTAATTCCTACCAGGACATACTCTTATGTGTCAGCTTTGATTCTGGCTCTAGCCAGGCTGGAGAGGGAGTGGGAGAAGGAGGTTTGAGAAGGATCTGAGAAAACAGCTGACATTAAATGACTCATTTTCAAAAGCCAACAAACTAAATTCAAACTATACAGGAGATTACATGGATAAAATTTATGATTTTTATATATGTTTTATATTTATATATAATGCATATGTATTTTTATATATGTAATGCATATATATAAAATGTACATAGTTTCCTTGGACAGTTTGACAATCCCCTTGGGACCTACTTTATGACAGGGAAGCTATTTTCAGACAGATGTTAAGAAACAGAGTCTCTGCTGAGGACCTTGGCGTGCGCCTCTATTGCTCAAAAGACTTGGGGGTGGGTGGCTCCCATTGGCTCCTCCCAAGTGATCTGGGGACAGCCTCCCCTCTTCCTCATTCAGAGCAGGGCTGGGATTCTAAGCCAGGAAAAAGTTCTCAGAAAAGAGATGGGTCATGAAGGACCAGGGCCAGAAAACTGGAGGAAAGATCAAGTATTTAAAGGAATCCAGGGAATTGAAGTGACTTTGTTTTCACAACAAATTAATTTGGAGAGAACATACATTCATTCTCCTTTGAGCTTGCTTTAGAAAAATATCCATATTAGCCGTGGCAAATAATCAGAATGACACTCAAGTGGTTCTAATGTGATCCATATTCCCAGTGCATTCTGCGGATTTGGAGCAAGGCTAAGCAACGGTGAGAAAGAAATTAGAACCGAAATTTCAGAAAAGGAGCTGGAGAGTCCTACACAATCCGAAGGAGACTTGTCCCCATCCAACTCTCCCAAGTGCCCTTCGGCGTAATCCTGTTGGGTCACAAGATGGACTCCAGGACTCCTGGAGTGGCCCTCCCCACTCTGAACACCTGCTGCAGTCACCCACAGTCAAAGTCATCTGAAGTCTCTGATCGTGACCCATGAGTGGTGTGTAGTATCTTCCAGGAGGCCCCTGACTCTGTTAACAAGAAGTGGGGTGCACAGCCAGGCCTTCTGCCCTCGGTAGGCTGCAGGACCCCAAATCCTGATCTAACCTTCCCTACCTAGACAACCCTGCCTGCTGGGCCCTCCCATGCCCGTAGCGTTCTCCCAGCCAGCCCCATCCATGGGCTCTGTCTGTGCTCCTCCTCCAGCTGAGTTTTTGGATCTTTCCCAAAAAATATACCAAGATTTGGTATGGGAAACAGTAGAATCTGAGGGAAGGATGGAGGAAAAGAAAGGAGGAAGGAATTCAGAAAAGAAGGGTGGTGGTTAGGGAGGGAAGAGAACATTTCTTAGGCATCCTAACAACTCTGTGAAGTAGGCCATGTTATGCTTTATTTTACAGACAAGGAAACTGAATCGCAGAGAGATTAAGTAACTATCAAGTTCACACAGCTGACCAGTGCAAGAGCTGACAGTTTAACCCAGGACTCCCTGGCTCCCAGTTCACATCCTACACATTTTCCCAATGAGTCAAGGGTGAATTCGTTTCTGGAATTGTTAGAAATTAGCAAATTGCCTAGGAATAAAAAAAAAAAATCATGAAACTCAACAGATTCCAAACTCACTGTGCTTACTGTCACACTCACACCCAGCTGGACCCAAATTGAGGGTGTTTGGTTGACCATTGTCACAACAAGACAGGCACCTCTCCACACTGTGAATGGCAAGGAAGTCCTGAGCTGCTTGTCACACCACCCTGAGACATCTAGGACATCTGGAAAAGGCCCTGGGGGGAAAAGCTTCCCCCCAGAAAGATTTATTTTCCCCTCCTTATTCAGTAATTGCAGGGAAAAGAATGCTGCAGGTGGTCATGGTGTCCATCCCAGGGTTTACAATAGTCAAGGAACCTATCTCCTCAGGGACACACGAAAGCTCTGAGGCCCCAACTGCTACCCCACATCATTCCAGTATATATATGTATGTAGATAGATGTAGATATAGGAAAAGATTGATATTCATGGGCAATTGGTCTCATTTTAAGATCTATGTATATTATATGGTACCTACCTCTGCGTCCCATGTGTATGAATATCGATATTGACATTAAAAGAAAATGAATTCCTCATTGGGATGTCTGTCTTGCTGACACCTTAAGCGTGTATGTTATCTGCCCGTGGGTGAAGTCAGCACTATACTAACAGAAATTCTTTTCTCAGAAACATTACAAGAGGGGTTGGAGGTGTGTAGAAGAAAGCTGCTGCCTCACATGAAGAGTGTGTGGCTTGGAAAAGCCCCTGTATCTCTCTCTTTCCATTTCTGGGTGCCCAGGAAGCTCCGATTTTATTTTATTTTTTTAAGATGAAGTCTCACTCTGTCGCCCAAGCCGGAGTGCAATGGCACGATCTCAGCTCACTGCAACCTTGACCTCCTGTGTTCAAGTAATTCCCCTGCCTCAGCCTCCCGTGTAGCTGGGATTACAAGTATGTGCTACCACACCTGGCTAATTTTTGTATTTTTAGTACAGATGAAGTTTCACCATGTTGGCCAGGCTGGTCTCAAACTCCTAACCTCAAGTGAGCCACCTACCTCGGCCTCCCAAAGTGTCCGTTGATATTAAATCAAGACAAAGTACTCCTGGGTCTTCTCTCAGAAACCAGTTTATCATCGCTCAGGCCTCAGTGGAAAAAGCCCAGGTAAAGGAGCCATCATGAACAAGGAACATGAGGGCATTAATGGTGCCACTGCCTCCACCCCCAAAGGAGCTACAGAGCTCACACGTTGTCCCTCTAACTTTACCATGACTTGTTTTTACAAATGAAAAGTGTATTTGGAATATTTCAGGGCCCCTTAGAGAGGAATACACTGTGTTCATCTACAAATGTGGCTTTCCTAAAATAAGACAAGTACATTATGATTTTGACACAAACTGAAGAGAATCATTAAGGCAGGTAGATCAAAGTGGCTTTCTGGACCATTCATGAGCTTGTGATTTCTTTGAATAGGATGCTTATTTTTCACTGAGTATTTTGCTTGAGCATACTATTCTCTCAGTAATAAGAACCCTCCCTCCCATCATTTTTTTCTCAGAGGAATTCAAAGCCTGTAGATTCAGCCTTTTAGATAAAGGACACACCTCCTCCAAAGCTCTCCTTCTCTGATCTCTAAATCTCTTTCCACTCCCACACCACCTGGCTCTTAAGGAAATAAACATGTGGAAGCTGCAGGGGAGAAGCCCATGAGAAAAGGCAGGTGTGCGACAGGTGCACCTGGTCTAGGAGGGAAGGAGCACTTTTAATTGTCCTGATAAGGAAGAATCTGAGAGGGGAGAGAGGTGGAAAGCCTGCTCTCAAACCATGTCAGGTGGTGGGTGGGGATAAAAGAACTTGAAAAATCAATAGGACTTGAGATAAAAAAGAGAAGAATCGTGGAGGAACTGGTGATCTGAGGCCACTAAATTTCAGAAGATGTAGGTCAAAGCCTTTGCTGTGTTCTCTGTGGCTCTCCAGGCATGGCAACAGGGCAGGAGAGAGTGGCCATGGGGAAACCCAAATTAATGGCTGTGCACTGAAAAATCAGGAGTGAACTCACAGCATCTATGAATTTAAATATTGCCTACCCTTGGCCAGGCATGGTGGCTCACGCCTATAATCCTAGCAACTTTGGAAGGCTCAGGCAGGTGAATTACCTGAGCTCAGGAGTTTGAGACCAGCCTGGGCAACATTGTGAAACCCCATCTCTACTAAAAATAGAAAAAATTAGCTGGGCGTGGTCGTGGGTGCCTGTAATCCCAGTTACTCAGGAGGCTGAGGCAGGAGAACTGCTTGAACCCAGGAGACAGAGGTTTTAGTGAGCCAAGATCGTGCCACTGCCCTCCAGCCTGCATGACAGAACAAGACTCTGTCTCTAAATAAATAAATAAGTAAATATTAGGTTGGTGCAGAAGTTATTGCACTTCTTTCATTACTTTTTTTTTTTTTTTTTGAGACAGAGTCTCACTCTTTCACCAGGCTGGAGTGCAGTGGCACAATCTCGGCTCACTGCAACCTCCACCTCCTGGGTTCAAGCGATTCTCCTGCCTCAGCCTCCTGAATAGCTGGGACTACAGGCACGCACCACCATGCCCAGCTAAATTTTTGTATTTTTAGTAAAGGTGGAGTTTCACCATGTCGGCCAGGATGGTCTCAATCTCTTGACCTCGTGATCCACCCGCCTCAGCCTTGTCATTACTTTCAATGGCCACAATTATTTTTGCACCAATCTAATAAATAAATAAGTATTGCCTACCCTAAATACTGTCAACTTAGAACCAACTGAGTTGCACATCCAATCGATGAGCTCAATATTACAGCTATATGATCAATGTCTGTGGGCCAAGGCCATGCTCAGAGGGAACATCAGGCAAGGCCCTCGGCTCACTGTGACCTCCTGCCAAACATCTGACTCCCTTAGACTTGGCAGCTTTCCTGTCCTATCTGAATATAGCTGGCAGAATTCCCCCGCAAAACTGGATCCTTTTGCCTAACTTGAAACCATGTATTTGTGTGTACATATGTGTGTGTTTTCTCTAATCTAAACAGTGAAATACTATGGACTGCATTGTGTCCCCCAAAATTCATATCCCTAACCCACGATGTGATTGTATTTGGAGATAGGACCTTTAATGAGGTAATTAAGGTTAAATAAAGTCATAAGAGTAGGGTCTTAATTCAATATGACTGCTGTCCTTATAAGGAGAGAGAGAGATCAAGAATGGGGCACACAGAGAAAAGGTCTTGTGAGGACACAGCAAGAAGGTGGCCATCTGCAAGCCAGGGAGAGAGGCCTCAGAAGAAAACAGACCTGCCTACACCTTGAGCTTGGACTCCTGGCCTCCAAAACTGTAAGAAGGTAAGTTTCCGTTGTTTGGGCCATGCCATCTTTGGTATTTGGTTACGGCAGCCCTAGCAAACAAGTATACAGAGTGAGATGGCTAGGAGAGCAAGACCCTGAGAGGAGATGGCAGGGGAAGGGAATGAACAGGTCTTGTGGTGGAAGTAGCCATTGGAGGCTGGGACTATTGGAATAGGAAAGCCTGTCTTCCCTAAGTTTTACCTTCAAGCAATGGCATCTGCTTGAGAAACAAGATCCCTTAGGCAGGGGACACTGAGGCCTGCTTCTCTCACTAGCTGGAAAACTTTTAAGCAGCTCCAAACCAGTCTCTCCCAGAAAACATGCACTTTCAGCTGAGCCAAATAAGGAGAGAGCTGCAGAATAGGCACCCCACAGCCCACACCAGGATGCTTTCCTTCTTGAGGGGATCCCAAGCAGAAGCAGCTGACATGAAAATGAGATTTGCAATTTTTTCAGAACCACTGAGATGGGTGATGGGCGTGAGTCATGAGCCATTAGGAATAAGTAGGAAAGGCCAGGACAGTTCACCCAAAAGAGGAACAGACAAGGTGTCTCTTTCAAAGAAATAAAACAAGCAATGAGTATCTTCTGGTCCCCAGGAGAATCAGAGATAGAGGGTAATACCTTTCTCCACTCTACTGTGAGTCCAAGATATATGCTTGGATATGCAGCAAGACCATGTCAAGGTTCCTTCTCTTTACCCAGAATACTATTCCAAGGGTTTTTCTAAAGGAAGCAGTAAACTAAAGCAAAAAGCATACTATATGGGGGGAAAAAAAAAAGTTTATAATAGTATTATCTTGAATGGCCCAAAACTGGAACTAGCCTGTCAAACAAAACGTAAATGAGTCAAAGTGGTCTGCATTTGCACTATAGACTACTGTCCAGACATAAAAAGGACAATTATAAAGATTACATAGAAATGTGAAACAACACTTATGTAATTTTAAGTGAAAAAGATAGTTTCAATACACTGAGCACTTACTATGAGCTCAGCATTATGCTACTAATTTATATGCATTATCTCTTTTCATCCTCACAGCTTGCCATGGGTGGGGAGGGTACCATTACTATCCTCATTGTATAGATGGAAAAATTGAGACAAAGTTGCTTAGTAATTTACCCTAGTTCAGTCAGTAGAGCCAAGATTCAAACTAAGCAAAGTAATATCAAAGCTGTTTCTCTTTATCCAACATGCTATAAAAACTCTAGATTCCAGAGGATAATAAGCAAAGGTAAAAAATATGTGTGTAAAGGCTGGTGTGGTGGCTCACACCTGTAGTCCCAGCATTTTGGGAAGCTAAGGTGGGTGTATCACTTGAGGTCAGGAGCCTGGTCAACATGATGAAACCCCATCGTTACTAAAAATACAAAAAATTAGCTAGGCATGATGGCGCATGCCTGTAATCCCAGCTACTCAGGTGGTTGAGGCACAAGAATCACTTGAACCTGGGAGGTGGAGGTTGCAGTGAGCCAAGATGGCGCCACTGCACTCCAGCCTGGGTGACAGGGCGAGGCCCTGTCTCATATTCATTCTCATTCTTATTCTCTCTCTCCCCATATATATATATGTGTGTGTGTGTGTGTGTGTGTGTGTGTGTGCGTGTGTGTGTATATGTGTGTGTGTATATATATGTGTGTGTCTATATGTGTATATATGTGTATATGTGTATATGTGTATACGTATATATACATACATATATATGTATATGTGTATATATATGTATGCATGTATATGTATATATGTATGTATGTATGAAACACACACACGCTTGTGTGTGTGTAATCAGAATACAGGCAGCATTCTGAGACTGGTCTTATAATTGTTGCCTTAGTAGCCTTTCAATTACAATGATAAGGCTAAATAAATAACAAATTATATATGCTTGCTTTGACCCAATTCTTGTCTCCTGTATGCTTGAAGATTCTGCTCCCTCAATGTCCCCATTTTACAGAGAATAAAGCTGAAGAATAGCAAGATTAAGAGCTTTACCAAAAGGCAAACAATTAGCTAGTGAAAGACCCAAGATTAAACCCAAGTTTTCCTGTTTCCAAGCTCAAGGACACTTTCCAGTATATTCTGCTGCACTCCACTGTTTCAAGGCATTTTCAGCCCTCTTAACAAAGTAACCAGGAATCATGGTAACAGAAAATAAGTGAACCAGGAAAAAAAAAAAAAGCAAAAATTATCTAATATTTGAATGAATCAGCCAGCATGATGACAGTAGGCTCTCTCCTTTTTTTATATTTACCAAGACCCTTCTTCTTGGAACTGGAATGGAATCACTTTAAGCTATATTAAAAATTGTGTCTGAATGAACAAATATCCATTTTTCTGGAGTGGATTTTCTATATTATTCTTTATATTCCCAAAGTGATTTAAAAAAATTAAGCAACTGGTATACAATTAGTTGAACGTGTGAGTAAATCTTATGGAAGCATTCATTTTTTTTCCTTTTAGAATTCAAGGAAGATTTGAGAAGTGTACATACACAGTTTAATACGGATAGAGCATTCCACATCTGCTTAAGATGTGGGAAGTCACAAAGGAACATCATTCCCATTCTAACAACGACAAAACCAGTGGGATAATCTAAAAACAATAACTGTTTTAAGCTCAGCAGACAGTTGGAATTGAAAGGCAATCAGGTAAACTGAGTTCCAAAGAGTAGTGAACCCCTCTGAGAGCAGAGATGGGAACACAGAAGCCATTTGCCTTCTGCAGAACATGAGAGAAAAGGTAGCAACTATAAAATCTGGTAATAAAAAAACAACTGAAAGTTTAACAAATTCTTAAAGGTTAACTGTAGGTTTACATGACAGTTTAATACCCCTGGGAGTCCCAAACACAAGGAAAGCCCACATCCACTAACCAGCTCTTTTATGTAGGCCTCTAATAGGTGCCCAGGAGAAAGACTGAGTGAAGGACAAGACATCTGAGTAGCTCTCCCTCACTGGCATTCCTCTGACCTCGCAGTCTCAGACAAATGCCAGTTGCCACTGGCTGTAGGATAGAAAAGCTGTTCCTTCAAGGCTGGGCACGGTGGCTAAAGCCTGTAATCCCAGCTGTTTGGGAGGCCGAGGCAGGCGGATCACGAGGTCAGGAGATCGAGACCATCCTGGCTAACATGGTGAAACCCCGTCTGTAGTAAAAATACAAAAAAATTAGCCGGGCGTGGTGGCGGGCGCCTGTAGTCCTAGCTACTCGGGAGGCTGAGGCAGAAGAATGACATGAACCCGGGAGGCGGAGCTTGCAGTGAGCAGTGATCACGCCACTGCACTCTAGCCTGGGTGACAGAGCGAGACTGCATCTCAAAAAAAAAAAAAAAAGGAATGAAGAAAAAGAAAAAGAAAAAGAAAAGCTGTTTCTTCAAGCTACATTGACAGTAGATGGAAACCATTGGCTGCAGGGAAGGGTCAAGAAACACACAAGCCAAGAATCCTACACTGATAAATCAGAGGTCTATTCCCACTGGGGGAAGGGCAGAGTTATTAAGAAAACTCTACCCCTGAGGTTCTAAAACACAGGACCTGATTAAGACAGAGGCTATCACAGGACAACCAAGACTCCCCCCTCCTCCCACCATAAGACTTGCACTGAGCTGTAAACAACAGCAATCAAACTATGGGAAGAAAAGGAGCAGCGAGAGAGGAATAGTCTATGGTGTAGTATGTTGAACCTGCTGAAAGCTGGGTGGAGCAGGAACACTGATACTGCAGGTACTGTAGGCCTTATGTTAAGGCCTTACATTAAGCACAAGGTGGAAGCAATGCAGTACTGGAGTAATTTAAAGTGTGTGTTGCACTAGTGGTAACAATAACAACAGCAAAACTCAGACCCAGTTCAACTCCTGATTACACTGACTTAATGCTAATTAGCTGAAAACAGAAGCAGTATGCCCATTTCTAGGCATAAATACTGTCTGCCTCAGCTCTACTATTCTTTCATACAAAATGCCTGGAAAATTGTACAAGATTCACTAAAAAAAGCAAGAAAGATGCTGTCTGAAGTGATCCATTGTCAAATCTTAAAGAAGTCAACAGATTCACACAAGGAGATGGCTTAGATATTAGAAGAGACTTTAAAATAGTTATTATTAAGGGATCTAGCGGAAAAGGTGTACAATATGGATAAACATGTGCAGATTTCAAAAGAAAGATGGAAACTCGAAAAGAGTCTAATTGCAGTACTAGAAATGAAAAACATGATATCAAATGTGAAGAATCCTTTAAATGGGTTTATCAGAAGGCTGGAAAGAGTATAAGAAAGAATCAGTGAAATTGAAGATCGCTCAATAGAAAATAACAAAAAAAAGAAGGAAATATACCCACATGACAGAGCATCTAAAGGCTGTAGAACATAAAATGATATAAAAAACACAACATTGAAATTCCAGAAGGAGAAGAGAAAGAAAACAAGGCAAAAGAAGTATTTGAAGAGATAATCATCAAGAATCCTCAAATATTAATGAAAGACAACCAACTATAGGTCCAACAAACTGAAAAATTCAAGCATAAAAATACATTTGTTAAAAAATGCACCTAGGTACATATTAACTGAACTAATAAAAGTAATAATAAAGAGAAAATCTTCAAAGCAAATAGAAAAAAATTTTCAAAGGAACAGAGAGAAGAATGATAGCTGACTTGTCTAAAACTATGCAAGTCAGAAAAAAAGGATGGTATCTTTAAAGTACTGCAAGAAGGGAGGAAGGAAAACAGAATTCTACACATGGTAAAAATGGCCTTCAAAAACAAGACAAATCAACTGTTTTCTCAGATAAGCAAAATCTGAAAGAATTCAATGCCAGCAGAACTCACACTATGAGAAATGTTACGTGACTTAAATAAATGAAAAATGATACTAGACACACATGTGGCTATACAATTTAACAGAAGGAAAAAAAGAAAAGGAGTAGGAAAAGGAAAATGCCGCAAAAACAGAAGCAAATGGGTAAATGCAAGAGATATTATTTTATTTTGAATGTCTCTAAGATAACTGTATAATGTAATAATCAGTTTATTATATCAACATTGTATGCATATATCAAACATAGGGTAAAATAGATGATAACGGTAACACAAAGAATAGGAAAAATTAAATGGAATTATATTCTAAGGTTTTTATACTATATATGAAGTAATATAATTTTATTTTAAAGTAACTATTAAAAAGTTGAGTGTATATTGTGAATCCTAAAGTAAGCAGTAAAAGGTAAAATAAAAAAAAAACTAATATCCAACAACACAGATAAAATAGAATCATAAAATCCTCAATTCAATGAAAGGCAAACAAAGATTAAAACGGGAGAAATAACAAATGGGTCAAATAGAAAACAAACAGCAAAACGGTAGGTCTAAACTCAACTGCATCAATAACATCATTAAATATAGTTTAAACAGCCTAATTAAAAGGCAGAGATTGTCAAATTGGATTTTAAAAAGATCTAATTTTACATAAACTCATTTTAATAACAAAAACATACATATATTAAAAAAGGATTGGCAAAAAGATAAACTATGCAAATACCAATCAAAAGAAAACTGGAGTGGTTATACTAGTTTGAGAAAAAATTGACTTCAAAATGGGGAATTTACCACGGATAAAGAGGATTATCACACAGTAATAAGGGGGTCATTTAATCAAGACAAAATAACAATCCTAAATTTATATCTTTAATAATAGAGCTTCAAACTATGTGAAGCAAGGACAAAGAGGGAAAATAGACAAACCTACAATTATGGTTGAAGAGATCAACACTCCTCTACTGATAATTTTTAAAACAAGTAACAGAACATCAATAAGAAGATGTGTGACTTGAATAACGGTTTCAAGCAACTTGAGCAAATTGACATCTACAGAGCTCTAACAGCGGCAGAATACATATTCTTTAAAGTGCGAAGGAACATTCACCAATATATCCAGGATCATAAGATAAATCTCAACAAATATGAAAGGATTTAGATTATAAAAAATATGTTTCACACCACAATGGAGTTACTAGAAATCAAAAACAAAAAGATGTCTTAAAAATTCCCAAATATTTAAAAATTAAGCAACACATTTCTAAATAACCCATGGGCCAAAAAAGAAATAAGAATTGTAATTAGAAAATATTTTGGTGTAAATTAAAATGAAAACACAACATATAAAAATGTATGAGATGGAGTTAAATCAGTGCTTAGAAGGAAAATTATAATATTAACTGCATTAATTAAAAAATAAAAATATCTAAGCTTGCATTTTAGGAAACTAGAACATTAACATGAAATTAAACCCAAAACAAGTAGAAGGAAATGATGAACAAAAGTCAGTGAAAGAGACATCAAGAAAAACAAGAGAGAACATAAATGAAAAAAAGTTGTTTCTTTGAAAAAGTCAATTAGATAAACACAGAAAAAATGAAGATACAAATTGTTGATATCAAGAATTAAAAAGGGAACATCATCACAGATAGTATAAACTTTTAAAAGATAATAAGGAAACATAATTTATAACTTTATGCCAACAAATTCAGTAGCTTAGATGAAATGGCAAATTTATAAAAGACATGAACTCTCAAACCTCACTCAAGATAAAATATAACAATCATAATACAGTATACATTTAAGAATCGAATTTGTAGTTTAAAACTTTCCAACAAGGAAAGTTCCAAGTCCATCCAGATGGCTTTAATGATGAATTTTTTTTTTTTTCTTTTTCAGACTCTCTCTGTCACCCAGGTTGGAGTGCTGGAGTGTAGTGGCTCAATCTCAGCTCACTGCAACCTCTACCTCCCAGTCTCAAGCAACCCTCCTGCCTCAGCCTCCCAAGTAGGTAGGACTACAGGTGCTCACCACTAAGCTTGGCTAATTTTTTGTATTTTTTGTAGAGACAGGGTTTCACCATGTTGCCCAGGCTGGTTTTATACCACTGAGCTCAAGCGATCCACCCACCTCGGCCTCCCAAAGTGCTGTGATTACAGGTGTGACCCACTGCAACTGGCCCTACCTTTTAAGAAATAAATATAAGCAATTCTACACAAATACTTCCAGAAAACAGAATGAAAGGTAATACTTCCCAAGTCATTCCAGGAACCAGCATTATCCTGATACCAAAATATGACAAAGATGGTACAAGAAAAAAATATTACAGATCAATATCTCTTGTCAATGTAGGCACAAAATCCTCAATATTAGCCAATCTAATACAGAAAAATATAAAAAATGATAATACATCATGACCAAGTTGGTACTGTCACAGAAATACAAGATTGGTTCAAATTTTGGAAATCAACTTATAATAATTCACTACATTAACAGATTAAAAGAGAAAGATCAACTCAAAAGATGAAGAAAAAAGTGCTTAACAAATTCAACATCTATTCATGATGAAAGTACTCAGTAAACTAGGGGAAAAATGAGATTTGCTCAACCTGACAAAAAGGATCTATGAAAAACCTACAGCTTATGTTATACTTAGTGATTAAAAAAAAAAAAAAAAAGTTTTCCACCTAAGACTGACAACAAGCAAGGATGGCTGCTCTCACTAGTTCTGCTAGAACACTATACTAAAGGTACTATCCAGTGCAGTAAGGTGGAAAGAAGGGAAAGAGGAAGACAAGGAGGGAGAGGAGGAGGGAGTGAGGGAGGGAAACACAGGCAAATGTATTGGAAGGGAATAAACAAAAGTGTTTTATTTGTAGATGGTATGATTGAATATGTAGGAAATCCTAATGAATCTACCAAACAAAATACCTACCAGAATTAATAAGTGAATTTAGCAGGACTTCAGGATACAAGGTTAATATACAAAAGTCAAGTATATTTCTATATACTAAGAGCAAACAATTGGAAATTGAAATTTTAAAATACCCTCACAATAGCTTCAAAGAAAACAAACTATTTATGAATAAATTTAACAAAATTTTTACTGTATTTGTACATCAAGAAGTACAAATTTTACTGAGAAAAATTAAAGACTTAAATAAATAAGAGATACACAATGCAAGTAGAAGACTCATAACTAAGATGTCAATTCTCAACAAATTAACCCATAGATTAAAAGTTATGCCAATTAAAATCTTAGGATTTTTTCACAGAAATTGGCAAGCTGATACTAGAATGTATATGAAAATTCCAGTGACTTAGAATAGCAAAGTAATTTTGAAAAAGAACATCGAAATTGGAGGACACGTGTTAACAGACTTCAGAACTTAGTGTAGAGCCACAAAAATAAAAAACAGTGTGGTAATGGTGTAAGAATAAACATATAGAGAAATAAAATGGAGAGTCCAATTGATTTTCAACAAAAATTCATGGCAATGTCATAGAGAAAGGAGAGTCTTTTCAAAAGCTGGTTCTGAAACAGTTGTATATTAATAGACAGATGGATGGATGTACAGGAGGGAGGGAGGGAGGGCAAGGGAGGGTCTCTAATACTTATCTCAGACCATATATAGAGACCTAAATGCAAGAGCTAAAACTATGTAACTTCTTAAAAGAAAACAAGAGAAAATTTTGTGACTTTGGATTATTCCAGATATCCTAGATAGGATACAAAAAGCATGAACCATAAAAGAAAAAGATAAATCTGACTTCATAAAAATTTTAGACTTTTGTTCTTCAAAAGTCTAAAAGACTGCTGTAAAAATTAAAAGAAAAGCAACAATATTGGGTGAAAATTTTTGAAAATCATTTATCTGACCAAGAGCATGAATGCAGAATACATAAAGAATCTTACAATTCAATAAGAAAAAAGCAATTAGAAATTTTATAAAAACTCTGAATAGACACTTTACCAAAAACTGTAAACAATTAGCTAATCCATGAAAAGATGCTCACATTACTCACCTGTGTAATTAAAATTAAAAGAACTGACAACATCAAGTATTGATGATGTGTGGAGCAGGAAGGAAAGATGGAACATCCACTTTAAACAACAACTTGACAATTTCTTATAAAGTTAACTATATACTTACCATACAACCCAGCAATCTCTCTACTAGTTTAATGTCTAAGAGAAATGAAAATCTATGCCTACACAAAATCCTGTATGCAAATGTTTATAGCAGTTCATTCAGAATAGCTGAAAACTGCAAGCAACCCAAATCTCTTTCACTAAGTGAGTGGATAAACAAAATTATATCAGTACAATAGAACATTACTTGGCAATTTAAAAAAAATTACTAACACATGCAACAACACGGATGAATCTCAAAAGCATTATGTTAAGTGACAGAAGCCAAACACAAAAGCCTCCACTATACTCTATGATTCCATTCATATTACATTCCGCAAAAGGTAAAACTATAGGGACAGAAAACAGATCAGTGGGTTTGGGGGCAGAGTTTGCAGGGAGGAATCCGACTGCAAAGGAACACAGGGAACTTCTGGAGGGTAATAAAAATGTATGTTTATTGTAGTGGCTACATGACTGTACACATTTGTCAAATATCGCCAAATTGTAAACTTTAAAATGGTAAGTTTTGTTTTATGAAAATTATGCCTCAATAAACCTGACATTTTAAAATGTGATGGAGTTTGTCGGGTGTATTAAATATAAATTTACTTAACAGAAACAAAGCGATGATGGGAAGCCCTCCCCTCCAATCTTGGAACTCTCTTGAACTTTCTGAATTATGAGCCTCTAGGCCAACACTCACCTTTGGGGTCCCAGATTCATTTAACTGGGCAAAGCAGTTTGCTGCCTGCAGAAACTTCTGTGTTCTGCCTTTCTTAAAGAGGCTCAGAAGATCCATATTTCTGTAAGTGGCACTTACTAGTTTACTGAGTAATGTGTTAACTGAAAACACAAGCACATAGACTGAAATGCTCCTTGAAAGAGAGACTGACACTTATTATACAAAGGAGAAGGAAAATATTGAAAAGAAACTTATATAGTAACTGAACCTGGAATAATATTACCAGAAGACAACTAGACTCTTCCACATACCCCATCACTCTGTCTTTCCCAATTCATTCTGACTGAGACCAGACAGAATTTGCTGTTGTGGATGAGGATGACAATGACAATGACAACAATACCAACACCAGCAGCAACACAGCACCAGGTATACACAGCACCCTGAGCATTCAATAGATTGTAGTTACAAGTTTATTACGTATTCCCTTTATGATCAAAGACAACCCTAGGAATAAGCACTTTAATCATCTCACTTTATAAAGGAGAAAAATGAGACACAAAGATGTTAGGTAACTTGTTCAAGTTCACGCAGCTTATATGTAGCAGAGCTGTGCTTTGAATTCATGTGCCACCTTCCCCAAGCTACCGTTTTTAAGACACAATATGGCAAGGAAAAAATCAACCTGTTTTCCTAAAAGTTGAATGTCTTCTCCAAGTGTTAGGATGTCTAGAGTTGAGGTCTTTCTGTTTCTGTTTTGGGAGGGGTGTATGTGAGAGAGTTTTCCTTCCATGCCTTACTCTTCACCGCTACTGAAATACGAACATAAAATGCTTTGATCATATTTGGCTGTCCTAAATCCCATGTGGGGACACACAGTTTTGCATCTCTTCGTAATAACCTCAAAGTCCTTCCTGAATTCCAAGGCAGAATGAGGGCCTCCAGTTTCATTTGAATTTTTGTCCAAAGTAAGAAAATAGAGTATCAGATACTGAGATGAGGAGACAAGGCAGCCAGGGGATAAAGGATTAAAGAGCTAGGTGACAACATAAAATTGTGGGAGAACTAAAAATCCAATTCCCATGCTGTCCCCTCCAGACTCTAGGACCTCTAATCATTTCCACCAAGCTCCAACCTCAACATCAAGATTTACAAGGTGGTGGGGATAGAAGACTAAAAATTAGAAAAATTCCCAGAAAATGGACCAGGAACAAGCCCAGTTTACCACCTGGGTCTGTGATACAACGTACTATATTAAAACATTTTCATCTCAGCCAGAGCCTCCAAAGTGGCTCCTCCAGCTAACAAGTGCTTCTTAGCTTTCACTGATAGGAATCTATTATTCATGCATAGATCTAGTCCTTCTAAAAGGGCCTATTTCTGGATTTTCCTACTCCTCAGATTGTATATTTACTGGTTAAAGCTGTACCATCTTTAAGACACCTCAAAAAAAGCAATGAACTTGTGGAGTGCTTTACAGTTTACAAATCATTTTAGCATGATCCTATTTCTCCTGTCTATGACCCATTTAACCAGTTCTAGCCAATGAGTTGTGAACAGAAGTAATGTGTCATTTATAGGCCAGAGCATTACACTGCTGTGCAGGATGCTCCAAACTTATCTTTCCCTCTGCTAGAAAAACTACAGTATTTTGGGATGGTTTGCTTCATCAGCCAACAGTCTCAGAAAGAGTCAAAATAGAACCAAGTTTCCAGTAGACGTGTAACGGACATGTGATGTGAGTTGTTAAAGCCACTAAAATTGGGAGGGGGGTTGTTTATTATAGCCACAAAACAGTCTTGTAAATGGTAAAAGTACTACTTATTTTATGCCTCTAAAGGTATATTCACAAATTCGATTAGCTAATCCATGCTGACTTTTCTGAACCATTCATGAGTTTTCGGCTTTGATCCAATCCCTCAACAGGTTTGGTATTTCCAGTCTGAAGTACCCTAGCACTTAGAGTCCATCGTGATATATTTCATCCACCATTATCACTGCCTAGCCCATTCATACATAGATACACCCACACATGCATGCACTCACACAACCTGCTTCATTGGATGGTGCCAGCTTATCAAGGACTTGGCAATCCAGTACCTTCCTTGTTCCATTGGTTGAAAGCTACACAGAGCTACAGAAGGTTTTCCTATAAAAGGAGTAACCAGAGAGAGTGGCCTCTTCCATTTTATAACCATGGGCTGAGGAGGGGAAAGCACAACAGACGGGACGTGGACTGCTGAATCAGATAAAGCCAAGACAGAGCAGGGAAAGTGAGATGAGCACTGGACTCAGGGACAGAGAAGGAAACAAGACTATAGAGCCTCAAACAAATTCCTAACCGGGAAAATCACGAGGCATTCCCCAACCAGGCTGTCCACCAGAATCCCCAGCTGTTTGTTAAAGTGTAGATTCCTGGGCTTCATCCCAGATCTTCTGAATCTGAATCTCTAGGGGTATGATGAACAGGAAATACAATTATTTTATAAGCCCTCATGATATTCAGATAACCAGCCAGGTCAGTTTCCCACTGGATTGGGTAAACAATGAAGCCCCTTCTAGTTTTGAAATTTCATGGTCTATAAAGAAAGCCAGGAATATCAGAAATCAGTGTCCCAAGATAAGAGAACAGGTGTTAGTCTTTGCTCAGGTGAGCCTGTGCTTACTAGGTGAACTTTGATAAATTAATTGAGGGGCTATACATATTAATAAATATAAATAGTAAAATATTTGAAGAAAGGATAAATTTGAGGCCAGGGTTAGATATGTGGGTGAACTTCCTGGCAATGTAGATGCTTTACAAAAACTAAGGTAGGCTGCATGTGGTAAGTAACTTGTATCCCTTTAACTTGCCATATTCTGTATCTCAAGATGGGACCGACTTCATGAACACATGGCCTCTGCATGTGAGTGACACCCAGAATCGCTCTCAGAAGGGGCCCTGTACTTGGTTTAATGATCTACTGGTACCGTCTTGAAATTCTTAATCATTTTATCTTTGCACATGAGTTTTGCAAGTGAAGTCTGATGAGACAACAGAGCATGTGTGTGAGCAGAGCAGGATATAACAGGCAGCAACACATGCAGGCACAGGCCTTGGGGCACTGCATGCAAGGGGCTGTGTGCATGCCAAGCAACTGAACTGGCATACCAGAGGCAGTCCAGCCTGCCATGGGGTCCTCAGGGGACAACTAGGGACTGGACTTGAGCCCAGATGGGTAATGGCAGTGGCAGCAATAGCAGCAAAGCAGCAGCAATGATCACAGCAGTGGGAAGACAGCTTGCCCATCAGTCCTTGGAGCCCATCCCTGTGATATCCCCATAAATATTAACTCTCTATCTTCAGTGCCAGGACAGAATTTGCTGGTGCTCAGGCAATATAATTTGTTAGTAAATCATTACAAAATAAAAATGTATACATGAACATTGCAATAAAGTATATCCAAGAGTTATTAGAATGTTTTAGAGTTCAGAATCTCCAGTTTTGATAACTCCTGCAACATTACGAAGCAAATATTCACAGGCTTTGAATTAGAAATTAAATTTTGAAATTGTCACAACAGATAAGAATGCCATTTTCATATAAAACTTCAATGAACCAATTATTAAGAAGAAATAATTTTTGGATTAAATTTTCCAGCCGGGCACGGTGGCTCACGCCTGTAATCCCAGCACTTTGGGAGGCCGAGGCGGGCGGATCACAAGGTCAGGAGATCGAGACCATCCTGGCTAACACGGTGAAACCCCGTCTCTAGTAAAAATACAAAAAAAAAATTAGCCAGGTGTAGTGGCGGGCGCCTGTAGTCCCAGCTACTCAGGAGGCTGAGGCAGGAGAATGGCATGAACCCAGGAGGCAGAGTTTGCAGTGAGCCGAGATCGTGCCACTGTACTCCAGCCTGGGCGACTGAGCGAGACTCTGTGTCAAAAAAAAAAAAAAAAAAAAAAATTTTCTCGTACTGAAGAAACACGATAGGTTATATAAACAGGCATTTTGAATCACAGTTGACCCTTGAACAATGTAGGGGATAGGAATGCCACCCCACCACATACAGTCAAAAATCTGCATATAACTTTAGAATCCTCCAAAACTTCACATAGCCTACGGTTGACTGGAAGGCTTACTGATAACATGCATAGTCCATTAACATGCATTTTGTATGTTGTATGTATTACACACTGTATTCTTACAATAAAGCTAGAGAAGAGAAAATGTTATTTTAAAAATCACAGGGAAGAGGCAGGGCCAGGTGCTGTGGCTCACGCCTGTAATCCCAGCACTTTAGGAGGCCGAGGTAGGCAGATCACAAATTCAGCAGTTCAAGACCAGCTTGGACAACATGGTGAAACCCCATCTCTATTAAAAATACAAAAATTAGCTGGGCATGGTGGCACCTGCCTGTAATCCCAGCTACTCAGGAGGCTGAGGGAGGAGAATTGCTTGAACAGGGACCCGGGAGGCAGAGGTTGCAGTGAGCCGAGATTGTGCCACTGCACTCCAGCCTGGGCTAGAGAGCCAGACTCCCTCTCAAAAAAAGTAAATAAATAATAATTTTAAAATATATAAATCATAGGGAAGAGGAAATATATTTACTATTCATTAAGTAGAAGTGGATCATCATAAAGGTCTTTATCCTCATTGTCTTCTCATTGAGGAAGAGGAGGGGTTGGTCTTGCTATCTTAGGGGTGGCAGAGGTGGAGAAGGTGGACATGAAGGCAGAAGCAGGCACATTCAGTGTACTTTTATTGAAAAAAAAGAAAACGTGTGTAAGTGGACCCACACAGTTCAAACCTGTGTTGTTCAAGTGTTAACTGTATATACAAATTGTAAAGCTACTTTCAGTTGCTTATAGGCTCTCTACAAGTTACAGAAAATGCCTGAGAACACATAAAAATGCCACTATATATATATATATTTACATTTATAATTAAATCCAAACTTACACAAAACAGATTTGTACAAAGAGTTAAATCTTTTTAGAAAAATTGTTTGACAAGAATCATCAGTTCTAGGTATATACTGAAGACTTTTTTTTTTTGAGACATTGTCTCACTCCATCACACAGGCTGAAGTACAGGGCGCAATCTCCACTCACTGCAACTTCCGCCTCCTAGATTCACACAATTCTCATGCCTCAGATCCCCGCCACACCCAGTAGCTAGAATTACAGGTGTATGCCACCACGCCCAGCTAATTTTTGTATTTTTAGTAGCGATGGAGTTTCACCATGTTAGCTAGACAGGTTTCAAACTCCTGGGCTCATGTGATCCACCCGCCTCAGCCTCCCAAAATGCTGGGATTACAGGCATGAACCACCATGCCCAGACCCTAAAGCCTTTTTTCAAAATAATTTCTCAGAAATGTATCCAAATCCTGCTACAGCCAATAAGATTCTCCTACACAATTCCAGTAACAGTTGCATTAGCAGAAATATGCTTCTGAAAATTAAAAATTGTCAAAAATTATTTGTAATCTTGGCAAAGAACAACACGTCATTTTCAGTTTTGTATCAGTTAAAGATGAAATTGATAAAAGTTTGATAAATTTTGATAACCTAATAATTTGCAGAAAAAGGGAGTCAGAAAAATCTTATTGTCAATAAGATGTCAAATTAAATTACTTTTTATTGTATTATATAAGTATGACACCAAAAATATTTTTGTTACTCATGTATCATTATCACTATAAATAATAGTATAAAAAGTTATAAGGACTACATTATATAAGTAATAAAATATTTTTAGAGGAAAAACTTATATTTTAATAACTTTGTACTTTTTTTCCTGCTCTTTGAACAAGGGGCTCCAAATTTTCATTTTTCACTGGGCCATATTTATTATGTCACCACCCTGCTCGGAGGGTAACTATTCTGAGGTTTTGCAGGAAACTTCAGAATGGGTCTAAGATTCCCATCTTGCCAAAGGTTTTCGGTGATTTCATTGAGTACAAGAGAGTCTATGTATCCTGTAGCCCAGAGACAAGGAGCATTATAATTATAGCAGCTCTATTCTTACTATCAACATTCTTAGGAGTTTTGGGGTGTCCTTGACTTTGGGTTTCTTTGGACCAAGGCCCTCATCTTCTGAAACATAAGGAGCTGTATTCCAAGCCTTTATCCAATGATTCATGAAGCCAACTTCTTTAAATAAAAACAGGACAGGAAGGAGAGAGAACGCATCAGGCTGCTTTGAATTTGGGCCAGTGTTTCCAACTGCAAAATAGTCAACAGCTCAGGCTCCCCTGGCTTTGTAGATAAACAACAAGATGACCTTTTTATGTCAGAAAAGAGCAGTGAAAATTCCATTTTCCTTGTGGAATGTTAAGTTTGGAACCAAGTTTTTCTGGGTTTCTTCTCAAGATAACAACCCACAAAATGTCTTAATAAATGCAAATTATAGGATTTCTGTGGCCAATCCAGACATTCCAACAAGTGATCTTGCCTTTTCTCCAAATAACATCCTAGGAACCTCTCCCCATAAGAATGGAAATCCCCCTTTCCCTATCATGTTGCATCCTGGGCTCCTGGAAATGACACTCTGTCCAATGATTAGGTGCTGTGAGAGTAGGGCATGTCCCCACTCTCCTCCAGCCATTTCACAATGAACTGAGGCCATTTCATCAAATCCTTTCCAGGAGAGAATCCATTTCCTGCAATGGAGAAAAATGCAGCCATTGTCCACTCTCTACAGGACTTTCAATCCACTTTCTCTTCTTTCACTATTCCCAAACTTCCTTTGGAAAAAAAAAATTAAAAAAAAAAAAAAAACAAAAAAAAACAAACTTTCCCAGGCGCCACCAGCCTGGGGATAAAATCAGGGTGGCCGTAAGAGTCATGTTCCCACCCTCCTTTAAAAAAAAAAAATCCACTGCCCCCGCCAACCCTAATATTCAGCAGGGGTCTGGTGATTATTCTCTTTACTGGATTGCTTTAAATAACAACCCTTCAGGGTGAATTTAAAATAGAACTTGAGTTACAAAATTCAGTTAACACGCAACCCTCCAAGAATAGGTCAAGTACATGCAATGAGGTCCACTCAATGATCATTTTACTTTTAACCTCTCACAAGATATTTAGTTCAACAATAACATACTGAAGAGAAAAACCTTTTAAATATCTGTGTTGTGTTCTGTTTAATTTACTTCTTAAATAACTCTAATATAAAAGCTATTTATTAGAGTTGAAAACTTGAGGAAGTTCTTTACCCAACTATCCAATAGGAAAGGAGGAGACAGAGAAATCTTGACCTTCACCTCGAGGATATGAGAAGAAATGGATAAAAGTGAATTAAGTGACTGCGTCTTTCTCTGACTCCACAATGGAATCATGATCCTTGCCATTCATTCCATCTGTATCATTAACGTAAACATTCTTTACAGGCAACTGGACCAAAGAAGCAGTGGTTGGAATCAATGCTCCTGCCAGCACTAACATCTTGGCAGTGATTCAGGGCCTATTGGAGGTGCAATGTCCACATAAAAGATTGCCAGGGGTAAGTGGACTCTAGAGTGGTAACATGCACTGCCATGACCATGTGAGTCCTATGCAGCCAGAACCAGGAACTGTGCCTGACCCAGAGCAATTATAAAGTATCTATCTATAGGGTGAATGCCTGGGTGGCATCTCTAAAGAGCTTACCATCCAGTTAAAGATAGACAAACTCCATCCAAAATTTGAATGTGAAGAGCAACAAATGAGTGGGTCAAATCAGAGCCACATCAGCTCAACGCAAAAAGAGCTCAGAAGGTGTTTGAGGATGGAAAGGCTAAGAACTTCAGCCATGGGCAATTCCATACATAACTTCATTTGTCCCCCATCAGACTGAGGATGGAGATGAAGATGATAGCTACAAAATTACGGTGATGATGATCTCATGGGTGATAGTACTTTACAGATACCAAATAAATGGCCCTGCTGATGGGAGTTACTCTCAGGGTTATAACTCTGTACATCTTTACTGCCTAAATGTGGAACTGCCTGAGCCTCCCAAGTTTCAGAAGACACAACAAAATCATAACAAAACAGTTCCCTCTGTGTACGGCTGGGAAACAAACACAGCATAGGAAATCATCTTCAGCCATAGCATTCCTGCTGCCTCACTACTGGTAAAAACAGAGGCCAAAAGAAAAGAGCCTTCCTGCCCCCATTAACTACTGAGCAAAGCAGGCTGCAAACAGAGTCCAGGCTGCATCTGTGATTCTGTTTAGTGATGATGGCCTGAAAGGTTCTATGAATGGCTGATGCCTTCTGAATTGGCTTTTTTGAGGGCTGGCTCTGTGTTCTGGCTAGAATATTACTCTATCCTTGAATATTACTTTATTGTTCTCTGCCTTCCTTTTTTTCTTCTCTTTGCTTTAGTAGCTAAAAAAAATTTTAATGAATGGTTTAAACAGCTTATGAAGTTGTCATGTTACACACTAGCTAGGCACCCAAACAAACAATCTATTCACAAGAAATATCTCAAGGAGGAGCCATGTTGTCAACACCATCCCTGTGCTGGGCTCTTAAATGGACTCACCATGTGTATTAGTCTGTTCTCATGCTGCTGTGAAGAAATACCCAAGACTGGGTAATTTATAAAGGAAAGAGGTTTAATTGACTCACAGTTCCACATTGCTGGGAAGGCTTCAGGAAACTTACAGTCATGGCAGAAGTGGAAGCAAACATGTCCTTCACAAGGCAGCAGGAGAGAGAAGTGCTGAGGAAAGGAGGAAAAGCCCCTTATAAAACCATCACATCTCATGAGAACTTACTCACTATCATGAGAACAGTATGAGGGTAACCACCGCCATGATTAAATTACCTCCCACCAGGCCCCTCCCACGACGTGTGGGGATTGTAGGAACTACAATTCAAGATGATATTTGGGTGGGGACACAGCAAAACCATATCACCATGCCAAAACCAAGCCTTTTCATGAGAATACTCTCATATGAAATCCCACAGGCACACATGAAATTGGCATGATTCATTTTATGCCTTATTTGTTTATAATAACTAAGATAATATCAGGAAAGTGGAAGAAGGCTCAGAACTGAACCATCCTTACCTGTTCCTATCACTACACAGTAAATGTGAACTGTAATCCCAGCACTTTGGGAGGCTGAGACGGGCAGATCACGAGGTCAAGAGATCGAGACCATCCTGGCCAACACAGTGAAACCCTGTCTGTAATAAAAATACAAAAATTAGCTGGGCATAGTGGTGCATGCCTGTAGTCCTAGCTACTCGGGAGGCTGAGGCAGAAGAATGGCTTGAACACGGGAGACAGAGGTTGCAGTAAGCTGAGATCATGCCACTGCACTCCAGCCTGGTGACAGGGCAAGATTCCATGAGAAAGAGAAAGAAAAGGAATAGAAGAGAAGGGGAAGAGAAAGGGAAAGGAGGAAAGGAGGAAGGGAGGAAAGGAAAGAAGGAAGGAAGGGAAGAAGGAAAGAAGGGAAGGAAGGAAGGGAGGAGAGGAGAGAAAAAAATAAAGAAAGGCAGAGAGTTACTGACATTAAGAGAAGAAATGTTGCCTTATTCTTTTAAACAGAGATTTAGAAACAGCTGCTTGATGGTCTTGTCTTTCCTAGTCAACAGACATTTCTATTTTCTTTATGCCAAGATTTGTCACCTTTGCATAACATTAATACTTGCTGGGAAGGAAGGTAGAAGATTGATAAGCCTTACATTTCAGGAAAGAATAAAAAACTCAATCTCTTCCACTGAAATTTCACCTGCCTGACTGCTGGCTGCCATTTACATGTATTTAGTTCTGTATTATCTCCACCTTCATGAAAATACGTGAAAGTTCAGCCTCTCTAGAGACATAAAACCGTAAGGTTTTAGAAAGAGAAGACCCTGAAGCATCCTCTAAGGCTGGTTATTCTCCCCATAAAAGGATTAACCATGGGGGCTCTTAAAATGGCAAGCTCCTCGTATGCCTTGAAATAAGATTCAATTGCAAAAATTAAATTCATATGGACACATCCACAGTTCCAGGAATATGCCCACTATCTATAATCAGGCAGATTTGTAACATTATTTGGCTTATCTTGTAAGAGTTATGATGCAAAAGGACAAAATACAAAATGAAAGGTCTGCAGTCATCTTGTGATTAGGGAAAATATAGTGGTTATTTTTCTCAAGACTGCTTCTACCCCAGGGCCTTTGCCCTCACTCTTCTTTCTGCCTAGAACATTTTTTTAAAACCAGGAGGATATATAAATAGCTGCTTCCTTACTTCATTCAGGTCTCTGTTCAAATGCAGCTTCTCCAAGAAAATTTCCCTGATCATCCCAGGTAATGTAGTTCCCCCTACTCCACCTGTCCCTAATGCTACCTATTTCTCTTCATAATGCTAATCCCCAATGGGCTTATCAGATCTCTTTATTAAAGAAATTATTAGTTTGTTTATCATTAGTTATTTATTATTAGTAGTTGTCCCTGACTTTACTTATTTATTATTAGTTGTCTCTGACTAGAATATAAACTCCATGAAGACATGGATTTTTGTTTTGTTCACTAGTCATATTTCTTTTTTTATTTTATTTTTATTTTTTAATTATACTTTAAGTTTTAGGGTACATGTGCACATTGTGCAGGTTAGTTACATATGTATACATGTGCCATGCTGGTGCGCTGCACCCACTAACTCGTCATCTAGCATTAGGTATATCTCCCAATGCTACCCCTCCCCCCTCTCCCCACCCCACTGCAGTCCCCAGAGTGTGATATTCCCCTTCCTGTGTCCACGTGATCTCATTGTTCAATTCCCACCTATGAGTGAGAATATGCGGTGTTTGGTTTTTTGTTCTTGCGATAGTTTACTGAGAATGATGGTTTCCAATTTCATCCATGTCCCTACAAAGGACATGAACTCACCATTTTTTATGGCTGCATAGTATTCCAGGGTGTATATGTGCCACATTTTCTTAATCCAGTCTATCATTGTTGGACATTTGGCTTGGTTCCAAGTCTTTGCTATTGTGAATAATGCCACAATAAACATACGTGTGCATGTGTCTTTATAGCAGCATGATTTAGAGTCCTTTGGGTATATACCCACTAATGGGATGGCTGGGTCAAATGGTAATTCTAGTTCTAGATCCCTGAGGAATCGCCACACTGACTTCCACAATGGTTGAACTAGTTTACAGTCCCACCAACAGTGTAAAAGTGTTCCTATTTCTCCACATCCTCTCCAGCACCTGTTGTTTCCTGACTTTTTAATGATTGCCATTCTAACTGGTGTGAGATGGTATCTCATTGTGGTTTTGATTTGCATTTCTCTGATGGCCAGTGATGATGAGCATTTTTTCATGTGTTTTTTGGCTGCATAAATGTCTTCTTTTGAGAAGTGTCTGTTCATGTCCTTCGCCCACTTTTTGATGGGGTTGTTTGTTTTTTTCTTGTAAATTTGTTTGAG
This sequence comes from Homo sapiens, assembly GCF_000001405.40. Taxonomy (NCBI): domain Eukaryota; kingdom Metazoa; phylum Chordata; class Mammalia; order Primates; family Hominidae; genus Homo; species Homo sapiens. Next base: position 111,178,308 of record NC_000010.11, on the reverse strand, counting down.
TTCATTGTAGATTCTTGATATTAGCCCTTTGTCAGATCACTAGTCATATTTCTAGCACATACAATAATATGGCACATGAGGACAATAAATATTGAATAAATTAGGAAATAAAGGAACAACCAAGCAAACAAGTACTTGGCCACGTCTCCAGTAGATTCTGGAAAAACCTTTAGAATCTTCCCATGCTGCCATGCACCTGTGACTATCTCAAGACATTCTTGCAACATGAAAGCATGCCCTCTTTTAACAAGTCTCTCCTAGCTGGCAGTGAGTACTGAGCACATTGTTTAATTTCTCTGACCCCTATTGTTCTATTTATCAAATTAAATGATTAACTATCTTCCCTTCCCATTTCCTCAGCTATTCAATAAAATACCTGCTCTGTGTCAGGCCATGTGTAGGAAAAAACAGGAAATGACTAACTGGTACAATAAGAACTCGAATCAGAGTGAGTGGCAAGAAAGAAAATGTGACCCAAAAAGGGGGTGAGTTTTATGGGATGAATCAGGGTGGACCAACAAGGATGGAGAAATAGGCTTTCCAAAAGGAGGTAATAAAAGACACAGAGATACTAGAACAGCAGAAATGATGAACAGATCAGGAAAGAACTGGCCAGATAAAGTAAAGAAGAGGGAGAACAAGAAAATGAAACTGGAGTTTTTTTACTAGCAAGAAACAAATGAGATGACGTGAACATGCATTGCTTACCCTTCACCACTAACACCTGCTCGCACCTCCTGCAATGGAAATAATGGTTGCAATGGTGTGCAGGAGCTGAGACTCATATGGAGGATGCCTAGAACACATGAATTCTACACACACTCTCACAAGAAAGATTTAGCTTTAAAATACTCATGTGGGTCATAGATATCAAATACCTCCCTTTTTAAAGATGAAGAAAACAGGAATCAGAAATTTTAACAAGCAGAATGTGGTAAGTTAGAAATTCTGACAAGCAGAATACAGTAAAACCAAGACTGAAATCCAGATTTCATAATATGTGCAGTGATTTTTCTTTTCCTCATTGCTGAAGTGCTTTGAATAGGAGGCTGAACAGCTCCTCAATCTAAAGATCTCCCAGCAACCACTACGGTACCTGAAATTTCCACCATCTCAGAAATCATTGAGAATAATGTGTGCTCTCTGTCTAGATAAAAATGCATAGCCAGACTCAAAGGGGTAGTCTCAACCCACTAGCACCTACCCACTGTGCTTGCATCAATTAACCAGGCTAGAGACTACCAAACAGTGTCCCAAAAGAATGAAACAAAGAACAAGGGGAAGAAAAGAACAATGGGACAGAAATGGCTGCCCATAGAGCTGGGCCTGAACACATCAAGTACATTTTGATTGAGCTAGAATCTGTAAAATCCAGAGTGTGGAAGATCAGGAGCAATTAATATAAACAGGAGGAGGATGAAGCTGAGCCCTGTCTAGCAAGCAGGAGTGTGAGAGTGGTGCTGGGAGAAGGCATGGACAGGGATAGAGTAGGGAAGCACAGAGCACAGTGGCTCACCCTCAACCACTTATCAACTCTCTAAGCTCAAGCAGCCCCTGAACTCCTGATCTGTAACATGGTGAGAGAGCATCACTTATATCACAGGATGCCTGTGAGGATCAAATGAAATAATGCATGCAAAGTATTTAGCACAGGGATTAGTACAAGATACACACTTTACATGTTGGCTATTTAAAAAGAAAAGGAAGAAAAGGAGAGGAAAATAAAAGAGAAAGGAATTGAAATGAAAGTCTGATGAAGACCAACTTCACAACTTCTCAAATGTCCCAAGGGCCAATCTTGACAAAGGAGTTCCTAGTCCAGGGCTGCCATGCACAGTTGAACAGGTTGTGCAGTGCACAAATGTGCAGTGTGCATGGCAGCACTGACAGGATTGCACTTCTAAACAGACAGGAACACCATTGAGCCTTCCCTTAGCACTGCTTGGTTCTGCCTGGATGAGGAACCTATCCAAAGATGATTAGGATAAATTATTGCCATAGCGCTTTTTAACATTTTGCTCTTGAAGACTCTCTGGGCTTTTGATTTTTGTTAATTCATAAAAACTATTAGCCCAGCCTGTCTGTTCACATTGAGTGAAAAAAAAATTCTTTTGTAAAGGTCCAGCACCTAAGTGGCTATAATTTGAACGCAGATTATTCAGTGGTGATCCTCATTAGCATAACAGCCTGTCCTGGTTGCAGCTGCTGGCAGCCCTCTGGGAAGGCTGGACAGCTGACCAGCCACGCTATGTGTGAGGGACTAAAACAGCTGCCCATACAGTGGCCTGACCACTGTCAGATAAAGATAAGCCTTATCTGGCAGACTCACCAGACTTTCACAACCATGAATTTGATGATAACCTTAGTGGAGATCATCTGCCTGGTTTCCTTTTCTGGTCTGTGAGCAAAGAGAGACAAGGAAATGACACAGAGAGTCAACTGGGGAATCAGGTGGCACCATGCTCTGTGCCTCTCTACTCTATCCCTATCCATGCCTTCTCCCCGCACCACTCTCATCCTCCTGCATGCTACATGGGGCCCAGCTTCGTCCTCCTCCTATTTACATTAATTGCTCCTGATCTTCCACACTCCAGATTTTCCAGAGTCTAGCTCCATCAAAATGTACTTGTTTTTTGTTCCATTCTTTCTGGACCCTGTTTGGTAATCTCTAGCCTAGTTAATTAATTGATTAGGCTAGGGGACTCCTAGGGGCCTAGAGGCCCCCAGCCCGGTGTTTTACACCTGATTTTATAAATAAACCCTACAGCCAACTAGAGAGAACCTATCATGACACAGACACTATACCCAGTGCACTTGAAGATATTATCTCAGTTCAACTTGCAGATCACCCTGTGAGCAAATTATGCTCATTCCCTACCTTACACTTGAGCAAAAAGAAGCTATGAAGGTGTAGCATGATCTTCCTAACACCACATAACTATTGAGTGAAAAAGCTGAACCTCAAGCTAAATATGTCTGACCTCCAGCAGCCACACTTTTCCCACTTATGTCCAGCAGCTTGGATGGCAGGATACCTATTCACAAGTATAAGTAATTATTTGACAAAATGAAAAGTCAGGACATGATTTGAGAGAATGAATGAAAGTGCTCTTATCCTAGAGGACACCCCCTTTGTCCTTATAGAGCCCCAGAGTTCCAATGTCCTACTTACCCCAGCTCAGTGCCTCCTTCTCCCCCTCCATCTGCCAATCTGAAGACCGAGGCCAAGTTCCAGCACACACCTGAACCCATTCCTGGCCTTCCTTGCTCTTCAGTCAAAATATACAGGCTTATACAATAGAATAAGAGGTGACCATTTAAAATGATGTTCCTAGTTTTTAATGATGGGGAAAATACTTTTGAAACAAAGTTTTTTTTAAAGCAGATCAAAAGTCTAGACAGTACAGATCTTAATATGCAACAATAATGGATATGGCCTCTCACTGTAAGCAACTAGAAAGTGGGACATACAGCCAATGGTTTCCAGATATTCAATATAGGACTGTGACCTATGAAAAAAATGGAAATTAGGTGAGCCCTGTTATTGCCCTAGCAACTTGATGGAGGCACTTTACAGACCATAGACAGGGAGGAGAATGCCAAGCAGGGCTTGGAAATCTTGCTGGACTGAGGATACAGCAACCTGAATTTGAGTAGGCTGAGACAGCTCGACTTTGTGGGGGCAGAATTCCAGACAGGTGAGATTTATGCAGAGAAAGAGCTTCAGATAACTCAAGGGTCCCCTATAGTCTGTTGCTAAGTTCTAAGCTGTACATTAGTATGGTGAAACTCCACAACGCCAGGAAAATTATGACCAGGATCTATAAGCTGAACACTTCCCAAAACTAAAAGCACTAAGAGAAACTTAAGCTCTGACCAGCCAGAGTAGAGACTCATTACTGATCATTGCAATATTCAGTAGAGAGTCTAGAAGGGCCACGCCATAACAGTGGGGCTAAACCAGATTTAGAGTAAAGGCTACTGTAAAATTGCCCTAAAGAAATTAAAAACAATCCTCAAAAGATTAAGCTGATCCCCAAGCAACAAAACTACCTTTCAGAACAAAGCCTGGCACTCGTTAAAGGAAACTAAAACAACAATATTATGGACTGAATTGTTTTTCCAAAAAAATTATATGTTGAATTTCTAAGCCCCAATGTGACTGTATTTGGAAACAGGGCCTTTAAAGAGATAATTACAATTAAATGAGGTCATAAGGGCAGGACCCTAATGCATTATGACTAGTGTACTTGTAAGAAAAGAAAAATATACCAGGGAAATGAACACACAAAGAGGCCATGTAAGAACTCAGTAAGAAGGTAGCTATTTGCAAGCCAAGAAGAGAGGCTTCAGGAAAAACTAAACCTGCCAACAACTTAAGACTTCCAGCCTCCAGAACTGTGAAAAAATTAATTACCACTGTTTAAGGTATCCAGTCTGTGATACTTTTTATGGCAATTCTAGCCAACTAATACCAACAATAACAATAAAAACCCATCATTAAATAATGTAAAATTCAAAATGTCTAGCATGCAGTCAAAAACTAATAGACAGCATGACGACAGGAACAAATTCACACATATCAATACTAATTTTGGTAAATGGTCTAAATGCCTCCAATTAAAAGGCACAGAGTGACAAGTTGGATAAAGAAGCAAGACCCAAAAGTATACTGTCTTCAAAAGACCCATCTCATGAGCAATAACACCCACAGGCTGAAGGGGTGAAGAAAAATCTTCCAAGCAAACAGACAACAGAAAAAAGCGGGGATTACTATTCTAATTTCAGACCTTAAACAAAGATTTAAAAAAAAAGGGGGGGGGGTATTACATAATGATAAATGACTTGATTCAACAAGAAGACCTAACTATCCTAAATACATATGCACCCAACACAGAAGCACCTAGATTCATAAAGCAAGTTCTTTGAGATCTACGAAGAGACTTGGATAACCCCACAATAATAGTGGGAGACTTCTACACCCCACTGACAGTATTAGACATATTATCAAGGCAGAAAACTAATAAAGATATTCAGGACCTGAACTAGACACGACCAAATTAACTTAATATATATCTATAGAATGCTTCACCTAAGAACAACAGAAAATACATTCTTCTCATTTGCATGTGGTACATACTATAAAATCAGCCACACAATCAGACATAAAACAATCTTCAGTAAATTCAAAAAAACAAATAATACCAACCACCCTCAGACCATAGTGCAATAAAAACAGAAATCAATACTAAGAAAATTGCTTAAAATTATATAATTATATGGATATTAAACAACCTGCAAGCATTACAAAACACTGCTCAAAGAAATCAGAGATGACACAAACAAATGGAAAAAACATGCCATGCTCATGGATAGGAAGAATCAATATTATTAAAATGGCCATAGTGCCCAAAGCAATTTACAGATTCAATGCTATTCCTATCAAACTACCAATGACATTCTTTGCAGAATTAAAAAAAAAAACTATTCTAGAAGGCATATAGAACCCAAAACAATCCAAATTGCCAAGGCAATCCTAAGCAAAAAAAAAAAAAAAAGCTAGAGGCATCATACTACACAACTTCAAAGTATACTACAAGGTTACACTAACCAAAATAGCATGGTACTACTACCAAAACATACACATAGACCAATAGAACAGAATAGAGAGCCCAGAAATAATGCCACACACATACAACCATCCAATCTTTGACGAAGTCAGCAAAAACAAGCAATAGAGAAAGGGCTCTCTATTCAATAAACGGTGCTAGGATAACTGGCTAGTCATATGCAGAAGACTGAAACTGGACCTTTTCCTTACACTATATGCAAAAATCAACTCAAGATGGATTAAATAATTAAATGTAAAACCTAAAATTATAGGAAAAAAAAACCCTGGAATATAACCTAGAAAATATAATTCTGGACATAAGCCCTGGAAAAGATTTCATGATGAAGATGTGAAAAACAATTTCAACAAGAATAAAAATTGAGAAATGGGATCAATTAAACTAAAGAGCTTCTGCACGGTAAAAGAAACTATCAACGGAGTAAACAGAAAACCTAGGGAATGGCAAAAAATATTTGCACACTATGCATCTAAAAGAAGTCTAATACACAGCATCTATAAGGAACTTGAACAAATTTACAAGCAAAAAACAAACAACTCTATTAAAAGGTAAGCAAAGGGCATAAACAGACACTTTTCAAAAGAAGACATACATGCGGCCAACAAGCATATGAAAAAAAATCTCAACATCACTAATCATTAGAAAAATGCAACTCAAAACTACAATGAGATACCATCTCACACCAGTCAGAATGGCTAGTAGTAAAAAGTCGAAAAATAACAGATGCTGGCTAGGTTGTGGAGGAAAGGGAACTCTCAAACCCCCGTGACACACAATATATACAATAAACTTGCATGTTTACTCCAGAACTTTAAATAAAAGTTTAAAAAAAACTAATAGACATACAGAGAAGCAGAAAGATGTGACCCATAACTGAACAAAGAGCAGTCAAATCAAACAGATCCAGAAATGATGGAAATAGCAGACAAGGGTTTTAAAACATGTATTATAAATGTGTTCAGGAATAAAACATAACATGAACATAGAATGTACTGATATAAAAGTCATGAAAAAAGAACCAAATGGAATTTTAGAGGTATAACATAAGCAAAAATGAAAAATTTACTGAATATAATTGTATTACTCAATGTTCTCCAGAGAAACAGTATTAACAGGATGTGAATATACATAGAGAGATTTATTTCCAGGAATTGGTTCATGCAATTGTGGAGGCTGTCAAGTCCAAAATCTACAGGGTGGGCCAGCAGACTGAAGATCCAGGGAAGAGATGATGTTTCGGTTCAAGTCCAAAAGCTCTCTGCTGGCAGAATTTCTTCTCAGGAATTCTGGGTCAAGGGAAGTCAGCCTTTTTTCTTTTGAGGCCTTCAACTGATTGGATAAGGCCCACTCACATTATGGAGGTCAATCTGCTTTCCTAAATCCACCAGTTTAAGCATTAATCTCATCCACAAAAACAAAATAAAACCAAAAAAACCCCTCACAGAACATCCAGAATAATGTTTAACCAAATATGTAGGCACCATGGCCCAGTCAAGTTGACACATAAAATTAACCACCCACTATTAAAAGTATATCAGGCACTATATTTAAAAGATCAAAGAACTGGAAGATTTAGCAATATAAACTACCTAAACTGAAGCAGAGAGAAGGGAAATAAGGGATTTTTTTTTTTTTTACAAAAATTACCAGAGTCCCAGTGATTAGTCAGACAACATTGAACAGTATATAATTATAGTCTTGGAGGTAGGAGGATAAAGCAAAAAATATGTATTTGAAGAACAATGGTCAAAATTTTTCTAAATTTGACAAAAACTGTAAACCTACAGATTCCAAAAGCTCAATTCATCCCAAGCAATATAAACATAAAGAAAACCACACCAAAGTATACAATAAAATTGCTTAAAAGATACTAATATTAAAAGCAATGGAGTATGGGGGAGGGAAATATTACATACAGACAAGATAAGAATGACTGTAAACTTCCAGTCATAAGTAATACAAGCCAGAATGACCGCTTTAAGGTGATTTTTTAAAAATAAAAAATAAAAACCTGTAAACTTAAAATTGTATTTGAATCTATTCAAAAATGAAGGCAAAAGAATGACTTTTTCCGACAAACATAAGCTCCATTATTTTGTCTACAGTAGACCTGAAGTACAAGAAAAGTTGTAGAAAGTTCTTCAGACAGAAAATATATGAAATATGGAAACTGGAAAACTAATTTTCATATGGAAATTTTAACCTAACCCAAAGGCATGAAGAGCTCCAGAAAGGGTAAACATATGGGTAAGTATAAAGTCATTTCTCCCATTTTAAAAAAAGTATTTAAAAATTATTTGACTTTTTAAAGCAAAAATAATACAATGTATTGTGGGATTTATAATATATGTAGAAGTAAAATGCACCACCACAATAGAAAAAGGGAGGGAATTGAAGTATACAGAGCAAGTTTCTTATATCATACACAAATTTGTAAATCTAAGAGCAACCCCTAAAATATAAAATAAAACAAAGATATTTAGCTAATAGGCCATTGGTGGTAAAATCAGAATATGAAAAATAATCCACATGAAAGCAGGAAATAAGGAAAAAAGAACAGATCAGACAACTAGAAAATAACTAGTAAGATGGCAGATTTAAACATAACCATATTGATAATCATATTGCATGTAAGTAGTCTAAACGCTTCAGTTAAAACTCAGAGACTGCCACAGAGGGGAAACTGCAAGATCAACAATTTGCTGTCTACAAGAAATCCAATTTTAATATAGAAACACAGGCAAATTAAAAGTACAAAAAAAGATAAACTATGCAAACACTAACCAAAGGAAAGCCGAAATGATTATCTTAATCTCAGACCAAAAAAACTTCAGATGAAGGAACATTACCAGGAATATAAAGGGGTATTTTATAAAAATAAAGGAGGCATTTTGAGAAGATATCATCTTAAATGTATATGTACCCAATAAGAAATCCTGAAATACATGAAGCAAAACCTAACAGACCAAAGGAAAAACAGACAAAACTAGAACTATCGTTAGTGGTATCAACACTCTTCTCTCAATTAAAATAGAAAAAAATTCTAAGGATCTAGAAGATATAAACAGCACTTTGAATCAATTTGACCTAATTGACATTTATAAACACATCGCCTAACAAAAACAAAATATACATTGTTTCCAAGTGTTCATGGATCCAGATAGATCATCTGGACCATAAAATAAATTTCAGTAAGTTTAAAGGAATTTAAATCAGCAAAATATGTTTTTCTGACCACAATGAAATTAGGTTAAAAAGAAATCAGAGAAAAGATCTGAAAAATCCTCAAATATTTGGAAATTAAACAAATTGGGGTCAAAAAAGAAACACCAAATATAAAATCATGTCATCTGCAAACAGAGACAATTTGACTTCCTCTCTTCCTATTTGAAAACCCTTTCTTTCTTTCTGTTGCCTGATTATTCTGGCCAGAACTTCCAATACTATGTTGAATAGGAGTGGCGAGACAGGGCATCCTTGTTTCATGTTGATTTTCAAACGGAATGCTTTCCAGCCCATTCAGTATGATATTGGCTGTGGGTTTGTCATAAATAGCTATTATTTTAAGATACGTTCCATCAATACCTAGTTTACTGAGAGTTTTTAGCATGAAGGGGTGTTGAATTTTATCGAAGGCCTTTTCTGCATCTATTGAGATAATCATGTGGTTTTTGTCATTGGTTCTGTTTATGTGATGGATTACATTTATTGATTTGCATGTGTTGAACCAGCCTCGCCTTCCAGGGATGAAGCTGACTTGATCATGGTGGATAAGCATTTGATGTGCTGCTGGATTGGAACCCCATTGTCTCAGCCCAAAATCGCCTTAAGCTGATAAGCAACTTCAGCAAAGTCTCAGGATACAAAATCAATGTGCAAAGTCACAGGCATTCCTATACACCAATAATAGACAAACAGCCAAATCATGAGTGCACTCCCATTCACAATTGCTATGAAGAGAATAAAATACCTAGGAACCCAACTTATAAGGGATGTGAAGGACTCCTTCAAGGACAACTACAAACCAACAAACCACTGCTCAAGGAAATAAGAGAGAACACAAATGGTGTTGGGAAAACTGGCTAACCATATGCAGAAAACAGAAACTGGACCTTGTCCTTACACCTTATAAAAAAATTAACTCAAGATGGATTAGAGACTTAAACATAAGACCTAAAACCATAAAAACCCTAGAAGAAAACCTAGGCAATACCATTCAGGACATAGGCATGGGCAAAGACTTCATGACTAAAACATCAAAAGCAATGGCAACAAAAGCCAAAATTGAAAAATGGGATCTAATCAAACTAAAGAGCTTCTGCACAGCAAAAGAAACTACCATCAGAGTGAACAGGCAACCTACAGAATGGGAGAAAATTTTTGCAATCTATCATCTGACGAAAGGCTAATATCCAGAATCTACAAGGAACTTGAAAAAATTTACTAGAAAAGTGGGCAAAGGATATGAACGGAAACTTCTCAAAAGAAGCCATTTATATGGTCAACAAACATATGAAAAAAAGGTAATCATCACTGGTCGTTAGAGAAATGCAAATCAAAAACACAATGGGATGCCATCATCTCACACCAGTTAGAACAGTGATCATTAAAAAGTCAGGAAACAACAGATGCTGGAGAGGATGTGGAGACATAGGAACGCTTTTACACTGCTGGCAGGAGTGTAAATTAGTTTAGCCATTCTGGAAGACAGTGTGGCGATTCCTCAAGGATCTAGAACCAGAAATACCATTTGAACCAGTCATCCATTACTGGGTATATACCCAAAGGATTATAAAACATTCTACTATAAAGACACATGCACACATATGTTTATTGCAGCACTATTCACAATAGCAAAAACTTGGAACCAACCCAAATGCCCATCAACAATAGATTGGATAAAGAAAATGTGGCACATATACACCATGGAATACTATGCAGCCACAAAAAAGGATGAGTTCATGTCCTTTGCAGGGACATGAATGAAGCTGGAAACCATCATTCTCAGCAAACTAACAGGAACAGAAAAACAACCACCACGTGTTCTCACTCATAAGTGGGAGGCGAACAATGAGAACACATAGACACAGGGAGGGGAACATCACACACTGGGGCCTGTTGGGGGCTAGGGGAGGGATAACATTAGGAGAAATACCTAATGTAGATGATGAGTTGATGGGTGCAGCAAACCACCATGGCATGTGTATACCTATGTAACAAACCTGCACATTCTGCACATGTATCCCAGAACTTAAAGTATAATTTTAAAAAATACCAAGGAAACTAAGAAATAGTTTGAACTGAATGGAACTAAAAAAATGGACATACCAAAATCTATAGAATACAGCTAAAGCAGTGCTTAGAGGGACATTTATCACTTTAAATACATATGCAGGAAAAAAGAAAGGCCTAAAATCAAAGATTTAAGCTTCCACCTTAAGAAACTAGACAAAGAACAGAAAAATTACACCCAAAGTAGAATGAGATTAAAAATGAAAATTAGTAAATGCTGACAAACAATAGAGAAAAATCAATAAAACCAAAAGCTGGTTCTTTGAAATGATTAATAGATGGTTTTAAAAAGAAAAAGAAAACAACACTCAAAAATGTTAACAGCTATTTTTTTTGGACAGTTGGACTGTAAGTGTTTAATTTTATTATTTATATTTGATTTTTATAAATATTTTTAAATATTATGCTCATAAAAGCCAAAATCCTATTTTTTTAATTAGCACTCCTTTGTTTTTGTCAGGAAAGCTGCAGTGTCTTGCTTTTCAGTGAAAGGTATAGCAAGCCTAAAGTCTATGGATCAGGTAAAGCAACCATTAGAGAGGGAACACTTCCCACTCAGGTTTCCATTTAAGGGAAGAGAGCCCCACTCCTCTCCTGATGGCAATAGTACTGAAATGAGTACTGCAGTTTCTGCCCATCACACCCACCCACATCCCAAACAGCCAGATATCCGCCTGGTCCTTGTAATCCTCAGGCCCTTCAAAATTTAAGCTGATCTCCTCTGCACTGTCCCTCTCATCCCAGTCGCCCACATTCTCTAAACAGAGTGTTTGTTCTCTCTCACCTTCCGCTTATTCTACCCCACTGCAAGTCAGATCTGCTGCTGTCTACCTCTGCCTCAGAAGTGTTAAGTTCCACTTGAGAGGAGCATGCCCTGATGTATTCTGCAATCAATAACAAGGGTAATACTGTGATCTGATTCCCACTTGGCATCATGTGCTTATTCCAAATGGTTAGAATCTTGAGAAAAGGAGAGGGGAGCTCTCACCTGGCCTAACTCCCTTTTAAGTGTATTATTGGATGCATAATCTGCTCCTCTCAGATAATGGAAGATTTATCCTGATTAAAGTTTACATGAGTGACAAATGAATTAACCAGATTACAAATGTATGACATAACCTCACTGAAGGGGAGAGAGAAGAACAGAGCTGATCTAAGTCCCTCTGGAAAACAATGTTTTGTCCAGATACTGACAGGCTAAAGACATAAAGAACTGTACAATAACATAGCACTCTAGTTGATAAATTTGCTTCTCACAGGAGCACAGGTTCGCAAGTCTAAAACTAAATATATAACTAGGATTGAACAATAAATATATGGTACATAATGAGAACCAGGTTTTTCACTATCAGAGAAAAAAGAAACAAGCAAAGGTGGAAGGGGTTAAAATGAGCCCTGTGGTGCTGGATTTCAGTCAGAGATGTATCAACAGAAACTCATGTTTATTCCAAGCATATATAAATGGATTCAGAAATAAATTTAGATGTGGAATATTGCACATAGGTGTGTATATGTGTACTTTTATGTATTCTATAATAAATATAATTCTATGTAACATTTAATTATATATTTATAATAAATATAAACATTTACTAGCTTTGTCCACTGAGAAGAACCAGTGGACATGCCAGTAGCAACGAGCACAACTAACAGCAGATCTTGGCTTCTAAATACCATTTCCCTATAAAAGGAAATGACTGGTTCTTAGTCTCAGGTCTGAAGCACCCAATAGTACCAGAAAATAAGAAAGTACAGAAAGAGAGATTATCAGTCAAAAAGGCACAGGAGCCAACCTGAAAGAGTTCCCCATGGCCACAGCTCAAAAAATTTGAGCAACAAAATAATTAATAGTATGAGATTATAACCCAAAGAGTAAACATTCACGAATCCATACTGATTTAAATGAATGAATGAGTGAATAAATGAGGGACAAAAGACAGTTTTTGTTTTGTTTTGTTTTGTTTTGTTTTTGAGACAGAGTCTCACTCTGTTTCCCATCCTAGAGTGAAGTGGTGCGACCTCGGCTAACTGCAACCTCCACCTCCAGGGTTCAAGCAATTCTCCTGCCTCAGCCTTCCAAGTAGCTGGGACCACAAGCATGTGCCACCATGCCCAGCTAAATTTTTTGTATTTTTAGAAGAGATGGGGTTTCACTGTGTTAGCCAGGATGGTTCTCGATCTCCTGACCTCATGATCCACCCACCTTGGCCTCCCAAAGTGCTGGGATTACAGGTGTGAGCCACCATGCCTGGCCAGAAGAGACAATTTTTTAATAGAAAAATTCCAGCTTTTTTAAAAGTGGAAGGAATAAGAGAAGTAGAAAATCACTATCAGAGTACCATAGCAATAGCTAGCTGCTGCAGGCAATCTCCACTGATGTATACTAAGATTAGTGGGTGAACTTTGAGAAACAGGATATTTGCAGAGCTTAAAGTATCTTCCACCAATATTTATTGATTACAGTGAAAGTTTTAAAATGTTCACAAAATTTTTGCTACTCCTCTCTCCCGGGAGCAGAGCTTACTTTCCCTCACTTGAGTGAGGGCTAGACTTAGCAGCTGTCTTCTGATGAACAGAATATAGAAAGGGAAAAACCATCACTTTCTAAGGGAGAAACCTGACAGACAGCATCTTAACTAAGTGATCAAAGTTAATATCACCAGTACTATGTCATATTGATATCATATAGCCCTTGATATGAGGTAATGAGAAGGAATCATCATCTCTGAGGCACCCTTCCCCAGTCCATAACCTGTCTGATCATGAGAACATAACAGACAAAACCAAACTGAGGGACACTACAAAACACTGAACCAACAAAGTGACAAGGCCATGAAGAAAAAAGGAAATATCGAGAAACTATCACAGACTGGAGGAGACTAAGGACACATCACAACGAAATGTAGTGTAGTATCTTGGATTGGCTCCAGAATCAGAGGGGGAAAATGTTAGTGGAAACACTTGTGGGGATGCAAATAAAGCCTGCAGTTTAGTTAATATTTGTTGTACCAATGCTAGTTTTTTAGTTCACAGAAATGTACCACAGTTGTGTAAGATGTTAAGATTAGGGTAATCCAAGTGAAAAATATATGGGAACTCTGTACTATCTTCACAATTCTTCTTGTAACTCTAAAATTACTTCAGAAGAAAACTTCTGAAGCAAAAACAATGTTTCCAAAAAGAAAAAAAAATACATGGCTTCAATCAACAAAGTTTTCAAAGTTGAGACATTGAAAGATTAACAAAATGGATAAATTCCTAGGACAACTGATCAATACAATAATAAAATAAACAAATAGAAGATGTCTACACTGAAAACTACAACACATTATTGAAATAAATGAAAGAAGATGCAAATAATGGAGGAATAGAGCATGCTTATGAATTAGAAGACTCAATTCTGGAAAGATGTCAAATTCCAAATTGATCTACAGTTGTGTGTAAACTCACTCAAAATTCCAGCAGGTTTTCCTTTGGAAGGTGACAAGTGATTCTAAAATATATAGAGATGCATGTAAAGCAAAAAGTAGTCTTGAAGAATAGCAACAAAGAACTTACACTACCTGGTATCAAATTTTCAGTGAGGTATTGGATGAACACAAAATGACCAACAACACAGAAGTCTATCCAGAAACACAGAAAGATGGCAGTCATCTGGTCTACAACAAAAGCGGATACACAGCGCAGCAGGAAAAAGATGACCTTTTCAATAATGGATGCTGATTCGCTTAGATATCTATATGGGGAAAAAATTAGTCCTGACCTCTACTACATACCATACACAAACAAGAGTTTCAGATGAACTGTGGATCTAAGTGCTAAAGGCAACACCATAAAACTTTCAGAAGAAAACATGAGACTATTTTTAGTACATTAGGGTAGACAAAGATCTCTTAAACCACAAAATATACTAGCCATAAAGGAAAAAATTGATAAAGTTAAGAACTTCTGTACGTTAAGAGATATTATGAAGAGGATTTTTTTAAAAAGAACTTGCCCAAAAATATATAAAGAACTCCTATAACCAATAAGTAAAAGGCAGACAATCCAATAAGACAATAGGCAAAAGACTTGAACAGGTGCTTCACAAAAGAGGATATCCAAGTTAGTTAATAAGTAGATGAAAACGTGCTTGGCTTCATTAGTCATCAGGAAAATGCAAAATTGAAACACCGCAATCAGATACCACTATACCCCCACAAGAACGATTAAAATGAAAAAGGCAAACATTGGCAAGTGTTGGGGACAATGTGAAGCAGCTAGAGCTCTCATATGCCACCACTGGTGGGAATGTATATTAGTACAAGCACATTGAAAACTGTTTAGCAATTGCTACTAAAATTGAGCATATGCATTCCCTAGTATCCAGAAATTTCATTCCTGGCAATATAACCAGCAGATACGTGTATCCATGTTAACCTACAGACATGTACAAAAACGTTTATAGCAGTATTACTCATAATGTCCTAAAATTCAAATAACCAAACATCTAGTAATAGTAGGATAAGTATTCATAAAAATACTACAGAATTAAAATGTTCAAACTACAAATAAATCCAACAACAGAGATGAATCTCAAAAACATAAACTTGAACCAAAGAAACCAGAGACACACAAAAGTATGAGTCTATATTTGTAGTTCAAAAACAGACAATCTGAACTATGGCATTAGAAGTTAGGATAGCAGATCTCTTATGGGGTGGTAGGGGACAAGTATTGACTGGAAGAAATCACAGGGGAAGCTTCTTGGTTGCTGGCAATATTCTATCTTCATCTGGGTGTTGAATAGAAAGGTGTGTTCTGTGTCTGACTGTTCATCAAGCGATACATTTATGACTCGTGCAGTTTTCAAAAAGGAAATTATGTACAATAAGATTGCTGGGGGGTGGGGAGAAAACCATATACATTGCTCTAAAAGATCCTCGGGAGCATTTTAAGGGAGGATGGTATTAGGAGAGAGATGGGAGCACCCCCAAAGCCTGCTTTACAGATTAAAGGGGAGTCCAGAGGCTATGTATGGGGCCAGGCAGTGGGAAAAGAATCCATAGGAAATAGACTCCCACTCAGCATGGATTAAAATCTCTGATCACATATAGTTTCTTTCAGACAAGCAGCTCTTGCCCTAACTCTCCCATCTTTCCCACCAAATTGCCTATTTCTCTCTCTTTCCTTCTTCCTAACTCTAGCATAAGATAGGGTTGGAGAGAGACTGCTCACTTTCTCCTCCCTAAACTACCTTCCCTAACAACCTCACCAAGTCAGGATGCCAAGGTCAAGCAAAGAGCTTGCCAGGTAGTTGTGACACCAGAGACTCCAACTCTAAAGGCCAGAGAAAATGGAAGCAGGTCTCCAAAGTGTCCACTAGACCCCTTCATGGGATAAAAACAGTGCAAAAAATGCAGAGTTCTTTTTGTCAGTAAGAAACTTGAAGCTGTATTCTTCACCCTATCAATCATAGTATCTCAGTGATTTCATCTCTAGATAAATATTCACTCTGATGACATGTGTGTCTTGCCTCTGGACCATCAAGTCGAGATTTAAGAACAATGTGCTACAGGAAGCTTGGGGGTTAATTAGATTGTCTGGAATTTGTCCCTGGATCGCCAACTAAGCTCTGATTTAATGCCAAGTTCTTCCAAGAGAGGGAAGAAGCAGTATCATGTGGCTGGTCTGTAGAAAATTTGAGTTGACCCACTGTTCCTCCCTTGGACCATCTGTCTCTAAATGTCCCCTGCACTGTCTGGCCTCCCATGGCATTTCATGAGTCAGAATGTCCCGGGGACTGAGCTACTTTCTGAGTTACCAACATGCTCGTGACCATTTTGGATCTTTACTTGGCATAGAGCTGCCTTGTCATGGTCACTCTATGTGTCCTTCCAGAATACACTCAGATCACCTTCTCTGCTACCCCCTTCTAGCCTCTACCTCATACACTGCCCCACAGCTCCTGTGCCCCTTGTACACGGTTCTATGGTTGCAGGCTCAGATGGTGGTATAACTTGTTAATGTGGCTTTCTCCCCTACTAGACTTTAATCTTTACAAGGGTGGGGTCTATAACCTATGCATTATGCTCTCCCCAGCTCCCCACACAGTGCTTAGTATCTTTATTGCTTTCTCTGATAACACATGTAATACTAGGCAATATAAAATTCAAATCTTATGGAAATACAAAGTATAGGCTCTGAAACGTCCCAAGATTCTCACTGTCGCAAGATAATCACTGTCAATTGGGTGCATATTCTGCCAACAAGTGGTACATTAAAAATACATAAGTTGGCTGGGCGTGGTGGCTCACGCCTGTAATCTCAGCACTTTGGGAGGCCGAGGAGGGCGGATCACCTGAGGTCAGGAGTTTGAGACCAGTCTGACCAACATGGTACAACCCCGTCTCTACTAAAAATACAAAAAGTAGCCGGGCATGGTGGCAGGTGCCTGTATTCCCAGCTACTCAGGAGGCTGAGGCAGGAGAATCACTTGAACCTGGGAGGCAAAAGTTGCAGTTAGCTGAGATTGCACCACTGCACTCCAGCCTGGGTGACAGAGTGAGACTCCATCTCAAAAAATAAATAAATAAATAAATAAATAAATAAATAAATAAATACATACATACATACATACATAATAAGTTATCAATGTTGAGATTTTTCCTAAGGATGAAATCATTGTCTACATGCTGTTTTGCAACTTATTTTTGTCACTAAGCAATGTAAAATAGGAGCACAATTCCTTGATGAAGCACATGGCTCTATCTTGTTCTTTTTAATAGCCGCATAGTATTCCATTTTAGGGGGGATTGTGGTTTATTTAACTACTTTCATATTGATGAGCTTTGTGTTATATACATTACTTTTGCTATACAAACTATACTACCATGAATTTTTTGTGCACATCTCTTTGTGCCCATGAGGGGTGTTTTACGGAGATAAATTCTAGAAGTTGAAACATACAACCTTCCTTTACCTCCGCACAGAACTGGTGCAGTATCTGTAACCAATGGTGACCCAAAAGCAATTATTAACTGACTAAATGATGGGATTCAATAAAAGAAATGATCCTAAAAAGACAATTCCTGGTTTGGGGTAATCGCTTTTGGAGACAAGCCCCTTCTTGTGTACTTGGTTCCTCACACAATGGTTGACATAATAAACTCTTCCCCTACTAGGCAGAGAGCAAGGACCATGTCTCATTTATGTTTCTTCAGTTCACCAAATAGCTTCCAAGCCTACCCTAAGTTAGAAACTTGGGTGAAATTACCAGCAGTAATTGCTGGTAAAACATTGATGGTTTCTGATGAAATGCTGAGCATCCTTTACTCGCTAATTTCCCTTTATTCCCTGTCTGCCAGGAAGCTCAATACTCAGCGTTGTGTAGGAATTTCCTTTGGCCTAGGGCTTCTGCTATATGAAGGCGCTCTTCTGCATTCCATTGCATTGCTTTGTTACTTTTTTTAACCCATATTTCTACAGCTCTATTGCATATGAGTTTTATTGCAAACTACCCCAAACTCCTAAGAAAGGTAATAACAATAACTAATTTCTTTTTAAGGAATTTATACATTATTTTATTTAATCCTTATTTTTTAAGTTGTCATGAAGGTAGGACAGGGATTATCACTGTCATCTGAAATTTGTGGTAAAATCAACGAAGAGCAGGAAGATTAAGTGACCCACCCAACACAGTACAGCTAGGGAAAAACACTCACAAATCTAAGTGGGTCTCGTGATTTTATAACTTAAAGAAAAAAAGCAAATGAGAGAGAGAGAGAGAGAGAGAGAGAATATTAGGAAATAGGACTGTTGGATAGAACAGCCCATGAAAAAGTAACTCCAACGTCCAAACAAAAGCCCTTGCTTTTCTTCTTAGCTTTTCTCTGCTTCTCTTTTCTATTTTGATGGGGGTAGAGAAGATGGTGCTTTTTATGTCGTTGCTAAACAAATAGGACTATGAGCTACCTTTCACAATTTCTGTAGTGATTTCATATCATTTTGGAACTCTACTCAAGTTCCAACAGTTATGGTTTTTTCCTCCCATGGGAAGCTTGGGTAGCACGGGCCTCTACCCTTCCCAGCACCACGCATTTGTTTATGACCCCATGCCCTGGGCATTCCAGAGGCTGGTTTCTACTGATTTTCCCACCAACCTCTCCTGACTCAAGGCTTTTCCCTGACCCCTGGTGTCCTTGATCTCCTTCCTTGGAGCTTGCTTACCTGACTTTCCAATGGCTTTTAAAACTCATGGGTTGTTCTCTAGCCTAGACATTCAGGTGTGCTATTCCCATCTGCTCCCTAGCTGATGACAAGCATGGTACCACTGTGCCCGCTGCCCTAGCTCTCTAGGCACTAGACTCTCAGCTAAACAACAGAAGTTGTAGAGATAGCACAGTGCTAAGAGACTTCCACTTTGAAGGGATTTCATACACCACTTATTCAAAATGCAAGTTGGTAGAACAAATGTCTGGCACTTTCGTGAATCCTGCATAGCAGTTTAATGTTCTTTAAGCACGAGTCACTCAAAATCAAGGAAAATTTGCACTAGCAAATGGTGAAATTTCAAAAATGTATCTCTCTGGGACAGAGTTGCTTTCTTGATGACTCACAGGCAGCTTCAACTTCACAAGTGCAAAAGTGAACCAGTCATCTTCTCCCACCCCAGCCCTCTCCAGGCTCCATATCTCAAAAAAAAAGCACTTCTGTATGTTCAAAAAAGAAATGCTGCGATCACTCTGACACCTCTTTCTCCCTCATTCATCAGTAATTTTACCTCCCAGATACTTCTCCAATATATTCATTACTCTCCAACTTCATTTCTATCATACCTTTTAAACCACCATGATCTTACTGCTAGGATATTTCTGTTGCCTCCTGGCTTGTCTTGTCTCTTCAATCAATTTCAACACTAGAGGAGATTTAAGAACTAAGCCATCGCATAAACACCAATGGCTTTCTTCTGCTTTTGAAATTAAGTACATTGACTTGGCTTTGGCTTACAGAAGGCTGCATGTCTTCCAATCTCACTTCTCACCATTCTACACCATATTTGCCTTCCTTTAGTTGCTCAAATGCACCATGACCTTCCCCATCTCTCTGCTCTCAGCTTCAATGCCACCTTCTCAGGGATGTCTTCTTGCCCTTCTAAACTGAGCTCCCATGGAACCTTGTATTTTTTTCATATTTAGGAAAATAGTAATAACATTATTATCTGTTGAATGCCTATCTCCCTGTTCTCCATTCCAGTCCCAAAACTGCAAGCTTAGTGAGGACAAAGACTATACGAGTTGCTATCCTACATTCTGGGAATGCAAATGTGTATAAGACAGACTCAAAATAAATGCTCAGTAAATGTCTGTGGAAGGACAGATGAGAAACGAAAGGGGAGAAAAGAAGAAGATGGTTGGTTGGTTCTCTTTTTCTAACTGATTTCTCCTTTATGTTTGGAATAGAGGAAATAATAGTTTCCTAGATGACTTGAAGGAAAGCTGTTTTTGAAAAAGTGTGTGTATGTGTATGTATATTTTCTTTTTTCTTCATTTACTTTAGTAAGGGAAGTCCAGAAAATCGAAGCTTAGACTTATATAAAAACTTGGTAAAAAATGGAATCATTTGAAGAAGAGGTGCCAATTATAAATGAAGACTATCTATGTAGGGAAAACTCAACTCAATATGGCAAAATTCCATTTTCCTAGATTCCAAATAACTGAAATAAGCAAAGAACTGAAGGCATCCCCTACTGGTTATTTCACTTTTTTTATGTTAATCTTCTTTACATAACCCTTTCTTTCCTCTTTCCAAAAATTGCACACATCCCTTGGGGATATTCAAGATTTCCAAATCTTTGCAGAATCAGTGTAGCTCTAGAATCCATGGCTCTGAGACTCCATCAAATCTCTCAAATGAAAAATGGGGAATGTCTAACCCAAAATGCTCTGCAGTGACTCTCGGCACAAGCACCCTTCACACTAGAGGAGCTTTCCCTAGGTTTAGGACTGCTGTAGGGACCACAAAGCAGACACCTCCATTTCCACAGACAACATCCCTCTCCACAGCAGTCCCCTTGGGAGACTGAACAAGTATTCCGAATACAAAGTTACCCAAATTAATTTTGCAACTACCTTTTCCAGATCTTTAATGGTAGCAACTTTTCCTATTGAGGTTCAAAGAATGAGACATTTGGAGCCAAGCCTGGTACACAACTGGAGAACCAAGCTGAGAAATGAGTTTGTGGTTTTCAAAATACCTGCTGCTCTTATCACGGACATAGAAAGTCTCAAATCTCATTAAACTTTTCTGCAGGGGCTTCCTGAAAAACTATCTTGAGCTGTAGCAGCACATCAGAAAACTGTCCTATGCATTTCCCATGACAGTGCAAAGTGCGGATCAGCTGCATCAGAATCCCAGGGTTGGGGGAGCTTGCTAAAAATGCAGATTTCTGAGCCCTGCCCTAAACTTATGAGGAAATTATGCTGAATCTATGGATAGAGAATCACAAGGGAGACTGACAATACCTAAAGAATACAAGGAAGGGTCATAGGAGCAGCAGGAGGCAGAGTGTTCCAGGCAGGGGGGAACAACACAGGAAGCCTCCAGCATAGGGGTGTCCTTCAGGGACTGGAATAGAGAGTCCTGTGTGATGGGGTGGAAGGAGAAACTGGAAATGGGGAGTCAGTGGAGAATGCTAAATGGGACAGTGCCCTGGTGACTGGTGTTTTCTAAAGACTGTTCAGATGCTATGTGGAGGAAACATTTGGAGGAGCAAAAGAAATCAGAAGACAATTCAGGTTTGAACAAGGCTGGTAAAGGTGGAACAGAGAGATGTATGAGTTCAAGGTACAAGATAGAAATGGCACAAGTTTATGGGCTGAAGGCCAGGAGTTGGGAGGGGAGATAATCTGGGATGACAGTCAGGTTTGTAGCTTCTACACCGTGGAGAGCAGTGCTATTTGTTCTGATGGGCAAGCCTGGGAAGGAACAGGGTGAATCAAGAGCTCCCTTTGGACATGTTCACTGTGGTGTGTCTTTTCTTTAAATTGGACATAATTCCACTTGCGTGCATGGGCATGGTTTTTGTGATGACTGGAGATAATATATATATGCAAAGCACCTCAAAACACATGCTAACAACTCATTGAATGATATCTATATTTAATTAGCAATATTATTATAGATATGTCAAAATATTTGTTGGCACACTGAACATGTTTAAATCAGTATTCATTTCTTACTGTTGTTATTGTTCTCCTGAAATACCATTTGTTGAAGCAGGACTGAATGACAGCCTCCATGCCAGCACAACCTCAGAGACATCTTGCACAGAGATTTTGTCTGCCCCCCCTTAGCCCAGCATAGGATGCCTGACACTGTACAGCTGATCCACTTTGTTCTGCTTAGTTAACAAGAAACATCCAGAACCAGAAGAATGATGGTCTTAAGGACTTGTATGTGAAGGCAGTTTGTAAATTCTCAGTCTCACATGCCAATGCTTCTTTCCTCTTTGATCCCACCTTTGCACCCCTCAAGCCCATGAACCTTCTCAAGGTTTCCCAGGACTGATCCAACCACAACAATTTCACCACTCCTGAGAGTCAAAGATGTTGCAAAGAAAATTAATCTTACACTGAAAATCCATAAGTCAAAGGAGCCCTCACTTGGTGAGGAGAGGAGGTGGGTGATGGCTGGGGAAATCAAATCCCTTAAGTACATTTTAAGTGCCTTAATGTGATCAAGAATGCAGCCCTGTTTGCACAAGAAGAATTCTGATGGGCTCTGAGGAATTAAGTGATTCTGAAAATATTTGCTGGAGGAATCTGAAAAGCCACTGGGGAGCAAACAAAATATCACTTCGAATAAACTATTCCCCAACATCAGGTGACAGCTCAGCCTCTGCAGCCATTTATCATGTCTTGTTGTGGGGGGTGGAGGTTGGTGGTGGTAGAGCTGACATCAGAAGCCTTATGTTTCCAGAGGTATAGGAAAGTGACAATTGTGGCTAAAGGAACAAGTAAGCCGGGAAATGAAAATTATTCAATAACTACAAAGCACCTAGGAAACAACATTAATTAGGACAGACTTGGAGCTCATCACACCAGCCTCAGCAAGGGACAGTCAAGCCTGTCTGTGGCAGGACCACAAGCAGAAGGTGAGGGCTCACAATAAAGTATCAGGAAATCTCAGGAACTGGAGAGCTCAACCAAAAGGCAAGAGCAGTCCTTACCAAGGGACCACACCATTACAACCAAGCCATTCTGTGAGTTTATGATAAAAACAATTCAATGCAAGGGAGAGGGGTGGTGAGGGGCAGAGAGCAGGCAAGCTGAGATGGTGCTGATGTGGTTGCCAGTCCCTCCCCATTCATCCTGGTAGGACTGGGCTTCCCCCGGCTCTCCAGATACAGAGGCTGGCATGCAGGCAATCTAAGAAGGGAGAAGGCAATCATCGGCTTGAAAAACTTTCAACATTACTGGGACTGGTACAAATGTCTGTCTATGGCTGCATTCACTGGCCAATGGAATGTGAGACTACTACATCATCCTCTCCCCAAAACTTTGTCCAAAGGGCATTTAATCCAGGCCCTGCCCCAAAATATTGCATTACCAGCACCAGGCTAGACAGAAGTATATCAGGGCCATTTATAAATTATCTTCTAGAATCAATACTGTGAAAATGGCCATACTGCCCAAAGTAATTTATAAATTCAATGCTAATCCCATTAAGCTACCACTGACATTTTTCACAGAATTAGAAAAAACTACTTTAAATTTCATATGGAACCAAAAAAGAGCCTCTATAGCCAAGACAATCCTAAGCAAAAAGAACAAAGCTGAAGGCATCACGCTACCTGACTTCAAACTATACCACAAGCCTACAGTAACCAAAAGAGCATGGTACTGGTACCAAAACAGAGATATAGACCAATGGAACAGAACAGAGATCTCAAAAATAACACAACACATCTACAACCAGCTGATCTTCAACAAACCTGACAAAAACAAGCAATGGGAAAGGATCCCCTATTTAATAAATGGTGCTAGGAAAACTAGCTAACCAAATGCAGAAAACAGACACTGGACCCCGTCCCTACATCTTAAACAAAAATTAACTCAAGATGGTTTAAAGACTTAAATGTAAAGCTCAAAACCATAAAAACCCTAGAAGAAAACCTAGGCAATACCATTCAGGACATAGGCACGGGCAAAGACTTCCTGACTAAAACACCAAAAGCAATGGCAAGAAAGCCAAAATTGACAAGTGGGATCTAATTAAACTAAAGAACTTCTGCACAGCAAAAGAAACTATCATCAGAGCAAACAGGCAACCCACAGAATGAGAGAAAATTTTTGCAATGTACCCATCTGACAAAGGTCTAACTATCCAGAATCTACAAGGAAATTGAACAAATTCACAAGAAAAAAAATCAACAACCCTATCAAAAAGTGGGTGAAGGATATGAACAGACACTACTCAAAAGAAGCCATTTATGCAGCCAACAAACATATGAAAAAAGCTCATCATCACTGGTCATTAGAGAAATGCAAATCAAAACCACAATGAGATATCATCTTACGCCAGTCAGAATGGCAATTATTAAAAAGTCAGGAAACAACAGATGCTGGCGAGGCTGTGGAGAAATAGGAACATTTTTACACTGTTGGTGGGAGTGTAAATTAGTTCAACCATTCTGGAAGACAGTGTGGAAATTCCTCAAGGATCTAAGAACCAGAAGTACCATTTGACCCAGCAATCCCATTACTGGGTATATACCCAAAGGATTATAAATCAAGCTACTATAAAGACACATGCACGTGTATGTTTATTACAGCACTATTTACAATACCGAAGACATGGAACCAACCCAAATGCCCATCAATGATAGACTGGATAAAGAAATCGTGGCACATATACACCATGGAATACTATGCAGCCCCAAAGAAGAATGAGTTCATGTCCTTCGCAGGGACATGGATGAAGCTGGAAGCCATCATTCTCAGCAAACTAACACAGGAACAGAAAACCAAACACTGCATGTTCTCACTTATAAGTGAAAGTTGAACAATGAGAACACATGGACGCAGGGAAGGGAACAACACATGCTGGGGCCTGTTGGGGCACTGGGGTGTAAAGGGAGGGAGAGCATGAGGACAAATACCTAATGCATGTGGTGCTTAAAACCTAGATGACGGGTTGATAGGTGCAGCAAACCACCATGGCACATGTATAGCTATGTAACAAACCTGTACATTCTGCACATGTATCCCAGAACTTAAAGTAAATTGAAAAAAAAAATAGAAAAGGCAAAAAATAAAAATAAAAAAATAAATTATCTTCCAGCCATAGGCCATTCAATTGATCAGTAATCTTGTTTATCCCTATCAGGATTGCAAGGGAGGTAGGAGATGAGAACCCAGGAGAGTGACAGTAGACACAAGCCTTTCTACTGCACAGCTATTACCAAAGGATCAGGACTTGCATCTTCTGAAAGAGAAGTTCAAAACAGGCAGGGTTGAGGAGTGTTTATTTTTCCTTTTATTGTTTTAGAAACAGCAGGAGGTAATCAGCTTGTGAATTAAATAGAGACACTTGTGTGGTTCTACCTGCGACCTCCCAGCTTGCTGTACATAGCTCAGATTGCTTTTAATAAAGCAATAGTATAAAGGGGTATAAGCACCACACTCACACATGAAATGGAGAGTCGTACCAGCTCTTCCTGCTGCCCTCCCACACCGCTCCTCTATGCTTGATTCCCTGCTACCCAAGAGTAGAAGCACTGTGCTCTCAGACAGGTGAGAATGAATGGACTGCCTGCAGCCAGAATTTACCTAAATGCCACAGCATCTAGAGGAACAGGTAAGAGCAGCTTCTAGGGGAAAAAAATCCTTCAAGATTGAAGTGTTCCTTGTAGTTCCCTGTGAATTCGCAATACTGAGGAAAATGATCACAAACAGGCACAAAAAGAAATCAGTGTGGGAACACACACACACAAAAAAAGGAAAACGATGATAGTCACAAGGGTGGGCACCTGCTCTGAGTGTCAGGGAGGGCCACTCTGAGGGTGTGACACTTGGGTCAAAGCCTGGAGGATATGTGGAAGGCAGCTTCCAGCAAAGGGAGCACAAAAGGCGGCATCAGCAGTACACACCACGTGAAGCCCTTCCCAGCCAGGTAAAGGGAAAGGAGAGAACGGACATTCGTTAAGGAGCTGAGCACCAGGCAGTTCCATCTCATCTGCATGCCTGAAACGGTGGGTGCACATGCACGTGTGTAGTTGTATTGAAAATGTTTCATGTTCCTTCCATAGCTGGAGCTTTTTTTAAATGTATTTAGCAAGCTCAAGACAGGCCCAGAGCATGGAAATAAATGACCAGATGAATATGTCAGCCGGGTTCAGCAGGCCATGTCAACAGACCATAGAAAACCATTCCTCGTCAACATCAAGTCTTCCTTTCCTTTTCACTCTGAGTGTCGCATCCCCCGGCTTTTCCTCTGCGCTCTGGGGAAACCTTCTGTCAGTCACCCACGGAGTGCAAGGCACCTTTCCCTCCAAACGGTTTGAAGCAGACAGAGCTCCCTCACATTTCACAATGAGCTCGGCCAGATTTATGCTGGGTCATTGAGCTCCATTAAGGTTGCCATGGTTACTCCAGGCCTGTATTACCTGGACTTCTGATGTGCTGGATGCAGGGGCAACAACTGCTTTGCTTCTTCTGTAATTTGCCAGAAAAGTGGCAGAGAGGCTCAAAAGGTAGAAATGCTGGACAAGAAAGGTGCCAGAGTTTAGAGAGATGGTTGGTGGGGAGAACATATCATCCACCAATGGAAAATGAGGCTCTTTCCTAAACCCACCAACCTGTGAACGCCACCAGGGTAGGGCCTCAGACAGATAAATCTTGGTATCCCCTACCACCTACAACAGGGCCTAGCACATAACAGATGCTCAACAAATGTGATTGATTGATTTTGAAAAAAAAGTAAGAAAAGTAAAAAAGGAAAGAAAAAAAAGTAGCCTAAGAATTCAAACAAAGAATCCATCTTGGACACTCCTGTTATAAGAAGTCAGGGGATAACGAGGAGATTACAGGTAAAACTATGCCTCTCTCACTGCAAACCAAAGATCACAGACAAGGAAAATTTTCCAGGTAAGAGAAAGGACACGAATATGTTGGAAGGCAGGCATGTCAGTTTCAGTCCTCCAAGAAATAAATGTCAAGAGAGCAATAGATATGCAAGAGATTTATTTGGGGAAATGTCTGTAAAGCATAGAAGAAAAGGGAGCAGGAGAGGAGAGGAGAATGTTTGGGTCACAATGCAGGTCTAACACCAACAACAGGAGAAAAAGGGAAAAAGGAAGATTGGCTAGAAAGAGCCTCAGAGTGTAGACCAGCTCTGGGAAAGTCTCTGCCGGGTGGATCAAGAGGCTCCGAGCAAAGGTTGCCCATTCGAGGAGTCCCACACCGAGCAGGAATGGCCAACTCTAGTGTCCTCACTGTGCTCAGTCACTGGCTGGGTGGGGCCCACAGGAAGCGTGGTCTCAGCATGAACGTCACAGTGGACCCAAAAGTAGGCAGCTGAGTCTCTTCAGCAACTGTGCTCCCCACAGAGAAGATATCTGTGAGCAAAGCATCTCCGTGACCACCCAGGGGCTGCAGGAGTAGAAGAGGGTTGGGGAGGAAGCAGAAGAAGATCCTTGGGAGGCTACAAGC
Source organism: Homo sapiens (assembly GCF_000001405.40). Classification (NCBI taxonomy): domain Eukaryota; kingdom Metazoa; phylum Chordata; class Mammalia; order Primates; family Hominidae; genus Homo; species Homo sapiens. The sequence goes on along the minus strand of NC_000010.11, from coordinate 111,150,695 downwards.
TGGAAGGAATGTGGTTGGAGGTGAAGGGTATGTCTTCAGGGCACAGGGGCAGGGCAAGAGGTGGCTGGGAGGCTGTGCTTATCCTTGCTGTTTGTCTACCCAATGTCTGTTCTGCCCTTCTTGCTTAAGCATAAAACCTCTCTATGTCCCTTTAGATCCCCTTGCATCTGGAAGCAGCCATGTGGCCCAATTATGGCCAGTAAGGTATAAACATGGAAAGAAAATTCTGCTGGATGTTCCTAATAAAAAGAGACTAGCAAGTGCCTGATGCCCTCCCCTCTTCTCCTCCTTCCTACCTGCACCATGGATCTGAGGCCAACAGGGAAAACAGTCATCTTGCTACCATGAGATAACAAGCAGGGGAATGAAAACCACATGCTAGAGATGGTGGAGTGCAAAGATAGGTCACACCTGGAAAACTGACACCATGGCAGAGCTGCTGCCCGTGGCAATCCCACCTCCAGAATTCTTGTTATGTGAGAAAAATAAACCCACCTGGGGTTAAGCCATGACGTCAAGCTAGCATCCCATGCAGCCAAATGCAAATCCTAAATAATCCAAAGGAGACTCAGGTGGAGGGCTGCTCCCAGGTGAGCCACGGGCCTACCTCCCCATCTTTCAGAAAATCAGCATTATTCATCACTGCAGCTGAATATCCTTGGCAGGATCAGAGCTCTGAGGGGAGCGGGCATGACAAAGTCACTCTGTCTTACCAATGGACAAGTCCCAAACTCTGCCCTCAGGTAGTTTGCAATCTAATTAAGGAAACCGAGCAGAGAAATTATCCGCTGGTCTTAGTATTCACTTCTACATTCTATAGTTTCATCACTATCAGCTTGGCTTTTCATTCCTCTGCCACTGTCTTACCCACATGCACACTAACCGTGACAGACTTCAATAAGAGCTGCATCATCCTTTCCCCTTTTCACCCAGGGAAGGCTTGGAATCCTCCCTGCCCTCCAGGCAACGCCTACCACTCTGTTAAGGTTGGCCCTTGAAATGAGACCTATTTATCTGGCTTGATGTTATCTGCAAACTTGAAGATTTCAGACCACAAAAGAGTTAAAATATACCTTTTCCCATCTCAACAGACTTATGACAATTTACCCCTAGAGACCCTCAGAAAATTTGCCTCCCAGATACCAGTGATAGTAAAGAGGCATCCAAATCCACCCATCCCCCCTCACTAGCACTGGAAAGCGATCCAACCCTTCAACTGGTCTACCAGCAGGAACTCCTGCTTCCAAAGCTTGGGAAGAGGCCTGGCACAAAGCAATTACCCTGCTAGATCCCCTTGCATCTGGAAGCAGCCATGTGACCCAATTCTGGCCAGTGAGATATAAACACACGGAAAGAGAATTCTGCTGGATGTTCCTGATAAAAAGAGACTAGCAAGTGTCTGATGCCCTCCCCTCTTCTCCTTCCTACCTGGACCATGGATCTGAAGCCAACAGGGAAAGCAGTCATCTTGCCACCACGTGACAACGAGCAGGGGAATGAAAACCACATGCTAGAGATGGTGGAGTGCAAAGATAGGTCACACCTGGAAAACTGACACCATGGCAGAGCTGCTGCCCGTGGCAATTCCACCTCCAGAATTCTCGTTATGTGAGAAAAAATAAATCCACCTGGGGTTAAGCCACGAAGTCAAGCTAGCATCCCATGCAGCCAAATGCAAATCCCAAATAATCCAAAGGAGACTCAGGTGGAGGGCTGCTCCAAGGTGAGCCACGAGCCTACCTCCCCGTCTTTCAGAAAAATCAGCATTATTCATCACCACAGCTGAATATCCTTGGCAGGATCAGAGCTCTGAGGGGAGCAGACATGACAAAGTCACTGTCTTATGAATGGACAAGTCCCAAACTCTGCCCTCAGGTAGTTTGCAATCTAACTGAGGAAACAGAGCAGAGAAATTCTCCACTGGTCGTCGTATTCACCTTTACATTCTATAGTTTCATCACTATCAGCTTGGCTTTTCATTCCTCTGCCACTTTCTTACCCACACGCACGCTAACCGTGACGGACTTTAGTAAGAGCTGCATCATCCTTTCCCCTTTCCACTCAGGGAAGGCTTGGAATCCTCTCTGCCCTCCAGGCAACCCCTACCACTCTGTTAAGGCTGGCCCTTGAAATGAGACCTATTTATCTGGCTTGATGTTATCTGCAAACTTGAAAATTTCAGACCGCAAAAACAGAGTTAAAATGTACTTTTCTCATATCAATGGACTTATGACAATTTACCCCTAGAGACCCTCAGCAAAGTATTTGCCTCCCAGATACCAGTGATAATAAAGAGGCACCCAAACCTACCCATCCCCCATCCCCCCTCACTAGCACTAGGAAGTGATCCAACCCTTCAACTGGTCTACCAGCAGGAACTCCTGCTTCCAAAGCTCGGGAAGAGGCCTGGCACAAAGCAATTACCCTGACAAACAACGGTACAGTTGGCAGTCATGGAAAAGAGATTTCCAGGCCACACTTCACCTGTCAGCACGTCAATCTCAGATGTCAGCAGCAATGTTGGCTTACCACCATGACTCCAAGGTCAGGCCCCGGAAATCTGATCAGCTCTCTGTGTTTCACAAAGACACAGCTCACCGTCCAGAAAATTAATTAAGGTCTCCATAGGAAACAGAAAATCCTAGTCTTTAAAAAGTAAAATCGACTCCTCTCCCCTCCTCCTCCTGTCCCCAGGAGACTTGCATAAGGTCAATCTTCTCATCTTAGCACAATTTCTATATCTCTTTCTAATTGCCTTCACAGAAAAAGTTCCCTCTGGACCGTCCTAGTTGTTTCTTCAATCTGGAGAAAAAAACCATTTGATGATTAATAATTATGTAATTCCATTTCCAATTCGGTGACCATTATCATTGGATGAGGTGACTGCAGAGTTGCAAAAATGAAGTCTATCAATAATTCTGACATCTAAGTCTTCAGTAAAAGGGGTGCCATGGGAGATAGGGTGGGGTTGTGAGCACTGCAGTCACTGTGTGGTTAAATGATTGGCATCCACCTTTTTCAGAGACTAAGAATAAACTTATCCCTATTAAGTAGAACAGATACCAGTGATAAAATCAGGGCAGTAGAAGCAAGCAAAAGCTGGCCCCTTGGAAAAGGTACCTAAGAAGAGGAGGCAGAAAAGGCAGGATGCTGTGTTCTGCTCCCTGCCACTTCACGTCCCACCCCCTACTGCCTTCTTTACCCAACATAAAAAGCCTCACTCCCAGGCAGACGTCAAACTCCCGGCTCCTTCACCCGGACTCTAACATCTTAGCCATTCCCCCTACCTGCTAGGCTTAGGTTTGCCAACTGCTCATCATTTACTGATCTCCTTCACAGCCTGGACCAGACTCTGTATCACTTGCTGTTATATAATGAGATGGTTTACAGGTCGGCTTAGCTATCTACAGTTCCCAGTTATTCCAACAAATACCAACCTAGGTGTTGCTGTGAAGGTATTTTGTAGATGCGATTAAGGCCCATAATGAGTTGAGTTTAAGTAAGAGATTATCCTAGGTAATCTGGGTGAGTCTGATTCAATCAGCCTTAAAAGCCTTAAGAGCCAAACTGAGGCTTCCTTGATGAAGAAGAAATTCCACCTGCAGACTCAAGAGTCAGCCCATGCTTCAGAGTTCCAGACTGCCCTTCCAGAAAGCCTGCAATGTGGATTTTGGAGTTGCCTAGCCAGACCACCCCCCAACCAAACGAGCCAATTCCTCACAATAGATCTCTTCCTATATATCTCCTATGCCTCTGTTTTTTCTGGTAGAACTCTGACAGATATGTATCATTAGAAAGTTTGCCTTCAATCCACTCACCTAATTTTACTAAAATAAATGTATTTTACACACAAAATTTACCTCCTTTCTATAAGGAGAAAACTAGCACCACCTTCCATAATAGAAGGAAGCCATAAAGAGAAATACAATAAAATCCAATTCAATGCCATGGAATTCCAGTTGGATGCTCCTGCCTCTCACAGGCTCCAAGCATTTGGAGCTGGCTCATCCTGCTAGTGTCAGAAAGAAAATGAAAGTTGGTCTGGTGCTGGGAGTTGTGTACATCAAGGACAAAGTCTCAGGGAGATTCTTATCAGAAGGAGTGATGGAGAATTGAGAAGAGAATATGTTTCCCACCACGTGATCCCTGTTATTTAATGCTATACCCATGTATGTCCCATCTGAAATCATCCCAGGTGCAACCAGAGGTTTCCATCCAGCACTTGCAGATACAAGACTCCAGGGTTGTGGGCAAGTAGCCAGGGAGCACATGAAAGGCTTTCATTCTCAGTGTCTGGAGCAATTGCCTTGATGTAACTGCAGGGGAGCTGCTAGTGCCAGAACAGACTAAACCCACATGCCCATCTTTACTATGCACCCTGAGAACACTGCCCAGCAGAAGGCTTTCTACTGACATATCAGGGTGGCAAGTTCATGCCCCTCCCTCAGTAGGGGAAGCAGCAGAAGCCACATCATCACATCCCTTCCTGAACAGCAGCAGGAGGCATCACCTCAAAACTCTCAGGTTGTGGCTTCTGGGGCTTCCTGTACCAAAGGGGAAAGGGTCCCAGGCCCCAGGAAGTAGTGTTCAGGAGGAAGTAGCCATTGGTGACTTCCCTGCCTCCTGAGAAACACTGGCTGTGTGCCTATCTGCCATGACATTGTTCTTCGAGCTCCACTCCCCATGTACAGGAACTGGATTAGTAGTACATCCTTCAGAGCTCTTTTCTAATACCCTGCCTGTGTTACTGGCTAATTTTTTGTTTGATCATTGGCTCCAGTTGCTCACAGTTGACTTATAGGAACCCAAGCCAGCAGAAAGACACAGTAGGTGCTTCTGAGGCAGGGATTGTAATATCTTTGGAAAGTCCAAAAAATAAGCCAAATAATGAAAAGGAGATGTGCTTTAGGATACAGCAGATGAGGGTTCAAATCCCAGCTCTGGCATTTTCCAGTGGTGAGATCTTGGAGCAAATTACATAAATCCTCTGACCCTCAGCCTCTATGAAATGGACCCTATAACAGGACAATGCTAGATGCCTAACATTTGTCGTCTTTGGGTTAAGTGGCCTCAATTTTCCTTGGGAGCATCATCTCCTCCCACTCTCAGTCCATGTGCTGTGGATGGAGTGGACCTTGCTCCTCCCCTGAAGCACCTGGGGAACACACATGACCTGGCTCTGGCCAAGCAGCCTTGTCCTCCTTCTGGGTCCAGGTATGAACACGAGACCCAATGTATCCACTGAGAGCAAACGCTGGAGCCACTGGGCAAAAAGCACTTTCTTTCTACTTGGGTTTCTAAGCTGGTAGAATGGAAGCTGGAGCTACTGATGACCATCTTGGTCACCTCATAGGGAGTTCCTACTGAGAACAAAGACAATATAAAGGAAGGCTAAGTAGTATGAAGAGAAAGAAAGAAAGGGAGTCCTGATCTTATCATCTGAGCACCTGGATCCAGCCAAATCTAAAGTCATTAAGATCTAACCCAAGGACTTGTTTTTCATTGCATCAACCAATAAAATGAGTGTGGGCATCAAAGGAATTGAGTTGAGTACTGTCACTTACATCCTAAACAAGTAACTGCACCTCATAAGATAATATGAATATCAAATAAAAATGCCATGAAATCACTTAGCGTAACCTAGCCCACAGTGAGCCCTCGATTAATACTAGCTGTTGTTTAGGGAGCTTAAATGAAATAATGTGTGGAAGCACTTTTCCAGTTGCCCCCACAGGGTAATCAGGTATTCAATACATGACAGTTGTTACTCCTCAGTAGCAGCCACCTTGAGCCCCAATTCATTCATCCAAAAGCCCAACCAGCCAGCAGGCTCAAATGAGCATATTTCTAAAGCCTCACATTTTAGGCTCCAGGGAAGAGAAGTTAACCAACCTGAAAAACTATATTTTGTAAGCAGCGAAACTCCTTGCAGTGACCACTCAGCCCTGTGTGGTTTGGTGGACCTCAGCAGAGCTATTCAGATGGGAAAATGGGGGAAAATCATTTCATTACTGGTTAAGTCACGGAAATATCTGAAAAGTAACTATTAGATTGCTGCAGAAGCTGAACATTTTCAAAAGGAAAAAGTAAAATTAAAAGGCCAAGGGAAAAACGTATCTTGTTTCTAAAATCCAGACTTAGATGCTGCCAAGGGTCATGCATGACACACAACCCCACTACATCTTGATGACAAGAAAGATTTAATAATTACTTTTTTTAAAGATTGATGTACTTAACCATTCTTCCAAAAATACCGATGTGGGACGGGGAGGAGAGGGGAGAGGGAACAGATGGAAAGTGACAAAATGCACAAATCGCTCGCATCACTTCACACCAGCAGTCAGAAGTGGAAGTCAGTCAGCAATGGCGCTGCCATCTATGGATTCCACTATCATTGGCAGATTTCATGTGTACCCACTGTAGACAAGCCCTAGTCTATAAAAGACAAAAACAAAAACAAATCTGATAAGAGGAAACATTATAGGGATGGATATTCCTGGTAAACTCTTTAAAAATGATCTTTTAATGACTTACGAATTCTTCCAAGGTCTGTATCAGGGGAAGGCAATTTATGACACTGGTTTTATTGTGTTGGGGAAAGGGCAGGAGAGAGGTTAGAAATTAACACTTTTTGAGTAGCTACCATATGAATATTCTCCTTTAAGCCTCATCCCCACACCATAAGATAGGTAATTAGTAAGACTATTTTATAGATCTTGAGTTCAAAATGGTGAATCAACTTAAGCTCACACTAGGAATGATGAGGTCAGGTCTGTCAGACTCCAAAACTTGTGTTTTATCCAATATTTCATGCCCTACACCACTCTCCCCTCAATGAATCATTCATTTCTCTCCCTCTCTCCCAATTCATTATTTTATCTATAATAACTGGAGCTCATTAAGAATATAAGCCAGGTCTCTCTTGCTCAAAAAAGTATTTGAGGAAGGACACAGGAAAGAAGGAAGGAAAACTGGTCCAGGTAGGCCATTGGTCTTCCAGGGCTTGGCACTTGGAGGCCCCTAAAGACTAATATAGGAATTCAAACCTGCAATTATTATAATATTTATATAATACTCTCTTTTATTCTTTATCCTTTCAACTCTTTGGAGTCCATGAAGAGTGTATGCAGATTAGAACTTACCAACCAAACAAAATCTAAATAAACAGGAGAATAAGTCTGAAGTCACCATAATCATTGCTAACATTTTTTTGACCTACAGGTCAACTCTCCGCCTGGCACTCATCTAATCATTTCATGTAAATTAACTCAGAGAATCTCCATAGCAATGATGTGAGGTAGACACTGTTATCATTTCCACATTACGTATGAGCACCAAGGCTCGGAAGTGAAGCCACGTGGCCGGCCAGGATCACTCAGCCGATACAAACTGAAGCAGCTGGCTCCAGAGCCCATGCTCAAATCTACCATGTTAGTCCCCAGCAGTTAAGGACATCCCATAAACTATGTCTATCCTAGACTTTTCAGCCACATCTGGATGAGAAGGCCTTGCATGAAGAAATAAGTAGACTAGAAAAAAAGAGAAGTGGAGTTGTCCAAGTCCTGTCCAAACACGACAAGCCAGTGTCAGGAACGGGTAGAAGCTTCACATGCAGCTGCCCATGAAACCATATTCCAGCCCAACCCTCAAAGACCCACGTGTATCCTGTCAATGGAGGGTAAACAATTGCAGACTCATTTGCTACAGCAGGCAGCACCTTGATGCAGACATCATCCTCCGCCTGATGGGTGCTGGCCAACTGGGCACAGACAGCAGACGGCAGGAACAGCCACAGAAATGGAGGCAGAGCTGCTGCTGTCTGCATCCCCCGAGTTGAGAAAGCCAGAGCTGGAGCACCAGAGATAGCAGATGCCTTGGGTTACCAACAGGAGAACAGATGTGCTCACCAGTCCTTTAAGGAGAGCTGGCATTTCCATAGAATGCATGAGGTAGACCCAGAGAAATCCTTATTTTTCCTCTATCATCAAGACCCTACTTTTAGCCCAGGCTGGTATAATCTGGAAAGTACAGTGATCTCTATCCAGAAAAAATAGAAACAGCAGACAGGCATATATGTACATGTACTTACACGGGTTTGTATGTGTATGTATGTGTATAGACACATGTGTATTCACATCTTCATTTATGAATCCAATGAGTATGCACATTTTCTTCTCCGCTAAGTCACTGAGTCATTTGAAAAAGTAGAGAAAAGACTCTTAACTCTTGGTGTGATTTCTTCAATTTTCCATAATGGAGAATTTCAGAGTGTTTCAGGAGAGAACCACTTGGAGCAAACCTCTGGGACTCATAAAATGCATAGTGCCTATTTTTCAGAACTCATAGCAGCAGTACTCCACACCGCCCCCACCCGGCACCCCACACACACGCCCATTGCTACAGCCCTCTGCCTTTATGTTATTCTTTCAATTCTCAGGGATGCCTGCTTCACATCCCCAACCTGCTTGTAATTCCCTTTGGCTAGGGATCGGTTGACTTATCTATTTCCCTCCCATCCCAGTGTCCAGCAAACGGCCGAGCCCAGCAAGCCTTTACGCTACACTTGGAAGCTGAGAATTGAGAAGTAGACTCTCTCCATGCCACCTCCCATCCCCCTGCCTGCCTGCTTCACCCCTAGGAACCACAATTTCCAAGTCTGGAATGATCTGTGGAGATGGAATGAACCAAGATCAGGGAATCAGTGTTGAAAGATCCTGTGGAGGTCACTTGTTCCAACATTCACTCAGCAAATGTTAATTGAGCACTTACAGAATGACATGCAATTCTTAAAACTTGATAGAAGGTCAAGCAATGGGATTAGCTGCTTCCTCGGCTGTCAGTCTCTTACTTTCTATATAGCTCTTAATCATTAGAAATTTCATTCTGTATTGAGTCAAAATCTTTATCCCCAAAACTTACCTCCTTTTATTTGGATATTATGCTGCATTGTAATAGAACTGTGATGATTTAAATGTAAAAACAAAACCTAAAATGTATGGGCAGGGGGCATATAGGTGAACATATAATCTTAGGTCAGGAGAGATGTTTTTATATGACACCACAGAAAAATTAAGTAACATTTTGATGAGTTTGCCAATGTAAAACCTGAAATACACATACACTAAATCAAAGGCAAGAAGTGAAAAGAAATATTTGCAACCTAGATGGCAGACAAAGGGCTAGAGTAGTCTTAACATTTAAAACTTTTAAAGCTACTAAGAAAAGGAAAATATCATCAGCTAGGCAAAAGATACAACTAGGTAATTCATAAGATTTAAAATGTTGAATATGAAATAAAAAATGTTTAACCTCACTAATAATTCAAAACATACAAATTAAAGCATGATACCACATTTCACATATAAATCTGGCAAGATATTTCAACATCATAGTGCCCAATACCGGGGAAAATATGGAGAGACAGAGATACTCTCACACTTGGTGGTGTGGAACAATTTGACCAGACACATCAAAAACAAATAAGCAAACCAGTAAATCAAAACCTTCAAAATGTTCATAACCCTTTAAATTCTATACCTTTTACTCCTAGGGCTTTATATTACAGAAATACTCAAGGGTGTACACAAACATTTATTTCCAAGGTGATTCAGCCCAGGATTCATTATATTACAGAAAAATCGAGGAAAAATCAATGTACAAAATACAATTTTATAAATAAATTATGGTAAATTTATAAAATAGAATATTTTACAACACATAAAAATGGCATTATGGAAAAGTAATGACTTTGAAAGTTATTTACAATATTTAGTTATATAAAAAAGTCAAGTTGTGGCCAGGTATGGTGGCTCATACCTATAATCTCAGCACTTTGGGAGGCTGAGGGGATTCCTTGAGTCCAGGAGTTTGAGGCCAACCTGGGCAAAATAGAGAGACCCCCCCCAACTCTACAAAAAATTTAAAACTTGGACAGGCATGGTGGTGTACACCTGCAGTCCTAGCTATTCAGGAGGCTGAGGTAGGAGGATCACTTGAGCCCAGGAGGTCGAGGCTGCAGTGAACCGTGATCGCGCCACTGCACTCCAGCCTGGGCAACAGAGCAAGACTGTTCAAAAAAAAAAAAAGCCAAGTTGCAAATATATCTTTTCAAAAATACAATTATGTTATAGATATACCTTGAATACCTGCCTAGGGAAAAGAAATAGAAGGTTATAATCAAGTGGATTAACAGATAATTGTCAGAGATGGGATTAAGTAATCTCCATACACGCAGCTCTCTCTCGACTGCTCTCTCTCATATTTGTAAATTTTCAAGTTATTTTGCAATGGATATGAGTTTCTTTCCTAACAACAGCATTTTGTATTGTAAACTTCAGTGTTTTGGGTAGCTTTACCACACAATTAGTCCATGTTAAGTCTTTCATAAAAAATACAATTCAGAGGCTTTTTTTCTTGGCCTTGTATAGTTGGCTTTTTGAACCTAAGTGCCAGCCTTTAATTTATCCCTGCAGAATGCCATCATTTTTGCCCTGAATTCCAGCCTGCAGGGTGGGGTCTTTTGACTCCTGTTGCTGTCATGAGATGCCTGAACAACCTGGAGCTGCACCTTTGAGATTTTTAATAAGCACGATTTCCCTTTCCTCTTCCACCAACTGGGAGTACAGAATAGAGGATGGGCCACTCTGGCGTCTTCCCTCTGTCTCAGTCCTGCATGGGCAGTGGGCCTGGAAGGAGAAGAGGCAGAACAGTGTGCCATACCAACAGGCAGGGAAAACAGGGATCAGAATCGTAGAGGAGAGGAAACGGTACCAAAACAGAGATTATAGGGAGGAGACAGAAAAACATTCTGCCTCCAATCTGATTACACTACCAAAGAAATAAGACCTCTGGGGCCAGCTCTCCTGGCTGCCTGCCTTGTCCGCAGGCCCGGGCACCGTGGCCGGCCCACACTGCATCACTCACTTAAGTGGCAACGATATCTGACAGACAGAGCACCGAGCCCCGGCCCTGTGTGTCCCTAATGTAGTTAGAGTTGGAGAAATTATTCATCAGAGAATAGACTAAAGCGGTTAGTGTCCCCTGGATGCATTAGGGGCAGGTTCTGTCGGCCTCAGCAAAGCACCTCTGTACGCTTATCCTGAAAACCCCTGAGCCGGCTCCACGCTGGTGACCTGGTCGCTCATCTCCAGAACCACAGCCAGTCCCATGACTCGCTGCCATGCCGCCTCTTCACAGCCCCTTTCCTCTATCTTCGTTACCTTCCAGAACTCTTCCAGGCCGCTTGCCTCCCTCATCCCTGGGAGCTCAATCTTCAGCTAAGAAGCAAAGTGCTCCCAGCTGCTTTCCCTGCCCTTACCCCTCACCCCAAAGGTCTCCTGTCCCCAGGCATCTCCATTTGTCCTTCCTGTCCTTTAGGGTCCAGCTGCAGCCACCTTCTCCTGAAGTATTCCCAGCTCTCACTAGCCAGAATTACGACCTCTTTCTAGTGCTCACGGGGCATTTTCTTTTATTTCTCTCCAGCATTTCCCAGACAGTGGGGGCGAGGTGAGGATATGGAGAGCCATTGAGAAGAAGGATGTCGGCTCCTACAGGGAAGAAAGACCACTTCCTGCTCTTCCATGCTTTGCATGGAGCATAAACCACGTACATGGGATTGGTGTGCATTGGCTTGAGTTTCCAAGGTTCTCATTTCCTGTTAAAAAGAAGGGTTTATCAACATTCCCAAAAATCCTTATTACATAAACACCTACCTAATATTCTGAAGTCTGAGGTGAGGAAAAGATCCCTACTTCACAAAAGAAACTCACGATAATTATTACAATTATTACTGTTATAAATCACCTTCAGGGGCTATGAACCAGGGGCCTATTCTATGTTCTCTGACTATGGTTTCTCATCTTCGCAATCACTCCCCAAGGTAAGTCCTAACTCTGCAGTTCAGTGACGTGCCGGAAGTCTAATGACTCAGAATGTATGAAGTCAAGATTTAAACCACAGATCTAACTCCATATCCATATTCTCTCCATTATTCAGTGTTCCCTGGTAAATGTTAAGACTCTCCCTGCAGACTGTGAGTGACTGGGCTGTACTTAAGAGTTTTTGTTGGAGTAGAACAGCATCATGGTTAAGAACACGGTTCCGCAGCCAGACCGACCAGGTTGAAATCCTGGCTTTGCCATTTACCAGCTGTGTGTTCTTGTTCAAGACATTCACCTTCTTCATAGCTGAGCTCCCTCACCTGTAAAACAGCAAGGTGGCTCGATGAAATCCCACTCTTTCAGTCCTATGCACCTGGAACATCATGGCCATGAGCTCATTAAACCCTAAGAACAGCCCATAAAGGTAAAATCAGTTTAGCAGGGAGGCTCTTGAGGTGAAGAGCTGAAAAGTGTTTTGAAACTACTGCAACTTAGAATATCCCTCAGAAACTTGAAAAAATATCCAAAAGTATCCTGTAGGTAATTTGAAAGCTAGTTTATGGTTTATAGAATGTTTATCACAAGCACATTTTCAGACACACAGGTTTACCAATTTTCCTAGCATCGTTGCCTGCTGAGAAAGGGTGGTCAGGGAACAAGGTGCTGAAAGGAGCCCTGTGTTCTCAGTAACTCATTCAGAACCTTTCCTTAAACAGGTACTCAGTGCCAATAGATAAAAGTCCAAATGCCTCAGCCTTCCCTCTATGAATCTTATCAAGCTCAGTCTCTAGCCACTTCCCACATTAATCTTCCATTTCTGCATATTGCAAGCTTCTAATCATCCTCCAGCCACTTCCCACATTAATCTTCCATTTCTGCATATTATAAGCTTCTACTCATCCTCCAATACCCCACTCCAGTGTCCCCTGCTCAGTAGAGCTTTCAGTGATCTCTGTAAGGTGAGATCATTGTTACTACATCCCCGCTGCCACAGTACTTTGTACAATTGTCTACCATAACCCTTCTTACATTCCATGCTAGTTAAAGGTTTAGGTATCTGCCTCCACTGTTACTCATGAATAGTGAGCTGGGCAAGGGTCAGGGTCATGTCCTGGTCAATTTTAATTTTAAATCTCGAATACCTCGTACATATCAAGTACCAAGTCAATATTTTTGAGTGCACATATAAGTTAATAAATAAACTTCAACGTTAGTTAAAAAAAAAATCATCTGGCTAAGTAAATATTAGCTCCTTCCTCAGTGTCATCATTGTCAAGAACATTAAGATCCCAGCAATAGAGCCTGTGTAACTAAAAAAAAAAATAACCAAGAAAAAGAAATTGAAAAGCATAATATCTTTCCCAAGATAAGATTTTTAAATATGCAGGTCCTATTTCTAACTGAGAAAACCATCTGCGGACGATTTTCTTGCATTGTTCTCCTAAATGGTCAATGGCACTCAAGAGGCTTTCTTGGAGGTCTGAGATGGAATTACTTTCCTCACGTGATCCATCTCTTCACAATGAAATTTCAAAAGCACACAGGCCACTTGAAAGTTGACTCCTGCTTTTGGGCAACACTGGAGGTTGTGTTCACAGGGAAGGCACAGAGTGGGCTCCTGGTAAATATTTGCAGCACAATGAATGTTTACTATTGTGTGAGGCGCTCTCCTGTGGTGCTGTTGGAAGTCAATTATTCACACGCCTCTGATTCAACCACCTCAGTTACGAAGGAAAAGGCAGTATTACAAGGAAGAAAAGCTTTCAGTCAGATGACCCAAGTTTAAGTCCTGGCTCTGACACTAACCACCTGGGTGACTTTGGGCAAATCACTTGCCTCTCTGGGTAACAATTTCCTCATTTGTAAAATAAAAGTATCTCCCCACGCCTTGTTGTAGGGGTTCCACAGGATCAATACTTGAGAAGTTATAGTAGACCCCCTTATCCTTACTTTCACTTTCCACAGATTCAGTTACCTGAAGTCAACTGCAGTCTAAATATAGGTTGAATACAGTACCATAAGATATTTTGTGAGAAAGACTGCATTTACTTACTTTTATTATACTGCATTGTTATAAGTGTTATATTTTATTAGTTACATTTGCTAATCTCTTACTCTGCCTAATGTATTAATTAAACTTCATCATAGGCGTGTATGTTTAAGAAAAAGCATAGTATATATAAGATTTGGTACTACCTGAGGCCTCAAGAATCAGCAGGATGTCTTGGAACACATGCCCCTCAGATAAGAGGGGAATTGCTATATGTCACCCAGGCCAGGCATGGTGGTCAATAGATATCTGTCGTGTATACAGACCATGCTTCTGTGGCTTTGCTAGATTTCTTTTCTGACCTTTAGCTTTGGGACCCAGAATTGTATTTGTATCTATCTCACAAACATCCAAAACAAGAGGATGAAAAAAGAGCAGAGAACAGAACTGAAGGATTAACTCTATGGCAGAAAAGGTGTCTTGTCTGAACTAGAGACAGGACCAAGGGAAAGCATCTGGGCAAAACATCTCTCTCACATGAGATGCTGAGTATGATACTGGGAAAAATTAGCAGGAAAAAAATCCATTTATTTTGTTTATATAAAATTTGACAAAGTTCCTTCCTTTATGGTAACCAGTTACTATTTGTGCCCAATTTTATGCACATGCACATTATCAAATATCTGCTGGTTTCACCTGACTATATGTCACTATGCTTGCTGAACCTGCATAATGTGTCACTTGTTTGTTGAAGTCAGACAGTTTTTATTTTAAAGAATTAAAACAATGTGTTTGCTCTTGTTCCAAGACATTTGTGATATTTGTGACCAAGAAAAGAGCAACTTTAAATATATATATGTATTATATATATATTAATTGCCATTCTAACAGGTATAACCTATTATTACCTATTAATATAACCAAATATTAATTGCCATCCTGATAGATATAACCATTTATATAACTATATATATATAGTTATATAATTAAACCTATTAGGATGGCAATTAACCAAGAAAAGTGGAAAATAACTAGTGTTGGCAAGGAAATGAAGAAATTGGAACCCCTGTGCTTTGCTGGTAGGAATGTAAAATAGTGCATCCATAGCCCACAGACACTATATAGCAACTACACAATCAAGTTTACAAAATAGCCAGCTAACAATATGATGACAGAATCAAAATCTCACATATCAATATTAACCTTGAATGTAAATGATCTAAATGCCTCCACTTAAAAGGCAGGGAGTGGCAAGTTGGATAAAAATTAAGACCTAACTGTCTGCTGTCTTCAAGAGACCCATCTCACATGTAACAATACACACAGGCTCAAAGTAAAGGGATGGAGAAGATCAATCAGGCAAATAGAAAACATAAAAGAGCAGGGGTCACTATTCTTATATAATGTAAGGACTTTAAACCAACAACAGTGAAAAAGGACAAAGAAGAATATTACATAATGATAAAAGGTTATATTCAACAAGAATATAACTATCCTAAATATATACACACCAAACATTAGAGCACTAGACTCATAAAGCAAGTTCTCCTAGACCTATGAAAAGACTTAGACAGCCACACAATAATAGTGAGAGGCTTCAACACCCCTCTGACAGTGTTATACAGATCATAAGGCAGAAAACCAATGAAGAAATCCTAGACCTAAACTCAACACTTGACCAATTGGACCTAATAGACATCTACAGAATACTCTACTCAACAATCACAGAATATACATTTTTCTCATCTGCACATGGGACATATTCTAATATCAACCACATGTTCAGCTATAAAGCAAGTCTCAGTAAATTCAAAAAAATCAAAATCATACCAAGCACATTCTCAGACCACATTGCAATAAAAATAGAAACCAATACCAAGAAGATCTCCTTGAATAATTTTTGGGTAAAAAATGAAATTAAGGCAGGAATCAAAAAATTTTCAAAATAAATGAAAACAGAGACACAACATATCAAAATCTTAGGATGCATCTAAAGCAGTGTCAAGAGGAAAGTTTAGAGAGCTAAATAGCTACATTAAGAAGTTAGAAAGATCTCAAATGAACAATCCATCATCGCACCTAGAAGAACTAGAAACATTTTTTATTTAAAAAAAAAAAGCTAGCAGAAGAAAAGAAATAACCAAAATCAGAGCTGAATTGAATGAAACTGAGATGCAAAAAAATCCATACAAAAGATCAATGAAACCAAAGGTTGGTTTTTTGAAAGGTTAAACAAAATGTATACACTACTACTTAGATTAACAACAACAACAAAAAAGAAGATCCAAATAAACACAATCAGAAATGACAAAGATGACATTACAACCAACACCACAGCAATACAAAAGATCCTCAGAGACCATTATGAACACCTCCGTTCACACAAATCAGGAAATCTCAAAAAAATGGATGAATTCCTGGAGACACACAACCTTCCAAGATTGAATCAGGAAGAAATTGAAAACCTGAACAGACCAATTACAAGTTCCAATATTGAATCAGTAATTTTAAAAAAACAAAAAAACAAAAAAACTACCAACCAAAAAATGATCTAGACCAGATGGATTCACAGCCAAATTCTACCAGGCATACAAAGAAGAGCTGGTACCAATTCTACTGAAATTATTCCAAACATCAAGGAGGGACTCCTCCCTAAATCATTCTACAAAGTCAGCATTATGCTGATACCAAAAGCTGGCAGAGACACAAGAAAAAATACTCCAGGTCCATATTCCTGATGAACATAGATGCAAAAATCCTCAAGAATATACTGGTAAACTGAAGTCAGAAGCACATCGGAAAGATAATTCATCACACTCAAGTAGCCTTTATCCCTAGGATGAAAGGTTGGTTCAATATACACAAATCAATAAATGTGATTCACCATATAGACAAAATTTAAAACAAAATTCATACGATCATCACAATAGATGCAGAAAAAGCTTTCAATAAAATCCAATATTGCTTTATGATACAAACCCTCAACAAACTAGGCAGCAAAGGAACATACTTCAAAATAATAAGAGCCATCTATGACAGACCCACAGCCAACATGATACTGAATGGGCAAAAGTGGAAACCATTCCCCTTGAGAAGTGGAACAAGGCAAGACTGCCTACTCTCATCACTCCTATTCAATATAGTACTGGAAGTCCTAGTCAGAGGGCTCAGGCAAGAGAAAGAAATAAAAGGCATCCAAATAGGAAAAGAAGTCAAGATATGTCTCTTCACTGATAATATGATTATACACCTTTAAAAAAACTCTGAAGACTCCACCAAGTGACGCCTAGAGCTGAGAAATGACTCCACTAAAGTGTCAAAATACAAAATCATTGTACAAAAATCAGTAACATTTCTATACACCAATAATGTTCAAGCTGAGAACAAAATCAAGAATGCAATCCCCATTCACATTAGCCACAAAAAAAACTAAAATACCGAGGAATACAGCTAACCAAGAAGGTGAAAGATCTCTAAAGGAGAATTACAAAACACTGCTGAAAGAAATCAGAGATGACACAAATATTTGGAAAAACATCCCATGCTTATGGATTGGAAGAATCAACATCACTAAAATGGCCATACTGCCCAAAGCAATTTACAATTCAACATTATTGCTATCAAGCTACTGATGTTGTTTTTCACAGAATTAGAAAAAAATCCCTTCTAAAATTCATATAAAACCAAAAAAGAACCCAAACAGCCAAAGCAATTCTAAGCAAAAAGAACAAAGGTAAGTATCATATTACCTGACTTCAAACTATACTACAAGGCTACAATAACCAAAATAGCATGGTACTGGTACAAAAACGCATAGACTAATGGAACAGAATAGAGAACCCAGAAATAAAGCTGCACACCTACAATCATCTGATCTTCAACAGAGTTGACAAAAATAAACTATGGAGAAAAGACTCTCTGTTCAATAAATGGTGCTAGGATAACTGGCTAGCCACATACAGAAGAATGAAACTGGACCCATACCTATCGCCATATACAAAAATTGATTTGAGATGGATTAAAGACTTTAATGGAAATCTTCAAATTATAAAAATTCCAGGGGAAAAAAACTAGAAAATACCCTTCTCTATACCGGCCTTGGCAAATAATTTATGGCTAAGTCCTTAAAAGCAAATGAAACAAAACTAAAAATTGACAAATGGGACCTCATTAAACTAAAGAGCTTCTGCACAGCAAAAGAAACTATAAAGGGAGTAAACAGACAACCTGCAGAATGGGAGAAAATATTCACGAACTATGCATCCAACAAAAGTCTAATATCCAGAATCCATAAGAAACTTAAATTAACAAGCAAAAAACAAATAACCCCATTAAAAATTGGGCAAAGGACATGAACAAACACTTTTCAAAAGAAGATAGACAAGCAACCAACAAACATATGAAAAATTCTCATCATCACTAATCATCAGAGAAATGCAAAAGCCACAGTGTGATAACATCTCACACCAGTCAGAATGCCTTTTGTTAAAAAGTCAGAAAGTAACAGTTGTTGGTAAGGGTGTAAAGAAAAGGGAATGCCTATACACTGTTGGTGGGAATGTAAATTAGTTCAGCCACTGTGGCAACTAGTTTTGAGATTTCTCAAACAACTGAGAGTTGAACCACCTGATTCAACTCAGCAATCCCATTGCTGGATATAAACCCAAAGGAAAATAAATCATTCTACCAAAAAAATACATGCGCCTGTATTTTCATCACTGCACTACCCACAAGAGTAGACATGGAATCAACCCAGGTGCCCATCAACAGTGGACTGGATAAAGAAAACGTGGTACATATACACCATGGCATACTACACAGCCATAAAAAAGAATAAAATCATGTCCTTTGCAGCAACATGGATGCAGTTGGAAACCATTAACCTAAGAAAACTAACACAGAAAAACAGAAAACCAAATACTATATGTTCTTACTTATAAGTGGGAGCTAAACATTGAGTACACATGGTCATAAAAAATGGGAACTTAAAAAAAATATATATATATTGCATTTCAGTGACAACACAGTGATGAGGATAGTTCTCAATTTCCCTTTAATTGTTTCAATACAATAGCTGGCAAGCTGGCAATGGGGGACACTTCCCAAGCTGGCCAACTTTAGTTCCTTTCTGGAAACCTGCACCTGGAAGATTCTGAAGGGACATGATTTTCAATTCCTCCTCTGGAGTGTCCGAAACCTTGCCAACAGAATTGGCAAAATGTGGAACTAGGCCATTCTTCTCCAGAGCGTGGGACTTCTCTGGCTGGCCCTGCGCTGAAAACCCCACTCCGTAGTCCTGTCCTGAGCTTCCATATCCGGCCACCAAAATGACCTGCTGGGGCTCCTGAAGATGGCGTTAGGTAACCAGAACTAAGTCAACAAACTGGGGTTATCAGCTTAATAGTTTAACAGGCTGACTCGCCCAGAAAACATATTTGCATTTTCACTGGGCTTTCTGGAAATAATAGTTTAAATCAAAGGAGCAAATCCCTTCTCTTGACAAATATTTGTTGATTATGGGACACACAGCTACAGAATACTTTTCCTTTCAAGGAGACAGTTCACCTGTTGCAGGTGGCTGTCGTTAAGGTCTGAGTTAACCTGCCCCAGTCAAAAGAACAGAAAGCTGGGTGGACACAGATAACCAAGGGCCCCTGTCTGAACACTCGTCACTTGCTTATAAGAGACTCTTGGACTCTCTGAGCATTGGTCCCCCGGCTTTTGTAAAGGAAATTCTCGGGCTGTAAAGGTCTTTTCAGTTCTAAATTGAAATTGAAATTCACCAGCTCAGCTCCAGCCACTCAAGCCTGTCAGGTTACCCACCTGAAACACATTCTCTACAAGATCGATGGGTAAATAACACTGCCTTCCCACCCAGTTAATCTCGTAGGTTGCCTGAACAAAAAGTGAGGCATCTGCAGCTTTCCTCCTCCGTGTGTTGTGGTTATTGGATTACCCCTCACACACACACACACACACCCCACCAAGTTCCCAGATAAATTCCCTTAACTTAAAACTTAACCTTTGAAACAAACCGAAATTCATTCTCAAGTGAGCTGCAGTAAGGCCCAAGAGGCACCTTGCTTTCCTGGCTGAAAGCAGGCAGGATGCACATCCCAAGGTGGCTCTTGGTCCAAGCGGATGAGGGATTCATTGTCTTAGCACCCTTAAAGGAGGCAGGAAAGAACACGGGGAGGAGAAGGAGGAGCTATAGCAACCTGTCCCCACTCTGCCCAGCCCCTCAGGTAGCTCAGGGCCCGAAAAGCAATTCTAGCACAAAGGAGTCAAGATTCTCTCATGGAAGCAAGGGAGAGAGGACTGAAAGGGAACCCTGGGATCAGGGCAGGACCCCCGCTACCCATGAGGCTGACTGAATTAGTCCACCCAAGAGCATGAGAGTAGCTGCCTACTCTTAAGCACTCAGGCAGGTCAAGCATGTGCTGTATTCTTTATGGGCATTACCTCATGTAATTTTCAAGTAAGGCAGAAACTATCCTTTTCTCTTTATAAAGGATGGAACTGAGACACAAGGAGGTAGACTGACCCTGCAAGAAAATAAAGTCATAGCTTCCGTCAGATCCAAAAAACAGGCTGAAAACATTTTTGATAGGCTCAATTCATAGAATTCCTTTCACTCACTAGTCCGCAAAGCGTTTCTCATTTTGCCAATTAAAAGTGGTTGCTTCTCTGCAGCTCCCAACCTAGAACACTTTCCCCTTCCTCTGCCCTTCTTAGGACAGATGTGAACACCCTTCACAGCCCTCTGGACTGGCCTTGGAGGGCCTTGTCCATTGTGGATCCCAATTGAGCTGAGCCCAGTGCTGGAGCCAGACATGCATGATGACACATGGAAGACACAGGAGGAAACCATGAGAAAACAGGATGTTTTGCAGAACATCGTTCCCAGGGATGCTAACAGTGAGAAGATGACCGAATACCCTGTTCCCATCCTCCAGGCCAGAGGGCTGGCACGGTTGACCCTTACCTGTTGTCTATAACTAACACCAAGGCTGGACCTTGTATCACATAAACCCATGTATGTTCTTAGTCTTATGGAGTCATTTGCCTTGAAAATATCCAACAGCTGTGCATTCCACAGTCAATTGTATATTAATCATGCATCATAGGGGAAAATGCCATCGTTGCTTCCAAATCTGCTAATATGCAGACGGGCACCCAGCTTCTGAGCTGCAAGGGAAGAGAGGCAGGTCTCCAAATTCCAGCTGGCTCCTTTCGGCTTGCTGCAAAGCCTCAGACATCTGGCTAGGAAGATTGGCTAATGTGCCGTCCCTTGGCTGTGGTGTGCATGATTACATAGAGGTTTGAGCACCACTTGACAAAGCCTCACTTGCTCTCTTCAGCCCTGCGATGATCTGAGACGCCCACCTCAGCTCACCTCTTTTCCTTCTTTTTTTTTTCTCTTTCTTTCTATTTCTTTCTTTCTATTTCTTTCTTTCTGTCTGTCTGTCACTCTTTCTGGCTCTCTCTTTCTCTCTCCCACTCCAACAATTCAGGGCAGTGTATGTCAAAAAAACAAAAATAGACTGGAAACATTAATTTTTAACAGTTCCTATTTGCTGAAGACCTATTATGCACCAGGGACTTTGCACGTACTGGTTCTAAGCCTTATCAGCACTCTGCCAGCTGAGCAGTATTATCCCCATTTGCAAATGAAGAAAACTGAAGCAAATGGAAATTAAGTGACTTTCCCAAGTCATGCAGCTGGGAAGTGGCAGAGCCAAGATTCAAACCCTGATCTGGTTGATTCTCTCATGACACATTCTTTTCTGTCCCGCAATCCTATAGGGTCCTCCTATTGGACCCAGGCGATTGCCTGCGTCAGCTTCCTTAAGCCCAGAAATGAAAGATGACTCACTAGACAGGCCAGGCTAACTCAGGGCGGAGCAGGGGGCAGGGGGGAGGAAGGGGGAGGAAGGAGGACTGGCAAATCAGGAGAGACCTATGAGGAAGGTTTTGCAGAAGGAAACTGTTTGTTGTGAAACGTTTAATTATTGCACTTGGGGGTAATTTATTATCAGGGAAATTAAGTGATTCCATTAGCCTCCTGTCGCTTTCCAAAATAAATCTGTCCGGGCAGGGTGAGGGGGGAAAAGGAAATGAGAGCTTCTCTGTTTTAATTTGTTTTTCTACAGATTGCCAACTGGAGGTGCGGGCTCCATTGATCCATGGGAAGGGAGCTGGCGGCCATCCTGGGTGAGCCTCTGCTAACCTCAGCCCCTCTGCAGCCACATTTCCATATCGGAACAAAACCCGAGCCCAGCTTGGGAAAGTGGGGCAAGTGCCCAGTCAACGCAGAAGGAAACCGAAGGCCTGGGAACAAGAGACAACTCTGCCACCAGCTGGATCTGGCACCTTGGGCAACTCACTCCCCAGCTAATAAATGAGGCTCTCAAATGGTAATGTCCCTTCGCCCCTAACCTCCTCTAAGTACCAGCTGCACAAGCCTCCAATAATCCTGTGTCTCGGGTAC
The DNA here is from genome assembly GCF_000001405.40 of Homo sapiens. Classification (NCBI taxonomy): domain Eukaryota; kingdom Metazoa; phylum Chordata; class Mammalia; order Primates; family Hominidae; genus Homo; species Homo sapiens. The sequence goes on along the minus strand of NC_000010.11, from coordinate 111,128,335 downwards.
CTTAACACAACATTGGGCTTATAATAAGAGCTCAACCAATGGCAGTGCTCTCCTTCTATCTCACCACCAGATACTCTTGCTATCTCTATCTAATAGATGTGGCTCTCAGGGAGCAAATTCTATAGCCAGAACAGGAATCCAGGTCTGAGTCCTCAGCCAGCACACTAAGCCACTGCCCCTCACTGTCATCTACTTCTGTGCATGCCCAGGAATTACTCTACGTACACCTCAATTGTCCTCATCGCAGCAACATGAAATCCTGCCTCCCTGGACTATGGGCAATTGAAGACGGGGCACTGTTGTTTTATTCCTTATATCTGAACCAGCCCAGGGCCTAAATAAATGCAAAAAACACTTTATTACTTTTCCTAGCCCCAGTGCTTGGCACTCAGCAGGTATGCAATATATATTTGTTGAATTAATAATTCTGTAATATGAGATTTCTCACTTAGCCAAATGGATAACTAGATCTTAACTGAGGGAGAGGACGCTGTGCCTTTTTCATGGGAAATCTAAACATGTGGAAAGAAAAGAGCTAAGAACGGTCTGGTAGTTTTACTAGGGAGAGGCCAAATTGTGCTCCTCTGCCTAAGAGCTTCAATTTCCTCAGCAACTCCATTGTGACTCTGCAGAGATGAATGCCATCAACTGATAAGGGTGCCCGAGGCCATGAGCCACTGAAATCTTCTTCCCACAGATGCTCAGCCCTGGCCATGTCTGCAGGGGGCTGCAATCTTTCTCTGGGCACAGTTTCCTGCTCATTTCCTCATCTATAACATGATAACAGAGTAGCATCACTCAGCCTCTGGAGAAGGAAGCAGGAACTATAGGGTACTAAGATCTGTGTTCTGGCCACTGGCAGATCCAGACAACACACAAGATCTTCTGGAAGATTTAGCACCCACTGGGGCACTTCAAGATCAGATGCACCAAGTTCAATGCCAAGGGGACCCAATTCTGTCATCTCAGAGGCACCAAGACATGTGACTGCCATTATCAAGATATTACCCCAGCTCCCCAGTCATGTCAAGTACAGCGAGGGTGAGACTTCTCCACTGTAGACCCGAGTCTGACTTCACCTCCAGCCCATGACTGCTATTTGTTCAACAGATCCACAGCTGGGAGGAACACACCCCCTAAACACATGGTCTGAGTGGTTTTCTAAGTCAATAAATAGCTTTGGTTACCACCAACCATTCAAACTGGCTGAGGATGTATCTGCCAGGGGAGCCAATGAACATGAGCTGGGAGGGATATCAAATGCCTAACTCAAGTCCTGCACATCCTGATTCTCACTCTCCTCCCAAGGGATGGCAGGGCAGAGTGGGGATGCTATCCTATCTCTTGAAAGATCGCTGCCTGGGTTCCCTGTCTATGAGCTAGACAGAGATCATCAAATGAACTCCCCAAATCAATGTGTCCCAAACTTTAACATGCACACAAATCACCTGGGACCTTGTCAAAATGCAGATTTTTATATAATAGGACTAGGAAAGGGTCCAAGATTCTTCATTTCTAATAAGCTCTCAGGTGATACTGATGCTGCTGGTCTGCAGACCACACTTCTAGTAGCAATGCCTTAAATTCTCTAAGCCTGTTTCATCTACAAAATAGGGCTAATACTAGCTGCCTCACAAGGTTGTTGGAGATTTGATGAGATAACATACATGAAGCACCCAGCAAAGCATCTCGCACATAATGGAGCATGTACTACACACGAGTTTTACCTTCTTTGCATTTCCACACCGCTCCAGCTGACCCCCGAACCAGTGGTTCTTGCTCTTGTTTGGCTAATAGACTCCTCTGAGAACCTAATAAAAACCTGGGACTCTTTATCAGTCAGGATGGGCTAGGCTGTATAAGCAAAATCTCCGTGGTTTAACACAGCCAAAGTTTAATTCCTGCTCCTGCTACATTTCCTGCATGGGTCAGTGGGTTCTCTGCTCACTGAAGTCATTCAGAGACTCAGACTAATAGATGTTCCATCTCAATATACAACCCACGATCATGATGCAATCATGGTGGAGGGAAGGAGCATGGTGAATCATGCATTGCTCTTATGGTGTCTGCCCAAAAGAGACACACATCACTTCCACTCACATTTCAGAGGCCAAAAGAAATCCCAGGACAATGCCTCATTTCAAAGGAGCCAAGGATGTACAATTCTATCCTTTGCCCAGAAGATGGAGAGCCAGAAGCATTTGGTGAAAAACATAATGATTACCACCAATCTACTTCCTAGGGAAAATAATGCAAATAGAGGCCAGGCGCAGTGGCTTATGCCTATAATCCCAGCACTTTGGGAGACCGAGGCAGGCAGATCATGATGTCAAGAGATCGAGACCATCCTGGCCAACATGGTGAAACCCCATCTCTACTAAAAGTACAAAAATTAGCTGGGTGTGGCGGCATGTGCCTATAGTCCCAGCTACTCAGGAGGCTGAAGCAGGAGAATTGCTTGAACCCGGGAGGCAGAGACTGCGGTGAGCCGAGATCGCACCACTGCATGCCAGCCTGGTGACAGAGCAAGACTCCATCTTAAAAAAAAAAAAAAAAAAAAAAAAAACATGCAAATATAGAAGCATGCCTATAACTCCAAGAGGTCTACAGACCTGCTCACTCCCCAAGCCCCGTCCACCCTTAATACTGTCTGAGCGTGACCAAGGAGATTTGGGGAGAAATGGTGCTCATTCGTCAATTCAGCAAATGCGATTGATTGTCCACTATGACCAGTACATGTTGTGTGGGCAACAAGATAGACCAGGTCCACACTCTCACAAGGCTTATATTCTAGAGGGAATACAAAGACAGTAATCAGGAAATTACAGCAGATAGTAAGTGCCCTCAAGGTAATGGACATAGTGTGATGTAACGAAGAGTTACTGGGAGGTAGGAGGGACTGACTCCATCTGAACATGGAGAGGTCAGAGAAGGTCACTCTGACCAGTGAAGCTCAAGGATAAGAAAGAGCCATACATGTGCTGAGCTAGAAGAAAATTATTCCAGGCAAAAGGAATAGCAAGTGCAAAGGCCCAGTGGCAGAAAGAGATCACTGCACTGGATGAATGGGCAAAGGTCAGTGTGGCAGGGGCTTTGTGAATGAAGTGGTCAGTGATAGGAGATGTGGTTGGAGGTGAGCTCAGAGAGGTGAGTGGGGGGCCGCTTGTGCAGACCCTGGGTATGTGTTCATGGCCTGATCCAGATCCTTGGGTATCCTTCCCTCATAGCAAGGGGAGTCAGAGGTAATCCTGAAGCACATGGGGAAAAGTCAGCTGTATTCGCAGAACAACACAGCCTGAAGCTGAGGCCAAAGCCCTCAGGGTAAATGACTGCTAGCGCTAAACCCAGCAGCCTAAGGGACAAGACCCTCTGTAAACACCCACCATCTCAGTCTTCTCTCTTCCCCTGCAGGACTGAGCTTGAGAGCTCCCTCTGGAACTCAATACATCTCTCTTTTCTCCTGTACAAAGACCCACGCTGCCTTCCTCTTCTCCCCTGGTCTATGTCAGACTGTCCTTCCTGTCTCCAGTTTCCTGCTCTCTTCCCTCCAGGCCATTATGATGGTCTTCCTTCTTAGAATACTATTCCATGTCCTCCCTGCATGAACATGTACTGCTCTTCCTGTAGAAAACAGCATAAATCCCACCTCCTCTGACACTCTAAGGACCATTTGCAGCGGAGGCCAACTGGCCTCTTGAATTTTTTTACTTCTCCCAAGCAGCCCTGATTTGGCCTCGTGGCATTGGTTACTATTACACCCAAAATTCTCATCTCTCCAAGGAAACTGCAGGTTCTTAGAGGGCAAGAATGATGTAACTGAGCAGGTGTCCCCGTCACTCACCCACCAGAGTGCCTAGCTCAGAAATGGTACTCAGGAAATGGCTTGACTCCTGAAGGCAGAGGCAGCAAACTGGGAAACGTGCTGACTCTGCCCTCTGTGCCCAGGCACCACATTTGTCCAGGCAGCTTGCTTAGCAGGGCCTGGAGCTGACAGGGGCTCAACCAATGCTGGTGGAATAAACCACCAGACCCATCTTGGCTTGGAGACTTGGGATGGATGAGCTGACACCTCTGAGCCTCAGTTTCCTCCTTTCTAAACTAGGGATGATGTGAGTTCCTTCCTCATGAGGCTGTTGTGAAGATCAAATGAAACATGAACAGGTTTTGTGAACCGTAGAGTCCTCACATATTATGAGTGGCTGAATGAGCCACTGGTCAACAGCACAGTTGACACCACACCCGGTGGAGAAGGATGTGAACCAGAGGGCTGAGTGGAGCACATCCTGCTTCCTACTAAAGCAGGTCAACCAAGAACAAAGAGTAACGATAGGGTCGTATTCCAGGGAAGGGCGTCTGAGCTTTGAAGGATGAGTGTCTTCTATGCCATCATGTCTCACATCAATTCTGCTTGCCTCTAATGCCTTCTCCTGGCCTTATGGAAAGACGGGAAGGAGAGTTGGCCGGTCAGGTGGGGAGGGAGGCCTGGGAGGTGAAGTTTTATATTGCATTCTTTGTCCCCAACCTCCTTCCACCTTCCTTGCTTTTTAGGGAGCTTATTTAAGTTGGGTTGCCCTCCAGAGGCCTGCTCTGGCTTCCTGCATATTCTATCACTCAGAGGAGAACCCTGGGCCCTGAGGAGCATCAGAAAAGGTCAGTGAGTCCTTCATGTGCTCAGAACAAGAGGGTCCAATCCTCCCAAGCAGAGAACAATGGGCAAAATGGTTCAGGAGGCAAACTGTTTCCTGAAGTCCAACACCATTCTCAGCACCTCCACACCCAGGTAACATTCCACAGGCACACAGGGCTGAGTGGAATTCGATCTCTGCCACGTACCAACTGTGTGACCCTGGGCAAGTCCCCTAATCCTTCATAGCTTCGGTTTGCTCCTAGTACCTACTACTTAAGATTGTTGTAAGAATATATCGAGAGAATGCTTGCAGAGCACTTAACATAGTGCCTGGCAATATATTTTAGCTATTTTCACTGTTATACCATCAAGGCACAGTTGTAGGATTTGACCTACAAAGGACTGGAAGCTCCAATCTTTGATGTTCACTCACAGACCCCCCCCACCTCCAATAGAGAAAGAGCCACCATCCTATAATGCCTGTCACTGAGACACTTGGGAATCTCCACCATCACCCGTTCCCACTCCCCATACTCTCAGAGTAGCCACTGGATAAAGATGTCTTAGTTCAGAACAAACAGGAAAATGTCTACCCTGGAAAGTTCCCAGACCCTGATTGCTCACATAATGGCCACATTTTGCCACTCCTCTTATAATTAGAAAGTGAGGGAGATGGCAGGGCAGAAGGCAGAGATTTAAAACTTTTTTATCCCAAAGCCATGCCAAAGTCCAGGCACACACTCAACACCCATCATGGAAATCTCACCCTGTCAAGTGGTGAACCAAAAAGCACATCGGTCTCCCCCAACATTCATGCAGAAAAGTAATGTTGTGCTGGTCACCTATATGCCTCTCTGAATCTCTCAAAGGCAGAGGAAGATTACGCCTATGCATCCTTAGAGACCCAACACCTCACAAACAGTACACATGCAGTAAATGCTTGTTCAATTTAATTGCATTGAGAGAATCCTATTCTCTCCAGAGGTGCAGAGAGTAGAAAGTCCTACCTGGAAGAACTGCTCCCTAAGAACCCCATCCCCTGGGGCATATGCACATCCAGCCTGGTGGCCAATCCTTTCTGCTCCACACAGGGGTTTCAGTCTTGGGCTATTGGTTACCTGTTCACACCTGCCCCTCTATCTGGACTTATAAACTTCTGAAGAGTAGAGATGATCTGTCTTCTGGAGCAGAGGGAGTAGAGGCATCAGTATGAGGTGCTGGCTACTCTCCATTTGCCCCTCCAGAGCCTCCCTCCACCTTTCTCTGCTCTGCTTTCTGTCCAGGGAGGCCAAACTCCATGAACTGCATCAAGAAGGTTTCCTTGGTGTCTGGCTTCCAGATGGTTTCAGCCAATGGGAGGTGCTAAAAGGAGATCAGAAGGTGGGAGGAGAGACAAGTCAGGGTATTTATTTCCCCAAATCCCTCCCTGATGGGCCAGGGCTTGTTTGGGCTGCATTCCTCTACCCAAGGGCATAGCTCCTGTCAGGGGGCCCTCTCCTTTGCTTTAGCTCTCCCTCCTCTAAACTCTACAGGCACAGGTGTACCAGTGGTTTTCTGCTGTTACTAATCCTGGCATCCTTCATCATCCCTTGTTAGTGTCCTTTAACTCTGCCCACTCTTTGTAAACAGTCCCCTCACTGAATTTTCTTCAATTGCAACCCAAGTGTTATGTGCTTCCTGCCAGGATCTTAACAGATAGACCTGGAAATCTTAAGAGCTGGGTTCTAGTGCGGGCACTGTCGCAGCTATGTGCCTTTCACAAGGCTTGTCCCTTCTAGGTCAGTCTTTTCCTCTGCAAAATGGATGACATAACTAAGTGTCTCTAAGACCCCTTTAGCTAACAAAATTGTTCTTGCATCATCTCTCAGGGTCCCTAGGATACTGCTGTACCCATAGATGGTGCTGGAAACGATTTGATCGAAGGCTGCTATGGTGGGGAAAGGAGAGAGTGTCTGGTGAGTGCAGGGGTATCAAGTGCAGGGGTATACTGTGTTGTACATTGGCAGAAACAATCAGTGCCAGAGGAAACTGTTTTCCAGAAACCTATGTTAGTGCTTTAAGTGGCTGAAATGGCAGAGAAGTTTGGCTGCGTATAGGTGTATAGAAACAAGACAGCAATGGCTCAGAGCATGGGATGAGATGGAAGAGTCCTGAGTTCAGGTCTCAACTGCTGTTTCCTTATTTTATGACCATTGAAAGCCCTTTCACCCCTCTACATTCCCCTCCCTTACATGTAAAATGGGGGTGATATGAACACCTCCCTGAAGAGGCTGATATGAGAGTGAGAAATAGTTGCATAGCATTTACCACAATGCCTAGCACACAGTGAGTGCCACATAGTGGGAATAAATACTACCTATCACAATAAAAAAGGCCTTTGTGGCCAGGCACTGTGGCTTATGTCTGAAATCCCAGTGTTTTGTTTGAGAGGTCAAGATGGGAGGATTGCTTGAGGCCAGGAGTTTGAGACCCCCATCTCTACAAAAAATGAAAAATTTAGCTAGGCATGGTGGTGCACACCTGTAGTTCCAGCTACTCAGGAGGCTAGGATGGGTGGGAGGATCACTTGAGCCTGAAAAGTCAAGGTTACAGTGAGCCATGACTGCACCACTGCACTTCAGCCTGGGTGGCAGAGCAAGATCCTGTCTCAAAAACAAAAAAAAAAGGAGGAGGAGAGTCTTGTGACCAATCAGATGAACTGAAAGGCAAGATGCCATTGTGTGAGAACCAAGAAGGCCAGAGAAACTACTCAATTCTATGGCCCAACATAAGAGATAGAAGATAAAAATTCAAAGATTTACTAGGTGTTATGTTAGAGAAAACAAAAGTAATGCTCAATAATCACCCCCTACTCTCTTTCTAGGGAAATTTCCCAACTTCAGAGTAATGCATATGAGTCTGAACAAAGCATGGCAATACCAATGGGCTGAAGAGGCAGAAAACAGACTTCAAGGCAGCTGGAGAAGCTGGGAGTTGCAGGGCAGGATATCACAGAGGGAAAAGCTGAGGACAGAAGTCTAGAAGTCTTGCACCCTGGAAGTTGAAGACCGAGGAGTGGGCTGTATATGTTCAGGGTGTAACTATCTAGGTCTTATCAGAGAATGCCTACTACAAGTTTGAAAGCATAATAGAGAGGGTGAAGAGTGCTGGTGGACATAGCACTCTGACCCACACCTCATTAACATGCTGAGTACCCAAATAAGATATCAGACTTAAAGGAATTGAGGGAAAATGTTATCCTAATTCATAAACAGATGGCTATCTCAACAGGAAGAAAAACGAGAGCTGTACAATTGCTAATGCAAAAATTTTACTAGATGGGTTTAACATCAAATAGGAGAGAGCAGAAGAAAGAGTTAATAAACTAAAAAATCCATTGAAAGTATTAATCTGAAGAACAGAAAGAGATTAAAGAAAAATAACCAGAGCCTTGATGACTAATAGGAAAATATCAAATGACTTTGTATGTCTATAATTTGAATGCTAGAAGAAAAGAGAATGGGAATTTCTCCAGGAAAATCTTTGGAGACATTAATAGAAAAAAAATCCAAATTTGGTGAAAACTATTGACTTACAGAACCAAGAAGCTCAGTGTTTTACCCTGCTTTTTTCAAGTAGGATAAGAAAATTAGAAATAAAACCACAAAACAGCAAAACCTGACACATGATAGTTGAATTGCTGAAAGCCTCCCTTGCTTCACTCTGCCCCAACCCCTCTTCCTCCTAACCAGTCTGACTGGGACATTGCTATGACCTCAGAGTTGCCCTGGGCCAAGCAGCAGAGTTGAAGGAGAGGTACCTACCCTTAAGCTTGGTCACCAGCGAGATACGTACCAGGAGGATCCAGAGCCATGGGAGCAGCAGGCATGGGTGTAAACATGTGAGATGCGACTGCATAACACAGGTCAGAGCCCAGGTGCACACCACTGTCCATCTCTACAGAACAGAGCCCAGTGAGAGTTATAGGATGAGGAACACTATCTATTTCTTCAGAGAAATAAGGGTTGTCCCTCGGTCAAACATCAGCCAGGCTTCCCTCTGTATTCATCCATCTCCTCTGACCCCTAGAGCCAAGTCTACTTAAAACTGAATTCTGACTCCAGAAAAGAGAAGGTGTGTTACGGTTCTCCAGAGAAAAAGAAGAAACAGGAGAGAGAGAGAGAGAGAGAGAGAGAGAGAGAGAGAGAGAGAGCATGAATGTGGTAGGCTGGCAGGTTGGAGATCCAGGGAAGAGTTGTAGTTCAAGTCCACATGCAGTTTTCTGGCAGAAATCCTTCTTCTTCAGTCTTTTTCTATTAAGGGGGAAGTCAGTTTTTTTGGTTTTGTTTTTCTATTAAGACTTTCAACTGATTGGAGGAGGCTCACCCATGTTATGGATGGTAATCGGTTTTACTCAGTCCACTGATTTAAATGTTAATCTCATCTAAAAAACACTATGATAGAAATATCTATAATAATGTTTAATCAAATGTCTGGGTACCATGGCCTAGCCAAGTTGACTCATAAAATTAACCATCATACTATCATTCTGAGAAAATGTGTCTCCTGTAGGAAGGGCCTGTGCAGGACAAAGATGAGCCTGAGGACAGCACCAACTAAGGGTATAGAAAAGGGGCTGTGACACCAAAATCTAACATGCTCCAAGGCAGCACCAATGGAATTAAAGTGGCCCATTTCCTTCCAAGGAGACTAGACCCAGAGCTGCTCCAACTTAAGCATGTATGTGAACCACCAGCCTCCTGATCCAGGAGGTCTGGATGTGGGCGTGAGAGTGAGCAGTTCTCACAAGGCCCTGGTGGCTGCCTGTGCCGCTGGTCTCTGGGCCATAATTTGAGTAGCAGGGTGGAGGGCCTCAGAGCCTAGATTCCTAGGTCTCATCCCAGCTCTACTCTTCGTTTGCTGTGTAACTTTGAGCAAGGGAGGTACTTAACCTTCCAGAATCTCAGTGTCCTCATTGATAACGTGGGAGGTAACAATATCAACTTCAAAAGGTGATTGTGAGATTAAAAGAGAATATGAACATGAAGTACATGGATAGTTTGAGCTCAATAAAAGCTCCTAGCTACTATCATTATTATGGGCACCTGATTTTTAAAGAGTACATGTTAGGTAGGATATAAATAAATCTTATATTTGGTGATCAGCATGGGGAAAGGACCTAAACATACAGCCACAGGAAGAAACGTTGATAAAATTGAAACCATTCACTCTAGAGAGGAACAGATGTAGGAAGGAGGTGGGAGGGAAGTGGAGGCCCAAAAGAGGTGATGAAAGTCTTCCTGAACATTCTTGAAATGGAGCGTTCATGGAAATAAAGTGAGAGTTATCCTGCAAGCCTCCATGAAATTAACAAAGAACAAGATGTGGAGCTTCCTGGTAAGTCAAAATGAGATCAGTGACAAAGCTTGGGAGTATCCAAAGCTGACCAGAAATGAAGAAGGTTGTGTGAAGGTTGTGTGGACCACCAGAGGCACGACAGCAGACTGTGCCACCACCCCTTCACCAGAAAGCCAACAGGCTGGTGCCACAGATTCATGTGACAACGCCCACACCCTCCAAGCACTTCCAGAACTCCAGAGCAGCTCTGTCAATGGCTCTCCTGGAGCACGGCCTCCTTCCTGCACTCAGAGTCCCGGCGCTCCAGCTCTGCTGTCCAAGGGCCACTCCTGGGGGACAGTTGGCACATTCCAAGCTTAGTCACGATGCATCAGACAATTCATTCAGATTTCTTCAGTTCCATTACCAAGCCCTGTGGGAGCCAAATGGGAAAAAGAATCAATGCATAAGCTGGCCAGGGAAGTGGCAGTGTCCAAACAGCCTGCTCCCCATGAAAACACTGGCCTGTCCTTACCCCAGACCCCCAGACCAGGACTACCATGTTGCCAGGACAGTCAGACAGTCACACTATCCCATCTGACAACCACTGCTACACAGGCCATCTGCTCCATGGCCTCGGGGTTGCCCTTAGACCTCCTCCCCATGTCTCAGCAGTAGCAGTGGCCCCCAGGAGCAGCCCCACTCTGCTCCCCTCTCTGGGGCCTCCACACTGCTGTGCATTGCCCATGTACTTGTGAGGTCATCGAAACTCTTGGAACCTCAGTTTCTTCATCTGAAAAATGAGAACAAGAATAAGAATAATACCTACCTCACAGGGATGTCATGAGGTTAAAAGAGATAAAGATACCTAAAATATTTAACCTGATTCTTGGCATTTGGTACTGCAGAAATGTGGGCGTTACACCCCATGAGAGAGATACCCTGCCTTACCACAGAGGAGGCTCTAAGCAAGTGTTCATTAAACTGAATCATGCTGGAGAATACTCATGGCTCCCGGGTCTGAACTAAAGCAGATATCGGCAGTTGCTTCCCTCACCTCCTCACCCTTGTCAGCAGGAGCCAAGGTCACAAAGCTGGGGCCTCACCCTCTAAGCCCTACCCAGGGAGACAGGTGCTCTGCAGGGTTGCAGAAGCCCAGAGCTTACGCTAAGGGAGCTGCTTGAAATCACAGCTCCTTCCGGGCACCTCCCCAGCAGGCCTTGCTCCCAGCTCTGTCAGGCTCAAGCAGCTTTAGCCTGAACGTTCTGGCCTCGGCCTGACGCACCCCTCCCTCGATTAAAGGGCCACCCCCACCCACTGTCTGACCTATGGATTGGGACAGACCTGAGGGTGTCTGTGGCCTTGGACCCCCAATCCCCAGCCAGCCGGGGCTCCTGCCACTAGGCTTATTTGGGACAACTCAGTTAACAGTTGGACATCTGTCGTGTGCCAGGCTGCGTGCTAGGAACAGGGGAGGACCAGTGCTCGATGTGCAGAGGGAGGGAGGGATATGGCAGCGCCAACACCTGTCGCCTGGGGCGGCTGGGCAGGTCCACAGGGACCTCTCACAGATTCTGTAACAATGCAGATTCATAGGGCTCCTGGAAATGATTGCGTGGGGATACAGGGCACGTTCCTCAGAGAGGAACTTACAGACCGGTGGAGGAGATGTACTCCCGGCAGAGGACAGAGACCGGGGAGCACGGGTCAATCCTGGTGGGGCAGCAGGCATGAGCACCTGAAGCAGTGAAACATTTGTGGAGGGTCTTTCAGTGCCTGGAATCTGAATCAGGATGCTCAGAGAAACACTGACTGGGAAAGGAAGACACGCGCCTGCAGGTGCTGGTGTGTCCTGGAAGCTTCCATGGAGTAGAGGGCGATCTTAGAGCTCACCACCTCCACCAAAGCCCACCCTGAGGGGAGAGGCAGGCGTCATCTCAACCTCCCCCCTCCTTCAGAGCTGGAGACCCCAAATAGTTCAGGCACCCCCGCCCCTCTCTACACAAGCCTGCCGGAGGGACACAGGGACAGGGCTCCTTGCAGGGGGCCCGGGCCATCACACCCACAGCTGGATGCTGCACCCTGGGGGTGGTCATCCCAGGGACAGAGCTGAGAGAGCCTCGGGGTGGGTAGAGCTGGAGCTCCGGAGCCTGAGGGGGAAACCTGCCTGGCCCTGGACTCCTTGCTATGAGCGACGATAAATTTCCTCACTGACTATGCCCCTTGACTCAGGGTTTTCTTACTGATAGCTGCAGGCCTTCTGAGAGATATAGGGACTCCATCTCCTCTCCTCTCCCTACGTCATGCTTGCAAAACATCCAGAGCCTACCCAAACTAGCATTGCCAAACACAACTAGGGTTAGCAAATGAAAATGCCGGGTGCCCAGTTAGATTCAAATTTTGGGTAAATAATGAGTAATTTTTCTAATATATTATGTTTTATGCTATGCTTGAGGCATACTTATACTAAAAAATTACCCATTGTTTATCTGAAATTCTATTTTAAGCAGGCACCCTGTGTTTTATCTGGCAACCCTACCCCAAACCCCTCATTTATCTCGCCTGGCAGCACACTACCCTCCAAAATGGTTTGTCACCCAGAGAGCCTTCTGAGATGGCACTCAGGCACCCCCTGAGGTGGCCTGGGAGGGGTCAGAGAGCCCCACTGAACCCCCGGCACCTCCTCATTGCTGTGGGTTAGGGCTGGAGGGGGCCCAGTAAATGGCCTTCTCTTGCCTGCTAGGTCCTAACAATGGTGAAGAGAGAGAAGTGAAGAGGAGGAGAGACCGAAATATCACCTTAGCAGCTGAGAAAGCTGATTTGGGGGAATAGGGCTGAGAGCTGCAAGCACCTGGGCCTTCTGATATCAAACCCCAGAACTAGACAAATCATCTACTCTATTCCTGCAGCCCTGAACCCTCCCAGTCCTGCTCCAGGGCAGCTCGGGCAGGGGAGGGAGGCTGCCACTCCCCTGGCTCACTCTGTGACCAAGAACAGTAGCAACCCAGGCACCCTGCAGGCAGGCGAAAAAGGTGAGGGTTCCTGAGACCTGTTTGTTCTCCCAAATTCACCTATCAGCGAAATCATTCATCCTACCTATCCCCCTGGGAGAAGAGAGGTCAGGAATATTGGGCTACTGATGGGAGTCCACATGGAGGCATCCACCGCTCTCATTGGCAGCACTAGGGGAACCCCGTCGGTCCCCACTGGTGGCAGGCCACTCACAAGAGCACCCTTTGATGAGCCAGCCTGGACCATGTAGTCACCAGTCAAAAGAAGTCCTGGCCAACAAACACAGCTCACTTCCCAAACTGTGCCTGCCTCAGTTTCCTCATCTGTGAGATGGAGAGAAGAGCACTCACCCGGGCTCGTTCATGGATATGCCTGCAGCACACCTGGCGCACAGAGAGGGCTCACGAGGGCTGTGGCTGTTACTATCCCTGGCTCTGACATGGAGGGGAAGTGGGGGTGACGAAGCAAGGACAAGGCCCTTGAAGGGGAGAGAAGAGAGGAAGAAAGGGAGAATTTAGCTGGGCTAGTGTAAGACCTCTGCTTGGAGGGCTGCTGGGGGTCACGCAGTTTCAAGGAGGAAGAGAGATAAACAGATGAAGACACCAGGCTGGCCTCCCAGGTGAGATTGGTGTGGAAGCAATGAATGGGGGGAAGCACCCTGTCCCCATCACACCCATAGAACCTGATGCTTTCAGGGTGCTGACAAGCTCGAGATGCAGGAGCTGAGGCCTCTTCCTGGGGAAGTGCAGAGACTGGCACAGCTAGCTGGGAGCTTGGAACCCCCGCCAGGCAGGCTGTGACTCAGAGGGTGGCTCCAGGCCTAGCTGGAACAGGGATGTTCACCGGGACCCAAACAGAAACCACAATAGACGAATGGGCAGAGACAAGGAGGGAGGATAAAGGGCAGCGGTTGTCACACGGATACCCCACGTGCATGCTGGATTTCAGGCTTACTAACACTTACCCTCAGTAGTCCATTCAATGAAAGTTGATTGTCTCATCTGCTGTGGACTCTGGGGATGAAAGAGTGAATGTGGCAGCCATGGCCCCAGCCTCTGTGGGACAGCGTTCTTACACATGAAGCAACTGCACATTGTGGAAAGTGCCTGAAGGAAACATAAGCGCTGAGATAAAGAATCACAGGAAGTATGGCTTTCTTTGGTGGTGAGAGGCCTCACCAAGAAGTGACATGTGCACTAGGCTGTAATGGAAATGGAAGCTCCAGCGCTGGGAAGAACTTTTCAGGCAGAAGATGCAGCAAGTGTGAAGGCACTAAGGGGGAAAAGGGCAGGAGGATTTAGGCAGCAAGGCCAGTGCCCAGCCCTGCGCTGGTGTGAGGAGCAGCTCAACCCAAGGCTGGGGTGACGTCTGCTGGGCAAAGGGTCAAGAGTGGGATCACAGGCATGGTCAGAACAATGGCTCCTAAGTGTCCACTCATCTGGGAGGAGTCAGTCACCACAGGGTAGAAAAGCATGGTGGGACAAAGTGTCCCTGAGCGCCAACTTGTGAGGCCGAGGTCCTCAGAGGAGGACAGCTCCCTGAGGGCTGGGGGTCTCCAGAAGACTTCTTAGAGAAACCTCCTGGAGGACCCCATTTGGACAGGTTGGAGGTGTCAAACAGATGCGAGCAACAAAAGACAGCAGTGGCCCCTGGCTGTCTGTGCAGCAGAGAAGAAACTGGTTCGCCACAAGGTAGGGATGGGGTCATAGGAGGAACCTTCCTTGTACTTTCTGAAGAAGAGGGAAAGGATAAGAAAAACCGCAGTATTTTTTAGCAGCCCACTCAGCTCCCAGCCCTCTTTTCCTCTTCCTAACTGAACCCTGGTTGGCCTTGGAACAGCCACCTGCTTTCCATGTACACACACACACTCATGTGCTCTGGAGGAAGTGAAGCCTCCAGTTCAAGGGGTAGGCCCCAATGGCTCACACCAACCGGCATATTCCATCTCCTGGCCAGGGTCATTGGTCCCAAAGACAGCCTGTGACTGAAGCCCATCTACTCAGAGGGATCACCAGGCCCTGGCTCAGTCTATGAGTTCAGCCACGAAGCATGGGCCTACTGGCAGTCATTGTAGACAAGAATAGAGGGATGGAAAGGACTGGGTCTCTGGTGACAGCACTGAGGCCCTGGACCAACGAATCCTGCAACCCACCCACCTCTGGACTTTCCAGTTGCATGAACCAAACATCACCTTTCATGTGATTAAACCTGTTTGTGTTGAGTGCTCTATTCCTTCTGATGACAGCAACAGTTTGTGGACATCTAGTATGTACTGGGCACTGAATTAAATCTTGATACACACTGTTTCATGCAGGAATCATCCTTCTCACTCTTCAGAAGGGAAACCTAAGGCTCAGGACATGAAGTAACCTGCCTCAGATCACACAGCTGGACATAGAAGGCCTGACTGCAGGGCCTGAATCTGGGCCTGGGCTCCTACCCCCCAGTTCCTTCAGTCCTTCAGGGACCAGCTTTCAGGGACCCATAACCAAGGGTCTGAAGACACCCTAAGTCAGAGACCTTACATCAGACATTACTGAGAGACTTTGGACTAGGACTGTGAGAGCTCTAAGTCTTGTTCGGGGAAAGTTGGGCAGGGCAGAGGCCTAGGCTTTGGGCAGCAGAGACCTAGGTTTCAATTCCAGAATCCCACTTAGTGGCCATGTAACCTTGGGCAAGTTACTTGCCTTCTTCAGCCTTAGTTTCCCCATGTGTGAAGTCAGAGTTGAATTAAGACCCTATTATCTCATCTATTAATTACTTTAAAACACTCAAGTATAGACAATGTGAAGGAAATGTAGACATGTGTATAAATTTACTTTCATTTTCACCCTAAGGCAATAAGTAAACAGTTGAAATTCCCTATCAGGAACCCATGCTCTAGAAGGTGCTATCAAGGACTTCATAGGGCTTATAGCCTAACCTCATGTAGGTCAGACACACCTGTCGTGGATAAAAAACAGGGTTCAAGAATCAGGGCTGGTTAGAAAGACTGTCCAGCATTCTAGCCTTTGCATAAACAGAGTTTAAGCATGCAGAAACCCAGAGGCACAGCACAGCTCTGGGACTAGAATTCCCTTTGGTTCTGTGTGCCCCAACCCCTACGTGATGGAGGGGTCTGCCACCTCGTGTTCCTAGAAGGATGGCAGGTTCTGCCACCAAAACACTGTTTCCTTCTCTTGAAGTGTTCTTACACACAGTGTTTGTCCAAATGCCAAGGACCCTCCACACTCACAGGCATGGGGGTGATGCTTTGGTGGACACTTACCTCTCATTCTTCACATGGTGGAATCTGGCCTGAGACTGACTCTCACTGCTGCACATCTCCAGGTAGCAAGAGGAAGATGCCAAGCTCCAGCCCAACAGGGTTTATTGGAAGCTATGCATCAAAACCAAAAATCCTGACAATTGTTGAATGGTCACCATGATTTAGATTCCTTCCCAGCTACTCCTTCCAAGTTGTCGGAGGATAAGAGACACGAAATATCAGCAAATGTTGTTATTATCATCATTCTTATTATTCAGGCCTCTCTCTTCTTTAATCAAAGAACATATCTATGATGAGGAAAGGTGCTGAGAAGTGGAGAGAGGAGAAAAGATGGGGGTTGTGTTTTGAGATTTAGAAGGGCACAGTGTGTCCAGGCAACACTCCCAGCCCCCAGAGGTTGCAATGTGTGTTAAATCTCAGGACACATGAGGCTCTCCCACTGGAGACAAGAGGTCATGAAGGCCCTCCACACCCAATCTCATGGTCATAGACAAGCTAAGCTACCAGAGCCCTTCCTTCTGCCACCCTCCAGTGACACATGACATTGAGATATGGTTGTTCTGGTGTGGGGACACTTTGTCATGGAGACACTTCAGTAATGATTATCAGAATCATAACATCAGCAATAAGTGTATTGTACCTGGTACCTGGTAAATGAAATCAGTGTTAGCTGCGTTCCTTCTGTGAATATTGTCGTAACAGGATACTGTGTGGAATATTCAATAGAGAAATTGAAGTTTTAAAAAACTAAGAAATTTGCCCACTCACAGAGAAAATGGCAACTGGGATTTGAATGCAGGCAGTCTCATTTCAGCATCTACATTCCTAACCACTGGTCTATAAAATACTAACACAATTAGGGGTGGAGGGTGACGTTACAGGAGCAGACAAACTGATTTTAAAGTTCGTGTAGAAAACTAAACCAACATATCCACAGAAATGGAAAAAGAGAGCTATGAAAAAGAGCATGCTATCTATTCCCAGTAATAAGAGTGTCACTGGCATATGCTCAGACAAATATCCCAATAGAACAGAATAAAAATATAAGAAATAGACCCTGCTATGTGTGGAAGTGAGGATGTGATAAATGTGACATCTCAGATCAGTGAGGAAAATATAGTTGAATCGATAAATAGTATGGGACCAACTGGGTGGCCATCTGGAGAAAAATAAAGTTGGAATCATGCCCCACACTATATTTCAGGATAAACATCAAAGGGATCAAAAACTTAAAACTAAAAACTACGAAACTACAAAATGCCTGGACGAAAGCAGCAGAATTCCTATAAAGCCATGGGTAACATCTCTAGTCAACACTCAAATTCCAGAACTCATAAAAGACTGATCCATTTGATTAATAAAAATTAAAACTTCTGCATGGAAAAAAATAATAACAAGCAGGCCAGGTGCAGTCTCATGCCTGTAATCCCATCCCTTTGGGAGACCTACGCAGGAGGTTTGCTTGAGGCCAGCAGGTCGAGATCAACCTGGGCAACATAGCAAGACTCTGTCTCTACAAAAAAGTTAAAACTTAGCCAAGCGTGGTGGCACACGCCTATGGTCCCAGCTAGGGATGGGTGAGGGATGGGATTGGATGAGGTGGGAGGATAGCTCGAGCCCAGAAGGTCGAGGTTTCAGCGAGCTGTGATTGTGCCACCTCAATCCAGCCTGGGTGACAGAGTGAGACCCTGTCTCTCAAAAAAAAATAACAATAAGCAAGAAAAATCTAAGTGGACATATTTATAAGCCATATCACAAATTGAGGGCTAATCTTTCTAAAATGTACAAGCTCTTACAAATTGCTAAGAAAAGGACAATCACACAAATGGATGTGAGTAGACAGTTCATAGAAAACAAATTTATGGTACCACAAACCCCCATGACACGGGTTTACCCATATAACAAACCTGCACATATACCCCTGAACTTAAACGTGAAAAAAAGAAAACAAATGTATAAATGACCCTTAACTCTATGAAAAGATACTCAGCCTTATTCATAATAAAAGTGCAAATGAAAACTACACTGAGATAATATCATTTGTCTAACAAAGTTGGCCAAGAGCCAAAAGTTTAAGAACTCACCTGTTGGACAGGCTGTGGAGAAACAAACTCCCTCACACGTTACTGGTGGAAGAACCGCCACAGAGGGCAATTTGGTAAAATCTATCAAAATTGCAATGCTTATACCCTTTACCCACAGTAATCCCACTTCTGAGAACTTATCCCACAGATAGACTTGCAAACATGTGAAGTGACATATTTATAAGGTTATTCACTACAGCGTAATGTATTATAGCAGAACAAGGTGGGAAACAAACAAACGTTCATCAGTAAGGACTGGTTGAATAAATTATGATGTTACAGTACATCCATCCAACAGAGTACTGTGCAGCTGTTCGGGAAAAAAAAGTAAGAATGAGGAAGCTCTTTATGTGCTGACGTAGAAAGAGCTCCAAGAGATATATTGTTCAGGGGCAGACCAGTGTTTACATTATACTGCTTCTGGTATAAAAAACTGGGAGGTGGAAAGGATTTTTAAACTAAAACTTATAAAACAAAAAATAAAAGTGCTTGCCTGTTAAGGATAGGGGGTGGTAATTGCACAGAACTAAAACTGGGAGGGAGATTTTTCACTCTAAAACCTTTTTGTGTAACCACATGAATATATTACCTATCCAAGAAAATAAATTTAAAAATTGTAATATTATGTTTTCAACTTTCTTCATGATTTACCAAGTACTATGTGAAAACAAATATCCTTCCCCACTTCCTCAGCCTCCTCCTATCCCTAATCCTGGAGTGAGGCTCAGGTACCATTTAAGCTAAAAAAAAAAAAAAAAAAAAAAAAAAAGAAGGTCAAAAAAAACTGATGGGTGTGTTACTTGGAAATTGCAAGAAGGGGCAGGTGCAGTGGCTCAGGCCTACAGTCTCAACACTTTGGGAGGATCAGGTGGAAAGATCACTTGAGGCTGGGAATTCAAGACCAGCCTAGGCAACATAGTGAGACCCCATCTCTATGAAAATAAAACATAAAAAAAAAACTAGCGAGGCATGGTGGCCTGCCTGTAGTCCCAGCTACTTGGAAAGCTGAGGTGGGATGATCACTTGAACCCAGGAGTGAGCTATGACCACGCCACTGAACTCTAGCCTGGGTGACAGAGCTAGACCTTATCTCTAAAAAATAAAAAATAAATAAAAAACAGCAATTTTGCATTTTGATGGGGCTGTATCAAAATGTCCCACATACAGTCACACAGATAGGAAGAGAGGGGTGGGAGGGAGTGCTTTGGATTTTGTACCTGGGCTGCAGAGAGTGCCCAGGTATAGAATTGAAAGCACTCCCTCCTGCCCAACCCCCACCCACACCACATGCTCTCCCTCCACCCCCACCCCAGCCCCTGCCCCTACTGGCGGGCCCTGCTTGCACCTTAGAATCACCTGGAAAGTTTTAAAGACAATGCCAACACCCCAACCACACACCAAACCAAGCAAGCCAGCTGGCCCTCCCTCACATCCAGGCGCTGGCTGTGGTCGTAGTGGCACATTTGTTTGTGTGATTGTTTGATTAGTGTCTTACTCTCTTAGACAGTGAGCTCATGGATCCAGCGTTTACCATTGTATACCATGTGCCGAGCGAACAGTTGGTATTCAATAAATATTAGTTAAATGAATGAAGAAAGGGAGGAATTAATTGTGGAATCCACGAAACGATGAAAGGAAGATGACAAGGCAAGGAGGTGAGGCAAGGAGCAGGCCTCTCAGGGAGACCCCATTAGGCCCAACAGCCCACAGTGGGGGGCCCAGGACCAGGGCTGACATCCACACCAAGACCTGACCCCTTACTTGGCTGTGATAGGCAACTTGTTTTCTCCAGGGAGCTGATGGATCCTACCAAGGGCTGAGGAAACATTGATCTTCAACCCTAATCACGGAAGGCTTTCTGATTGGTAGGCACTAAGCGCAGCCCAGGGGCAAGAAGCAAGGCTGGGCCCCTCTGCTCTGGACAACACCACTTCTGGAGCGCCCAGTAAGGACTCTCGTATTTGCACATGACAGAAACTGGCCAAATGGCAAAATGCCATACAGGTCACCCTGCCCTAGGCTTTTGGCCTTTCTCCTGAACATGCTAAAAGGAGTCATGAGCTGCCACATGGATTTAATAAACCAGATACCCATGATACAAACCAAGCTGACAAAGTAGTCCCCTAGGAGATCAGAGGTGTGGTCCTCTCCTTTGGAAAACATCTCCCCCTCCACCCACCAGTATAATAGCCCAGCAGCTCGTTGCCCAGGGAGGTATTGGGAGTCCTAGCAAGCCAGAAGGAATGGACCAGTAGACTAAAGGGCAGTAAGAGCTAATACCGAGGTGGACACAGGATCCAAGTTGAAGGAAAGTTGCTTCCCAAAGCCAAACCCAAAGTGGGAGAACTGCACACCCCCCAATCCTGCCTTCAACGCTAGCAATATAATGAATGAGCATTTATCAAAGTTTTCCTGAGCCTGGGGCTGTGCTAAACCCTATGTGTGTATTATCTGTAGGTACTCTTATTGTCCCCATCCACCAGATGAGGAAACTGAGGCACAGAAAGGCTAAATAACTTGTTTAAGTCTTTGAGGCTTTGCTGCGCAACACGATAGCCACTAAGGACATGCCACTATTGAGCCCTTGAATGTGGATAGTTTGAACTGGGGTGTGCTGTAAGGAACAGGATGTACCTGTGTCCCAAATAGCTTCAGATTGTATCCAAACTGTATTATTTGCCTGTCAGTATTAATCTTGTTTCTCTACTGAGCTCTGAGCACATGGAGGACAGGTAATCTCCAGGGCGTGGTGCCAGCCACCCCACGTGGCCTTGGTCAGGGTCAGCAGAGAATGACCATGGCAGAGCCCCAAGTGAAATCCTTGCTGCCCCCTGGGGGAGACTCTGTGGGACCAGATTGAATGCACTGACCTTCCTCGGCCCTGTGAGGCAGCGTCACCAGCTCAGTTCTGTGGGAAGAGATGGGGGAAGGGTCTGGGGACACTCAAAGTGGCCCAAACTCTTTCTGCTTGCTACACATGCTCAGCCCCAGGGGGCCCACAGACTCCCTTCAAATCCCGGCTCTGCTTCTCACGTTCTGCCCTTTCTGGTCATGAGATGGGAGGTATGGTGGGCTGCAATGGCAGCTCTGCAAGTGTCACCCTCCCTCCCTGCCTTTCCTGTTAGCCAGAGAAGCTGAGTGTATTAGTCCATTTTCACACTGCTATAAAGGCATACCTGAGACTGGGTAATTCATAAACAAAGGAGGTTTAATCGACTCACAGTTCTACATGGCTCAGGAAACTTATAATCATGGCAGAAGGTGAAGGGGAAGCAATCACCTTCTTCACAAGGCGGCAGGAGGGAGAGAGCTTGCAGGGGAAACTGTCCCTTATGAAACCATCAGATCTCATGAGAACTTCCTAACTATCACGTGAACAGCATGGGGGAACTGCCCCCATGATCCAATCACCTCCCACCGGGTCCCTCCCTAGACTCATGGGGATTACAATTCAAGATGAGATTTGGGTGAGGACACAGAGCCAAACCATATCACCAAGTGTGAGAATGATGACAGGGTCACAGCCAACTCTGTAGGAAGCCTACAACACCAGTCACCTCCAAGAGATGCCATATTCCACACAGATACACAAATTATGTCTACTAGCTACCCAAGAAAAGTAAAATCAACAGACCAGTGAACACTACATTTTGGGATGCAGCTTGGTGGAGCTGGGGATCTGGATTAGAAAGAAGCAGGGAACACTCCCCCTGCTCAGCACGGCGCCCGGCGTGTGGTGGAAGTTAATGCACACGGCTCATGCCCTGCACATGCTGTTCACTGCCTGGAACAGCTGCCCCACCCGACAAACCCCACCCTTGCATGTTGGGCTCTGGCTGCCCCTCTGTGGAACCATCCATGCCCTCCCACCGGGGAAACGGTGTCTCCCACCTCCATCCCACTGCCACCCCTTATACTGACCCCATGACAGTGCCCAGCCTGGTGCCACCCTCCCCACTTCTAGGGGAGTATTAGACACGAGGCCCTGCTTGGAGAAGCCTGTTCAGCACTGAAACAAGCACCGTTTTATCTCAAGCTTCCCATTTTTATTCCAAACACAAAATAGAGAAGTTTTATCAAGCACATTCAATCACCACTCTTCCTCCTTTCCTCGCATTCCAACAAACGCGATTTAAGCCTTGGCAGGCTCGAACAAATGGGAATCAAAATTCAAGTCACTTTACAACACATCCTGGAGTTCATTCATCCTCACGTTGATTGCTTCAGTCATCCTTCACCAAGCGTCTTCTGGGAGCCAGGGGCAGTGCTACACCGCGGCATCCCATGGTGGTCTCTGCCCTCCAGAGGCTGCCAGTCTAATGGGAAACAGCTTGCTGCGTCTTTAGTTGTCTGTCTATATGGCCCTGTGCTATGACAGAAAAATGAACAGAATGCTGTGGGAATACAGATGATGGAGGGAAGGACGAATCTGTCTGGAGGGATCAAAGAGGACTTCACGGAGGAACTGACATGTTAGCTGGATTTTTTTTTAAATGACAAAGCCAGGTTTATTGCTCTGGGTTGAACCTGTGAAGGTAGGACCTGGGAAGGGGGACAGGGGCAGATGAGATTGGTGACTGTATCTTCCTGGCCATTGCTGGGTTCTCAGCACCCTAGGATCTGCTGCCCAAGGGCCAGGCCCCCAATGAAGTTCTAGGTGAGACCCAGTGCTGGGGGACAGGGTGGTCTTCCTGACAATGCAGCCTGTGGGATCACCTGTAAGGTCCCATCATGGAGGTGGGGGCTGCAGTGTTGGCCTGTGCTGGGGCCAGCATCCTCAGGAAGGTGTCTTGTTGGAGGAGGTGGCAGCAGCCACCCCTTTCTTCTTGGTCGGGGCCTTCAGCAGTGCCAGCTTCTTGGGCAGGCTGTTGCTGGCTTTCATCACCACGGCATGTTCGATCTTCTTCCAGATCCTGACTTCTAGATTCTTCTTAAGCTTTTGCTGCTGACCGACGCACGCCTTCTCGGGAGCTGTAAAACGACCGTCTTTCCTGCGGCCCCGGTTCCTTTCAGAGGCCGCCGCTGCCTCTTCCCTGGCTTGGGCGCCTGGAACTTGCGCTGCCCCTGCGCTAGGATCCCGCACGCAGCGGAAGAGGCCAGCTGGATCTTAAAGGATAAGAAGAAAGGAAGAGATGTTCCAGGCAAAGGGAACATACATGAGAATGCAAGAATGTAGGAAAGGGCACTGTGAATTCCGAACACAATGAGAAAAATTCCACACACCTGGACTATAAGGTGCACGTGCAGGAGTATTGCTGATGAGGCCAGGGAGAAAAGTTGGGTCCACGTGTTGAAGGGCTATGTGTGTTGCTGTAGGTGGCAGGGAGCTGATGGTATCTATTTTGTAGAAAATTAACTCTGGGCAGGGTGCAGTGGCTCACGCCTGTAGTCCCAGCACTCTGGGAGGCCGAGGAGGGCGGATCACGAGGTCAAGAAATCAAGACAATCTTGGTCAACATGGTGAAACCCCGTCTCTACCAAAAATACAAAAATTAGCTGAGCATAGTGGCGGGCGCCTGTAGTCCCAGCCACTCAGGAGGCTGAGGCAGGAGAATCGCTTGAACCCGGGAGGAGAAGGGTGCAGTGAGCCGAGATTGTACCACTGCACTCCAGCCTGGCGATAGAGTGAGACTTTGTCTCAAAAAAAAAAATTTTTTTTCACTTCAAAAGCTGGGTGAAAATCAAGACTATTCTGGAGTGCATAAGGTGCCCTACTGGGCACAGCATATTGGACCCTTGCAGAAGAGCATTGACTCTTTATGTTAAAGGTCTGTTTGCTACAGACTAGACAGATAGGAGTGGGGAAATTAATCTCCTAAATAGGGGATGGCACAGGTGTCCCCACTCCTGCCTCCCATGGCCATGACAGGCATTGCTAATCAATCACAGCACTACTTTCTGGTGAGTCTGGTCTTGGCCCCAGATTCTTCCCAATACAGAGCTCCATGTTACCACTACAATTTAGCCGAGGCGGCACATGAAATGAAGCATATTTTCCATTATTACACCAGGGAAATAAGCCTATTATAGACGTTAGTCCAAACTAAGCAACATCAGCTAGTAAAGCTTAATGTAAAAGTTCCTAAGAAGTACTATTCAAAATAAACACAATGAGTTGGAGGGGAAGAATCAAGTTCATAGCCTTGAGAAAGTAGCATTTAAAAGTGCCCGGGGGCCGGGGGGTCTTGGGCCTCGAGATTAATTTTTTTCCAACGCAGCAGACCCACAGGTTAATCATCATAAAGCTGTCACTCTCTCCACCCTGCACTTGGAGATGATAAGAAATGTTCAAGGCCTTGCCACCGCAGGTTTTACCTTCCAATTTCCCCTTTCACCTGCAGGAGAAGGGAGTTGCAAAGTGCAATGTAAAAAAGAAATCAATTAGGATTCCTAAAGTGGGTGAGGGGCCAGCCATATTCCTGGTCCAGCCCAACAAGTCGGCTGTTCCCCTGGCTAGAACGAGGCAAGAATCCATCTGGCCATGGCCCCCTGCCCTGTCTCAGTCCAGAATTCCAGAAGGATAGCAAGGCTCAAGTTCTGAAGATCCGGGCTTTGTGCTTCAGGAGTGGCCTTTGGCAAGGAAATGGGACAAGCAAATACCACATTGGTCTTTTGATCCTCTGTGCTTGACCTCTGCCCAGGGCCTCCATTTCCTTTTCACACCTCCCAGCTCCACCCCAAAAAGCAGAAGAAAAGCAGTACTGGCCCCTGGGGTTCCCACTACCAAGTGCCCAGAAAAGCTGGAAAGGTGCAGGGAGAAGGAGTCCCACCCCATTCCCCTGAGCACGCCTCCACCTTCTGTGCAGGGCCCCACAAACAACTGTCTATTTGCTTCCTCTTCACCTAAGTAGGAGGCCCCAGCAGCTATGGCTGGTCCCTAATAGGGTGGGAGCCCAGCTCCCCAGACCCTAAGTCAGCCGGCATCTGTGAATCCTGAAGTTCCCTCACCCACAACGAAAACCCACAAGGACCCAGCAAGCAGGGCAGGACACTGGAAATCTCATCCAGTGTGGACTTTAGAACTGGAAGACATGCATGGGAGGGAGGGTCCTTCTAGACCAGGACTGAGTCCCCAACCCCCTAGAGGCTGAATCCTTAACCCCAGCCTCAGCTTCCTCCTCTATAAAATGGGAATTCTAATACTGACTTTGCAAGCTTATTGGAAGGATTAAAAACTGGGTACAGGAGGAGCCACCTAACAGAGTAGTTGGCACACAGCAGGAGCTCAGCACAGGCACAGCTACTAGCTGGACCATCTGCCTAGACCATGTGAATGGCAGGAGGCCTGGAGCTGTGGCTCATTCATACTGGGTGGTGGAGAGGTTGCTGTTTTCACTACCAAGTGAAGCTTCTGCCATGGAGCGTTCAATCCCTCAGCCCATGGTCACCCCTGAGGCCCATGAAATTTCAAGGAGATTCTGTAGGATTAGGAACAGAAGGAACTGGGCCAGCCTCCAACCAGCCTTTGCCTCTAGGGCAGTGGCCTTTGTGAGACACACTCACTGCCAGCACCCCCACCTCCCGGGCCACCTGAATGCCTGGCAGGGTTTGTTTTCCTCTAAGCATGACCAGGTCCATCCCAGAGCTGGGCAATCATTCAGGGAGTTCCCACAGCATCTGCCTAATATATGCGCCCCTATCACGTCAACCTCAGGCTGGGGTGGGACAGTCTGGGTAAATGACTTAATAGCAGGACAGTCACATGCCTGATATTCACTGCACCTTCCTCCCTTTCCACCTTTCCAGCCTCAGCCTGGACTCATGATAGAGAGACCCACGTATCCCACAGCAAGCGGGTTCCCCAAGCCATTCAGCTTTGGCCCCAAATACACCCAGCAAACCGAAAGCTCCTCAGATGGTTGTCTCCACCCTATTTAGGGACCATCTTATGCTCTTGGCACTCACTCTGGGAGACTATGCTGTATCCCACGCAGCTTATCCAAAAAGGATCTTCCCATTTCATCAAACTTTCCCTGTAAGCACTTGAGTAAACATTGCCTGTGACATTAAATTTCCAGTGGGTTTTTTTGTGTGTGTCCCCTACAGATGGGGCTCTAGACAGCTGCCCATTGCTTAATACTGCTAAGGTGCCAAGGTAATTTCCTTCTTAGAAACTCACAGCCCCACAAATGCCAGCCATTGTCCAGATGATGCCAGGTCAGACTCCAGCCCATGGCGGCAGCTTCTCTTAATCCCCTTTCACTGCTGAAAGGACACGCATATCTCCAAGTCATTGCAGCTTGCAAAATGCTTTCCCAGCTTGATCTCTTTTGGCCAAAGTTGTGGGATTTTGGGTGGGCAGAAGGCATCATCTTCCTCCTATAACTGAGAAAACAAATGGGCAGAAAAGTAGCCCAGGGGCCCATGGAGCTAGAAGTGGCAGAGAAATGGCAAGGATGTCTCTTGGCAGATCCAGAACACAACAGACATGTCTGTGCCTTGAATTTTTAAACTATTTACATAGTATTTAAGCTTCTTTGGCTACAAGTTGAAAGAGATAACAGATGGGACCCTCTGGTAAAGAGAGAGGTGAAGATTGGGCAAGATACGTAGAGACAGGGGAAATCTGCAGCAAGAAATAGTTTTGATAGTATGAATACGGACCATACATTGAGCACTTACTACATACTTCACATCCATCATCACATTCTACCCAACTTGTGAGAGGATATCATCCCCATTTTACAGCTGAGAAAACTGAGGCTCAGAGAAGAGAAGTGACTGTGCAGATACTCACCCAGTAAATGGAAAAGCCTGATACATACCCATGTTTTTCTGAACCCCTGACCCATCACATCAGTCACTACGCCGCTCCAGTTGCAGCCCGGTTCTGCCCCTTCCAGCTCCATGGGGTGCCGGGCTGTTTTTCTGGCCCTTTCTGTTTCCTCAATTGTAGGAGGCAGATCATGCCTTCTGCCCAACCCAACTCCCAGAACTTTGACCAAAAGAGATCAAGGTGGAAAAGCATTTTGTAAACCTGCAATGAACTGGAACTACCAAGCATCTCCCGGCCTTCCTGCTGAATCAGAGCAGATTCCTCCAACGGAGGATCTTGCCCCTCTTTTCTCCCACCACTCTACAGGGCACTGGTTCCTCCTCTTTTTCTTGGAAATGCTTCTAAAATCAACAAGATCATAGGCATCGAGCCCCAGTCATGCCAACATCAGGCGCCTGGAACCCTGAGCCCTGCAGGTCGGTCATTCTCATCGGCCCCCTCGCATGATCCAGAGCAATTACTTGCTTAAAATTCAAAGCCAGGTTGCACAGGGCCCCAACGTGGGAAAATGTCATGATTTTTCCCATGTGAACAAGTGACACAAAATATGAAAATAGCAGAGGGACTCCACCCCACCGCTGATTGGTCTCGCACAGCTAAAAAGGAGAACACGGTTTTATGACGGGACAAGATCAACAATGAATTGGCTTGTAGGGAGGAAAAGAGATGATATAATATTTTCTTGAGCTAAAGGGACTAAAAATAGTGTGAGGTTTTCCAAGTGATGGTGGTGGTGGTACTTCGGGATGTGGCTGCCAATCATATATTGCAACAGCTATTGGCATGTTCAGAGCCGTTCACAGGGACTGGCTGCTCACCCAGCTCCAGGAACAAGGAACAAGCAGAGGTCCGCCTGTCCCCATTATTGTACCTTTGCTCCTGCAGTGCCCCTCCCTGAAATGCCCTTCCTTCAGCCCACGCTGAATCCAGACATCCCATGTCCTGAGCTCCAGCCAGCTACTCTAGGCGGCATTTCTCAAACTTTTTCCCCAAATCACTCCAACAGCAGAGGAGAATTTGCAGGGGGCTGGGTGAAGGGTGAAATTTGAGACTTGTCTGTCGACACCAACACAAGCACTAAATTTCCTCCAAATCTCAGTTTCATCCTGAGAATTCATGAATGTCATTTACCTTAAAAAGTTTAAACTTATTTTAGTATTTAAAAATCAGTTTGTTTCCTGATGTCACAGTTATATGGTTACTCAGAAGGGCTGTTTGCCTTGTGCCATCAAGAGCTTCTTGGTCCAATGCTGCCAGTGTGGAGTGCCCCTCAGCGAGAAAACAAAGGCCTTTGCTGAGGACCTCAGAGCTTCTGTGGCCATTGAGGCAACTCATTCATTCATCCATCAATTCATTCATTTATTCATCCAATAGGTATTTACCAAACTCCTCCTCAATGCCTACTATCAGGGATACAGCAGGAAGGAGTCCAACCCTCCAGGAACCCCATCTCATGGAGGAGACAGACAAGGACACTGTGTGTCACAGCCTGGTGGCAAGTGCTCCAGCAGAGACTAATTATAGGGGCTTTGGAAAGTGGGCACCGGGGCTCAGGAAAGCCTTCCTTGCAGGGAAGGTGCACGCCAGGCTACAACCCAGCCTAACAGAGAACAGCCATGTGTCACGGGGCAAGCCGGTTAACCACTCAGTTTCTTCATCTGTGAAATGGGTATAATAGAATCATATGGCTTTCATGAGGATTAAATGTATTCAATTAAAGCAGTGCAAAGTGCTTACTATGGCACCTGATCCATACTAAGTGTTCAATAAATATTACCTATTGAGCTGGGACCTGAGGAATGGGTGGAATTGGGATGTGGGGGTGAAAGAGGAGAAGGAGGGAAAAAGAGAAGAGTATGTTTCAAACACAAGGAACAGCATGCTTAAGAACAAATATTCAATACATATTTCTTGAATGAATACATTCTATAAGGGAAATTAGAGTAATGCAATCTTGATAAGCCACACCCTTTGTCTATTGTTTCCTGGTGAGTGTGTGTAGGTGGCACTGAGTGGCACCTGAGCCAGGCACCCAAAGGCAAGTCCACTGCACTTTTCTAAGCAGGATATGAACTCCTTAAGGGCAGAGATCGCATCTTTCCCCTCTTGGGATCCCACATTTCTGAGCCAGGGTGAGCTGCAGGGTCTTATTTTTGTATCTCCAGGGGTGACTCATTCACCCCTCTCCTCCCTCTTTTGGCTATTTCACCACCACTTCCATCCTGGGGAAAGGCCTTGGCCAAGATCATTGGAGAGAACCAGGTGTCCCACTTCATGGAAGGACCTGAGTAATGCAGGCTGGGGGCAAACAGCCCTGGATTTGTATTCAAGTCCTAGCTCTGCCAGCAGGAGGCTCTGGGTCCTTGGCTGAGTCACCTGGGACACCAGTCCAGAGATGGTTCTCCCATGAGGAGCAGACTTCAGAGGTTTTGATGGGAAAGGATGACTAACCATCCCAGTTCTCCCTGGACTGAGAGGTTTTCTGGGATTTGGGACTTTCAGTGCCAAAACCAGGAAGGCCCAAGGCAAACAGAGATGAAGTGGTCACCCTACAAGGTGGCCCCAGGGAAACCATTCTCACTCCCAAACTTGTTTCTCCTCTCCCACATTCTGCCCCCTCTACCTCCCCAGACCTGAGTCGCAAGTCAGTACCAAATAACATCAGAGTCCTTTAGCTTCTTCGCTGACTCATGGATCTGTGTCTTTGCAGGAGAAGGAGAGAGGATGAGGAAGAAAAAGCGTCTGGCATTGCCTCCATGATGCTTCCACACTCGAGGTTGGCATCAATACTCTGTTTGAGGGGGAGGACTGGGCCACATTCTCTCAGAAAGTCCATGTAGGGCCAAAACCAGCTAGCCAGGGTGCTGGCAAGGCAAGGGAATGGAGAGATTGGTCCACTCTGCTCTCAAGAGGTCAGGGTGATGGAATTTATGACCTCTGGTGGCGCTGAGCCCACCACTCCTCCCCATGAGGGCTAATTGGACTGGTCAGTCTGATGCTGACCCGCTAGGCAGAGTGTGGGCAGGAGGCTGCAGGGGGCTGTCCTCATTCAGGCCCCAACCCTACCCACACTGGGAAACCCAGGACAGTCCCCTGGGGCCGCTTTTCCGATCCCCTTGGCATGCCCACCTCAGAGATCGCAGCAGGCTCCCCGTCATCCCATCCAAGAGACCTCTCGTGCTTTCAATTACCAATCCCCATTTACGTCAAGGTTGAGGCTTGAATGCCAGGCTATATTAGGCCATGCAGAGCCAGGCCTGTTATGCTTTCTCGTTAGCCACATCACATCGTATTTTTAGGGGTGGCCAATGCCAGGATGCCAGTTTTCTTCCTGAGTTCCCTAGAACCACCTCCATAAAAATAAATAAATAAATAAAATCACACTTGAAGGTCCAAGGGCCCCTGTAGTTCCCACCACAGTCTGGAAAGGTACCCTCTGCAACCAGGGACAAAGAACTAGATAAATCTGAGGCAATGAGGGACTGTGCCTATTTTTCCATCCCCTGCAGCTGCCTGCATCCACGACCCCAAAGCCCTGCTGAGCCTCTGGTTCCTTGTGGCCCAGTACAAGAAAACAAAGATCCACGACTCTTGTGGGAACCAAACGCCCTTCCTTGGAGCAGCCTCTTCTGTCCCTCCCTGTCCCTCTGCGGACCCCCAGCACTTCAGTGCGGGGCTCCTGTGCTCTGTCATCCACCATGTCCATCAGCACTGTGGCAAGGAACATTAGAGTTTGCAAAGCGCTGCCTCACCTGTGGTCTCCTTAGACTTACCTTTGGAGTGGGGTGGTAGGATACCCATTTTACAGATGAAAAAGTAGAAACAGTGGAAGGGGAGATGGTGTGCTCAAGTCAGGAAGACAGTAAATGGGAGGGTCAGAGCCTCTTTGCACGGCCCCAGGGGCTCGGCTCAGGGGCCAGGCCCAGCTGCCTATACAAGTCTACACACTTGGTAACCCAGGAGGAGCTGCTGTACATTTGAGTTCCTTTCCCAAAAGTATACTCCTGGAGGTAAGAAGCCCTGGAAGCACTGTGCCCTCTGTACTGCACTCCCTTCCCAGCCTCCTCATGCCCAGGACAGGCAGCTTCCATAGGGCTGGGGACTGGGGCAGCCAAGAGGGAAGAAGTGCTCTCTGTGACTTTCCACTTGTTCTCCTCCCCCAATTTTATAGTGATTCTCTCTCTCTCTCTCCCCCTCCATCTCTCTGTCTCTCCCTCATACACACACACACACACACACACACACACACACACACACACACACACACACAGAAGCACATCTGGGATCCAGCAAGAGACCCCAGACCATCTCAGGTGGGGGATGGAGGGGCAGGGTCACTCCTCTAGTGAGCTGTAAGTTTCTTCCCTGGCCAACAATTGAGCATGCTGCCAATGTGCTGGGGCATATGGTTGAGGAGGGGCTCCCACGGAGGCGCAGTGGGCAAGCTGAGGCAGAGGTGGTAGGAATCAGGGCCTGCTGCTTTGAGAGCAAGGCTGGGTCTTCCTGCCTCCATGAGATCCTGAGGATATGGCTGCAGACAGTAGAGGATCAGGGACCAACTCCAGGTCCCCTCCATGCTTCCCATACAAGAAGAATAAGGGCAAGTCCTTTGCCCATAGCTCTTTGGCCATTAGCCCCTCTATGTCCTTCAGACCCCATGGGGCAGGACACAGACCACCTAACAGAACTGGCCCAAGAGAAGGGCTGGCCCAGGGGAAGGACCCCACATCACCAGGGCAATGGACCTTGGTTAAATGGCCGTGGTTGCTTCCAAGTCTCTAGCTCCACCTCAGGCCACGAATCCAGGTCCATTCTCAGTAAAGCTAATGGGCCACATGAACCTTCCTCGGACAAAGAAGCAAAGTTCTAGCCTCCTTATTTCACTGGACCCCCACTCCCTGGGCCACCCCACCCACACCTCTCCTCCCACCCCTAACTTCTGCCCTCAGGCTCTTCCTTCACACCTACTGACCAACCCCATCACCATGGCAGCAAGAGCCCAAGGGTCAACAAGGCCATACCAAACACCCTCAACCTGCAGGCACTGTGATAGACCTCAGGTGGGGAGCGGGATAGGCACAGCCTTGACCCACCCAGCAGTTTCAGGCTAGAGAGGGAGGAAAGGCTTACATAGACCAATAAATAATAAATAATCAAATAATGTGGCAAGACAAGGATCCAGAATACATCCCCTTTCGTGGTGTGATGAAGCAGCCCAAAAAGACTGTAAATGGGAAACATGGAGGAATTTGGTGAGTCAGTGACACCCCAGCTGATTTTGGAAAGACAAAAGAAATGTGGTCCCCAACATTCCTCTCTTCCTTGAGACAGACATTCCTCATTCCTCAGGTGAATGAGGAACCCAGGTGTGCAGACTTCAGGGTCCACACATTTGACCACAATGCTCCTTTATTTTTCACTGGATTCATGTACACACATAGATGATTTACAGAGATTATTGGCATTTACAGAGTCTTGTGTCCAAATACTGTTGCATAGTTCTGAAAGCTGAACTTCTATAGAAATGTGAGGGGAATAAAGCAGAATATTTAAGTGCAGAAAGCTGGCAGCCCAAATGACCTATGCTCTCAGCTCATCTGGCTTCACTTTGCCAACTAGATCAAATAATGTCCCCAAAATGCAATGCACAAAAATACATACACTTTCCAACGATGTCTAAACCCATTTCTGGAAGGTTTCACCATGAAATAAGTCACTTGGTGGCAACAGCTCCTGTTACAGGACAGCCAGGATTTGGGCCATGCCTCTGGGACGATGATGGTGTTGTGCTATTTGCAGAGCCAGGAAATAGTTGTGAGAACGACCATTCTGTCCTCTTTAGAAACATGCAAATGGTAAGTTGGACCCTGAGACTGGAAGCCCAGACGGTCAGAAGTCCTCTACCTCCTATCCAATAACATAAAAGAATCCCAGAAATTGATGGATAACTGAAAGTTCCTCCCACCCTCCCAAGGAGTTGTTCCAAGTAACCTTATATACTCGACCTGTTGGTCCCCATAGGACAGCACGTGGGTTATGGGTTTCTGACCTTGGTTTGATGGACTCTAGATAAGTTCAAAGAACTGTTTAAGGCAGTGTCAACATAGTTTGAATTAGAAAGTTGATCATAACACAAGGACAAAGTGACACCCAACTAAAGAAGCAAAACAAAGAAATTCACTTCAAATTCACACAATCTTTGAGCATATTGATGAGGTGACTTTGACCCAAAGGTCACAGGACTGTATCTGTCAGGACTTCCTTGTTGTAAGTGACAGAAAACTCAACTCAGATTGGCTTAATTAAAAGAATGGGAATGTACTGGCTCATGAAATTTTTTAAAAGTCTAGAGATAGGTCTCACTTCACACACAACTAGATTAAGGACTCAATTGGTGTCATTAGGGCTCCATTTCTTTTCCTCTTTAAGAGCTCTTCCATCTTCCACGGTGGCCTAGGTCGTGGATGGACATGGCACATCCAGTGGGAAAAAACACTGCCTCTTTCTCAACAATTCCATTGAAAGTCTTCTGGAAACTTATTGGCTCTGACCGATTCAGGGATGGGCCCCTGACCCATTCATTGTGGTCACAGTGGGGGATACACTGGCAGGCTACAAACCTGGGCTTAGCTCATAGAGTCACCTTGGAGCCCACCCCAAACACACTGATTGAGAGTAATACATAGATGGGAGTGAGGCTATTGCCAGAAGAGAGAATGATGGCTGGGGAGGCAAACCACAGACATTCACCACATAACAAGCAGGTTGATTTTCATGCATGGCCTCCATCCCACACATGACCCTGATGAGCTACAGACTGAATCCAATCCCCTCAATACCATCACCATGGTTCTCTCTGCCCCAGTGAAAAGAGGTTGCTGGGAGTGCTGCAGAAAAGCAGGGAATATGCAGAAGGTACAAGAAAGTCTCCAACCCCACAAAGAGCCTGGAGCTGACACCTCACAAAGAGTGTCTTATGTCTACTGCTTCCATCAATTTTGCTCCCATCCTGCTCCCAGGCAGGGAAATGGTCCAGATCGCATCTGCAAAGCTGAGACCAGCAGAATCTGAGTCATCCCTGCTTCATGATAGTAGCAGCCCAGGGCTGGGTCAGAGAAAATGTGCATAAGACATTCTCCATTGTATTGCTGGGACAGAGAGTGAGGAATCATTATCACCAAATAGGTATCATCATCATCATCATCATCACTAAGAGGAGACAAAACCCAGAAGACAACAACAGCATATGCCAAATACAAACCAAAACAATTAAGAACTGAGAGAGGAAGTGACCACATTAGTCATCAGGACAACTGAAGTAAGATTGGACAGCACAAGGCAAGTGAGTTGTGGTGAGTGATTCAGGACTAACACTGCGAACAGTGAGCACACACCAGAGCTGCTGCAGATGAGCAAGGGCAGTGATGGGGTGCCAAGACCCTGCCCGACCCAGGCCACACAACAGAGAACCCAGATGAAGTGGCTATGAATACATGCCCAAGTGACCCTGACTTTGAGGCAGGGATCCATGGAGGTTCCATGGAGGGTGGCATGGAGGACAGGAGTCACCCAGAGAGCAAAACAAAGGCTGACCTTTGTTGCTGCACACACAAAGGATGACCAGGAATGGTACTGTCAAGCCCTGAGCCATATGAGCTTATTAGTTCTGACCCCTTTCTCCTTTCTGGTTCTTCCCTACAGATCCAGGGCCATCCTTACTTAATGAGCTGAGACCACGTTTTGCCTCCAGCCTAAAAGCTGGGACAAGAACACCTTCCTCCAATTCCACTGTCCTGAGCACTGGCAAACTCCTAGATCGGGGTTCTGTTTTCAATCCCTCTCTCTGTGTTTAAAAGCTAAGGCTTTCCCCCAACTCAAAGCAATCATTGCCATATATATAGATATATATACAGAGAGAGACAGAGGAAAGGCATATGTACATGTATAGTATATGACATGTGTGTGTATCCCATACACACACACTTGTGCATGCACACACATCCACTCCTCCATATCTTCAAGATCCTGCACAAAGCTGTTCTCTCTGAGGATCCTTCCACAACCCTCCAGGCAGTGCCTATCCCAGCCCTTGACAGACTATAGGTGTGTGATGGTTACTATTAAGTGTCAACTTGATTGGATTGAAGGATGCCTAGATAGCTGGTAAAGTATTGTTTCTGGGTGTGGTCTGTGAGCATGTTGACAGAGGAGATTAACATTTGAGTCAGTGACCTGGAAGAGGAAGACCCACCCTCAATGTGGATGGGCACCATTTAATCATCTGTCTCATGGCTAGACAAAGCAGGCAGAAGGGGGAAGAGCTGGCTTGCTGGGTCTTTTGGCTTCATCTTTCTCCCATGCTGGATGCTTCCTTCTCTTCCTCTGATGCCCTTGGAAGACTGCAGGTTCTTCTGCCTTTGGACTCTTGACTTACATCAGTGATTTGCCAGGGGCGCTCAGGCCTTGGGCCACAGACTGACAGCTGCACTGTCAGCTTCCGTGCTTTTGAGGCTTTTGGACTGAGCCACTACTTGTTTCTTTCTTCCCCAGCTTGCAGACAGCCTATCGTGAGACTTTGCCTTCTGATCATGTGAGCCAGCTCTCCCCTATACACTCCCTTTCATACAGACATATATCCTATTGGTTCTGTCCCTCAGGAGAACCCTGGCTAATACAAACTGTACCCACACAAGTCTTTGTACATCCCATCTTCACTCTGTAGTTGTTTCAAGCACAAAAATGCATCAGAGACACAGGTCTTGGGAAGTCAGACATCTGCAGATCTCATCAGGTTTGATCTTAGCCCTTGTACCAAATCAACCACTGATAATTTAAGAGCGAGGACTTTGCCAGCCAGGAGGCAGGCTCTTCCCTGGCGGACAGCACTTCCTCTGTCCTTAAAACACAAGTACTTACATTCTCTTTCCTGCGGAACTTAGCCCCTGTGAGGTGAGCGATTCCCTCTGTCTTTGTGCACATCCAGGTGTGGAGCAGCCATGTAACGTGTGTGCCTTGTCACACTTGACACCAGGTTCTCATCTCTGCATTCACAATTCCTGCATTAACGTGGTTCTCAATGGTCCCATCTACTGACTTAGGTGTATTTCATCACATTAAGTATCATTCACTCATTCATCCACCGAATGTTTACTGGATGCCTACTATGGGTTGTAGGTGACTCAGATTCAGCAGGAAACAAAGTCCTTGGATGTGGCATCATAAACAGGCAGCCACACGCTATGGGAAAAGCTGTGGACTGTGCTCCTGAAGAAGTGGTAGAGCAGAGACTAAACTCTGAGTAACTTTGGCGTGTCACATAGATCCACCACAAAGTCAGAATGACAATATGCACCCGCTTGTGGTACTGCACGAGAACTCAGATATGAAGAGGGCATCGCAAACAACCCTGATGCATATGTGGTGTTACGAGAATATGCCATGTCCCTATGAGTGGACATTGGATAGTTTTCAATGCTTGCTAACATAGACAGCATTATTGTGGGCATCTTTTTTCTCTTAATATTAGTTCTTTAGTGAGTGTTTTTCAAGAGTGTGACAGTGGAGAAAAATAATATTGTAAGTAATGTTATGGCTCATCTTACAATATTGCCAGATTTCTCTCCAGAAGATAAGGCCCAATTTACATATCATACCAGGTATGTATGAAGACATGTGTTTCTAGGTGGGCTATTTAAAATATTAGCACCCAATAGAGCATGAGCATGCAGCAGTCAGAACGGACACCTGCTGTCGACCTCCAGCACAGCCGTGGCTTTCCTGGCCTTGCATTCTATGATTTCTCCTTTTTACTGTGATTTTATTATGCGATTTTATTATTTCCATATTTTTTTTTACTGTGAGATATCCCACAGTTGTTCTCAGGCTCATTTCTTTCATTGCTAGAAAGTTTTTCCATTAACCAAATGGAGATGCATTTACTTCCCTATGTGCCGATCATCAACATTGATATCAAACTCCTCTTATTATAAGGAATCAGTCTTAAATGTGCAGGATTGGAAATTTTTCTGAATATTTTCTACCTAATGTATTTTCCCATTGTGTTGATTTCCTTTTTGGTGAAACTGGTTTTTTTTTCTGCTGTAAACATCTATTTTTGAATTTTTATGAATGATTATGTCCATCTTCTCTCATCACAGCCTTCATTTCTTCAATAGACATAACATATCTTCCCTCTAAACTGGAGACACTATAGTGTTTCCTTCATGCTTTCAAAGAATTTTTCATTTTGCTACAAAAGTTATACATGATGATTACAGAAAAATGTAAGATGAAAATTTTAGGAAAAAATTGACTGCAAACACTCCACCCACAGGTAACTACTAACAGTTTGGTGTTTCCAGTTTTTTTGTTTTTTAATGTTTCAATTTCTATGAGATCATACTGTATTGGTTATCATCTGTCTTTTTCTCTTAAATCTGTATTATGAACAGTTTTCACATAGATTGGTTTTCTTCTTAAATACACAAAATATTCCAGTATATAAATGAAATAAACGTTGCAGTTAATCCCCTATTATTGGTGAGAACTACTGTTTCTAATTTCTTGCCATTGCCTATAACACAGTGAGTTACTCTAGTTATTAACTTTATCTCCAACATGAAACTCAGGACAGGAATTAGATCTTTCCCATTTTGTATCCTCAGGACTTAGCACAGTGACAAATTCACAGTAAGTGCCAAATAAATAAGTAAATAATAGCTAATCATTACTGAGCAATTACTTTGCACCAGACATTGTTCTAAACACTTAACTTACATTAACTTGTTTGTTTCTTACCAAAAAAGCAAACAAAAATTTTTACATATGAGTAAACCAAAGCATAAAGCAGTAAAGAAAGTACTCCAATTAGCTCCCTTCACTTCCTCCTATTTGCTCTGCCCTTTCAGAACTTACACTGGGACAAAAACAGGGAACTCTGGCGCGGCCCTGAAGTGAAATATGGATCCACAGGCCACATTCCACAAAACTGGGGGAGCAGGAAGCAAGTGTTGGAGATGGAATCGAAGAGTGTCCAGAGATTACACAGAGGCAGCCCTGCCCCCAGACCTACAGCTCACAGGACCAAAGCCATCTTCTATATCCAATGCTGAGTTATTACTGCAAAGTCATCACCTCGTTTAATTCTACAGCAGCCCCATGAGATAGGTAATATTTTACCCATTTTTACCTGATGCCATGGGGAAAAAACAACTTGTCCAGCGTCACATAGACTGCCAGAGTTGAGGCCAGGATGCAAACCCCAGTCCATCAGAAACCAAAATCTAAGCTCTTCATAGCCCCATGCTGAAGAGCTTTGGAGAACTCATGAGTTAGGGGTAGCTTAGATGGGAGAAACCTTTCCCCTCTAAGGGGAAAATCTGCATGTCTTAGGATTTCCTTTAGGTTTACGTCTTTTCTTACTTCTTTCTTTCTTTCTTTTTTGAGACAGAGTCTCCCTGTATCACCTAGGCTGTAGTGCAGTGACATGATCTCTGCTCACTGCAACCTCCACCTCCTGAGTTCAAGCAATCCGCATGCCTCAGCCTCCCAAGTAGATGGGATTACAGGCATGCGCCACCATGCCCAGCTATTTTTGTATTTTTAGTAGAAACAGGGTTTCACCATGTTGGCCAGGCTGGTCTTGAACTCTCAGCCTCAAATGACCCACCTGCCTCAGCCTCCCAGAGTGCTGGGATTACAGGCATGAGCCACCACACCCGGCCCTTTTGGTTTAGTTCTGAAACTCTTCTCACCAAAAGCTCTCCAGTAGTGGGCACAGAAGAACTGGGGAAGATACCAGTCTCTGGCCCCAATCCATCTGAATGAGAAGAAAGAGTGATGAAAAGACCCTCCCTCAGAGCTTTCCAGAATGGGAGGGCAGGGGGCAGGCCCATGAGTAGCTCCTCTCAGCAGCAGCACGGTGCCCTCCACCATGTACCCCTATTGGGCATTTGCCACCTTTGGAGATGGAGAGTGGAACTGA
Source organism: Homo sapiens (assembly GCF_000001405.40). Taxonomy (NCBI): domain Eukaryota; kingdom Metazoa; phylum Chordata; class Mammalia; order Primates; family Hominidae; genus Homo; species Homo sapiens. The sequence continues at coordinate 111,089,269 of NC_000010.11, read as the reverse complement.
CAGGAAGACAGACCCAAGGATTAAGCCTCAGTATAACTGATGCCAAACCCCAGGTTCTTTCCACTATTAAAATTTAAAAGTGTGGTGGTGTATCTTGGCTTTAAAGTGTGGTGTGATTTTGGGAGGCAGCAGAGGGATCACGTATGTGGCATTCCACATGCAGGAGAATCTAAGCAGAGTTATGGAGGCAGAAATGAGCATTATGTTCAGAAGATAGTTAAAATGACCTGGGGTGCAGCGAAGCAGCAAGGAGCACTAACCTGGCACCAGGAGATCTCAGTTTCAAGTCTAGAAATGCATCGTGGTCGTTACAGGTCTCGTATGGGTCCTGGAGCTCTTCTAGGCCCACCCTCTTGTGCTATTGAAGACACAAGGTCTTCCATCAGGCTGGAAAAAGAGAAAGCTAAGACCTAAGTGGTCAAATCTCTGTCACAAATCACCCTAAAACACTGCCCCACCCAGCCCACCTCAGCCCAGGGCAGTTACAGGAGTAAAAGGAACCACCCAACTCCCAAACTAGAGAAGAAAACGTTAGCACTACTGAGCCTCTACCAGATGCCAAGCATAGGCCTAAGCAACCTACCAAAACACTGGCAACTTCTTCTACAAGTTACATGTGGAGAAACTGGTGCTTAGCCATCTGTTCAAGGTTAAACCAAAGCTATGTGATGAAACCAGGATTTTAATTCAGGTCTTCCTGATTCCAAAGTTTTAGCTTTAAAGTGCCCTTCTCAGCAATACCAGCCATTCCCTCCCTGGGAATTGCACAGTGGGAAGCTGTCAGCACCTTCAGAAGGGGCGAGGTGCTACCCACACTATTGGAACTGGGACTTCGGGGAAGGATGCCTGGCAGGCATTGCTGGCAGAGGACCCCTGAAGCCATTGCTAAGCTGGGTCCAGACAGGGAGAGAGCAGAGATAATCAGCTCATTCTCCACTCTCACTCCTGCACCCTGATCTGCTGGTGGCTGCCCTTAGGCAGAACTCAGAGAGCACAGAAGAAAGAGTAAGGGGGCAGCTCACAGGGCTCAGCCTTCCAGGGCCCAGCATGGACAAGGGCAGAGACTATAGCCAAAGGTGCAAGTAGAGAATATCTAATATAGAACCCAAAGCTCCGTCCTCAATGCCTTCACCTGGGCTGCCCTCTCTGGGGGCTCCTGGGAGGGACAGCTCCATTCCAAGTAAGTGTTCAAAATCCCAATGAGAACACTTGGACACAGGAAGGGGAACATGACACACCGGGGCCTGTTGTGGGGTGAGGGGAGGAGGGAGGGATAGCTTTAGGAGATATACCTAATGTAAATGACGAGTTAATGGGTGCAGCACACCAACATGGCACATGTATACATATGTAACAAACCTGCACATTGTGCACATGTACCCTAGAACTTAAAGTACAATTAAAAAATATATTTTTAAAAAATGGAAGGATTAGGTTTCAGGCAAACAAGCAAATGTGGAGGGTCATAGGAAAAGGCCCAGCCAAGAGCAGTGAGTTCGCTGCTGAGAGCTCCTCACGGCGGGCAAAGTAGACATCTCTGTCAAGTCACAGGTTCCCTAACTTCTTGGAAATGGATGACTTTTATCTTTGAGGGCCTGAACAGCCCGGAACAGGAGTCAGCAGCACAAGTTCCAGATTTGGGGCTTATCAGATCTTCTGATCCCAAGCAGAATCCATGGGGTTGGCCGGGGTGAGTCCTTGCAAGCTCTCATTCACCCTTCATAATCAACTAATCTTTGGGGACATGACATGCTTGTGCTCCACGGTCTCTCCTCAAATCCTCCCTGGCTGGTTGTGTCGATAAGACAGGTGACATTCGGAAACGAGAAGCGCGTCACACCAGGTCAGGTCCCGTGGCCTGTTAGGTCAACATACCACCATGACTGACTGAATTCACACTCCAGGAGATGTTTGCATTTGACCATGAATAGGAAGCTCTGAGCCAAGGAGCCACTCCTTGAAGATGGAAATTCATGGAGGGTAGGAGCAGTGGTTCACAGTATTTTGCAGGCAGGGGAAGCTCTAAAATCCCAATATCTGGGTCTGCACAGACACTGGCGCTGCCACTGGGTGACCCTGAGGGAGTGAGGGCTCCTGGCCTTCCCTGTGGTGTCAGCAACCTAGTCAGGCTATTAATACTTTGACTGAATTACTGCTCCCAATAACCCTCCCCAATCAGTCTCCACCCAGCAGCCAGAATGATTGTTCTGAACCAAAAAAAATCTGATCAGGTCCCTCCCTTGCCTAAAAAACCTCTCATGGCTCCCCATGCCCTCAAGATAAAATCCTTTACCTGCAGCTGCATGATCTGGACTATCTTCCTCCAGCCTCGCCACTTTCACATCTCATGGTCCTATTAAAGTGGACTTCATAAGTTGCTTGAATATGCAATGTCCCCCACCCCTGGCACTCCCAGTCCCTTCGCTGGACCTATTCCTGCCCATCTCTCATCTCTCATCTGGCTGCACACTTCTCTGGGCTCCCTCCCCAATGCCTTCATCTGGGCTAGCTTTCCCCACCCACCCTGGCACCTGCATCACCAGGCTTACCACTTGCTGGAGCCCACAAAAGAAGAAGCTCCCACCACAAAAGAAGCTCTTCCCCCAACAAAAGAAGAAGTTCTCCCCCTCACAAAATAAAAAGCTCTCCCCCAACAAAAGAAGAAGCTCTTCTCCCACAAAAGAAGCTCTCCCGAAACAAAAGAAGCTCTGCCCCAACACAAGAGGAAGCTGTCCCCCAATAAAAGAAGCTCTGTGAGGTAAAGATCCTAATTAGTTTGTTCCCCACTCTACCCCAACACCTAGTACAAACAGAGGGATGTTAGTGACATTAGCTTGGGGCAGCTCCAAAACATAGTTGAATGAATAAAGGAAGGAAGGACTCTATCATTCATTCATTAAATGTCTCCGTGTCTCCTCTAGGGCTAGGGCATAAAAAATAATCCCTTAAGTGTGTTCAGGGAGCATGCTGAGAACAGAGCAGCAGACTCCCCAGTGTAACCAGGGGACAGGTGAGGACATCAGCCTGGGCCAGTCCTCATCTCCCCTCACCCGGGCCCCAGCCTCAGTGGCCATCACTGCTGGGCAGCTCTGAGCTGTGTCTGAGCCACAGACATGGGATGGGGATTACCCAGAGAACTGTGGCCAAGAGCCAGCCACATGGGTCCCTGGGGCTCTCTCTCTCTCACCTGACCAGGTTGCAGGGAAGACAGGGAAGGGGAGTGTATGTGTGTGTGTGTGTGCGCGCACGCGCACACACACACACATAATAACCCCACACACAGCCTTGCATCTGCATAGTCAGGGAGGAAGGAGGGCCTGTGCTTTTCTTCTACAGATGCCCAGTGACCCAAGCAGCTGGCCCTTGGACAAACTGCAGAAAGCAGGCAGCTGGCCTCCCTCCAGCCTGTTCCCCAAAGTGCTGTTACTCTGCCTTTCTCAGGCTTTGGGTTCTACAGTAGATATTCTCTACTTGCACCTCCAGCTATAGTCTCTGCCCTTGTCCATGCTGGGCCCTGGAAGGTTGAGCCCTGTGAGCCGCCCCCTTACTCTTTCTTCTGTGCTTTCTGAGTTCTGCCTAAGGACAGCCACCAGCAGATCAGGGTGCAGGAGTGAGAGTGGAGAATGTGCCGATTCTCTCTGCAATCTCCCTGTCCAGACCCAGCTTAGCAATGGCTGCAGGGGTCCTCTGCCAGCAATGCCTGCCAGGCATCCTTCCCCGAAGTCCCAGTTCCAGTAGTGTGGGTAGCACCTCGCCCCTTCTGAAGGTGCTGACAGCTTCCCACTGTGCATGTCCCAGGGTACTTCCCTGGCCCTTGTAAGTTTCTCTTAACCCTGCCTGTACCTTGCGAACAGTCCGTTTTCAATTCCCCTTCTTTCATCCCTTCACAGGGTGCCATCTTGTTTTTCTCAGGTATAGATTTTAAAGAGGTCTCAAGTCCTGGGGACAACATTAACAGCCTCTCACTCTTGCCTCCCATCCCCTCCAGAATTCTCTGTAGTCAGATAAACTGCTCCTTCCACAGAGAACAGGACAGCCTGGAGGCTACAGAATATGCCTGCCAGAGAAGCAGTGTTGGCTGCCCCAGAATGCGCACATTGCATCATCCCATCCTCCTCCTAGATTGGCTCCATTGCCCTAGAAGGGGAGTGGCATTCCACCTCGGGGGAGCAGACTCGCAGGCAGGGAGGGGCCAACTGACATGACAACCAGTGAGACGCACCACACTCCCCTTTAATTCCCTTTGTGACCTCTTCCCCTGGTGTGTACACATATACCCTCAACTGCCCAGATGCTTCCACGCCAGGCCCAGGTGAGCAAAGTGGTCCTCAGTGTCCATTGGTGCCTGTTTACACGCACACAGAGATACATACACACTCACACACCCATACACGCTCACATGTTACACACACATACACATAGGCTTAGCCTATGTTTGGAAAACACACCAAACCCTCACTTCTACCCCAGCCTCAATAAGGCCAATGGCCGTTAGCGCCAGATCTCCCTACAGAGAGCACATGGCTTGGCCCTGTCCAGTGTGCCTCACCCATGGCCTGGACAGAAGGAGAGAGCAGACCGGCATTTCATAGAATTATAAAATGGATCATCAGAAAAGCCCCGTGAGATCCCTTAACCCAGTATTACCCAACAAGAGTTCCAGCAAACATGAGTCTCTGAGATGCTCTGTTAAAAAAAAAAAAAAAAATGAAATTCCACAGTCCAGGGAGTTTGGGAAACAGCACACCACGTCATCCTCTCTCAGACAATCGGAAACCACATAGGCACATTAAAGGCTCTGAGAGATCCTGAAGGAGATGTACCTATTAAAGACTGCTTACCCCAGCATTTCACCAGATAGGTGGCAGACAGGGAAGAGATGATACGTAGGTGACAGACAGTAGAGACAGATAGAATGATAATGTCAATAGATAATGTAGATAATATAGATTTTGTAGTTGAATTAACTGCACAGAACACACTGTTAAATAATATTAGACCAACCACTTGCATTTCATAAATGAAGAAGCAGGGACTCAGAGAGGGATTTGCTCAAGACCACATCGCTGGTAAAAGACAAAACTGGGCCTAGAACGCAGGCCTCCTAATCCTCAGTCTAGGCTATTTCCAACAGACCCTGTTCTATTTTTTTTGTATTTAACTAACTCTAAGCCCCAGGATTTCTGGTAATCAAATAGATCAATGCTATTTCCAAAACAAATCTGAGTGTTAGTGATTTTGCTCCGTGACTTGACGTGGCCTCCCTTTCGCGCGTGCCCTCTGCTAAGGAAGGTGCCCCTTCCTGCACCCTGGACTCTCAGGCCCACTGTGAGGGGTGGCAGGGCCCAGGGCAGAGGCCAAAGGGCTAACCTGGCACTGGGCTCTGGACCTCGGTACCTGGATCCTATTATGCTACTGAGTCAAGGACGTAGACTTCCTTACAGGTGTCCCCAAATGGGGACAGGACCTTGTCATGCCATCCCCAAGATGAGGTTGGATGAAAGCTGAGGTCTGACTTGGGCCTAGGTGCCACTGCCCAGGCCTGGCACTGGTCCCACAGGACTCAGCTGCTAGAACCAGAGCTTCCTTCGCGGGCCTAGCCTTCTCAGAGTGTGGACATCCCAACTCCCACATTCTATGCCCTGAGCTCCCAGCCACAGCCACCTCTCCCCCACTGCTCACTCACAGTACAGATGCCTATTACCCTTGGTGGGCACACAGCATCCTCTCCCCCACTGCCACACTGTCACTGTGTGTGGCTAATGAGTGCTTTTCACAGGAACATCCTGTCTCCCCATGTAGCTCCAAAGCTTCCAGAGGGCAGAGGCAGGCCCTAATCTCACTCCACAGGGACAAGTGGTGAGCTTTGCACAGTGCATGCAGGGAAGGAAGAGAACTGCCTTGCAATGCCTAGGATGGTCCTTGACACAAAGCAGGCACAGGGGATCCTCTGGGGTTGATTAGCAACTCACCACATCCCAAAACAAAATAGAATTCATGTTGGGTGCATATGGCATCAGACGGAGAGTCACATGGAAGAGTGGGCTCAGGGGCTCCTGGAATGCTACATAACCAACAGCTTTTCTAGGTCTCAGGTCCCTTGATCTGCCACTACAAGGTAAGAGTTAAGGATTGATGAGGATGCTTCTGGCTCTAAATCTCTGATTTGATTATACAGTCATAGACAGGGGAAAGCCCAAGCCACGTTTTCATCATTCTCTCCCCCAGCCTTTTAGCATAGAAGAAATTGAACAAAGCCTTGGGGAGGAGGAGACTGTGCTTGTGCCCAGGCTCAAATGAAGGCACTACCCTTCCCCCAACCCAGCACACTTGCACGAGTAAATCTAGCAAGACACACTTCAGACCCAAAAGCCAATGGCTTTCAATATCCCAACCAAAGTTACATAAAACAGGAGATTCGGCCACGAAGACAGACCCTCTTGGCCCAGATACTCGGGAACAGATACTATGCACAGGAAAATGTGGGGTTAGCTCTTTAAGCCAAGATCCCTGTGGGAGCCATTTCACCTTAATTTCCCTCCCCACCCCACACCTTGGCAGACTGTTGCTTGAGCCCTTTGCAAATGAATAAACAGTGATTCCTACTGTGAACTCAGAAACCCACCCATGCCTGGGCTCCAGCCCTCTCTCCCCCACTTTCTGCAACCTCCATCCACCTCTGAGGTTTCTCTGCTTCTGTATCGAGGAGGAGGGAGCATGACACCAGAGGCCCCTCCGTGTAGCACCTCAGCCCATGCTTCTTCCCCCTCGGCGGGTGGAGGCAAGGCAAACACTTCCCTGACAGACAGGACAGAGCTGAGAGTCAACAGCAAGCAGTATTTGTATCTGCTCCTGTGGCTGGGACACACAGCCTGGGTCCTGGGGGCTCGCCAGGCAGGCTGTTGTCTGGCACTGTTTGCCTTTGGGGCAATGGGTACACTGGAGTGAGGAGGGAGAGGAGAGGCTGGGGTGAGGGTGGGATGGGGAGCAGGCCACAGAACCAGACCAGGGAGCCAGCCGTGGCACCACAGGCCAGGAGGCTGTTTTCTGAAGCCTCTGAGCCAGGGTCACTGGAGCCCAGCACCTGGCCATCCTCCTGTGTGCCGGCTCAGAGGATCCAGGTGACGGCAGGAACTCCTCACCCCCTCAGAGCCATGGTCTTCCCTCTCCCAGGCCCCTCAGTGCCCAGATCATTTCTCAGGGCTCTCTACCCTCCCACTGCTGCATACACAGACACCCTCTCCTGCACGAGAGAAGCAAAGGAAGATGAGGAGATGCTGCATGGCCCAGAGGGTGCAGAGGACCTGCTTCTGGGGGGTGTCCAAAGCTGGTCCGCACATATTACAGGTGACTGGGCTCACAAAAGCTGGCCTCCCCCAAAACCACAACCTGACGCTTGTGTTTGCCCCTCAAACCCCCCTCCTCCATAAGTGGCTATTCATCAGTACTGCATCTGACTACACACACAGAACTACTACTACACATCTCTCAGCTGCGCCCTAACCCGGGCAGCCTGGAGCCAGAGCCCTGTCACCTAGCGCCTTGGGATCCTGAGCAAGTCGCTTCCTCTTGCATCTGCATTTGCCTTCTCATCTGTCAGATGAGGGGTTGGACTCCTGGATCACTAAGGCCCCTTCCAGCTTCAAAGTGCCATTACCATAGTATGAGGGCCATAAGCCCTCCTAGACAGCAGAGCAGACTTTGATATTATAGCAATGCAACAAGAAGGATGCATGCCTTCTGGCCAGAGACAACTCAAACCACCAACTAATACATGGTTCTATTCAGGTTTTAGACCATACTTAGTGCATAACCACACTATGGAGTATATGCTACATGTCATATATTATCATGCTTTAAGGTGTGATATACATTTTGGAGTATATTCCACACTTGGTGCATATACCACACTTTGGAGTAGATACACACTTTGAGGTATATAGACACATTAGGTCATGTAGACACTGGGGTATGTATACACCTTGTGTATATTAAATACTGGGATATATCTCACACCTGGTATAGATAGCACACTGCATAGACACCTCTCCACTGGGAGTGTTCTGAGAAGGGCTAATGCCAAAACTCTGGAAAGGTTCTGGGGTTAAGAGTGCAGGCCCTAGAACCAGATAAAGCTGGGTACGATGCATTTCCACCACTTGTTAACCTTGAGCAAGGTTAACAAACTTGCTCTGAGACTCAGTTTCTTCACCTGTAAAATGGGGATAGTAATAAAACTTACCTCATAGCGTTCTTGAGAAAAGTAAACGAGGCAATGCCTACAACCAGTTCACCACAGTGTCTAGCATGTCAGAAACACTTAGTAAATGGTAGCTTTGTTACTGATGGAACGTTTAAAAAATTTTTATAATGTACATTTTTTATTTTTAAAAAATCCATAAAATCAGATGTTCCCAGAGTCTTAAAGCTTTTGAAAACTCAGATAACAGACAAGAGGACCACTCCATTCATATTTATTTCACATTTGATCTGTAAACTTTTTTATTTAAAAAAAAATCCACTGTCATTAGCAACATGTGCTGACATTAGTTTTTCTTTAGTGAAATAAGAGTGCAGGCCTTAAATTGTCTCTGTCTAAAACATGTAGAAATGCAGATGTAAACACAAAGTCTCTGCCCTCCTCCCCTGACTTTGGCAGTTCATCAATGACATGATCTCAACCAGAAAAGCACGGAGGGGGGAAAGGACAACATTTTGATACCTAACAGCTCTTGGGGAAGAAACTGTACAGTTTGGCAGGCCCATTTGTCTTTTCAAACTGTTTACCTTGGGCAAATTGTATCAGGTTTGCTTCTTCCACATAATTTCCACTCCTTGGAGTCTAAAAACAGCAGCTAAAAGATTTCCCCATAGTCAGCACTTTCGGGGCAGGAGGGGCACACAGACATACAAGATAGAAACATACATATTCTTCTTCAAGCAGTGGCCCTGGAGGGAGAGAGGGAACACTGGAAAGAGAGGTTTTAAAGTGAGTTACTGGGGCAAACAGTGCATCAGAGAATAATGGCTTTATACACAGGGCTGATGTGAGGCAGAAAGGCTCATTTACTTATGTCTTGATCCACCATCATAATATTTACATAGGAAAAGGCAATTATGCTGTTAGGCACAGGAAAAAAATGGACAGAAATCTTTTCCCTGTCAGGAAATCTCAAAGCAGGTCCGTGTCGAAGGGACAGTCACCAGTTGCTGGTGAAAACGACGACATAGAGGGACTTCATAACACCAGAAAGGGCTTGCATTGCAAAGGGGCTTGGCCTGAACCAGACAGCTGTGTCTGCCTGGAAGGCATCTCTCCCAAGGCCAGGATTTCAACATCAAAACCAAGGCCAAGAGATATGGGGGCCCCATGTGTGCTATCAAAAATAGTGTATATTTACAGCGGGGGATGGGGAGGGCAGGCAGGGCTGCCCTTAGCATTTTTCTTTAAAAAGAGAGAGAGAGTTGGGAATGGAAGGGGAATTAGCCAGGGCTAGGTAACCCCCATCCATTAACCTTTTGTGAGCCATGCCCTTGTAGTCCAGTGCTTGCTCTGAAGAGCTGTGAGGGCTGTACCAGGCGAAGAGGGTGAAAATACCTTTAGGAAGCAATAGTGATTAGGGGTGGCCCACTAGGAAGATGGCTCCAGGTCAAGAGTGGCCAAACCAACAACTGGGGATGTGTGGGCCTGGCAGCAAGAAGCTTCCCTTGTAGGAGCAGCAGACGCCCGCCCGCAGGAGGCTGCAGAGCCACCCCAGACGAGGAAACGCAGAGCAGGCAGCGCCCGGGTTTCTGAGTGCCCTGGGGCTAAGCACCCCTCGATGCCCCCCGCTGCCTGCAGTCAGCGTGAGTCTACGCGGGCGCCAGCGGAAACCTCACACGATCCGCTTCCTGTCCCCCCGACAGAGGATCTTCTTGAAGGCGCGGCGGAAATCGTGGTTGAAGATGGTGTAGATGACCGGGTTCAACGAGCTGTTGCAGTAGCCGAACCAGAAGAAGAATTTGAAGAGCGTGCGTGGCACGGAGCACCCGACGGCCGTGAGCGTGTAGGTGAAGAAGAAGGGGAACCAGCACACCACGAACACTCCGATGACCACGGCCAGCACGAACGTGAAGCGCTTCTCGCGGTTCTGCCGCCCGCGCCAGCGCGACGCCTTGGCAGCCCCGACGCGCTCCTCCCCCGGCCCTGCAGCCGGCGTCCCGATCCCCGTCGCCCCCGGCCCGCGCCGCGGCAGGCTGTCGCCCGGCTTCACCTGGCTCGCTCGGGCCTTGCCTTTGCCCCGGGGACCGCGCTCGGGTCTGCGGGGCCCTGGAGGCCGCTCGGCGTGGTCGGAAGACGAGCTCTCCTCCAGGTCCAGCGCGTCGGTGTCGCGCGGCCCGGCCGGCGCGGGCTCGCCAGGGGCGCCGTTGAGCTGGGTGGGCAGCGGTTCGGCCTCTGCGCCCCCCGGGCCCGCGCTGCGCTCGGGGCCCAGACCGTTGGGCCTGCGCTCGGTGCCCCCCGGCGGCGCGGCGACGGCGTCCGGACCCCGGCGGCTGGGTGGCACGCGGGTGCGACGCTTGGCGATCTGGTAGATGCGCACGTAGACCAGGATCATGATGAGGCAGGGAGCGAAGAAGGAGCCGATGCACGACGAGATGACGTACCACTTCTGGTCGTTGATCTCGCAGCGCGGCTCGGCCGGCTGCGGGCCGCCGCCGCCGCCCTTCTTCTCGATGGAGATGAGCGGCGGGAAGGAGATGACGGCCGAGATGACCCACACGGTGATGATGATGGCCTTGATGCGGCGCGGCGTGCGCTTCAGGTTGTACTCGATGGCCTGTGTGATGGACCAGTAGCGGTCCAGGCTGATGGCGCACAGGTGCACGATGGACGACGTGCAGAAGAGCACGTCGAGCGCCAGGTAGATCTCGCACCAAGCCTTGCCGAAGTACCAGTAGCCCATGACCTCGTTGGCCAGCGAGAAAGGGATGACGAGCGTGGCCACCAGGATGTCGGCCGAGGCCAGAGACACCAGGAAGAGGTTTTGGGGCGCCTTGAGCGCGCGGCTCGTGAACACGGCGATGATGACGAGCACGTTGCCGAACACGGTGAGCAGCATGAGCAGGCCGGCCAGGCACACCAGCGTCAGCGTCACCTGCAGGGAGTAAGGGGTGGCCCGGGCGCCGCCCCCCGGCGCCTCGGTCCCGTTCCAGCTCGCGTTGCCCGCGTCCGGCTGCAGGGAGCCCATGGGCGCAAAGCTGCCCTCGGCCAACGGCTGCTCCTGGCGGAACATGAACGCGGGCGCCCGCTGGCCTGGGCCTGCTGCCAGCTGCCTTCCGGCCCGGCGCCCGTGGGTCCTCCTCTTCCTCCGGCGCCCCGCTCGCCTGGCTGCGGCTCACATAGGGAGGGGGCCGCAGGGAGGCCGGGCCCGAACTGGAGGACCGCTAGCGGCCCATGGCCCGGGTCCCGCGAACTGCGCCTGGCTCGCGCTTCAGACGCTCTCGGTGGGCGCCTTCTTGCTCCGAGCTCCTAATACAGCCAAGTTTTATTTCTAAGCGGCGGGAGAGAGTAGGGAGAGCCGATGGGTAAAGAGAGATTTATTCTTCAAGAAGGGAGAACAAAAATCATCGGTGGCCTGATAACTTGGAAGGATGACAGGAAATTAAATATATATATACATATCAATATCTGTATCTTGAATCTTGAGCCTGAGCGAAAGCAAGAGGTCTTACCGTGTGCGGGGCCCGCCCCCACCCCGGGAGGCAGCCGAAGGGTGCTGATGCGAGCTCGGGGGTCCTATGTCTGTCGCCTTACATCCCCGAAGCGATTACCGACTCTCTGGCTTCCCCCAGACGCTGCGGTTCTGGCCCGGCCCGGCCCGGGGCTGGGGCGCGGACTCTGCCGCCTCTCGGAGCGCCGCGAGACTTCCAAAGTTGTGCGCCCTGCTGGGGCTGGGGCACACTGTGCGGAGCTCCGGGACGGCGGCGGCGGCGGGGTGAGGAGTGTGGGGGCCGCATGAAGGCACCCCCGTCCTCAGGCGGGCCGGGGCAGGTGAACGATCAGCTCTCCAGGAGCCGCGACGGAGGCAGGGGTTCTCCTGGGCGTCCGCCTGGTGGGCGCCGAGCGCTGCTGGATGGGCCGGGGTCCGACGACAGCGCGAGTTGGGGCAGGAGCGCAAGGCGGGGAAGAAGGCGCTGGAGTGGCCGGGCGGCGGCACGCCGGCTGCTGGGCTTCTGCACCGAGCTGGAGCTGCTGCTGCTCCGCTGCGCTCACGGTGGACTCGTTTTATAGCCCCAGGATCAAGCAAGCGTTGCTGAGCAGCCGGCGTCAGCCCCCACGTGGGAAGCCGACCCTCCCCCGCCCCTCGCACCACCCCTCCGCCAGTCTAGCGCCCGCGCCTAGCGCTGGACCTCGGGGAGCGTTGCCCTCAGGCGGGACGAGCCCTTTGGAGAGGCGGGTACCTTGAGCTAGAGACTTAAAGAGGGAGCCCGGGGGTGGGGGGTAGGGGAGGAGCGGCCCCTGCTGGGAGTTGGCCATGCAGCTCCGGGCCGACGGAGCAGAACGCAACGGGCACCCGTGAGTGCCCCCAAGAAGCTGGATCTTGGGAGAAAAGGGAAGAAAAAAATGGAAGGGAATCCCCGCCCAAATCGAGGGAAGTAACCTCCGGTGTGAGTTACGTCTGGAGCAGCCCAGCTCCGGGCCAGAGCCGACGCGGTCCGCAGGTGCTCCTGGAGGCTGGGGAGAAAGGGGTCCTGGAGAGGGAGGAAGGCGCGGCTTCGGATGGAACCCCTGGGGCGGAATGGACAGCACCCACGGGGAAGTGGTACAAGCCGGAGTTCAGACCTCCGCTTAGGGAAGAAGCGGCTACGTGTCCTCCCAGCCGCGATGCTGTCTGCGGGAAACGCAAGACCCGGGGTCTGGACCGCGCCCCCTTAGACCGAGGTGGGGAGGGGTCCAGGAGCCGAGCGCCAGGGCAAAGCGAGGACGCACTGACACCTGCTGGCCGCTCGTGGTCACGGCTGAGAAGCGACCCGCTGACGCCAGGCGCCTCCTCCCGTCTCTTAGGTCTTCTGCCAACAGAGCCTTCTCCTATCTCCGAACAAATTGGTTTCTAAGCTCAGGAAAGGAGAACCCAGAGTTTGAATTGCACCCTGCCGTGTTGCAGAAATCTTCCTAAAGCAGATACTCGTGTGTCTACCCCTGGCGGGAGTGGGGGTTTGTCTAATAAAGTCACATCAGGAAGGGCTCAGCAGGCACCGCCGGCCAGAACGGGCATCCCACTCTGGACCCGCACAGCCCACCCTTCCTGCAGATCCGAGAGAGGCCAGGATCCTGCCTCCTTGGTTGCACAGCTCTGGCTTGCTGGGAATCATTATGTTTTTGTTGAGGACCGAAAGCTAGACTCCACTCCCGCCCCGCATCCCACCCCCATTCAGATGTACACACAGCATCCTTCAATAAGGGGAAGAGGGAGTAGAATATTTTCCATGTTCTCTCTGATAAGAATAGCGGTGGGGGCGGGGGGGAGTGGGTGTGCGGCGAATGGCAAGTTTTTCCGTGCGTGCTAGCTGTCCTAGGATAGATTTTAACGGTCACTAGAGCACTAGCTTGCACCCTGCTAGCTGCACTTTTCAGATGAGAGCAAGCAGTTTAATGGTAAAACCCAAGAGGGTAGGAAATTTCAGCAGGAGAGAGATTAGACTTAAAGGAATGTCGTCTTATTTAAGGAACCACTAAACCAAAATGCCTTGTGCAGTCACCTAAGTTGGAATTCCAAGGATGGAACAGGCTGCCTCTCTGTGCAGCCAGCTGCAGGCTTAGGTCTGGCTGGGGGCTGATGGCTAAATTAAGGGCCCTGAGAATCACCTTCATTCCCAGCTGATGTCTATAGCCCGCACCAGTGATACAGTTATTGGTGCTGCTGCTGTTCATGTAGTCTCAAAATCTGTACTTTCCAAAGTATTTCACAGAAGTCTCATTTGACTTCAGTACCTTTGTCTCCCAATCTTTGCCCTAATGGTATAAACTCCCTTTCCAGTGTTAGTTCTGAGGAGCCTTTCTAATCTCCCTTTCTGGACAATCTAAAGGAAGCTGAGAAGACAATTTCCTCGCTCTGTTGAGTCACTCATTTTCCATCTTCTACTAAAGTCTCTGCTCTGAGGCTCTTGGCAGGGGCTTTGGACATCGCCAGTAGGCTCAGTTGGAAACATGGCTACAGTCATTTTTGCACAGCAACTAGGAACCCCACACTTCAAGTATGAATACTAAGAGACAAAAATCAGAGCCCGTGGCAATCTGGGGTTTGCTGTGTTGCTGTTTGTAGAACTCGGGAACTGAGTCTTAGGAGACCATCACTTACCATCTGCACCCCAGCTTCCAACACACTGCTCTTCTTCCTAATTTCAGAATCAAAAGAGGAAATAAAAACAAAGTTTACAGTAATTATCTTTCTTGAAATTTCTGCTGCTAGCCTGTGTATGACACCTCTTGTCATATTTTCTAAATGCTTCCCAAACAGCCAGGTGGTTTCTTAATTCCCTGATTTGGAGTCTTTTCTCCTAAAATGGGAACAGGTCTTTTCAGAGCCAGGAACCCTGAGGCCAATACACAACGAATACCAATAATAACAAGTGCTGCATTTTATTAAGTACCATGATGTATGCACCATGTGTAGGGTGATATACATGGCCCCTTTATACACAGAGTTCTTATTCCTGTCACATGTTCCTTATCACCAAAGGTTCTGCCTCCTCAGTTTGTCACACAGGGTCAGTATCTCTGAGCTTTGAAAAGCTATGTGGACACCATTAATTTTTGCTAGAAGATTTCATGCTGTGCAAGCTGAGTGAGACATTGCTGAGCAGAAAGATATCCACAAATATAATAATTCTCAACCAGGCCTATAGATCAGCATTTCCTAGGAAGACAAAATACACTTACCAATGCCCCACCAGGGAAATTATTCACCAGGTCCAAGGTGGGATGCAGCATGTGTATTTTGACAAAACTCCTTGAGAGCTGCAGGTGTGCACACCCTGCTGAAGACTTACCACCCAAAGCAATAAATCTCAGTGGGGGACAGGAGTGATGAGCAAGTGCCCTTGTGGGGACAGGAGGCAGTGTCCAAATTACCCGGGGTAGGAAGCCAACTTGAGCTAGAAAGAGTGGGCCCCAGATTGAGAATCACTGCCCTGAGCCAGTGAGACTGCTATGACAGTGTCATAGCCCTCCAGGGAGCTGGGACAGAGCAAATAGTTGAGAGCCACTGTAAATATGGAGTTTGGGTTTGATGGCCTGAGAAGGAGTCATTTCTGGGGACCCAAATGGGGGTCCATTATTACTTATATTATTACTAAAAATAAATAGTACCTATTAGCACCAACCACATGCTAGGCACAATGCCAAGCAGTTTATGTACTATATATTATATAATTCCCAAAACAATCCCATAATGTAGATTTTATTATCTGCCTTTGTAGATGGAGGAAACTAGGCAACAGACTAAGTAAACTGTCCAGCTAATAAGTGGCAAGGACAGAGCCGAACTCTATTTTTCCTGGTGGTAAGCCCAATGAGCTTTCTAAGTTCCTTACTGTGAATCTCCAGCCTTGATCGCACTGCCAAAGAGAAACCTGCAAAATGTTCATCAGAAATGAGCACATTGACAAGTTAGCACATCCTCCTTCTAGCCCTGTCC
This sequence comes from Homo sapiens, assembly GCF_000001405.40. NCBI lineage: Eukaryota > Metazoa > Chordata > Mammalia > Primates > Hominidae > Homo > Homo sapiens. The sequence continues at coordinate 111,073,592 of NC_000010.11, read as the reverse complement.
TTTCAGTCCATTGATGTCTACTAGATTAGGACAGTACAAGGCAAGATGTATTCCCTCTTTCTGTATCTAATGCCCACTCTTGGAGGCAACGTCACATACACTCTAGGAGACTGACCATTCCCCAACAGCCAAGCTGATGGAGAGCAAGCACTACACCAACTGGTTAGGCAACCCCTCCTCCTCCTAGTAGAAGCAACCTCTCTCTCTCATGGGTGCCATACATATTTTATCATGGCTTAGATGGACTTTTCTTGCTCTAGCTTATCTATTCATTTGTATGATGATCTAGCAGGTAGAAAGGACTGTCCTTTTCATCTCTATTCCTAGAGCATCTCTAAAACAGGCTTTTTAAAAATCATATTTCTAGTACCTACTCCTTGGAGATTCTGATTCAGTAGGATGAAGGCGGGGCCTGGGTGTTTGCATTTTTAACAAGTGCATGAGTAATTCAATAAATACCAAAATATAACACACAGAGCATGGATACTTGATAAATGTGTGATGGATGAATGTATGAATGAATGAATTCTACTTACACTGAAGCTATCAAAGAGGCAAGAGGGGCCCAGAAGTTGGTGAAGTTGGTGACTACGATGGCTAGCATTTTATTCCAAAATCAGGATTTCTTAATAGTTGAGGTAGCTTAACTAGTTCAAGGATATAAGTATAGGATTCTCTCATTCTCTTTTTTCCTAAAAGGAATATGTAAGTAGAGGAAGATAAATTTATAACTATCAGCTAGGTAATTTGCCAATAAAAGAAAGCTTCTTAAGATAAATCATCTGTCCTCATGTTATATCTGAAACTAAAGTATCAGGCAATACCAAAATTTGTCTTGGCTTCTATGTCTTTGATGGTGACTTCATCTAACAAAAGTGAGGGAGCTGGCTGGGAGAGAATATTAATTGCTTACTTTTTGAAAAAAAAAGACTTGACTGTCTAAGAAAAAGAAAACATGACTCATTTAGCCTGGACTCCTAGGCTGTGACAAAATCCTCACAGATAGAAGCAATTTGGTCACACACACACATAAACACAGGCCACCCCCCCACCCACCCACCCCTGCCCCCACCACAGCCTGAACTTAAACACACACTTGCTAGTCTGAACATGATGAACAGGTGGGGAATGCAATGTTCCCGCTACTACTCATGCCGTGTGCACAGCTGGAACCAAATGCTGCAGTAAGCTACAATCATCTGTCAACTCACTGTATTGCTGACAAGGGGAAGGGGGGAGTCAATAGGGAAAACTCTATTGCTTCCTCTAAGCTATTACTTAATTCCTCCACTTCTTTGTACCTGTGCTGAAGCCCTTGGGAATCCCATCGTTATTGAAGGTTAATGGAAGCCAAAAGAAAAGCATCAACTCCAGGGGTGCTGTAAGGAGCTGCCTTATTCACCACCTACCATGTTCATCATTTGACTGCTGGATCAGTCTTGCTGTATTCACAAAAACAAGCGATGAGTCCTGCCATCGCCTTTATCTCTTTCTAACGTGCTAACCCATCCTGCCCCAGCCTGGAAAATTAAGCCAGGTGTTTTCTATCTCTGCAAGGGCTTCTGGCCAATACCAAAAAGACAGCACTTGGTACTAGGATCAACTCAACCTTGAGGATGCCAAGAAAGATTGGGCTCCCAGCTGGCTCTTCGCTGGTGTGCCACCCTGCAGGGCATGTTTGTGTTGCCACTACAATGTGACTTTTGAGAGCTTGTGTGTACACACAAAGTTTAACATCACCTACCACAGTCTTCCAAGTCAGTCCTCACAAAGCAGTGACCTTTTCCACCACATCCAGGTGAATTATCTTGTCTGCTTTGTCCAGAAGCATGAGCAAAAGCAAACCTTGAAACAGTTATGGTGAGCAATGCTTACTTGTTCTCAGGTATAACAGGTGAGCTAGAGCCACTGGGTATGAAGGAGATATTTGTCACCAACATTAATAACTCTTAAGCTAATATTCCATTAATCTAATTAGGTAAGGTAAATCACCTTTCACATTTACTCAAAGAAACCATGGAGACGCCACGCCTGAAGCATATACACCCATGCACACACACACACACACACACACACACATGCACACAGACATATTTAAGAGATGGTCTGGCTCTCACTGCTCCCTGGAAATGATCTTTTTTTCCCCATTTTTCCTAATTGATAACACAAAGCACAAACTCTTCCTTGGTAAAAGGACCACGGCCTGATAGTTTCTGGGAGGCATTCAAGTGAAGTCGTTAAGAATTTAGGCTTTAGAGTAAGAGAAACCTGAGTTCTGGTCCTGCTTCTGCCATTTCATAACTATATTTACTTAACTTCTCTAGACTTCAGTTTCCTCATATGGAAAAAGGGGAAATAATTTCACATATCTCATGCATATCCTCAAAGATTAAATGTGTGAATACATGGAAAATACATAAGACAGTGTTGGGTTTAATTGGTGCTCAGACCAGCCTGGCCAACACGGTGAAACCCTTTCTCTACTAAAAATACAAAAATTAGCTGGGAAAGGTGGCGTGTGCCTGTAATCCCAGCTACTCAAGAGGCTGAGGCGGGAGGATTACTTGAACCTGGGAGGCGAAGGTTGCAGTGAGCCAAGATTGCACCACTGCACTCCAGCCTGGGCAACAGAGCAAGACTCTGTCTCAAAAAAATAAATAAAATAAAAAATAAAAAAATAAATCTAGAGAAAGAGAAGAGAGTTGGAATCTCAAAGCTGATGGAAGCTTGAATAGGATAAAGAGGTGAATGGTTTTTTAGGGTGATTTCTTCTGCAATTCGAGCCAACCCAAAGTGCCTAAAATATAACAGAAAATGGATTGATTCACATAAATGAAATTTATTTTAACCTGAGGCAGAGCTGGCTTTGGGCAAGATGGATGCAGTAACTCAGTACTGTCACTAAGAAGCTGATAACTTTGTGGAGAAAGAGGATTAAGCAAATAGAGAGTAATAAATGTAAGGAATCATGCAAGCCTCCCCACCAAAAAAAAAAAATTATATATATATATATGTATGTATGGGAAAGAAGCTGCCTTGGTTTCTCCTAGCACTCCAAATTCCAAATGTTGTTGCTAGGAAGTTGAGATGAACCTCTTGCTTCTTTTTCTTGGATTCCATGAGATTTCAGAGCCCACACAACTACTTCCCCTTTTACTTCAGCCTCTTGGAGTTGTTTTCTATTTTGTGCAACCAGAATATTTGACCAGAATGAATGCTAGAGCCTTAACTTCATAAAAATAGTTTTCATCTTCAATACGCCAGATTCCATGCTAGACAATGATCATATAATCATCAAAACATAACTTCCAATAACTTCTATACACTGCAAAGTCTTTGAGAGGAATCTTTTCTGTTAGTGTTACATATATTCAAAAAAATTAAATAACAGTTTTGATTTTAAGCACCAAATATTTTCAGTTGATGATGGCACTCTAAGTTTATGCTTCTTCTTTTCTTAGAGATGGAGACTTGCTATGTGGCCCAGGCTGGCCTCAAACTCCTGGGCCTCAAGCAATCCTCCCAGGTAGCTGGGTCTACAGGCCTACGCCACTGTGCGTGGCTTAAACTCAAGACTTTGAAGCACCCCTTTGTCCAATCATGTAGAAATGAAAGATAAACAAAAGAAATTTTAAAAGATAGACCCACTCCCGATGCCAAGCAAGATGGAGCAAGTCTATTACAGCCTCTCGGTCCAACTAAACAGCACAACTAAAACATCTGGAAAATTCAAAAAGCAGCTATCTGAAAGGCAGACAGTAACAGGGAGAGTGGAAAGGGAAAACAAAAATTGAGGAAGAAAGCCTCATGAGAGAGTTTCCTATTGATTTTTTTCCTCTTTTGTCTCTCACGTTTGATCCACGGAAGGCCTCAGTTGTGGAACTGAGCACCCCAGCCGGTATGAGCAACTCAGAGGGTGAAGCTCCCTCTTTTGACAGAGAATGGTGGAGAGGTCCACTGTGAGCTAGGAAATGTGGAGAAACTCTCTGAACATTTTTTCTTATTTGTCTTGTTTTTACTCTCCTCACCCTGCCACTAGAGTGGCCCCAAATAGGGAAATGTGCAGTAGCCGTATAGGCAGCTACAACTTTGAGGAGGAAAAAAAAGGTCTTTTCTGGCAGTAGGAACAGGGAAAGAAAGACCCTGTGCTCTAAAGGGCAGAGCCGGGGAGGGATTTCAGGACTCTTACTGTCTTTTTTTTTGCTCTTTTACCTTACCACTCTGCCCAGGGACTGAATCAGTCATGCAGAACTGGTGGCAGGATCATGGGTAACTAAAACTCTAAAAGAAACCTATCTTTCTGTCCAGAGGAATGGGACAATGGGTCCCTGGGAGACCAAGATTACATACGGGAACCCAAAGAGAAAAGAGCTGGAGAAGGGAATCCTCTAAGCCTTGTGTCTGATCAGGTGTAAGTCCCAGGCCCACCTGTGACCTGTGCATGCGTGTGACCAATGGCAGGCAGGATCCTGCCAAGGTTCATACCCCCAACATCAAAACACTGGTTACAGAAGGGGAGATGAGACCTGTGATTTGAAACCAACTACTAGGTTGATTTCCTGTGAACATAAACCAAACAGATTTTCACAGGACCAAGAGTAATAATCATAATGTCCAAGACAGAATCCAGAATTGCTCAACATACAAAGATCCAGCTAAATGCTGGGAAGGGAGAAATGATGAACAGATGTTTAACTTGAGATGTTAGAATTAATTATCTGACAGAGTTTAAAGTAACTATTATAACCAGGTTGCAAGAGGTAAAGGTAAGTATTCATTAAGTAATTTAAAAGATAGAAGTTCTCTGAAATAGACATGCTAAAGAAGAACTGAATGCCAAATCTTAAAACTAAAAAATTCATTCAAAAAATTAAATCTCACTGGAAAGGCTCTGTATGGGTCTCCTAGGGATGCTGTAACAAATTACCACAAACTGAGTGGCTTAAAATAATAGACACATATTCTCCCACAGCCTTGGAGGCTAGAGGTCTGAAATCAAGGTATCAGTGGGGTCACATGCCCTTCGAAAGTTCTAAGGCAGAATTCTTCCTTCCCTCTTCCAGCTCCTTGTGGCTTTTTGCATTCCTTGGCTTGTGGCAGCATCAGTCCAATATCTGTCTCCATCTTTACATGGCCTTCTTCCTTCTATGCTTTTCCTATCCAAATCTCCCTCTTCTTTCCTTATAAAGACAAAAAGTCACTGGATGTAGAACCCACCCTAAATCCAGGATGATTTCATCTTGAGATCCGTAACTAATTACATCTGCAAAGATCCTATTTCCAAATAAAGTCATATTCTAAGGCTCTGGTTCAACATGAGTTTGTGGGGAACACTATTCAACCCATTACAGGCTCAGTAGCAAAAACAGAGAAGACAGAGGAAAAATTCAGTGAATCTGAAGATAAATCAATAGAAACACTAAAGGAAGTTGCTCAGTCTGAAGGGAAAAATAAGAGGGAAGCTTGAGACCTCAGGAATGAGGGAGTAACAACAGAAATGGGAAATATTTAGCATACTCATTGGCTAAGGCTGCCATAACAAAGTACCACACACTGGGTGGCATAAGCAATAGAAAATGTTTGTCTCATCATTCTGGAGGCTAGAAGTCTAAGATCAAGGTGTCAGCGGAGATGCATCCCCCCGATCTCTGCCTTCGTCTTCACATGGCGTTCTCCCTGTGCTTGTATCTTTGTGCCCAAATTTTTCCTATTTCATATTGGACAGAGGCCTTCCTAAAGACCTCATTTTAACTTGATTACCTCTATAAAGCCCTTATCCCCAAATAAGCACATTCTGAGGTACTGGGGGTTAGGACTCCAACATATCTATTTTTTGAAGGGCACAATTCAACCAACACTTGGGTATCTATAACGAGGGTAAATATATTTTTTCCTTATGAGTTCTTTAAAATATGATTGATTTTAAGATAAAAATTACTACATCTGGTAGGGCTTTCAATGCATACAGATGTAACATATATGACAATTATAGCATGGACAGTGTAAAGCAATTTATATAGTTATAAGTTTTCTACATTTTAATTTTTCCAGCTTTATTGAGGTATACATGACAAATAAAAATTGTAAATATTTAAGTGTACAATATGATTTTGATATACATATACATTGTAAAATGAGAATCACAATCAAGCCAATCAACATATCTGTCAACTCACATAGTTACAATTCTTTTGTGTAGTGAGAACACTTAAGATAACTATCTTAGCAAATTTCAAGTATACAGTATTAGCTATGGTCATCATATTGTACATTAGATACCCAGAAATTATTCATTCTGAATAACTGAATCTTTGTACCCTTTGACTAACATCTCCCCATTTCCCTACTCCCCAGTTCCCGGCAACTACAGTTCTTTATTTATACTTTTTTAAAATTGACACATAATAATTGTACCCATATATGGGGTACATAATGATGTTTCCATACATATGATGTATACAGATCAGATCAGGGTAATCAGCATATCTGTCATCTCAAACATTTATCATTTCTTTGTGTTGGGGACATTCAATATCCTCCTTCCAGCTATTTGAAACTATGCACTATTGTTAACTACAGTCATCCTACAATGGTATAGAATATAGAACACTAGAACTTATTCCTCCTATCTAGTTGTAATTTTTTGTCCTTTAACAAATCTCTCTCTACCCCTTTATTTCCCCTATCCTTCCCAACCTCTAGTATCTTCTGCTCTACATTTTATTTCTATGAGATCACCTTTTTTGTGTGTGTTTGTGAGATGGAGTCTCTGTCACCCAGGCTGGAGTGCAATGGTGTGGTCTTGGCTCACTGCAACCTCTGCCTCCCAGGTTCAAGCGATTCTCCCACCTCAGCCTCCCAAGTAAGTGGGACTACAGGCGTGTGCCACCACACTTGGCTAATTTTTGTATTTTTATTAGAGACAGGGTTTCACCACATTGGCCAGGCTGGTCTCGAACTCCTGACTTGGTGATCCGTCCACCTCGGCCTCCCAAAGTGCTGGGATTACAGGCATGAGCCACCGCGCCCAGCCAAGATCAACTTTTTTTTAGCTACCACATATGAATGAAAACACACTGTGTTCACTTTCTTTTCCTGGGTTATTTCACTTAACATAATGTCCTTCAGCTCCATGCCTGTTGCTGCAAATGACAGGATTTCATTCTTTTTTATAGCTGAATAGTATTTTATTGTGTATATATACCACATTTTCTTTCTCCATTCAACTGTTGTTAGACATCTAGGTTGATTCTATATCTTGGCTATTGTGAACAGTGCTGCAGTAAACATGGGGGTGCAGACATCTCTTCAATATACTGATTTCCTTTCCTTTGGATAAATGCCCAGTAGTGGGATTGCTGAATCATATGGTAGTTCTATTTGCAGTTTTTCGAGGAACCTTCATACTGTTCTCCATAACGGCTAGACAAGTTTACATTCCCATCAAGAGTGTCCCTTTCTCTGCATTCTCACCAGCATTTGTTATTTTTTGTCTTTTTGATAACAGCCATCCTAAGAGGGGTAAGATGATACTTCATTGTGATTTTGATTTGCATTTCCCTGATGATTAGTGATGTTGAGCATTTTTTAATATTTCTCTGTTGGCCATATATATGCCTTCTGTCTAGAAATGACTGTTGAGATTACTTGCCCATTTTTTCATCAAATAAATGGTAAGATTGTTTATTTTTTTATTTTTTATTTTTTTGGCTAGTGAGATGTTTGAGTTCCTTGTATATTATGGGTATTAATTCCAAGTCAGAAGAATAGTTTACTAATATTTTCTCTCATTCCATAGGCTGCTTTTTGACTCTGTTGATTGTTTCCTTTGCTATGCAGAAGCTTTTTAGTTTGATATAATCCCCATTTGTTTATTTTTGGTTTTGTTGCCTGTGCTTTTGAAGTCTTGTTCATAACATATTTTCTAACACAAATGTCCTCAAGTATTTCCCCTGTTTTCTCCCAGTACTTTTATAGTTTCAGCTCTTACATTTGGGTCTTTGATCCATTTTGAGTTGATTTTTACATAGTGTAATAGCTGGGGGATATGGATGTTCAGTTTTCCCAGAACCATTTATTGAAGAGACTGTCCTTTCTCCAGTGTCAAAAATCAGTTGGCTGTAGGTATATGAATTAATTTCTGGGTTGTCTATTTCATGCATTGGTCTTTGTCTGTTCTTATGCCAGTTCAATGCTATTTTGGTTACTATAGCTTTGTAGCATATTTTGAAGTCTGGTAGTGTGATGTCTCCAACTTTTCTTTTTTCTTCAGGATTGCTTTGGCTATTCTGGGTCTTTTGTGGTTCCATACAAATTTTAGGAATTTTTTCCCACTTTTGTGAAGAATGTCATTGGTATTTTTATAGGAATTGTATTGAATCTGTGGATTGCTTTGGGTAGTATGTTCATTTTAACAATATTAATTCTTCTAATCTATGGGCATGGGGTGTCTTTTCATTTGCTTCTATCTTCTATTTCTTTCCTCTGTGCTTTGTAGCTTTCCTTTTGAAGATCTTTCCCCTCGATTGAATTTATTTGGTAGTTATTGTAAATGTGATTGCATTCTTGATTTTTTTTCAGCTAGTTCATTGTTTATGTACAGAAACCCTACTGATTTTTGTACATTGATTTTGTATCTGCAACTTAACTCAATTTGCTTGTTAGTTCTAAGAACTTTTTTGTAGAATCTTTAGGTTTTTTTACATGTAAAATTATGTTGTCTGCAAACAGGAACTATTTTGCTTTCTCCTTTCCAATTTGGATGCCCTTTATTTCTATCTCTTACCTAATTTGCTCTGACTAGGGCTTTCAGTACTATGGTGAATAAGAGTGGTGAGAATTGGTGTTCCTCTCTTGTTCCAGTTGTTAGAGGAGAAGCTTTCAGCCTTTCCTGTTCAGTATAGTGTTTGTCATATTGGCCTTTTATTATGTTGAGGTACTTTTTTTCTATATCAAATGTATTGAGAGTTTTTAATCATGAAGAGATGTTGAATTTATCAAATGCTTTTTCTGCATCTATCGAGATGATCATATATGGTTTTTGTCCTTCATTCTACTGATGCAATATGTGACACTTATTGATCTGTACATGTTGGAAAATCTGTGTACTCCTGGATACTTCCCAGGAATGTGCAGATGATTAATCATGATATATCATCACTTAATCATAATGTATTATCTTTTTGATGTGTTGTTGGATTGGTTAGCTAGTATTTTGTTGAGAATCTTTGCATCCATGTTCATCATTGACCTGTAGTTTTATTGTTTTATTTATTTATTTATTTATTTTGAGATGGAGTCTCACTCTGTCACCCAGGCTGGATTGCAGGAGTGTGATCTCTGCTCACTGCAACTTCCACCTCCTGGATTCAAGTGATCCTCCTGCCTCAGCCTCTCAAATAGCTGGGATTACAGGTGTGCACCACCACACCCAGCTAATTTTTGTATTTTTAATGGAGTTGGGGTTTCACCATGTTGGCCAGGCTTGTCTTGAACTCCTGACCTCAAGTGATCACCCAGCTCAGCCCACCAAAGTTTTGGGATTACAGGTGTGAGCCACCGTACCCAGCCTAGTTTTCTTTATTTGTTATGTTCTTGTCTAGTTTTGGTATCAGGGTTATGCAGGCTTAGGAAGAATTCCCTCTGTTTCAATTTTTTGGAAGAGTTTGAGAAAATTTGTATTAATTGGGTTTGGTAGAAGTCAGCAGTAAATCAAATGCAGTCCTGGACTTTTTGTGGGGGACACTTTGTATTAGTGAGTCGATATCATTACTTATTGGTATGTTCAAGTTTTCTACTTCTTCTTGGTTCAATCTTGGTAAGCTGTGTGTGTCCAAGAATTTATCCATTTCCTCTAGGCTTTTGAATTTATTGTTATATAGTTGTTCGTAGTAGCCTCTAATGATCCTTTGTATTTCTGTGTTGTCTGTTGTGACTTCTCCTTTTTTATTTCTAGTTTTATTTATTTGGATCTTCTCTCTGTTTTTTTTAGTCCAGCTAATGATTTGTTTGTTCATTTCACTGACCTTTTGTATTGTTTTTCTAGACCCAATTGTATTTACTTCTGCTCAAAACTTTTTTATTCTTTTCTTCTTCTAATTTTGGGGTTGGCTTGTTCTAGCTTTTCTAGTTTTTGAGATTCATCATTAGATTGTTTATTTGAAATTATTCTCATTTTTTGGTGTAGGCATTTATTGCTATATACTTGCCTCTTAATACTGCCTTTGCTGTGTCCCATTGGTTTTGGTATGTTGTGTTTCTATTTTCATTTGTTTAAAGGAATTATTCAATTTCCTTCTTAATTTCTTCTTTCACCCATTGGTTGTTCAGGAGCATGTTATTTAATTTCCATGTGTTCACATAGTTTCTAATGTTTCTCTTATAACATTGTGGTCAGATAAGACAGTTGATGTGATTTCAGTGTTTTCTAATTTGCTTAGACTTCTTTTGTATCCTAACATATGGTCAATCCTAGAGAATGTTCCATGTGCTGAAGAAAAGAATGTGTATTCTGCAGCTGTTGGGTGAAATGTTCTATAAATGTCTGTTAGGTCTATTTGGTCTATGGTATAATTTAAATTTGATGTTTCTTTATTGGCTTTCTGTCCAGATGATCTGTAAAATGCTGAGAATGGGGTGTTGAATTCCTCAACTATCATTGTATTGGGGGTCTATCTCTCCCTTTAAATCAAATATTTGCTTTATGTATCTGTGTGCTCTCTTACTGGGTGCATATATATTTACAATTATATTTTCTTGCAGAATTGACCCCATTATTATTATATAATGTCCTTTGTCTCTTTTTACAGTTTTTGACTTGAAATCTATTTTGTCTGATATAAGTGTAGCTAATCCTGCTCAATTTTGGTTTCTGTTTGTGAAGAGTATATTTTCACACCTCTTCACTTTCAGTCTATGTGTGTCTTTACAGTTAAGGTGAGTTCCTTATAAGCAACATATAGTTATGTCTTTTTAAAAATTTTATGCATTCAGTCTGTTTATATGTTTTAAATGGGAGATTTAATCCATTTACATTCAATGTTACTACTGATAGGTGAGAACTTACTCCTGTCATTTTATTTTACTTTATTTTATTTTAGAGACTGAGTCTTGCTCTGTCACCCAGGCTAGAGTGCAGTGGTGAGATCTTGGCTCATTGCAACCTCCACCTCCCAGGTTCAAGAGAGTCTTCTGCCTCGGCCTCCCAAGTAGCTAGGATTATAGGCATGTGCCACCACACCTGGCTAATTTTTGTATTTTTAAATAGAGACATGGTTTCACTATGTTGGCCAGGCTGGTCTTGAACTCCTGGCCTCAAATGATCCGCCTGCCTCGGCCTCCCAAAGTGCTGGGATTACAGGCATAAGCCACCCTGCCTGGCCCTGTCATTTATTGATTGTTTTCTGGTTGTTTTGTGTATTCTTTGTTCCCTACTTCCTCTTTTATTGTTTATTTTTGTGGCCGGGAGATATCCATAGTAATAAGGTTTACTTCCTGTCTCTTTCTCCTTTTTGTGCTGGCTCTACCAGTGAGTTTTATACTTTTCCATGTTTTCATGATGGTGGTTATAGCCTTTTCACTTTCAGGTGCGAGTATCCTTTGAGTATGTCTTGTAAGGCTGGTCTAGTGGTGATGAATTTTCTTAGTTTTTGCTTCTCTGTGGAAAATTTTATTTCTTCTTCTTGCTTGAAAGGTAGCTTTGCTGGGCATAATATTCTTCACTGGCAGTTTCATTTTGAATATATCATCCCATTCTCTCTTGGCCTGTAAGGTTTCTGCTGAGAAATCTGCTGTTAGCCCAATGTGGATTCTTTTATATATGACTTGATGCTTTTATTTTGCTGTCTTTAGAATTCTTTATCTTCGACTTTTGACAGTTTGACTATAATGTGCCTCAGAGAGGACCTATTCGGGTTGAATGTATTTGGGGTTCTTTGAGCTTCCTGGACCTGGATGTTCATCTGTCTCCCAAGTTTTCAGCCCCTCTTCCGTAGGATGCCACTGATAGGCATGACCCTTCCATGGGATGCCTGATAGCCTTGGACCGAAATCCCAAACCTCAGAAATAGCCCCATGGGCACCCCCTCAGCAGACACACCCACAGGCCAGCTGACAAACCATGTGACCATATCCTGAGCCTGAGAAACAGCCTCTTGGGCTGCCCCAGGAGACACACCCCACAAGTTGAGCAGCAGTGTGCCTGCATCCTGGGCCTGAGAAACAGCTCCATGGCCCACTCCTGGCAGGCATGCCCCAGGCTGATTGAACAACCATGTGCCTGAGCTCCTGGCCAGAGTATCAGCTCCAATCTCAGCAAGTCAGAACCCAAGTTGGCCAATGCACCATGTGCGCACACACACATACACATTCTCCCAATGTGAGAAACAACCCAGCAACCCACTCTGGCACTACCCCCACAAATTCTCAGCCTAGGCCACTGAGACATTCATAAATATCAGTAGTGTGTATTACAGATGAAGAAACTACATGGAGACTACACTACTGCATCCACCTAGAAGCAAGGGCAACACATCCCAACCAAACCAACACTCTATGACCCATTCATATGAATAAGTATTTCCCTTCAAAACCTACTCCATAAAATTGGAAGAAGTGACTCTTCCACCAGATGCATAGAAATCACTGTAGGAACAGACACATCACACATGTAAAAGCAAGGAAACATGACACCTCCAAAGGAAAACAATAATTCTCCAGTAACAGATCCCAATCATAAGGAAATATGTGAAATGCCAGAAAAATAATTTCAAATATTAATACTTAAGGAAACTCAGTGAGATATAAGGGAAAACAGATAGTTAACTGAAATCAGAAAAACAATTCACGATTCAAATGAGAAATTATATATATACATGTATGTATGTGTATATATATGTATGTATGTGTACATATAATATATATACATACACGTGTGTGTGTAAAAAGAACCAAACAGAAATCCTAGAGCTGAAGAATTCAATCAATGAAATAAAAAAAAATCAAGAATTTCAGCAACACTAGACCAAGCAGAAGAAAGAATCTCTGAACTTGAAGACAAGTCTTTTGAAATAACACAGACAGACAAAAAGAGAAAAAGAATTAAAAAGAATGAAGAAAGTCTGCATGATTTATGGGACATCATTAAGAAAACAAATACTCATATTATGGGTGTTCCCTAAGTATATGGGTATTCCAGAAGTATAGAGAAGGAAAAGGGTGAGGGAAACACCCTGGGGGTGTTTCTGCAGGGGTGACCCATGGGGCTATGTCTCAGGCCTAGTATGCAGGTACAGGGCTGCTTAAATGGCCCTAGGGTATGCCCACCAGGGGTGGCCTACAGGGCTGTTTCTCAGTCTGGAGCATGAGTGCAAGGCTGTTCAGCCCGTTCAGGGGTATGCCCACCAGGAGCAGCCCTCCAGGGCTGTTTCTCAGGTGTGGCACATGGGTACAATGCTACTCAGCCATGCCTGGGGAGTGTCTGCCAAATGGGGTACTTCAGGCTCTTTCTCAGGTCTTGAGCATGAACATGTAGCTGCTCCACAGCCCCACGAACATAGCATCTGTTCAGAGGCTCAGGGGTCTCTCCCACTTGGGGATGGGCACACAGTGGTTTGACTGGCTCAAGAGTGAGTTTGTCTTGGGCAGGGCTGCCAGACTATTGCTCCAGCTGGAAGTGCAGTAATAGGGGTTGTTCATGACCAGAGTTACAGCCAATCTGGGTCCTGGGCTCCAGGCACACTGGTATTCATCCATGTGTGGGTTTGGTGGAATGAAGATGGAGAGGTGTAGTCACTACTAGCCCTCAGAGCAGGGTGCATTCCAGAGGTGGCTCTGGTCTCAAGATTCTGCTATGCTACAGGAGCTTGGCTCACAGGTGGTGGATGAGGGATGTGGAGGGCACCCTATTTGGATAATACAGCTGTGCAAATTCCTGGCAGCTCTCCAAACTGGATTCAGGACTTGGAAGGACTGTGGGATCCTTCTGCAGTAAGGACTATAGGTATTTGGCAATGGGGACTAGTGGGAATCGGATCTTCTGCTTACCTTTTCCCCAAAATGTGAAGTCCCTCCTGACTCTGGGCAGATATGATCTGGGAGAGAGATGGGCTGCAGAATCCACACGCCTCCATGCTGCCCTCCTGGAGATGCATCTCCACTTTCCCACTGCACTCCGGCACTGTCCCTTCAGCACTCCAGTCAAATCTTAACTGTTTATTCATTGTCTTGGTCCTTTCTTTTGAGGAGAATGAGCACCAGCCATCTCGAGTTAGCCATATTGCTGATGTCACCTGGCAAATACAATTCTGATCTCTGCTTTTATGAGTTTAACTTTTTTATTTTTATTTTTTGTTTTAGATAGGGTCACTCTGTCACACAGGCAGGAGTGCAGTGGCACAATCACAGCTCACTGCAGCCTTGAACTCCTAGGCTCAAGCAATCCTCCCACCTCAGCCCCCTGGGTAGCCAGGACTACAGGCACACACCACCATGCCTGCCTACATTTTTGGAATTTTTGTAGAGACAGAGTTTTGCCATCTTGCCCAGGCTGGTCTGGAACTCCTGAGCTTAAGTAATCCACCTGCCTCAGCCTCTCAAAGTACTAGAATTGTAAGGATAAGCCACTGTGCCTGGCAAGTTTAACTTTTTAAAATTGTACATATAAGGCCAGGCACCATGGCTCATGCCTGTAACCCCAGAACTTTGGGAGGCCGAGGCAGGTAGGTTTCTTGGGGCTAAGAGTTCAAGACCAGCCTTGCCAACATGGCAAAACCCCGTCTCTACAAAAAAATACAAAAAATTGGCTGGGCACAGTGGCACATGCCTTTAGTCCCGGCTCCTCGGGAGGCTGAGGCAGGAATCGCTTGAACCTGGGAGGCCGAGGTTGCAGTGAGTCAAGATCATGCCACTGCACTTTAGCCTACATGACAGAGCAAGACCCTATCTCAAAAAACAAAAAAGATTGCACATATAAGTGAGATCATATAGTATTTGACTTTCTGGGTCTCGCTTAAGTTAGCATAATGCCCTCAAGGTGAATCCTATGGCAGGATTTCCTTCTTTTTTAAGGCAGAATAATATCCCATTTTATATGCACACACACACACACACACACACACACACACACATACACATGAGGGGACTTCAAAAAGTCATGGAAAATTGAATTAAATGATAAAAATAAAAAATGTAAGGTTTATTTCTCAACATAAACTCCATCGAAGTAGACATTTTTGTAAGCAATAGTACCAGCTGATTAGTTCATCCCTAAAAAACTAAGGGTCCCGGAAATTTAAGCACATCAATGTAGGTTTTTTTTTTTTTGGTTTTTGTTTTTGGTTTTTTTTTACATTATTAACTTAAAAAAAGCTGGGTGCCTTTAAAGATTTAAAAGAAAAACAAAAGACTTAAAAGGAAACAAAAACACATCAATAGGAACCAAAGTAGGAAGCTCAGGTGGATGCCTAGTGATTTCCCATAGAAACTAACAAAATTGACCTTGATTAGAGAAAAGAGCAGGCCCATTATTGTGGTGGAGAAGGACTTTCTGGTGAAGTTTTTTCAGACATTTTTCCGCTAAAGCTTTGGTTAACTTTCTCAAAACAGTCTCATAATAAGCAGATGTTATCATTCTTTGTCCCTCCAGAAAGTTAACCAGCAAAATGCCTTGAGTATCCCCAAAAACACTGTTGCCATGACCTTTGCTCTTAACCATCCCACTTTTACTTTGATTGGACCACTTCCACTTCTTGGTAGCCATTGCTTCGATTGTTCTTTGTCTTCAGAATCATAGTGGTAAGGCCATGTTTCATCTCCTGTTCCAATTCTTTGGGAAAAAAAATCCTTCAGGATCTTGATCCCACTTGTTTACAATTTCTATTGAAAGCTCTGCTCTTGTCTGTAACTGATCTAGGCACAGCTGATCTTTGACACCCATCAAATAGAAAGTTTGCTCAACTTTAATTTTTCAGTCAGAATTATGTGAGCTGAACCAAATGAGATGTCTATGGTAGTAAATATTGTTTCTGCTGTTACTCATAGGTCCTCTTCAGTTAGGGCACAAACAAAATGAATTTTTTCCTTGCAAATTGATGAGTATGGTCTGCCAGTGTGGGCTTCATCTTTAACACCATCTCATCCCTTCTTAAAGTGACTTATCCATTTGCAAATTGCTGATTTCTCTGGGGCATTGTCCCCTTAAACTTTTTGTAAAGCATCAGGGATTTAACAATTCTTCCACCCAAGCTTCACCATAAATTTGATGTTTCTTCTTGCTCCAATTTTAGCTAAATTCATGTTGCTCTAATAGAAGCTTTTTTCAAATGGATGTCCTTTTGAAACTTAGTACCTCAAACTAGATCTTGTTCAGACATGTTATAACAAATTAGTATCTCAAACTAGATCTTGTTCAGACATGTTATAACAAACTAGTACAGGTTTCTTTTGGTGCAAAAAGCTTTGAAAACCATACATAGTTTTTTTCATAACATGCATTTTTCATGAACTTTTTGAAGACCCCCTCGTGTGTGTGTGTGTATCTCATATTTTCTTTATCCAGTCACATGTTGGCAAATACTTAGATTATTTCTATATCTTGGCCATTCTGAAAAATGCTGCAATAAACTTGGGGGTGTACACATCTCTTTAAGATATTGATTTTGTTTCTTTTGGATATTTACACAAGAGTGGGACTGCTGGGCATACAATATTTTTATTTTTAACTTTTTGAGGAACATCCATACTGTTTACCAATCTACATTTTATTTGAGGTGGTAAAACATTAACTCTAAGAAGACTATGAAAGGTTAAGGTATGTATTGCAATCCCTAGATCAGCCTGTAGAAAAATAATACAAAGATTATAACCAAAAAAAATCAATATGAAAATGAAAAGTAAATATAAATAAAAGTAATTGAATAATCCAAAAAAGACAAGAAAGAGAGAACAGAAGAACGAAGAACAGAAGTGACACACAGAAAACAAATAATAAAATGTAAACCTAAACTCAACCATACAAATAATTACATTAAAATGAAATGGTCTAAACCCACTAATAAAAAGACAGAGATCATCAGATTAGATAAATAAAACAAGACTCAACCACATGCTATCTACAAGCAGCCCAATTGAAATATAATGATATAGATAGGTTAAAAGTAAAAAGGATGAAGCCAGGCACAGTGGCTCACGCCTGTAATCCCAGCACTTTGGGAGGCTGAGGCGGGCAGATCATGAGATCAGGAGATCTAGACCATCATGCCCAACATGGTGAAACCCCATCTCTACTAAAAAGAAAAAATACAAAAATTAGCTAGGCATGGTGGTGTGTGCCTGTAATCCCAGCTACTTGGGAGACTGAGGCAGAAGAATCACCTGAACCCAGGAGGAGGAGGTTGCGGTAAGCTGAGATCATGCCACTCTACTCCACCCTGGCGACAGAGCAAGACTCTGTCTCAAAAAAAAAAAAAAAAAAAAAAAGTAAAAGGATGAAAAAAAGATATATGATGCAAATATTCATCAAAATAAATCCAGTGGGGCTATATTAATATCAAAGCCAACTTCAGAGCAAAAATTTCAAGATAAAGAGAGATACTACATAATAATAAAAGATTACATACATTAAGAAAATACAGGTAGGACATGGTGGCTCACACCTATAATCCCATCACCTTGGGAGGCAGAAATGGGAGGATTGCTTGAACTCTGGGGTTTGAGACAAGGGCAACATAGGAAAACTCCCATCTCTACAAAAAATTTAAAAATTAGCCAGGCATGATGATGAATCCCTGTGGTCTCAGCTACTCAGGGGGCCAAGATGGGAAGATTGCTTGAACCTGGAAGGTAAAGGCTGCTGTGAGCTGTGATTATGCCACTGCACTCTAGCCTGGGCAACAGAAAGAGATCTTGTCTCAAAAAAAAAAAAGAAAGAAAATGCAAAAATCCTAAATGTATATGCACATTAAAGATCTTCAAAATACATTAAGCAAAAATTGATATATTTAAAAAAAGAAATACATAAATTCACAATGATGAGTTCAACACTCCTTTCAGGGTAATCATATATAAAGGTCCTGAAAAAACTGTCAACCAAATTGACATTTATAGAACACTCCATCAGCAATAGCAAAATACATACTCTTTTCAAGAACAAAAGAATATTCGTCAAGATACCAAACTGGAAAGACAACCTGTGTTCATATATTGAAAGACTTAATATTGCTAGATGATAGTGCCTACCAAATTGATCTATGGATTCAATATAATTCTTATCAAAATTTCAACTATCTTTTTGTTAGAAATTTATAAGTCATCCTAAAATGTATATAGAAATGCAATGAACAAGGAATAGCTAAAATAATATTGAAAAAGAAGAAGAAGTTGGAGAACTCACGCTTCCTGATTTCCAAATTTGCTACAAATCTACAGTAATTAAGACACTATGTTTCTGGCATAAGAACAGACATATAGATTAATGGAATAAAATTGAGAATCCATAAATAAACTTTCACATCTATGGACAACGGATTTTCAGCAAGAGTGCCAAGACAATTTAATGGAGAAAAAGAATGGTCTTTTCAAAATGTAGTGCTCAGACAACTGGATTTTCACATGCAAAATAATGAACTTGGACCCCTACCTCACACCATACGCAAAAATAACCCAAAATGAAACAAGGACCTAAAAGCAAGAGCTAAAACTGTAACGCTCTTAGAAGAAAACAGAGATGCAACTCTCCATATCTTGGATTAGGCAATAGTTTCTTAGATATGACACCTAAAACACAAGAAGCTGATGAAAAAATAAATATATGAGACTACATAAAAATTAAAAACTTTTATGTTTCAAAGGACATCACCAAGAAAGTGAAAAAACACACAAAACAGGAGAAAACATTTGCAAATCATATATCTGATAAGAATCTAGTATCTAGAATATCTAAAGAACCTTTATAACTCAATAATAAAAAAGACCCAATTACTAAATTCTATGTAGGCAAAGGATTTGCATAGACATTTCTCCAAAGAAGACATGCAAGTGACTAATAAGCATATGAAAAGACCTTCAACAACTTTCCATATGCAAACTTCAACTTTCCATAGATGGAAATGCGTATTAAAACCACAATAAACCCAAATGTGGTGAGGTGCTCCTATAGTTCCAACTACTTGGGAGGCTGACATAGGAGAATCACTTGAGCCCAGGAGTTCAAGGCCAGCCTGGGCAACACAGTGAGACCCCATCTCTTAAAACATACATAAACACACACACACATGCAATGAGATACCACTTCACACCCATTAGAATGACTCAAAAGATAGATAATGACAAGTATTAATAAAAATGTTATCTGCTTTGGAAAACAGTTTTGCAATTCCTAAATATGCTAAACATAGAGTTACCCTATAACTTAGTAATTCCAGCCTCAAATATATACCCAAGAGAAAAGAAAATATATGTCCATACAAAAATTTGTACATGAATGCTTATAGCCATTACTCATCATATACAAAAAGACAAAACAACTTAATGTCCTTTAACTGATGAATGGATAAATAAAATGTGGTATATCCATATATCCATATAATGGAATATTACTCAGCCATAAGAAGGAATAAACTACCAATACTTCATTTTCAAGTTTTGGATAAATCTTGAAAACAGGCTCAGTGAAAAAAGCCAGAAACAGAACGCCACATATTATATGATTTCATTTGTATGAAATGTCCAAAATATGCAAATCCATAAAGATAAAGTAGACAATTACTTGCTTGGGGCTGGGAGGAGAGAATGGTGTTACTGCTATGGGTACAGAGCTTCTTTTAAAGGTGGTGAAAAATGATCTGGAATTAAATAGAGGTAATGGCTGTGCAACCTTGTGAATAAAGTAAAAACCACTGAACTGTATGCTTTTAAATGGTTAACTTAATGGTACGTGAATTATCTCTCAATAAAAATAAAAAATATAGACCGTATTCTGGCTTATAAACAAACCTTACCAAATTTAAAATAATTGAAATTATATATAGTATATTATTTGACCATAACATAGCCACACTAAATATCAATAACAGAAACTTATATGGATAAATCCCCCAAATATTTGGAAACTAAATATCACATTTCTGGAGAACACACATGTCAAAAAGGGAGTCTCAAAAGTAATTAGAAAATGTTTTGAATGGAATGAAAAATCAAATACAACATACCAAATTTTTTGAATGCAACTAAAGCTGCGTTTAGAGGAAAATCAATAGCATTATATGACTACATTTAAAAAGATGCAAGTTCTCAGACAAATAATATACATTTTTTAAAATAAGTAAATTAAACCCAAAGCAAGCAGAAGGAAGTAATAAAAAGTAGATATTAATAAAAAGAAAATCTATAGACAAAGGTCAATAAAACCAAAAGCCAGTTATTTGATGATATCAACAAATTGATCAATGTGTAGCCAAATTGACCAATGATACTTACACAGAGCTGCTACCTATAGGCTGCAAAGAACCCAGGCCAGTTCATTTACCCTGAATGGGTTGCTCTTTAACTTCTCAGGGTTGCTCTTTAACTTCTCAGCCTGTTCCTGTTGAAAGCCAAAATTTTAACTCAGGCCAAATAAAGCATGAGGATACAGTAATCATAGTATAATATTTCTAAGCTAATGGAAATTCTTAAAACCTTTAGGTAAAAGAAACAGCACCCTAACATTAAAAAGGAGGTAGAGGTAAGGGTTGCCTGGCTGTGCCTTTGAGAGATGTCTATCAAGAATTAAAAGACTTTTATTTTCCCAAATTTAAAATATTTTGGTTTCTAGTCAAGAAATCAATGAAAAATACTTATTTTTCATGTAGCTAAACTAGTTCTTTATGGAAATGTCAGGCAATCATGGAATAATTTTTTTAACTTTTTATTTAAAATCATTTCCAACTTACCAAAAAAGCTGCAAGAATAATAAAAGTCTCATATATCCTTTATCCAGATTTACCTATTGTTAAAATTTTACTCCATTTCCTTTATCATTTACTCTCTCCCTACTCCTCTTCTCTCTCCACATGCATGTGCACACACACACATACACACACACACACACACACAAATATTACTTTTCAGAACTATTTGAGAGTAAGTTACAAATATCATAGCACTTTACCACTAAATACTTTGCTGTGTATTTCTTAAGAATATACCTGTTATCTTACATAACTACAGAACAGACACCTGTACATTGTTTTCATCAAGCTACCATTTGTATTTCAATTTTGCCAACTGACCCAATAATAATTTCTTCTCCACTACAAAAGCCATTTTAGGATTACGTATCACATTTTATTGTTATGTCTTTGTAGTTGGCTTTAACGGATCATTTTCACAGACTTTGTCTTTTATAACATTAACATTTTTGAAGAACAGTGTTTTTTTTTTAAACATGATTCCTCATTTTGGGTCTATCTGATATTTCCTCCTGATTAAATTCCAGTTATACATTCCCATCAGGAATATGAATGTGATATTGTATCCTTCTTAGCATATCACAACCACAGCAAATGATGTTCATCTGCCTCCCCTTGGTAGGTTAATTTTGATCACATAGTCAAGGTGTTTCTTGGATTTCTCCTTTTTGTAGAGAGCATTTTTCCTTTCAGCTAGTAAGCAATCTGTGGGGACTTACTTTACAGTCATACAAATATCTTGCTGTTCATCAAAATGTCTTCCTAGGTTTATCATCTGTTGATGACTTTTGTTTTTACTATGATGGTTGAAAAATTATTTTCTAATCTCTGCACTCTATCCTCTGACTCTCTCTGGGTCAGTTTTTGGCATTGCACAAAGATCCTAATTTCTTCCCTAAGTATTTATGAATCCATCAAGGATATGTATTCATGGCTTTCTATTTTTTCAATGATTTATAACTAATTATTGTTCTTAATTATTTTGGTGTCCGAATAATCCGTGATTTGGCCTCTGAGAGTCCCTTCAAGCTGGTTCCTGTGTGCTTGTGACAGGCCCTTGTCAATTTTTTGAGTACTTTCTTGCTTTGATTTAAGAAGAAGTTTCAGGGATTCTTCAGCCCTAGATTCAGCTGTTTCTCTAAAGAGCCCTGCTCCCTGTTAATGGAGTAATAGAAACCAAGATCCAGACACTTTGGAGTGCTTTATCACAAAAAAAAATGTTGAATTTAGTCAAATGCTTTTTCTGCATCTATTGAGATGATCATATGGATTTTATTCTTAATTCTGTTAATATGATATACTATGTTCACAAATTTGCGTATGTCGAACAATTCTTGCATTCCAAGGATAAATTCCACTTAGTCATGATTTATGGTCCCGTTAATGTGCTGTTGAATTTGGCTTGCTAGTATTTTGTTGAGGATTTTTGAATCTATGTTTATCAGGGATATTGCCTATAATTTTCTTTCTTGTTATGTCTTTATCTGGCTTTAGTATGAGGGTAACAATAGATTCATCTAATGAGCTGGGAGTACTCATTGTTGCTTAGGCGTCTGTTTCTGGGTCCTTTCAGCAGATAGAGCTAGGAAATATATGAATGTATATACATATAGACATAGATGTATATATATACACACACACCTATACATATACATGTACATACATAAGTAAATATATTTTATAAATCATGAGTTCACATTGTTACCCCAATGCCTGTCCATTCCCACAGGGCTCTTTCTTGCCTTTCCTCATTCCAAATTTGTATGACCCTTCTTCCACAATAAGCCCGCTGACTCCTAACAACCTTAACATAGTTCCTCATTTGCTCAGTCTTATAATACATATAAAATATTAATAATTTAAGAGTTGCTTCACTCATCTCACTACCCAAAAAAGAATCTTCTATAAAGAGTTCAGAGATCTTAAGTATACTAAATGAAAGAAGCAAGACACAAGAGTCACATACTATATGATTCTATTTATAGGAAATATCTAGAATTGCTAAATCCATAAAGACAGCAGATTCATGCTTGCCAGGCACTGGGGTAAGAGGGAGATAAGGAGTGATTACTTTATGGGTATAGGGTTTTCTTTTGGAGTGATGAAAATGTTTTGGAACTAGATGTAGGTAGTGGTTGCACAAAACGATGAATGTACTAAATGCTACTGAATTTTACGCTTTAACAGCTAATTTTATGTTATGTGAATTTCACTTAAAATATGTTTTAAAAGTTTGTATGCCATTCTCCTCCATCCTGCAACCCCCAAGACAGGAATACAATCAAGTAGGATTGAGTGTATATGTTTGCTTCCAGGTTTTGTTTGTTTCCCACTCCCCTTCCTATCTTTATTTTTTTTTTGTTTGGTTTTTGTTTTCCAGAGTTATTACAGTATAACTGACAAACAGAAATTGTACATATTTAAGATGTATAATGTGATGTGCACCACCATGCCTGGCTAATTTTTGTATTTTTAGTAGAGACAGGGTTTCACTATGTTGACCAGGATGGTCTTGAACTCCTGATCTCGTGATTCACCTGCCTCGGCCTCCCAAAGTGCTGGCATTACAGGCGTGAGCCACCGCGCCCAGCCCATTAACTCTTCTTTAACCCTTTTCCAATTTAGAAATAAAAGTGCAGCTTGCTGCCAGCACTCATTTAATTTTACATAAGCACACTCTTTTAGGCTGAAGCAAATCAGACTGATTTTCATTGTGAAAATAAAATATGAAAACTGTTTTTGGAGTTATTTCTAAACAGAACTAACATCAGAATCGTCTCAATCATCAGAATCATCTATTTTGGAAAAATCTGATTCATCAAATGAATCTTCAGTCAACAACTGTTCAAGAACGATGTTAACATCATGTGTAGGAATGCAATGCTTTCCAGGATTTGACATTTTCAGCAATTGAGAATTACTATATTTTGTAAATGAAGATACCCCTACTAAAAACAGAATGCTACAAATAGAATGATGTATTTTGTTTCCAAAGTTGATATACTAGAGTAATGCAAAAATAATAAAAGCAATATATTTGAAAGCAAAGTTATCTTGGGGTAAATGCTGTGGCTGCAAGTGCCGCTGGTGAGTATTCTTAGGACAAACAGGAAAAGGGTTAAATTTTTGGTACAATTCACCTGTGAAGCTTTCTGTTCCTGGGCTTTTTCTTTGTTGGGAGATTTTTTATTACTACTTCTCTCTCCTTGTTATTCATTTGTTCAGATTTTCTATTTCTTCATGATTTGGTCTTGATATGTTTATGTTTCTAGGAATTTATCCATTTCTTTGATGATCCAATTTTTTGGTGTGTGACTGTTCATTGTAGTCTCTTACAATCCTTTGTATTTCTTACAATCCTTTGTATTTCTTTTTATATATATATATACTTTAAGTTTTAGGGTACATGTGCACAATGTGCAGGTTTGTTACATATGTATACATGTGCCATGTTGGTGTGCTGCACCCATTAACTCATCATTTAGCATTAGGTATATCTCCTAATGCTATCCCTCCCCCCTCCTCCCACCCCATAACAGGCCCTGGTGTGTGATGTTTCCCTTCCTGTGTCCATGTGTTCTCATTGTTCAATTCCCACCTAAGAGTGAGAACACGCAGTGTTTGGTTTTTTCTCCTTGTGATAGTTTGCTGAGAATGATGGTTTCCAGCTTCATCTATGTCCCTACAAAGGACGTGAACTCATCATTTTTTATGGCTGCATAGTATTCCATGGTGTATATGTGCCACATTTTCTTAATCCAGTCTACTGTTGTTGGACATTTGGGTTGGTTCCAAGTCTTTGCTATTGTGAATAGTGCCGCAATAAACATACATGTGCATGTGTCTTTATAGCAGCATGATTTATAATCCTTTGGGTATATACCCAGTAATGGGATGGCTGGGTCAAATGGTATTTCTAGTTCTAGATCCCTGAGGAATCGCCACACCAACTTCCACAATGGTTGAACTAGTTTACAGTCCCACCAACAGTGTAAAAGTGTTCCTATTTCTCCACATCCTCTCCAGCACCTGTTGTTTCCTGACTTTTTAATGATCACCATTCTAACTGGTGTGAGATGGTATCTCACTGTGGTTTTGATTTGCATTTCTCTGATGGCCAGTGATGATGAGCATTTTTTCATGTGTCTTTTGGCTGCACAAATGTCTTCTTTTGAGAAGTGTCTGTTCATATCCTTTGCCCACTTTTTGATGGGGTTGTTTTTCTCTTGGAAATTGATTTGAGTTCATTGTAGATTCTGGATATTAGCCCTTTGTCAGATGAGTAGGTTGCAAAAATTTTCTCCCATTCTGTAGGTTGCCTGTTCACTCTGATGGTGGTTTCTTTTGCTGTGCAGAAGCTCTTTAGTTTAATTAGATCCCATTTGTCAATTTTGGTTTTTGTTGCCATTGCTTTTGGTGTTTTAGACATGAAGTCCTTGCCCATGCCTATGTCCTGAATGGTATTGCCTAGGTTTTCTTCTAGGATTTTTATGGTTTTAGGTCTAACATGTAAGTCTTTAATCCATCTTGAATTAATTTTTGTATAAGGTGTAAGGAAGTGATCCAGTTTCAGCTTTCTACATATGGCTAGCCAGTTTTCCCAGCACCATTTATTAAATAGGGAATCCTTTCCCCATTGCTTGTTTTTCTCAGGTTTGTCAAAAATCAGATAGTTGTAGATATGTGGCATTATTTCTGAGGGCTCTGTTCTGTTCCATTGGTCTATATCTCTCTTTTGGTACCAGTACCATGCTGTTTTTGTTACTGTAGCCTTGTAGTATAGTTTGAAGTCAGGTGGCGTGAGGCTTCCAGCTTTGTTCTTTTGGCGTAGGATTGACGTGGCAATGCAGGCTCTTTTTTGGTTCCATATGAACTTTAAAGTAGTTTTTTCCAATTCTGTGAAGAAAGTCATTGGTAGCTTGATGGGGATGGCATGGAATCTCTAAATTACCTTGGGCAGTATGGCCATTTTCACAATATTGATTCTTCCTACCTATGAGCATGGAAGGTTCTTCCATTTGTTTGTATCCTCTTTTATTTCATTGAGCAGTGGTTTGTAGTTCTCCTTGAAGAGGTCCTTCACATCCCTTGTAAGTTGGATTCCTAGGTATTTTATTCTCTTTGAAGCAATTGTGAATGTGAGTTCACTCATGATTTGGCTCTCTGTTATTGGTGTATAAGAATGCTTGTGATTTTTGCACATTGATTTTGTATCCTGAGACATTGCTGAAGTTGCTTATCAGCTTAAGGAGATTTTGGGCTGAGACAATGGGGTTTTCTAGATATACAATCATGTCATCTGCAAACAGGGACAATTTGACTTCCTCTTTTCCTAATTGAATGGCCCTTTATTTCCTTCTTCTGCCTGATTGCCCTGGCCGGAACTTCCAACACTATGTTGAATAGGAGTGGTGAGAGAGGGCATCCCTGTCTTGTGCCAGTTTTCAAAGGGAATGCTTCCAGTTTTTGCCCATTCAGTATGATATTGGCTGTGGGTTTGTCATAGATAGCCATTATTATTTTGAGATATGTCCCATCAATACCTAATTTATTGAGAGCTTTTAGCATGAAGGTTGTTGAATTTTGTCAAAGGCCTTTTCTGCATCTATTGAGATAATCATGTGGTTTTTGTCTTTGGTTCCGTTTATATGCTGGATTATGTTTATTGATTTTTGTAGGTTGAACCAGCCTTGCATCCCAGAGATGAAGCCCACTTGATCATGGTGGATAAGCTTTTTGATGTGTTGCTGAATTTGGTTTGCCAGTATTTTATTGAGGATTTTTTCATCAATGTTCATCAAGGATATTGGTCTAAAATTCTCTTTTGTTGTGTCTCTGCCAGGCTTTGGTATCAGGATGATGCTGGCCTCATAAAATGAGTTAGGGAGGATTCCCTCTTTTCCTATTGATTGGAATAGTTTCAGAAGGAATGGTACCAGCTCCTCCTTGTACCTCTGGTAGAATTTGGCTGTGAATCCGTCTGGTCCTGAACTTTTTTTGGTTGGTAAGCTATTAATTATTGCCTCAATTTCAGAGCCTGTTATTGGTCTATTCAGAGATTCAACTTCTTCCTGGTTTAGTCTTGGGAGAGTGTATGTGTCGAGGAATTTATCCATTTCTTCTAGATTTTCTAGTTTATTTGTGTAGAGGTGTTTATAGTATTCTCTGATGGTAGTTTGTATTTCTGTGGGATCGGTGGTGATATCCCCTTTGTCATTTTTTATTGCGTCTATTTGATTCTTCTCTCTTTTCTTCTTTATTAGTCTTGCCAGCAGTCTATCAATTTTGTTGATCTTTTCAAAAAACCAGCTCCTGGATTCATTGATTTTTTGAGGTGCTTTTTGTGTCTCTATTTCCTTCAGTTCTGCTCTGATCTTAGTTATTTCTTGCCTTCTGCTAGCTTTTGAATGTGTTTGCTCTTGCTTCTCTAGTTCTTTTAATTGTGATGTTAGGGTGTCAATTTTAGATCTTTCCTGCTTTCTCGTGTGGGCATTTAGTGCTATAAATTTCCCTCTACACACTGCTTTGAATGTGTCCCAGAGATTCTGGTATGTTGTGTCTTTGTTCTCATTGGTTTCAAAGAACATCTTTATTTCTGCCTTCATTTCGTTATGTACCCAGTAGTCGTTCAGGAGCAGGTTGTTCAGTTTCCATGTAGTTGAGTGGTTTTGAGTGAGTTTCTTAATCCTGAGTTCTAGTTTGATTGCACCATGGTCTGAGAGACAGTTTGTTATAATTTCTGTTCTTTTACATTTGCTGAGGAGTGCTTTACTTCCAACTATGTGGTCAATTTTGGAATAGGTGTGGTGTGGTGCTGAAAAGAATGTATATTCTGTTGACTTGGGGTGGAGAGTTCTGTAGATGTCTATTAGGTCTGCTTGGTGCAGAGCTGAGTTCAATTCCTGGATATCCTTGTTAACTTTCTGTCTCATTGATCTGTCTAATGTTGACAGTGGGGAGTTAAAGTCTCCTATTATTATTGTGTGGGAATCTAAGTCTCTTTGTAGGTCACTAAGGACTTGCTTTATGAATCTGGGTGCTCCTGTATCGGGTGCATATATATTTAGGATAGTTAGTTCTTCTGTTGAATTGATCCCTTTACCATTATGTAATGGCCTTCTTGGTCTCTTCTGATCTTTGTTGGTTTAAAGTCTGTTTTATCAGAGACTAGGATTGCAACCCCTGCCTTTCTTCGTTTTCCATTTGCTTGGTAGATCTTCCTCCATCCCTTTATTTTGAGCCTACGTGTGTCTCTGCACATGAGATGGGTTTCCTGAATACAGCACACTGATGGGTCTTGACTCTTTATCCAATTTGCCAGTCTGTGCCTTTCAATTGGAGCATTTAGCCCATTTACATTTAAGGTTAGTATTGTTATGTGTGAATTTGATCCTGTCATTATGATATTAGCTGGTTATTTTGCTCGTTAGTTGATGCAGTTTCTTCCTAGCCTTGATGGTCTTTACAATTTGGCATGTTTTTGGAGTGGCTGGTAGCGGTTGTTCCTTTCCATGTTTAGTGCTTCCTTCAGGAGCTCTTCTAGGGCAGGCCTGGTGGTGACAAAATCTCTCAGCATTTGCTTGTCTGTAAAGTATTTTATTTCTCCTTCACTTATGAAGCTTAGTTTGGCTGGATATGAAATTCTGCGTTGAAAATTCTTTCCTTTAAGAATGTTGAATATTGGCCCCCACTCTCTTCTGGCTTGTAGAGTTTCTGCTGAGAGATCAGCTGTTGTTAGTCTGATGGGTTTCCCTTTGTGGGTAACCCAACCTTTCTCTCTGGCTGCCCTTAACATTTTTTCCTTCATTTCAGCTTTGGTGAATCTGACAATTATGTGTCTTGGAGTTGCTCTTCTCGAGGAGTATCTTTGTGGCATTCTCTGTATTTCCTGAATTTGAATGTTGGCCTGCCTTGCTAGATTGGGGAAGTTCTCCTGGATAATATCCTGCAGAGTGTTTCCCAACTTGGTTCCATTCTCCCCGTCACTTTCAGGTACATCAAGTAGACGTAGATTTGGTCTTTTCACATAGTCCCATATTTCTTGGAGGCTTTCTTCATTTCTTTTTATTCTTTTTTCTCTAAACTTCTCTTCACGCTTCATTTCATTCATTTCTTCTTCCATCGCTGATACCCTTTCTTCCAGTTGATCGCATCGGTTACTGAGGCTTGTGCATTCGTCACATAGTTCTCTTGCCTTGGTTTTCAGCTCCATCAGGTCCTTTAAGGACTTCTGTGCATTGGTTATTCTAGTTATCCATTCATCTAATTTTTTTTCAAAGTTTTTAACTTCTTTGCCATTGGTTCGAACTTCCTCCTTTAGCTCGGAGTAGTTTGATTTTCTGAAGCCTTCCTCTCAACTCGTCAAAGTCATTCTCCAACCAGCTTTGTTCCATTGCTGGTGAGGAGCTGCATTCCTTTGGAGGAGGAGAGGCGCTCTGATTTTTAGAGTTTCCAGTTTTTCTGCTCTGTTTTTTCCCCACTTTTGTGGTTTTATCTACCTTTGGTCTTTGATGATGGTGACCTATAGATGGGTTTTTGGTGTGGATGTCCTTTCTGTTTGTTAGTTTTCCTTCTAACAGTCAGGACCCTCAGTTGCAGGTCTGTTGGAGTTTACTGGAGGTCCACTCCAGACCTGTTTGCCTGGGTATCAGCAGCGGTGGCTGCAGAACAGCGGATATTGGTGAACCACAAATGCTGCTGCCTGATCGTTCCTCTGGAAGTTTTGTCTCAGAGGAGTACCCGGCTGTGTGAGGGGTCAGTCTGCCCCTAGTGTGGGGTGCCTCCCAGTTAGGCTACTTGGGGGTCAGGGACCCACTTGAGGAGGCAGTCTGCCCGTTCTCAGATCTCAAGCTGCACGCTGGGAAAACCACGGCTCTCTTCAAAGCTGTCAGACAGGGACATTTAAGTCTGCAGAGGTTATTCCTGTCTTTTGTTTGTCTGTTCCCTGCCCCCAGAGGTGGAGCCTACAGAGGCAGGCAGGCCTCCTTGAGCTGTGGTGGGCTCCACCCAGTTCAAGCTTCCTGGCCGCTTTGTTTACCTACTCAAGCCTGAGCAATGGTGGGCGCCCCTCCCCCAGCCTCACTGCCACCTTGCAGTTTGATCTCAGACTGCTGTGCTAGCAATGAGCAAGGCTCTGTGGGCGTAGGACCCTGAGAGCCATGTGCGGGATATAATCTCCTGTTGTGCCATTTGATAAGCCCGTTGGAAAAGTGCAGTATTAGGGTGGGAGTGACCCGATTTTCCAGGTGCCGTCTGTCACCCCTTTCTTTGACTAGGAAAGGGAATTCCCTGACCCCTTGCGCTTCCTGGGTGAGGCGATGCCTCGCCCTGCTTCAGCTCACGCATAGTGCGCTGCACCCACTGTCCTACACCCACTGTCTGGCACTCCCTAGTGAGATGATCCCGGTACCTCAGTTGGAAATGCAGAAATCACTGGTCTTCTGAGTTGCTCACGCTGGGAGCTGTAGACTGGAGCTGTTCCTATTTGGCCATCTTGGCTCCACCCCCAATCCTTTGTATTTCCATAGTATCAGTTGTAATGTCTCCTCTTTCATTTACAATTGTATTTATTTGAGTTTCTTTTTTTTTCCCTTTGGTTAATCTAGCTAAAGGTTTATTTTATCCTTTCAAAAAAAAAACAGCTCTTGGTTTATCTATTTTGTTTAGCCTTTCAAAGAAACTTTTAGTTTCATTGATCTTTTCAGTTGTTTTACTATCTTAATGTCATTTATTTCTGCTCCAATATTTATTATTTACTTCCTTCTGCTAACCTTGGACTTAGTTTATTATTCTTTTTCTAGCTCCTTGATGTATAAAATGAGTTTTTTTATTTAAGATATATTCCTTAGGCATTTATCACAATAAACTTTACATTTTAAATTTTATTTTATTTATTTTTTTGCAACAGAGTGTTGCTCCGTTGCCCAGGCTGGAGTGCAGTGGCATGATGTCAGCTCACTGCCACTTCTGCCTCCTGGGTTCAGGCAATTCTTATGCCTTAGCCTCCCAAGAAGCTGAGATTATAGTCACATGCCACCATGCCTAGCCAATTTTTGTGTTTTTAGTAGAGACAGGGTTTCACCATGTTGGTCAAGCTGGTCTTGAACTCCTGGCTTCAAGCAATCAGCCTCTCAAAGTGCTGAGTTTACAGGTGTAAGCCACTGCACCTGGTCTTAAACTTTAATTCTATAATTGCTTTTGCTGCCTTGCATAAGTTTTGACATATTGTTTTTTCATTTTTGTTTTACACAAGATACTTTTTAACTTCCCTTTGATTTCTTTGTTGACCTATTTTTTTCAGGAGTGTGCTGTTTAATATCCACATACTTGTGGATATTAAAAACTTAATACTCATCACATACTTGTGGATATTAAAAATTTTCCAATTTTTCTCATTATTTCTAGCTTCTTACTATTGTGGTTCGTAAAGATACTTGATATGATTTTAGTCTTCTTAAATTTCGTAAGACTTGCTTTGTGGCCTAAAATGATATATCCTAGAGAATGTTCCCTATGTGCTTCAGAAGAATATATGTTCTGCTGCTGTTGGATGGAATGTTCTATATATATCTGTTAGTTCTATGTGATCTATAGTAGTGTTCAAGTCAGCTATTTCTTACTGATTTTCTGTCTAAAAAATCTATCCATTTTTGAAGGTGAAGTATTGAAGTCCACTACTATTATTGCATTGCTGTGTTTTTTTCCCTTCCAGGTTCTTCATATTTCTTTATATATTTAGATGCTCTGATGTTGAGTGCATATAGAGTTACTATTGTTATACCCTCTTGATAAATTGACCCTGTATCATTAGTGACCTTCTTTGTATCTTGTGATGGATTTTGAGTTAAAGTCTATTTTGTCTGATATAAGTATAGCCACCCCGTTCTCTTTTAGTTACTATTTGCGTGGAATGTTTCCATTTTTCACTTTCAGCATGTATGTGTCCTTAAATCTAAAGTGATAAACTGAGTCTCTTGTAGGCAGCATATTGGTGAGTCTTGTTTTTCTTTTAATCCATTCAGCCACTATGTTTGTTTTAATTTTGAGAATTTACTCCATTTATATTTAAGGTACTTATTGATAGGTAAAGACTTACTATTAGCATTTTCTTGTTTTCTGTTTCGTAGCTCTTTTCTGCCTCTCTTGCTTTGTGATTTGTTAATTTTTGGAGTTATATGCTTTGATTCCTTTCTCTTTACTTTTTTGTGTATGTACTATGAGGGGTTTTTGGTGATTGCCATGCTTATATAAAATATATTTATAACAGTCTATTTCAAGTAAATAACAACTTAACTTCAATTGCACACAAAAACTCTACATTTTTACTTCTCCATCTACCCAATATGTTATACTATTTATTTTATACTTTATATTTTTTATATTGTGAATGTATTCATTAACACATTATTATAGCTACAGTTATGTTTAATTACTTTTGTCTTTAAATATTTATAGCAAAGTTAACAGTGATTTCTACACCATTACAGTATTTGAGTACAATTGACCCTTGAACCACATGGGTTTGAATTGTGTGGGTCCACTTATATGCAGATTTTCTTTTACCTCTGCCACCCTTGAAACAGTGAGACCAACTACTACTTTTTCTATTCTCCTCAACCTACTCAACATAAAGACAACGAAAATGAAGACATTTATGATGATTCAATTCTACTCAATGAATAGCAAATATATTTTTCTTCCTTAAGATTTTCGTAATATTTTTTCTCTAGCTTACTTTATTGTAAGAATAGAGTATATAATACATACAACATACAAAATGTGTTAATTGATTATGTTATCTGTAAGGCTTCCAGTCAACAATAGGCTATAGTAGTTAAGTTTCTAGAAAGAGAGTCAAGATTATACATGAATTTTCAACTGTGTGGGGGGCCAGCACCCCAACCCTTTTATTGCTTGAGTCAACTATATACTGAATTTGAATATATATTTATCTTTACCAGTGATTTTTATGCTTTCAAGAATGTTTATGTTGTTACTTGGCATCCTTTTATTTCAACTTGAAGAACTCCCTTAGCAGTTCTTATAAGGGTCTAATGGTGATTAATTCTCTCAGCTTTTGTTTGTCTAGGAATGTCTTTATCTTTCCTTCATTTGTAAAGAACAGATTTTCTGGGTATAATATTTTAGGTTCACAGTTTTCTTTCCCCTCAGGTTTTTTTTTGTTTTTTTTTTTTTTGAGATGGAGTCTCACTCTGTCACCCAGGCTGGAGTGCAGTGGTGCGATCTCAGCTCACTGCAAGCTCCGCCTCCCGGGTTCACGCCATTCTCCTGCCTGGGACTGCAGGTGCCCACCACCACACCCGGCTAATTTTTTGCATTTTTAGTAGAAACAGGGTTTCACCATGTTAACCAGGATGGTCTTGATCTCCTGACCTTGTGATCTGCCCACCTCAGCCTCCCAAAGTGTTGGGATTACAGGCGTGAGCCACTGTGCCCAGCTCCCCTCAGTATTTTGAATGTTTTATTCCACTTCCTCCTGGTCTGCAAGTTTTTACTGAGAAATCCGCTGATAGCATTATGGAAATTGGCTTGTACATGAGTCATTTTTCTCATGCTGTTTCAAAATTTTCTTCATCTTTGACTTTTAACAATTTGATAATAATGTGTTTTCCTGTGGATTTTTTTTTTAAGTTCATCTTATTTGGTGTCCTTTATTTCTTGGATCTGGATGTACATTTCTTTCACCAGATGTGGGAAATAATTGAGGAAATTATTTAAGTAAGTTTTCTACCCTCTTTCTCTCT
The DNA here is from genome assembly GCF_000001405.40 of Homo sapiens. Lineage (NCBI taxonomy): Eukaryota > Metazoa > Chordata > Mammalia > Primates > Hominidae > Homo > Homo sapiens. Next base: position 111,039,883 of record NC_000010.11, on the reverse strand, counting down.
TGCTCTTATACTTCTTAAACTCCCATAATGCGTACATTTGTTCATGTGATTGTATCCCATAGATCCCATATGGTTTCTTCACATGTTTTCTCTTTCATTTTTTGTTCCTCTAACTGGCTAATTTCAAATGACCTGCCTTTGAGTTCACTAATTCTTTCTTCTGCATGATCAGGTCTGTTGTTAAAGCTCTCTATTGGATTTTTTTTAAAAAAGTTCTGTCGAAGTATTTTTCAGCTCTAGGATTTCTGTTTGGTTCTTTTCAATATATTCTATTTCTTTATTAAACATCTCATTTTGTTCAATCACTGTCTTCCTGATTTTATTAATTGTCTACCTCTGTTCTCTTGTATCTCATTTAGCTTAAGATAATTACTTTGAATTCTTTGTCATGCAATTTGTAGATCTCCATTGCCTTGAGATCAGTTACTAGAACCTTACTGGTTTCCTTTGGAAGTGTTATGTTGGCCTGATTCTTCATAATCCATGTAGGCTTCCACTTGTGCCTGTGCATTTGAAGGAGCAAGCACCTCTTCTGGCATTTACAGACTGGTCTCAGTAGGTAAAGATCTCCTGTTGGGTCCCTGGGCTGATAGGATTGCCTCTAGGATCACAATTGAGAAAGTCTGAAGCTGGGTCATGTGGCTGCTGCTGGGTTCACAGTTGGGTCTGCAGTTGGCAAACCTATTTCCAGAGGTGTGGATCTTTCTTGGTCCCTGAGTGAATGGGACTGCCACCAGTACTTTAGTAAGGCTGGCTCTGCAACAAGAGTTCACTTCAGGGTGTGTAGTTGTGTCTAGAGATGGCAGACCTCTTGCCAAGTGCACAGATGAGTGTGACTATATACTGAATTTGACTATATGTTTATCTTTGCCAGTGATTTCTTTACTTTCAAGTTACTTGGACAGTTTTAAATTTTACATTGGTCCCTGGGAGGGCTACCACCAGGTGTCTGGGTGGGTTCCTGGGTGGGCAGGACTGACCCCAGACTGTGGCTGAAAGGGGTTGGAATTGAGTTTGGCTGGGTCACTCTTCAGGTGCCACAGCCAAAACTGAGGTCTGCAGGTCTGCCTCCAAGTATACAGACAGGTGTGAGTCCATGGGTGGGCAGAATTGCTCCCAGACCATCGAGAGGGGTTGGAATTGGGTTATAGGGCCACTTCAGAATCAGCGATTGGACCATGATCACAAGGCCTGTTAACCAACACATTGGTGGGGATAGCTCCTCCCAGATTCCTTAGTGGCTAGTCCTGTTGGTAAAACCAAGGCCAAATGGGGCTGTAAACAAGTCCACAGAGGGACAGAGTTGTTTCTCTGTCCTGTGGGAAGGACCACCCTTCTATCCTATTGCATCACCACCACTTGTACATAGCGAATTTAATTGTCTTCCTTCTATAAAGATAAGCAAATGTGTGCTTATTTCCTTTTACTACACAACAGGTAATATTGTATATACATGTTGCTTTTTTTTTCCTGAACAATCTGTCTCCTAAAAATCACTCCGTATCAGTTATAAAGACTTCCCTTCATATATTTTGTATAGGTGCATAGTATTCTATTTTGTGGATATATCATAGTTTATTCAACTAATATCCAAATCTGCTTGAACAATTATTTTTCAATATTTTGCCTTTATAAATAATGCTTCAATGACTAGCTTTATGCATATGTGCTTTCATATTGTTAGAGATGTATCTTCAGGGTAAATTACTACAAATGGGACTGCTGGAGTGAAAAGAAAATGTATACCTAGTTATATTAAATATTGCTAAATTTCCTTTTCAGTGGTTGTGCAATATTGTTTTCCCACCAGTAGGGCTGCCACTGCAACAAAGGTTCACCTCAGGGCCTGTTGTCTACAAAGCCTTGCAAATGGAGCATATGGTCAAACTTTTACATGTTGTCAAGCTGGTGGGTGAAAAATGCATTAATTTACATTTATCTTATGAGTAGAGCTGAATGTCTTTTTTACAAATTTATGTCTATTTATCTATTTAGGTTATTTTTCTATTATTCTATTAGCTACTTTGGTCATAGTTTAAAAGGTTTTCCCTATACCCACATTAAAAAGGAAATCACCTATGTTATCTTCTAGTTACTTGCAGTTTTATATTTTACATTTAGGTCTCTGATCCTTTGGGGGTTCATTCTTGTGTGTGGTGGAAAGAATGGATCTAATTTTTTCAAAGAGCTATACGGCTGTCCTTATACCATTTATTTAGAATATTTTTTCCCAAGTGATTTATCAACTTTATTACATAGATTTCCACCTGTAATAGGGCCTATTTCTGAATTTTCCACTTTAATCTATTGGTCTGCCTTTACATGTGCCAGTATCCCATTTTTAATTTTAGTATCTTTTATTGTCTGATAGGGTAATGCTCATAGCTTTGTTTTCAGTGTTTTCCTAGGTATTCTTGCATATTAGTTTTCTTACAAAAACTTTAACATCAACTTCTTTAGCCCCATGAAAACTCATTGGCATTTTTTTGTTTTGCACTAAATTTGTAACTTAGGGAAAATATCTGGACGATGCTGAGATGCCTAAGCAAGAACAAGAATTATCTTTCAAATTGTTCAAGTCTACTTGTCCTTCAGGTGCATTTTACAGTGTGTTCATGTATATATATATATATATATATGTGTGTGTGTGTGTGTGTATATATATATGTGTGTGTGTGTGTGTATATATATGTGTGTGTATATATATATAGTATGTGTACATATGTATCTATATATGTGTATGTAGCTTTTGAACATTTCTTGTTAGGTAATTTGTTTTTCTTGCTAACATAATTGGGATTTTCTCATCCACTGCATCAACTAACTGGTTATTACTTCTGTATACCACACATTCTCAATAGTGGCATTATTGCTCCTCAAAGACAAAAATTGATTTGGTGGAGTAACATACTAGTTTGTGGGTCTCTAAAAGATCACAGTACATAAGGAGAATACACTATACCTCTGTTCAGGTTTGGTCTCAATTTTGTCATCTTATGTTGTATTCATTGTGTTCCTTTACTTGATGTGTCCTTTCTTGCTTTTTAAAAATTTATTTAGGTATTAGAAAGGTTTGCCTTTTTATTTGGATGGTTATCTTTGTATTAATAGTTTTAAAATAATGCCCTAGTCCCCTTATTTCTCATTAACCTTTTACTATATGGTATGTTGCTTTTATGTATCTTTCAAGTTTCATCTATACAGTGATTGATGATCTTATTTAAGCTTTCTCTCTGCCTTCTCCCTTTTAACAGCTTTATTGAGATATAATTCACATACCACACAATTAATCTACCTAAAGTGTATAATTCAACTATTTTATTATATTCAGAGTTGTGCAGTCATCACCACAATCAATTTTAAAATATTTTATTACCCCTGTACCCATTAGTAGTCACTCTTCATTTTCCTCAAAGATTTCCAGCCTTAGGCAACCACTAATCTATGTCTACGTTTGCCTATACTGGACATTTCATATAAATGAAATTATACAATATTTGGTCTTTTGTGACTGGCTTCTTTTACTTAGCTTTTTCACGTTTTCAAGGTTTATCCATGTTGTAGCATTATCAGTATTTCCTTAGTTTTCATTGCCAAATAACATTTCAATCTGTGGCTATACCACATTTATCTATCCACGAATCAACTGATGGATTCTTGGGTTATTTTTGCCTTTTTTGCTATTATGAATGTTGTATGAATATTCTTGTACAAGATTTTGTGTAGATGAATGTGTTCACCTATATTGGGTATATATCTAGGGGTGAAATTGCTGGGTCATGTGGTAACTGTTTAACATTTTGAGTAACTGCCAGACTGTTTTCTAAAGTGGCTGCACCCTTTTACATACCCATCACCAATTTATGAAGGTTCCAGATTCTTCACATCCTCCTCAATATGTATTCTTACCTGTCTTGCTAATTATAGGCTTCTGAGTGGGTGTGAAGTGACATCTTCTTGTGGTGTTGATATATATACCTCTCCTTTTTAGATTGTGTTCTCTCTAAATATTTAGTCAGAATATTTAGTGTTCATCTGCCCTTCATTCCACCCTGGTTTTAATGTTATTTCTACAAATATACAAAATGCTCACAGCTGGTGTTTGTTTTCACAGTCATCTTTTTGCTTAGTAATACTCAGTATCTAGTAGATTCTTCAGGAAGGGTACATGTTTACAGCATTGCCTGAGATCTTGCACATTCAAAACTGCTTATAGCCTTAATACTTGAAGGTTAACTTTGATGGATATATCTTAGTTCACACTAAACTTCCTCAAAATGATGTTCCACTGTTGTGCTTGTGCTTTCATATTTTTGAAAGTATAATGTCTCTCAATCTCTTGCCTTTTAAAATTTTTTTCCTGAAGGATTTAAGGATTTTTTAAAACAATCTTTAATAGTTTTACTATAGTGTGTCTCTGAGTCAATTGTTCTAGTCAATTTTCTTGGGGAACCAATAGACTCCTTCAATGTGTCCATTCGGGTCTTCTTTTATTTCTGGAAAGTTATTTTCCCTGTAGCCAAATATGGTGAAATACCAAGTCCTAACCTATATTCAGTATTTTGGCATTTAATGTTGAATTTTCTCTTTTTGGGGTGAATTTGTTTATCTGAGCAAAAATGGCAGAAGCAACACAAAGTTTACCACACCAACTTGGGCAAATGCTGATGGCTTTTCCATCAACACCTCAATATCCTCCTAGGTTGGTGACAAGACTTCACTACATTATTTTCCACAATTTTATCTCAAATCACCAAAATATTTATTTCCTGTTCTTCCCAACATTAGAATGTAATGAGTCAGAAGAATGTTACTTGTAGGGAGAAGTGAAAGTTTTAAAATAGAAAAATCATAGAGATGCAGAAACACCATTTTAAGGTTATGTTTTTGTGAAAGCAATGAACAAGCTTTTAACAAACATTAACCAAACAAAAGAAACTTAAAAGTGACATGATTTTTGACAATATTAATTGCAAAATAAAATGATTTTTAGAAAAAATGTGCTAAAGAGGAGTTAACCATGCTCACTACCGTGGTAGGATCCAATATACAGTATCTGGGGGAGGTTAGCATGTTATCAAGAGTAATTCTGAGAGTTGCACAATAACTGCATGCTAGGACTTTTATAAGTCATATTTAGAGATAAGGATAACATTGCAAAAAAAAAGATTTTTAAAAGGATATTTTGAGGCTATTTATTGATACTTGGGGCATCAGGGTACTGCCATAATAATTTCATAGAGAGTGCACAGGAGTTGACGTCTCTCAAAAAAAAATAGCCACCAGAGAATTTCTGAGAATCATGGTTTCTTAAAATTTTGAGAGGCTCGTTATAAATCCACTAGAATGGCTAAAATGAAAACGTCAAACAATAGTAAATGTCAGGCAAGATTTGGAGCTATGGAACCCTATATATCAACTGGTAGAAGTGTAAATTAATGCAACCACTCTGGAAAGTTGTTCAGTAGTGAGATCATTTGGCTGTGTCCTCACCCAAATCTCGACTTGAACTATAGCTCCCAGGATTCCCTTCTGTTGTAGGAGGGACCCCGGGGAGGTAACTGAATCACAGGGGCCAGTCTTTCCCGTGCTATTCTCGTGATAGTAAGTCTCACGAGATCTGATGCATTTATCAGGGGTTTCTGCTTTTGTTTCTTCCTCATTTTTCTCTTGCTGCCACCATGTAAGAAGTGCCTTTCACTTCCTGCCATGATTTTTTTTTTTTTTTTTTTTGAGACAGAGTCTCACTCTGTCGCCCAGGCTGGAGTGCAGTGGCACTATCTCTGCTCACTGCAAGCTCCACCTCCTGGGCTCACGCCATTCTCCTGCCTCAGCCTCCCAAGTAGCTGGGACTACAGGCACCTGCCACCATGCCCGGCTAATTTTTTTGTATTTTTAGTAGAGACGGGGTTTCAACTGTGTTCTCCAGGATGGTCTCAATCTCCCGACCTCGTGATCCGCCCACCTCGACCTCCCAAAGTGCTGGGATTACAGGCGTGAGCCACCGCGCCTGGCCCTCCTGCCATGATTCTGAGGCCTCCCCAGCCATGTGGAACCATAAGTCCAATTAAACCTCTTTTTTGTCCCAGTCTCGAGTATGTCTTTATCAGCAGCATGAAAAGGGATAATACAGTAAATTAGTACCAGTAGAGTGATGCATTGCTGAAAAGATAACCAAAAATGTGGAAGCAACTTTGGAACTGGGTAACAGGCAGAGGTTGGAACAGTTTGGAGGGCTCAGGAGAAGACAGGAAAATGTGGGAAAGTTTGGATCTCCCTAGAAACTTGTTGAATGGCTTTGCCCAAATTGCTGACAGTGATACGGAAAATAAAATCCAGGCTGAGGTGGTCTCAGATGTAGATGAAGAATTTGTTGGGAACTGGAGCAAAGGTGACTCGTTGTGTTTTAGCAAAGAGACTGGGGGCATTTTGCCCTGCCCTAAAAATTTGTGGAACTTTGAACTTGAGATAATTTAGGATATCTGGCAGAAGAAATTTCTAAGCAACAAAGCATTCAAGAGGTGACTTGGGTGCTGTTAAAGGCATCCAGTTTTATAAGGGAAGCAGAGCATAAAAGTTTGGAAAATTTGCCACCTATGTGATAGAAAAGAAACACCCATTTTCTGGGGAGAAATTCAAGCTGGTTGAAGAAATTTGCATAAGTAGCAAGGAGCCTAATGTTAATCCCCAAGACCACAGGGAAAATGTCTCCAGGCCATGTCAGAGACCTTCACGGCAGCCCCTCCCATCACAGGCTCAGAGGCCCGGGAGGAAAAAGTGGTTTTGTGGGCCAAGCCCAAGATCCCTGTGTTGTGTGCAGCCTAAGGACTTGATGCCCTGTGTTCCAGCTGCCTCAGCCTTGGCTGAAAGTGGCCAATGTACAGCTTAGGCTGTGGCTTCAGAGAGTGGAAGCCCCAAGTCTTGGCAGCTTCCATGTGGTATTGAGTCTGCAGGTGCACAGAAGTCAAGAATTGAGGTTTGGGAACCTCCACCTAGATTTCAGATGTATGGAAATGCCTGGATGCCCAGGCAAATTTGCTGCAGGGGCAGGGCACTCACGGAGAACCTCTGCTAGGGCAATGTGGAAGCGAAATGTGGGGTCAGAGCCCCCATACAGAGTCTCTATTGGGGCACTGCCTAGTGGAGCTGTGAGAAGAGGGCCATCATCCTCCAGACCCCAGAATGGTAGATCCACTGACAGCTTGCACAGTGCACCTGGAAAAGCCACAGACACTCAACACCAGCCCCTGAAAGCAGCCAGGAGGGAGGCTATACCCTGCAAAGCCCCACAGGGACAGAGCTGCCCAAGACCATGGGAACCCACTTCTTGCATCAGCATGACCTGGATGTGAGACCTGGAGTCAAAGGAAATCATTCTTGAGCTTTACAATTTGACTGCTCTGCTGGATTTCAGACTTGCGTGGGCCCTGTAACCCCTTTGTTTTGGCCGATTTCTCCCATTTGGAATGGCTGTATTTACCCAATACCTGTGCCTCCATTGTATCTAGGAAGTAACTAGTTTGCTTTTGATTTTACAGGCTCATAGGTGGAGGGGACTTGCCTTGTCTCAGATGAGACTTTGGACTGGAGACTTTTGGATTAATGCTGAAGTGAGTTAAGACTTTGAGGGACTGTTGGGAAGGCATGATTGATTGGTTTTGAAATGTGAGGACTTGAGATTTGGAGGGGCCAGGGCAGAATTATATGGTTTGGCTCTGTCCCCACCCAAATCTCAACTTTAATTGTGTCTCCCAGAATTCCCCCATGTTGTGGGAGGGGCCCAGGGGGAGGTAACTGAATCATGGGGGCCAGTCTTTCCCGTGGCTATTCTCATAATAGTGAATAAGTCTCATGAGATCTGATGGGTTTACCAGGGGTTTCTGCTTTTGCTTCTTCCTCATTTTCTCTTGCCGTCACCATGTAAGAAATGCCTGTCGCCTCTCACCATGATTTTAAGGCCTCCTCAGCCATGTGGAACTGTATGTCCAATTGAACCTCTTTTTTTTCCCAGTCCCTAGTATGTCTTTATCAGCAGCGTGAAAACAGACTAATACAAATAGTATCTAGTAAATCTGAATATCTGTATATTCTATAAGTAATTCCATTTTCAGGTATATACCATAGAGACATACATATGTTTATCAAAAGACACATTCAAAAATGTTCATAGCAGCATTAGTCATAGAAGCCTGAAACAGAAAAGGAAATCATAATATTCATCAACAGCAGAATGGTGATATAAATTGTGGTATCTTCACATGATGGAATACTATATAGCAATGCAAATGAACAAACTACAATTATATGCATCATAAATCTCATTTGTAATTTATGTACTTTTATATATATTTTTACTTTTATAGTTTATATAAAAAAGCTACCTACAACTAAAAATATATATGTGACTTACTTGACAACATAATACCCTTCATACACACAGAGCATTTAAGATCAGAAGGAAAAACAAAAACCAGTAACTCACAAAATAAAGGGTTAAATTTTTCAGAAATTATGAAAAAAGAATATAAAAAATAAGGCAAGGTTTTTCTTCCAGATTTAAAGATTGCTACCCAAAAAGAAGCATTTGATGATATTGCACATTACAATTCTAGCATTAGCTAGATTAAAAGTCTTGGAAGTTTAGTTCACACACTGTATTCTCAATTTTGGTTAATGAAGACAAATGCCTTTATGTTACTTGTTGCCTTTCCCATTGGTTTTATTTCTTGGGAAGCATTTTGTCTTTTCCTCTTAGGAATTTTAAAGAAAGGTAATGTTCACATCCAAGAATGAATTAGATATAACTCCATGGTACCTGGGTGTGACAGTCATAAATGTCAGTGATAATTAGTTATAAATTATAAAACTCTCAGATTAATAGTTTAATATAATAATACAGCTCAGACTAATTCCATGATCTTTCATATTTCATCATGTCAAACTTTAAAAAAAGAAAAAGAAAAAGACAATATACTTTTCAGTGTTTGGGGGGAAAGTTCAAAATTGTGGTATTCTCATGGTAGTCACAAAGGAAGAAACCTATAATAAACACACTAAATATAAAAAGCAAGGAATTAAAACATACTACCAGAGAATATTACTTATCCACAAAGGAGGACAAAGAAGGAAAAGAGGACTTACAAAACAACCAGAAAACAAATAACACAATAGCAGTAGTAAGTCTTTACCTATCAATAATAATGGTAAATGTAAAAGGACTAAATTATCCAATCAAAAGACAGAGTGCCTGAATAGATTTAAAAACAAAAATAAAAGCAAGACCCAACTATATGCTGACTACTCACTTCCTCTGCAATGACACATGTAGACTGAAAGTGAAAGGATGGGAAAAAGATAATCCACACAAATGGAAACCAAAAACAGAGCAGTGGTGGCTATACTTATATCAGACAAAATAGAATTCTAGTAAAAAATTATCAAAAGACAAAGTGATTATGTAAATGATATGGGAGGGGGGCAGGGAAGTGCTGGGTAGAGACATGAGGGGTCCCCGGCAAGGGCTCTACCCTCGGGCCTGTGCCCGTGGACCTAGGTGGGCAGACACACCAGTTTTTGCACCCAAATGTTGCATTTTTCAAGACCACCCTGGCCTGCCACGCCCCCATCCTATGCCTGTGAAAACCCTGAGACCCAAGACCCTAGCGGGCACAGAGACAAGCAGCTGGACATTGAGAGGAACACACTGGCAGAAGAACACACAGGTGCCTGGAGGTCAAGAGGGGCAGAGGGGTGGAAGAGCACACCGACAGGTACCAGCAAATGCTGACGGGCCATCAATGCGGGACAGCATGGAATTCAGCCAGGGCGATCAAAGGAGAGTCTGCCGCTGGGCAGCCCGACTCCAGGGGAAGACGACCTTCCCACTCCATCCACCTTAGGTCCTCCCCATTCAACTCGCTGAGAGCTACTCCACTGAATAAAACCTTGCACTCATCTCCAAGCCCACATGTGATCCGATTTTTCTGGTACACTAAGGCAAGAACCTGGGATACAAAAAGCCCTTTGTCCCTGCGATAAAGCAGAGGGTCTAATTGAGCTGATTAACACAAGCCTCCTGTGGACAGCAAAACTGAAAAGCACACTGTAACACACACCCACTGGGGCTTTGGGAGCTGTAAATACTCAACCCTAGACACTGCCCAGGGTCAGCACTCCCCACCACCAGCCCGTCTGTATGCTCCGCCTAGGGGTATGAGCAGTGGGGCACCTAAGAAGCGAGCCACGCCCCCATTGCAGGCCCTGAGAGGAGAATAAGACAACTTTTCCGGATGACAAAGGGGTCAATTCAATAAGAGGATATAACAGTAGTAAATAGGTATGCAACCAACATCAGAGCACCCAAATACATAAAGCAAATATTAATAAATCCAAAGAGAGAGACCGAAATACAATAGTATTAATAGATTTCCACATCTCAGTGTCAGCAATGGACAGATCATTCAGAAAATCGACCAAAACACATCAAACTTCATCTCTAGACCAAATAGACCTGATATTTACAGAACATTTCATCCAGCTACTGCAAAATACACATTCTCCTCATCAGCACATGGAACATTCTCGAGACTAGGACATACATTCTCTAGGATAGGACATATGTTAGGTCACAAAATAAATCTTTAACAAATTTAATAAAATCAAAATTATATCAGGTATCTTTTCTGACCGCAATGGAATAAAACTAGAAATCCATCACAAGAGGAACTATGGAAACTAAACAAATACATAGGTTAAACATGCTCGTGAATGACCAATGGGTCAATGAAGAAGCAAAGAAGGAAATTTTAAAATGTCTCGAGACAAATGAAAACACAACATACCAAAATTTACAGGACCTAACAAAAGTAGTACTATGAGCGAAGTTTCTAGCAATAAACAACATCAAAAAAGTAGCAAGACATCAAATAAACAAACTAGTGATTTGCCTTAAAAAATTAGAAGAGCAAGAACCACCCAAATTGAAGATTAACAGAAGGAAAAAATAATGATGAGGGCAGAATAAAATTGAGGCTACCAATATACAAATACCAACAAAACAAAAATTGGTTTTTTGAAAAGACAATATAAGCAAATCTTTAGCTAGACTACCTAAGAATAAATAAATAAATAAAGTCAGAGATAAAAAAGGAGACATTACAATGATACCACAGAAATTCAAAGGATCATTAGGGACTATTATGAGAGCAATGTAGGCCAATAAATTTGAAAACCTAGAATAAGTGAATAAAGTTCTAAACACACACAATCTACTACGATTGAAATATGAGAAATAGAAAACCTGAACAGATCAATAATGAGTAACAAGAAAGAAGAAGTAATAAAGTCTAACATCAAAGAAAAACCCCAGGGCCCGATGGCTTCATGCTGAATTCTAGCAAATATTAAAACAACTAATTCTACTCAAAGTGTTTCCAAAAACTGAGGAGGGAATACTTCCAAACTCATTCTACAAAGCTAGCATTACCCTGATACCAAAACCATACAATAATAATTTTTAAAAAAGAATACAGGCCAATATCTCTGATGAACATAAATGCAAAAATCCTCAATAAAAACCTAGTAAATTGAATCTAACGACATGTAAAAAAGATCATGATGATCAAGTGGAATTCATCTCAGGGCTGAAAGGATGGTTTAAAATATGCAAATCAATAAGTGTGACATCACATTACTAGAATCAAGGACAAAAAAATATGATCATTTCGATAGATGCTGGAAAGGCATTTGATAAAACCCAACATCCCATTCATTGTAAAAACTCTCAACAAACTGGGTATAGAAGGAACATAATAAAGGCCATATACGACACACCCACAGCTAGCATATTGAATAGCATATATATCGAATGGTGAAAAATTGAAAACCTTCCCTCTAAGATCTGGAACGCAACGAGGATGCCCATATTCAACACTTTTATTTAACATAGTACTGGAAGTCCCATCCAGAGTCCATTCCTACTGGAAGACAAAGAAGTAAAGGGAATCCAAATTAGAAAGGAAGATGTCAAATTGTCCGTGTTTGCAGATGACTTGATCTTACATTTAGAAAAAACTAAAGACTCTGCCAAAACATTACTAGAACTGATAAACCAGTAGAGTTACAAGATACAAAATCAACATACAAAAATCAGGAGCTACAATGTTAGTTGTGCACTTGGAAAAAAAAATCAGTAGCATTTCTATATGCCAAGAGCAAATGAACTGAAAAGGAAATCAGGAGAGCAATCCCATTTCTAACAACTACAAAAAAACCACACCTAGAAACAAACTTAACCAAAGAAATGAAAGCTCTCTACAACGAAAACTATAAAACACTATTGAAAGAAATTGATAAGGACACACACATACAAAAAGGAGATATATCCTGTGTTCATGGATTGGAAGAATTAATATTGTTAAAATGTCCATACTACTCAAAGTGATCTATACATTCAATGCAATCACTATTAAAATACCAATGACATTCTTCACAGAAATAGGGAAAAATTCCTAAAATTTGTATGGAATCATAAAAAACAAACAGAATAGCCAAAGCAACCCTGAGCAAAAAGAACAAACCTAGAGACATCACAATATCTGAACTCAAAATATACTACCAAAACAGCATGGTACTGGCATAAAAACAGACACATAGACCAATGGAACAGCATAGAGAACTCAGAAATAAATCCTTACATTTACAGTCAACTCATTTTTGACAAAGGCACCAACATATATTGAAGAAATGATAGTCTCTTCAATAAATCATGCTGGGAAAATGATATCCATTTGCAGAATGAAATAGACTTATCTCTCTCACTGTATACAAAAATCAACTCAACATGGATTAAAGACGTAAATATATGACCTGCAGCTACTAGAAGAAAACATTGGGAAAACACTTCAGGCCATTGATCTGGGCAAAGATTTCATAAGGCCTCAAAAGCACAGGCAACCAAAGCAAAAACTGACAAATGGGATTACCTCAAGCTAAAAAGCTTCTGCACAGCCATGGAAACAATCGACAAAGTGAAGAGATAACCTAGAGAATGAGAGAAAATATTTGCAAACTATTAATCCAACAGAGGATTAATAACCGGGATATATAAGGAACTCAAACAACTCAATAGCAAATACTAATACTCCAATTTAAAAATGGGCAAAAGATCTTAATAGACATTTCTCAAAAGAAGACATACAAATGGCCAACAGATATGTGAAAAAATGAGGTAAAATAACTTGCCTCAGGTCACAGATCTAGTAGTGGCAGAGCTACATTTATTCACTTCATTCAGGATAAAAGCTAAAATCCTTAGCGTGACACACAAAGCCTCATGATCTGCTTTTCTCTTCCCCATCTCTCTGACTTTATCTCTACTCTTTACCAACTTGCTTTTCCTCACTCCAGCCACACAGGCCTCATTTTTCCTTAAAAATCAGCTGTTTTACCCAAAATGCCCTTCCCTCAGATATAGCTAAACTTCATCTAAGACTCAAATGACACTTTCTTAGCCAGACTTACCCAGACCACCCTATCTGAAATAGCAACATCATTTTTTTTCAAATAAACGTTTTAAGAGCAATTTTACGTTCACAGCAAAATTGAGCAAAGTACAGAGAGTTCCCATATATATCTCTCCACACACACCCACAGCCTCCCCAGCCAATGTCCCTGTGTGGTACATTTGTTACAGTTACTAAAGATTGATACATATTATGACCCAAAGTCCATAGTTTACATAGCGTTCACTCTTGGTGGTGTACATTCTACAGGTTTTGCCAAACGTGTAATGACATTATCTCCCATAATATCATACCGAATTCTTTCACCACCTAAAAATCCTCTGTGCTCTACATACTCGTTCCTCCCTTCCTCCAAACTCTCGTCAACCACTGATCTTTTTATTGTCACTAAAGATATGCCTTTCCCAGAATATAATTTAGTTAGAATCATACAGTATAAAGTCTTTTCAGATTGGCTTCTTCACTTAGCAATAAGGATTTCGGTTCTCCAGGTCTTTTTATGGCTTGATAACTTATTTATTTAGGGATTTCCCAGACACCTCAAGCTCTCTATGTGATACTGAGAGGCAGCCAGAGTGCATCAAAATGGTAAAGGGATACAAGGGGTCTGGTTGTGATACCTACAGTATTTGCCACTCCTCCTCCTATAGAATAGAGTAATATCCCATTGTATGAATGTGCCACAGTTTATCCATTCACTTATTGAAAGACATCTTCATTGCTTGCAAGTTAGGCAATTATGAGTAAAGCTGCTGTATGCATTTAATTGCAGGGTTCTGTGCAGATGTTTTAATTCATTTGGGTAAATACTAAAAAGCATGATCATATGGTAAGAGTATGTTTAGTTTTGTAAGATATTGCCAAATTGTCTTCCAAAGTGACTGTACCATTTTACATTTTCACCAGAAGTAAATTGTATTTCCAGTTATTCCACATTCTTGCCAGCATTGGTGCTGTTGGTGTTTTGGATTTTAGCTATTCTAATGGTTGTGCAGTGATATCTCATTGTTTTAATTTGCAATTCCCTAACTAATAGAGGATGCTGACCATCTTTTAATGAGCCTACTTACTATCTGTATATCTTCTTGGCGAGGTGTCTGTTTAGATCTTTTGCTCATTTTTTAATTGGGTTGTTCCATTTCTTATGCTGAGTTTTAAGAGCTGTTTGTCTATTTTGGGTGAGTCCTTTATCAGGTATGTCTTTAGCAAATATTTTCTCCCAGTCTGTTGTTCTCATTCTCTCGATAGTGTCTTCTGAAGAACACAAAAATTTAATTTTAATAAAATCCAATGATGTCTTTCACAAATCGTGGTTTGGTGTTGTATCTAAAAAGTCACTGCTAGACCTAAAGGCATCTAGACTTTCTCCTAGGTTTCCTTCTAGGAGTTTTATAGTTTTCCATGTTACATTTAGGTATGGCCAATTTTGAGTTACTTTCTGTGAAAAGTTTAAGGCCTAGATTTGCTTATATTTGCATATGGATCCCCACTTGTTCCAGCACTGTACGTTGAAAAGAACTATACTTACTCCACTGAATTGCCTTTGCTTCCTTGTCAAAAATGTTGACAATATTTGTGTGGGTCTCTTTTTGGGGACTCTATAGTGTTACTTTGATCTATTTGTAATACCAGTCTTAATTACAGTAGCTTTATAGTAAGTCTTGAAGTTGGGTGGTGTCAGACCTCTTGACTCTTTTCTTCTCTTTAAATATTTCACTGGCTATTCTGAATCTTTTGCCTCTCCATATAGATTTCAGAATCAGTTTGTCAATATCCACAAAACAACTTTCTGGGATTTTAATTGAGATTGTGTTGAATTTATAGATCAAGTTGTGAAGAACGGATTTCTTGACAATATCAAGTCTTCCAATTCATGAACATGGAATCTCTCTTCATTTATTCTTATTTCTATCATTAGAGATCTGTATTTTTCCTCATGTGTGTTTTATATTTTGTTTCATTGATAACAAAGTATTTCATTTTGGGAGAGAGGTACTAATGTAAATGGTATTATGTTTTTAATTTCAAATTCCAATTATTCTTTGTTCTGTATCGGAAAGCAATTTACTTTTGTATATAAACCTTGTATTATGCAACCTTGCTATAATCACTTGCTATCATCAGTTGTTTTTGCCATTTTCTTTGGATTTTCCATAGACAATCATGTCATCTGCAAACAAAGAGTTTTATTCCTTCCTTCCCAGTCTGTATGACTTTTACTTCCTTTCCTTGTCTTATTACATTAGCTATCACTTCCAGTAAGATAATGAAAAGAAACTGTGAGGGAGAACATCCTTCCCTTGTTCTTGGTCTTCGTAGGAAAGCTTCAAGTTTTTTTTACCAGTAAATATAATGTTAGCTGTGGGTTTCAGGTAGATGTTCTTTATCAAGTTAAGTAAGTTCTACTCTGTTCCTAGTTTGCTCAAGAGTTGTAACGAAGGAGTGCTAGATTTCGTCAAATGCTTTTTCTGCATCTATTGATATATGATTTTTCTTCTTAGCCTGTTAAGGTGATGGATTACATTAACTGATTGTCTGGTGTTTAAACAGCCTTGCAGGTTGACATTAATCTTGTGAATTCTTAGTCGTTACTCCTCAAATACTTGCTTCTTTCCCTTTATTCTTCTGGTCTTCTCATTAAATGTATATTACATCTTTTGTAGTTGTCCCACAGTTTTTGGATATTTGGTTCCAGTTAGTTTTTTCTCCTCTTTGCTTTTTATTTGGGAAGTTTCTACCGACATATTATCTTCAAGCTTCCTTCCTCAGCTGTGCCCAGTGTACTAGCCAATCATTCTTTATTGTTAGTGTTATTTCCAGCATTTGTAATTCTTTTGTAGAATCTCTCTCTGCTAATATTACCCACCTATTCCTACATGCTGTCTACTTTTTCCATTAGAGCCCTTAGCATATTAATCCTACTTATTTAAAATTCCTGGTCTGATAATTCCAGCATCTGTCATATCTGAGTCTGCTTCTGATGGTTGCTCTGTGTCTTCAAATGGTGCTTTTATCTTTTTAGTATGCCTTGTAATTTTTTTGTTGAAAGCTAACCACAATGTGCTGGTTAAAAGGAACTGAGGTAAATAGGCCTTTAGTGATGTAGTGCTAAGGTGTGGTGGGGAGGGGAAGCATTCTATAGTCCTAGGATTAGGTCTCAGTCTTTTAGTGAGCTAGTGCTTCTGTGCTGTGACCTAAACAAATGCTTCTTAGCTTCCCCTCCCCCACTCCCAATTAAGTCAGATAAGAAGTATAGAACTGGAGATTTCCCTTCTCCCACATGGAAAGCTAGAGGTGTCTAAAGTTGGGTATTTCCCTTTCCCTGAATTGGGTAGGCAGGAGGTTAGGCTCTGGTAAAATAATTTCTCTTGAGGCCAGGCTTTGTTAAGAAATACAGAATGCTCTGGTGTATTTCAAAATGGTTCCTTTTCCTCTCCCCATGCTGGAAACATGAGATTTTGGTTTTTTTCTTCTCAATCTTCACTATGAGAACCTGGTAGGGCTCCTAGAGATAAAACTCAGAAAAGGGAGGGGATCCATTTTTGATACCCCTCCAAGGTTTTGTTTTTAAAGTATTCGTCAAGACCGAATATATTCAAAGTGTACATGATTTAATATACATATATTGTGTGATAATTACTACAATCAAATTAACATATCCATCACCTTCCCCCACAACAAGTTAACTCTCAGATTTGTTCACATTGAGCTTCCAGCAGTTTATCAATTATAGCTTAGGTTTTTCCTACTCTGCCCTTTGTTCCCACGGAGGTTTCTGCTTGTTCCCAGTAAGTTGTGATTCTCTGTATCCACGTGTCTTTCTCCAATTTGGGGGGCTTCAGTTTGCTCTGTGACCTCCATTCTCTGATGGATCTAAGAAGAGTTGTTGATTTTCAGTTTGTTTAGCTATTTGTTAGGACAGAGTGACAACTTTCAAGCTCCTTACATGCTGCATCAGAAACCAGAAGTCCATTGGTTTTTTACAAATAGTATTTATCAACCTTTAATAAATCATAAAATTTACTTAGTATATTTATCTTTTGCTTGCCTTACTAGAATGTAACTATGGTCTGTTATGTTTGCTAACATATCCTGCACCTAAATCAGCGCTCAGCATGTTGGTGAGTGCTCAGGTATTTGCTGAATGATATACACACTGATTCTTCCTAAGAAACGAGATATAAAAAATACCAGTTGGGCACAGTGGCTTATGCCTGAAATTTAGAAGACTGAGGTGGGAGGATCACTTGAGCCCAGGAGTTTGAGACCAGCCTGGACAACATAGCAAGACCCTGACTCAAAATGATGATGATGATGATAATAATAATAATAATAATAATAATAATAATAATAAAATTAGCTGGGTATGGTAGTGTGTGCTTGTAGTCCCCCCGTTACTCAGGAGACAAGAGGTGGGAGGATCACTTGAGCCCAGGAGTTGGAGGCTGCAGTGAGCTATGATCATGCCACTGCACTCCAGCCTGGATGACAGAGCAAGACACCATTTAAAAAAAAAAAAAGAAAGAAAAAGAAAAAATGTATCTTAGACTTTCCTAGGAAAGTCATAGAAAAAAAAAATGAACTTGAATGGTAGACTCATACATCAACCATACTACAAAAGACAACTGTGGTAACTTTTAATTTGCATTTATATATATTGCAGGACACCTGGCTTCCTTGGTCTTGGAACAAATGCAATCTGGCTGCAATACCTGTCATTCCTTTTTTCCCCCTGGATTCATCTAAGCCAATCAGATTGGCTAGCCAGGAGGCCCTCTTTCTTAATTAATGCTGCATGCACAGCTCCAATCTCTCCTAAAGCTGAATTTTCAGAAAAGAGAATGTGATCGTGGCTAAAGCAGCATCACCAAGTCACAAAATCACAGTCAATGTGATAGAATCAAAAGAATACTATACTAGGAGAGGTGGTCCCCAGTACCCCTATACTGTTTATCTGACAGTCGGCTTAAAAACCTTTTGATTTGGTTACTTTAAAATGGGATAATGTCTTATCTTCCTAAGAGAAAGGCGGCAGTCTATGTAATTTTTTTGAAACTACAACTCTAAAGTCATTGTCCAAGACAAAAATTGTATTTGATATTCTCCCTATAAACATGAAAGATCCCAAACAAAAATAACAGCAATTAAGTATGCAAATTATAGATTATACACTTAAGTCTTGCACTTTGTGGCTTTAATCTTGCATTTGGTTTAAAAGGATGAGGAGGAAAGAAATGTGAAACTAATCAAATTTATGGCTATTACAATATATGCTTTTTCAAGTTAGATGATTAATGGGAGAAAAGTTGTGTTTGATATGGCTTTCACCTGGTTAGCCTATTTTAGTCAAAGCCCCACTTTATCAGCTTTCACCTGGCTAGCCTATTTCAATTAGCCTAGTGCAGACATCATGTTTTAGATGGTGAGGCAATACAGTGGAGTAGAAAGAATACTGATTAAGGAGTGAAAGACTAAGGTTATAATTTCAATGCTGATATGACGCTGCATCAATGTATAACTCATTCACTTGCCCTGGATATTCCCTGAAAATAAAGTTAGATTTACATAGAAACCAAAGAATCAGGAAAGGGAACATGAGATTCACTTATTTGTCTAAAATAATACACAACTGATCCTTAAATAAACAAACTAAACTAAAACTAAAGAAGTGTAAAAAATGATTACCAACATTGTCATAACAAGTTTTTAAAGGTTTAAAAGAAACGTAGGTGCTTAACAACACTCAATTTAACTTGTGGCCCAAATGGAACGGTAGTAATACAAATTGTTTTAAAAAATTTGCTCTTGGACACATAATAGTATATAGTAGAGAAAAGCTATAAAATAACTGCCAAGGCACACAGGCACAAGCAAACTCTTGTTGAACTCAAATTGTTTTAAGGCTTCCTTTGGAAGAATTGTTTACAGTACAGTATTTTTTTTAAGTGGGTATTTAGTAAATAATATTCAAATGTCCTACAAATGTAATTTCCATGAAGAGTGGTAAATGAAACAAATATACATATGTATGGCTATATGCATATAAACTGAAAAACAGCAATGCTTAATTCTTAGATATCTCATCTATGCTAACACCTAATGAATATGGTAACACTGATCATGCCCTGAGAAAATTAACTGGATAAATTATTGTACAAAAACATAAAATTTGAAAAATTTTGCTTTTACAGTTCTCACCTGCAATCCAAATAAATTAAGGGTTACCCAGAATTATTGGCTGTACAGTATTCTTTTGAAGTGCACATCAAAGGCCAAAATCTGTAAATTTATGACTTGCCTCTAAGTTGATGATCACAGAAAGAAAAAAAGAAAAGTCATCTCCAAACATTTTGTTAGAAAACAGTGATTACCTCAAATCTAGGTTCATCCATGAATCTTCAATGTTAACATTTTAGTCTCTATAAAGGCAATCAATGTTCTCACTTGCCCCAAGATGTCCTTTATTCCACAGTCACGGGAGGTGCTTTGGAGGTTAGAAAAATCGAACTCTGAGTTAAATCAGATATTCTTACTTTTTAAAAAGTAGATTACTCAAAATAGGTGTGAATTCCATTAGTTTGTGATCTAAGGGCAAAATTTTCTATGTGTCCATAGTGCGTGTTTGACAACAGAAGATATAGAATAAATATTTAATTTTGCACTAATGAACAGTGCTAGTTAAAAGACATGGAATACATAATAAATAAAATTCAGCAAAATATAATGGTCCCAAATCAGGGAAAATCAGAGAAGAACTTGACAAACTGGTCACCTGCTTGAGTTGAGACACATAAAGTTCACTTTTGTTTATATTTTTCACCTTCATGATTTTTATCCCTTTTCTCCTCTTTCATATATTCGTATGTACACAAGTGTATACACATGGTACATCTTTACATTTCAAAACAAACCCCAAACACTGTGTGCACTTCTGCCATAAGAAATATGGCAATTGAGAGTCTAAAACACTGAGCATTAAAAATCCACCCCACTCTTGCTCTAGAAAATAAATTTCATTAAAATTGGGGTTTCCAACTAATTTTCAAAGTGATACAATCTAAACTAAAAAATCCAAACATTTAGATTCTTTAATCTCAACAAGGAAATTATTCAATCAAATAAAATATTTTTTAAAAAGATCTGGACATTTACAATGCCTGCTTTGGAAGATAATATTTATATGTTCTCAGGGGTATAACTCAGGGGTAGAGCATTTGACTGTATGTATGTTCTCAGATATATGCACTTCTAATTTGAATAAATTACGCAGTCTTTAAAAAATTCCGGTAAAAAAGATTAACAGTCTAATCACTTCAATCTACTAAAGCATTACAGAGCCAATAGTCTAATCATTTAAATGTAATTTATTTTTATATTTTATAACAGTATTCTTTTCAAGTCAGAATATTTTGTGTGTCTGTTTTAGAACTGGGCCCCTCCAAAATACAGTTATTCTCTTCCTAGGCCTAAATTTTGCTAATAAAGCTAAGACTATGAAAAAAAATCTAATTCTTTAACTGGATCAGGTAAGCCAGTCTGAGTTGCAGATGAGTTAAAAACTAGACCTAGTAGTTATCTCAAACCCAATCTATTCCACAAGGTTAACCACAAAATAAAGGAAGAGTTAAAGAGCAAAATGAAGAGGGAAAACCCAGCATAAACAGGTTAATTAAATAATTAAAAGTCTGGAAAAGAGCGGTAAAATTTTTTTAATGCAGAAAAATAAGCTCAATCCTTAACATGTTATTTCTAAAGAGAAGATTTAAGGGAATTAAATCTAAATAAAGAGGATAAGCAGTCCTATACTGCCCTTAACATTCTCCATCTGGCATCCTCCACCCCAATTCTTTAAGGAAATACAATTTCTCACCTCTACTACAGCTACTTCTTGATTTTTGGAGTTCATCAGGGATTCCATCTTTTTCCCATCCTACATGATCTCCCTAGGGAATCCTTGTTTCAATTACCATCTATATGTTGGATCATCTGTTTCCAGGCCTAACTTCCTAACATGTATGTATCCAATTGCTTACCTGGTATCTCCACTTGATGTTCCACAGGCTCTAAAACACATTTTCTTCCTACCTCTAAACAAACCAAAAGAATCTGGTCCTCTGCCAAGTTTCCTTAGTTTAGTAAATACACCCAGATGCTTAAGCCACTAATCTGGGAGTATTCTTTGATCCTTAGTCATTTTACCCACTCAATCATTACTTCTTACTAATATGTATTGCTAAGACTCCCTTAAGGGTCATTCTTTCCACCCCATTACTAAAATTTCAATCAAAGTCACTGTCATCCATCATCTGGATTACTCTAACAGTCTCTCATCTGGCCTCTTGGTCTCTAGTTGTGATATCCTTCAATCTATTCTTCTCAAGGTAGCCACAGTGGTTTTTAAAAATACATATTAAAGAATGATACCAGGAAAGATGACAATTAATCACATTGTGCAAAGGACTAAAATTTGTTGTCTTCCTTAAGTTTTCTTCAGCCAATTAAATAGTTATCATTGGGTATTATCTCCTTTATCCTCATAGCTTTTGTTTTTGTGAAACATTTTAGAACACAAACTTACATAATTAGCCAATACTACAACTTACTTTTCTAGGAAACCTGCACTCAATTTCCACCTTTAGTTACCATGACATCCTAAACAGCTGAGTCAGAGCAAACTTTCTTATAAAAGTTTACAAAAGAAAACAAAAACATTTTCTTTACAGAACATGGAGATCATGATAAAAATACTATTAGGACTAGAAGGCTCAGAGAATGGAAGAATGACTTCTAAGAATTCATTTCTCCATTATAGAGCACAGTCTTCATGACAGGATATAACAACAACAACAAAAAAAACCCTGACATTTAGGGTTTTAAAAATAATAATATATAAACAACATAAACAACTATAATGAAGGACACCACTGACCGTATCAAATACTATGTTGCATGTTTTTGTGCACTTATTTCTGTATACCTTCTACATGCCATTTGCTGTTTCAAAGTTCTCCAGAAGAATTTCATAATAGTAAAAAGTCATTTCTCTCAGTTCCACATTTTTATGGTTTCATGACACTGCAAAGACTGACTTCAGGTCCAGCTTCAGTTACACACAGCATTAGAAATCTTTTCAAAGACTCTATGGCAGAACATTTACAAATACATTATTTCCATTGAATAACAATACAGAATGACTTACTAAAATGGCCATTTTTATAAAGTCGAAATAATCAACAATATAATTCAAGTTCAAAGTACATTATTTGAAGGCTATTTATACCTTTTAGCCTTGAATCATAATTCAGAATAGCTAAGTATTTAACACAGTACAAGCCCTGTTAAACATCAGTGGAAACCTGATCTTTACCTGGAGAAAAATCCAAACTGTTAAATACATCATCATGTTCTTATTTAGCAATTATAAGATAACTTTCTGAACTATGTTAAAAATGAGTTTTGAGGTGGAAGAAGAGACAAACAGCAAATGTGAAAAAAACTATATTAGTATATTTTTCTATTCAAGACTAATATTAAAATAAATTATTTGATCCACACATAAAACATTTTTAGTAGTGGACATCAGGTTTTAAGTACTAGCTAAATGGACAGATTTCTTGAATAATAATTTCTTCGAAATCATAAAAAGAAAATGGTATAGATGGCTGATGCAGATGCTACTTGTATATTGTTTGATCAGACCAGTGGAAGGTTAAATTCTCCATAATGCTTTAAAAACTATATTTTCATTTTAAGAAACAACATAAGCCGGGTGCGGTGGCTCATGTCTGTAATCCCAGCACTTTGGGAGGCCAAGGCGGGCAGATCACGAAGTCAGGAGATCAAGAACATCCTGGCTAACACGGTGAAACCCCGTCTCTACTAAAAATACAAAAAAATTAGCCAGGTGTGGTGACAGGCACCTGTAGTCCCAGCTACTCAGGAGGCTGAGGCAGGAGAATATAATAGTGTGATCCCGGGACGTGGAGCTTGCAGTGAGCCAAGACTGCACCACTGCACTCCAGCCTGGGCTACAGAGCAAGACTCTGTCTCAAAAAAAAAAAAAAAAAGAAAGAAAGAAACAACATCAATAATTATAAAAGGCAAATTAGATAACACAGAACATCTAAATGATGACGGTCACTGATAAAGCACCCAAAAACTCTCATTAGATTTTCCAAGTAAGATGATTTTTTGGAGTACCTATAATATATAAAATGCTTCTAATGCCATTTAAATATTATTACATCATAAGGATTCCTAGGATGGAACTCTAATAATTTGCACAAAGACAGAATCTCCCCTCTAGCCAAACTTGCGCCATTGTGCAAGAAACAAACAAAAAAAAGCTCCTTCCTTAAGGTTCTTAACTGTCAGAAATGTGACATAATATATTGATTTTGTTAGAACAAGAAACTTTACCAACACCTGCTAAAAAAAACTGTGATAATATACAAATCTATGATGTGAATGAACATCACCCCCAACATGTTATGCTGTTGTATACCGCACAAACCGCAAAAGCTGTATAAGGCATGCCCTGCCCCAACTACTCTAAACAGTAGAGGCTACTCCTCCTACCAAACTTGGAAACGTTTCCAGTCTGAAATACTATAAACTATTATCCAGATGAAGTCTTGATCACAAACAGGTATTTAAATTCAAAACCGCTTATATTCAGAACTTATAATGTCAGTGGGATATTTAATAAGTGTATACAAAAGAAAGTATTTTTTAAGGGTAATGAGAACTAACTCCAGTTTTTAAAAATTAAAAAAATCCCTTATTTTTAAAGTCATTTTTCAAAGTGAAAAAATAAACCCAGAAATTTTTCTCAGAAAGGCCTTCTATTCAATAACAAAGTACTGATAACTATTTTATAAAACATTCTCATATTTGCCTAATGTAACAATGTTCAAGATACCCCCTTAGATACCAAGACAATGTCACAACTCTGGCACATTCAAATTCTCCAAGATTACATAATCAACTAAAGATTGCCATGCGTTTCCCAATGACTCCTAAAGACTAAACTACTCAAAAGAATAAGGCAAGAGATAAGTTTTAGCTAAGACATCTGATACACTATCTTATCCTCTGATCAAGGCAGAAGGAGATCTTTCCTCACAAGTAATTCATTTTAAAGTTTATAGATTTCAGGAATGTATACTTCTCCAGTTTATTTTGAATTATGCTATCCACTTTTATCTAATTTTAATCATGCAAGAGTGATCATATATTCTGATTTCCTGAGACCAATGTTGTGCTGTTGGCCCTATATAACTATTGGTAGTGCCCCCTTTTCATTTCAGAAGTGTCTACTTTTATATACTTAGTTACTATACATTCCTATTAATAAACAATTATAAATTCTGCAAGGTGAAATTTGGATTCAATACACATGGCTTAGCAATAACAGATGAGGCTGGGCGTGGTGGCTCACACCTGTAATCCCAGCACTTTCAGAGGCTGAGGTGGGCGGACCACGAGGTCAGGAGATTAAGACCATCCTGGTTAACAAGGTAAAACCTCATCTCTACTAAAAATACGAAAAATTAGCTGGCCGTGGTGGCAGGCACCTATAGTCCCAGCTACTTTGGAGGCTGAGGCAGGAGAATCGCTTGAACCCGGGAGGCGGAAGTTGCAGTGAGCTGAGATCACGCCACTGCACTCCAGCCTGGGTGACAGAACGAGACTCTGTTTCAAAAAAAAAAAGGAAAAAAAAAAAGGAAGTAACAGATGAAAAGCAAAAGGTTATAACAAAAATTTACAGAAAATCTAGATAAATTTTAATGTATAATAACTTATCTATTTTAAATGATTCAAGCTACACAATTAGATAAATTAGAAATTTGCAATTACATTTTTTAGAGATCATTCCCATTGCAATACCTACATTTTAAGTACAAATAAATGTTTTATGTGTATTTTCCCTTCCTGTATCATCTACTGTTTTCACTTGTATCTATAAAGTTCATAAATTATTTAGCACTTCCTCCTTTCTGTATAAAATAATCATGTGGGATTTAGAAAGTATTAAACTCAGAAAAGGACAGCTTGGCATTACCATTGCCATTTTTCTGCTACATATTAACAAAAAGCAAAGTTTAGAGCAATGTTTTTATAATGTAACATCCTCGGACATTCTTATTTTATTTGCTGAGTCTCATGGAGAGACTAAATATAATTTCTTTAAAGGAAAGGAAAATTTTTGGATATGCCAATTAGTCCCATTGCAGTTTCAGGAAAAAGTATTAGCTCATATGTAGTCTTCAACAATATCCCTTATTATATTCAAACTATTTAAATATTAAATATCTTGATTTCACAGGGATATCTTAATCAGAGTCCATTTTAGTTTCTTGGGAAATAATGAAATTTGTGGGCTCTCACAAGGTGACAGCCTACAGAGGATATACATTTTATACTTCTTTAAAATTTTTTATAACTTGTCATTATATTGTTTACACACAGCATGACTTCTACATGTAAGACTGATCGTTTTACATTACTGTTACAGATTAACATAAAGGTGGAACAAAAATGCTTTAAAAACCATATTTTCATTTTAAGAAACAATAACCATTTTTTTTAAGAAAAGACATTTAGTTACTACCTTTAAAGTTCAAGTCCCAACATCTTAATATATAAACACACCTGGATACGAGATTTAAAAAACCACACAAACACACAAGCTCTAGGTAGAGCTGTAATAAACAAATTCCTTTTATAAACAAAATTTTAACTGAAAAGCCACAGCAGATGGGGGGAAAAAAAAAAGAAAGGATATTACTTGGTAAAATCCAGTGACATCTACAATAGTTTTACAGCACATTTAAGCATTCTAGGGTTTTATATCTTCACCTGCCTTCCATTTCTTAGTTGATCCTTATAAAATCTCTCATTACGAACATAGGTTTGACCTCAAAACTAGTCATGAATTTGAGTGCCAGGAAAAGCAGAACAACAGTCCAAATTTCTATCTTAATATCATAGCCTTAATTCAAAAATGGTTTTGTGTAAAACACAACGCCCAACTAAATGGAAAAAAAAAAAAACACACAAGCAGCAATATGTAATTATACAAAATAGTGATTAATTATATATGAAGTGTTTTTTAGGATGACATCTAGAACGCACCTTGCTCTGAGACTCCTCAATAATCAAATTGACTTAGACCAACAATACTGCTAAGTATTAAAAGCAGTGAAGCAAAGAAAACGCATCAAATAGTACATGCACATCTTACAGAACTTCCACTGAACTCCCCAATGGCTTCTATGCAATGTGCCTCTTTTCCATAACTGTATTAACAACTACCAAGAAAGGAAAGATGAGATTAAAAGTAATGATACTGAACTGAATTGTTTGAAGCCAGTGCCCCATATGTGGGGAAAAGTGCATTTAGTTCAGCAGCAATACAGCACAGTGTGAAGATATTGTGCTTAGACACAGATATTCCAGAATTGAAAGATGTACAAGGCAAGTCAAGATATAAAACCATAGTACACTGTTAAATAACCTTGAAACATACATACATTGCAGTTTTCAAAGAAAGACATTCATGTCATTGTACAAGGATAGGAAGAAATCCTTAAAGTTACCTACTGTAGTTTATGATATAATAAATACATATCTATATAGCATTGTATATACATATATAGATTGTGTGTGTTTATATGTAATTTATTTGCCCAATTATCCTGTTAGTTTTGTGGATCTGCAACTTTCAGGAATGAAAAAACTCCTTTTCACTGCAAGTTTCTCTTCCCCCAAACTTAAAAAATATTCATACTAGAAAAGGTCTCAATACCCTTCCCCTACCCAAAGACTCACTTCAGGTATTTTGCTTCACAACTCGTCAGAGAAGCAAAATTAAAGAAATTCTAGATTTTTGACTGTATCTTTTCACTTTGCCAGTTTTTTTTTTCAACAAGCAAATACCTTTCACTGTTTACACCAGTGGATGCAAATTCTTTAGCAGAGGATTCAAACTCTAGATTTGACTGAATAAAACAGAGCAAATCAAAACAAACAAAAGAAATCCAGTGATTTACTCTGACTGTAAACAATACATAAAATTTAAATCTCAAATCTCAAAATAAGTTAAAGAAAAATTCTACTTTCAGGGCCTACAATACTATAAGGATAAAACAATTGGTAAGGGGAAAATATATATGAAAAGTTGCAACAAAAATTTTTGCCCATTATTTTTCCTAAGAGAAAGTATATCTAACTATACTACCTCTGTCCCTTAAATTTAATAACTTCATAATGTGTTGGCAAATGTTTTAAGCAAACTGGCATATCAGATTACACAACAGAAAAACATCCATCAAATTCAGCAAAGAAAACTTATATAAGCCTTTTGTACAGAATTTAAAAAAAATTCTAAATGGCTATGATTCCTCTATTAGCAGAAACACATAATGCAATTTTTATAAATCTGCCATATACCAATATCTACATAAATAGATACAGATATAGATAAGAAACATTAATGGCAGTCTATTTTTGAACAGTGTGTGGGACCAGCAGATTTATATCAGACCATGGCACGATATGGACCCTGCATCTTTAAGAACTGAATGATGAAAGAAGGCCCCCCAGCAACAATCTGAGGTGGAAGGTGACTGAGTGGACAGTTCTCAATACTCATGATTGAAAGCTTGCTGCAGAGTGCCAGCTCAAAGGGAAGGCTATGCAGGTTGGGGTTGTCATTCAAATACAGTTCTTCTAGGTTCTCCAGTGTACCTGTTTAAAAAAAAAATCAATTTTTTTTTAAAAATTAGTTGCTATTTTAAAAGTTCAACTGGGCATGATGCTGTTCTGGTCATTACATATACTGAACACACATTTCCTTTTATTCTCCTTTCTTAGCTTTAAAACTCTACAACCATGGATCTCAAATTTTGCTGCATATTCAAATCAACTTGGAAGACTTTTTAAACTCCTATATGTCCAGGTCACACTTCATACAAACTAAATTAGAACCTCCTCCTTTATGGTAGGTCTTCAAGCTTGGAGAGGTTTTTGAAAATACATATGCCCCATCTCCAGAGATTCTGTTTGGGATAGTTTGGCACATATATAACATTTACTTATATATATTTTAAAACTCCAAAGGTGAGCTTATTATATATTCAATGTCTATAACCACTTTTCTGTTGTAGATGTAACATTTTCTCAAATTAATAAATTTCTTATGTGCAAAATATTTGTTACTTAATATGAACCTTTCACTAAGAGTTATCACATATATGGCAGTAAGCCAAAAACTGACTTATGTAGACCTTTAAAAATTTTTTCTTAGGATACTTGTATTCTCTAGGAAAATGTCTCAAGCAATTAAATGAGATCAGGTGAATAAATATACTAGAAATATAGGTGTAAATTTGCCTCATGTGTTTCCAATTTTTAAATTTCAAAATTCAGAATATTTCACAGTGGCATTTATTAGAAAATAACAGAAATAATAGCTAGTATGTAATCAATTTGTTTACATGTAAGATATTATTTAAGCTTCAGAACAACCTTGTGAGAACTTCCTATTATCATCTTTATTTTACAGGTAAGAAACTTGAGGCTTAGGGAGTTTACATACCTTACCTAAAGTCACAAAGCCAATAAGCAGCAGGGCTAGATTTTGAATTGTCAATTATCTCCAAAACCATTTTTTTTTATTATACTTTAAGTTCTAGGGTACATGTACACAACGTGCAGGTTTGTTACATATGTATACATGTGCCATGGTGGTGTGCTGCACCCGTTAACTAGTCATTTACATTAGGTATATCTCCTAATGCTATCCTTCCCCCCTCCCGCTACCCCACGACAGGCCCCGGTGTGTGATGTTCCCCACCCTGTATCCAAGTGTTCTCATTGTTCAATTCCCACCTATGAGGAGAACATGCGGTGTTTACTAACCTATAGTTCCTGTGGGACAGTGCACTATAGATGGGAAAACATTAATGCATAGAATTACTAATTTAAAAGCTAACATTTAATTACCTTAATCAAGTAATTCTCTTTATAAAGCAAGATTACAACTTGCACTGTCTAAAATTCCAGGTGGTCATGTATATTACATAAAATAATGGAAATGAAAACACCTGGAAAATGTTAAGTATTCCCAAATGTTAATATTGGTTAAATATTAATATTAATTCTAAAATCTCATAAATGTTCTTTTGGCATAAAACATTACTAATTCAAGCCTGTGTAATTTTAAATTTAGAAGGAATATAAAATAACTTCTAAAATGAGGTTATACATAAAACCTATTGGAAATGTAAGTATTCCAAAACATTCTCAAATACAGTACTAATTTTAAAACCAATCCTAACAGCCTTTAGGAAACCTAACCAAAACCAATCAACAATCAACCATCGGTGCTCTATTAAAAAAAAAAATCTTAAGCCTGATATAACCTCAGTTTAAAAAACAATAGATTTGTCATATTTATCTGAAATATTGCTTGAATGCACAAGAGCAAATTATTAGTACAGAGTCAAGCATTCACAGGGTTCATACCAATTTCTTCAGGAAGGTGAGTAAGTAGGTTCTCTCCAAGGCCCAGATGTGTGAGATTAGTAAGGTGACCAATGCCTCTGGGAAGAGTGGTCAACTGGTTGTTTGTCAAGACTAATTTCTAAAAGATTTACAAAATAAAAGAGAGTTACAAATATATTTCCTACATTTAATGTAAACTGAAAATAATATGTCTAAACAATAAAATAAATTAACAGGGAAACCAGATTGGATAGAATGAGAATCACTTACATTACATATTTTTCTTTCACAAAATACCATTTGTTAGGAAAACAAAGCCAGGTTATATGAACATAAAACTCAGCCCTAATACTAGAATAGGAAAGTCTATCTGATCCAAGAATTACATCAAAATCTTAAGAGAAATGTGGAATTTGGAACAGATTCCAAAAACTTTATAAAACTACAAAATCAGCATAATGTTTACCTGTAAATCCTTAAGATATGCAATTTCATTTGGCAAGGATTCCAATTTGTTCTCTTCTAGATCCAACTCTCTTAACTTCCTAAGGTTTCCAAGACCATGGGGAAGCTTCTTTAGAAGATTGTTTGATAAGATAAGAACCTAATGAGAAATTATTGATAATGTTTAGGAAATCATGAAATGAAATTATATACTGTCATTGTGTGGCTTAAAATCTATTAAGCAATGCTAATTTTCCAAACAGTGAATATTAAGGGTGATGTTCAATTATATAACATATAAAATATTTAACTTACTTTTCTAAAAAAACACCATAGTTATTAGAAAAGAGATTTTATTTGATTATATCAAAACTAATGAAAACAAAAGAAGCAATTTAATTTTAATGAAATTTCAAAAAAATGCTCAATAGTTACAAATGTTTATCTAATAGGAAACTATTTATTCAAAATCCCTTACAAACCATTACTTAAGGAAGGTAAAAGCTACCTTCTAAACTTGCTATATCAATCCACTCTATTTATTATCTGTGGTGTTCTTATTACACTGAAAGCATCCTGGAAGATACTGAAGGGGGTTAAAATGGCAGAGAAGATAGCCTTTGTTCCGATAAAGTTACAAACTAGCAGAAAGGTAAGGAGACAATACTGGGTTGGGAGAAAGAGCAATAGGTAAAACAGATACGTAAGGTTCTGGGTAAGTTTTTATGTTCATTTATTTTCCCTAATGTTACACCACCCATAATAAATATATACAGTAAGATGGAGAAAATAATTACAGCAGTCACCACTTGATTTTACTATTTGCAAGGCACTGTACTGAATGCATTATGTGCATTATTGCATTTAATCCTAACTACAACTCTACAAGGTAGATACTCTTATTATCCCCATTTCACAGCTTAAGAAACTGAAGCTTGGGCAAGTTAAGTACATAAATATACAGAGATAATTACACTCAGCTTTGTTTGACTTCAAAGCCCATGTTTTTAGCCATTAAACCATACTATTTCACCTTATTAAATAATTTAAAAATTAGACCTTTAAAAAACATGGATATGAAGGAAATTTTAAAAAGCAATATATTTACTATTAGTAAGCATTTTCATCAAAGGGATGAAAACTCTAGGAACTCAGAAGCAGGAGAAATCATCCTTAACTGAAGAGGTGAAAATAAGATGGATCTTTAATTATGGAAAAACATACTAAAAGAAAAAAACTAAGGGGATGAGAAGAGGGCATTCTAGATACAGAAAACAATAGGACTAAAATTAGAGGGCTAGAAATAGGCATACCAGATTTACAACAAAGACAATAATCAATGAGTAAATAAAATAGCAGGTCGGTAATTAGGATGAAAAAGTATGATAAAGCATTCTAAATGACAGTCTGAGAATCGATAATTATTTTGGTAGACAATGGTGTAGTTTTTAAACAGAATAAAGAAAAAAATTGTTCTAAAAGATGCTTTTACAGAACTTTTCTTTTAGAGATATTAATACTTTATGGCACTCAAAGACACCAACTTGTAGTAGGCAAGAGAAATTCAAAAGCACTGAATCTAGACTACCTAAGTCAACACTTCATTATCCTATTAGGGTTGTATGTTTAAGTGAGTTCTAACATTTCTAATTATGACATTCACCCAAATAGAAATTGCTTATTTAAATTTGAAATTTTTAAATGAGATACGTATGGAAGGTTCTGAAGTTCTCTAATTGCTCATTTATACTAACCTCAAGAGAAACGAGACCAGACACATCCTCAGGGATCTTTGTGAGCTGATTAGTGGCTAAATTCAATTCTACCATACTGGTCCAAGTTCCAAAATCCAAGGGAAGTGATGTTAACTGATTGTCCTGGCAAAGACAAAAAGAAGCATCCAAGGTAGAATCACAAAAACAAAGTTCTATATATACCTGTCACTTCGGAAAGAGAATTCTTAATTAAACAAAATCTTATTCCCCTTTTTGATATTTAAATATAGAAAGAAAAAAAATCAGCAACAGAAAACTCTAAGCCTCCAAAGTTTTTTATACAGTAATGAGGCTTTTATTTGGGAGTTAAACTGGAAGTTTGTTCCTTATGTGATTATAATGGAAATAGAAAAACACAGTATACAGAGAAACACTGGAGATTTCAAAGATCCTATGATAAATATGATGTTTTTACAATTTCACAATATGCAGAAATCACTGAATAAAATATAAATGCTCAAATAAAGATATGAAAACAATAGAAGAAGACGCATCTAATGACAGCCCATAAGGAAACCAGAATGAGCTCAGGAATTCTTAAGGTGCTGAGCAGTAAAGTAGGGGAGGAAAAACAGTCTTAAAAAGACA
The DNA here is from genome assembly GCF_000001405.40 of Homo sapiens. Classification (NCBI taxonomy): domain Eukaryota; kingdom Metazoa; phylum Chordata; class Mammalia; order Primates; family Hominidae; genus Homo; species Homo sapiens. The sequence continues at coordinate 111,007,044 of NC_000010.11, read as the reverse complement.
GCAAATTAAATCATTAAAACACTAATCAGGTATTTACCATTTCACTTTAAAAATCCATAAGAAAAAAATGGTAAAATATATTCATCACCAAAACAGAGGAAACAGTAAATATGGTCTTAATTTGGTTTAAAAATTAGACAATGCTGTCCACAGAAAAAAAGTATGCCACTTTTATTCACTTATAAAGTATACTTTCATCAATAACAACTCGTACCACAATGTTATGTGTTAGGGGTATTGGTATTGGGAGAGGATAATCAACACCCCATCCAGCTCAATACCAACAATGTATGTCAGTATGTTAACAGTGATGCTACCTCTCAGTGGCAGTATTATTTTATATCCTTTATGTTAATCTGTATCTTTAAAATTTGCGGCCGGGCGTGGTGGCTCACGCCTGTAATCCCAGCACTTTGGGAGGCCGAGGCGGGCGGATCACGAGGTCAGGAGATCGAGACCATCCCGGCTAAAACGGTGAAACCCCGTCTCTACTAAAAATACAAAAAATTAGCCGGGCGTAGTGGCGGGCGCCTGTAGTCCCAGCTACTTGGGAGGCTGAGGCAGGAGAATGGCGTGAACCCGGGAGGCGGAGCTTGCAGTGAGCCGAGATCCCGCCACTGCACTCCAGCCTGGGTGACAGAGCGAGACTCCGTCTCAAAAACAACAACAACAAAAAAAAATTTGCTGCATTGCACATGGATTGTCTCATTTCACACAAAATGACCCATAAAAGAAATCCCAAGTAGCAAGCATCCATTTGAAAACCCACTTTTTCTTTTATTGTAATATTTAAACTTGTTATCTATGTAATATTTAAGCTTAGTACCTATCTATGCCTAAACTACTGACACTTATAGTATGATTTATAAAGTATTTTCATTTTTAAAAATTTACTACTGTTACTTACATGCAAATGCATAAACTAATGAACACCTGAACCATTGTGTTTTAAGCCTATTACTACAAAATGAATGTTCAGAATCAACACCATTACCACTGTTAAATCTCATATAACCAGACTGATTAACAAGAAATTTTACAATTGTTAAAACTGTATGAGTATCTTGAATTTCCATTAGTTTACTTATCATATACTTCCAAAGAATCATCATAAAAGATACACACCATATTTATGAGCAAGTGTGGATGAAATTTAAAAATTGTACATTTAAGATTATAGTTTAAAGAACCACAACTATGTTCAAATGGTTCATCATGACAGGAAGAATACTATCAGCTATGTGGCCAATTCAGTTACCTTCCTTGGGCCTAAAGTTTGTCCAGTACAAATTAAATCACTGAACTTGATAATTTTCCATTTGTTTTCTCCTTTTGCAATGAATTTCATTACAAAGGTGAAACTCGATCACTGTAGAGTGGGTAAGCAAAAGGAAACTAACGTTCACCCATAAATAATTCTGATCTCTAAACATTTTGGCAAAAACCAGCTATACGTATAAATATAAAGATATTTAATATACAATTAAGCATATTAAAAACAGCTTTCAAAAATTCTGGGTGGGAAGAGATTTTTTACATGCTTTAACTTTCTTCCACTTGATAAAATGAGAATATTTCAACTAGTACGTAGTGTTCTTTTAGACCAAAATATGATTTTTAATGGCTCCACAGTATTCCACTAAAGATAAACTACTTAACAAAATTAAATCTCTATTAATAAGTTGGTACCTATGAAATAGATAGCTCTGCAATACATATCCCTACAACTATACTTTTATAGACATTCATATTTCCTTTTTTGGGGGGATGGGGAACAGGGTCTTGCTCTCTTGCCTAGGCTGGAGTGCAGTGGTGCCATCATAACTCACTGCAGCCTTGAACTCCCAGGCTCAAGCCATCCTCCTGCCCTAGCCTTCCATGTAGCTGGTACCACAGGCCAGCTAATTTTTAAAAAATTTTTGCGAGACAAGGTCTCACTATATTGCCCAAGCTGGTCCTGAACTCCTAGCCTCCAGGGATCCTCCCACCTTAGCCTTCCAAAGCACTGGGATTACAGGTGCATCAGCCACTGAGCTGGACAATGATTTCTTTAGGACAAAATCCTAAGGGTATGCTCAGTTCTAAGATATTTGTTATCTGATACAAAGTACCCTGACATGTCTTATGATCAGTTTAGACCCATCAGCAAGGTACAAGTACCCACTCCCCACACAATTAGAGAAAACATAAATATTAGTGGAAGTACCAATTAAAGCAATTCCTTTCCCTAGTAAACAAATATATGCTTACCTTCATATTCAGCTTACTTAATACTTTTGCTCTGGAGAAAATTCCAAATGGAATTTTGTTGATTCGATTGTGTTCCATGTTGAGGGAATAGATGGTAGAAAACTGAGATGGACCACCCACTGGATACAACTGGAAGCAATTTCTAGCTAAGGTCAAACTATTCAGTTTCACAAGACTTGATAAAAGACTCTGTAAAAAAAATGAAATAAACATAAGAATTAGAACTGTGATGAGACTCATTTTTTATAGAACAGCAGTCCCAACACAAATGCCTCAAAGGGCTTTGGGGGGTGACAAATGACAGAGACTGGTTGGGGCAGTCTGTGACACTTCTCTACAGGGACAGTCACTACACAGTTCTAGCAGTTTGGTGCCTTGCAGAAATGTGGAACCAATGTAGACTTCCAGATTTTATAGGAGGAAACAGAAAATTTTCCCAATTTTTATTCTTTGGCTTCAATTTATTTAAAACACTGTATGGAGTAAGGAAAACATGTCTGTGTGTGAGAGGTGCCTCATGGGTGACTAATTTGAAACTTCTACATTGCAGAAACTTTAGTGTCAGACAGTCCCAGGTCTGAGCCCTGTCTCTGCCACTGGCTGTGTGACCAATCCTACCTAGTCTTAGTCATATACCTCTCTCTAAATTATTAAGATTAACATAAAGATTCCTTTTAGGAACTATTAAATTCAGTAGATGATTATGCTTCCTGATACTGTATAATACACCGCTTTTCTATATGGTAAAATTTCTGAGGGCATATATGTACCCATTAAACAAGTATTTACTTAGCACATAACCCCATCTTGCCCTACTTTAGCCTCTCACCATTTAACCAAAGTATTAAAATATTCAGGTATTACCAAAGAATCTCTGCGGTAAAGAAGATTAAGCTCTATTTATAGAAGTACATAGGTAAGAAATAATTAGAAAATAATATACGACCGTATATAATCAATAATCAATTATATATAATAGGCTCTTGCTATTCAAAGTCTGGGCCAAGGAAGAGCAATATCAGCATCCCCTGGGAGCTCGTGAGAAATGCAGACTCTTGGGCCCCACTCCCACTGAATCATAATATGCATTTTAACAAGATTCCCAGGTGATCTGCATGCTCATTAACATCTGAGAAATCCTGTACAGGCTATAAACTGTTTTGAATCCTGACTCTATCTTTAAATAGCTTGTGACTTTGGCAAGTTATTTTTCCGAACCTAGTGTATCATTTTTTAAATAATAATATTTTATGGGCCATAGTGAAGACTAAAAGCGATAAAATACATAAATAAGTTAACAATACCTAGTAGGAAGTAAGTGCTTAAATTTTAAGTCCTTTCTCTATTTAAATTCAAAGCAAGGAAAACTGGAATAACTGGAAAAATAGGATGAAAGCTGACAGTGAGCTAGATCTTGAAGGATGAAAACATTTTAAAATACTCAGAGAAATAGAAGAAACACTCTAGATTCAAAGTAAAAGCACAAGCAGGGAGAAGCAAGCACTGTATGAGGTATGTATGTTTTTAAAATAATGTTCAAACTTCAGTTGTCCACCATCAGCAAATTGAAAACTTAGTACTTGAGGTGACAGTATAATTGGCAAAGCCATCTGAAGGAATGAAGTAACTATATAATTGAGGATATAACTATACAGAGAACTGAAACTTGTTCTTTATACTGTACCTTAAGAAGCTACCCTTAAAATTTGTGTATTGTTGTACAGAAACAAAAGGAACAACAGAGGTAAAACAGTGGCAAGAAAACTGCATGGCAGTCAATTCAGGAAAAATCTCTACAGGCTACACGATTGAAAATAAAGGAGTTTTACTGAGCCTCATGGCAAAAAATGTGATTCTTTTTATTCTTACAACTGACTTACTTTATTGAATTGACTCTTATGATAAAATGTTAATACTGAGTATATTTGAGAAGGGGCAACAAGAAGCCAGCTCTTCAAGCTCTCATTTCTTAGTCACATTGTGAAGCAGGGGTTGCTTATCATTTTTTTTTTTTTGTTAGAATGAGACACATCTAGGCTTCTATTTTACACCTTCTACTAAGTTTTGTCAACTTTGGTGGATTAATTAGATAATCAATATACCTCTTACCATACTTCCAGAAAAATATTTAAAGTAACAAATTTGGCCAAAAATATAACCTCTCTTAAGCCTTATTTCGCTATCTGTTTGATGAGGATACTCCAATAACTAGTAGGTTTATGATAAAGATTAAATGAGACAATACATGTAGAGCAACTAGACTCAAGCCTTGGGAATATGTGGTTCAAATTATTAGTTCCTTTTCTATATGTATACACCTACATTAAAATAAGTCCATTTTCAGACAGTCTTCAAATGACAAAATAGTCATTTTAGCAGCTCTGATTTCAGCTATTTAATATGCCCTTATTGAAAACCACTTTCATGATTTCTTGCCTAACCCAGCTTGAGTATCTCATAAGTGCTGTCTAATGGATTTTATTGTTTTCCTTACTATAAATGCGGATAATTTCACATTTGCATTGGGACTATGCTGCTTCCAAAGCACACTGATTACTTTTAAATTATGACTTCATACTTTCCCATATTCAGTGGGACTGGGAGTGAGGCTCAAGAGTCCACATTTCTAACAAGCTCCCAGGAAAATCCGTATTTCCTAATAGGTACCCAGGAATTATTAGTTTCACTTCACTGACAATAAGACTGGATATATATCCATTTAAATTTTTTCACTTATTTTTTTTTTTTTGAGACAAAGTCTCCCTTTGTTGCCCAGGCTGGACTGCAGTGGCGTCACCTCGGCTCACTGCAATCTCTGCCTCCCGGGTTCAAGCCACAAGCCATTCCCCTACCTCAGCCTTCTGAGTAGCTGGGATTACAGGTGCCCACCACCTCACCCAGCTAATTTTTTGTATTTTTAGTGGAGACAGGGTTTTGCCATGTTGGCCAGGCTGGTCTCAAGCTCCTAACCTCAAGTGATCCGCCCGCCTGCCTCGGCCTCCCAAAGTGCTGGGATTACAAGCATGAGCTACAGCGCCTGACCTTATTAAAGAACCCTTGTTCTTAATTTGATTACACACACACATACTCAGAAAAACTACCAAGTCAAAACATAGTAGCAGCACTTACGTAAGACATTTTTGTTACAAAAAAAGACTCTGCAAAGCTCAATCAATCCATAAGTCCCCAATTCTTTTGTTACATTACTACAGAAAGACATGCTTGAACAACTATAAGCAAACATCCATTGTCGACATGCTAAAATAGGTGGGAAAAGAAAGTCAATAGTAAAAGACTAATAATGTTGATAAAGACAACTTTAAAAGAAGAGTATTATATTGGCTGGCTGTGGTGGCTCACGCCTGTAATTTCAGCACTTTGGGAGGCCGAGGAGGGTGGACCACTGGAGGTCAGGAGCTCGAGACCAGCCTGGCCAACATGGTGAAACCCCCATCTCTACTAAAAATACAAAATTAACCGGGCGTGGTAGTGCCTTTTATCCCAGCTACTTGGGAGGGTGAGGCAGGAGAATCGCTTGAACCCAGGAGGCAGAGGTTGCAGCCGAGCCAAGATCGCGCCATTGCACTCCAGCCTGGGCAACAAGAGCTAAACTCTGCCTCAAAAAAAAAAAAAAAAAGTATTATATCTTACCCAATTAATCCCTAAGCAAAATAAGTGAAAATATTTTTCTAATAGAATCAACAAAACCTAAAAATGTGTTAAAAAAAAAAAAAGATTCTGGCGATTGTTCTATACTAAATAGGCCTTAATATTATTGCATAAACAAGGTAATAATTTGAGTCACAGGAGAATTGCTGCTAATATTAATTTTGATGATAGTGCATTCTGTATCACTTATCATCTTTCTTTTTATAACTGAACTGGGTGGGGTAGCTGAATTTTAAAACCAGCCATATAGTTTTTCCTTAATACCTTTACTGTCAGTTCCCAAAATGAAATGAGAAAGATTTACATGGTGCTAAAGTAGAATACAGCACACTTACTTTCTTCCTAGTTTTTCCCTTTTTCTTTACATTAAAAAAATAATAATCATAAAACTTAATAGGTTCATATACCCATTCTTTCTTGTTTGGAGTTACTTCAGCGGTGGTGGTACATTCACAGCATACTCATTATTTAAACAATCTCAATCACCAAATTATTTACCCTGCTATAAAGATTTACTAGCTTTCCTTGAATTATCTTGCAGACTCATTTCAAATCTTGTTTTCTCTAATCCACTTCTTACCTCTGGTAAAGTAGAAATGTTATTGTTCTCTAAATTTAATTCTTCAAGTGCACTGCATTTTGCTAATGATCTGGGTATTGCTGACAGTCTGTTATATCTCAGACCAAGACGACTTAAACTGGACAGGTTTCCTGTAAACACACACAAAAAAAGAAATTTATTTTTTACAAAATCTGATGAGCCTCTCACTGTCACAGGCTATCTACTAACTATTTACAAATTACTTCAAAGTACTGTTTCAGCAAGTTCCTTAACTTCTAGCACAAGGAACTCACACTACACTATCAATTAGGATGAAATTGAAATCACTTTTATGCTCACTTGTCTCGGAGAAATAATGAAATACACAGCTGTTAAGTTAATTTTTAAATGAACGATTAGATAAAGTATTGGCATACTTTAACAAGTTAATCTTTAGATAAGGCCTAATTTAACTGCATCAAAGCAGTGTATATTTTAAACTTACAATACTTATTCCATTTGTTCTATGTTATGATGATCCAATTTAGAACAAGTGGTTATATATAAGTATGTACACGTAATTTTGGAGAAGAAATTTCCAAATTTCTAAAATGGTATTGTTTAAAATATAAATTATTTTCTGAGATCAGAAAGGTTCCATACTGAAAACTTGGCCTGATGGTAAAAAATTTCTCAACCCCCTCCCCAAAACTTACAAACCAAAGTGAAAGTTATAGTCTCTTTTATCTAAGCATATCCAGCTTGAGCACAAAATAGTCATTATCGAATAAATAAACAGAAGAGCACTTTCTTTTCTTTTCTTTCTTTTTTTTTTTTTTTTTTTTTTTGAGACTGAGTCTCACTCTATCACCCAGGCTGGAGTGCAGTGGCATAATCTTGACTCACTGCAACCTCCACCTCCCAGGTTCAAGCAATTCTCCTGCCTCAGCCTCCCAAGTAGCTGGGATTACAGGTGCCCACCACCATACCCAGCTAATTTTTGTATTTTTAGTACAGACGGGGTTTCACCATGTTGGCCAGGCTGGTCTTGAACTCCTGACCTTAAGTGATCTGCTGCCTTGGCCTCCCAAAGTGCTGGGATTACAGACGTGAGCCACTGCGCCCAGCTGAGCATTTTATTTTCTACTTTTCTTGCCAAGACTACATGGCCAACTATATATAATGAATGATGAATATAATGACATCTGCTATCATATATGGTTCAACTCAAATTCAATTCTGCAAACAATATACGTTAAAAATAAGTTAATTTTGATACAAAAAAAGCTAACAAGACAAGAATTTCATCCAATATACTATTTTGTTGTGGCTGATTAATTTCTTTTTTGACTTCAAATCACAACTGTTGCTATGAGATACTTGGATGGGCCAGGTTAAAATGTCAAATGTAGCCTTTACTTTTAAATTAAACAGTTATTTCCAGTGTTAGAAATTACAGAAGTGGAAGCCTGTGTCAACACTTAACTTTTTGGAGATAAGTATTTTGAGTCCTTTCAGCCTTCACAACCTCTTGATGTCCATTTCTCTCCTTTTGCTTTAATCATTGTTCAAAAAGCTGTCATATGATCAACTTACTTTCTTAGATGCAATATTACTACAATACTTACAGAAAACATACATTAGTCTATAGCATAAGTTAAGCCTTGACACCTTAAGAGGGCACTCCTTATGCCTCATGATCCTTATTTGGTCATCAATCATCTGCATCTTTCCTTCTTGCTGAAAGTATCAAGTGAGTGAAGTTACACATAATGAGTAATTGGAGCTAATTTTTAGCCTTTACATTTTCAAGATAAGAATCAGTCATTGATAATAAAAAAATACTCATAATTCTATGCCATAAGTTGTCAACTATAACGCAGAAAAATGTAACCACCACTTCAATTCTTCCAATTAGAACTATTCCATAGGTATGCTATACTCATTTACTAATACATCACTTTTGTACAATAGTGTTTGGAAACTGGGCCAAGAGTTTACTGGGTCTAATTAAGTGAGATTCCAACCGGCACAAAGTGGAGTACAAAAGCAACAATAAAAAACTACCACTTAGCAAAGACAAGTTAATTTAGTCTTTAAAAAGCTTTGTAAATTAACTAAGGATGCTTCACTTAGTGACTTCATCAGTGTCTTTCTGATGACACTCTGGTGAGACGTGTCAATTCCTCAGGAGAAAAAAAAAAATTGAGTGACTTTCCAAAGCCCCAGAAAATTTAGAGGTTAGAAATACGAACGAGAATATTCACTATTGCTATCACTGCGTTAGGCCAGGCATGGTGGCTCACACCTGTAATCCCAGCACTTTGGGAGGTCGAGGCAAGCGGATCACCTGAGGTCAGGAGTTCGAGACCAGTCTGGTCAACATGGTGAAACCCCATCTCTACTAAAAATACAAAATTATCCGGGCATGGTGGTGTGTGCCTATAGTCCCAGCTACTTGGGAGGCTCAGGAAGGAGAATGGCTTGAACCCAGGACGTGGAGGTTTGCCGTGAGCTCAGATTGTGCCATTGCACTCCAGCCTGGGTGGCACAGCAAGGCTTTGTCTCATTAAAAAAAAAAAAAAAGACTATAATAAAAATGTTACTTAAAAGCTGGGTTGGCAGAAAATAATTTGCTTTATGACAAAATATGTTAATTAAGTCATATATAATGGCAAAAATAGGGACAATCTAAATATTCAATAACAGAAGAATAATTATTTAAATTGGAAGCATCACAATGTAATAGAAAAACCAAAGTATTTTATATCATTTATATGTCCATGGGCAAGTTACTTAACCTCTCTGTGTCTGTTCCTTATCCATAAAGTGGAAATAATGCCACATACCTGACAGGGTAGCTCTAGGGGTTAGATATAACGTGCGTAAGATACTTAGCACCATGACTAACAGATACATAATAGATGTTCAATATATAATTTTCATTCTGTAGTATGTCTATATTCTGCAATATTCTGTACATACTAAAGTTATGTTATAAAAAGTTTTAAGATGTGAAAGACTTTCAGGTATGATGTTAAGTTGGGGGGGAAAAAGCATGATAAAATTGTGCATTTTGTATGATTTCAACAACGTAAGAAACAGGCATGCAAAAAAAGGGAAAGAAAATGTATCAAAACTAATTGTTATCTCTGCATGGCAGAATTATGGAAGAACAATTAAAAATTTGTTTCATTTTGTCTACATTTTTCCTAATTTTCTATATTTTAAAATTTAAAAACATTTTGATAAGAATAGAGCTATAGTTCTAAAGTCATTTTAATTTTTTAAAAAATTGTGACATCCTTCCACTATCCTTTTTCTTTTGGATGAATATTTTACATTACAGAGATATTTTATATAATGTGACCAATTTGCATTATATGCCTGTACATGTTTTTAATAGTATATTAGACTATATATTGCAGGTTATTTCACTTAATTCTGGCTTCTAAGTCAACTTGTTTTAAAGTTCAAAATGTAATATCTTAGCAATGCAAAGACCAAGGGGAAAATGCCAATAAACAGTATACACCATTTGCCAAATAAAGAACAAAATAAAAATGCCCAAAATTCATTTTAGAATTCCTAGTTTCCTGATACTTAACTCACTTAACTCTATGCTCTGTGATAAAGCTCTACCCACCTCTCGACAAGTGCACAGGAGCACCCACAGCACTGTGCCAATACCTCTATCATCATGATTACACCATATTATAAATGTTTATTTCATGTCTGTGTCCATTTTTACACTTAGTGAGTTATCCACTGTCAGAACTCTAGTGCAGAGCCAGACACTGGTAATATGTATTTGATGTTTACTGAAAGTTTATTATAATAAAGCAAAAATTGAGAAACATTAAAAAGGTAGGTTGTATTCTATAAAACTGTATTTTATAGAAGGGAATAAGTACATATTTATCTAGTTAAAAATGTTTTCTAGTATCAGTTTCATCCCTTCCAAGTCAGTCACAAAATTCTATTTGTATTCTCAAAATATATTTCTCATGTTTGTCCCTTCTCCAATCCCACCCTCATCATTTCTTTTTTTTTTTAAGAGACAGAGTCTGACTCTGTCGCCCATGCTGGAATGCAGTGGCGCAATCATGGCTCTCTGCAGCCTCAAACTCCCTGGCCTAAGGTGATCCTCCCACCTTAGCCTCTGGAGTAGCACGGACTACAGGCATGCACCACCACACCCAGCTAATTTTTGTATTTTTGTAGAGATAGAGTTTCGCCATGTTGCCCAGGCTGGTCTCGATCTCTATGCTAAAGTGATCCACTCACCTCAGCCTCCCAAAATGCTGGGATTACAGGCGTGAGCCACTGCACCTGGCCAAAAACATTTATACTAAAAACAACCTATTTCCTATTGTATCAAATGTAAACATTCTTTGCTAGCTTCTAGGGGTTCCCGTAATATACCTCCACCCATCAAGCTAGCTACTTATTGTTTAACTGCTGTATAATTGCATAGTGCCACACAAGACATAGTCTCTTCTCTCAAGAGGCTTACAGTACAGTGGTATATTTTCACAAATAACTATAATACTTAGTTGACTATGATAATACCCTAAAAGAAGTATGAACAAAATCTCTGAATGTTTAGAGATGGGGGAGACAACTTCCAACACAAAGGATCAAAGCTGGCTTTATAAAGAAAGTGAAAAAGTTAATCTTAGAAAGAAGGAACATCTCTGTCTCTAGGAACAGGAGAGAATGAACAAAAGATAAGCAAAGAGGGAAAATAAATGTAGAAGTAAGAAGTCTGGGCACTTTACACTGTAAGGGTCATCTTCTCCATAAAGAGAACACATAAGCTAAATTGTGAAAAAAATGAGTATGGTGGTTTTAAGTTTTAGATAGCCATCCTGTGACATTTGATAAAAAGAAATGAAAAAGATACCTAGGAAGCAGCAGTAAGAGCCATCTGAGGGTAATCAGCAGGGACTTTACCATAACATTTGTGAAGTAACTTGTCACAGTCACCAGCTAGTTGGTGAATCCAACTTGGTTGGCTCCCTATCAACAAATCTGCCTTCAAGATCTTCATTGACTTTGCTCCACTTAGCTTGTTTCCTTGTCACAGAACCATGCTGTGCTCATTCTCACCTTCATGCTGTTTGACTGTCCTCACTGTTGTGCTCATGGACTGCATTTTTCTTCCATACTGAGTCCAATGCATTTGTTCATTGAGCCATTCTTAGTCATTTTATCAAGCTCTTACCGACCTCTCTGTAAACTGGATATACCAGCACACTGTTTTCACCGTAAGTTGGCAATTAATTATATTTGGTCTTATGTTAACTGTTTCATGGATTAGTTATCTCCCTCACCAGACTGAAAACCCAGTAAGTGAGGAGCTTTGCTATACTTCTCTCCACAGAATTGGTTTCAGTGCTAAGCATACAATAGGCATTAATTCATACTTTCTTAATAATTACAGAAACTAAAACATTTCATTATTTATCCTCCTTTCCATTAGGAACAAGATACAAAAAATTATATGAAAGGCCCATAAAAATCTATTTTCTTCAACCCATTCTTATTTTATAAAATAGCATGTCTATGAAACACAGACTTTATTGGACATAATTGAAAAATATATATGTTCATCTGGTCTATCTGAATACAAATTAATCATTCTACAAATATTTGCAGGAATTTTTCTGGGATACCCAACTTCTGAGCAGTCCATGCTTAGGTATCAGCCGGGAAGGAACTACTAACAATTCCAACTTTCTGCATTCCTCCCACCCCACCACATCACTTTTAGTTATAAAATATATAAATGTATCTTCCTATTTTCCTTAGATAACCATGGTTTATAGTCTGATACATACCTATTGAGACCTGTCTCTAAACACTTATTTATATGTATAAAAATACAGGGATTTCTTATGTTTATGTGTTTGCTTTCATATAAATGAGATCATTCTATATGCTTCTCCCCTCCCCCATATAACAGATGATAGAAATATTTTTATGCTGAGTAAACACAGATATACCTCATTCTATTTAACCATTGTAAAGTGTTTCATGTCATGTGTACCATTATCTCTCCAATCATTGCTCAACTGATGGCATTTAATTTTTTAAAAAAGAATTATGTAATGAATACCCCTAGACATGTATCTTTGTGCACATGTGAAAATATTTATGTGTCAGATGATATAGATATTTAAAATTTTAATAAATAACAAAAGGCTATATCATTTTTATTTCCACTAAGAGTGAAGAATAGCCCCCATTTACTCACATCCTTGTAAAATGGGGAGGGATGGTATCAACATTTTATCCCTTGCCTATTCCATTCCTATGGCCACTGCTACAGCAAGGCCAGCAGAAGTGAACATTTTCCTCCAAGTAGTGATCATGTCTGATTACAAAGAACTTCAAAACCTTCTGATAAAATTTTAATTTCCTGTATGCAGCTGCAGATAAAATGAGGCAGCTAACCTTTAAAAAAAAAAATGGAAGTAAACAAGACCATCCCTTTTTCTCCTTTACATCACTGCTTTCCCTATGGAAGAAAGTTGATCCATTGTAACAAAATGGCTGAATCTTTCACCAAGGGGTCTTTGAAGTCTGCCATAAGAGGGGAGAATTTATTAACAGAGAGAAGTCTCCATGATCTTACTCCATCAACTGACATGCCTCATTCAATAACCCTTTACAGTATCATGGTAGATAAATACAATATTTTAAATGTTTTTTATTCTCACTGAAAACTAAAAAACTTTCTGTGGTAACAAAGGTTAGTAGGGGAACCAAATTCTAAATGTTTGTCAACTCAAAAGCCTAGTAAATAGAACCAGATTCTTGAAATTTCTCATCCAAAACCAAATAACTCTTAAGTTTCTCACTTTTAAAACCAGAGTAGGTTCCTAGAATTTAAAAATTACAAAATAAAAATAATGTAGCCAAATTGCTACATGACATTATCTAGTACCAAAACCAGTAGTAATTTAAATTAAAAGGTACCTCCACCTTTCTTGGATCTAAATTTTTTGCTTTTTGCTGGGGCGGAAGGGGTTGAATTTCTAACAATGTAATCTATGAGAATAGGCTGTTCTGATGAAGAAATCTCACATTTGCAAAGGCCCTATCACTTGAGACCACTGGCAAATTCAAAGAGTCATCCACATTTTGCCAAAGTCCATTACTCTCAGCTAAATAAAAAAGGTTAAAAAAATTAAGGATGAAATATCAAAACTCTTTTACGCCAGAAGAAAACATCAGAAGTCTGGCATTTATTGTGATTCACCCTCTGCAGTGGTTTCAGCTCTAACCCCTCTCAATGAGTGGTTTTAACCACAAACTAAACTGCAACCTAGAAATCAACACAAGCTTGCTTTAATGTTGAGCCATCTTGACTAAGAAATAAAATCATTGTTGCTGAGCTCCTGTATATAAACGTAGGCTGATCACTGCCAATCACTGGCATTTAGCTTTCAAGTGCTTAACTTTGTCTACAAATTGTTCTGTGCTCCACTTTGACAGCTTGCTTTCTCTTACGCTGTCAGATTTTTAAAATATGGTGAAATCAAATGGCTATGAATTAAAATTAGATTCTTTCAATTTCAGCAAATATAACCAGCAACTTTAGTTTAATTTAGTATAACTTTCGAGTAAGACTAATTTAAATGATCATAATCTTATTTTAACAAAGTAGCAAAAAAAATAGTAGGAAAGACTCAGGGTTGGAAGGATGAAATGTCAAAGGTACCATTATTTTTTCAGAAACATTAAACTGAAAGCAAACTGAAAAGTAAGCAACACAGAAATTCCTGAATGTTAAAAACCCAAAGAACACCACCATTAAAAAGAAAACTAGTAAAGTTGTTATACATACGCTGCACTGTAATTACCTAAAACCCAATTACTAAAATGACTAAAATGCTACTTGTTGATATAACCATAATTAATGTAACATTTCTTCAGAGCCCAGTGCAACAAAAAGGCTTCTGTGAATTGTTCTGCACTCCAGCCTTGAAGGCAAGGTTTTGTGGCACAGTTCTCTCCTAATCTCATTTTGAGAAGAAATACAAAGTAAAGTATTTTTTCCTACTTCGGACTGTTTCTTCCCTGGATTACATAAAACTACCAGAGGTACCAGAAGGCTTTAAAAAACATCAGGTTCATACTTTAAAACAAAATAACTGTTGGAATAAAGCTTAATATTTTCTTCTGTTCATAGCTAATTTCTGAATGAGAAAATATTCATATAAAATAATACTTTTTTTATTCAACAAGGCAGACTAACAGTTAAATCAGAGAAACTATAAATATGTATTTAAGCACTCTCTTACTTAACTGCAACTTGGTAATCCCCAACCCATTTCCTTCTGTCTCTTCCTCACATCCTATGAGTTGTCAGCGATACTAGCTTCTCAGCCTGGAAGTAAATGGCAGTAATTATCACAGGGGAGTGATAGTTACTCCAGGAATGTTCATGTTAAATAAAGAAAAAAGTAAAAAACATTCTGGTCTACTTATAAGAAAAAAGAAAAAAAGGAAAAGGCAAGTAAATACAGTGATTTCTGGGAAGTGATTTTAAGACAATACAAGATTTGATTTTCAGTTACAAGTTTAGGGCAAGATTCTTTAGTCCAAGGAAAAGAGAGTGGGCAGCTGCTTCCAGACTAGCATCAACTCTGCAGAACAGGTGTTGGGCTTTCTGTTTGTTTTTCATTTTAAGTTATACTTTCTCAGAACTAGAGTAGGATTTAAAAAAGGAGAAGTATCAGGAGAACCATAATTCAATTAAGTTTCCACTACTTAGGGTAAATTCTTCATCTTCAATAAATGAGAGTGAAAATCTCAAAGGTCAATTAAAACTGTTGAAATTTTTAACAGACCAAGACCCAAACGTCAAAGTTTCCCACCAAACCTCAATCTTCTGCTACATCATCAAAATACTAGGACTGGAAAGGATGGAGAAAGATAAAGTAATTATTTTAATAAACATGGTAATCGATAAATGACTACAATATCATAAAAAGTTTCAATAAATATTACTAATTTACTTTGCCATTTACTCAGAGTAACAGCTGTACTATACTTGGTGACAACCATCAAAGCATATAAAAGTAAATGCAATGTTATTTAAAATTTTCTTGTTGTTAATGTTTCAGTTCTCATTGATTTCCAATTTGTAATACTGTAATCTGGCCCTATAGAATAAGCTAGAGGTGAGGCATATGTGTTATTCTAGGATAACATCTAAACTACAAGAGATTAATAATAAAATCAAATGTTTTCATATTAGTAAACACACTTAAAACACAGAAGAATTACCTCCAATAGGACACTAATCCTACTTACTAGAAGACTGTATCATATATCACCACCTATGCTTTCTCTGTTTACCAGGATTATTCATTTCAGTACTTTAATCGCATGCCCCTTTGACTGTTATTTAACAAGTTTGAGATACAGACACATATATAAAAATATTAAATAATAAAATATTGTTAGACTATTTGAGACAGAGAAGAAGGCCGAATGAAAATCATGCTATATATATCTATCTGATCAGTTGAAGGAGCAGGCAAAGTTACACAGATATTTAGGAGAAAAGAGTTCTAAACAGAGAGATGGGAAGCACAAAGATCTCAAGGCTAGAATTTACCTGATATGTTCAAGAAACAATAAAATGTCTAGCATGTTTAATATCCTAAGATATACATAGTGACTAAACATCAATGAGAGGGATAAGAAAATCACTTGATAACATTTCAAGTATCTTAAATTTTGGTTCTCCTGTCTGATTTGCAGTAGAGTAAAGCAACATTTTGTTGTGTTTTTTTTTGTTTTTTGTTTTTGTTTTTTTTGAGCAGTAGCAAGATTTATTGCAAAGAGCGAAAGAACAAAGCTTCCACAGTGTGGAAGGGGACCCGAGTGGGTTGCCAATGCTGGCTCCGGCAGCCTGCTTTTATTCTCTTATCTGGCCCCACCCACGTCCTGCTGATTGGTAGAGCCGAGTGGCCTGTTTTGTCAGGGCGCTGATTGGTGCGTTTACAATCCCTGAGCTAGATACAAAGGTTCTCCACGTCCCCATCAGATTAGTTAGATACAGAGTTTCGACACACAGGTTCTCCAAGGCCCCACCAGAGCAGCTAGATACAGAGTGTTGATTGGTGCACTCACAAACCTTGAGCTAAACACAGGGTGCTGATTGGTGTATTTACAATCCCTGAGCTAGACATAAAGGTTCTCCACGTCCCCACCAGAGCACCTAGATACAGAGTGTCCATTGGTGCACTCACAAACCTTGAGCTAAACACAGGGTGCTGATTGGTGTATTTACAATCCCTGAGCTAGACATAAAGACTCTCCACGTCCCCACCAGACTCAGGAGCCCAGCTGGCTTCACCTAGTGGATCCCGCACCAGGGCTGCAGGTGGAGCTGCCTGCCAGTCCCGCGCCATGCGCTCGCCTTCCTCAGCCCTTGAACATTTTGTTTTTCTAAGACTAAGAATTTGGATCTTATAAAGTCATTTTTTGAAAGTGCTTTTATGTGACATTCCACTGAAAGTGATTATGATGAGATTATGCATTATTCTTTCTTTTCTTCTTTACCATTCCAATTAGTTTGTTGTTCATACTAACCAAACTTACAGATACATATTTTAATGTAAAAACATACAACACAAACTAAATATGTCACTGTGTGACATATTTACTATACTGAACACTATACTGAATATACACTGAATATATATGGCAAACAGAAAGCATATATACCCTGAATATATACTGAATATACTGAAGAACACTGTACTGAAATAAAACTTAAACCTATATGTTGAATTGGCCCAGAGTATACTAGGAAAATATGATCCTGAAAAATAAACACTGATAAATAAAATATAGTTCTTAAAATTTCAGAAATCTAGAAATAATACTTTGGCTGGCCAAGCAAAATGACTAAGTCACTTATCATGGGGAAAAAAGAAAATGGACTGGCCTCTTATTTTTGTACATTCAATTCCAGAAGAAGGTAGAACTACCTGTTAACAAGTTCTACTGAGATCCTCAAGGAAAGGCAGTTTGATCCAATTATTTTGTATCTATCTAAATTGTTCTTAAATTATAAAAGCTACACACATGCAAGAACTATAGGAGAATACTGCTCCCATGAACCATTTTTGAGCAAATGACTACCAACCAGATTGACTTCAGCCAACCAAGAAATGACTGAGGCAACTATGGCAACAGGACTGCTGATAAACATTAAGACTAAAACAAAAATGGGAATTAGTACAACAAGGTATGTTACCTATGCTGACAATGCAGTTAACAAAAATAAGAAGAAAAAGAGACTCCTCCAGAAACGGCAGAAAGTAGAATAAACTCATTGATTGCCTCATCTGTACCATGATTCATATTTATGGATCACTCCACCCAACAAAAGTAGAATACACATTAAACTGCACATGGAATACTTTTACCATGATGAAAGAATTCAAGTCCTATCAGGAATGTTCTTGACCACAATGGAGGTAAATTAGAAGTCAATAATATATCATGGAAAATTGTCAAGCTTTTGGGAACAAAATAACATTCTTCTATCAGGTTGGTGCAAAAGTAGTCTCAGTTTTTGCCTTTAAAAGTAATAGCAAAAACCGCGATTGCTTTTGTACCAACCTAATAAAGCCATAGATCACAGAAGAAACAAAAGGGTAAATTAGAAAAAACTTTTAAAAGGAAAATACAACATATCAGAATTTGTGGGATGCTGCTGAAGCAGTACTTAAGGGGAAATTTACAGTGCTAACTGTCTTTATGAGAATAATAGAAAGGTCTCAAATTAATGACCTCAAGCTGCCACCATAAGAAACTAGAAAAAGAACAAATAAAACTCAAAGTAAGCTGGTGAAATAAAGTTCAAAATGGAAATCAATGAAATAAAAACCAGAGAAACAATAGGGAAAATCAATAAAACTAAGAGAGGATCAACACAATTGATATACTTCTAACCAGAATGATTAAGAAAAAGAGAAAACATACAAATTCTTGATATCAGGAATTAGAGAGGTGGCATTACTATAGATTCTACAGATATTAAAATAATAAGAATGTTATGAACAACTTAATGCTTTTAAATGTGATAATTGAAATAAAACAAATATATTCCTTGAAAGACCCATATGACCAAGTTTGCTGAAGAAGAAAGTGATAACCTGAATAGCCCTATATTTATTAAAGTAATTGAAATTGCTTTAAAACAAATTCCCATAAAGAAAAGTCCTGTCCTGGATGGCTTCACTGGTGAATTTTATCAAATATTAAAGGAAGAAATAATGCAATTTCATACAAACTATTCCAAAAATTGAACATACGTAGCCAGCATTACCCTGAAACCAAAAACCAGGTAAAGATAGGTTGTATAACATTACATGTGAATTTATTATTTATTCAAAACAAATACATCTAATATTTAAAACTACCACCAGAATGTAACTTTTTAATTTATTTCTTCTTGGTAAGCAATTTTGGTCTTATTATCCGGGTTTTTATCAAGTTCAGGGAAACATTATAAAATTATATTTTATAACTATCACCACTATTTGGCCTTCTGGAACGTCTAGTCCTATCTGCCATGACTTTTTAACTTTTCACTTCTTTTGTATACATTTCTTTTTGATCTAGATTCTAGGGGACTTTTAATTTATCCTAGAGATCATCACTTTGGTCTCTGGCTGTGTTCATTTGGTTATATGGAATTTTCCATTAAATTTGATTTGGCAAACATATCTCTAAGAATTGTATTTTATTCTTTGTTCCCTTTTTGTATCAGCCTCATCATGTTTTAAACATGCAGTTTAAATATCCTATGTTTTTTTTCTCCTAAGGTCACATCTCCTTGTTCATCTTGGCCATTTCAATAGATTTTAAAGAGAAAAAAAAGCATGAAATAATTGTGCTTGGTCCTTATTATCTTGAACCAGAAATCTGATTCTCTTATTTTATACAGGACATTTAGTAGAATATTTATTTTGGATATTAATAGAATAATTCATTATGTGTTGGAGACAATCTTGCCTTTCAGAGGGACATCTAAACCATAAACCAGTTAACTAGAATATGTAATCTCTTTCCACTACAAATAGTAATACGATAGTGTCATGGGCCAAAAATCAGGGAAACATAGATTCTAACGGCTATTTATTACATCCATGTCTCAGCTTGCTTTTCTGTAAATAATTGTCCTGTATAACCTAAGACAATCTACTCAACCCTGCTAAGAAATTCCCTAACAACTGCTTTGTTTCAAGTAATGGTAGGTAATTCAAATAAATTCTCCCAATAAAAAAATAAATAAATAAAAACATCTTCCAAAACCAAAATCAGAGAGTTAACAACGTAATGACTAAGCACCAGAACAGAAACAAGCTGGGAACCCAGATACAAGCAAAACAATGGAGATAATTCTGTCCTAAGAACACAGCCCTAACTGGAAGATGCAGCTAAAAGGCTAAGTTATTTTTCCAGCAAGAGTCAAAATCTAGGGCCTGCCAAGGGTGGGGACTCTAGTCATCAACCTCAACTGGGACCCTCTAGAGCTGCACCCTACCAGTAAGGGTGAACTGGAAATAAAATAGTCATCCAGTTAGCCTGCAGCAAAACTTTTAATCACTTGGGGGACCACACACATCTCAAGCCTTGAACACGAATTGATTGAAGTGATCCCCTCTCTACTAGGTACCCAACAGAGGCAGACAAAAACTCTTCTGGAGAAAGATAACATCATCACAGGCCTCAAATGATTTAGTAATCATGCCTCTAAAATATTCATGACTGGACCAAGCACGGTGGCTAAGGCCTGTAATCCCAGCAATTTGGGAGGCAGAGGCAGGCAGATCACCTGAGGTCAGGAGTTCAAGACCAGCCTGGCCAACATAGTGAAACCTCATCTCTATTAAAAATAGAAAAAAATTAGCCAGGCGTGGTGGTGGACGCCTGTAGTCCCAGCTACTCAGGAGGCTGAAGCAGGAGAATCGCATGAACCCAGGAGGCGGAGGCTGCAGTGAGCAAAGATCACGCCACTGCACTCCAGCCTGAGAGGCAGAGTGAAACTCTGTCTCAAAAAAAATAAAAATTAAAAAATTAAAATACTAAATATTCATGACTGAAATTATGTAAATTAAGTAGAGATGTAATTTTTCTAAATAAACATTATAGTATCCTTATACCACATTAATAACTAAAAAGGCATCAGAATTTTTAAAATTCACTTTACTGGTATAAATTTATGGGCAATCGGAAAAATAAGACTACATAAACACAAAACATATCACAGCTCAATTCAATTTTTTGCAATTTGGCTAAGTCTATAAAACATATTTTGAACTTCAAGTCATCTCCTTGCTTATCCCCTTAGTATTACAGATAAACAAACTTTAAAGTATATTGGCCATGTTTAAAAAACTAAATAGCAATGGTTTTATTTTTCAGTATGGAATACTTTAGCAAAGAAAGGACCACACCCAGTATAATAACATGCAACTCAGAAATAAGCAGAAATAGAAAAAGCCACCCATTTTGCAATTCAAACTATGACAGAATATATATACATGTAACTCAATATTCTCTCTCTTTTATAATCCCATTGGGCTCATTTCCTAAAACCTATTTTCTTTGCCAAGAAAAGGAAATGAAAAATGATTTTAAAATATTATCTTAAAAGTTTTACAACTTTGGTAATTGTGAATTTTACTCCTGAATTTTCATTACCAAATGGATCAAAAATAGTCCTATTAATATCCAGTTAGCTATTAACAGCTATCAATATCTCCTTTCTCCTCTCATACCTATAGTATCTGGGAGGTCTAGCAGTTCATTGTGCTGCAAGTCAAGGTTGGTTATCTGTGTACAGTTTCCAATCTCCTTTGGAAGGTGTTCAAGTTGATTGTGAGCTACATCCAGCGTAATGAGGTTACATAATTCACCTGTAAATTGACCAACATAAAAATTCAATAAGCATTATTAAAGAACATACTAGATAATACTTCTAAGCAAGAAAATAAATCTATAATTTCTGAACACAAACAACGGGAAACATAACCTTATTAGATAGGCAACTTTTATTTTAAAATTTTAAATCATTTAGTGAACATACTTGCATTGCCAGAAAATAAAAACTTCTTTTTTCTGTATCACAATTGTATTTTCTCAAAAACTAAGTCAACCACAAATCTGAAACCACTACTTCAAGATGACATCTGATAAAATTAAAATGTTGTTTCTGAATGATTACTTTTCCAACCTCTTTAAGTAACCAATTCAGCCACAAATGTTTACATATATTCCAAAATTTGAAGTACTGATTTTGTTAACCAAATTCAGCACAATAATATCAGATACACCTTGAGTTCAGTTTGAGGGTCATAATCTACCTCAAGACATGGAAATAAATGGAAATGGAAAAGTGATTTTAAAATATTATCTTAAAAGTTTTACAACTTTGATAATTGTGAATTTTAATCTTGAATTTTCACTACCAAAATGGATCAAGATAATCTTCTTAATATCCAGTTAGCTATTAATAGCTATCAGTATCTTCTTTTTCCTCTCATGCCTATAGTATCTAGGAGGTCTAGCAGTTCACTGTGTTGCCAAAGTTGGTTATCTGTGTACTGTTTTCAGTCTCCTTTGGAAGGTGTTCAAGTTGATTGTGAGCTACATCCAGCTTTCAAATATGAAATCTCATATATGCTTTCAAATATGCATGTGTTCTGATGTTATATAAATGCATAAATTGACATTTACAAATAAAAACTGCTTCTCAATTTACTAGGACTCTAAAAGAACAGAAAATAAGGTATATTTCTCCCTTTCCATTCTGGTTGAAAGCTCTGTATTGGCAATTTAAATTACTTGCAGTGTTACTGAGCTTTAAAAAACCTTTTCATTTTTAATTGGTCTTGTCAAGATTTTTCTATTTATTATTATTTTTTAAGGCAGAGGTTGGAGATACAGAAAAGCACAAACTACAGAACTCTGAAGAATGGGTGTGGAACACATTTTTAAGCTATACATAATAAAAAAAGAAAAATCGATGTTAGATTTTATCAAAATTTAAAACTTTAGTGCATCAGAGGATACTATGAAGAGTGAAAAGGCAACCTATATAGTGGGAGAAAATATATGCAAATCATATATCTCATAATGGATTAATATCCAAAAATATATAAAGAACTACAATAAAACAAGACCACCACAAAAAACCTCAAAGAAGCCAATTTTAAAATGGGCAATGGACTTCAATAGATATTTCTCTAACGATATACAAGTGGGCAATAAACACATGAAAAGACGCTCAACATCAGTAATCACTAGGGAAATGCAAATCACAACAAGATACCACTTCATACCCACTGGGATGGCTATTATCAAAAAATAGAAAATAACAAGTACTAGTGAGGATGTGGAGAAATCGGAACCTTTGTGCATTGCTGTTGGGAAATGGTACAGTTGCTGTGAAAAACTGTACAGTGGTTCTTCAAAAAATTAAACATAAAATTACCATATAATCCAGCAATTCAACTTCAAGGTATATATCGAAAAGAACTGAAAGCAGGGACACAAACAGGTAATTGTACACCAATGTTCATGGCAGCATTATTTACAATAATCAAAATGTGGAAACAACCCAAGTGTCTATTAACGAATGAATAACCAAAATGTGGTATGTTTATATAACGGAGTATTATACAGACTTGAATACATTTCTGATAGGTGCTAAACATGGATAAACCTGGAAAACATTATAAACCAAGTGAAATAAGCCACACACAAAAAAACAATTTTATGATCCCTCTTATATGAGGTACCTGGAATAGTCAAATTCATAGAGACAGAAAGCAGAACCGTGGTTAGTAGGTGCTGAGGAGAGAGGGGAATGAGGACTTATTGTTCAGCAGGTACAGAGTTTCAGTCTCAGATGACGAAAATGTTCTGGAGATGAATAATGGTAATCGTTGCACAGCAATGTCAATGTGCTTAATGCCAGTGAACTCTACAAGTAAAAATGGCTAAAATGATAAATTATATGTTATGCATATTTTATAATAAAAAAACTTATGGGACATAGCTAAGCTAGTGCTAAGAGGGAAGTTTATAGCACTAAATTTTTACCTTACAAAAGAGGCAGGATCTCAAATCAGTAATCTAAGTCTCCATCTCAAGAAAACAGAAAAAGATAAAAATAAGTCCAAGCAAGCAAAAGGAAGGTAATAAAAATAAGAGTATAAATCAATAAAAATGAAAAAAGGAAGAGAATAATGTAAATATAAGATAGTTTTTTGGTGGAAAAAAATCAATGTTTATAGCCCTCTGCCATGACTTACAAAGATAAAAAAGGGAGAAGGCACATATTTCAAATATTAGCAATAAAAAAAAGGAATACTGATCCTATGGTGTTTAAAAAGATAAAAAGGACATATTACAAAAATCTTTGTAATTAAAATCATAAATTCAAAAACTTATAAGATATAACCTAATTATTTCAAAGCCACAAACTACCAAAACTCAATCAAGATGAAACAGAAAACCTGAATAGTACTACTGCCATTAAATAAATATTTGTAACTAAGAAGTTTTTCAAAAAAGAAATTCTAGGTCCAGATGGCTTCACTGCAGACTTTTACCAAATGCTTAGAAATGAATTAACACCGATTTTATGCAATGTCTTCCAAAAAATAGAGGAAACAATTTCAAACTCATTTTATGAGGTATTACCTTGATATTAAAATCAAAGACAGTACAAAAAAGAAAACTATAAATCAATGTCTCTCATGAGATTTCTATGTCAGGAACTTAAGACACAAAAATTCTCAACAAAATATTAGAAAATTTACAAGAAAAAAACAAACAACCCCATCAAAAAGTGGGCAAAGGACATGAACAGACACTTCTCAAAAGAAGACATTTATGCAGCCAAAAAACACATGAAAAAATGCTCATCATCACTGGCCATCAGAGAAATGCAAATCAAAACCACAATGAGATACCATCTCACACCAGTTAGAATGGCAATCATTAAAAAGTCAGGAAACAACAGGTGCTGGAGAGGATGTGGAAAAATAAGAACACTTTTACACTGTTGGTGGGACTGTAAACTAGTTCAACCATTGTGGAAGTCAGTGTGGCGATTCCTCAGGGATCTAGAACTGGAAATACCATTTGACCCAGCCATCCCGTTACTGGGTATATACC
The DNA here is from genome assembly GCF_000001405.40 of Homo sapiens. Taxonomy (NCBI): domain Eukaryota; kingdom Metazoa; phylum Chordata; class Mammalia; order Primates; family Hominidae; genus Homo; species Homo sapiens. The sequence goes on along the minus strand of NC_000010.11, from coordinate 110,982,359 downwards.
CAAAGGACTATAAATCATGCTGCTATAAAGACACATGCACACGTATGTTTATTGCGGCATTATTCACAATAGCAAAGACTTGGAACCAATCCAAATGTCCAACAATGATAGACTGGATTAAGAAAATGTGGCACATATACACCATGGAATACTATGCAGCCATAAAAAATGATGAGTTCATGTCCTTTGTAGGGACATGGATGAAATTGGAAATCATCATTCTCAGTAAACTATCTCAAGAACAAAAAACCAAACACCGCATATTCTCACTCATAGGTGGGAACTGAACAATGAGATCACATGGACACAGGAAGGGGAACATCACACTCTGGGGACTGTTGTGGGGTGGGGGGAGGGGGGAGGGATAGCATCGGGAGATATACCTAATGCTAGATGACAAGTTAGTGGGTGCAGCGCACCAGCATGGCACATGTATACATATGTAACTAACCTGCACAATGTGCACATGTACCCTAAAACTTAAAAAAATAAATAAATAAATAAATAAATAAATAAGAAAACTGAATTCAACAATATAAAAGGGATTATACATCATGACCGAGAATGATTAGGATTAATTCCAGATATGCAAGGTGGGTTTAATATTTGAAAATCAATCAATGTTATTTACCATATCAACAGTCTAAAGAAGTAAGATCATTTGATGATTCATACAAGGAAAACTTTTAACAAATTCAAAATGCATTCATGTTAAAAACTGTCACCAATTTAGAAACAGTGGGGAATTACCTCAATTTAGTAAAAATCTTCTATAAAAACTTACAGCCGACTTCCAGTTTCCAATCTAACACATAAAAAATTTTGAAGTCATCGTTCCTGTCCTCACAAGAAAAAGGCTGAACAAAGTGAAGATTATCAACTTTTCTTACATCCTTTTGAGATCTAAGGACAAACCTCTGCCCCAGAACTGGAGAGAAATGTGATGCAGAGTCACCAGGAGTAGAAGCCACAGCTGGGAGCTTGGTAGGAACACTTACTGCATTAATTCATTCATTCAGACAAAAAATTATTGATATGTACATTCTCTTTTTCCAGACACAATACTGGGCACTGAAGAAACAGACTACAATATACTAAATGTTTGTATTCATGAAACTTACAATTCGTAAAAAGACTATAATGTGATTTGAGGGAGGCTAGAGAGTCTCTGCTCCAAATAGGTCCTTCACTGCTTGCTTATAAAATTTCACCATTAAAGAGCCATTCTTTTGGATCTTCATGGCCATTCACAAAGTTCTTTATCTTTAAGGTGGTGACCCATTTCACTGACTCATTCATGAAAGAAAAACTTACTGTGCACCTACTAGAGATTCAACAGTGCAGGAAATGAAACAAGTTTCCATCTACATGAAAGATTCAGCAGTGCAGGAAACAAAGCAAGTTTCCATCCACATGAAACTTACACTGTAGTGTGCATGGAGTGGGGAATCATAAAATAAGGAAATAAAGTGTCAGAATGTGATAACTGCTGTAAACAACAACAAGAAAACACATAAGGAAAGGAAGTTGGAACTGACTGTTGGGGGAAGTTGGGGTGAAAAAAAAAAGCATATTTGAACTGAGACCCAGGGGATTGGGAGGGAAAATAAGCAATAAGGAGAGGAGGGGAACAAAGTGAGAAATCTAGGGTCTTAAATATCAACCTAAGGAATCTAGACCATTTTGACCAGATAATAAAGCACAATTTAAAGTTTTGAAGCAAACCATGATAATCAGAGTACTGTTCTAAAAAGTCTGTTTTCTCTAGGTTTGAATGGATGGACTTGAGAAAGACAAATAAAAAACACAGAGCCTAGGTTGAAGCTACTGCAATTAGCCCACGAGAAATAGTGTGAAGGTCTATACTACCTCAATGGCAGTGGAAGTAAGTGAGTGAACAACAGGCCTACTATCAAGAGAGAAGAAAAAGTGACAGGACACTTTGGGAGGCCGAGGTGGGCAGATCACGAGGTCAGGAGATCGAGACCATCCTGGCTAACACGGTGAAACCCCGTCTCTACTAAAAACACAAAAAATTAGCCGGGCATGGTGGTGGGCGCCTGTAGTCCCAGCTACTCGGGAGGCTGAGGCAGGAGAATGGCATGAACCCGGGAGGCGGAGCTTGCAGTGAGCAGAGACTGCGCCACTGCACTCCAGCCTAGGCGACAGAGTGAGACCATCTCAAAAAAAAAAAAAAAAAAGTGACAGGAATGGGGTAGAACAACGCTTTTCAGACTACAGATGGTGAAGGCCTGGTTCTTTGTCTTTTGCTGTTCCCAACTGGTTGTAGATGAATATTTAAAACACAAACTCACACACTTGGATGTCTCAGCAATGTCAAATTGTTATGTAAGATTCTAAATGCTTACTTTCAATTTCTGTTCTTAATTTGGGCAAACTAGTAACAAACAGTTGGTGGCCCAGTACCTGTCTAGTGAGTAGGCTACACCTTGACTAGAATCAGAACAACAACAAAATTCTCTGATCCGAAGATACTGAGCTTGGGTTGATAGAGAAGATAAGATGCAATTATGAGAGAGGAATGGAATCCACAAGGAAGAAAAGTTGAGCTGAAGTTACAGTTTGGTCATGAAGAATTTAAGATATCAGTGAGACATCTACGTAAAATATTTAGTGGCTAACTATGGGGGAAAAAGATGAAGAAAATGTTATCATGGTAGAACATTTTTGTCCTAAGAGAAAGCTGGATTTAACATCTGCAAACACTGAGCTCTGGCTAAGGGTGGTGAAGTCGTGTTGATAATTTAAAACTGTGGATAAAATACTTAAAGGCATACAGGGAGACCAAAGTTAAAACTAGAGGGAATTTACCCTTAAAAGAAGAGAACTGTAATAGGCAGACTTCTAAGATAACCCCCAATGGCCCTGCCTCATGAATAATTGTATACGTTATATAATTACCCCTCCCCTTGAGTGTGGGCTAAACTTAGTGACTTGCTTCTTACCAACAGAATATGGCAAAGGTGATGGGATGTCACATTTGTGATTCAGTTACAAAAGATTCTGACTTCCACCTTGCTAGCACTTTATTGATGTCTTAGCTTACACGCTTTGATAAGGCAAGCTGCCATGTTGAAAAGACCCATGTGAAAAGGAACTAAGAGCAGTCTCCAGCCAACAGCAAGAAATTGAAGCCCTCTCTCCAGCAACCTGCTAGGAACTAAGTCCTAACAAAAACTACATGAGTTGGGATGTGTATCCTTTCCCAGATGAGTCTTCCCAAGCCCTGGCTAACACTATAACTGAAAAACCTTGTGAGAGACACTAAATCAGAAGGTCCAGTTAAGTTGTGCCTGATACCCAAAACAAAGAAACTATAAGATAACAAATGATTGTTGTTATAAGAGTTATCTTTTAGAGTAATTTGTTACACAACAATAGATAACTAATACAGCAATCACATGAGATTTACTTTCATAAATGCCTTTTTATAAAGCTTTTACCATGAAGTAACTAAAAAATCTGCAGGTGAAAAGTAAATCTCAAGTCGAAGGCCAGAGTCCTACTGCCTAAGAAGCCAAAGGACAGAGTTCAGGGTTATAAGAGTGACTGGAATTCAAGGTTGGATACTCTGTAAAGGAGGAAATCACAAAGAGCAGAGCCCTAAAATCTTCAAATACACACTCCTCAAATTCTTGCTGACTCCGAAAATACATGTGGGAGAGGAGACTGCAAGGAGCCCAAGGGGAGAACCACAGCTAGAAGGCTAAAGGAGCTGAGCAGAGATTTCAACAGTTGCCAACTGTGGTCTTTAAGAGTTTGGATTTTCAGTCTTGTCAAGTTGCTGGAGAGTAATAAACAAAATTCCAAAAGGGCTATAACATAGGAGAGTAAAGATCACATCTCAAAACTAAGGAATTTACCCTAGGTTTAAGGCTATAACCAAATAGCATCACCCTTACAAGAGCTAAATCTAAGTCTCTACGGTCAAGGTGACTCAACAGCAATTTAACCGCCTAGCAGAACAAAATGTAACACTTTTCAGAGGATAATGGAATCCACAGGAGTTACAGTATTAGCTATTTATACTAGCCAATCAAGAATTACTAGACTGTCTTCTATTTACCACCATGATGCAACTAGAAAATGAACAAAATGTTTGAGAAAATGGTTTGCAGACTGCAGACAACAGCCATATATGACTGTATTCCCTTGTATCACAGGAAAACAACAGAAGTCCCATGATTGCCCCAGGTTACTGCCTGGAGGCAGGTTCCAGGTCACAGAAAAAGCAGGGAAGGAATATAGAACAAGGGCCAATAGTTATTACTAAGTTAGGGCAAACGATTTTAGTCTAGGAAAGCCAAGATGGTTAGAATTTGGGAGGCAGAACTGGAGACAGAAGAGAGCAGCAAATAGATTTGTGCAATCTGCAAGAAAGTCTTATGCAGTGTTTGCCTAAATTCTTATCTGCATTAGGTACAAACAGACTACCAAAGGCTAGGCAAAGACCTAGCAGCAGCAACCCAAACAATTCCCAGCAGTCACACAAGGTTGTGAATAGTGTGAATTCCTACCAGCCACAAAAAGACCTCATAATATATAGTTTATCAGGGAGTCATCAAAATTTATTACCTTAGTAGTGGGGTTAAATTAGATGTAGACAAAAGGCTACTAAAACTACCATAACAAAGCTTAAAAGCAAGCCACGAAAGGATTAAACTGACTACAGAAAAATTTAACTGTATGCCAGAACAAAGTCCAGCACTATTAAAAGAATACAACAAAATCCAAGACTCAACAATGTGAAAATGTTATGAAGCTCACATCCAATTAAAAATTACTAAACATGCAGGATGGGTACGGTGGCTCACGCCTGTAATCCCAGCACTTTGGGAGGCTGAGGCGGGCGGATCACCTGAGGTTGGGAGTTTGAGACCAGCCTGACCAACATGGAGAAACCCCATCTCTACTAAAAACACAAAATTAGCCGGGTGTGGTGGTGCATGCTTCTAATCTCAGCTACTCGGGAGGCAGGAGAATCGCTTGAACCCAGAAGGCAGAGACTGCGGTGGGCCGAGATCACACCATTGCACTCCAGCCTGGGCAACAAGAGCAAAACTCTGTCTCAAAAAAAAATTACCAGACATGCAAAGAAGCAGGAAAATATGACCCACAACCAGGAGAAAAATCATTCTGTAGCAACAAAAACAAAAATAAAAGAGGAAACTATAAGACAAGGACAGTGAAAAAGCTGTTAAACAATGAGCTCCATATGTTCAAGGTAAAGAAAACTTGAATAAAAATGACACCCAATGGAATGTATAGAGGTGAGAAATAAAATACCTGGTATGAAAACTTCATTGTATAGAACAGTAAGATTTAGACACTGAAGAAGAAATGATATACAGCAACAACAAAAAAATAGCAATAAAATTATCTAAAATATACATGGACACACATGGACAAACAGAGCATCAATGACTTAAAATGTAAAGTCTAATATACATGTAATAAGAGACTCAGATAATAGAAAAAAAATGACCAAGTAAGGGAAAAGTTACAAGAAATAATGGCCAAAATTTTTCTAATTTTGATGAAAACCATAAACCCACAGATCCAAGAGGCTTATAAACTCCAAGATCAGAATAACAGCAGACTTCTTGTCAAAAACTAGGCAAGCTATAAGAAAATGCAGAGGTGTCTCTAAAATACTGAGGGGGGAAAAAAGGAAACTTTCAAACTAGCATTGCTATATTAGGAAAAACAGCTTTCAAAAACGAAGGCAGCAAGGTGTAGTGGCTCATACCCTTAATCCCAACATTCTGGGAGGCTGAGGTGGATGGATTGCTTGAGCCCAGGAGTTTAAAGACCACTCTGGGCAATATGGTAAGACCCTGCCTCTACAAAAGATACAAAAACTAGCTGGGTGTGGTGCACACACCTGTAGTCCCAGCGACTCGGGAGGCTGAGGAGGAAGGATCACTAGAGCCCAGGAGGTCGAGGCTGCAGTGAGCCATAATCACACCACTGCACTCAAGCCTGGGTAACAGAGTGAGATCCTGCCTCAAAAAAAAAAAAAGGCAAAATAAAGATTTTAAAATAAACAAAGCTGAGTGAATTCATTTTGAGCAGACCTGTACTACAATATGTTAACGGACGTTCTTTGGGCAAAAGAAAATGATTTGAGGCTGGGTGTGGTAGCTCACGCCTGTAATCCCAACACTTTGAGAGGCCGAGGCAGGCGGATCACCTGAGGACAGAATTTGAGACCAGCCTGGCTAACATGGTGAAACCCCGTCTCTACTAAAAATACAAAAATTAGCCGGGTATGGTAGTGTACACCTGTAATTCCAGCTACTTGGGAGGCTGAAGCAGGAGAATCACTTGAACCCGTGAGGCAGAGGTTGCAATGAGCCAAGACTGCGCCATTGCACTCCAGCCTTGGCAACAAGAGCAAAACTCCATCTCACAAAAAAAAAAGAAGAAGAGAAGATCCAGCAACGAGTGCTAAAATTAGTGAGCAAAAGATTAGGGAAAAACAAGGTATCTGCATAGTCTAAAAACATCTCCCAAGATAAATTAAAAAGAAAAAAATATTAACTTTAAAGTGGAGAAGCACAGCAGAAGCTGTGGAGAAGCTGTGGAGAAGCATTAACCAACTGGTCGAGGTCAAAATCACCAGTAATGAGACTTATCAATATGAATTGATATAATTCACTGGAAAAGGCAACACAATCACCACTGTGGCATCCTTGACAAAAAAACCAAACTCAAACTAGTCGTGAAAAAAAAATTAAACAAAGGAAAAATGAGTGATATGCTATAAAACATTTGAAGAGTACTCTGCAAAAGTATCAAAGCCATGAAAGAAAAGGAAAGCCTTTCAGTCTTTGCTTTCAGACTGTCAAAGATCAGAGGATACTATGGACACATGACTATTAAAAATGTAACATAGGCCGGGCGCAGTGGCTCACGCCTGTAATCCCAGCACTTTGGGAGGCCGAGGCAGGCAGATCACGAGGTCAGGAGATCGAGACACGGTGAAACCCCGTCTTTACTAAAAACACAAAAAATTAGCCGGGCGTGGTCACAGGCACCTGTAGTCCCAGCTACTGGGGAGACTGAGGCAGGAGAATGGCGTGAACCCAGAAGGCGGAGCTTGCAGTGAGCCAAGACTGCGCCACTGCACTCCAGCCTGGGCGACAGAGCGAGACTCCATCTCAAAAAAAAAAAAAAAGTAACATGGGATTCTAGAACAGAAAATGGACGTTAGTGGAAAAACTGATGAAATTAACTAAAATTTGTAGTTTAGTTTATTGTATTGTATCACTGTTAATTTCTTGGTTCTGATCACTATACAATGGTTATATAGGATGTTAATTAATATCAAGAAGCTGAGTGAAGGGTATATGGAAATCTTCCAAAATGGTTTTGAAACTTTTCTGTATGTCTAGAATTTGTTCAAAATAAAAAATTTTGAAAAATTGTTTAAAAACATAATTTAAACCTTAAAGCAAAATAGTATCAATGTATTATTATGGGACTTATGATAATGTGAAGAAGTAAAATGTATTGACAATAATTGTACGAAGAATGGAAGGAGGGAAATAAAGGTGTTCTGTTGTGAAGTTCTTAGGATATATGCAAAATAATACAATATTATTTCAAAGTAAAATGTGTCAAGTTCTGATAATGTATTGTAAACACTAGAGGAAACACTAAAAAAAACGCCACAAAGATGTGTAACTAATATGCCAAAAGTTGAGATAAATGAAACTTTTATTTAAAAAATACTTAATCCATAAGAAAAGAGAGGAAGGGAAAAAAGGAACAAGTGGCTGTCAGGCAGGATAGAAACACAAGACCTAACTATATGCTGTTTACAAAACCCATTTTAAAAAGATAGAAAAAGGTATACAATGCAAGCACTGTATGACACTGTTGAATGTAAAACATTATCAACCACCTTGACCTTGCTGATATTTTTACAATCCTCCAAAAAACAACAGAATATAGTCTTTTCAACTGCATTTAGAACACTTATCAAGACAAGCCCTATTTTATAAATCAAAGCAAAAAAAAAATCTGAAAATCTCTCTCATATATTTGGAAACTGAACAATTAACTTCTTAATAATCCATGGATCAGAGAAGATATAAAAAGGGATATTTAGAAAATATTTTGAATAATGAAAAGATAACCTGCCAAAATTTGTGTGCTGCTAAAAAAGTACTTTGAGGGAAATTTCTAGCTATGAAATAGTTATATAATGAAAGAATAAAGGCCTGAAATCAATCTAATTGACCAACTTAAGAAAACAAAGAAAAGCGTATTAAACCCAAAGTAATAAGGAATTTGAAAATAAAGACCAGAAACAAAGAAAACACACAAACAAAAGAATTTTTAAAAGATCAGTAAAATTGATACACATCAAGCCAAACTGATAAGCAAAGAGAGAAGGCCCAAATTACCAATTTCAAGAATGAAAGGGGAACACCACTATATATATATATAGTGTATATATATATATGGAACATTAAAAGCATAATAAAAATGTGAACTTTAAGCCAACAAAATCAACAAACTGTACAAAATAGACAAACGCCCTGACAGATCAAACTACAAAATTTCAATAGAGAACAAATAGAAAACCTGAATAACTATGTGTCTATTAAATAAACTGAATTCGAAATTCAAAACTTGTCCATACACACAAAAAAAACCCTAGTCCCAGACTGTATGGCTGATAAATTCTACCGAACATTTAAGGAGGAAATAATACTAATTCTGCACAAACCCTTCTAGAATATAAAAGAGGAAGAAACATGTCTCAACTCATTCTATGATATGAGGACAGTATTACCCTGATACCAAACCATGATCAAAATTTTTAAAAAAGAAAATAAAATTACAGATCAATATCTATGATGAATACAGACAAAAAAAATCCTTAACAAAATTTTAGTAAATTAAATCCAGAAATATATAAAAAGGCCCTTTGAAAATGTACCTAGTAGGCAATCAAAGATTGGTAAATGAGTAATTTAGGTTTGTTTCACGGTTATAAACTTTCCTTTACTCTTATTTGACTCACATTTAGGATTCTTATATTCTAAAATAACTCTTGTTCTTTATAGGGATATTTTTCAAATATTCAGAGTTCAGCTCTATAAAAATCAGAGCAAATCTTATTAAAATACATTCGTAAAACTATATAATTAAAAAGAGTTGGAAACACTTGTCCCACAAGTTTGAACAGATTTAGAGAGGTCAGAATTTATACCAGAACATTATTTATACTTGTCTTAAAAGCTTAATTATTCCTTTTCATTGCAAAGACGACTTCAGGGGCTCTTCTAAGCAAGTTTTCTGCAACTAAGGGACATGGACAAGTGACAATGCTCCTCTGATTTTGTAACATGCTGTCTTTACGGTACAATGTCTGCCTCCCTCTCTTTCCCATACCTCAGCCACATGGAAAGTAAACTGTCTCCTTTGATCCTATCAAGTCCTTCTAAAACAGTTCAAGTACTATTTTTCTGTGTTCCATTTTTTTTTCTCCTGAGACAGGGTCTCTGCCACCCAGGCTGGACTACAGTGGCGAGATCACAGCTCACTGCAGCCTCAACCTACCGGACTCAGGTGACTCTCCCACCTCAACCTCATGAGTAGCTGGGACTGTGGGTGTGTGCCAGCATGCCCAGCTAATTTTTTGTAGAGACGGGGTTTTGCCATGTTGCCCAGGCTGGTTTCAAACTCCTGGGCTCAAGTAATCCACCTGCCTTGGCCTCCCAAAGTGCTATTCTGTGTTGTTGTTTTTTTGCCTCCTTTAGCAATAATAACTTCTCTGGGTTTTTGTTGTTTAGTGAAAATCACAATTTCCTAACAGTAATAAGTAAAGAGTTCATTTGTAGGTTTCTAATGTTTCTTGCTGGTTCCCAGTCAAAAGAAGTTATTTATTAACAACTATGAATTCCCTTTACTGATTTATCATTCCTGCTAAAGTAAGTTACTTAGCATTTGTACAAACATTCAAATGAGATTATTAAATAATGTTACCTGGACCATATAAGCAATTGTATCACTCCTGGCAGTCCTGAGAGAATTTCAAGAATTTTAGTGATCACAAGTTACAATTTTAGTTAATACTGAAAATATTACTGAAATATTATAATGCTGTACTAAAATAAAGTATATAATACTAAAATCTTGAAAATACTATACTTTTTATATATTATAAAGTTATAGTAATAATACCATAATACTATAATACTAAAATATAAAATAAAAATAGGTTAATAGTACTGAGCTTTATTAAATTTCCTTCAAGCCACATTTATTGAAAGCCTACCACTTAATGTCTAAAAAATTCACAGAAAAATTACATAATAGGAGTTAAATTAAATCTCTTAAGGTCAACTTTTTGAAAAAGTTGCTGACTCTGTTCAATATGCTTTTATATATAGATATTAATTATATACACATGTATGTGTCAGTTATATGTACATCATTTGACTTATAATCAAATATAACACCTCCATATTGCACAATAGTAAGAAACTGATTTTGCTTTCAATAAATGTTGATGAGTCAAATAGGTAATTTTTAAAATGCTGATTCTTAAATGTAAATTTAAGGAGGTGAAAAAGCTCTATGATGAAAACTGTAAAACAATGAAAGAAATTCAAAGGGACCAAAAAATGGAAAGACATTCCATGCTCATGAATTAAAAGGATTAATATTGTTACAATATCCATACTACCCAAAGTGATCTACAGATTCAATGCAATCTCTATCAAAATGCCAATGACATTCTTAAAAGAAAAAAAAATCCTAAAGTTCATGTGGAACCATAGAAGACTCTAAATAGCCAAAGCAATACTGGGCAAAAAGGACAAAATTGGAGGCATCACACTACCTGACCTCAAAGTATACACAAAGTTAGAGTAACCAAAATGCACAGTACTGGCATAAAAACAAGACAATAGATCAATTGAATAGAGTAGAGAACCCAGAAATAAATCCACATATTTACAGCCAACTGATACTTGATAAAGGAGCCAACAATATACATTGAAGAAAGGACAGACCCTTCAAGAAATGGTACTGAGAAAGCTGGATATATATATATGCAGAAGAATGAAACTAGACCCCTATCTCTCACTATATACAAAAAACTAACTCAGAATGAATTGAAGACTTAAATGTCAAGAACCAAAAATATAAAACTACTACAAGAAACATAGGGGAAACACTTCAGGACAATGGTCTGGGCAAAGATTTTATGGGTAAAACCTCAAAAGTAGGGCAAACCCAAGCAAAAATAGACAAATGGAATTATTTCAAACTAAAAACTTCTGCAGAGCAAAGGAAACAAAGACTGAAGAGACAACCTGCAGAATGAAAGAAAATATATGCAAACTACTCATCTGACAATAGATTAATATACAAGAACTCAACAGCAAAACAATAATCATCATTATGTGATTTAAAAATGGGCAAACAATCTAAGTATACATTTCTCAAGACATACAAATGGCCAAAAGGTATACGAAAAAATGCTCAACATCACTAATCATCAGGGGAATGAAAATCGAAAGTACAATGAGAAGGTATCTCAACCCTATTGGAATGGCTATCATCAAAATGACAAAAAAAAAAAAAAACATCATCACAACAACAACAACAAAAACAGATAGATACTGGTGAGAATGCAGAAAAAGAAGAACTCTCATACACTGTTGGTGGGTGTACCATAAATTGGTACAGCCACTATGGAAAACAGTATGAAGGTTACTCAAAACACTAAACAAAAACCTACCACATGACCAAATAATCTGACTACTGGGTATATATCCAAAGGAAAGGAAATCAGCATATCAAAGAGATACCTTCACTCTCTTATTTATTACAACACTATTCACAATAGTCAAGATATGGAATCAACCTCTAACAACAGATGAAGAAAGAAAATGTGGTATATATACACAATGAAATGCTATTCGGCCAAAAAAAGAATAAAATTCTGTCATTCACAGCAACATGAATGAGCCTGAAGGACATTATGTTAAGTGAAATGAGCCAGGCACAGAAATATAAATACTGCATGTTCTCTCATGCTAAAAAAGTTGATCTCAAAGAAGTAGCGAGTAGAATAGTGGTTACTAGAGGCTGAGAAGGGTGGCGGGGGTTGGGGAGCAGCGGGATGGGGAGAGGTTGGTTAATGGACACAAAACTACAGCTAGATAGGAGGAATTCTATCTGTTCTAAATTCTACTGTTCTGTAACACTGTTGGGTGACTTTAGCAAACAATTTATTGTATATTTTCAAATAGCTAGTAGGGAGGATTTTGAATGTGTCCAGTGAAAAGCAATGATAAATGTTTGAGGTGACGGATGTGCTAATTACCATGATTTCATTATCACACATTGTATACATGTATGGAAACATCACATTGTAAACCACAAATAGGTACAATTATTATTTCTCATTATTATTTCTCATACATATGAATGATGTGAGAATTGCTTTGTAAATGAAGAAAATGATATGGGTTCTCAAAAAGCATATACTTTAATATATTAGATAATTTTCCTAAGCAAAAAAGGTTATTTTGACAACTAGACCCACATGAAATTATATACTACATAAATATGTAGCATTTTATTGAACCTACAATGTAGGTAAAACACATTTTTAAAAATACTCCAACTTCTGTTTTTATAAAGAAGAATAAATAAGGGAAACTTTAAAGAAAGAGAAGAAATCCTAAACCCACAATTCAGAGAGAAAAGAAATCACAGGAATATTAGCAAAATACAAAATGAAGTTTATACCTGGTTTCAATGAGCAACGATTTCCTTCCCAGAAAAATAAAATCCTTTAAAACTTCACTGTCTAGAGTTGCCTGAATAAATAGATTCGTTATACAAACTGTCTATCTGGTGGCCCCTGCTCTAATCCACTCATAAACAGAGAATATACAAAAGCACATCTTTTACAAGAAACTCAAAGGAACCAATCAGTTGGGAAAGGAGGTAAAAAAGTGCTTATTTCCTGTTTTCCCTCTGAAAACATGGGTTCTTGACTGTCTTTGTATAGAGTGAAGAGTCTTTTTCAAGATTAGAAATGGAGAAAGAAGGAATGACAGGAAGAATGGAACACTGATCTATAAAAGAAAGCAATGACTAAGGTTTCAATTTGTCTACTTAACCCAAAAAGAAGGGACACTTACTTTATTTGTCTATGCCTTAACATACAAAAGGAGAAAAGTAAATGAACATTACTAAATGAAAAGTTTTCTTAGCTACTTTCTGATAGATCTCTGGCTCTGAACAGTCTGTTCCAGTATCTTTTTATTGTTTTCTGCCAATCTTTACCCATGTGAATATGTATCACTGGTATCAAATCACATTACATTAATAAAAATGTCATTAATGCTTAAAAGGATAAATGTTCTAATATTTTTTTCCTATCAAGGCAACAGCATAGCCCAACCTTGTGTCGTGGTTAAATTCCAATTATATTATTTAAACTAAATAGTAGGCTCTATTTCGAAAACTCCTAATTTTAAAAAAATTATTTTTATTTTTTAGAGATAGGGTCTAGCTCTGTTGCACAGGCTGAAGTCCGGTGGCGCAATCATAGCTGACTGCCCAGCCAACTCCTGGGCTCAAGGATCCTCCTGCCTCAGTCTTCCCAGTAGTTGAGATTTGAGGTGTGAGTCACAGTGCCCAGCTAAAAACTTATATTCCTCAAATATACTGCTGAATAAAAACTGGATGGCATGATTTAAAGTGATATATTTATTCAAACAAGAAGAATAAGCATCTAATATAATATAAATTTAATATATATTTATAAATAATGTAGCTCTAATATGCATAAATGAAAGTTTAACAAAATTATAATTAGCATATATTTTGAATTAAAAATTCCCTGTTATGGGTTTCTGCAGTAAGTCAAATTACATTAAAGGTGTTTAACACTTTAAAAAATGTCAAATTTCCATTTTACTTGATCATTGAGCACAGGTCTTATTTTATAAACATTCTCCAAGGAGCTCAGAACTTCTTTTAAATTAAAAACCCATTAAAGCAAGATCTACATCACAGAAAATAACTATTTCTGTCTTTCCGTTACAATAAAAGATAGCTCTCAAGAATTAAAAACAAATATATAGTGATCAGGGAACTGCAAAACAAAACTACAATGAGATACCAATTCACACGATAGAATGGTTATAATAAGAAAAGACGGATAATAACAAGGTTACTGAGGATGCAGAGAAATTGGAACCCTCAAACACTGCTGGTAGGAATGTAAAATATTGCAGTCCCTTTGGAAAACAGTCTAGTAATCCCTCAAAAAGGTTAAACATAGAGTTACCATATGACTCAACAATTCTACTAGGTATATACTCAAGAGAAGTGAAAACAAATGTCCACACAAAAACTTGTACACAAATACAGAAACTATACTCATAACAGTCAGAAAGCAAAAACAACCCAAATGTCTGACAACTGATAAATGCATAAATAAAATGTGGTATACTCATATAATGAAATATTATTCAGCAATAAAAAGGAATGAAGTACTGATACATGCTACAACCTTGATGAGACTTGAAAATATTATGCAAATTAAAAGAAACCTGTCGTAAGAGACCACATATTATATGATTCTATTTATAGGAAACATCCAGAAAACACTAATCTATAGAGACAGAAAGTAGATTAGTGTTTGCCTAGGGTTAATGAGTTAGGAGAAATTAGGAGTGATTGCTTAAGGGTTCAGAGTTTCTTTTGGAGGTATTGAAAATGTTCTAACATTATCTCTGATGGTTACATAAATCTGAATATTCTAAAAACCACTGAATTGTTTATTTTTAATGTGTATATTGTATGGTATGTGAATTATATTATAATTAAACTGTTAAACCCAATCCTCCCCCGCAATCTTGTGCAATGGCTTTCAACTGCAGTTGCACATAAACTAACACAGGCTGCTCTTTAAAAGTACAGACCCTGGACCTACCAGAGAATCAAAATCTATGGGGGGTGGTACCCATTTTTCTAGATTGTGGGGAGACTACAGTGGAAACGACCAAGACTTACATTTCAAATTCTGACTCTGCCAACCTAGAAGCATGATCTTCAGTAAATTACCTAATTTTTCTACAGTGTCAGTTCCTTCTTCAGTAGCATGGGGAAAATACCTATTTCATTGGGTTACTGTAAGGATATAAGATAGTATAATTAAAGTATACACGGACAGAACAATGTATAGTATTATGATTCATGGGCTCAAACAACAGCCATCCTTATTATTATGATGTTATTTTTACTAACCTTTATTTTCTTGTTCCCTATAAAGAAACAGATGACCCAGACTTCTGCATGTTTGCCCCAGATCCATGTATCTAAGTTAAACTTTATAAATCATAATTCCTTATGAAAAACATTATACTTTTAAAAGCAGTTTACTTTCTGATGCCCTGCTTAGAATGAAATAAGCAACATTTATGATATTACCATTTTTACAGAAGTACAGCAATTACAAAAACACAAACTTCAGTAATGTCACTAATGATGGGAAGGAGCCCATTAACAAATTCAATGGCTGTTTTTAAAATTACAATTTAGGAATAAAGGTCAAAAGATTAGGTAGCCACAAATATAAGCCACATAATTACTTAAAATATGCCAATTTTAAAAGATACATTCACTTTTTAGTAAAAATGCTATCTATATGCTCAAGAACATATATGTATATTCTTAATTCCTAGGTAATTTGATAGCATTGCTATGGAAAAAGTCCTTAGAGACTTGTGAATTAAAGCTAGACTTTTAGGACTGAGTGTAACACATACACAAAACAACAAGAACAAAGACAGGAAGTAACTTTTATATTTCTATGTAGAAATTCAGCATTTATTTCTCCAATTGCCTATAATTCTATTCCACAATGAGCCATAACATGCAGGTCAAATTTTGACTAAATATGACACTAAAACAAGTCATTCAACAACCACATTCCTATCTGAAGACATGGAATGGAACATTTTCACCCAGAAATTCCTGGGAATATTTTAATATCTCGTGAGTAAGTCATACTCTACAGTATATTACTTGAGAAAACCTATCATAAATTTTCTAAACACATTAAATTAAACCAAAATTTAATTAATATTTGGATTGTCTAGTTAAGAGTTAAATGTAACAAGTCATACCTAAAATTTAAACCACATCTTTTTTCAAAGCTAAACAAAATATTAAAACACCCACAGAATATCATATCTTTGAAAAGCTGCAAAACCTAAAAATCAGAAAGTTTATCACTCATTATAAGACCAATGCTGAAAGCAACAAAAATATAATCTTTATTTTTCTCAGAATAAATTGCCTTTAATACAAAAAGAAAACATCCTTTAAAAAGCTTCATAATCAACTTCTTATGACAATTTTTACAAATCTTATAAAAAGGGCCCACAGAGGCAATACCTTTATCAATTTTTCAAAACTGATGTCAATGGATTACTATATTCCAAATGTTTCAGAATGTTTTTCCATAATTAAAAATGCCAGAACTAATTTTTAATTTTTTACTGACATGTTCACGCGTTTATATTCCCTATTTTTTTCTCCTACTACCAGCCTTTAAAAAACATTTTCTTTGTTTTAGTACAAGTTAGCTTTATGTGAAAGACTGGAATGAAAATTAGCAAAATGGTAACAGTGCTGCATTCACTACAGGTGACGTTTCTTCTACCCTTCTAAATTCTTGTGTTATTTTTAATAAACATGTAAGTACTTTCAAGATGCAAAAAAAAATTTTTTTTCTATTTCTTATGACACTGCTCTTTTGTAAGGCTCTGATTTGTCAACCTTTTGTGGTAAATTAGGTAGAAAGTGATGTGAATTTAAACATCTTTCAGATAAAGGTGGAAAAGTCAGAGAATGAGAAAATGTAGTTTTCATATATCTAATAAAATTGTATCAACAGATACTTTAAACACAGCAACAACTTGAAAATTAGGCAAACATCTTTTCTTCTTTAAATTTACTTATTCTCCAATGAAAGTTAAAGATTAGGTTTGTGTGGGAAAGATCTAATTACATCTATTTTCTAACTCACTTTTTAAGTCTATGAAACAATTTCAAGCCATGTACTATTAACAGTGCTGAAAATGGAATAAAGTAAACCATAAAAAAGTTGTAATTTAGAAATAAGCTGTTTTTAGGCAAGTATCAGGCATTTTTTGATATGAGAAAGCACTCAAAATTATTTAGCATAACAAATACTACAAATAATAATAATCCAAGGCCTCTTACCAATTTCAGCAGGTAGTTGTTTAATTTTGTTCTCTCGAATGCTAAGCATGCTGAGTTTTGACAAGTTTTTGATGTCCTTTTCCACAGTAGTTATACGATTAAAGCGAAGGTAAAGAGTGGTGAGAGAATCCAGCCTATACACCACTGAAGGAATTTCTCTCAGTTTATTATGCCGTAAATCAAGCATCCGCAGCTTCTTCAAGTTATCAAGAGAGTCAGGCAAACTGGTAAGTGAATTTTCACTTAGAGCCAGTGTCATGAGATTTACTAAACATCCCACCTCTGCTGGGAGGGACTGCAATTTGTTACTGTATAAATAAAGTTCTGTTAATTGAGTCAACTCTTTGATTGATGATGGCAATATGTGTATAGATCTCTTGGATAAGTCCAAACGCATTGAATTCTCTTCCCGGCATTTGTTGAGCTCTTTAATCACCTCTGCATTGCTGGATTTTTTTCTAGTCCCAGGTGCTGGGTTTGGCCGTTTGATCGTATTGTCAACTGAAAATGCCACCCCTGGTTGGGCAGCACTGGAGTCCTTCTTTCCATCTTTGGCATCTTTCCCTTTGGTCTTAGGTTCTTTTTCTTTGCTCTCTTTCCCAAAACCTCCAGAGGCTTTTGCCTCCTTTTCTCTTTCCTTGGCTGATGGTACTTTGGGATCTTTTTCTTTAGAGTCTTTTTCTTTTCCTAAACTACTACTCATGGTGACTCAAGCCTGGACAAAAACTACATGAACTCCTTTTATTTTCCAGTAATTGAATTCAAAGATGAAGAGACAAAGATCCTACACAATCAAAAAAGTACTGGCTTGAAGAAGTAATCAGCATGGAGTAACATCCATCTGTTACATGTTGGATCTAAAAGCACTATGCCCATTTCTGATCATTCATTCCAACTGGTAAAATAGTGCTGGTCAATCAATGATTCATTAGAGTTCCTGAAATATAATATAGACAGTATTAAATTACTTTAGATAATTTATATTAAATAGGCTCTGAAAAACAATCTTATTAGAGTTTGCCATTTTCCTATGATTTCATTCTCAAATATTTATGAACATCCTTTATAGGTAAAAATCCATTTAAAACTACACAGCTTAATAAGGCTGGCTCTACCTTCAAGAAACTTGCAATCTAATAGGAAGATGTATGAATGTAAGTTACTTTACTAGAAAATTTTATAAGACCTAAAAAGTGGAAGAAACCACAACAATAAGCTTAATATTTATTAAGTGCTTTCTATGTACTAGCATTATTCTGAGGAATTCACATGTATTAATATAACACATACAACAGCCCTATGAGATACATTGTTATCCCCATTTTATACAAAGAAACACTAAAGCACAGAAATATTTTTAAGTAACTAACTCTGAGATCTTGGAAACATGATGGAGCCAATATTCCAAATTAGGTAGTATGTGCTCACAGCCTATGTTCCTAACCCACTACACTAAAACAGTTCTAGCTACAATTAATTGGCGGATAGCTTTAGATAACAGAAAGGATTTCAGTGGTGGTGACGATAGAAGAGAGAGCAGTCTGGCAAAAGAAAAAAAAAGAACAAAGTGAAATATGTATGAAAAACAGCACAGTTCAGGGAAAGGGGCATTAATAATCTGTACTTTAATAAGCACTCTACATGATTCTGATGGAGGTAGACCTGAGGATCACCTTTGAAAACCAGTGACAAAGGGCAATGTCCAATGATGTGTATATTCTAGGGACTGAAAAAGAAAGATCAATGGCACAGGGTTCTTAAAAGCAGAAAAAGTCTGCTGGTAAAATGACAGGCCGAAAAGATTGGCAAAGGACAAAAAGATTAGTAAAATATTTATGGAAGGAATCAGTCCTCCCTAAACATTTTGAAATTTAAAATTAGTAATTCTTATTTTATGACTCTATTGTTAACTCTATTTAACTAACTGGTAATTATTTGGTACTAGGGATTAAAGATAAAATAACTTCTTACCTGACTAGCTTAAGAGGTTAAAACAGTTATTAGAATTTTGTCAGACTACCAAAAGGATGTGATAATGTTAAGTGCTAAGGATTCTGCTAATAATTTATTTTTATAGGATGTGAACCTCTCTGTATACAAGCTTGTAGTTTAATTAGACAGCCAAAACACTCACATATAACAAGTAATTGATAAGACAGCATATTATTAAATCCTCAGGCAAGTGGCATATGCTATAGCACTTTTGAGAAAATTTGTAACAGTGAGAATGGTTGAGAAAAGCATACAGGACTTAGGCTAACTAGTCCTGGATTAATGGGTTGTGTTCAAGCAAGTAAAGGAGAGATGGCAAAGCATTACAGGTGGGTGGCATGAAAAAGAAAGTTTTGCCTAGAATAGGGAGTGGAGCTTAGTTTGCACGGGACACTGAAAATGTGTCACTTTGCTGAAGCAAATGGTCAAATGTGCAGAAATAACAGGAACTGGGGTAGAGGATGAATAATCTGTAAATTTGAAACTGCACAGTATGAACTTTACTGGTATATAAGATTCTACAATTAAACAAATACATCATTATTTGCTAGCACACCAGGAGAGCTCTATCTATTACTATTCAACCCTTTCAAAAAAAAAGAAAAAAATTATTTTGCACTGCGATGGAGAGAGACTAAGAAAAACTCTAGAGATACTGATTCAGAAAATAATGCTGATAAGCCAATATGAAAGTACATTTACTAAAACCATACAACTGAATAATGGGAAATATGCATAGCTAAAGGGTTACAGGCATTGCTTATCAATTTGTATTTAAGAAATGTCATTATATCAAGTTTCTGGAAATCAAATTTCTATTTAGCAAGATATGTATACCCTAAATTTAGAAGGACACCTCCTATATAAGGATCAAATGAAATATATAAGGTGTAAAATCACATATATTAAGTACAGAGGATAGAACAAGATTACCCCTATTAAAAGGTAAGAAAACTTGGAAAGAAATAAAAAGTAAACTTTTCTAATGATAAAAACGAAAAAAGAAAATACGTGACCTGAGATATTTGTTTAAAAATACAAATTCCCAGGCTCCATCACAAATCACTGAATCAAAATTTTAGGGAGAGGGGGTCTAGGTATTTTATAAAAATAAACGCCTCAACAAAAGCTTATCAAGTTCGGGAAACACATGATATGACCAAATGTAAGATCTGAACACCAGTATATTTAATATTATATTTTTCAAATATAATTAAAAAACAATGAAGGTTGAAGGTAATGGGTGGGTCAAGAAAGAAACTGTATTAATGAAAATATAAGTTATTAATAAAGTTCCCATTGAAATCTAAAAGGACTTCCCATAATCCATAATACTAGCCACTGTATCTGAAATTCAGACTGATACTTGAACTGTCTGATGGGTTTACTGCAGTGGTGATGAATTTGAACTAGTGACCCCCAAACTCATCCTGTAGCACTTGTACCTAATGAGATTTGCTGATATATATAGTTCAATAATAGCTCATAAGAAATATAACTAGTCAGAGAATAAAGCTTTTGACCTTGACAAAATTACTATGCTTTACTTAAGGGAATTAACTAACCAGCCAGACCTAGCTATTAACTAAAAATTTTTCACATCCAGTAAAAATATTTTTGGCCAAGAGAACTAACAAATTATCTGACAGTCAAAAATTAAGTTCTGGATCTAGTTCAGACCTGAATCAGGTGACACTGTCAAACGTTTTAGATAAGAAAACATATTGAGAGTAATCTTTCATGTTTCTTGGAAATAAGTTATTTATTTAATAGTTGTTTTTTAATCACTTCAACTCCACTATGTTTTGGGGGAAGGCTATATTTGCATAAAATTTGAATCTTGCACTCATTTAGGTAATAGAATACACAGTACCCAGTCTCAAAATGCTTGAAATCTAGTGATAAAAGCATAAAATTGCAACAATAATTAAGCTGAGGCTGGCAAGGAGGTTTTTATACAGGGATCTTTACTACCCCAGAGGACTCTTTTATTCACCTCCACCTAATAACTACCGCATATGAAGCACTTGATATGTTAGCTCCCTTGAATACACTTAACCATTAGTGACCCCAAACAAAAACACTACAAATTTGGCCAGGCGTGGTGGTTCACGTCTGTAATCCTAGCACTTTGGGAGGCTGAGGCAGGCGGATCACTTAAGGTCAGGAGTTCGAGACCAGCCTGACCAACATGGTGAAACGCCATCTCTACTAAAAAATACAAAAATTAGCCGGGCGTGGTGGCGGGCGCCTGTAATCCCAGCTAGTCGGGAGGCTGAAGCAGGAGAGTCACTTGAACCCAAGAGGCAGTGGTTGCAGTGAGCTGAGATTGTGCCACTGCACTCTAGCCTGGGCGACAGAGAGAGATTCCTCAAAAACAAAACCAAATAAAAACTACAAACTTGGTGGAGCTCTGAGTTGATACCATTTTTCTCTGGAACATAACTATATTCCAAATTATGAAAACTCTGAATTTCAAATTCCTAAGTAGAATAGTTCCTCTAGTCCCAATTTACAGATGAGAAAACTGAGGCACCAAAGTCAGATACCTACTAAGTGACTAAGGAAAAATTCAAAACCAGGTCAGCCTGGTCAGGACTCAAAAGCCCAGATATATTCTTTTCCCATCCCATGTTGGATTTCAGAGATAAAACATCCAAATCATGACTATATGACGGTGGTGATTACAATTCATTTAGGCTTCTAATGGCTTCTAAGTCAAGGGTGAGCAAACTTTTTCTGTAAAGGGCCAGATTTTAAATATTGAGGCTTTGCAAGACAGATTGCTTTCTGCTGCAGGTACTCAATTCTGTCAGTTTAGCATAAAAGTAGACAATATGCAAATGAGTAAGAGTGGCTGTGTTTCAATAAAACTTTACCAAAAACAGACCTCAAACTGGATTTGGCCATCAGGCCATAGTTTCCCAAGCCCTGTCATAAGTCAGTGTCAGGTTTTAAATCATTCCTTTCAGGAACTATATTTTTATGCAAATTGGACACAAGAAGTAAAAAATGTAGGCTGCCAAATTTGGAAACGCTGGTTATTCAAATTTAGTAATTTGGACTTTATCATGCAGACATCATGATTCTTTCAACTCTAATGTTCCAGCAGTGTACTCTTAGGGGCTGCCAAGAGTAAATATAAAAAGCCAATAAAGGATTCCTGAAGGAGAAGAGGCTATGATTACAGTCATATTTTAACAAAATTTACCTGACAATGTTTAGAATGACTGTAAACAGTCAGGACTTCAGAAGGAAGGCAGAAAATTTAAAAAGCAGTAATAATTTCGTGTTTAATCAGTGCCAGACATTTTCAGCAAGAATTCCCTAATGTTCAATCATTGCCAGACATTTTCAGCAAGAATCATCTGGCGAGCTTAGAAATCCTAACCCCTAATCCAAGAATGCTAACAAAATAAATATCTGTGGTAGGGAACAGTAAGCTGTATGTTTAAAGAGTTTTCCAGGTGATTCTATGTAGAGCCGAATTTGGAAGCCACTGCAACAGTCCATGCTAAACATGATAAAGGTACAATCTAACTATTTTTAGCTACAGTATTTTGGAATTTTGTAGGTTCACTTTAGGTTGTCTCAATGTTTAGAGAAATGCTACTGGCATTTAATGGGCCAGGTCTGGAGATGAGAACTATCCTTGCATACTGTACAACCTTCAAATACCTACCAGATATATAACTAGGTGAAATACCTGTTTATAATTTTGAGCACCTAATTCCATTTTACACAAAAACTGCAATATTTTTGCACTATTCTTTAAGAGTTATTTGTTATTTCTGATGATCACTGATACTCATACTGATCTTGGTATCCGAGTCAAAAATATAACACGTCTATATCAGTTTGCACTTCTAACAATCACATTCATGAGGACATATGTACAAACTTTTGCTCTTCATTGCTTTCTGGTATTGTGCCTGAACACTTAAATACTGAAACATAAAATGTATAATAAATTCTTCATTTTTTTCTAATATCATTGTGCCTAAGCATTTACATAACATATAAAATGTACAATATTTTTCTTATATATCTCCTTTAAGAAATTACATAGATTTTTAAAAATAATGTAGGTTACTATCATTTTAAGAGTAAGGAAGTGTTACAGAATGTTGCATAAATGGGATATTAGGTCTGATGTACTTGAGAACAATTGGTTTAAACTACAAAGGTACTAGGAAAATATAGGAATAATTCTAGAAACAGAAAGCAGTTGGGGATGAACAGGAGTAGGGAGAAGGAAGGGATTCAGGGTAATGTCTGAGTAGCCGGCTTAAATCAGGTGGAGGCAGCATGATTATTCAAGACAGGGAACAAAAAAAAAAAGAAAATTAGTAAAATTTTGAACAAATTTATACTTAGATTCTAGTCTAGTCCACACTTGAAAATGTGATTTTAGAATAAAGGAGGGAGGTCTGGGCTAGAAATAAAGATACAGCTTTGGTGTCAACAGCAAAGGTTTCAGATGAGACTATCCACAAAACGCATGTAGAAGATGATACTGGTACTCTGGGGAAGATAAATATTTAGAAATGGATGGATGGGCCAAGTGCAGTGGCTCACGCCTGTAATCCTAGCATCTTGGGAGGCTGAGGCAGACGGATCAGGAGGTCAGGAGATTGAGACCATCCTGGCCAACATGGTGAAACCCCGTCTCTATTAAAAATACAAAAATTAGCTGGGCGTGGTGGTGCACACCTGTAGTCCCAGCTACTCAGGAGGCTGAGGCAGAAGAATCGCTTGAACTGGGAGACAGAGGTTGCAGTGAGCCAAGATCGCACCACTGCACTCCAGCCTGGCAACAGAGCAAGACTCCGTCTTAAAAAAAAAAAAAGAAAGAAAGAAATGGATGGAAGACAAAGGCCTCAAAGAGAAACAGAGGTACACATAAACTAGGAAAGGGTATTGTCAAAGCAGCAGCCAGTTCATCTATTTAAATTTTAGAAGGAAGGAGTAGTCAAAAATATGTAGCATACTGGCAGAAAACTTAGCCTTAGAGAAGACGGATCTTTTTTCCTTTCAATTAAAAAATGAGAATGGATTCAGCTACAGACAAGTTTGTTTGAAGGGAGGAGGAATAAGAGAGTTAAGTGGGATTATCATCTCCAGTTACATACAGAATCATATTTGTTTGGTGAAACAGAAGCAAATTAATCTGTTGAGAACATGAAAGGCAAAGTTTGCTAAGGGGTTGATGAAAGAAGTAAAAGGAATGTATGAGGACATAGACCAGAGATAAATAAAATTGCTGAGTCTGATAAATTTTGATATCATTAATTTGTCGTGGCATCAATCTCCAAAACTGTACTTGGCAATCTAAATTGTATTCCTAAATTAATTTAAAGTTGAGGGGATTCACAGGGCAAGTGTGGCAGAAAAATAAGGGACCAGA
This sequence comes from Homo sapiens, assembly GCF_000001405.40. Taxonomy (NCBI): domain Eukaryota; kingdom Metazoa; phylum Chordata; class Mammalia; order Primates; family Hominidae; genus Homo; species Homo sapiens. The sequence goes on along the minus strand of NC_000010.11, from coordinate 110,957,662 downwards.
CAGTACAGTTTGGGCTGGTAAGGAGAAAAAAGTGAACCTAATAAGCCATTAGTTTCTTAGATAATTAGAGGAAAAGGGAGTGATCAAGAAACTGGAAGAGTGAGTTGGAAATTGTGGGCTGGGGGGGGGGTATCTTCATGATTAAGAATCTGATGTTCTTCCTGCAGGAGAATTTACATTTATCCACAAACATATACATGCGGCATTATACACACCAGGTAAAAAACTATGTTAAGTCAAAGAGTCGGTATAACAGACGAGCATTAAAAAGCTAAAAAGATAGTAAATTATGGCAAAACAAAGCAATAAGCTTTCAATCACAACAGTCCTAAGACTTTGAGAAGTAAAGAAATGAGCTGATTTACTCAAGCACATATTGGAGTCACTGAGTTGCTGAAACTAGAATACAGAGCTACTGATATTCAGGGCACTATTCTAACCAATCTTGCTGACTACAATAACATATTTTATCTTGATGAACCATTTAAATGGTATGAAAGCATGGAACAATACTACAACCAAAGGTACCCATTTATGAATATTGCTATTTCCAAACTTAAATACAAAGATCAGCAAATTACAGGAAGAAAATATCTATTAAGTTAATGTTGCCTTAGGGCAAATGCCCAATAAAGAGCTTGTTTTCTTGATCTCTGAACAAAGCTCCAGGTTCACCAGAAAAGGTACCCTGATGTCTAATTCTGCAGGTCAGCTAGAACCTTTTCTTTCAATTAAAGAGGCTACAAATATAGCTAACTTTCTTACAAGAAGAAGCTACTTACGAGATATTTCACTGGCAATATATTAAAAGGAACATTAAACGGAATACTTTGTTATTTAAAAAAAAAAAGGATTTTTCCTAGGGCCCAATCATTTATTTTTTCTTTTATTTCTCATAAACATGAAAAACACAATGATTATATAAGGTAACAGAGGCAGACAATCTAAACCCAAGCAGATCAAGATAAATGTAAGATTTAAAACATTCATTTTATACAAGACTATCATTTTTTAACATGTAAGAAGAGTTTTCAAACTGGAAAAGTCTTAAACTTTTTATTCCACAATTTCAACATATTTTAGGACAAGGAGCACTGCTGTGAAAAACAAAGGTTTTTTAAAAAGCAGCAAAGTATCACAGGACATTAGGCAAAGCAGCAGAATTGCAAGCAGCTATATCCAAAGAAGCAGAGTGGTCTTAAGGTATGAAATGTAGTCAGGAGTTTGAGACCAGCTTGGCCAACATGGTGAAACCCAGTCTCTACTAATAATACCAAAAAAAATTACCCAGGTGTGCTGGCGCGCACCTGTAATCCCAGCTACTTGGGAGACTGAGCAGGAGAATCACTTGAACCCGGGAGGCGGAGGTTGCAGTGAGCCGAGACTCCAGCCACTCCAGGCAGAGTGCAGTGAGCGCCATTGCACTCCAGCCTGGGTGACAAGAGCGAAACTCCGTCTCAAAAAAAAAAAGACATGAAATGTAAAAAACCTGTTGGATCCACAGGAGTCATTTCAGGCAATTAGGCACATGCAGATACCAGAGGAAGCTATTACAGGTGACTCTGCAAAGTCTATAATTCTCTACATATGTTGGTGCATGTGCTACCCATACATAGCCATATATTTGGGTTGTGTGACCCATGTAATTAAAAAGCATATATTTAATAAGTTTCCATCACTTACAACTCTGTCATATCTTCCAATTTTGATGACAATGACCTTTAAATTATCTAAAATTATTTTATTTGCTTAATTGTTCCTTATGTCTTTATACCCTTCCTTCCTCCTAACTCTTCAACGAGAACAGGAACTTTGTTCAGTGTTGAATGAACATTGTAATATCAGAAAATAAAACATGTAATTAAGTCTCATATTTCAATTTCTACTCTAGGACAATGTACTTTAGTAAAAAAGAAATTATAATATTTTGGTTGAAACAAAAATTATAGAAAACAGAGCAATGACACAAAGTCACATTATGTATTTCTTGGTTAAAAGATTCTATTTTCCCCCTGAAGTTCCCTTTCACACTACAGGTTAACAGATGTCCCACACGTGATACCGCAAGTATGAATTTATTAAGTCAGCAGTTAATGAGTCTACACAAAACTCTGCATACAGAGACCTCAATAAATGTCTTTTAAACTGAACTGAGATAATCAATAGATTTCCCCCCCAATCTCACTAAAAACCTACCTCATTTGCATCAAACTTGATTTCCTTCCAAAATCAGATCTTTATCCCAAACTGCTCCATTTCAGTAAAAGACAACATTCAGTTAAGCAAGAAACTTAAGAAACTTAAGAGTTATTCCTATTCCTCCTTCCTTAATTTCCCATATCCAAACCTTTGGCAAACATGGTGGACTTTAGTCAAAATGAATCACAAATCGTCTACTCTCCACATTCATTGCCTTCACCGTACTCCAAGCTCTCATCGTCTCTCTCTTGAACTACCTTGTCTCCTACCTTGGCCTGCTGATTCCCACATACTTTAAATCCATTCTCCAAAAAGTGAACAAAGCACTTTTTATCCAAATAGTTCATATTACTCTCCTGCTCAAATTCTCTAACCGCCGTATGCAGCACAAAATGTTACAGAGGACTAGAAATGGCTAATTTTTCAAATATTAGGTAAAGAAAAGACATCTTAGAGTTGCCCCATTAAATCTCAAAATTAACATATTTTAGGAAAAGGTTTCCCTGCCTGTCTCTTCAACCTTACCTCTTACCAATCTCTCACTGGCTTACTATTCCCCAGTCACACTGCTCTTACTGTTCCTTGAAAACATCAATTTCTTTCCTACCTCAAGCCCTTGTCTGTGTTTCCTCTGCCTGGAATGTTCTTCCTCAGTCTTCACATGGCTGACTCTTTATAATATTTAGGACTCACCTCAAGCTTCACCCCTTAAATAAAGCCTTCTCTGACCATCTATCCTGTTTTATTTTCTTCATAACATTTATTAGTATATGAAATTACTTTACTCTTTTATGTTTATTTGCTTATGATACATCCCATTTCCCTGCAAGAATGTAAGCTCTGTAAGACTTCCTTCCATAAGATAAGGGACCTTGTCTGTCTTGTTCACAAATATACTGTTAGCATCTTTATCAGTTCCTGTTTTATAGTAGTTAAGACCCATATTAAAATAACAAAACATTTAAACTTTAATTTCAAAGGCACTTTTAATTTCAAAGTGACTTGAGAATCTGCTGCAAAGAAGCTAGCTGATACTACCCCTTTATTTTGATGCTAACATAAACATTTATCATATAACTAGGTAGTGAATGAGATGATTCTAGATGACCAAGTCTTCTGATTCCATAGTCAATATACTCCTGCCACCCTAACCAAGCTGCCTCTCTCATGTTAAAAAATGTATAATCAGAAAATAAAACATGTAATTAATTCAAATATTTCAATTTCTATTCTAGGACAATATCTTTTAGTAAAAAAGAAATTAAATTTGTAATATTTAATATTAATATAAGTAAATATTTTAACAGTATATACTGTGAACACTAAATTGGAATATAAACATTAATAAATTATACACAAAAACAATGGACTTATTTTTCCTTAAAAAGAGGCAAACAGTAGCTTTTCCTGAATACAAATTATTTAGAATAAAAATGTAATTTTTCAACAAATTTTTGGTCAACAAAAACTAAATCAGTGCTTATAGACAACCCAAATTAGAAAATAAAATAAACCAAGATAGATGACTTCACTTAGGTTAAATATATTAAAAAGTAATAATTATATATAATTAAAAATTTTCCTTTTTATACTATAGAAGAGGTATCACCAGATATCCATTTTTAAAGTATATTTCCTTTTCTATTCCCCCCAATCCACCAAATATGTGGCATAAGATGGTAGGTTTAAATATATATACACATCAAACCTATCAAAATATATATATATATATACACGTGTGTGTGTGTGTATATATATATCTCTCTCTCAAAGATTTACTGTAACTACGCACAAGTTATACAATCCATCAATTGTGCTCCTTGGTATTACCCAATGAGATGAAAACTATGTTCACAGAAAAACTTGTACACAGATGTTTATGGCAGCTTTATAATTGCCCAAACTTAGAGGCAACCAAGATGTCTTTCAATGGGTGAATGAATAAACTGTGGTACATCATAAAATACAATATTAATCAGCGCTAAAATGAAATAAGCTATCAAGCCACAAAAAGACACAAAAGAATTTTAAATGCACATTTCTAAATGAAAGAAGCCAATCTGCAGAGGCTACATACTGTATGAATCCAACTATGAGACTTTCTGGCAAAGATAAAACCAGGGAGAGAATAAAAAGATCAGTGATTCTGATCATTAGAGAAATGCAAATCAAAACTACAATGAGACACCATCTCACGCCAGTCAGAATGGTGATTATTAAAAAGTAAGGAAACAACAGACTCTGGCCAGGCTGTGGAGAAACAGGAACACGTTTAAACTGCTGGTGGGAATGTAAATTAGTTCAACCATTGGGGAAGACAGTGTGGCGATTCCTCAAGGATCTAGAACCAGAAATACCATTTGACCCAGCAATCCCATTACTGGGTATATAGCCAAAGGAGTATAAATCATTCTAATATAAAGACACATGCACACATATGTTTACTGCAGCACTATTTACAATAGCAAAGACATGGAACCAACCCAAATGCCCATCCATCAATGACAAATTGGATAAACAAATGTGGTACATATATACCATGGAATACTATGCAGTCACAAAAAAAGAATGAGCTCATGTCCTTTGCAGGAACATGGATGAAGCTGGAAGCCATCATCTTCAACAAACTAACACAGGCACAAAAAACCAAACATTGCATGTTCTCACTCATAAGTGGGAATTGAACAATGAGAACCCATGGACACGGAGGGGAACAACACACACCAGGGCCTTTTGCGAGGTGCGGGGCAAGGGGAGGGAGGGCATTAAGACAAACACCTAATGCAGCCAGGGCTCAAAACCTAGACGACAGGTTGATCGATGCAGCAAACCATGATGGCACATGTATACCCATGTAACAAACCTTCACATTCTGCACATGTATCCTGGAACTTAAAGTAAACTTAAAAAAAAAAAATCAGTTATTGCTAGGGGTTGGGGGAGTGAGGGATGAATAGGTGGAACACAGGAATTTTCAGGGCAGTAAAGCAATTCCCTATGATACTATAGTGATAGTTATATGTCATTACACATTTGTCAAAATCCATTGAACCTACAACAGTAAAAACCCTAATGTAAACTATGCACTTTCTGTGATAATATGTTAATGCAAGTTCATCAATAATAATGAATGTGCTTACTCTGATGCAAGATGGTGGTGGCAGGGAAGACTTCGCTTGTAGGGTGGAAAAGGGAATATACGGGAACTCTGTACTTCCAACTCAATTTTGCTATGAACCTAAAATTTATCTAAAAGTGAAGACTATATTTTAAAAATTTAACTGGAAAAAATCACTTAAATTACTGCTTTATTAAAAGCTGAAAAAAACAAAACGTAAAAAGGCAAAAAATTAAGGTTAACTAGTGTGAAAGAGGGCAATATTTAAGAGAAACTAGTAGTTTCATTGTCTGTAACAATCTACAGATGACCTCTTAAGTCTGTCCTAAATCAAAAATAAAAACAGCCCTGTGCCTGTAAGTTTTAATCAATTGAAAAGACATTATTAGGCCAGGCGTGGTGGCTCACACCTGTAATCCCAGTAATTTAAGAGCCTGAGGCGGGCGGATCACTTGAGGTCAGGAGTTCAAGACCAGCTTGGCCAACATGGTGAAATCCCACCTCTACCAAAAATACAGAAAAATTGGCCAGACATGGCTATAATCCTAGTTACCTGGGAGGCTGAGGTGGGAGGATCGCTTGAACCTGGGAGGCAGAGGTTGCAGTGGGCCAAGATCAGATCATGTCACCAATATCAGGATTTCCTAGATTTGAAGGCTGAACGTCACATTTTCTGTGTGTATTCTTCCATCAATGAAGACATAGGTTGATTTCATATCTTGGTTATTGTAAACAATGCTGCAATGAACATGGGAACGTAGACATTTCACAATATAATAATTTCATTTCCTCTAGATACGTACCAAGAAGTCAAAGAAATGAGATTGATGGATCATATATGGTAGTTCTCTTTTTAATTTTTTTATGAAACTCCATACTATTTTTCAGTACATGGCTGTACCAATTTACAACAGTGTAAAAGAGTTCTATTCTCTCTATATCCCCACCAACACTTACAGTCTTATTATCGTCTTTTGGATAATAGGTATGAGGTGACATCTAACAGGTGTGAGGTGACATCTCATTGTGGTTTTTATTTGCATTTCCCTGATGATTAATGACGTTGAGCATTTTTTCACATACCTGATGTACACTGTATGTTGTCTTTTGAAGACCATCAATGCAAGTCCTTTGTTCATCTTAAAAACTTGGGTTGTTTTTGTATCATTGAGTTCTTAAATATATTTTGGATATTAAGCCTTTATTAAATGTATGGTTTGCAAATATTTTCTCCTATTCTGTCAATTATTGTTCACTCTGTTGATCATTTCCTTTGCTGTGCCGAAGCTTATTCAGTTGATGCAATACCATTTCTCTATTTTCGCTTTTATTCCTTATGCTTTTGGGGTCATATCCAAAAAATCATTGCCCCAACCAATGTCAAGAAACTTTTCCCTTTGTTTTCTTCTGGTAATTTTACAGTTTTCGCTCTTTAAGTCTTTAATCTATTTTGAGTTGATTTTTGTACATGGTGTAATTATTTTCATGTTTTTATATATAGTACAGGAATGAAATTTTTATGCTCATGCTTCTGCATATGGATATTCAGTTTTTCCAACACCATTTATTGAAGAAACGATCACTTCTCCATTCTGTGTTCTTAACATCTTTGTTAAAGATCAACTGATTGTACACATGGTATAAGCTTTCTGTTCTGTTCTGCTGGTCTTTATCTCTGGTTTTATGCCAGTACCACACTGTTTGGATTACTAGGTTTGTAGTATATTTTGAACAATTATGGAGGCATCGGGTAGTATGATGCTTCCAGAATTGTTCTTGCTATGGCTGCTTGGAGTCTTTTGTGGTTACATACAAATTTTAGGATTGCTTTTCCTATTTCTGTGTAAAATATCATTGGAATTTTGATAGCTGTTGTATCAAATATATAGATTGCTTTGGGTAGTATGGACATTTTAATAATATTAATTCTTCAAATTCAAAAACAGGATATCTTTCCATTTATGTGTCTTCTTCAATTTCTTTCATCAATGTTTTATCGATTTCTGTGTAGATCATTCACCTCCTTTGTTAAATTTATTCCTTTTTATTTTTATGCTACTGTACAGGGGATTGTTTTCTTAACTTCTTATTCATTGTTAGTTTATGGAAACACAACTGGTTTTTGTAAGCTAATTTTATATTTTGCAACTTTACTGAATTCATTTATTAATTCTAACATTTTTGGCGGAGTCCTTAGGGTTTCCTACATATAAGATCATGTTATCTACAGAAAGACAATTTTACTTTTTCCTTATTGATTTCCACATCTTTTATCTCTTTTTCAGGTCTAACTGCTTTGATTCAGATGTACAGTACTTTATAAACTAGAAGTGATGAGAGAAGAAATCCTTGTCTTCTTCCTGATCTTAAGAGGACAAGCTTCCAGCTACCTGAGGGCTTATATAATCTTTATGGTGTTGAGATACGTACCTTCTATCCCTAATTTGTTGAGTTTTTATCACAAAGTGATAATCTTGTCAAATGTTTTTTCTGTATCTATTGAGAGATCACACAATTTCTGTCCTTCATTCTGTTAATGTGTTGTATCATTTATTGGTTCTTGCATATGCTGAACCATCCTTGCATCCCTGGGATAAATCCCACTTGCTCACTGTGTGTGAACCTTTTAATGTGTTGCTGAATTCAGTTTAGTAGTATTTTGTTGAGGATTTCTGCGTCTACGTTAATCAGAGATACTGACCTGTATTTTTTTTTTCTTTTAGTGTCCTTGTTTGGCTTTGGTATCACAGCAACACCAGACTTGTAAAATGAGTTTGGAAGTATTCCCTCCTCTAAGGTTTTGGAAGAGTTTTAGGACTTGTGCTATGTCTTCTTTAAAGGTTTGTTGGAATTCACCAGTGGAGCCTTCAGGTCCAAAGCTTTTCTTTTTTGGGAGGTTCTTGATTACTGATTCAGTCTCCTTACAGTCACTGGGTGTGATTGGATTTTCTCTTTCTTCATGATTGGTAGACGCTATGCTTCTAGAAAAAAATTTCTATTTCTTCTAGGCTATCCATCTGTTTGTGTATAGTTATTCATTGTAGTCTCTTATTATCTCATTTGTATTTCTGTTGTATCAGCTGTAATGGCTTCTCTTTCATTTGTAATTTTAATTGAGTCCTTTTTTTGCATAGTCTAGCTAAAGATTTGTCAGTTCAGTTTCTTTTCACAAAACCAACTCTTAGTTTCATTATCTCTTCTACAGTTGTTCTAGTCCCTATTTCATTTATTTCTGCTCTGATCTTTATTATTCCTTTCCTTCTAACAACTTTATGTCTGGTTTGGATTCTAGTACAAGGTTTCCAATCTTTTGGCTTCTTTGGGCCACAATGGAAGAAGGATTGTCTTGGGCCACAAGTAATTTACACTAACACTAACGCCAGCTGATGAGCTGGGAAAAAAAAAATGCAAAAAATCTCTCATAATGTTTTAAGAAACTTAGAAAGTTTACAAGTCTGTATTGGGTCACATTCAAAGCCATCCTGGGCTGCATGTGGCCCACAGGTTGGACAAGCTTTTTCTAGTCCTTTGAGATACAAAGTAAGGTTGTTCATTTGATTATCTTCTTTTTTCCTTAATGTAAGCATTTATCACCATAAAATTCCCTCTTAAAACTGCTTTTGCTGCTTCACGTAAGTTTTGCTATGTTGTGTTTCCACTGTCTTTTGTCTCGAGACACCTTTTCAAATGTCCCTTTTTTCTTTGATCCACTGGTTGTTCAGGAATGTGTTAATTTCCACATATTTGTAAATTTTCCAGTTTTCCTCCTGGTGTTATTGATTTCTAGTTTCATACTCTTATGCTTACAAAAAATACTTGATACAATTTCAATCTTCTCAAATTTCTTAACACTTGTTTTATGACCTAATGTGTCTTAAAGAATGTTCAATGTGCACTTAAAAAGAGTGTATATTCTGCTACTGTTCAATGGAATGCTCTGTATATGCCTGTTACGTCCATTTGGCCTAAAATGTTGTTCAAGTCTGTTATTTCTTTATTGATTTTCTGTCTGGCTAATCTATCTATTGCTAAAGCAGAGGTACAAAAGTCCCTATTATTATATTACTATCTATTGTTCCTATCATTTCTGTTAAGATTTTAGAATCTTGGCTTTCTCATTATAAAAAATATTTTGGTGCTCTGATGTTGAGTGTATATATATTTACAACTATTATATCTTCTGGATGAACTGCCTTCTTTATCATTGTATAATGACTTTGTCTCTTATGACAGTTTTTGACTTGAAGTCTATTTTATCTTACATAAATATAGCCACCCCATTCTCTTCTGGTTACCATTTGCGTGAAATATCTTTTTCCATTTCTTCATTTTCAGCCTATGTGTGTCCTTAATGCTAAAATGAATCTCTTTTAGGCATAATACTGTAGGATCTTTTGAAAAATATATTTTAAAAAACTCTGCCTTTTGATTAGAGAACTTAATCCATTTACATTAAAAGTAATTGTGGATAAAGTCTTAACATTGTCATTTTGTTGTTTTCTGACTATCTTGTAGCTCCTCTATTTCTTTCATCTTCTCTTAATGTTTTCCTTTGCGATTTGATTTTTTTTTTTTTTTTGGTACTTATTTGCTTTCTCTTTATCTTTTGTGTATTTACAGGGGTTTTTCTCCACGAAATGTATATAAGACATCTTGTAGTTATAATAGTCTGTTGTTAAGCTGATAAAAATTTAATTTCAATCACATACAAAAACTCTTAACTTCTCCACACCCTCTCCAAGTTTACATTATTGAGGACACAACTTATATCTTTTTAGATTATATATTTATCAACAAATTATCATAGCTAAAGCTTTATTTTGTTCCTTTGATGGTGTCACGTTTCCCTGATCATTTGAGATCCTTATGGACTTGCACTGGTGTCTGCATATTTGAAGAAGTAGTCACCTCTCCAGTCTTTACAGAGGAGCTTTAACATAGGAAGCCCTTTACCAGTCAGCCTGTCCAGAGATTCCGGACAGCATGGCTGGCATAGTCCACGAGCAGGCTTGCTGCCTGACTTCTCCAGCAGGCTAGCCTCAGTTACTGGATCCGCAAGGATGGGTCTGGAGACTGGTTCTGTGGGATCTGGCCTGGTGCCTGGGTCCATGGGTGCCAGCCTGGCACTGGGGTTCACTGAGGTGGTTCTAGTGCTGGGGTTCACAGTAAAGTTAGGGGCTCACTTGACTCTCCTTCCTCCACTTGGAGGGCATCTATCTCCATACTGTGCTGCACAGGCTTGGGAAGGGGTGAAACAATTAATGTGCAACTGTAGTTCCTATCCTCTTCAATGCATCATTTGTTGTATCTATGCTACACCCGGGTGCTACAATCTATCATTTGGAATCCTTAGCTCTTGTGAAGGTATTTTTGTCTATGAGTGGTTATTCGAAATGCTTCTGTGAAGAAACAAATGCTGAAAACTACTATTCTGACATTTTACTAACATCACTCTTCCTATTTAACTTTTAAATATGATGAAGTCACTCCCTTGCTTAAAAAATCTGATGCCATCCCATCTTTCAAAATAAAAGGCAAGCCCTTACCTCCAACCTCCAAGACTCCACATGATCTAGCCCCTACACTTGTCTAGCTTTTCTCCAACTCTCCCCGCTAGGTACTTGCATTCCATTCATATTAATCTTGCTTTTCTTTGAATGCAGATCTACATGCTCACACATGAAGTCTTTGTTCTAGCTATTCCATCTGCATAGATACAGCCCTTTCTCTCAAATATCCACATTGTTTGTTCCCTGCTCAAATATCTCATTCTTGATCTACATATAAAAGAGAAATGTCTTCCTATTCTTTTTACCCTGCTTTATTTTTCTTCACAACATTTACTACCTCATAAAATATATTTACTTATTTATTTTGTCTATCATCTCCCTCTCCTCTATGAATGTGAAAACTGTGAAAGCAGGGGCTTCTGACTATTTGGTTTGCAGCTGTATATTCAGAGCCTAGAACCTGGCCAATACTAGATGCCCAAGAAATGGTTACTACATGAATAAAACAACAAATTAATGTATCTAGACATAATTTTTTAGAATAAATTTCTTCTTTAAGAAATATAAATGATCAGCTTCAAAATATGTTATCTCAGTAAAACTAAAATGAAAAATAAAGAAGGCATGGTATAGAATTGTCATTCCCATACCCATCAGAAGTTACCACTACAATAATAAGATATCAAGGATTTCACTGAGTGATATCATGATTATACTATTCAAACTGAAGGGATTTTTATTTGATTAAAAAAATCCTACTCAGGGCCTGAGTAGGATGAAAAGGACAATCCCACAAAGATGCAGTTCTGTGTAGGGTATCAGTTAGAACAGGAAGAGATGAACACTGACATATGATGGTAACCCACAAGATGTTTAAGAGGCCAATTGGGATAGGGTGGGTATGCTCATAGGAAGATAGCTCAACACAGAGAATCAGAACCTGATTGGGGGTGAGAAGAACATCCACAGGTAGTGATGAACCAGGGTGTGATACTGGAGTCTATGAGAGTGAGGAAGATTTCTACATAATAGGCTTGATTGATGGTTAAGGAGGAGGCTGCGCAACATGAACAGTTAAGATTTCAAGCAAGGTGAAAAGGTATTCACACACAGGGTAAGCCTAGCATGGAGAGTCAGAGTCTGAGTGGGGTTGGGGTGGAGATAGGGAGAGTCAAACATGGAGGTCTGTCAGTGTGGGATGGCAAAGCCCAAGTGGAGGCGACATCACAGAAAACAGCAGAGTAAGCATCTCTAAAAACTGTCTCTTCCACAAAAGCACAAAGAAAACTGGAAAATAGAATCAACTTTATCAGAACTCTAAAAATTAATAAAAAGCTTGCATCCAAGTTGCATTTATTTTTAAAAAGCTCAATCTCATTAAGAATGATGAGCTTTCTATTTTAACTTGCCCTAGTCCCATCCCTTGCTCTCCAGATCCACAGTAGTCTTGAAGAAACGACAGCTCACATTCCCAGTGCACTCTAGAAGCTACGTTAAAAAGCAGCAAGAGTTGTAGCTCATTCAAAGCTTCATTCTCCCCAAATTATTGCTTGAGCAGTCTTGTTTCCAGGAAGACCCTATTTGCAATGCTGACCGTATGTGACCTGACTCAGAGCTTGCACAATGCAAAACGCCTTTTCCCCAGGGAGATATTCATTGAAAAAAATTACAGGAAAGTGTTTTATACCATATCTACTTGAGGCAGTGAATAACAGTTGGAGCAACAGACTTAAATCTTAAAAGGAAAAGCTGAGAATGAAATACCCGTAACAGACTTTGAAAAGCTCTGACATATTACTGGGAATCTAGAAGGTCATACACATGCCTAAGGCTGTGTACATGCTCAAGGAAGACCTGAAAAGGGCCTAAGCTTTGAAGCTCTGCACAAGCAGGACATAAGGACAAGGCAGAGTTGCCAACTACCCAGCTGAGTGTTGAAGGCATGCCCCAAGACACACACACACAAAATCCTCTGGCAAAGACTAGGAGATTTACTGGTTCCAGGCATGTAAAGAAATCTTTGTCCAGTCATTAGCAACAACTAAGCTAACCAACTAGAGACTGAATTATCTACTGAGGTAGTCACACACATCAAATAGAGTTTGCAGAATTAATTCACAAAAGAAATTAAATGAAGAAACAACTACAAGTACTCCAACAAACCCTGAAGAGAGGGCAAAATGTGATTTTCATAGTTGTCAAATTATTTTATTATAAGTCTCCACTATTTGGACATTTTTATATTATTTAGAATGTCCACATTATTTCAAAGATCATTTATTATTTAAAATGTCCAAATGTAATTTTCAACAAAAAATTATAAGATATGCAAAGAAACAAGAAAATATGAACCATACACAGGAAGAAAAGCAAATAACAGAAACTGTCCCTGAGGAAATCCAGATATTGGACTTATTAAACACTTCTAAGTCAGCTTTTTTTTTTTTTTTTGGCTCAAAGATACATACTTTTCATTTGTGATCTGGATTATCTTCATTTTCCACTGTGGGCAGAAGGAGCACACATAAAGGTAGAATCCATAAATTTTCACTGGATAATGGTAAAATGGTAAGAGGGCCTGGATAAGTACCAACTTCAAAATAAAAAGCAGAAAACAGTATCACAACAGAATATCCTAAGAATGGAGATAACAATATACTATGGAACAAGGAGCTTATGAACTTTGTAACATGTCACATTTCAGATTTCATAATAAATTTTCCAAGGTATGTTTTTGTCATTCTCAGTTTTTCTGTAATAACAAAAAAGCAGGGAGATAATAGGCAGGTCTTCCTTTGAGACGAGCAAGAAAGAGGAGACTGGTGAGATCAAATCCAATCCACAGCCACTTGGGGCAAAGTTGGGGCAAAAGACGATCTGAAATGATAATATGTGGAAGAAGTGTGCTAAAAGAGTTGGTTGAAAGATTCTGGGTTGCCAAGAAGAAAAGGAGAATGCAGACTGTTAAAACTGATCCATAGAAGGCCAATGTGACTTTCCGTGACCAGAATGCTTAATTCCATTCCTACTGCCTCAAGATTAACTTCCTTGTTTAGATATAAGAAAATAGGTTCTCAATTTGACAAACACAAGTTACTCACTTAATATTTAACATGGTGAGACTACTTTTTGTTCTCTAGTGAGTTAGCAAGGTTTCAGTGTTCCAGCAGGACAACTCAGCCATTTATTATTGATCACGCCCTGGAGTTGAAGACACAGGCTCACAGAAGGTCATGATAGCCCATGTTCACTTAGGTAAAAGTTGTAAATGAAAATTTAATATCAAATCTCCTGTAAGTTAGCTATTTTTAAAATGTTCAATGAACTAAAGGAAAACATGCCTGTAGAACTAAAGGAAGGTATAAGGACAATGTCTCACCAAATAGGGAATATCAATACAGAGATATAAGTTGTTTTTAAAAGAACCAAATAACCTGGAGTTGAAAGTGCAATCATGGAAATGCAAACCTCACTAGAAGGGTTCAACAGCAGATATGAGCAGGAAGAAGAAAGAATCAGCAAAGTTGAAGATAGGTCAATTTATATTATCCAGTATGAGGAACAGAAAAAAAAAAAAAGAATAAAGAAAAAGAAACGGAGCCTCAGAGACCTGTGGAATATCATGAAGTGAACTAACATACTCATAATGGGAGTCCCAGAAGGAAAGAAGGAAAAGAAATAATGGTTGAAAACATCTCAATTCTGAAGAAAAGCATCAATCTATACATCTAAGAAGCTTAACAAACTCCGAGGAAGATAAATTCAAAGAGAATCCACATGAAGGCAGATGATTATCAAACTGCTGACAGACAGAAAGAATTCTTCATCTTAGAAAACTGAGGATGAAAAAACTCAAAACAAAGGCAACAAGAGATGTGACTCATCATGTACAAGAGATACTAAGTATTAACATTTAATTTCTCATCAGAAAATATAGAGGCCAGAAGGCAGTGGGAGGACATACTCAAAGTTCTAAAAGAATTTTTTTAAACTGTCTAACAAGAATTCTATATCCATAAAAACTATCCTTCAAAAATGAAGGTAAAATGAAAGCATTACCAGAAGAATTCATTGCTAACAGACCTGCCCTATTAGAAATAAAGTGAGTACTTTGGGTTGAAATGGAAGGACACTAGAAAGTAATTCAAATATACATGAAAGAGTCCGAGTAGACCAAGAGGATGTTATTACAGAGAGGTAGCCTGGTATGGATTATCAAAACCTGAGCCAGTTGAGGAGAACGTGCGGCTCTTCAGTCTCTAGTATTTGGCAGACATTTTCTTGAAAATAAAGGAAATGAGCCTGTTAATTCAAAAACAAATGAGCTGGGTACAGTGGCTCATGCCTATAATCCTAGCACCTTGTGGGGCTGAGGCGGGAGACTTGCTTGAGCTCAGGAGTTAGAGGCTGTAGTGAGCTACGACTGAGCCACTACACTCCAGTCTAGGCAACAGAGCAAGACCCTGTCTCAAAAACAAAAACAAAAACAAAATAACAGAATATTTGTTGCCAGTGATAAAGTTAGACCCTAAATAAAAATTAGAACTTTAGAAAGCATGCATTCACCACCATGAACTTTAAAGCAACCCAATATTTAAAGACCTTCCTGACGAAATCAGTGGAATTATTAACAAATGTCTTTATTTAATACTGTATGATAAAATGTGTCAACATTTAGAAAATCTGCGTAACTCAAAGAGCCAGAAGACCAATGTATGATGAATCAAAATCACACGTGGGTAAAGAACCCTTCAAAGTACAAAACAAACGAATGAATTTTGTCTTAGCAGAGAATGAAAAATTCTTTGGATGGTGCTGAACAACTGGATATCCATAAGCTAAAACAAAAACAAAAAATTACCTTAATCTAAATTTCACAGTGTATATAAAATTAATTCAACTAATCCAAAATTTAAGTTAATTCAAAATCATGGTTTTAAATGTAAAATGTAAACCTATAAAATTCTGAGAAGAAAACATACAAGAAAGTCTTCAAATACTAGTAATTCGTAGGCAAAAAAAAATTTTTTTTCATAAAAGAAAAGAATCAATACACTGCACTTCATCGAAATTAAAAAGTTTTGCCCCACAAATGATCCTGTTAAGAGAATGAAAAAAACAGGTTATATAGACTGGTAGAAAATATTTGCAAACCATGTATTCGACAAAAGTCTTACATTTAAACATAAAAAGAACTCTCAAAACTCAACATTACGCCAGGCACAGTGGCTCATGCCTCACTTTGGGAGGCTGAGGCAGGTGGATCACTTGAGGCCAGGAGTTCGAGACTGGCCTGGCCAACATGGCGAAACCCTGTCTCTACTAAAAATACAAAAATTAGCCAGGCATGGTGGCACATACCTGTAATCCCAGCTACCCGGGAGGCTGAGGCACCAGAATCACTTGAGTCTGGGAGGCGGAGGTTGCAGTGAGCCAAGATCGCGCCACTACACTCCAGCCTGGGCAACAGAGGAAAATGCAAAACAAACAAACAAAAACTCAACATTAATAAAAGAAATAATACAAGCAGAAAATGGGCAAAGACTCAGGCAGACATTTCACGGAAGAAGAGATACAGAAAACAAGTATGTTCAAATAAGATGTTCAGTATCATTAATCAATAGGAAAATGCAAATTAAAATCACAATGACAGATCACTACACACCTATCACAACTTAGAAAAAAAAAGTGAGAGATGGGGAGAGAGAAATAATGTAAATACCAACTATTTTAAAAATTAGTTGGGTATGGTGGCATGTACCTGTTGTCTCAGCTACTTGGGAGGCCGAGGTGGAAGGACTGCTTGAGCGCAGGACATGGAGGTTGCAGTGAGTAGAGATTGTGCTAACTGCACTCCAGCCTGGGCAACAGAGCTAGACCCTGTCACAAAAA
Organism: Homo sapiens; assembly: GCF_000001405.40. Taxonomy (NCBI): domain Eukaryota; kingdom Metazoa; phylum Chordata; class Mammalia; order Primates; family Hominidae; genus Homo; species Homo sapiens. Next base: position 110,940,943 of record NC_000010.11, on the reverse strand, counting down.
AAAAAAAAAAAAAAAAAAAAAAAAAAAAAAAAACCCACCACAAATACCACTATTTTGTCTTTCCTCAAGAAAGACAAATGTGTGTGGTCAATCTATAGAAAGAGTGTGTGAATCATTTTTCAACATATCCAAACATTCTAAAAAACGTATACCAATTATCCAAGTGGCCAGGTTGAGTGGATGGTGACAGTTCCTCAATTTGTTAAAGAAAAAATCTAAATTAAAGACAACAGAAAACCATTAAATAACTAAGAGAGGAACTGATAAAATCATCACAGTAAATAAAGATGACAATAAACAGAATCAGTAAATTGAAATGTTCATAAACATGCTGCAATACCTAAGAAGCACCTGAATAATTTGTTAATATAAGCTCTATATAAAATTGTATAACTATAAATAATTGAATTTACATACATGATACATGCAAAATCACATTATACTTTGAACATTTAGAGGACTTTGAATGGACATTTTTAATATACACTATTTTCACGTATATGCTGACTTTTGAACCTAACCCTAAAGATGTGCCTTCTTCCTAATATGATTCATTTCTTTTCTAAGAGAAATATAAAGGTATGTGAGAGTTACGCATCTCTGAAAGAGGCACAGAAGAAGAAATAGAAGAACATACACCACAATTAATGTAAAGATTAGACACATAAACCCCAAGAAACTATGATGAAACAAGATTAGGAAAGGCAGCATTGCTTTCTAGTATTGGGAAACTGAGTAAAATGAGTGGCCAACAAAATACACAAAATCCACATGTCTATCTCAAAAAAAAATTTTTCTCCTATCATTTCAGTCCTGATTCTACAGATGGCACTAATAACTTTTATCATTCTGCTATTTAAAAGAGAAATTTCTTCCAATAATACATTATGTCTAAATGCATAATTCATATAACCAAGAGGCCAATTATTTTCAACAGAATGGTATCTTCTGAAAAGTATGTTAAAAAGAATATATTCTATAAATTTTAATTCAGCACCTTAGAGATTAACTTCATAGTCATTTAAGTCCACTTTTCCATTAATAGTAGGAAAATATTTCCATAATTGACCATTAGGAAGTGATGATGTAGCTCAATTGGGAAAAGAATCTGACTCATCCATCTCTGGCCTGTGCACCAATTCTTAAAAACTAGCACTGATTATTCCTTAGTAGTAATATTGGTAAGGATACATGCTTATTTTAAAACTACTTTTTCTCTTGCCTAGGAGAAAAATAATTCAGAGAACTGAGGGGGAAACTAGATGTCTAGAAACTTGAGTTCTACATATATTAAAGTTGACATACGTTATAATCTAACATCAAAGTTGACATACGTCATAATCTAACATCAATCTAACATCATATGGATGACTCGATATCTTACCTCAATTCTCATGTTAAGTGGAGATACCACCTAGCTTTCCATCTCAAAAGCAATGTACTCAAAAGTAATCCCAGAACTTTTGGAAGCCAAGGTAGGGGGATTGGTTGAGGCCAGAAGTTCGAGACCAGCCTGGGCAACATAAGGAAACCCTATTTCTATAATAAATAAATAAAAATTAGCCAGGCATGGTGGCACGTGCTTATGGTCCCAGCTACTCAGGAGGCTAAGGTGAGAGGATGGCTTGACCCAAGAGATAGGAGCTACAGTGAGCCATGATGGTGCCACTGCACTCCACCCTGGGTGACACAGTGAAACCGAGTCTCAAAAAAATAAATAAATAAAATAAAATTTTTAAGGCAGTAAAAAAAATAGCAAAAAAATCTGGAGTTATAGGGTTTGGTTCCAATGTGACCTAGGCAAAAGCTACATTTCTAGGCTTCAGTTTTTACTGAAAAATAAGTCGGGAGGGCTACAAGATTTCCAAAATTCCTCCTGCTAAGACTTAACAGAAAGTAGTTCCAAAGAAGATCAATTTTTGATGTTTAATACATAGGAGGCACTCAAAAATTACTTTTAGTCTGGAAAATCAATGGTAACAAAATTTCCATGTCAAAAAACTCTCAGATTTATAGAAAACATACTACCACAGTTAAATGTTCTGATTATATTTACATCCTGGGACAGCAATTATCATTTATCCCTATTAAAAAGCAACTGACATGCAAATACATGTACTGGAATACCGTTAACAACACACTGATCTGAAAATATTCTATAATATATTCTCAGCATTTCCCAAAATGTATTTCTACAACATTTAGTTCCACTATCAAATAGGTTTGGAATAAGAAGTGCTTCCAATCTAATTATACTCTTCCTTTAAGTAGAAATTATTAGTGTTCTATACGTTCTTCGCAAAGTACATTATTATATTACATAGAAGATATCCCAAATTTATTTGGATCACAAAACCCTTTTTGGGAAATATCTATCAATATCTCACAGTGTTTCAACTGCTCAAAGTACACTTATTTAGTAGTAAACATAGGCACTATTATCAAATTAAAACATTGATCAAATTTTATTATTATAAATTATTAAAAATGTAATTGAGATTTTAAAAATACTGAAATGATCAATAACTAGAGTAACAAAGGCTAAAAATTGAAAGCTCCAATAATCTACCAAGCATTAAAATTTTCTGTGAAGCTGTTAGATGTGTTTTTATATTTGAGACTAAGAAATATACAGTCAGTCACATAAAAGAAATGGGGTGGAAAAAATACTTAGCTTCTCTCAGGTGCCACAGGTAAAATGAAACTCAGGCAAATGAATATAAGAATATGTTCAAATCAGAGAACAGAAGAAGGCTTGCCCACTAGCTATCAAAATTTTTCAAACATATTTCTTTTAACATATAGGACCAATTAAGTGAGGAAAATAAATGGACACTACCCTTGAAAAACAAGATGCCATTCAGAATACCAGATTATTCCAGAACTAACATTCATTAAGCTAAAGGACTTAAAAATATTCTAGTAGCAGAACTTTGTACATGAAAGTTTAATTTTCAGATTCAGTTGAAAGAAGAATCACCATCTAAGGAAAACTGAAGAACTGATGAGCACTCTAAAACTAAACCCTAACTTTAGTTATTAGTCTTTAGGCATTAGTCTCTAGTCTCATGCTTAATTCTTAATTGCAGACTTACTAGTTTCATTCTTAATGTTTTTTAATGCACAAGACTTCATAACTACAAACTGATATAATCAAACTCATATGTTAAATTGTGATTTTGTTTAATAAAACAAATTTATCCAAAAGAGCCTCTGTAAATGAACTATTTTTGGCTTTCGGAAAACTACATCAGCCCATACTTTATCCCTTAAAGTTATCTTAATTCTGACAAAACTGGACTGACCTGTAGCTCTTAGGATTTCTAATTTGAAAGATGGTATGGTCCCCTCTTTTCCTCTTAAAAATATCTGAAAACAACTAGGAGAGGAGAGTGAGAAACAGAAACACAAACTACTTCTTCAACAAACTAAGACATATCCCTAACCATAACATATGAGAGGGTCTACTAAATACAGTGAAGGCAAAGAGGGATGCTAGAAGAGCTCAAGCCAGGGAAATGGCTTGCATCTTCAAATCTTAAAACTATTAGTTCAGTTCTGTAAATTACATGACAGTCAGAAAAGCAAACCCAACAGTCCCTTGCTTGAAACATTTGAAGCTTTCACAGACCTCATTTGGCATCACTGAAACACAGAGTCAGGATTGGACCAAAAAAAAAAAAAGCAGCTTTCCCAAGGGGCAGCCGAAGATGGCAGAGGTGCAGGTCCTGGTGCTTGATGGTCGAGGCCATCTCCTGGGCCGCCTGGCGACCATCGTGGCTAAACAGGTACTGCTGGGCCGGAAGGTGGTGGTCGTACGCTGCAAAGGCATCAACATTTCTGGCAATTTCTACAGAAACAAGTTGAAGTACTTGGCTTTCCTCCGCAAGCGGATGAACACCAACCCTTTCCGACGCCCCTACCACTTCCGGGCCCCCAGCCCCATCTTCTGGCTGACTGTGCGAAGTATGCTGCCCCACAAGACCAAGCGAGGCCAGGCCGCTCTGGACCGCCTCAAGGTGTTTGACTGCATCCCACCGCCTTACGACAAGAAAAAGCGGATGGTGGTTCCTGCTGCCCTCAAGGTTGTGCGTCTGAAGCCTACAAGAAAGTTTGCCTATCTGGGGCACCTGGCTCACGAGGTTGGCTGGAAGTACCACGCAGTGACAGCCACCCTGGAGGAGAAGAGGAAAGAGAAAGCCAAAATCCACTACCGGAAGAAGAAAGAGCTCATAAGCCTACGGAAACAGGCCAAGAGGAACATGGAGAAGAAAACTGACAAATACACAGAGGTCCTCAAGACCCACGGACTCCTGGTCTGAGCCCAATAAAGACTGTTAAAAAAAAAAAAAAAGGAAAAGAAAAGGACATGCCCTTTCCTAAGAAAAGCTGATGCAGACTAATCAAGATAAATACTGCAATAGTAAAATTACTGTTTCTCAAAGATTTAAAAAGAGAATCCTTTGAGAATCTACGCAAAAAACATTACTATCTTAACATGTGAAGGAGGAGGGAATCAATGTTTAAACATCAGTGAAGCAGGCTGGGTGCGGTGGCTCACGCCTGTAATACCAGCACTTTGGGAGGCCAAGGCAGGCGGATCACCTGAGTTCAGGAGTTTGAGACCAGCCTGGCCACATGGTGAAACCCCGTCTCAACTAAAAAAAAAAAATACAAAAATTAGCCGGGCAGGGTGGAGGGCGCCTGTAATCCCAGCTACTCAGGAGGTTGAGGCTGGAAAATCACTTGAACCCAGGAGGCGGAGGTTGCAGTGAGCCGAGATCGCGCCATTGCACTCCAACCTGGGCGACAATAGCGAAACTCCGACTCAAAAAAAAAAAAAAAAAATCAGTGAAGCAATATCTAGAGTACTCAAGAATTTACCCCCAGCATAAAACATCATTAAATATGCAAAACCCTAAGGAATAGTTTTCATAAACTTTAAGAAAATACTTGATGATAAAGTTCAGCCATCTAAAAGATTTTTAAAAAACTATCGAAAATAACAAACTTTGAGCATTTGAATCCACTTAACTATTGGTCTAAAACTATGGCTATGGCTATAGAATATAATGTAATTGTTACAATTCCTGATAATGTTTTTATATAACCAACAAAACGTGAGAGAGTAAATAGACTGAGGAATGCTAATATCTTTATACTGTACTGCTTTACATCTTTAAGTATATTTCAATTGTTAACATACCTTGACTTATCTCTTAGTCCATTAGCTATAAAAGATGAGGCTATAACCATAATGATATAATAAATATAAATTAGCTAAATACATTCATTGAAAAAAAAGTCTCATATTAGATCTCAAAATAGAATGTAACTATATGAACACAAGACTCCCCTAACTCCCAAATTTGAATGGATGAAAATGAAAGAGATTTACATATTCAAAATGACACAGGCATTTATAAGCACCAGGATATTCACACTAGCATCATCTATAACAGCAGTATATGGAAACACCTAAATGTCCACCAACTAGGACCTAGTTAGATAAACTGAAGTTTTTTCAAGGGAATATTATGTAGTTAATAAAAAGAATGAGGCAACAATTGAGTTAGTATAGCAAATGGGCTAATATAAAAGACTCTGTAGCCAAACTGCTGGATGCTGGAGTTCACCTTCCAGCTGACAACCTACTAGCATGTCATTTAAAGTTTCTGTGCCTCAGTTTCTTCCTCTGTGGTAAGGGAATAATATTTACCTACTTCTCACGTTTGTGATGAAGATTAGTAATCAATACAAAAACACTTGTTAGAACAGGGCCTAGAACAAAGCACTACGTAAGTGTTAGATATTATTATAGTTAAGTGAGAAAAAGTGAACTGTAGAACAGCATAGTATGCTATCATTTACAAAAAACTTAAAATATATACATATATATGCACATATATGTGCAGAAAGTATACATATATGTATAAAATATGTGCAGAAGGATGAATAAACTCATAGTAGTTTCCCAGGAGCAGAAACTGGGTAGAAGAGGTTTCAGAGTGGGAGAAAGATTTACTTTACCTTTCTATATCTTTTGAATTTTACACCACATGCATGTATGGACTAGACAAAAACTACTACTTAAGTTACCTTTAAAAATCTTAAAGAATCTAGGATGACTAAACACAGTGCCACTTTTCTGGTTAGTTCTCTGGTCTACCATGCCTAGGGTGCATTTACTCAATTCAAGGGTCATACAAATAGCAAATTATCAGAGGTAAATGTATGTCCCCAAGATGTCACAGAGTTCAGATATTTAATGTTGTCACCATGTAAGATATAAAAGGAATATATCTTAGGAGACAACACTACAAGGACATATGTAAAGGGAGTGTTCACTGCAATGTGCACATAAATAGCAAAATATTAGAAATAACCTAATGTACATCAATAGACTAAATTATGGTACTATGCAATGTTGTACGGATATTAAAAATGACAGCATAGTATAACTTTATGTATATAAATTATAATTTTTGTATGTAACTAACAAATAGTAAATTCTAGACTCTCTCCACACAGGAATACAGATATATTTCATCTTTTCATTGCCTATGATTTGTGATATGGCTATATCATAATTTAATCATTCCTATTATCAACTGATATTTAGGTTGTTTCTATTTTCCTTTACATTTTTTAATCTTGTTTTCACCAAGATATATAATGCTTCACTGAACATCAATCTTCACCCACAGGGACTAATATTTCTGTAAGGCAGATTCCTGAAAGTAGAACTGTCAGGTCCAAACTAATATGCATTTTAAATTTTTATACGTAGTTCCAAACTGCCTTCTTCCAAAGAGCCTGCATCAACTTATACTCTTCCAGCCTTGCAAATTAGTAATCATTTTCATCAATCTGACGTATGCAAATGATATATTATTTAAATCTACATATTAGTAAGAGTGTGCAGATCTTTCCATTCTTCCACTGTTTGTGGTATTCAAACAAAATACAGCTAATAGCTACATCGTGCTTAACACACACTGTGGCTTTTTTAATTTGCCAGAATTTAATCTTTGGGAGCCTCACAAAAAAATCCAAACTTTCGTTAAAAAAAAAATCAAAAGATATGGGCATCACTGGACTGGATCCACATTTCTTTTGTTTGTTTTTTAGAGACAGGGTCTTACTACATTGTCTAGGCTGGAGTGCAGTGTCTAGGCTGTTCACAGGTGTGATCAGTGTGCACTGCAGCCTTGAACTCCTGTGCTCAAGAGATCCTCCCACCTCAGCCTCCAGAGTAGTGGGACTACAGGTGCATGCCACTGCGCCCAGCTCCATACTTCTTAATGACGAAAATCAACTGACATTGAAAAGGAGCTGCCCTCTCCAAGTGTTCTACAATTCAACCACCTCATATATTTCCCCTACTGGGTTCACTCATTTATGTTACCTGCCTGGTCTCCTGTAATAATTGAAGTTTAGTATCCTAGTCCTATTGGTTTATTTGGCTACATACTGGCTATTAAGATTCTTACTATAAATGATATTAATACCTTATCTTGTACAAACATAAGTATTTACTGTTAATTTTTCTTTTAACTTAATCATATATAATCATAAATATATATAAAATTTTCAAAGTCTAGAAGAACATAAAGTGTTAGCAATGCTATCCTTCAATTACAGGTGATTTTCACTTTTTATCTCTGTATGTATATCTTTTAAATGTATACAATGAGTAATCACTCCTTTCATAATTAGAAAAAAAGCTACTCTCATTTTGAAACAAAATATATGTAACACTGATAGTGATGTTAATTTTTAAACTAATAAAGCCAATTAAAACTTTACCTACAAAGAAAATCTGAATGCATAAAAGATCTATATAATAATCAGAGATCATTTAGTCTATGATTACCCATAAAGAACTTAATATATCTACTACTTCCAGCCAGAATTACAATATAAACTGTTTTTACAAGTGGCATTCAGAAGTACATGGAATGATATGACTCACTCTAAAGTTGTAAAACAAGTTTTGAATATTAGCAGTTCAGAAAACCAATTTTCTCCAATTACATTTAAATTTTTATAAATATAAAAAGTATATTTTCATTTGGTCAACATTTATACTAAGTGTAATGCACTTAGTATACCTTGCACTTTGCAAGGTGCAAACCATGCAATAACAATAAAGCACAATCCTTGCCTGAAAGCTTATACACAAGTGAGTAAAGCAAGAAAAAAGTCGAGTAAGTGCTGTTGAAGCACAAAGGGAAGGCACCTGAATTAGCCTTGGAGGTTAGGGGAATCAGGAAAGGCTTCTTAAAAGAGATAACATCTAAGCAGGAATCAACCAAAAAAGGTGAAAGGGGGCTAGGAATCCAGGTGGTGTCATCCTGACTTCTCTCTCCCCTTCAATGTTTACATTCTGACAATCACCAAATCTTATCAATTTTTCTCCCCAAATTTCTCAATGCCATTGGCTTCTCTTCATTCTCACTGCCATTACCCTGCTATAAGGTATACCAAATTCTCTCTTCTAATAGCCTTCTAACTGGTCTCACCATATCCACTTTCCCATCCTGTTCTTAACCTAATCACTATGTTGTAATTAGAGTGATCTTTCAAACATTCAAATCTAATCAGGTTAATGTCCAATTAAAAGAACTGAGGGGAGTCCTCAGGATTAAACCCAAATTTCTTAATAATAATTCACATGTCTTGAAGATCTAGCCCCTGCATACTTTTGCCACAACTCTAATACTTCCCATCTTGCACTATGGTCACATGAACTTCTTTCACATCCCATGGCAGCGTCTTCTATCTCCTGTCTCAAGGACTTTGCACAAGCTATATTCTTCTGCCAGAAACACAGATTTACAATTCTTCACTGAGCTAACTCCTACTTACTCTTCAGACCTCAGCTTAGAGGTCTGGGAAGGCTTTTCCTAATTATTCAAAAGCCTTTCTGCATACCACCTCCTCTGTGTTCCCACTTAAAACTTCCCCTAACAGAACACTTATCATGCTATTATTAGACTTGGCAGGTTAGTTGTCTGACTCTCTCATTTAAAGGTAATGGGAAAACAGGAACCCTTCTGCCTTTTTCACAGTTGTATTCTAGTACTTAGGACAATACTTAGCACATATAACACTTATATTTATTGAAAGAACAATAAATACTTGCTAATTTGGCTTTATCTGCCATTCTAGACAGCAATTTTTACTCTATAAATAACTCTAAACATAATATTATGAACCTTTTATTGAGCACAAAATAAATGCTCAATAAATACTGGTTTAATAACATGATAAATGAACAATAAACAAGGTTTCATCTCATGCATGGAGTTCCCCTATATCCTACTTAAAATTAACTCCAGGTCACTCAAATTTTGACATGAATACCTAAAAATGACAAGATTTCAATTGTATTTCCCATTATTTATTAAGATGTAAAGGCTTCTTATTCTTTTAAATAAAAAGAAAGAGCTCTCCCACCTAAATCATGTAAACCTATATATTTTTGCAGTTTAAGAGTTTAAAAAGGAGCTTTCAAAGTTAGAAGACCAAAAGATTGGTCCAAAGAATGAGAAAACACCCACAATTAACATGCTCAAAAGAATGTTATTGTTTACAGAGAAATGGAAAAGCACACCTTTAAGCAGCACAAGTGAACCTGAGGTAGGGGATAGAGGCTAACGGCTGTCCACAAAAATAAAATGTTCTACACTTGTCCATTTAACTAGAATTATGTCAAGAGTCCACAACTCATAGCATCTTCAAATTCATTCATTCAACTTTTTCCCTCCTTGGTAAGGAAGCAAAATAAAATATTTTGGAAAGACATGGAGAGACATGGGACTGATTTATTTTATATAGCAGCAAATGGGAGTTTTTTAGGAAACCTGCATTACTTCTTATGGGAAAGCAAAAGACTTTACGTGTAATTTACATTCTAGGAAAACAAGAGTTTAGAGCAAAGAACTGAAAATTCCTGTTTACCCAATCCACAATATAAACCATAATTGGGATTACAGCTCTCTTGTACAACACTTCAACTCACCATATGCATAAACTGCAAAATTCTTCACCAAAGTCTCACAGTTAAAAGGCAGGATAGGGAAGAGGGGATTTAAAAGTCTCAAAAGTACTAAGATATAATGGTAAACGTCAAATGGTAAATGACCAAACATTATCTGAAAAGTTTTAAATGCCACACAAACACTACCAAAAAAAAAAAAAAAGATTTACTCGTGAATATTTGCTTAAATTGCCTTTCTTGCCAAGGAACTCCAAACATGTCATACACAACTTAAGTATTCCCAAGATATACTTTACTTTTCATTTCCCATGCAAACTGGCAATTTTAAAAAAAAGGCTATTTAATTACCAGTGTAAAGCAAAAGAGAAAATATAACTGCTACATACACTAAGATGACTACAATATTCAATATAGTATTTTCAAAGAAAAAAAGATTTTCAGACCTTTTAAACTAAAAACTGTTAATTAAATTTAACTACTACTTTTTTGTACATATAAAGCCACATATTTCTTCACTAAGTCTATCTCATTATAAATCCTTTCCATTACTCACTCTATTTAAACTATCGGAAACTGTCAGAAAAAAAACAAAAATAAATGCGCTCTCAATAACAAGACTAGGAGTGTGTGGTCTCAAGGTATCTTATATTTGAGTATCAGTCAGTATTTAGTAAGTTGCCATGATTATAAAACAACTGGCGTTTCTTACATTTATATGGTCCATTTCTGAGACTTTAAAAGACCTCTATGTTCAACTATTTATCTACCATTCTGACAGTTTGGTTTATTAAATAGAACTTTTATAATTTGGGTTTTAAAAATATAATCTCATTATCTCTGTATTACATTTTAAAAAATATCACAAAGCTAAAATCTTCCTCATATAAGATCAAAAGAAACATAATAAGCAGCCATACTCAATTTAAGGATAATAAGGAATTTCTCCCATCAGAAGTTACTCAAGATATTGAAAGGCAGCTCTTATATGTTTTAATATACATAAAGGGATACTTTATTTTTGTAATTTAACACATTAAACACAACCCTACAATTCCCAACTGGTATGTATTAACTACTATCTTGTGAATATAATCCTGCTATGTCCTGAACTGTGTCCTTCCCAAATTCTTATGCTGAAGCTATAACCTCCAATGTGATGGTATTTGAAGATGGGACCTTTGGGAGGTACTTAGGTTTAGATGAGGTCACAAGGGTGGGGTTTTCATAATGGGATTAATGCCCTTGTAAGAGGAGACCAGAGAACTTGCTCTCTCACTTTCTGCCAACTGAAGATACAGCAGGAAGACCTGTAAGAGACTCTTCATTCGCCCTGAACAGAAACGGCTGGCACCTCAATCTCGGACTTTCTAGCCTTCGGAACTGTAAGAAATATATATACTGTTGCTTAAGCCGCCCAGTCTATGGTATTTTATTATAGCAGTTCAAGCAGATAAAGAAAATCTCAAAATAAGATTCCCACATCAGAAGCTTTGATATGAAATAAGATTCCCACATCAGAAGCTTTGATATGAAAAAAATTTCCATACCACAAACATGTAAATCACGTAGTAATTTGCAGGTAGCAAGTGATATATTATTTAAATCATGCCAGGAAGAAAAAAATGTTGACATTAGTGATTCTTAGTTGCTCTTGGAAGCAACTCAAATATTATCAATTTGCATAATTAGTTATAAAAACTGGATAATGGCCATAAGATGTGCTAATGAACAATTTTTATTTTTACCACATCAATCTACTATTTATAGATTATCAATTTTCAAAGAATTTGAATATGACAAAATATAAGAAAACTTCAATTATATTAAACAATTTCAGCTTTCTTTGATAAAACAAAAATCTTCAAGATCTTGGCACAGGATCATTGTTGTTATATTATGGTATTTATATAATACACATATATACCTGCAAATATCAGGTATAATTGAGTTCCAATTGAGAAAAAGCCAGGAAAGTTTTTTCATATGCATTAAGGTATTACTCACAGAGCTAACTCTACAGGAGTTATACAGCTGACTTTTTTTGAGACAGGGTCTGGATGTGTTCCCCAGGCTGGAGTACAGTGGCAAGATCTAGGCTCACTGCAACCTCCACCTCCTAGGCTCCAGCCATCCTCCCACCTCAGTCTCCCAAGTAGCTGGGACTACCGATGCATGCCACCACACCCTGTTAATTTTTGTATTTTTGGTAGAGACGGGGTTTCACCATGCTGCCCAGGCTGGTCTCAAACTTGTGAGTCAAGCGATCCATCTGCCTCAGCCTCCCAAACTCCTGGGATTACAGGTATAAGCTACTGTGCCTGCCATACAGCTGATGTTTAAAGCAAATTTAAGTCCATCCTTTTTCATATCATAAAACCTTTTATCTGAAACATTTAATATTAATCTATCTTTTACAACTAGTGCAGGCTCAACTTGGTCCCTTTATAAATTAACAAAATAAGCTAGTAAAAGTATGTTTTATCAAATTCCTTTATAACCATATTTTCCTAAATAAAAAAGTAAATAGTGAACTTTTTTTAATAGTTTCTAATCAATTTCAGTATCTGGTTCTCATAGGCTGAAACAATGCTACAATGACGGGGTTGCACAACAGTCTCGGGAAATTATTTTGCTTGTTTGTTGCCCAGGCTGGAGTGCAGTAGTGTGATCTCAGCTCACTGCAACCTCTGCCCCTCAGGTTCAAGCGATTCTCCTTCCTCAGCCTCCCAAGTAGCTGGGATTACAGGCATGCGTCACTGCACCCAGCTAATTTTTGTTTTTTTAGTAAAGACAGGGTTTTACCATGTTGCCCAGGCTGTTCTCTAACTCCTGACCTCAGGTGACCCACCCGCCTCGGCCTCCCAAAGTGCTGGGACTACAGGTGTGAGCCACCACACTTGGCCAGGGGAAATATTTAAATAAAAACTATTTTCACTAAAAGCTTTAAGTATTGTACACAAGCATCATTGGAATATTTATATCAGAGTTATCAAACTTTTTCTAATAAAAGAGTATTGTGTTTTAAAAATAGTGACTCCATTTTAAAAGTCATTTTTCTCAAGCCTCCAAATAATTATTTTCATGAGCCTTATTTGCAACCTAAAACATTACCACTTGATTTATTTCAAACATTCACTAACCATCATTATATCTGACTATCTTAAGGTGCTTGGTGCCCAACACAAAGCCTGACACAATCTCACATCATTTTGCGGTTTCAATATGCTTTGTTCTCGTCCCAAATACTCATATTCTGTTGTACTACTATAAGCTATTATATAACAGGAGGTGGGGAAAATTTAAAAAATACTGCAGCACTACCAGCCATTTAGCATACTGAGTTCCCACAGTTGCTTAGTGGGTGTTCTGAAACTAGGCCATTTTCTAGTATTAAGAATTTCAAATCACTACTTCCAAAGTACAGAAATAAATGTCTTCAAGATTAAATCATAAAACCTTACTATTTTAAGCTGCCTAGTATATAAGCATCCCATTTCTATGAGTTTAGAGTTGCAATTAGCACATGGTAGATAAACCAATATTTGTTTTAGGAGCAAAATAACTAGCTCTCCTACCTATCCTTATAGTCACAGAATTCAAGAGATCACAATATTAAAATAAAATGTAATTTATTTGAACCAGAACTAAAGCTCTGGTGAAATTTTGAATTCTATATCGCAGATATATACAAACCCAAACTGAATTAAATATAATCTATTTCAGGTCACCCAATCTGTCAGACACCACATACTTTTAGCAAAGAACTATGACTTTCAACCTAATTTTCCCAGTCCGGTTAACCAGGCAATGCCAAGGAATTAAGCTTATTTTCTTTAACAGAATAAAAGTTGAAGAAATACTTAGTTATTTTGTCTTATCAATGCAACAGGTTGTTTTCATTAAAAGTGGGTCAAGAAAAAAATGTTGCTACTCAATTTTACATATTTCATAGCAAAGTAAACAAAGAAACACATAGTAATTATAGTATCTACCTCTACAAATTACAAGGTAGTATATTATACTGCACTGATCAGTATTTTCAGATAATTATTTGTTTCAACTTAAATTTTGTTCAATAAATACTGTTACCTACTATATTTTACCTCATTAAGCAAACCTTCCCAGTAAGAAAAGCTTAACACAGTAAAAGTTTTAAATTGTATCATTTTGAATGGAATTTTTCCAAAATACATGAGGTTATTAACAAAATTTACTAATATCCAATAACCTCTTCTTCATGATCCTAGATCATTATTTTCTATACTATTCTATGTATAAAACAAAGTGTCTTGAAAGATTCTACGCATGTTTGTCATAACATTAAGTTGCTATAAACTGCTGTTTTTACAAAATGTCTTGCATCTGGCTTTTCGAGTTTTTCTTCTGCTCTTATTTTCAACTCTCTTATCCCTCTAGGAGTAATTTCAGTCCTTTTTACATTTGGTTACCAAACTTTTAAAAATTGTGCACTACGTGAGAATAAAAATGCCTGAATTAAGGCTTGAAGGACTCTAAAAACAGAAAATGTGTGTTTAAAAACAAGAACATTATGACATGTCTTTGTCCTTCCTTTGGGCCTGTTCAGTTTGTTTTGGAGCTGTAGACTATTCATCTAAAACTAATTTTCCACTTGGAACCTACAAAGTCTAGACATTGTATACTGGTGGAACAGTAAATAAGACAGACATACTCAATGCTCATCTTAAGGCTTACAGTCTAGCAATAAAGACAGACATCAAATATATCATTACAAAAATAGTGTTATAAAAAAGGAAGTAAAAGCACTAGGATACCTTCAAACAGAAGAACCTAACTAGGGATGAAAGGAAGGTCTCCCAAAGTCTGGGATACAAAATTGAGGCCTGAAGGGTGATTAGAGTTTAGCTACATGAAGAGTGCATGAGGTAGTAACCAAGCCGATGACACCAGATAGTTTTAGTTTCCTATAAGTAATCTCAAGATAAATGAGGTGTAACAACATGTTTAAGGCAATTGCTAAAATATTAATATTTTTAAATTTCTCAGATTTCTATAATAAAAATAATTAGGAGCATCAAGAAATGCAAATGAGTGTTTTAACACAGAAAACTATGGCACTCTGCAGGGAATGGAGTTTGGGATATCAAAATTAGGCCTCACATGATACGCCCTGGAAGAAATATTAAATTATATTGCATGAAAGGTCCGGCGTGGTGGTTCACACTTGTAATTCCAGCACTTTGGGAGGCCAAGGCAGGTGGATTGTTTGAGCTCAGGAGTTTGAGACCAGCCTGGGCAACACGGCAAAAGCTAGTCTCTACAAAAAATAGAAAAATTAGCCAGGCATGGTGGTACACACCTGTAGTCCAGTTACACGAGAGGTTAAAGTGGGAGGATCACTTGAGCCCAGGGAGGTCAGGGCTGCAATGAGCCCCATGATTGTGCCACTGCACTCTAGTCTGGGTGACAGAGCGAGACCCTGTCTTGAAAACAAAAACAAAACCAAAACAAAAACAAAAAAAAGCGTGAAAAAGAGACCCTGTCTTAAAAACAAAAAAACCCAAAAAATACTGCGTGAAAAATTAGTCAATTCTCAAGTTCAGAGAACTTTTAAATCATACAAGACAATTACAAAGCCTGCTTCTAGGGTATAACTGTTGACCATACAGTCTGACTTACCTAAAGAGTGGCACTGTCAAGTAAGTATGGAAAGTGTTTTTTAAAGTGTACTCAAAAAAGAGTACATTTTAAATGATTATACAAAAAAAAAACTTTACCATGAATTCTAAGAAAGTTCATAAATGTTACTCTTAACATGATACATAAATGCTGAGAAAAGACATTTAAGTATTGCTTTTTATTTTAATTTTTTTTTTTTTTTTTTTTTTGAGACAGAGTCTCACTCTGTCGCCTAGGCTGGAGTGCAGTAGCATGTTCTCGGCTTACCGCAACCTCCACCTCCCGGGTTCAAGAGATTCTCCTGCCTCAGCCTCCCGAGTAGCTGGGATTAAAGGTGCCTGCCACCACGCCCAGCTAATTTTTTGTATTTTTAGTAGAGACGGGGTTTCGCTACATTGGCCAGGCTGGTCTCAAACTCCTGACCTCAAGCGATCTGCCCGCCTCAGCTTCTCAAAGTGCAGGGATTATAGGCGTGAGCCACCACGCCCGGCCTTAAGTATGATTTTGAAACATTATCCAAGTTCTAAGCCTGGGAATTATTCCCCACGTTACACTGATATATTCTCCTTGTATTTAATTAAAATAGTAATGAAAAATAGGTGAAAATTTTTCCCTTTTCACAGGTGTTGAAGGTGAAGTTTTAAATAATAGTTTGGTCAACATTAATACAGATCTGCAGTTCAAAGCCCAAATAAAATTAGGAACACAAGAAATATTATTATTAATAATAATACAAGCTTTAATCGAAGTCTACCATATGACCTAATATTATTACTAGAATCCAAACTGTTATTCTTCTCTAACTGCCCAAGTGGACCTAAACATATCTAACCTTTGTGCTTTTATTACCCTCCCCTATCCTACTTATTCCTCAAGAGTTCATTCCAGTCCTGTCCTCCAGTAGGCATTGCCAGTTATACGTGCAGTGTGAGTCTTAACTCATCTGAGTTTGCCAGTGTATATACTGCTGTTAAAAGCATGTGTCACATTGTTTAACAATTAACTATTGACTTGTCCGGTTCATGCAACAAACTCTGAACTTACTGAAAGAAGGAAACATATTTATCTCTGTATCCACAGAGCCTGGGACACACATGGCATTCAGCAGAAGTTCCATGACATTGGTGAATGTGAAACTGTAGTTACTAAGAAATATTTATAGAACAAAATTGAAAAGTTAAAGACTATTTGCAAGACTGAGAAAGTACTGAAAGCAGGAAGAAGTGTTATACAACACAAAACTGGAAACTGAAAAAAACCCAAATGTAACTGATCAAATTAACTCCAAGTTCTAGAAATTATGTGTCAAAACAGGCCATTTCCACTTTACCTCCAAGACATTAGAAAAACTAAAAGAAAAAAATATTTATCTTTGTCAGCTGTAAAATTACTTAAAATTATAGGACTTTTAAATAGTAATTGAGGGCAAATAAAGTATTTAAACGTTAGAAGTCTTCCTAGTGCTATCAACAAAAGATAGTCATGCACAAATAATTTATAAAAATATGTCAGGTTCATTTCACATAGGGACCAATTATACCCCTTTTTAAGGTCTCCTGTAATGTTTTAGCTACAAGCAGTATGTTCACTCTTTCTCATAAATGAATCCTTACATTTTAGAGCATGTACTACTTTTTGCAATCAGTTCTGACCTTTAGAGAAGTTGGAATGAGATATACAGTGTGAAAATGAATTAGTGTTCTTTTAAATCTTGATAATGGGAACTGCATGCTTTCTCAAGAAGCACATACACTACCATTATCTCAAAAGCTTAAGGATCATTGGTAATTAAAATATCCTTTTGCGTGTATAAACTCTGCTTTGCTGAATTAAAGATGCTGTGTTAAAAAGTTGAGACCCGGGGGAAAATACCAAACAAAACCAGAATGAACATTAATTTATATTAAAATAATTCAATTATATATTTTAGAACATAAAAGTTTCTCAGACTTATGTTTCAATCTGTAATGATTAACAAACACTTTTAAGAACACTCTATAATATATGAAGTTCAAGCATACCATAGGTCATCTGTAATTCAGAAATTATTCAGATTTTAAAAGTCAGTTTACACAGTCGGAAAATATAAAAATTTAATATATTAAGAGAAAATATTTCAAAAAAGATCTACAGGGCACAACTTTGATGCAGTGTAACAAGTAAATGAAACAAAATTCAGAAGGCCAAGCAGTTAAAATAGGGGATTACAAGGATAGCAGATGATATATGTCCATTAATTAGTCTAAGATTCAGCCAACTTATATGTCTAATGCACAACACATAATGCATGAAATACAGGTCTACCAACAAGCAAAAATACCAACTCACTTAATATTTGAAGTACTCATTTAAGTATCACATAAAAGTACTTAATGTATAATTCTACTGATAAATTACAGTTTCCATTTATTCATCTATAGCAAAATACCAATCCCTACTAGTCTCATTAAGAAATGTCAAAATATCCAATTTATATTTAAATTTCCTCTGTTAATTGATATTTTATAAACGAGTAGCAAAATTCTTCCAAGTCTAAGTTATAAATCTCAGAACTCACTGAAGGATTTGTGAGTTAACTTGTTTTGTTGTTTTTTATTGTTTGGGGTTTTTTAAAATCTTATTTTGTTATAAGCATTAATCTTAAGGCTTTTTCATACATGAAAGATACATGAATCATATAGTAAACCAAATTCTAAAGATACATTTCACTTAATCTTCAGCCTCCAAAAATATGCATCCTTATATCTACATATAGAGTTTGTATCTTTTAGTTAAAACACAGATTTCTGTATTTAAATATTTTTACAAAAAAATCAAAATATCTGAAGTTTAAAGAAGTCTTCCAGAAATATTAAATGATACAACAAATATTGAAAATGAGCATATTTTTAAGGCAAATATAACTATAATTTATCCACCTGTATAATAAAGAATTTCAAGTTTATTCACCCATCCTCCATAATTCATACAGGTAAGCCAAAGCAATAACTATACCAATCACTACTCGGAAGCCATCTTTGGAAACATTCCACATAGAATTCCAGTTTATGTCTCTCTGATGTGGAAAGAGAAAAGTCATTCTTCCCTGACCCAAGTCACAGAAAAAAGAGTAACATTTTAAAGGCGTAATTCCAGCAAGTGTGACAAAGGAATTTGTAATTTTCATGTTTCTATTTAAACATGAAATGTTTCAAATTTCCAACTGGCTTGTAGTTCAGAAGTTGATGCATGACCTTTTACTTGCTACAACTACCAGAAAAACAGCTCTGATGAACTTTCTGAATACGGTAGTTTAAAAACTAAAAAAAAAAGATCTAGCTGCAAACTATTAATGTATATTTTAATATCACTCTTTAATCCATAATAATTTATGAGAAAATTTTTTGAACTTAAAAATTATATTAATAATGAGCGATCAGAAAACAAATGTCAACTTTTAATGTAGCTGTTTCCTCAAAAACTGAAGGGGGAATGTGGGGATGGTTAATGGATATAAAAAAACAGAATGAATACGATCCAGTATTTCATAGCACAACAGGGTGACCATACTCAATAAATTTAATTGCACATTTTAAAATAACTAAGAGTATAATTGGATATTTGTATCACAAAGGGTAGATGCTTGAGATGATGGGATACCTCATTTACTCTAATGTGACTATTATGCATTGTATGCCTGTATCAATATCTCATATAACCCATAAAAACCTACTATGTACCCATAACAATTAAAAACTAAAAATAAAACTGAACAAGCACCTTGGGAAAATGCAGTACCCTTAAAGACATGTCCATAATTTGAAACTGGGATTTCAATATTGTTTTATATGTTGGCTTTATATTAAATTTCAGACATTTGAAAGTTACAAACCTTAGACAAAACTTTTATTCAGTTTTGTGTTTATTTTTGTCTATTTTTCAAATGTGTATTTATAATTACATAAAAAGTTTACAATATACTTTATGTCCAAATAAAGACAAAAGGCTTATCATACTCAGTCTAAGTTCCATATGTGGCGAATGGTCATTTGCATACTTTATTCCTAAAATTCTTTTCACTGTCACACAGCAAAACATCAACACTTGATAAATTCAAATTATAAATATAACCTTACTGAATGTTACAAATTGGATGCAATAGCTAAGTCTCTTCAAGTACACAGTAACAGTTCTACAGTCCACAGCATGGAGGATGAGGGTAAAGATTAGTAAGTACACTAATAAATTGAGGTCTTTAAAATTAAAACTATTTTTCAGTGGTGTTGCTGCATTTAGTTACAAAAACACTTGGTTACACAAATGTACCTTAGGATTCTGAAAACCGTAACAAAAAGCTTTTGATATAGTAGTCCCTCTTGAGTAGAAACTAGACGCACTCGGTATCTAAGAAAAGTATACGAAATGGCACAGGTGTAAGCCTAGACACTGCTGGTAGTTATCACGCTGGAGGCAAATACTATACAGTCCACATCTGCAACCTAATTTTGCTTCAGCATCCCCAGAGACTTCGAAAATATTTCTTTGGGTAGGTTGCAAAACAGTGCTTCCTCTTTTATTCTCATCACCCCCATTACGATACAAAGCAACAGACAAGAAAAATCAAACTGCCAACTGTAAGGGCTTAAACACACACACAAAGCATCTTCTTTCTAGCTCCCGAATCGGTATTTATTCCACCTGTTTGTAAATCCATAATTCCACAATAACACAAACTGCCTGCTTAAAGAAAGGAAGGAAGAAAAGAAAAAGAAAGAAAAGAAATAAAGAGAAAGGCAAGTTAATGCTTTGGAGTCATTACTCTTCCACCTAGGCATGGGGGGAGGGGGATGGTACAAAAACAATGGATATTGAGGTGCTGGGGGAAAAATCGTCTTGCCCCAAAGCCTCTTGTGTTATGAGCCTGGGGAAGTCGGGGAAGAGTGAGACTACTTTTCCTCTCTCCCTAAAAGCTGTGCTATCACGGGGAGAGGTTGCCATCGGGCATGTTCTACGAGGCGGTCTCGAAGGGCTACAACTCGCTTCGCTAGGCAACACACCCAGAGCCGATCCAGCACTCTTCACTCAAGGGTTTTTAGGGAGAGGAGAACGGGAGAGCAAGGTGGACTCCAGGGAGGGGGCGAGAAGAGACCCCACCCTGTATGACCGCCGCTGCGCCCGGGCCCTCGCCAACGATTTACACGACTCGGGGCGCCCTGCGGACTGGGCCCGGGGGCCCAGGGAGCCGAGAGGAGAGAGACTGTCCGCCGGGGGCCCCCGGCCCGCGCCCTCGCGCCGGCTCGCCGTCGCCCAGGCGCTGTCCGGGCCGCCCGCCGCCGCCGCCGCAGGCCCGGCCCCGGCCGCTGTCACACCCGACCGCCTTCCTCTCCGCGCCGGGCTGCAGGCTCCCACGCGAGCCGGCTCCAAGGGCCCCGCACTCCCGGAGACAGCAACCAGGAAAGCGGCGGCGGCGGCGCCTCCCAGGGCCCCGGCCCCTCGGGCCTCGCCCCGGCGCTGCCGGCTCGCGCCTGTCAGGGCGCACGGGGCCTCCCCCTACCGACAGCCAGCCCGACTGCCCGACGGACAGGAAGGCAGGCAGGAAGAACCGACCAACAGACACCCTCCGCCTCATCGGCCCCGAGTTACCGTCAGGAGCCCCGACTCCGCCATCCTCCTCGCTCGCCCTCCTTCCTCCTCTTCCTCCTCCTCCTAAGAAGCGACGCTGCCCAACCGCCGCCCCCCGCCCGCCCCTCCCCCACTCGCCCCGCCCCGCCCGCCCCGCCACTACTCTCGCTCCAGCCTCCCCGCCCCACCCCTCTGCCGTGGGCCCGTCACTCGCTAGGCAAGAAAAATGGGCGGAACCGGGGCAAGAGAAGCTGCCCAATCAGAGACGGGCAGTGCCGCCAGCTTCTCTCTCTCCGCCCTTGTCCTTTCCTCAGTTCCTCTACGCCGTCTCCCGCCCACTGGGCGCCTCTGGCTAGCCGGGCTACAGAGTAAGCCTCCAGCAGGGTAGAGTGACAACTCCCCGATCGGAAGTTACTGTTGAAGCTAAGGCGGCCATAACTGATAATGGCAAAAGGAGATTCCTGGCTTCCTGTTTCCAGGGTGACGTAGATTTTTTTCCTTCGCCAGTCTCACCGTTACCCGGGGCAACAGCTGAGCCGTCTGGGAAGGGATGCATCTGTAAGTAAGCCCAAAGAGGTACCGTGGGTGACCACACATCCCATGTTAGACAAGTTAATTCATACTCCGGATTACACGTCCAGTTTCCTGGCCCTTATTTTACTGAGACGTCTGGTCACTTACGGAGATGGACAACAGTTTAGGGCTCCGAAATTCCCTCTCCTGCCCGGAAGTTGCATTTGGCACTTCCGAATTGGGTCATGGCGGAAGGGTGTTAATAGCCTGGCCGCCCGTGCCCCAGGGAATGCTTATTTTTGACCTTAGTTGCAAAGTGAGGTGAGTCCGTGGACCCCAACCAGTGGGCCGGACCCGGGCCGGACGGTCCCTGTGGGACAGAGCGCTGAAATGGCGAGCGGGGCTCAGGGCCGCTTCCGTTGGAAGGCGGTTTTTTTCCGGGCTGGCCTGGCGGCGGCCCGCCCCCGTGAGGCTCCCTGTGGGGTGAGGCCGCTCTACAGGCCGCCCTAACCCAGCCAGAGGCAGCCCGGCCGGGAGGACCCCAGCGGGGAATGGGCGGGGACCTCGGGGCGGAGCTCCTAACTCCGGCAAAACGGAGCTCTTGACCACGCCTCCGCAAGTTCCTATTAAGTACTTTCACTCCTTGGCCTTTGGAGGGAGGAGAATTCGGGAACTTCAGAAAATCATTTTCCACCTTCACCTATAAAAGGAAAAGATGAGCCCCTACCACCAGGGCAGGACCTCAATCTTTTTCCCCTGCCACCTGCCTTCCCATTCTGATTTTTCCCCCCTTTCCGCGTCTCTCCTTTGAGTCTTTGTAAGCTTTGACTGCGGTTCTGGTGGTGGGATTCCTGCAGGTCTACAGTTTCTTAAACAACGTGTTGAAGATTTTTGAAAATACTGTATTGCTTTTATATGGCCCTTTACAAAGTTATCATACATTATCTTGTAGTTTCTTCTGTATGCTTGAGTCAAGAACTCTAAGTCATCTTGGTAATACCGGGTTGGATGCTTAAAGCTGCAGCAAAAAGACCAGAACTTTCAGGTAAAATTGAAAATGGTTAATATCCAGCCAGTCAACAATACAGATGCAAACCTACCTTCTCGACTTAATTTCTGCTTCCTTAGTACTTACACGCCAGCCAAAATGAACTACTCTTGTTTCTTTGCTGTTAATTACTGAAATCTGTTGTAGCAGTCACCTTTTGTGATTCTGTATCTGATTCTGTTACCCGTGGAGATGTGTTTCCAGATTCTTCCCAGCAGGAAGTAATTTCCTCTGAGTTTAGCATTTTTTGTACATCTTTTATGACAATCAGTATGTTATATATATATAATAGCGCTTATGTTTTTAGCTTCACTACCATGTCTGCACCTAAATAGAATGGTTTGTATCAGATTCGTCTTCCCGTCATTTTCACCATGCACATGATATTATTTTGGTAAATACTTACTGAAAGTTTGAATATATCGGGTGTCTCTTGGATGCCCAAGACACTTCCAGCCAAGTTTTAGAGACCTTCAATTTATCAGAAATTCAGCTGAGCGCCTGCTACTCAATCTTTGTTTTACGTTTCCCCTGTGAAGTCTTTCTGACATGATTTTTTTCCCCAGTGTTTTATTATGAAAGTGTTCATATATTTAAAAGCTGAAAGAAATAATTTAATGAATATTCATGTACCCATCATCTATATGCAGCAGTTAACATTTTGCCATTTTTTTTCATTCCTCCCCACTTTTTCATTGTCATAAAAAGTTGCAGACACTTATTGTTAGGCAAGACACCCTTAAGATTTCCAGCATGAATTTCCTAAGAATTTTGAAGTTCTCCAGCAAAACACAATATCATTATTTCAGCTGTTTTGTAACTTTTAAAATCTAGGCCAAGTGCTAATTTTCCTAATTTACCCAGGAATATCTTTTATACCTTCTCCTTCCCAATCCTGCAAAAAAAAAAAAAAAAAAAAAAAATCAGGATCCAGTCAAAATTTTTCTTTAGCTTTAATGTAGTAGAGTTCCCCCATCTTTTTTCCCCCTGTGACATTGGCATTTTGAAGAGTTCAAGGCAGGAGTCTTTTTGGAAATGGGCCCCTCTTTTTTCTTCTTGTAAACCAGAAGTTAGTCTAGAGGCTTAAGCTGAACATTTTTTTTGCAAGGATATGTCACAGTATTCACACTTTTCTAGTCATGACTAAGCCTTCTCAAACGCAGCTATACGCACTTTGCCGTGAGTTGCTGGTTAAATCCATCTCACTTCTTAGCATGCTTACCCCTCTCCAGTGTCCTACAAAGAAGAGGGTAGCATTTAATCCTGTGTGTATAGAGTATGTGTTAGTGCCTTGGGTTGGCAACATTGACTACCTTTAATAAAGTGTTGCTGCTACTTTGCCTATTCTTGGAGCTGATGCAATGACTTTCTGCAGTAAAGTGTACTGATGTCAGCATAGTTTATGAGTGTCAACTCCTGGCACCCTGCAGACATTGTTGAAAGATGTGTGGGCCCTGCAATTCAAATACAGATGAATCTTGATGTTATCAAAGCAAATACCAAGGCAACTGTTGGCCATCTGGTCACATTCCAATTTAGGCAATGTTATTTTTCTCACTGAAATTCTCATGCAAGTCTTAATTGGTCCTGGTGTTTTTATGATAGCTTTTTGGTAGCATTAAGCAGAGCCTATTAAAAATTGCAAAATCAAGATTATACTTAACACTTAGTACACTAGATACGTTCTCTGCCCAATGGATAGAGAAGTGTTTGTGGAATTTACTTCCTAATCACAAAGGGAAAACTCAAGACTGCCAACGTCGTATACTCCTCCTAGCCTAGACTTATATTTGATCATGAAAGATAAGTGAAAGGAAAAAACTGCACATAAGGGAGCAGAAGAAAATGCTCTGGGAGGACAGAATTTTTTAGATTGGTATAGAATGTTTTTAGCCATCATATTGAAAATTACATAGTGCATTCTGTTAGTTGCTTCCTTTGTGTAGAAGGGAATTTGCTTGTGTGGAAATAATCCAGATTTAAGTAAGGCAAAATAATATACCAATTAAGATCACAGGTTTTAGCATCAGACCTGGGTTTCAGGAATAAGACTATTCAATAACTGGATGACCTTGGACAGCCTACTCACTCTATTAATAATCTATTAAACAGTGCCTTGCCAGGTGTGGCTCACACCTATAATCCCAGCACTTTGGGAGGCCGAGGCAGGTGTATCACTTGAAGTCTGGAGTTTGAGATCAGCCTGGCCAACATGGCAAAACCCCATCTCTACCAAAAATGCAGAAATTGGCCAGGTTTGGTCATGCACACCTGTAGTCCCAGCTACTCAAGAGGCTGAGGCACCAGAATCACTTGAGCCTGGGAGACAGAGGTTGCAGTGAGCTGAGATTGCAGCACTGCACTCCAGACTGGGCAACAGAGCGAGACCCTGTCTCAAAAAAGAAAAAAAAAATTAAAACGAGCCTTAAAACTGTTAAGGATTGTGTTACAGAATTAATTCAAATATATATAAAGTGCTTTACCTCGGTTTATAGCACATGGAGTGCAGTCAGTTTATGGTAGTTAATAACTTCTAAAGCAATCCAGTTAGGGGACGTATTGAATTCAGGCACATATTGACATTGATTATTTAGTGAGTGAAGGAATGAATCTATGACAGTAGTTCTCTTAAGTTTAATGTGGGGGACTTAATTAAAAGTTAGGGTCCGGCTGCTGTGGCTCATGCCTGTAATCCTAACAATTTGGGAGGCTTGGGTGGGCAGATCACTTGAGCCCAGGAGTTTGAGACCAGCCTGGGCAATACGGCAAAACCCTGTCTCAAAAAATAAAAATATTAGCTGGGTGGGGTAGCATGTTCCTGTAGTCGCAGCTACCTGGGAGGCTAAGGTTGGAAGATCACTTGAGCCCAGAAGGTCAAGGCTGTGGTGAGCCATGATCGCACGACTGCACTCTAGCCTGAGCAACAGAGCGAGACCCTGTCTTAAAAAAACAAAAAAAGAAAAAGTATTCTGATTCAGCAATTCTGATTTCTGAAGAACTCCAGAAAAATCTGTATTTTTAATAATTGTACAGGGAGTTTTGATGCGATGATTTGGGGACTGGGCTTTAAGCAGCACTCTGTAAAGTATCAAACAACTTTTCTCTTTCCTTGCACACTGTTGAAATAGCTAACTAAATATCTCAGGTGCTGAGCAAATACTTTTTTTAAAAGGTTAATAGCTAACATTTTTAGGACCACTGTCTACTACTGAATTTTGAAATAGGAAGGGTTATTAGAAAAAGACATTTTGCATGAGTAGGATGTATCATTACTAACTTAATAGTAGTGTCTGCTACTGGATTTTCCCAGAGCCAGTGGCATCATCCAAGTTCACCCAAGAATTCCCATTCTTAGGCCTAGGTACATTTCAGAAGCTAGACACCACACATTTTATTCACATGAGCTTGAATTAATTAGCTAAATTGAACACGTTGCAACATTTTTCTACCAGCAGATGCCAGATAGCAAAGCAGAATAGAATCTGCTGTAGTCTCCGACATATGACATATGATGTCATATGTTACTTGGCATCTCCAGATAAACATTATCAATCCAAATTAAGCATTCTGCTAGCATGTGGGCAGTTGAGTAAGAGTGAGTATTACTACTTTATGTTTGCTGAAAAATGCATTCTTTCTGGGCTCCCCTTTTCACCTTTTTCTCATATTTACATTCAGAAATCTAGTATGTTTTTGAAAATTCATCTGTCAGTTAACCACAAGTCTTGGATAAGACAAAAGATAAAAATTTTGTTATTCTACCATTCTCACCACCCCCTCTCAGAACCCCCACACTAGGCAGGTTGAATTTACTTTAAGGGACCCAACTTAATAAATATTCATAGAAGAAAAATACTCTTTACATAAAGTATCCTTTACAGTCCATGGCCATGATTGCTCCTGACTACTCCTTCAGTTCCCAGAGATTGTATTTTTGCATCTCAATGCCCATTAATGATAAAATTAGACAGCTTGGCATATGTTTTACTGTAGTTGCAAAGTCAGATGCCTACAATGGATGGGCAAGTAAGGTAAGAGGAAACAATAGGTGGTAGGAAGGACTGGAGAATTCCAGAGCATGTGCTTACCTAAGTGAAGCATCACTTCCCAGCCCTAGCCAAATTTTGCCATGTTGAAATGTGGGCTTGACGTTGCCAGATTTGTCAAGTGGAGCTAAAATTTGGATTTTTTGTGAAATTTCCTGATTTTTAAACATTGGCTCAAATACTTTTTAAAAACCTATAAACCAACAAAATATTTAAGTGGATAGCTTCAAGGGTTACCAGTTTATGACATGTATGTTTCTTAACATGAAAACATAAGTGGTGCTTTTGTTGAGAATCTCAAAATGCTTCAGAAATGTTTTCTTTTTGCCATATGTCAACTGCATTTACTTCTCTAGGTTAGGCAACAAGTCACCTGTCATCTCCATCAAAAATTCAAGGTAGATTAAAATTTAGACAACAAGCTTCTGTTGCCTTGATTACAATTTTAAAGGTTTTAACCTTTGCTGCCCTTTTAAAAGTTTGTTCACATTTTCTCAGCTTTGAGTTCTATTATGAAATAGGTTTGCTTTATTATCATACTTTTTAAAACATTTAAGAACACAATTTGGCAGCACGTGCTGCTTCAAAAGTAAGTAAGTGAAACAGGTTTTTAAAGAAAAGCACCTTTAAATAGATCATGCTGTCTTATAGGTACCATGATATTTATGAAGATTCAAAGATTTTTAGAGACAGAAGATACCTTATGGTAATCTAGAACAAGTCCTTTATTATAGCAATATGAAAATTAGTCCTGGAATAATAAATGTCATACTGTATTTCTAAGGACTTTTACATCCACTTATCACTTGACCCTTACAACCCAGGACAGATAATAAACATGTTTTGTATGAGAAAACCAAACCTCTGGTTGGCTAAGAAATGTATTCAAGGTCACACAGCTAGTTAGCGGCATGGCCAGAGTACAACCATGTACCCCATTTAAAGTATAAATGTGAAATAGAGTACAACTAGTTAGCACCAGAGAGCAACCCTGTACTTCATTTAAAACATAAAGGTGAAATAGATTGATTAGAAAGAAATGACAGACTCTAGTATAAGCTTCTGTTTTATTTAGGTCACACATTGGATTTTACTGTCATAGTTTATTTAAAACACACGGAATCCTAGGATATGCTCAAGGATTCTATTTCTAACTTTAAAACTGGGGTCTGTACAATTAGCATAAGCTGATAAGTTTAGATACATTAATAGAGGGAAAAAGGAATTACATTGAAGATGTAGTGACAGGTTAGGAGTAGTAGGCACATATTATGGAAGATAAACACATAGACCCATGGAACGGCTCCTTGGGGCTCCCAGCAAAGATCAAATACTAGATTAAGGAGACTTAGTGTGGGGAGGACAGTTTTAAAAACATCCGAATCCCATCCTGAACATTTTTAGAAACCAAGACTTGACTTTGGCATCCACAATATGTTTTCATTTTGATGTTTCTGATCCATATGTATACGTTATGAGTAATCAGGAATGCAGTTTGAATTTTAGTAATTTAGTCTCCTTCTCTGTCTGTCCACTGTGTGACCACAGCTTACATTTTCCAGATGGCTAGATGAAAATAGGTGCAGTCTAAAGCTAATTGCCCTCTTCAGCTGTTTAACCCAAGATCAGTATCTTCTCATGAGTTGTGATATAAGCTGTCATATAATTTGTGATATGATGAAAATAATTTAAAAATGCAAAATTTGTAAGCTTTTAAAGTGTTGTATATTTCTAATTAAGCTTAGGATTTGAAAGTTTCAGTGACATAGTGTTTAAATAATATTTAATGCTATAAACAAAATCTAGAGTCAAAAAGCAGTTTTTCTTCCTAAGAGATTTATTTCAGAATGGCATCAAACATGACAACTGGAATGCTAAATCCTCAAATTAAGAAGACCAAAAAAAAAAAAAAAGAAAAGAAAAGAAAAGCTACATGTTGGTTAGAGCCATATATTGGTCCGACTGTGACACAGTTCCCAAACTATAGAGGAAGAAATGTGCTTTAGTCAATATGCTGCGCTTATTTTTTCGTCTACCTCATTCCTGAGATTTACTGTTTGCCTCATATTTTATTTTCACCCTCCTTTGTAAGGGTTATTAGTGTCTTCAAAATTTCCCATTTCAGTAGAAATTGAAGATTGTATGTTACTTCAGCCTTTGTTGGCTTCTGCACACCATAGTCTACGATTATCTCTCCACCATCTTCTTAAATGTTGATATTCCTTCAGTGAAGCACCGTACTAAACCTGCTTGGGATCTCCCTATCCTACAGATGTAGCATAGAGAAAACTGAAAAGAGACCTTGCCTTTGAGTAAGGCAGACCCGAGTTCAAATCCTGTTTCTTATCGACTATATGATGTTGGACAAGATAACTCTTCTTAAACCTTGTTTTAGTCTGTTAAATTTCATCATATATATATGTGTACCCAATATATAATTTTACCCATGTGCCCGTTCACCTCCCGCTGCAACTGGGAGATGCAGTGGGAGGTGGATGGGCACATGGGTAATTCAATTCCAAAATCACCAGTTATGGTGATAAAAGTTTTTTCAAAATTACTGCAGAAAATTCCTTAAAATATCTACTTAGTTGAAATACATGCATGACTTCGTACTAAACACTGTGTTGCTATTGTTATTCTTAAGCAAACTAAAATTTAAGAGCCACTAGGCTAACTAAAGGAAAGAAGCTAAGGTAAATGTCCTGACATTTAAACAAGTCTGCCTTTAATATAACTCTTAAGAGTATGGGTATTGAGAGAAGAGGTGGAGAATTCTAAAATATTTTTGCTTGCCCATAGGTTTTTCATCATGCATTTTTAGTAATAAGCCTCTATAACTAATACATGTTAATAAGCTTATTTTTTCTGAAAATCTAATTTTATGCCAACATTATAATGGTACACTATGGTAAGAATTGCTGACATTCATTGAGCTCTCATGCAGGGTTTGGTCTAATGGCTTTATATGAATTATATCTTTAATGCACCAGCCATCTCAAGTTGATGCCATTGTAAGCTTTATCTTGCAGTTGAAACGAAGGCTCAGAAAATCAAGTAATTTAAGTGACTAATCTGACTTCAGCTGCTTCTTTCAACCACCACACTAGACCCTTGTCTCTTTTTACCATCACCCCACCACTTACCATTTTGCCATATCTTTCTTGAGTGATTATATCCACCTCCGTAGCTTGTACTACTGTACAGTTGACTCTGGGCCTTCAGTCCTTTTTACCTTCCTCTTGGACTTCCACACTCTGTGAATCTAAACCGAACTCATGGTCTTTACTATTCCTTCTCAACCTTCTCATCTGTGTTTCCGGTATGAATTAATATGGGTATATCCACAATCATGTTAGCTCACTTCAGTCGTCTGTGATCATTTCCTTATCACCCACTGGCAGTGGGGGGTGGGAAGGTGGAGGATGTTTGAATCTCAACTTCTTGTACCCTTAATTACCTCATATCTTCTCCTCTTAGTGTCTGTTATCACTGCTTTAATTCATACTTTCATCATCTTACCTAAACAATTATAGCTTCCTTACTAATCTCCTTTCCTCTAGTGTCTCTTCTCATTTTTCCTTTATTTTGTCTAGAATGTGTTTCCAAAACATGAATCATGTCATGTAACTGCTTAGAACCATCCAGTTAGCTCCCTCCTGACTATAGGATATGAAGTCCAAATTCAGCGTTGCAGACTGAGTGTGAACTGGCCTCCAGCTGGTCAGTCCCACCACAATACCTGGTGCACACTGTATGCACACTGTACACACACTGCACTCTAGCCATGTCCTCCGACAGAACACTTTTTTTTAATGCTTCTTCATTTGAACGTATTTTTCGCTTTGTCTAGAACATCTGCCCCTTGCTATACATCTCCTTCTCTGCCTAGTAAACCCCCATTCAGCTTTCTGGGACTAGCTCCAATGTCATGTTTAATAATTCTTCTTCAGAGACCACCCGTTGTCCCCTATCCTTAGCCAAGTTTTTCATGGTTTTCATTTCTTAAGGCACAGTAGGCATGCTTTTATTAAAGTACATTGTATTCAATTATAATTATTTACATGTGTCTCATTCCCTACCTCACCTCCACCAAAGAAAGAAACTGGTTTTTACCTACTCTGTCTCTCTCACTTAGCTACGGCTGGTACATTATAGACATTTAGTATGTTTGTTGAAAGAAAAAATCTGTTCGTATAGGTACTTTATCATTCCAAATTATTTTTATGTTACATTTGTTAGTTTTCTACTCTGAAAGAGTAATGCTTTTGTTGTCACCTAAAACAACATCATTCTCATGTTTATCACTCTAGTCTTTACTGTCCAGTGCTTATTTCCAAATAGAATACAAGGTACAGCATTAATTTGGCCTATTAACTCACAATTTCTGTCCACTGTAAAGATTTATACTTTCTTGAACAGAGAACTAGGAGCTAGGCTCTTTTCCCAAATATGTAATAGGTGTGCAGGGAAGATCTTAGCGAAGGATTCTGTCTTTTTCTAAGACTTTCACTTGTAGGTCTCCTGCAAGTCCACAACATTTAAGTTCAAAAGATGACATAAGAGCCAACCTTTTCTGGCCGGGCACGGTGGCTCATGCCTGTAATCCCAGCACTTTGGGAGGCCAAGGCGGGTGGATCACGAGGTCAGGAGATCGAGACCATCCTGGCCAACATGATGAAACCCCATCTCTACTAAAAATACAAAAAATTAGCTGGGTGTGGTGGCACATGCCTGTAATCCCAACTCAGGAGGCTGAGGCTGGGGAATCGCTTGAACCCAGGAGGTGGGGGTTGCAGTGAGCCGAGATCGCGCCACTGCACTCCAGCCTGGTGCCAGAGCAAGACTCCGTCTCAAAAAAAAAAAAGGCCAACTTTTTCATAACAAAATTATATAAATCTTAGTCTTTACAGTTTGAAGTTGTTTCTGTGAAGATGCTTGCCTGATTAATGGAAAATCTGTTGAGGGTATCATTGTTTTGCTGGCCTGAGTTAATCACCACCCCATCACAGCTTTTACTTAAATCTTGTCTTTCCCTAGCTTTATGATTTCACAGTGTAGCTAGGTGCTCAGTTGAAGCACCCATTTTTCACCTGCACCTAAACTATTTGAAATAGCCCTGTAATTGTCCTCCTGAATACATTTTAGATCTGTTCAGGTCATTCTCATTCTTAAAATATTTCAGTGGTTCTCCTTATTTCCTTCAAAATCAATTTGATTGCAGTTTGGTTAGGGTTTGTTTCCAGACAGATTGCTCGTAACTCTTTTTTTTTTTTTTTAAGCATTCCTTGCCTCCCCCATAATGCACCATGTGCTTTGTGTTGCCTATCTTCATGCCTCTGCACAAACTGTTGTTACCTGCACCTAAAGTTCCTCCCCCATCATCTGTACCTGACACAATTGCTCCCTATTCTGTGTTCCCATGGCATTTTTACAAATACTTCTAAGTATAGAACTTATATTGCATTATGCTTCTTCGCTTATGTGCCTGTTTCTTCTCCCTCCACCCCCATCCTTCAGGATCCTCAAGCCTAGAGACTATGCCTTAGTAAGTTTGATGCTGAATTAAAATTTCAATATAAGATGACTTGCTATTTGAATACTTCAGTTTTGTTCTTAACCCTTTCTTAGTAATGGATGTTCATGTAATAGAAAGTAGAAATAAGGCCCATAAGTAATCATTAGTTAACATTTTGGCACAAAATATTGTACTTGCGTCACTAGAAACCCCCACATCAGGATATCCTTGTGATAGGAGAAAAAGATGTCATTTTTGCCAAGTCTACAAGTCTTTTGCAAGATTTTATCTTTTCATATTTAAATAATTCCTTTATAAAAATACAGCTTTGTCCAGGATGGTCTAAACTTTTCACTTAACAGAGAAAAAAGTCATTCTTCACTTAATTTTAATAAGTGTTACATTCAGAAGAAATACAGCTTTTACTAATTTCAAAATTAGTTATTTGTAAATACTGGTATTTTCCTTAAATATGCTTAAGATATAGCATCTTACTACATATGCCATATTGAAAGTGACATTGCCCTAGGAATACAAAGTGTGTTCTAGGCAATACTGGTCCCATGATTGCACTTTTAAAGAATTCCAGAATCACATAACTTTAGGAAACAATATATACTCAACTCCCCTGTTTGAAATGTATCACATACTTTAGCATATTAAAGTTTCTAAACAGTCCTGCTATTAAAAAGAAAATTTAACTTTTTTCCTTCCCAGGGCTTCTCAAATTTAATAACTATGGAATCTTATCAGAAAGTCCATTAACATCTCAAAGAACAACGTGGTTATTGTATCAATCACCATCCTTTATACCAGGATTTGCATATCCTTCAAGATGCCTGAAGACAATCGGAGGGGTATACAAGCAAGCGAGGTTAAGAACAATCACTTTTCAGATCCTAAACTTTTATATGTAGTGTCTGCTGATAATGCATTCCCTGAGAAAATGGACCTGTGGATAAACCATCATGCTTCATCTCATTTCCTGTCTCCTCTTTCACCATTTTTCTTTCTTTTCTTTTCTTTTTTTTTTTTTTTCTTGAGACAAGCTCTTACTCTGTCACCTAAGCTAGAATGCAGTGGCGTGATCATATCTCACTGCAACCTAAA
This sequence comes from Homo sapiens, assembly GCF_000001405.40. Classification (NCBI taxonomy): domain Eukaryota; kingdom Metazoa; phylum Chordata; class Mammalia; order Primates; family Hominidae; genus Homo; species Homo sapiens. Next base: position 110,907,443 of record NC_000010.11, on the reverse strand, counting down.
ACTCAGGCTCAAGCAGTACCCTCACCTCAGCCTCCCGAGTAGCTGAGACTAACAGGCACACTCCATCATGCCCGAATAATTTTTGTTAATTTTTTGTAGAGATGAGGTCTTGCTTTGTTGTCTAGGCTGGTCTTGAACTGGGCTCAAGCGATCCTCCCACTTTGGCCTTCCAAAGTGCTGGGATTCCAGATGCGAGCCACCGCACCAGTCCCCCAATTATTTTTCTAAGGATGTATGAAGGAAAGGCATCTCTCTAGCCTGGTAGAATCTTACTATGACAAAAATGCTCCAGAAAATAAACATCTCTTAGGAGCTACACACAGAGACAAGGAAACACTGGTAACTCAAGAAAGACTAAGGGCTTCGCTAATTATTAAGTAAGTAGTGCTTCTGCAAGTCAAGAGACTGTTCTCAGCTTTCAACAATACTGAAGGAATACCTAATTGAGTAGTCTGCTGGTCATTTAAAATTATTTCTTGATGATAGGTCACTACGTGATTGTTAGCATATAACGTAAGTTCAAAGATTGAAAAAAATTTTCCCATTTTCATCTCAGTGTTTACATCTACAAAAATGAAGAATAGGGCTGGGCACAGTGGCTCACGCCTGTAATCCCAGCACTTTGGGAGGCCAACGGGGGCGGATCACTTGAGGTCAGAAGTTCGAGACCAGCCTGGCCAACATGGTGAAACCCTGTCTCTACTGAAAATACAAAAATTAGCCGGGCATGGTGGCATGCGCCTGTAATCCCAGCTACTCGGGAGTCTCAGGCAGGAGAATTGCTTGAATCCAGGTGGCGGAGGTTGCAGTGAGCCGAGATCGTGCCACTGCACCCCAGCCTGGGCAACAGAGCAAGACTCCATCTCAAAAAAAAGGAAGAAGAATAGAATTGTAGCAATAAGTAAATTTCAGCCATGTATATACGTGAACTAATTGAGAAAATAAAGCTGTCTTCTTATTAACAGATATATGGCCAATAACTTTTATGTTCAACAATTGCTTTATCAATGTGTAATTCATTTTGACCAATTTTGTGCCAGTTGTAATAACTGAATCCAAAATATTTTAAAGTTTAAATTTATAAACATTTTTGTAGCAAAGAAGTATGATAGGATGATCATTAAAATACCAGGCATGAGGCCAGGCACGGTGGCTCACCTCTGTAATCCCAGCACTTTGGGAGGCCGAGGTGGGCGGATCACGAGGTCAGGAGATCAAGACCATCCTGGCTAACACAGTGAAACCCCATCCCTACTAGAAATACACAAAACAAATTAGCCGGGCTTGGTGGCGGGCGCCTGTAGTCCCAGCTACTCGGGAGGCTGAGGCAGGAGAATGGCATGAACCCGGGAGGCGGAGCTTGCAGTGAGCCAAGATCGCGCCACTGCTCTCCAGCCTGGGCGACAGAGCAAGACTCCGTCTCAAAAAAAAAAAAAAAGGCATGAAAATACGTTACACTAGAATAAAGTGGGTTGGAAATAGAGGTCCAGGAAGAAAAAAAGATGATATAAAACTTCTAACTTAAAAATGATCTTCTTTTTATTAATGGATGATGGTAGCTATCAAATTGCTGTTATGTTTAGATTATATTGGATATGTTTTTAAAAGACTGAGGTAACAGTTATTTTTAAATATGCTGGAAATTATATCCTTTATAATTTAAATTTATGATAAGAAATTTAAACATCAGTGTATGAAGTGATACCTAGTTTTCCAAAATCTCTTTGGGAGTATGCAAGTAGAAAATTTGAGGACCACTAATAATACATTCTCCAAGTTCAGAAGGACACTTCAGTGATCTAGTCTGGTCTCACACCCATTATTTAATTTGGTTATCCAACTAAATCACACCAGGGATTTTTTTTTTTGGAGGGGTGGGGGGAGGACGGAGTCTCGGTCTGTCGCCCAGGCTGGAGTGCAGTGGCACGATCTCGGCTCACTGCAAGCTCCGCCTCCCAGGTTCACGCCATTCTCCTGCCTCAGCCTCCGGAGTAGCTGGGACTACAGGCGCCCACCACTACGCCCTGCTAATTTTTTGTATTTTTAATACAGACGGGGTTTCACCATGTTAGCCAGGATGATCTCGATCTCCTGACTTTGTGATCCGTCCGCCTGGCCTCCCAAAGTGCTGGGATTACAGGTGTGAGCCACCGCGCCCAGCCCCCACACCAGGGATTTTTAACTTGCCAAATGTATGTGATTGATTTGAAGGCAATAATCCATCCTAGACCTGCGTTTTAACTCTCACTCCTAAAACAGAGTAAAATATTTCATGACAAAGATTTGGTTTTCCTTCAAGTTTTTCAGCATTAATTTTAGACATCCAGCTCAAATAGCTACAACAGGTTTGCGTACCTTGTCATGATTTTGGAATGCACTGTTCATCAAAACTATTATCTCTGGGAGAAATTACAAACTTTAGAATCTGTGTAAGAAAAGGAAACAGCAGATTCTTCTCCATTTACCTAAACCAAGGCCTTCAAAAAATGATGAATTGACACTGTATTCTGTGAGCATTATAAGTTTGGTTCTATTAATGTAAGAATAATTTCATTTTCTGTAATTTAATGTTTTCTCTTAAGGTATGCCTTGACAATCTGCATCATTTTTTAATTTGGCATAGTATTCCGTTCTATGGATGTTCCATGATTTATTTAACCTTTGATCTGCTGGTGAACATTTAGTCAGCTTCATCTATTGCTGAACATTTTGCTATTCAACACAATGCTTTAATGAACACTCTTATTTTTACACATTTGTGTTCTTTAGAACCAATTACTATGAGTCAAAATTGTGCATATTTAGTTTTAGTAGATACAGTACTGCAAAATATTCCTCTAAAAAAGCTTAACAACAGTGCTAATTTCCCTATACCGTCCCTACCTGTGGATACTATCAGACTTTTAACTTTTTTGCAGTTTAAAAAGACATTACACATGCACTCATACACACAAAAGCAGTCTTTGCTTAAATGTCACCTTCTTAATGAGGTCATCATGATTTTCTTCTTAAAACTGAAATACCACCCCCCTCAGCATTCCTTAATCCCCTTTACGTTATTTTCTATAGTTCTTACCACCTTCTGGCATGCTGTTGTTTCTCTCCTTATTCTAGACTGTAGGCTCCAAAAAGGCAAAAGTTTGGGTTTTTGTCCTGTTAATTATGAACAATGCTTGGCAGATGATAAAAAAACTCACATATTTATTGAATTAAATGGCCATGGCAATTGTAGAATACACATGAATTTCAGCCATAGCTGTTATGTTTCTCCCTTGGCCCATCTGTCCCTGGTTTAAATACATCTCACCTGACAAGAAAGTTCTCTTAAAAGTAGCCACAACTGCTTACAGTGCATTACTCTAAGCAAATCACCCATGTCTGGCTATTAGCAGGCCGTGTGGGAGAAGGAAATACTGTCTGTATACCAACGTGATCAGCAGTAGGCTGCATATACAACAGTGGTTCTATAAGATTATAATGAAGCTGAAAAATTCCTATTGCTTAATGATGTCATACCCCGTTGTAATGCTCATGATATTGTGGCAGAACACTTTACTTTGTCTATGTTAAGATACACAAATACCATTGTGTTACAGTTGTCTACTGTATTCAGTACAGTAACATGTACAAGTTTATAGCCTAGGCCCAGTACACTCTACCATATAGCCTAGGTTTATATTAGGCTATACCATCTAGGTTTGTGTAAGAGGCTATACCATCTAGGTTTGTGTTAGTACACTCTTAGGATGTTTGCACCATGACAGAACCACCTAATGATGCATTTCTCAGAACATATCCCATCATTAAGAAACACATGACTGTACTCCTTCCTACTCTGGACTCCCAGGGCAGCTGATTATCAACAAAGTGTAGCCCAGCCAGTGCTGGCCATCCAACCTTGCTTATTTTAGCCCTTCCCTTCCTGTTTCTTTCTTGCCAATGCCTAAGGGGGCCTAGAAACAAGAACCAACCCTATTAAAACAGACATTCTATCCAGGCAAGTGACTGGCACTAATCTCCCCCACACTAGGTGCAGCCCACTCCCTACCATCCCTTTGGCTCCACACCCTTTACAGTAACAATGGCAGCTTAGTCAAACAGAGAACTGAGGTTTGGTAGAGCACCAAGTTTCATTGTTTTTGTCAGGCCAGATTTTGGATGTGAAAGAGTTATCAGACTAAGAGAAAACAAAGGATAGTGACAGTTCAGAGTAGCTGGAGTTGCTTACACTATATAACAGCTAAGAGTTGTTTATCTACCACTTTAGCATTTTGGTGATACATATAAAAATCCTTAGCTCCTATGTATTTCCTTCACATTTATCAACATCTATAATGTCCTCCCTTTCAGTGGCGTATCATGTCAGGTTTGCTTCAAATAAAGAAATGTGATCATAATGAATATTTTCACTGTGATGTATTTAATGGAGAGGCTAGGTGGTGGTTTTGATAGTTCAATTCAAGGCTAATCAGGGGGTCTGCAATGCTAGTAACCTTCATCCTAACCTGGAAAAAAAAAAAAAGGCAGTGATCACTAGGTACCACTGGCAGGCCTAAAAAGAAAAGAATATGGTAGGAGAAGCTGTGCAGTCTAAGGAAATTGTGTATTGTATTTATTTCACATTCCATTTAGTGATGAGTTGCTTTATTCCTGGTCCATTACTTATTTCATCATCTCTCCCTGCTAGAGCAGTATAGGGGTGAAGTTTGATGACAAAGTTCTGGAAAGCAGATAGAGGTTTTCAGGAACTTAGACGTTCCAGAGTAAGAATCTGAGCAAGAGAGAGGAAGAGACTTGAATACAGAGTAGGAAGCTTTTATTAGGAATGTCAAAGTAGTGGAGCGGGAATAACAAAAACCAGAAGAAGCTTCACTTGATTATAATTAATTTGCAGTGGTTGGTAAAGGCAGGCACCAAGCCAGATTCACCACTTTATAAATAATAAATCTGTGGGGGTGATGTTGTGAAAGATGCATGGTAAGGTTGCATCAGCAAGGTGAATCACTGAGTGGGTGGGACCGTCTAGAAAAGCATCTGTGTTTGGAAAGGGATCATTCTACAGCTTAGTCCAGAACACCTTGAACACACAGCATAGCAGAATCTTGACTGTAATACTTGGAGCAAATGTCACTGGCAAAAATGGCATATATGCTGGGATGTTCATAACAAATAGTTAAATATTGTTGGTCCTTTCGCATATAGAATCTCGGTATTAGAGGAAAATAGTAAACTGAAACTCTATTTCTGTTCTGCAAGAGCCAATTTCACCTATTGTATTACTTCGTTACCAATTGCAGCTGTGTAGTCAGTCATCCATAGGATTCTTTTTGTTAGACACAAAGTAGAAACCAGCTGTTGGCCGTTGAGACAAGTAGGAATCTTAGGAAATGTTAGCCTGCCAGTTCCTACTTTTCCTAACTACCTGCCTCACCACCCCCATCAAATGGTGGTCATGTTTTTTGTCACCCACCATTCAGGGGAGATGCTATCAACGAACCACGCTGGCTACACACAAATACCTTTTCCTCAGATGATATTAATCATCTTTGCCTTAAAAACTGAAGCTCTACCAAGTTTTCACTATGAGAGAAAAAAAATTACAACACCTAGCCTTGTAGTTAACACCACAACTGACTAATGGAAGTTGACAAGATCTAAATGCTTATACAAACTATCCCAAGGTCACAGGAAATTAATGGCAATATTATACAAGGTTAGGGTAGTTCACTTTCTATAGGAATTTGGATTTTACTTCTTAAACTACAATGGAAATGTCTCAGGCAGTCTGCTTTGGGAATGTATTCTTGAATAATACTGATTTCTCATTGAAGGAAAAAACACTATATCCAACAACTCAGATATGGCAGAAGTGAAGTCAATGTTCCGGGAAGTTCTTCCAAAGCAAGGTATGTACATCACAAATATTGAGGTCATTGATTATTACAGGACTAAAGAAGTCATAGGCAGTGTCACATAGCAGGCTTAATAGCTAAACATCTGCAGCTATTGTGTTCCGTATTATCTCATTTACTGTCTTTTACTATATGCTTTTTCATGACATCCAGTAAAAGGATAACAAATGAAACATTGTTTCTTATACCTAAAATTGCCTATTAATTAGCTAATTCCTAAAATTCCTAATTACAATATGAATTTTTTTTAAGAGACAGGTTGTCACTCTGCCACCCAGGCTTGGGTACAGCTGGCACAACCGTAGCTCACCGCAGCCTTGAACTACTGGGCTCCTGCCCTAGCCTACTGATTTGCTAGTACTACAGGCATGTGCTACCATGCCTGGCTAATTTGTTCTTATTTTTGTAGAGAAGGGATCTCAATGTGTTGCCTAGGCTGGTCTCAAACCCCTGGGCTCAAACAAACAATCCAACCCCTTTGGCATCCCAAAGTGCTGGGATAACAGGTAAGAGCTACCATGCCCTACTCAATATGAAACTTCAGTGAAAGAAATAATGGAATTTACTATGTTAAATAAGGTCTGAAAGTGGAGAAAGAGAAACCTGAAGCAACAGTAAGAAAAGCCGAAGGTTTAAACCTTCAGTCATTTGAATATTTACGTTAAATATCATATTTTGCTATATTTTTTTGCACTATGTATATATATATTCTGCCAAATCTTATTTTAAGATTAAACTTCTGACACAAAAAGTTGTGTCTTATGGTAGCATAGATTCTTGGGTAGAACGCTCAAAACTTGTCTTCCTCAGAAGCACCCTACTAGTAAGAAATGCGCTTATAGAATGACAATGATCTTTCTGGTTCCAGAGCAAAACTCAATTTAGGTACAAGAGTTTTTCAGTGACAAGAGATTAATTTTTTAGACCTTCATTCTAGCTGCAAATCCAACTACAAACAACTGGGTTATCTTTCTTGAATTAATTCTTATTTCTTGTTAAACTTAGGGCCACTGTTTGTGGAAGATATAATGACAATGGTGCTGTGTAAACCCAAACTTTTACCCTTAAAATCTCTGACTCTGGAAAAACTAGAGAAAATGCATCAAGCAGCACAGAATACAATTCGCCAACAAGAAATGGCAGAAAAGGATCAACGGCAAATAACCCACTGAATGATAACTGAGCACTTTAGGGAACAACCTGCCTTATCTACTATTTAACAATAACTAGAAAATATGCTTCTGTGTGCTGAAAGTAGTATGTGTTATCAATAAAATTGATAGTATTCATAGAAATACAAAAATATCCAAGATTGATGAAATTTGTATTGTGAATGTAAACACTCTGGTTTGTATTGAACATAAACAGTTAAACTATGAACCAAGTTTTATGGGGTTTAAGTCATGTTTTTAGAATTGCAAATTAAATTATTTGTTCACCATTCCTATTGCTATCTTTTATAGATAACATTCTTGGGATCTTTTATAGCATTCTTGGGCACAAGGGATTAAATACAACTTTTATATACAGAGGATCTTTACATGTTTATTAAATCTGAATTTGAAGATACATTCCAATCTTGCATAAAGTGTTTGTTGGGCTTTTACATTACGTAATTAAAAAACAAAATTTTTTAACCAATTTTATGTGCCATGTCACGTTTAATGCTATCTTGTGTGACCAGATCCCACCAGTAATGACAAAACTGTCTTAAACCTCATTTTTTTTTTTTTTTGAGACAAGAGTTTCACTCTTGTTGCCCAAACGAGAGCAATGGCACCATCTCGACTCACTGCAACCTCTGCCTCCCAGGTTCAAGCAATTCTCCTGCCTCAGCCTCCCAAGTAGCTGGGATTACACGCATGCGCCACCATGCCTGGCTACTTTTGTATTTTTAATAGAGACAGGGTTTCTTCATGTTGGTCAAGCTGGTCATGAACTCCCAACCTCAAGTGATCCGCCCACCTCGGCCTCCCAAAGTGCTGGGATTACAGGCATGAGCCACCGTGCCCAGCCCTTAAATCTCATTTTTAAGAAACCCTCACCTATTCTGTAGTCAGCTAAGCTTTTAATTACATTAATTTTAAGCACTTGAGAATAAAATGACTGCATTTATCATCCAAGTGTCAAACAATTAAAAACCTAAAAATGGTAACTATATATAAGCTGAGGTAATATGGGCTTGATAAAGCCCATGAGGTAAATATGAACACTAAACTTGGTTTTAATTCTAACAGACTATATCTAAACCTGTAAGCAGTATACTCCTAACAGTACCCTCATAAATTCTGAATATAATTCTTGTTTGCTGCAGTCAATATTTGGCAGTTTAAATTAGCACAGACGTTGAGGCCTTGCTGAGTTATTAGGCTATGTAAAAGAGGTTAAAAATATGATCATTCTTTATTGTTAATTGGTAATATTTTCTCATACATTAGGTAAATGTCAAGCTTTGGGTCTCTGGAGTATAACTTTTTGTAACATTAGCCATTATTTGGTAACAGAATTTAAGGATGATGGAATGATGGAAGGTATTACATATTTCTAAAACTTAATTAAGCTCTAGGTCAGATAACAATGGAGTAAAGTGATACCTGCATTTTTTTCCCCAGTGTAATCTTAATTTACTATTGTATTTTTCACTTAAAATTTTGTAGGGAAAAAAAGTTTTCAAGGGAACACTAAGATTAAATTGACTAGGTTCAAATATGCTTCCTTATGAGATTCAAAATTTACTGTGTGAAATTAAAGTTTAAGAGACCTAAAAAAATGTACTCCCAATAAAGAATCAATACTGCTTCACATGTTTTATTTTGGTGTACATTCTTCTAGAACCAGGTTCATTTTTCCAGTTTTGTAGAAAAATAGATGTTCCAGCCACCTTTTACTTAACTGTCTAGTCTTTTAAGACCAATCAGTATGTTCCCTGGAAAGATGAATAAGTCTCATGACTAATTTTTTAAAAATTCTTTAAGACAAAGAAATAACTTTCTTTTTTTACTCCCAAAGCACAGTATCTCAACAGCAGCAGCCAACATGGGGTTTTAGCAGCTTAACTTTACCCCCTAAATAAAGCTTTGTATAAACCAGTGATTTTACTACAAAAAACACTGTCCTTGAAAGAAAGGAGTGGCAGTCAGACATCAATGCAAAACTTGGAATGATTAGATAATAAACATGGCACTTACAAAAGGTAGCTTATTAGAATATTCCACTTAAGAAGAGGTTACTTTTCTGTCCCTCCTTGCCCCCTCGAAAAACAAAAAAAAAAGAAAAAACATTTCCTTTAAAAATTCCCCTTAAATGTAGGTTTATAAAATGTCAGAAATGCCTTGTACCCAAAACAAGTGCTTAAAAAAAAAAAAAAAAAAAACTTGTGCTAACAACTCTTACAATTCAGATATATATTTTTATAACATCTAAGACTGCAAGAGTTCTTATATTCAGTAGCTCTCTGGTTTAAGACGACCTCCATCTCCTTCGCTTACAAAACGCTTTCTGCCCCTGTAATGAAGAAAAAAAAAGACATGAAAACAGATACAAATTCTGACTATAGTCAATATATAAAAAAATTAAAAACTTGGTATTTTTTCGTTACGTGTTAGCTTTTAAAGGGTTTTCCATTAAAAAAAAAAAGCATGCCTCTAATTCCTTTGGAAAAGACTCCCTACTATATATCTTAGCATAAAACATCAATATCAAATCTGAGTTTTTGTTTTAATAAGTTCACTATCCAAACAGAGTCACATTAAAAAAAGTTGACTCAAACTAAAACATTTTATTTAGAAATTTAAAATTATTTCTAATTAATTTCTAATTATTATTTGTAAGCTTAACAGTAAGCCAAATAGGAAACACTAACATAATTCAGAATTATGCAAACTGGAGCTGTGCAACCTATCAAAATATCCATGTTTGGCAATTTAAAAAAAAATGTTTTATCAACTGTAGAAAAGCCATAACTTGAATGTGGAAAAAAATCAGAATTACAGCCTATGCCCCATTTTGGGATTCGTGCTTTGTCAAACTCAAGAAGCCCTGCTCTATAATGTAACCACACTCTTACCTACATGTAGTGGCAATAGCCCAGAAGGAACAGCTGGCCAGTGGCCTAAAGCAGTAAGTGGGAAATAGAACTTAGGCAACATTAGCCCTTACTCTCTGACCCCAGGCCAATAGGCACAAGCATGCAAAACCACACACAAATGTGCACCTTACCCAAATAGGCTAAAAGATGAAGGACCCAAGTCAAAGCTGTATGGTATGTATACACAGAAAGTTTATTGCCTCATGTGACCCTTGAGAATAAAGCCACACAGAAACAATCAGACTTTCAAACAGAGGCTGAAAAACTTTCAAAAAGCCAATGCCAGGGTACTGGCCCCTTTTCATATTAAGTCTAAGTGGAAAACAGCTACATCATCTTGAACATAAAGGCTTCAGACTGTATGAGACCAAGGTAGGGAATGAAAAAGCAGTCAATAATAAGAAGGCCAAAGTTCAGAGTTTTTACTGATGTATATCACTTGGCACATCCATACATAAATCCTGCCATCACCAAGCTAACGTCTGTATTTCCAAACATTTCTAGTAAAGCTATTAAACTATCTTTCATCACTTTCTTTTCCCTCTCTTTTAATGGCTTCTAAAATTCTAAAGCAAAGGCCCCTACCAGGAAATATTTTTCTGACTTTTAATTCTTACAATGCACTTAAAAATATCAAAGCTTAAGAAATTTTCCAGATAAAAAATTATAAGAACTTAAGATTATATAAAACTGACCCACACAAGCAAAAAGTTTAGCTATTACTAAACATTTATATTATTACATTATAAGCTTCATTATTAGCTTTAACAACAACAAAAAAACTTACCAACTAGTAGCAAAAATATTAATAGCTCCAAGGAAAATCACCCACACACATACACTTTCCAGTGAGAACATCCTCCACACACCCCCCAACACACACACTTTCTAGTGAGAACATCCAATTAGCCCTAATTCTCCAACCTGTAAAGAAGTCAAGGAAGCCACATCCAGTACAGGTAAGAGCCTAGATCTTTGAAGCCAGAAAAGTCCTGAATTCATACTTGGCTTCTACCATGTACTAGCCATGTGACCTTAGAAAAAGTACATTATACCTCCCTAAGCCTCAATTTTCTCATCTTATCACTGATAATACCTACTCTAAACACTGAAACTACTTACAACAAAGGACCTGCTCCACAAGATTAGTTTCTTTCAAATAAACTAGGACTTCATGAGGCAGTCCTGTACAGATTTACAAGGGGGCTAAAACAAGCTTCGCCCTTCTTTCTCCATGAACTCACAAGAGTCACGTTCTTCAGTGACTTCAGGGAACGATAAACTAACTTAGCAGTTAACCTTCCCAAAGATCTCATCCACTATTTTACATTGAGAAAGTAGTATTTAAATAAAGTACCTTGAAGGACAAAGATCTCTGAGTTGTTTGGAAATTATTCCAGCCTGAAAACATTCTTCTACAAACCGCTCCAGCACAGAGTATGAATGTGGGACATCCAGATTAATGTCCGGAATTTCATTGTAAATTCTCTCATAACCCTACAACAATGAAATTACATGCAGAATTGTTAGCCCATATAAAATAAATGTCATAAAACACAATCCATCACTATGTCATCAATTTGTATTTAAGGCCAAATATTCAAATGGTTAAACTGAAGTCAGATTTGAATCGTGAGAAGCACAGAAAGTAGATTTGTTACAGTGTTTTACAACTGTTCTCTTTTATTAGAGTCAGGAAATAACAGACATTGGCAAGGTTGAGGAGAAAAGGGAAGGTTTATACGCTGTTGGTGGGAATGCAAATTAGTTCAGCCCCTGTAGAAAGTGGTTCGGAGATTTCTCAAAGAACTCAACATAGAATTACCGTTCAACCCGACAATCCCATTACTGGGTGTATACCCAAAGGAAAATAAATCATTCTACCAAAATGACACCTGCATTTGTATATTTATCGGGTACTATTCACAACAGCAAAGACATGGCATCAATCCAAGTGCCCATCAATGGTGGATTAGACAAAGAAAATGTGGTACATATACGCCCATGGAATGCTACATAGCCATAAAAAAGAACAAAATCATGTCCTTTGCAGCAACGTGGATGCAGCTGGAGGCCATTATCCTAAGAAAATTATCACAAACATAAAACCAAATAATGCATGGTCTCACTTGTAAGTGAGAGCTAAACATTGGGTACACACAGACATGAAGATGGGAACAATAAACATTGGGAATTTCAAAAGTGGGGAGGTAGGAAAGAGGACAAGAGTTGAAAAATTACCTATCAGGTACTATATTTACTACCTGAGGGACAGGATCATTAATTAGAAGCCCAAACCTCAGCATCACACAAAACACCCATCTAACAAACCTGTACATATACCCCTCTGATATCTAAAATTAAAAATATAAATAAAAAAATAAGTAAAACTGGTTACATAGCTAAAAAATTTTTTTTAAATACTGTTCTCTTAAAAGAGCTGTAAGCAGACATCAGACATTGGGCAAACTCCTTTCCCATCTACTTCTCTATTTACACTTACTACCTTTTTAAAAAAATACAAGGCAAACAAAAACCTCACAAACATTTAAAACAATAATCATAAAATTTTTAATAGGAAAAAAGTACTTTATAATTTGTTAAAAGTTAAAGGTTCATGTTTCTCTCTAGATATAAAATAGAAATTGTCACATCTTAGAAACCGAACCCTTGAGGTAGAATACATAATTACATTTGTTAAAGTAGGTAAAAAAAAAAAAAAAAACACTGCAGTGTTACTTTCCAAAAAATGGTTGCAAAAGGTTCAAACCTCAAACATTACCATTAAGAAAAAACAAAACATATAGGCATATTAACACTAAACATACCTAAAGAAAATTTCACTGACAATTCATAATCTGTATTCAATCATATATTTAAGACATAATCCTACAAGTTGTTCAAAAACAATGTTATACTTACTCTTTTCATTTGGTCTACAGTAATGGTAGAAGACTTCCAAAGGGACTTTAATAAATCCAAAATCATCTTAAATGTACTTTCTCCAGTTGACTCTAAAACCATTATAATAGCCTAAAAATTGAATCAATGAGTGAATTTTTGGTTAATTCATATATGAAACTGCTCCTAAAATGCACCTAGATGCCTTCTGTAATCGTAGAAATTTAATAACCACTTCCTCCTTTGATATTAAAAAAAGGATGTACATTATTTAAAAAGCATAAGTCGCTACAGTACAAAAAGGAACACTTAATAATTATCTTTGACATGGCAAGGTAATCTTACTTCATATACAAGCTCATGGTGAAAATGAGGTACTTCCAGTTCCTTAAGGCAATGTTCAGCTTCAGATATGTCTCCAGAGAGTAAATATTCTTTCAGCAGCATATCAATCTATTAGATTTAAAAGTTGAGATGTGTCAGAATTCCTAACTTTTAAAATATCGTGCTTGCCTACAGGATTATTTGCCCTCATTCCAATATAATGAAATAGTGGGTAACAAACAGCTAATAACATATACATTGGATGTGGTACTATTACAACAGAATTTTTCATAATTAAAAAATAAATCCCCAATTTTTAAATGGTTCATAATTATGATTCAAATGCAATGCTTCAGTGTGTCTGAATCACTGAGAACTACGAATAGGTTTATAATGCATGCGTCCTGGGTTGTGACCATAATGCTCTAGTGTGCCACTAAAAATAAGGGATTTTAAATACCACTAGAGGGCACTAACAAAGTTTCAACATAAAGTGGCACAAAATATTTCACTTCTATCAAGACGCTCTTAATAGTGCACTGAGAGCCAAAAAATGAGAGATGATAATGGGGCATTACTAGAGAGGGCAAAGATTTCCACATAGTTTCTCTTTTCTCTACAACTGAGAATTTGAAACTCATTATCTAAAATGTTCAATAATTCAGTTTCCAGCTGTAGCTAAAGAGACAAGTCTTGATTTTCCCGCTCAAACTTGAACATCTCAAAAAAGTGGGAGAACTTTTTCAGCACAAGAGTTTCAACTAGGAATATTTTTCCCTATATGTTATTTGTTAAAATCCCCTTTGTATTTGGTGGGCACATATCTAGTTGCCTGAATGTTGAATGTTGGCTGACTGAATTTAAAAAATCATATTTAAGTATCCTTCCAACTTCTATAAGATATTTTCATAAAAGGTAAAGTAAAATTTAATTGCTGTCATGCTTTAGGATATAATATTTACATGTAAGTAAATATGTATTTAAATATTTACATGTAAGTAAATATTTAAAGCATAGCATTTGAGTATTTTTACAATTACAAACTAATGCATAGTCATGCATCGTTTAACAGGGATACATTCTGAAAAGTGTGTTAGATGACTCTGTCATGGTGCAAACATCATAGAGTATACTCACAAAAACCTAGATGGTATAGCCTACTACACACCAGTGCTATATGGTATAGCCTATTGCTCCTAGGCTACAAATCTGTACAGCAGGTCACTATATTGAATAATATAGGCAATTGGAACACAATGGTATTTGTGTATCTAAACATAGAAAAGGTACAATAAAAAACAGTGTAAATGATTTTTAAAATGATACACCTGTATAGAGCACTCAATATGAATAGAGCTTTCAGGATGGAAGTTACTCTGGGTGATTCAATGAGTGAGTGGTTAGTGAATGTAAAGGCCTAAGACATTACCCATACACTGGCTATGCACTTTATAAACACTGTATACTTAGGCTACATTAAATTTATGAAAAAATAAAGTAACTGTGCTACAACATTACAACTGCCTCCATATCACTCAACGATAGGAATTTTTCAGCTCCGTTATAACCTTATGGGACCACCACCATCCCACACAGTCCATCACTGACCAAAACATCATAATGTGGCACGTGACTGTACTTGTTATTCAAATTATATTACTTACTTTTAACATTTGTTACATAACTTTAGAAGTATTAAAAATATCCCCCATCAAATTCCATGCACTTCTGAGAATGATAAATTACAAATACATTTATACATTTCTAAAAGTCTTCTTTGATCCAACCCTTCCATGTAAGCAAATATCCAAATAATGTCAACCTCAAACTCATATACTGGCAGTTTTATTTCCATTTTTATCTTGTCAATTTTCTTTATTGAGAGAGAATTCACACACCATAAAACAGCTTGTCCAGTTTCCAAAAATATTAATTTTGGAGAGTATTACCATCTTAACAATATTAAGTATCCTCATCCATAACCATGGGATATCATTCTATTTATTTAGGTCTTCCTTAATTTCTTTCAACCTGTTTTGCAGTTTTCAGTGTACAAGACTTGCATTTGTCTTGTTAAATTTATTCCTAAGTATTTTATTTTTGATGCTATCACAAATGCAATAATTGCATTTCAGATCATTCATTTCTACTGTATAGAGAATTGAATTTTGTGTACTGATCTTTTATCTTGCAACCTTTCTGAACTCATTTTTTAGTTAATAGTTTGGTTTCAGTTTTGGGGAGTTAAAAAATGTGGATTCATTCAAATTTTCTGTATACAGATCATGTTATCTGGGAATACAACTAGTTTTATCTCCTCCTTTCCAATCTGGATGCCTTTTATCTTTCCTGCCTAATTGCCCTGGCATCTTGACTATTTTTATACCTCAATTTTTCTAATAATTGTTTAATTTTTAAAAAACAGATACTGCAATCACGACATTACAAACACTGACTCATCTATTTTAACATATATAAAAGCAAAAACAGTCAAGGCTCTAACTACAATTTGAACTCCTTAACACTTAAGCTAGATACACATACACAAACACACACACACACCTCATTAAAAGACTTACTAAAAATCAAAATTGTAGTTACATGAAAAGATTATACTCAAAAATCAGAAGCACATGAACTACAAATCTTCTAGTTGCATGCCTTTTCTTAAAGAGATCTGCAGATAAGGAGTTTTTTCTGTTTTTTGGTTTCTTGTTATAGGACACCACATTGCAGCCAGAAAAAAAAAAAATCCATAGGGAATAAATCTGGCATTTTAATGCAATAAATCGCTTTTTTTTTTTTTTTTTTTTGAGACAGAGTCTTGCTCTGTCACCCATGCTGGAGTGCAGTGGTGTGATCTCAGCTCACTGCAACCTCCTCCTCCTGGGTTCAAGCAATACTGGTGCCTCAGCCTCCCGAGTAGCTGGGATTACAGGTGCGCACCACCATGCCTGGCTAATTATTATGTATTTTTAGTAGAAACGGGGTTTCACCATGTTGACCAGGCTGGTCTCAAACTCCTGGCCTCAAGCAATCCACCCGCCTCAGCCTCTCAAAGTGCTGGGATTACAATCAATTTTCTTTTAAAACATGCATATGGGTAGTGAATGTCCTCACAAAAATCTAACACTCTGATCTGCTCTAGTGCTCATAATTCATAACTCATTATTTAAGACTATCTAGTTTTAAATTGCTCATATAAAAGCGTATTTATTGAATAGCTAAAACACAGAAAATCTCATTTCAACAGCATTTGAAAATTATTAAATAATACTATAAGAAAAAGATTTCAGGCATTCCTTTGAAGTTCATAGATGGCTTGCTTATAATTATTCATGAAAGCCATTTTAACAGACTCATTTTTTAATCATATAATTTATAATAAAAGGTTATAAAGCCACATATTAAAAAAATTATTTCATTTTCCAATTGCAGCTGTAAGACCGAACTTAATTTTTGTCCATAAAAATACCAGCTAGTAGCCACAATTTATTTCACTCAGAGGAATACATATAAATTAAGTTAAAAACAATACCCAATCATTACCTCTTTAACAAGGTGATTGACAGATTGCTGCCCACCTCCAGAGCCCCACACACTATCTTTACGCTTTCCACCTTTAGACATACTCAGAAGCACGGTAGCCTTATCCAGAGCAGCTCTACAGAGAAAGAAAAAAATTTAAGTTTGATAGCTGGACATACCTAAAGTTTACTAAATTAGGGATAAAGCTGACAAAATCCTATATGCCCTAAATCTTTCACATAACATAAAAGCAAAATAAAATTCAAAACACTTTTTCAAAACAAAAAGGAGCAAAAAGAAGTTGATCCTCATGTTAATATTCTCATGCTCTATTTCATTTCTCATTCAAGAAAAATCAAAACACATTACAAAATAACTGATCTACACTGAGAAGAAACACTTCACATATAATTAACTTTCACCTAGATCCATGCCTTCCTACCCAGGGACACCATTCCACTATGATGTGAAGTAGCCCTAGAAAATTAAGTTAATATATAGACCTGAGGAAAACTAAGACATGGCTGAGTCCAAGTCTCCAAGAAGTTAAGAAAAATCAAATAGCATAACTCCCAAATATCACATTTAGTTATACCAAATATCATATTAATTATACTAAATCACAAGAGTGAAAAAGATACTTTCTGACTAAGATTTCTACAGTAGATAAATACAAAATAAAACTATAAATCAGGCCTCTCTTCTTAAGGTTATCCATCTTATTAGAATATTAAACTATTACACAATGCTAGAACCTGAAAACAGAACTTAAAGATCTGTCCAATGGTTTTGTTTCATAAATAAAGAAACTGAGGCCCAAAGAAGAGTGGCTTGACATGAAGGTAATTAATGATTTAGCTAAACTCCAGAACTTTTCCATTATAGTACTGTCCTCTTCCTGGTATATCATGCCAATAGTCTCTCCATTTTAACAGTGGAGAATATAGAGAAGTGACAAACAGATGTACAGAGTGTCTGATTAACACAAGTGTCATTTCAATAGGATCCTGTAGAATTTTCCCCTATTTTGAAATTCTAAGTAGGAAAAGTGATTTACTTACCTAGCCTGCACACAATCTACAGTTCCTTTGTAACTATCAATATAGGTATTACATAAAATTCCATCTCCAACAGCTCTAGCAATAAACTGGCCCACCAACTGTAAAAAGGAAAAAAAAAAGAGCTATAAAAAAAGTTAAATAACTTTTATAGGTCACAATTTCTAAATACATAAATGATGAAGATTAGCTGAAGTACACAGTCAGTACCTAAAAGATGCTGGAATTTTTTTTTAAAAAAAAACCTATGTAGTACCTGTTATGCCTGGCATACACTCCCACATCTTAACCTTCAAGTTAAGTGCCAGAGTGGGGGCCACATCTGTTTTGCTCACTAATGAATCCCTAACACCTTGCACACTGCCTGAATACATAGCATATGATCAAATTTTTTTTTTTTTTTTTTTTTTTTGAGACAGAGTCTCGCTCTGTCGCCCAGGCTGGAGTGCAGTGGCACGATCTCAGTTCACTGCAACCTCCACCTCCCAGGTTCAAGTGATTCTTCTCCCTCAGCCTCCCGAGTGGCTGGGACTACAGGCGCACACCTGGCTAATTTTTGTATTTCTAGTAGAGACGGGGTGTCACCATCTTGGCCAGGCTGGTCTCGAACTCCTGACCTCGTGATCCGCCTGCCTCGGCCTCCCAAAGTGCTGGGGTTAAACGAATGATTTAAGGTCAAGTGACGTCCTCTCTTCTTAAAACAAAACAAAAAAAAAGGACTAGGTTCTCTCAAAAACTAATCAAAGGAATTTATCTTGTGGAGAAAAAAAGTTGTATAGAAATAGTTGAAAGTATGTTCACAGCATTACTTATTATAAAAACTGGAAATTGGTGTCCAAAAATAAAGGTATGGTTAAATGGTATACACATAAAATGGTATACTATGTGGCCACAGGGAAAGATATTTACCATATTTTATGGTATGAGAAAAATCAAGTTTATAAAATAGCATAATGGTATGATTCCATTTTTTTAATTTTAAAAAATTAAGGATTTATAGAAGCCATACATTGATATATACCCACAGAAAGGAGAATGGAAAACTTAACACCAGTAGCAGTTTTTGCTGGCCTTTCTTCTTTCTGGCTTTTATTTTTCAAAAATTCTACAATAAATATAAACTTATGTAATCATTTTCTTAAAGTATGTGTATTGGTATAAAAGGAAAAAATGTCTGCATTAGAATCACCACTTAATATCTCATACCGAGTATTGTCTGTCATTAAGTTTAACAGAAACAGCATTTAGGAACTGACATGCCTATATTCTATTTCTAAATTAATGTTTTAAGTAAAGTGATTTTACCTTGATTAAAAACTTTTGACAATAGCAACAATTTCACATTTTCAAAGCTACAAAAGGGAAGAGTCTTATTTATGACTTCTTATAATAAACATTAGTGAAGCATTCAATCATAACCTACATTTTTTAAAAATCTTAGCTAATAAAACAACTACATATAACAAAGACTATATATATGGCAAAAAAAAAAAAATTACCTAAAAACTATGCAGATCATAGGGGAAAAGTACAAGATAACATTAAATTTATAGCATGATGAAGACCATGTTTAAAAAACAAAAGAACTAGGAAAAAATACATCAAAATGCTAGCGGAATATTTCGGTGTCGTAGGAAATGTTGGCCATCCCCTTCCATCTACTAAAATTTCCTAGGAGTATACATTATTTCCACAATTAGGAATATAGTAGTGGGAGGGAATGAACAAAAAGAAGAATCATACAAACCTGTGGTGCTCTAGGAGTATCCAGTGCTAATTCAGGTAGATCTTTCAACAATTTATCAAATGATTTTTCCACATCAGTTGTGCTCATTACTGTCCCACAAAGGTCAGAAAGAAGCTTAGATGTCATCTCTCTATGACTAGCCTTCCCCTCCAATGCTAAGGATACTGCCAACACTGGTACTCCACTTTTCATTTCACCAAGATTTAAATCTCTTAACATTTCCTGTTCAAAAAAATAATTTAAAAACATTTTAAAAGTGTATCACTACCTATAGTTCAATAAAATTTTATTTTTGAAAAATTGAGCTTTTATCTATATATCTCTACGTCTCACTCTTTGGAAATAATCAAAAGACCCAGTCATGTTTTAGAAGATAGGATAAACACACCTTTCCCTGTGCATAAATCAGACATTGATCCACTTTGTCAAGCTTTAACTGCCTTAACATCGCTAAATTCAAAAATGTGAAATACCTTTAAAATACTGTCATGGGTCACGACACAGATACATTCTGAGAAATTCACCATTTAGGTGATTTCATCAGTGTGCAATCATTATAGAGTGTACTTACACAAACCTAAATGGCAGAGCCTACATGTAGGCTACATGGTATAACCTATTGCTCCCGGGCTACAAACCTGTATAGTATGTTACTATACTGAATACTGTAGACAACTGTTAACACAGTGGTTACCTATCTAAACACAGAAAAGATACAGTAAAAAGAGTATTATATGAGACCAAAGGTATATATGCAGTCTGTCATGGAAACGTCATTATGCAGCTCATGGCTAGTTCATTAAACTACATAATATTGCTGAGATTGGTATTAGGAGTTAACTAACCTGCCTTACAATCTATTATTACTATAAATATTGTTTTATGAGAATTTGTGGAAAAATTCATTTTAGATTATCATAAGCTATTTATATTCTACTTTTCTTCAAAGACTTCTCTTGAAATAAAAATTCACTTCACACTTTTGTATCAAGTTTAAAATGAGATCTTAAACAACTGTTTTTAAATGGGATTATTGGTTTAAGATTCTGGGGTAAATTTAAAATTTCCTTTTAGAAATATAATAGCTGCAGCTAATACTTATTGACTAATGTATCAGGCATTATAATAGCCTCTTTAGTTATATTATCTTATTTAATACTCAAATAGCCCTTTGAGTATTAAATTATCACACCTATCATACTCAAAGGAGAGAGGGCACACAGCTGGAGTAGCCAAACTGAAAGTGGAATAAAGGCAGTCTGACTCTAGAAGCTAAGTTCTAATTCAGTTAGAGTGCCCTCCTCTTTAATGAAAGTTTTCTTAGAATCTTTAAATCATGATATACTACTAAGAGAGTGCCAAAACTATTTTCACAGCCACGTAACTGGTGTCCTTGTTAGTAATCTCTTCTCACTGACTGCATTTCATCTTCCTTGACCGCACTTTAACAACTAATCCACTACCCTCAAACACAATACTCCTCTTTCCTGGAAAACTATCTTAACTGGCGAACTCCTCAACATCCTTCAGACAGCAGAGAATCATCTCTACTATTACTCTCTATTTTATGCTTTCCAAACAGTACTCAGTTAACAGATACATAGTATACAATTGATCTTATGCTAGGTAGATTAACAAGATTTCAACAGTCCCTGCCCTCATAGGACTCATGGAAACTTTTCCTCTATAACAGAACGTTTCACGTATTTTAATAATCTGTTTACATATCATTTCTTTCACTTGACTGGGCTTCAAAAGGGCAAGAATCACCTATTACAAATTCCTCCAGATGGTATGCACTGAACAAATATTTGTCTTATATTCAAATCCTACAAATCCAAAGATATCAAACCTCACAGTATCAGACAAATCATAAAAGTCCAGTCTAAATTTTAAGAATCTAAATGATCAAAGTCTTCTAAAGAGTTACAATTGTATTACTTTAATTTGATAATCCTAACTAGACCAATGGTTTTATTTTATCCTAGATTTACTTTATGAACAAATCATGATTATTCTCATGGCTTCTGTATATTCTTTTTCAAATCTTTATTATTTGTGGGGTTTTTTTTGGACAAAGTACAAAAAGATTTTATCCTACTTCTGAACATACGTGAAATAAATGTCAAAAAAATGAAACTATGTCAGGCATTCTTAACTGAGATCCCTGAAGAGGTTTCGGGGGGCGTCTAGAAGTGCCCTCAAACTGCTAAAATTATATTTTATAAATTATAAAAACAGATTTTATAAATTCATATACATTACAAATTATAATTATAAAAATTATAAAAATATTGTGTCATTTTTCAGAGAACAAAATGGCACACAGCTCTCATCACATCCCAAATATATAACTGTTTTAATGTAATGAGATTTTATTCCATTTCTTAGAAATTCACTTATGCAAAAGAAAATGATTAAATTTATTCAGTGACCCAAGATCATTGTAGATGTATTTTGCTTATAAAAGATGTCTTCTCTCCTATATTAAATAAATTATACTTGCAACTTTAAACCTACCGCAACTTCATTAGTATCTCCATGCTCAAAATATTCCTGTATGATTGGTGTTAAAGTCTTCTCAAATGCCCTTTCATCCAAAGGCAAAACTACAGTTTCATAAACACAGTTCTCCTTTGAGGGGAAAAGGGAGTAAGAGTTATAAAAAACAAAATGCAAATAAACAAGTGAAATTGTTGTACAATTTTATATTCTAAGTGGTTAATAATCCCCACTTAGCACAAGACAAAGACATGCTACATACATTGATCGCATATAAAAATAGAATCTAGGCCAGGCAAGGAGACTCATACCTATAATCCCAACACTTTGGGAGGCAAAGGCGGGAGGTTCACTTGAGGCCTGGAGTTCAATACTAGCCTGGGAAACATAGCAAGACCCTGTCTCTACAAAAAAGTTTTAAAAATTAGCCAGACATGGTAGCTTGCCCCTGTAGTCCTAGCTACTCAGGAAGCTGAGGCAGAAGGATCTCTTAAGCCCAAGAGTTCGAGGCTGCAGTGAGCTATAATTCATCACTGCACTCCAGCCTGGACAACAAAGCTAAAAAATAATAATAATAAATCATAATAAAAATAGTAGAATTTATATGTCACTGCTCTTTTACAAAATCAGAATACAATAAGCCAATATATAGATTAGAATCATTAACCACAGCAAATACATAATTTGCTCCCAACCCCCATGTCTTCTGTTAATTTTTTCTCTCAAAATTTTTATGTCTCTCTCAAAACCAATCTTTTAGTAATCAAAAAGTTTCATGATGGCTTCCTATCATAAATGGTGTTTTAATTAAAATTTCACTTTAAAAAAAAATGAAGCAGGAACCAAAGCCTTCACGATTAGCATTATTATAATAAAAAGTATAACACAAAGATCAATGTTGTAGTGACAGAAAAAAAATCTCTAAGGAAAAAAGCACTGTTCAATTGAAATTTCAAAAAGAAAATTAACATCCATCATCAAACCATTCCTCTCTCCCCATGCTAAAAAAGCTCTGAAATGTAGTGCCCCCTTATCTACAAGGGGTATGTTCCAAGCCCCGTCCGAGGATGCCTTAAACCACAGATAGTACCGAACCCAATAAATACTGTTTTCTCAATCCGATAACCTAGACAGCTACCATGTGACGAATGCACGAGTAGTGTATACATTGCGGATACACGCTGGACAACGGAATGGCTCACATCCTGGGCAGGATGAGGTGGATGAAGCTGGACAGCAGGAGATCTCATCACACTACTCAGAATGGCATGCAATTTAAAACTTATGAATTACTTCTGAAAGTTTCCACTCAATATTTTCAAACCACATTGGACCATGGGTAACTGAAACTGCGGAAAGTGAAACCACGGATAAGAGGGGACTGCTATATTTACAACTTGTGACTGGCTTCAGCCTAAAAACATATACTTGAAAGATTAATACATTTTTAGCAAAGATTCTACAGTACTTGAATCCTACTAGTTTCATATTTTTCATGTTCTCTTAGAAATATTTCCATATCTATTAGTTAAAACACTTAAATACATACATACAACACACAATAAAAACAACCTAACACATACTCTTAACGTTTTCCTGTCTAAAATTTCCATCACCGTGTCTCACCTTGTGCAAAGACAAATTTTCAAAAAACATAATCAAAACATTTGGGATTTGCTTCAAAATAATCCAAAACAGGGTGGGGCAAAGGGGCCAATAGAAGACGGAGAGTAAATGGAATTAAACAAGACTGCCTATGAGTTTGTAATTATTTAAGTTTGTAAAGCTAAGAGAGGAGTACAAGCAGATTATACTATTCTACTTTAAATTTTTTCCATTAAAAAAAATAAAAAATTCACTTCACAATCTATTAAAAATTTACATTTTCAGCATTATCCCTAAAAGAAAGATGCGCATGTCCCCAAAACAAAATGTATTATATAGTTACCATTCTAAACAGTAATATTTAAAAGGAATCTAATATCTGTAACTCATAATATTCAAAAGAAGATATTCTCAATTATCATTACTATAGAAACAAACTATATTAACAGAATTTACTGAAAAATGGACAACTTAATAATCCTAAGTGAATTTCTAAAGAGCTATTTTTGACTCACTACAGAAACCAAGTGAAAGTTATGCATGTATTACTGTCAGTTTACTTGGTTTCCTAATCCAAAACATTTATACATATGATTTGACACATGTATGAGTAAACTACAAACATGAAGTCAAAAAAGTTCATAAACATTTTAAATATTATGAAAAAGCAAAGCACTGATACCTGGTCATCATCATAGTTAGGATCTTTCACATCCACCTCCTCCACATCATACACCTGTCCAGGTGTACCCCAGACACCTTTGCCTCCTGCACCACCTGAAAAAGTTTAGCATTGAGAAAGAAAAAACACAAAATTCATCAATTTGTTGAAATCTAAAATAAAATGTTCCGATGTTAAACAACAGCTAAAAAAAAATTGTATTTAACGTGTTAGTTTTTTTCCAGTTTTCTTCCCCTACTGGTTTTTGTTCAGACCACTCTTTCAATATTTCCAAAAACATTAAGTTAAAATAGCTTATGAAGTTAAAAACTAAAAAAGCAGATGCTTTAAAATAAAAGCAAAAACAAATAAAGATAAAAAAATAGCTATATTGAGGACCTCAAAGGAGATGATATTGCAGCTGAGCTCTAAATTTTATTCGACATTTCTTTGAGACTAAGACAAAAAGAAACATTCTGGGCCGGTAAAGCTTAGCATAGAAAACTCAACAAGGGAAAAATTATTTAACAAAAAAGGACAGTAACCACCATCAAATATTTTAAGGTCAAATACAGTACTCTTTAAATATTAAAGTACACATTAAACCATACAACTAGCAATATGTTATAAATATAGAAAAGAATTCTAACTGCTTTTAAGCATTAACAGCCCTGAAAATTCTGTTTTCTAAATACAAAACAACCAAAAGAAGCTTAACAATTCCAATTTTCAAAGTTGCTTTTCTACATCAACTTACTGAAATGTTTTAAGGACTAATGTACTACACTATTTTTTAAAGAACCTTTACAATGTCACCAACATTTCTGTTTTTGGAGGTTTTTATTTTGTACCAAGTATATCCTTGCCATCAGACCAAAACAGAATCTGACAACCAGGTTTCATTTTGATATAAAACATGATTGCAGAGGCATTTAACAAAACTAATTTTTGACAGATCACAAAAACATTTTACAAGAAACCTAGGCTATAAATTGAAGTTCCCACCATTCAGAAGGTGATGAAATCGTCAGAAAACTCTTATTCAACAAATATTTGCCTACAGTGTACTAGTCACTATTTCGGGTACTAGAGAAACAGCAGTGAAACAGACCAATCTACTACAGAACCCAAAATAAAGAGCTAAAGAGAACTCACCGTGAGATCTAGGAAAACATTAAAATTCAGATCTAGACGTTATCAATCAAATGTATATTTATTAGTAGTAGTAATGGACATAATTATATTAAATAAGTATGATGGATTTCTGACTCCTTTCAAACTTAGAGAATATACGTAAAACTCGTAACAGTGAAAAACATCAGTGTATATTTTGCTGGAAATAAATCGTTAACATTCTGCTCAAGAAAATTAAATCTACTCAAACAAGAAAAAACATCAACCTAAAGAAAAAGTGAGATGGTTCTCACATTATTACTAAGTAAAAATATATACAAACTGTAAAGCCTTACATTTTCACTTTTTGAATCTCTCTCATTCCTAGAACAAGGAAAGTGTAGTACAAGAACCAGACAATTTTTTTCCACTTGTTTATCTTCCATTTGTTGGACATGATATATACCAACCTTTCTTTGGTAGTCCCCTTCCTTTCCCAGATCTGGATCGCCTATCCAGCAACCTTCCCTTTGGACTGGTTGGCACAGTTAATCCACTTCTAAGGGCGTCACTCCCACTGTCGCTGACCGAATCGCCTCTGCCAGAGTCCCGGGATGAGTTTTTCCTTAGTCGCCTTTTTGCCTTGGCATTAATTCTAGCTTCGTTAATGGAGGATGCTGAAATCCAATTTCCATTTATTTCATTCTTTATTTCCTCAGTCCCAGCATTTTCTTCATCACCGGAAAAGAGAGAGTCACTTAAGTTATCAGGATCTTAAAGAGAAAAATGAAGAAAAAAATTCTAAGTATTTTAAGTATCTACTGTTTTATAGATATAGTGGTAAGTTAGATTAGGTTGAATCACATGACATTACCATTTTTGTAGGTAAATTACAGTCACATATTGGGAATTTCATCTACTTCAATCTAATAAACAACTAAATAAGATTACTTTTCACATTATCAAGGAAAGTAAACCAAGGCACTGAATTTTAACAAAGCATGTTTGTTTCTTACCAAAAACAAACCAAATTTGTTTGTTTTTACCAAAAGAAGCATGTTATTTCACGTTTAGATCATAAAATCTATGCTAACAGCAACACCAAATATAAAACCCTTAGACTTTTATGAGCTAATTGGAGATATTAAGAAAAGACAAAGCATCTTGAGAAGAGAGATAAACTAATATTTATAGAATGCCTACTATTAGGCACTGTGCTAGACACTCTATCATTTATTTATGCACAAGTTTGGCAGTTAATTATTATAACATTGAAGACAGATAAGGAAACTAAGGCTGAGAATGTTTAAATGATTTGCCAAACGTCCCATAACTAGGTATAAACACTTAAGAACTATTAGTAATCCAAAAGAGAATGAAAGGCATTTAGCAAATAATCGCATATGATTGTTGAGCTGAACTGCTGATGCTTTACTGCCTCAAGACAAAGTTTGCTTTCAAGAAAAGCCAACATCTCAAAGTCCTAATTCATCTCCCTAAACTTTTCTCCTATTACTTACCATCCTGTAAATCTTCCAGCCTATATAAAATTGATTCTTCTGAAAGAGATCAACATACTGGAGTTCCCAGTAGAATGTCGCCCTCACTGTTATTTTCAGTTATCAAAATCCTTTAGGATATAGCCCAAGTCTTACTCCCTGCATTAAAACTTCCCTTACAACTCTAGGTACAGGAACACTAATTGCTCACATACTATTCATTCAACACGTCATGGAAATCACTTTCTTTTTATATAGCAGTCTTTTTCTTCCAACTAAGTCATAAGCTTCAAAGGAGAAACCACAACTA
This sequence comes from Homo sapiens, assembly GCF_000001405.40. Taxonomy (NCBI): domain Eukaryota; kingdom Metazoa; phylum Chordata; class Mammalia; order Primates; family Hominidae; genus Homo; species Homo sapiens. The sequence goes on along the minus strand of NC_000010.11, from coordinate 110,880,196 downwards.
GACTGTATGTCCTTCTTTGTATCCCCATCACCTAGCAGAGTGTCCTTCATACTCAAATTCCATGGAGATCAAGTGGAGGCACTTGGCTTTGCCCTGAAAGCTCTTTAAGTCAGAAAGGCTACTGAATTAGCTACCACTGGGCCACAGTTTTGTTCATTATTGTTAACGCAAATCAGAGCTGAATCACTCAAATCATTTTCTATATGCCTAAAGATAATTATAACATGTCAGGTCTATGTGCATGGGCTTTAATATGTTTTAAGACATGTTGAAACCAAAAATTTTCACCAACCTATAAAAAGCATACATGTGTTTAAATCTTTACAATTCTTGACATACTTAGGAAGGTAGGAATGTTTTGTTTTAAACAAAATCATCAATTAGAGCCAAATTATTTCACTAGTCTCATAAGTAGTCTCCCTGCCTCCAGTCTTCAAACTATACTGAATGAAGACTGATTTTCTCAAGCATGCCCTCACTGAAGATCCTTTAAAAGTAGTCCCATTATGTCACAAAAAATGTAAACTTTTTTTTTTTTTTTTTTGAGACAGCGTGTCGCTCTGTCACCCAGGCTGGAGTGCAGTGGTGCAATCTCAGCTCACTGCAAGCTCTGCCTCCCGGGTTCACGCCATTCTCCTGCCCCAGCTGGGACTACAGATGCCTGCCACTACGCCTGGCTAATTTTTTTGTGTTTTTAGTACAGATGGGGTCACCGTGTTAGCCAGGATGGTCTTGATCTCCTGACCTCGTGATCCACCTACGTCGGCCTCCCAAAGTGCTGGGATTACAGGCGTGAGCCACCGCACCCAGCCAAAATGTAAACTCTTTACCTTGTAACTTAAGGTCCTTTATGATCTTGCCCCTGCTTACCTCACCAGAATCACTGCTAACTACTCCCACACTCAAATTGTCAGAGCTTAAGTTAGATATCATAGGGAAGAGATGGGAGGGATTCATTTGGCAGAAGAATACTGAGTATATTACAAAAAGAGAAAGTATAAAGTAGGAAACCGCTAAGAAAATGCTTCAGTAATTCAGTCACAAGCTAACTGGTAAAGAGCAAGGGTAGTAACTGTGGGATAAATAATAATGTTACACTTTTAAAGAAAATAATGAAGGACTTTTAAGCAGAATGTATCTAGGATTAAAGAGAAGTCAAACAATGCCTTAAAAGTTTTCAAACTGGTAAGAAGCCGGTGTTAGGATGGTGTGTTTGGGACATCATCATAACCATCAGTAGTAATTATAGTCTTAGTGGAAGTAGTCGTAGTACTGTTTCTTTCATCATTACCATTACTATTGTCATCTATTAGATACCAGGTTCCACACTACCTGGTACCTATTAGATTCCACACTACCTGGTACCTATTAGCTAAGGCACTTTACATATGTGGTCTATAAGCTTCAAGAGCTCTAGAAAGAAACTGTTTATCCTCATTTTACAGAAGGAATGTGTTTCACAAGAAGTTACATATCTAGAAAGGATTATGGCTAGAATTCAAACCCACATTTTTAATCCCATATAACTACAGAAAATACAAAACTAGAATACAGCAGAGTATTGACAGCTAAAGAGACGAACAAGGGCGTGAATGTAAAGAGAGATAAACAAAAATGATTAAGTGGAAGGGGACAGAAAGATCAGGATCACATAAATTAGATGACATTTTCGTGTAAGAGTGGATGGTTGAGAAAAACATTAAACATCTACCTGTAACATAGTGCTTTCATCATTGTGCCATTAAGGTGAACCACAAAACTGGTCCAGAAGACACAGGAGTCAGAACTATAATAAAATGTCTTAAACTGTCCCTTGGAGTATTCAATTTAAATACATCTATTTCCCATAATCGAGTTTTCTTTTCTTCAACAATTTTAACATCCTTTCAAGTATGTTTGTGTCTCTGCAGCAGTAAACATTCTCTCAGTATAATTTATATATTTGACCTTATCATTTTTAACCCATGTTTGTATTAATTGCTTTATATTTTGTTACTCATACTCACCTAACTGTTGGAGTTCCATAACCCCTATTGAGCTGACTTTAAGAAAACCAAAATTAAAATGATAAGCTGAGTACAGAATGTGATTGACTTCAAAATTGTTTCCTACTGTGTACTAATTCCCTCTTTCTGAATTCTGATATCTCAATAGTAACCACTCCAATTGTATATGACCACAGCACCAGAAAATCACATTTTCAATTACTGGTGTCCAATGAGTGGCATAATTAGAATAACATTACCACACTTTCATGTATTACATACCTAGTATGTGCTTCACAGACTTAACACACATATACAATATCTCACTAAATCCTAATTATAAATCTATACAGAGGGTATTTATATCCCAATTTTATACATGAAAAAACTGAAGGTCAGAATAACCTACTTCCTCCAAGTAAAAGAGTAAGAGTGTGACTTGGACTATTTGCTATGTGAAGAATTTACTACAAAGAGGGTCTATCTTAGGCCTATTCAAATATTGAAGAACAAGTCTTTTATTTTAAAGCAGTGCTGGACACAAGCACCAAGAACAGGGTTAGAACTAGGTCTTATTGTAGTTAGGAAACAAAAAGTACACATTTTAAAGCTGTGTTTCTATTTCTAATAGAAATAGAATGCAAGCCATATAAGAAATTTTAAATTTTCCAGTAGCCACATTAAAAAGTAAAAACAGGTGAAATTAATTTAAATATATTTTATTTAATCTAATATAACCATATCATCTCAACATGCAAGCAATATAACAAATTATTGAGATAGTTGACCTTCATCTCAACTCAGAGTAGCCACATTTCAAGTACTCAACAAACACATGTGGCTAAGCACAGTGGTGCACACGCCTGTAATCCAGCTACTGAGGAGGCTGAAGAGGGAGGATCACTTGAGCCCAGGAGTAATAACCACATGTAGCTAGTGGTCACCATACTGGACAGTGCAGAAAAGAAGCAATTACCTATATGTAAAATATATTCTAAACTGTATTACCATCCCCATCTCAATTAAGTAGGTACATATTATCCATTTATAACCCTAAAGCATACTCATACAGCTATTGTATACAGCAGCACAGAAATGATCATTAATTACATAAATTTTTTTCAATTTTTTACCATACTTTAAAAAGATCTGTAAATAAACAATGGTAAAGAAGCTTCAAATTCAACATGTTTGTTCAGATCAAAGAAAACTATGTACATTGTAAACAATAGTGAGTTAAGTCACTGAGGAAAGAAAGATGTAGTATTTAGTTACGAAATACACTTAAAATGACAGAAAATAGCTTTCAATATTAATAAAATTATAAGACAAAGAATTATCCAAAGTATACCAATATGAACTGTTCTCACTATTCAGATATTACACAATTCTAATTAACTTTTTGGGAGATTATTTTTAAAACTATAAATACATTTTAAATTATCTTGAGTTACTCACATTTGGTCATCTATTCCACAAAACTGTTCATTTTTATGATAATAACATGCTATTGAAGCACCATGGAGAATTAGGGAAAATACCCTAGGTAATTTAGAATATAAAAATTATTTGTTAGGAAAGATACCAAAGATACCAGTAAGTTTATATTACAGAAATCACTAACTAGCCCATGTGAAAATAAGCAGGCTCACTATTCTTCTCTATTCTGTACTATATAACAGAGAATAGGAATATGTGGAATGTGAAAGGATAGGCAGAAAAATAGGACATGTAATGAATTTCCATGAAAATAAAAATCACAAACTTGACTTTAAAAATAATATAGCCTGTTTTCTTACAGCATGAATAAAAGAGTATTTAAAGATAGTTTTTCTATCATGTTTTTATAAAATATGGAATGGTCTGAAGCTTCCTCACAACATAGTCAAGCTTCAAGATATTTCAGCCTAGGCAACATAGTGAAATCCTATCTCTACAAAAAATAAAAAATTAGCCTGGTGTGGTGGCACACACCTGTTGTCCCAGCTGCTGAGGAGGCTGAGATAGGGGAGGATCTCTTAAGCCCAGGAAAGTCAAAACTGCAGTGAGCCATGATCACACCACTGCACTCCAGCCTGGGTGACAGAGCAAGATCCTGTCTCAAAACGAAGAAAAAAAGAAAAAAGGATATCCTTACTTACCTGCAGGGTTTACATTCAGTATCTGCTCATTTTCTACATCCATTTTCCCTTAATTTCGCTTGCACTGATTAAACAAATTACCTAATGGAAATCTTCCTTCAGAATCTGTTTTTTTAAAAGAAAAAAAGAAAGCTTCAAGATCTTTTAAACTGATGTAATTAAGCTGAATTAAACTTACTTAAGCACACTGTAAAAACAAACGACAACAACAAAAAACACACAATTCCATTAAATAAAACAGTTCACTTTACTTTCAAAGACAACTTACCCTAATTAACATTTGGTTCCAATCTTTTTGATAAATTTATCAAAGTCAAAAAAAAAAATCCCAGATTTCAGCATGTGCCAAAGCACCCCTTTAATTGGAATTAAAAGATATGTTTGTGATACATGTTTACGTCAAGTTAAAGAAATACACACATCCAAATCTTTTAGGAATACCAAGCCTCAAAATTAATCTGATATACATACATAGGAATATAAATACTGGATAGTTCCCTACCAATGAATTATGAGAACTACTCCAAAATAAAAACAACACAGTTTTAGTTAATAAAGAATATCACATGACTGTGTTATTTTTCACATTACGGCATATCTGAAAGGCAGATATATCTGCCACTCATTACCTAGGTCTCTATAATTACTAGAATAAGACTTTGGGAGAAACTTTTAAAATCAGCTTTTTTGATAATATTATTTATATGAGAAATCCTTTTTTGATAATATTATTTATATGAGAAATCCATTTTTTAAAAATCTGATCATTTCAGAAAGGAGTAAGTACAACGACATAAGCATTTCAGTATTTTAGGCCTCAGTTTCAAAATGGCTTAAAAATTATTAATACTGGAAGGTTTGATGAAATCAGTTACCTTTTAGACAATTAACTTAGTGATACAGATCCAATAATGTTATATGAAAGAAATATCAAAATAGTTTTCAAAAAATATATTACCAGAAAGTGCAACCAAATTAAGATTTCAGAATCTCTCTAGAAGTATTTTTTAAATAGTGGTTTAGAGTACTTAAGTGTATGTTTAAGTCACATAGGTTGGATATAAGTCCTTCTGGTCATTTACAATCAGGTTGCTAGCAGTGTGCTCTTCAGAGATATAAAATGCACAAATTAGTGAAAATGCCTAATAAATTAATTACAGAAAAGCACATTTTTTCCTATATAACTTAACCTACTGTTAGATGTCATTTTAGGATAACAATGATATATACAGAGCCTCCTGGGACTCAAAGGTGAAACTGACTTTTAAATTCCTCATTATGTACTACTATTTGCTAACATAAGTTTATAGCCCTTTTCTTCAGAAAACGGTATTATTTTGTGAAACAAAAACAAATGGACCTTATGTTAAAATTATAGGCTTCTTACTATGGTATAATCCTCAGACTAATATGCTATCATATTGCTTGGGAACTTAAGAAAATGGTGAGATCATTCTCTAATTCTGTTAAGAATAAATTAATATATGTGAATCTTTATAATCACTTTTCACTATAACTCCCGCCAACTTTAGATATGAAAAAAAAATCTTAAAAATATGTAGAGATTCATATAAATATATGAACAAAAATGGTTTGCAAATCTAAACACTCAGCATCCTTCATGGCTGAAAAGGCTACATTCTGTTTTAATTCCATGCATGAAATACATATAGGAAAGGAATAATGTCATATGATACGTGTTTCAGTTTTTTAGAGTTCCATTACAAAGTCTTTTTCATTCTTGATGAAAGTATAACTTTTGAGAGAATACTTTCTGCAGAACCTAATAAGCGAAATGATTATAATTGATGTTCATAAAGCCCTTTACAATTCAAAAAGAATTGTACATGTATTATTTAATGTACCTTACAGAAAAACCTTCGGGTAGGTATTCCACCTTACACACAACTAAACAGATTCAGAGAGGGTAGGTGATATGTCCAAGGACAGACAGCTGCTTAGTGGAACAGCCAGGATGAGAATCCAGACCTTCCAAATCCAGTACTGTTTGCACAAGTTCAATCCAAAATTTTAATATCCCACAGGAAGATTCTTTTCAAGGGTTAACAGAAGCTTCTTAAAACAGACTTCTGCTGTTCAAACTTTTAAATGCTGTTTTCCAAACACTAAAAATAATTATTTTAAACTATTATACAGAAGGCATTCCGTCAGACAAAACTGTCAGGAAATGACTATCATCTCTTTTATTAAGATAAAAACAAAGTTATCTTAATAAAAAAAATAGTCCTGTGTCTTTAGGCAATGATAACCCGATCAGGAACTCAAGTCATATTTGACAGCAACAAACACGTTTTAAGAGTTTAGATAAGACATGTTCCACGTTTTTACGCTCTTTAAAGTAGTAGGATTTTTTCCAATTTATTTAACAACCCTTAATTGGCCCAAACAAGAAAATATAAAGCAAAAAATCCAAACGCTATTTCCTTCATACTAACCTACAAAAATGAATTTTCGATGAGAAAACTATACATACAAGTTAGAAGAAAATGAAGGCTGACATTAAACACTGTTCTTTTCTCCAGTGTGTTACACGAAATATACAATCAGAAGTATTCAACTGCCAAGACATTCCCTAAGAGACAGACCCTCCACTCCCCCACGAAATATATACATATGTATTTCCTGAAATATACCTCATAAATTGCTCTGGCATTTTGGGGAGTCAAGCTTTGGCCATTTATTAACTAGGATTACTTGTATTCATTCTTCGGCTACGAACGGCTAATTAGCAGCTTAAAACCAGCTAAAAGCATTCTACTACAGTAATGCAAAAGCAAGCACTACAGATAATATTCAAGCGGCATTTATTTTTGCAGTCCTAATATTTTTTCCTTTCACATTAGTACCACAGAAAAAGCCAGTCAATTATAATTCAAATACACTTACTGAGATATTAACGTATTCAATAAGCCTATAATGAAGGAATATTAAGGGCATAAATACCAGTAACTCCTTGCTTAAAAAGCACTTGGTGGTTTCCCAAAAAAGTCACGTTAAGAATATCAAGATTGTAACAATTAAAGTAAAAATACAAGTTAAAAACAGGGGAAACCCTTTTTTCCCCGACACCTAATCGCATTTCTGATCGTTTTCATCATTTGTAGACACTACACAGTTGCTGGCTACGTAGCGAGTTCTCACAAGGGGGAGGGGGGCGAAATTGACGTCTGCAGACAGTTTTGAAGCTCTTGCAAAACCCCATGTACGTTACAGCATCAAACTGACAAATGGAGAAGATGGCATGCGTTTCACAGAAAGGGGGCTCCCTTCCCGGCTTTGTTTTCTCTGGGAGATTTTATTTTACCTAAACTAAAAAAAAGAGACCCTTTGCCGGAAGACGGGCGCGACGAAGTTCGCGCAGGGATGGGGCGGCGGGCACGTGTTCGCCTCCCAGCGCCCCCGGCGAGGATAGCGCGCGGCCCCTCCCCACAGCGGCCGGGCCTGTTCTCCCGCAGCGGGCTCAGGCTAGGACCCCCGAAGTCCCAGCCCGGGTCGGCCCCCGGAAGGGGCTGGGCCGGGGCCGAGGCCGGGGCTCCGGGTTCACGAAGGACAGGGGGCCGCATCTTCAGAGGATTCCCAGGGAGGGCAGGGGGCGGGGAGGGCGCGAATCTTCCTCACAGGATTTCAGTCCAGCCGGAAACACGCCTTCCAATCCCGGCCCCCGAATTCAACCTCCGCCAGAGGGGGAGGAGGGCTGAGGGGGACCTTCAAGGGCGAGCGCCTCGCGCGCCCCTCTCAGTGGGGAGATGGCTCCGGGAGGGGGCGGGCCCGCGCCGACACGCTCCAGGCTGGGCTCAGAAAGAGGGAACCAGGCCGGATGCCCGCAGTCCGGGGCGTTGGGGAGGGCGCGGCTGGACCTGCGGGGCTACAAGAAGGCAGCCGGACCCCCGCACCGCAGGCCCGGACCTGACAGGACCGCGACCCCCACGCCTCCGCCCCCGCCCCCTCCCATCTTGCGGCTGCCTCCGAGGAGGGATGGGGGAGAGGGCGCAGTCTTCCCGAGCGTGTGAGCCGCGCCTACTGGTACTGACCCCTCGGGCCCCCGCCGCTGCTCGCCCAGGTTCCTGGTCAGCCGGCCCCGACCCCGCTCTTCTGTCTCTGCCGCCGCCTCGGAGAGTCTCTGGCCCTTCTCGCTCTGTTTGTTTTTGTTTTCTTCTACCCAGTAACACGGGGGCGAGAGGGCGGCGCTTATTGGCCGAGGCCGGGTGGTCGGCTGGCCAATCGTGGCGGCGGAGCCGGAGCTGAGGAGGAAAAGGGAGAGGAGTGAAACGTGGAAAGTTGGGGAGGGGCGCGGGAGGGCGCATGCGCATGTGGCTCCTGGGACTGGCTGGAGCGGGAGTTGAGCGGGAAGTCGGGGTGGGGGTATGTTGGGAGGCGTGGCGGGATGGGAGCGTTGGGAAAAGGGCAGTGCTGGGGGATGGGGACGAGGATGAAGCTTCCTCGACCCAGCTCACCCATTCTCCTCACAGGGCGTTCTGCAAACTCGGCTGAAGCAAAGGTTTTGAGCTTCCTGATGGTCCCTGCCTCCATTTCTAGAAACTGCTTAGGCGAACACTCCAAGTGATCAGCCTGTCCGATTCCTCCTCCCTCTGGCCGCTGCTTTCTCTGTGGCTTCCAGTTTCTGGAGATCCCATGCTAAGAAGTTTCTCTCAGCGAATCCCCTCAAACCTTTGAGATGGAAATAATTCCCATTTCACAGATATAAAGCAGGCTCCAAAACTCTTTGAAGTTCCTTTGCTAATCATGACTAGCCAAGCCTCTGGCGTTCAAACGCACAAATTCCGGCCTCCAGTGCTGGGGTTCTCAGCCATGGCTACAATTTCTGTATTGAAACTTCCACCTCCCCTCGCTGTTCTCTGTGACTTTTCCTCTTGGCTGCATTGGTTTTGGCTGGTACTATCCTTACTCTTTCAAGGTCACGGTCCCCTGAGGGTGATAACCAGAACCTTAGGCTTCCTTTGTGTTCCCAGGCGGGGACTTAGCCACTGCCTCTGATCAGATTTTTCAGTTGTCTGATGGGCAGCACCGAATGATTGCTTGTGCTCTCCAGAACCCAACTGCCTCATCCCGCACAGGCCAGCGCTTTCCCTTGGCTGCCCAGTCACCCTGCCTGGGAATCATCTCTAATGCTACTATTTCTCTGCACACACACGCACACACACACACACAAACCTTCACTGGCTTCCCATTGCCTCTCTTGAGTGTCAGCGCCTCGGTCGGTCATTCAAGGCTCCGTGATGTGACTTCAAGACTTTCAGGCTGTGTCTCCACACATCTCCCCATATGCTTCCTCACCCCCTGGTAGTTCTTTATATATCACCTTGAAATGTCTCTCTTCTCATCTCCTATCTCCGCCTGATGCAATCCTTCTGTGCCTCATGGCCCTTCCTGGTAGTTTTTTATTTTGTTGTTGTTGTTGTTTTATTTAATTGAGGCAGGGGCTTGCCCTTTAGCCCAGGAGAATGCAGTGGCATGATCACAGCTCACTGCTGCCTCGACCTCCGTCAGCCTCCCTAGCTCAACGATCCTCTCACCTCAGCCTCCTGAGTAACTGGGACTACAGGCACAGCTCACTATGCCCAGCTAATTTTTGTATTTTCTGTACACACAGGGTTTCATCATGTTGTCCAGGCTGGTCTTGAACTCCTGGGCTCAAGCAATCAGCCCACCTCTGCCTCCCAAAGCGTTGAGATTACAAGCGTGAGCCACCATTCCTGGACCCTCGTAGTTTTTCTGGAGCCTCGTGATTTGATATGATCTTCCTGCCGCTGATTCCTCACAGTGTTGGCTTGCCACACCTCCAGGGGCACTGATCACATTCTACCTGGCATTATTTCATCTGAGTCCCTGTCCTAGCCCTTCTGCCCATTAGACTGTAACCTTGTTTAGGGAAAGACCTGTGTCTTACTCATCTGTGATTTTGTTGTTGTTGTTGTTTTGAGACAGGGTCTTGCCCTGTTGCCCAGGCTGGAGAGCAGTGGTGCAATCTTGGCTCACTGCAGCCTCAACCTGTTGGGGTCAAGCCATCCTCCCACCTCAGCTTTCCAAGTAGCTGAGACTACAGGCCTGTGCCACCACACCCAGCTAGTTTTTTGTATTTTTAGTAGAGATGGGGTTTTGCCATGTTGCCCAGGCTTCTCTTGAACTCCTGAGCTCAAGGGATCTGCCTGCCTCGGCCTCCCAAAGTGCTGGGATTACAGGCGTGAGCCACTGTGCCTGACCCACTCACCTGTCATTGTAGTACTTAAGATGCCTTGTTCATTTATTGTGCCTGTGCAATAAATACACCTTGATTTGAGTTTACAAAGATTCTCAGCAGTTGGTGGTCATCCTCATCTCCTGGGCGGGGGCCTCCTGGTGTGGCCAGTATCTGAATTAGTCTCATAACTCATGTTCACTTTTTAAAATCGGAGCTTCCCAGACCTCAGTTTTGTTTTGTTATTTTCCATTATCTGCAGCTGTCTCCTTTCCCCTCTCTCACCTATACTCTACTGATCAGTGACTGCTGGCTCCTTTGTTACCCATCCTTCTCTTTCTCCACATTTTTTCTCTTCTCATCCCTTTCAGTTCTGGACTGTTTCCTTCTTCCTCCCTGTCTTTCATTTAGTCATTCATTGAATGTACTTACTAAGCACATATAGCATAATCAGGCTGTGTTGGGTAGGCATCCCGAGTTCTATGAGATAAAGAAAGAATGGGATATGATTACCAATTTTAAGAAGCATCTAAAACAACCTGTTATGTTTTAGCAAATTGCCCCCAAAGGACCCATTAGGGAGGAAAACGTTCATGTCCTTTTTGCGTATCATCTCAAGCAGTACCCATGATGGCTGGGATCCCAGAACCCACCTTTGAGAATGCTGCCGTATTTGCGTGTGGTTGACAAGGTTGGGCCAGACACTCAGGAAATAGGGTTGTCGTCCTACCTCCCCCACTAACTTCCTGTAAGAACTTCAGCCCCTCTCAGGACCTTTTTCTTTACCAATAAAATTCAGAAATTGGGCTCAATCAGTAATTCCCAAGTTATTTTCCAAAGAACATGAATTTTGTGGAACTTTAATAGATATCATGCAAAAAAAAATGTGGGAGGGATTGTTCCATGGTCAAATGGTCTTGGAAATAACTCGTTTAAACAAAAATAAAACTGTTTCTTTACCCACAACTCTTCTCAGTGGTTTTTTGTTTGTTTGTTTGTTTTTTGAGATGAAGTTTTGCTCTTGTCGCCCAGTTTGGAGTGTAATGGCACTATTTTGACTCACTGCAACCTGTGCCTCCTGGATTCAAGTGATTCTCCTGCCTCAGCCTCCCCAGTAACTGGGATTATAGGCGCCTGCCACCACGCCTGGCTAATATTTATATTTGTAGTAGAGTTGAGGTTTCACCATGTTGGCCAGGCTGGTCTCGAACCCCTGATCTCAAGTGATCTGCCCTCCTCGGCCTCCCAAAGTGCTGGGGTTACAGGCATGAGCCACCGTGCCCAGCCTTCTCAGTGTTTTTAATAAGCTATGTGCCTTTAGTGTCTTGGGAGACCAAGGTAGGAAGATTAGTAATGTTTCCTACCTTGTTTAAACACAGAACCTTTTTTTCTCAAGATACCCCAGAAGCAGTGTTATTTAGAAACCAACTTGGGAAATATAGATGACAGCCACTGTCACCAACATTCCTTCCAGCTGTGTTGAACACTTAGTCACCTGTGCCTTTGCAGCTGAACATTTAACAAAAAAAATTTTTTTAAGAATAAGCTGAAAATGGAGAAGTATCCAAGTGCCAAGAATTTTTGCCTACCAAATCAATCCACAAATATTTTAGTGTGTGCCTGTTCTATGAAAAGCACAGTTGATTCAGCTGTGTTCTTGGTAAAAGGCATTATACTACTTTAGGGTAGGTAATATCTGAAGCCTAGGGCTGCCCGGGCTTCTGGGCCACAATGTATGTTTTCATTTCACGTTGTAATTGTCACAAACTAGGTTTCTGTTACCTGAATCCCTGTGCCTATGGGCTTATGTTAATTTAGCTATTAGATGACAGAAAAGGAGAGAGGCCTTCCCCTTAACTCACTCTATACAGAATAATGGAATTGCAACTTCCATTTCCCTTAAGAAAGATTCATTCCAAGAGCTTAGGAGAGGAAGGGAGATCACAGTTGCCCAGAACAAGACAGCTGCTCAGAGGTGGCAACAGAAACTCTGTGCTTTGTGAGTAGATAAACGTTACATACTTCATCTTCCCCGTACTCCTCAGGCTTAAGCAGTATTGAGATACTTGGAGGGGCGCAAAGAGTGTTTGGTTTTGTCAGGGGAGAGGGTGGGAGATAGTTCCTATTTTTCGCCTCTTAAGACAAGGTAGTGACCCTGTCCCTAACTAGCTGTGTTGCTTTGGGTGTTTCACTTCCTCTCCCTGAGTGAATTGAATGCTTCAATTTTCTGTGCTGTAAAAGAAGGAGGTGCCCATTGCAGGGAGTCCATAAGCAGCCATTCAGTTCTAACACCCTGGGATGCTGAGCAAGGTACTGAGTTGGTACCATGGGAGTCCTGGGAATGGAGAACAAGAGATAAGAAAGTTTGCTGGCCGGGTGTGGTAGCTCATGCCTGTAATCCCAGCACTTTAGGAGGCCAAGGTGGGCGGATCACTTGAGGCCAGGAGTTTGAGACCAGCCTGACCAACATGGTGAAACCCCATCTCTACTAAAAATACAAAAAAATTAGCTGGGCGTGGTGGTGCATGCCTGTAGTCCCAGCTATTCAGGAGACTGAGGCAGGAGAATCTCTTGAACCTAGGAGGCGAAGGTTGCAGTGAGCTGAGATCCCGCCACTGCACTCCAGCCTGGGTGACAGAGACAGACTCCACCTCAAAACAAACAAACAAAGGAGTTTGCCACTGTTGGCAGGAGAGGATTCCACCGGGTATGGACAGAGGGACTGTCAACCCAGGGGCTTTCTCCTAATGCAAAGCTCAGATAATATCACCTCCCTCCATCCCAAAGGCAAAGTGATGGCTGGTGTGGGTTTAGGAGCACTAATTAATTAATTTGGGTAAAGTACTTGAAAAAGCACAGTTGAAGGCAAAAGATAAGCACCTAGATTTACTATTAATGCCTTTGGAACTCTCCAAGGCCTTTTCATTCTTAGGGTAAAGCCTCATTTGAGAGTTCTGTTTCTTAATAAGAAATGGTCATGCCCCTAAATGAAATTGAGGAGAATTTGTCTTTCTGGGGGCTAAGGGTAGGTCTTAGCCCACTTCCTTCCTAAGAAATTTTAGATGCTGCTGTCATTTGCAGCAACTTCATCTACCTGAACTGACGCCTTGTCTCCTTTTGTCAAACCAAAGCCTGAATTTTGAGAATTTCTCTAAGGCAAAAATTGCACTTTAGCACAAATGGTAAAAGATATAAAACATGTTCTGAAGAAAGAGCTGCATAAAGAATTCTTATAATAATGATGATAGCTGACATTTGTGTTGGCCTAAGATTTACTGAGCACATGTGCATAGACTTTCACCACCTCCCTATGAAGTGGACAAGATTCTGTGCTTTAAACATGAGGGAAATAATGAACCTTGAGCAGGTCACTGGTAATCATGGAACTTTTATACTGAAAGGAAATTTGGGGATTCCCTAGTCCAAACCTTTTATTTTACAAATGGAGAAACAGATTCAGAGAAGTTAAGTGGGTCACCTAAAGCCACACAGCTAAGTTAGTAGCTGAGCCAGAAGTACATATGAGATCTCTGCCCAGAGTTGTAGGGAATGTGCAGACCAGGAATCCAGACCTTCTGGCACCCAGGCTGGGCTGGACTTTCCCTCACATGCCTCTTGATTGACAGTTAAATTTCTGGGTCCTAGAGGCTCCTGGTATCAGATGAATCCATCTCAGGGGCCTGAAAGTGGGGAAGAGGGAAAGGGTAGTAAGCATTGTACAACGTTTAGAAACCCTTCAAGGGGCATTTCTTGCATGTCTTTCCTGGGGTAAAAAGCAAGCACAGAGTAATGTGAAGCATAGTTCAAAAAATAGATGCAATATTTTACTGTGGTATGTACCAAGAAAAATTGAAAGACTACTAAGATTTTATTTCCTCAATTCAGGTTTCGAAAGGTTTTCTTAGTACATTTGTCTTTTATGGGGTTTCCCCCCCTCAAATCACTCCTACCACCTTAGAGATTTAGAAAAAAAGCTCAATTAACATTGAGGAACTCCAGCAAGAAATCTTTCCCGCACCATATCCCCCGCCAAAACACAAATTTTACCACATCTCCTATACTTGGCCTAAGTTCTAAGCCTTTGCAAACTCCAGTTCATTAGACTTTTGCAAACACAGACCATTCCACCCGATGCTTTTCAGCATTTATTATAACTGCCACGCCCTGCATTTAATAGTGTTGAGTCAGGGTAGAGAAGTGCTCCTCCAGTTGTATCTCTCGGGGCTTTATTCGCATTCTTCTGGAACACTGGATCCTGGGCTAGGCTTCACATGTCTCAGAATTAATCCTCTTTTCTCCAGCTGCCCTGAGTGCACATAGCTGCCATTATGCCCCCCTCCCCTCTATGTCTGCAGTGTCGGCTTGCTTCCCAGACAAGGAGGTAGGGCCCAGAAAGCCTGGTATAGAAATGAGGAACTTTTCATTCTGGAAAATAAATGAAATGAATGATCTTGGGTTGTGATTAAGACAGCCAAATCTATAAGGAAGTACAAACAGAGAAGGCTAGAGAAGGGCAGGGGTAAGGCAGGGCTGAGGAAGGGGGATGGCTGAAGAGACAAATGCTGGGTAGAAGTTAATTAATGGAACTAATCGAACCTCTATTTATTTTGAGCAAAAATAAATAAATAAAAGTAGTGGCAAGAGAAGAACAAGGGAAACCCAAGAAAGATGTTGCTTTTTGTTATTAAATGTTTATAATAAAAATGAAGCTAGCCCCGTAGAAGTTCAGAGAAAAGAATAAAGTCCCAGGAGATGACCTGGTGAGGACAACTTGCTCAGATAACAAATGAGCAAACCAAGGCCCAGACAGAAGTGGTGCGGCTCCTGGCAAGACACAGACAGAGCCATAGGACCTCATTCCACGGCCAACAGCTGCCTTCCTTTTCCATATGGTTCTCTGCATGTGTCTTGTCCTTCTGCCCTGTTTTTTTTTTCTTTCCAAAAAGCTAGGAGGACAGCATTCAGAAAGAGAAACTAGGACTGGCATTTGTAAACAACAGCTCCAGGAAGTCCCCAAGTACCGCAGTTGAAGTAACATGATTGACAGTCATTCAGCGCAATTGACAAAGCCAACATCAAAACAGGAACTAGCAAGCAACAGGCCACCCTCCAAGAACCAAGAGTTCAAAAGAAAGAAAAAAAATAACTGCTCAGGGGACAACTGAGAGTCTTACTATCGTTTCTTGTGTTACATAGGTCTATGATATGTTTTGTTTTCAGAGAGCTCTCTTTGAGGACAGTAAATCTAGCCCAGTGATTTACTGGTTGGCTTCAGAGGGTGCAAGAACACCCTAAAATTTTATGCAAGTTTTATTATGAATATGCATTTGATGCCACAATGGGTCAATAACTTTTTCCCATAAGGCCCCCAAAAGAATCATGTCCCAGAAAAGATCAAGAACATCTGGAATATGTTTCTACATTTATGTTATTACATGTTATTACATTTGGGCCCATTTTCAGACTGGGTGTTTGTATGGTAAATGCATCTGATAGCAATAACTAAAGCATACCCTGAGAATGAACTTGTATGACAAATGCACCTGAATGTGTGTTCTGAGCTAGGGAATCTGGAAGTGGCCAACCAGGAGATTCGTTCCTTGTCTGTCAGGAACATCTGAGCCCCCAGACCATCCTGTGAAACATGGGCTGTACAGCAGCTTGAGGCCCTGAGTTTTGGGTTGAGTGAAGGTTGCCAGGTGGAGGTTATTAGGGAAAGGATGCTAAGTGAAAAAGATATGTAAACTGCATGCCTTTTGCAATCAGTTGTGGTTCTTCTGTCCAGCCGGCCACCACTGCACTTTGCAGTTATCTTGTCCAGCCCACCATCACTGGACTCTGTCTCCTGTATGTAAGCCCCCAGCCAAACCCCATGTCTCATTTGCTGGCTCTGGGTCTCTTCTTCTGCCTCTTGATCCTGGCGCTATCCCCATTGGAGTAGATAGGGGTTTGACACAACAGTATTTCATCAAGAGAGGCCACCAGACTTACCTTTCCTCTGTATGTCAAACCAGGCGCAGTCAAAGTACTTCAAAGTAACAATAGGAAAACAAAACAAAATTGGTTTTTAAGACAGCAGTGGTCCTAAAAAGAGATGAATTGCCATCTTGGAACACCCCATAGTCATTCCAGTCAGGCCTGGCACCTACCTCCCATTATGATGACTTCAATGGGCCAAAAATATAAGCCAAACCTCCCAACATTTCCTAAACAAAAGTCAGCCCCATTACCCATGAGTGTATCTTTAAAAAACTCTTGAACTTATTTAAGAGAGGAAGCATTACATGGTGTCTCTCAAAATATGCTCCACAGATGTTCCACCACAAAAGGGTTTTAGGATGAAGTAAGTTTAGGGAAACTGCTAATCATCTCCCCTCTTAGAAAATCACAATAAATAATGGTGTTTTAAAGGCTCTGAGAAGTTCTGTCATAAGTAACCCATTCAATTTTCTTTAACCCCATGTTTGCTGTTCTTATCTGACCATAACACCCTTTTGTACATAGTGTCTATTAACGTCTTATGGAATACATATTGGAAAACACATTTAATGGACTGGGATCTGGACGAGAAGGCAAGAGGTTTGGATTCCAATCCTAGTTGTGCTACTAATTGGAAGTATGACCTTGAGTAATTTGATGGCTCCAAGGGTGTAGAACTTAAAACGTTTCCCAGATTCTTTCTGGGGCTGTAATCTATCCAATATGATCTGTGAGTTGGCTGAGATCTGGTCTAAGATTCTGCTTATAGCCATTGCCCACGATTATGCATGTTTTCTTCCAGGAGACTGTGTGGTGCAATGATTTCACTTATAAGCTACCTTCTCTTAAGAACTCTTTGGAAAGATAAGGCAAACGTCGAGGCACCAGAACAAAATGTAACCAGTGCTGTAAAGCTTGGTCAGCTTTATTCACTGTGATGAATATATGTGGTAGGTCCATAGCCATAGAACTCAGCAAACACAAAGGCAGCTGACTGGTGGCCATGTGCATTTGATGGGGCTGTATTTTTGGAAACTACACAACCTCTTTGAAGCCACCAAGGTTTTAGCAACTGTGATCACATAACCTTAAAGAGAAAACTCCTCTTTTCAAAGAACCAAAGTTATTACCACAGGTATTGTTACTCTGTGGGAGAACCCCCTCTCTCAGAGAAAAGGAGTGCTGACTCCAGCTTACCTTCAAAGGCATTTGAGTCAGTAACAGCCCTGACAGCAAGCTTTCCCAGGGAATACTAGAGGCCTGGGAATACTTTAAGTACCACCTGTGAAGCGTCTCGAGCTCTTGCACAATTATTATAAGTTGTCTTAATGCGTCACCCAGAGCAGTAGCCCAGGGTGACACATTAAGACTACACGTGGTTTCTGCATCCTAGGCACAGGAAGTTCCGTAAAATTTCCACAGGCAGATCATGGGGAAGACATCTTAAAAAGCAGAGGCCGCAGGGCTGCAGGCAACAGGGCCAGAGATAAGTCAGAACTTGTTCCATGGAAGGGCTTTTCTCCAGCCACCACTGTGGCAGTACATCATGTCTTTGTACTGAGGTGGGGCTACATGTTTAGGCAGGCTGTGCTGTGTGCATCTTCCTACCTAATATAAGGAATCTTCTAAAAATAAATCCATATCATTACCCCTTTGCTCCTTGGTGCCTCATGAAATTTAGACAGTTTAGCAAAGCCTACCTATATGTTTCCAGCTGAACTTTGCCTTGTGTTTGAAAGCCTGGGCTCAGCAAATGAGTACTATACAACTGTGCAAAAGAATGAGGAAGATTGCTATATACTCCAATAAAAAGCTCTCCAAGACTACATTAAGTACAAATCAGTGTTAATATATGCCACTTTTGAATAAGAAAGAGGGGTAAATAAGAATATTTACTCAGACTCATTTATATTGACATAAACACTGAATAACATATAAAAAACCAATGTAACTGTTTACATCTATAAGGGCAGCAGGCAGTTGGTGTGTATGGGATATACAGAGACCAGCAGGAGATGCCAGGAGGGGAACAAGACATTTACCTATTTATATTATTATATTTTTTGAACATATTAAAAAGCATAAAAGCCTGGGCTCTGGAATCTGCAGAAGTTGGTTTGACTATTTGTTCTTCTATTTCCTAGTTTTGAGTGAGTTATTTCACATTTTCTGATCCTCAGTTTCCTCACCTGTAAAATGGGGATAATTACAGTATCGTTGAATTAGGGATGTTATTCAAATTAAATGAAATAATGTTTGTAAAGTACTTAGTAGGATGCTTGACATATTGCAAGTATCTAATAAATAATAATAATACTTTAATAGCTTTCGATATTATTTTTACTTATTGAAATCTAACTGATCCTTCAGGCTTAGGTAAAGTAATGCTTCCCATGAGAAGTTTTCCCCAGGCCAGGGCAGAGTGAAGAGACTCTTCCTCCATTCCTGCCATGATATGCCTATCTGTTATCATGCTGCTCCCCAAGCTCAGCTGTTTGTTTTGACATCAGTTCCCCACTGGACTGTGGCCTTCTGAAAGGCAAAAACCTTGCCCCTGCATCAGGCTTATTGTAGGCAGGTGGTTGTCAATAAATGTTTGGTGAAAGACTAAAGGAACTAATAAGATTTCTATTTTCTGTACAAGAGCCTGTCTGAGGCTGCCCACAGAGTTTTACTTCCTGGTTTAGCCCGGCAGATGCCTACCTGTCATTTGCTAGGTGTGTGTGGAGTTACTCAGGAGAATGAACTGCAATAAGCTGTCCTCAGCACTTGCAGCTCATGCTTGAGTTTGCTGTGAATTTGCCAGAAGGTGAACTGTGGCCATCTGTAGAGGCCTCCCAGGAATGGCGGGAAGCTGAAGCCCTCCAGGGACCGCAGCCATGCTGGATCCCAGGCAGAACGCGCAGGCTGACACTCCAGCTGTCCCAGCCTGAGGCAGAACTGATGCTTCTACATCAGCCCAGGGGCTAGGCCCAATAGCCCCAGAGCTGTTCCTGCCCTCCCTGAGTCTGCTTCTCTGGGGTGAGGCCTGGTTCAGAGGAAGAGCTGACAAAAATAAAACCAGAGTGACAACGTGCTGTGCAGGAAGTTGCAAGTCTGAGAGCCAGAACAGAACACAGGTACCTAGGTGACATACCACAAGAAAAGTTGCCTGAAGAGCAGACCATAGAACAAAACCCCGACTGTATTTGCATTTGTGGCCTTCTTCTTTTAGGAGTCAAGCCAACAATGCCTACTGTTGTCAAGCAGATCTAAGCCCAGGGTGGACCTCTGGCACTAACCAGCAGGTTGAGTTTAAACAAGAAGCCTCTCTGAGCCTCACTTTCCTTGTCTGAGAGCCACTGGGAGAATTATAGAAAAAACATATACTAAAGGATCAAGCATTTCTAAAATAAATATGTGTCTTTCCTTCCTGTACTATTGAGCACTGTTGAAGGTGAGAAAGACAAGGCTTCCACAATCTTACCGTAGAGAAGCA
Organism: Homo sapiens; assembly: GCF_000001405.40. Taxonomy (NCBI): domain Eukaryota; kingdom Metazoa; phylum Chordata; class Mammalia; order Primates; family Hominidae; genus Homo; species Homo sapiens. Next base: position 110,860,396 of record NC_000010.11, on the reverse strand, counting down.
TGTACACCACATATATATATATACACATAATACACATACATCACACACACATATACATACATGCCATACACCACACACATACATACATGCCATACACCACACACATACACCCCCATACACACCACATAGATACACACACACCCCCATACACATGCTAAGTTTAGAACATTTATGAAGCAACAGCTCTAGCAACAACTGAAGAATTTCACAGTTCTTCCATTGGCTGCTTCCTAACTAGAAACAGATTGCCTTACCCCCAGCTGTTTCTGGGCCAAAGTTCCTCTAAATGTGGGTTTACTCCTGGTAATTTCGTTTCCTTTTCTCAGTTAACAGTCATGTGACACCATTGCCTGGGTGTCCTCTGCAGCCCTGGCCTTTTATCAGTTCATAAATCCAGAAACAGAAGGAATGCTTACAAAAATGTATGTGGACTCCACCATTTATTGAGTGACTGCTGTGTGCCTGCGTACTCCTTGGTCTCTGATCCTCATCACATCCAGCAAGATACTGCTATTATCCCCCTCACACAACAAATGAGGAAATTAAGGTTCAGAAAGGTCAAAAAAATCGCCCAAGGCCTCACAAGCAGTAAAGGGCAGGCTTGAGATTTGAAATTAGCCTGAGCTGTTTCAACACAAAACTCAATTCCAGCTCTTAAGGAGTTCCCAATCTACTGCCCTAAATACTGCCGAGGCCATTTCCCTCTCGAGTTTCCACTTGGGTCCTTCTTGGCCTGAGCTCCCTCTCCTCCCCTTTTCCCTCTGGGAGCAGACTCCTGCTGGCAAAAGGCTGGTGGTCTCCACTTCCCTTGCCTCCTGCCAGTGTAGGCAATGCAAACTTCTCACTGGAAAACACCATGCCTTCTGGACAAAGGCTCTGTGTGATGTTCTAGGACCTGCCCGACAGGCCTTCTGTGAAAAGACCCAGCTGGGGTAGCTGTGCTGCCAGGCCTTGGATGGGCAGAGTTCATAAACAGCTTCTCCAGCCATGGAGCTCCAAATGCACCCAAGCCAGGTGCTGCCTACCTCAGTGTCCAACCAGCCCCAGGGCTTGGCCAGACAGAGTCCTGTTCTGGGAAACCAGCAGGGCAGCTGGATGTTCAGGGGCGGAGGCTGTAGGTGGGCTCCTTCACAACAGAAAATAAGCTTCTGAGTCAGGCAGACCCTGCTTTAAATCCCTTTAAATCTACCACCTTCTACCTTCCTGACATTAGGAAAGTGGCTTCTAGCCGGGCGCGGTGCCTCATGCCTGTAATCCCAACATTTTGGGAGGCCGAGGCAGGTGGATCATGAGGTCAGGAGTTCAAGACCAGCCTGGCCAACATGATGAAACCTTGTCTCTACTAAAAATACAAAAATTAGCTGGGCGTGGTGGCACATGCCTGTAATCCCAGCTACTCAGGAGGCTGAGGTAGGAGAATTGCTTGAATCTAGGAGGCAGAGGTTACAGTGAGCTGAGATCATTTCACTGCACTCCAGCCTGGGCAACAGAGCAAGAGTCCATCACAAAAAAAAAAAAAAAAAAAAAAAAGAGAAAGTGACTTCTGCTGCCAGAGCCTCAGCTCCCTCACCTATAGATGAAACTCATAACATCTACTGTCCCTAGCCCAACACTTGGATCTCAGTCTCTTCATCTCCTGAAATAGAAGAGTTGGACCACATGACCTTGAGATTACTATCTGAAACACTTCCTATGCAGGCTGGGGTGAAGGTGTCCTTCCTGCTCCTGGGTTCAGTGAGGAATTTAGATGTCTTTCTCAAGGTAAGTTCATCCCTGTGGGAGAGTCCCTGGTTTAATTCAATAAATTTTATTGGGCACCCCATAATGCATACCATACTAAAGCTTCAACGTACAAAGATAAACAAGCATAGGCCCTGCCCTTAAGGAACTGATAGACTAGGCCAGCAGGAATGATAAGACTCATAAAAACAACCATTGTACATAGTGGAAAGTGATAAGTGCACAAGGAGGGGTACAGATAAAAGACCAGGAAGGTTGAGAGCAGGCAGAGGGTGACTCTGGGCTGGGAGGGAGCTAAAGATGTGGCCAGTCCATAAAGAGTCTTGAATGAGTTTGGACTTTATAGGGCCAACTGTTGAAAGCTCTTAAAGGTTTCTGACCAGGCAGTGGGCAGATCAGAGCCATGGGGGCTGGAGCTTTTTGTTAGTCTTCTACCATCTGGAGTAGTCAGACCGTAGAATTTCTAAAAGGGAAAGGGCCCTTTTCCACCATTTTCACAAGGGTTTTGTTCCCTGGATGAAACCGTTCAAGATTTGCATAAAATGTGCAGCTGTCAATGGCTGCCCTTTGTTCTGGCCCTGAATCTTCTGCAGCATGATGCCTACTGTCTTTCTTCTCTGTGCCCTCTCACCCAGCTGTCTCCCTGCATGAAAGACAAGAGAATGAGGCACATGGGGCAGGAGGCCGGCACCCAGCTCAGGGAAACAGTCCTGCCTCAACAAAGTCCCCTGGGACCTTTGCTGCCGTACCGCCTTGCCTTGGCCCAGGTCCCAGGATTATGGGAGAGAGTTGGCCTGTTGAGGAGAGAATGTGTCAGTGAGTTGCAGTGCCTTGAGTCTCCTGAGACGTGTGCGTGTGTGTGTTCAGGACTAGGTGTTTTGCAGCTGATTTCAATCTAGGTCAGAATTGTGCAACCCTCAGCACGTTGCTATCTAGAGAAGATAAGCTTGAACAATCCCTTCCAGGACCAGCAGCGATAAACTACGGCTCTGAATGTAAACACAGCTGTTTGGCAAGCTCTAATTTCTGGAAATGAAGGGGCCTGCTGCATTAGCAGAAGGGATCCAGGTGTATCATGGAGTTGTTTAAACCTCCCAGAGGGGCTACTGCTGACCCTCTCTTCTGAAGAAAAGTCCAGGAGAGGTGCTGGTGAGCTTTGCCCCAGTCACGCTTCTACCACTTGGCTCATCCAAGCCAAAACTGACAGGGCCATGGATGGAGGAAGACACCCACTCACTTGCCATGTGGCCTTGACTGAGTCATCTTGTCTTATTGGCATCCATGTCCCCATCCGTAAAATGGAGCTAGTGCAGTAAAACCACATCAGTGTGAAAGCAAAGAAAATCTCAAAAGACCTGTGAACGAGCAGAAGAAATGACCTCTCTTATCAGTCTATCCCCTTTACTCAGATAAAAATCCCTTAGAGCTCCTCCTGGAGCCTGTGTTTTCTTGGTTGTTTTTTTTTTTTTTTAACTTTTTTTTTTTTTTATACTTTAAGTTTTAGGGTACATGTGCACATTGTGCAGGTTAGTTACATATGTATACATGTGCCATGCTGGTGCGCTGCACCCACTAACTCGTCATCTAGCATTAGGTATATCTCCCAATGCTATCCCTTCCCCCTTCCCCCTCCCCCCACCCCACCACAGTCCCCAGACCAGAGTGTGATATTCCCCTTCCTGTGTCCATGTGATCTCATTGTTCAATTCCCACCTATGAGTGAGAATATGCGGTGTTTGGTTTTTTGTTCTTGCGATAGTATACTGAGAATGATGGCTTCCAATTTCATCCATGTCCCTACAAAGGACATGAACTCATCATTTTTTATGGCTGCATAGTATTCCATGGTGTATATGTGCCACATTTTCTTAATCCAGTCTATCATTGTTGGACATTTGGGTTGGTTCCAAGTCTTTGCTATTGTGAATAATGCCGCAATAAACATACGTGTGCATGTGTCTTTATAGCAGTATGATTTATAGTCATTTGGGTATATACCCAGTAATGGGATGGCTGGGTCAAACGGTATTTCTAGTTCTAGATCCCTGAGGAATCGCCACACTGACTTCCACAATGGTTGAACTAGTTTACAGTCCCACCAACAGTGTAAAAGTGTTCCTATTTCTCCACATCCTCTCCAGCACCTGTTGTTTCCTGACTTTTTAATGATTGCCATTCTAACTGGTGTGAGATGATATCTCATAGTGGTTTTGATTTGCATTTCTCTGATGGCCAGTGATGATGAGCATTTTTTCATGTGTTTTTTGGCTACATAAATGTCTTCTTTTGAGAAGTGTCTGTTCATGTCCTTCGCCCACTTTTTGATGGGGTTGTTTGTTTTTTTCTTGTAAATTTGTTTGAGTTCATTGTAGATTCTGGATATTAGCCCTTTGTCAGATGAGTAGGTTGCGAAAATTTTCTCCCATGTTGTAGGTTGCCTGTTCATGTTGAGAATATGCTTGGTTTTCTGGCTTCCGAGCCTATCATAGATGACAAACAATTGATGAGCAGGAAGTTCAGCTGCTAGAGATAGGCACACTGATTGCTGATAGAAACATAAAAAAGCAGAGAGAGAGCAAGGAAATGGAAAGAAAAACTGTAGGGCAGAAGCAAGATCTTCCAAAGCAATGGGAACCGTTTAGTACTAGGGCAAAGGCATTTACACGTGGCAGTATCTACAAAGCCATCTGCCTAGGAGCCTGGTATGACAATTGATGCTTACAAAGGCTTTCCAAGGAAATTTCAAATGATTGTACTCTGTAACTACTGTTTAACAAGGCAGGGCTTTACCGAATGTTATTTTAGGAAAATTTTCTTACAAATGTTTCTAGTAAATAAAGTTTTGGTGCTTAAGGGGGAAACTTTTCAATATCTTGAAATTTCATATATGGGAAAATACATAACTCTTTCACGAGTGCTCTGGAGGACACAATTATACCTGTTCTCTGCATGCCAGAGTTTTGTCCAAGGATCAAATCAAATAATAGAGATGCTATTGTACTGAAAATGTATAAAACACTACCCAAATTAACCACTAGGACAGTGAGGAGCAGTCACTTTGGTCTGGAATTCTTCTTTCTTTCTTTTTTTGAGACAGAGTTTTGCTATTGTCATCCAGGCTAGAGTGCAGTGGTGCGATCTTGGCTCACTGCAACCTCTGCCTCCCGGGTTCAAACTATTCTCCTTCCTCAGCCTCCCAAGTAGCTGGGATTACAGGCATGCACCAACACACCCAGCGAATGTTGTACTTTTAGTAGAGATAGGGTTTCACCATATTGGCCATGGTTGGTCTCGAACTCCTGACCTCAGGTTATCCACTGGCCTTGGCCTCCCAAAGTGCTGGGATTACAGGCATGAGCCACCATGCCCGGCTGGTGTTGAATTATTCTTGAAGACTTCTTAGAAATGATACTAACAAACATGCTTGTTGATGAGTTGGCCTGGAACGTAAATTCATTATGCCTTCACTTGTATTTAGAGTGTGAACTTTTCCCAACACAGATGCCACACCCACTGTGGGAGGCGCTAAAAGGGGGAATTGGGAAATAAAATTTGCAATCAGAAGAAATGTCTTTGTTCAGTGAGTGGAGCTGTTATCTTCACATCGGGGTAAACACTGTGGGCTTGTAGAGAAATGCAACCCATTGAGCTACACACCTCTGTCTGGGACTCACTGTGCCCTGGGATAAGGAGAGGCACCCAAGAAGCATGGGGCTGCCCTCAAGGAGCTTACGGTCTGGTGCTTTTCAAGGCCACCAAGGTGGCTGCCCAATATGAGATATCGACAATAGCAGCCCTCCTGACACTTTTTTCTTTAAATACATTTCACTACACAAATCATAATTGTTTATGTAGAAAAAGAAAATATAGGTGATAAGATGAAAAAGTTAATATCTGCAACCCATCACATAGAAATAACCAGTATTAACATTCTAGTTAATAATCAACATTAACAAATTGTAGAATTGTTTATATAAGTGAGTACAATAATGGGATCATATTTGATATTGACCTCTTTTACTCAAAAATGAGCCCCCCCAGTACATTTAGAGTGATGAGAGAAGACAACCTCAGAAACACATCCTGTATGCTGAGAATATAAATTCTTCATCTATTCCAAATGTAAATTTCTGATATACTAAAGATGCAATTATAAATATATGGAGCCATAAAAGTATTATAAGCAAACAGAGGAAAATAATTACATAACATCAGCATGGGGAGACTGCTTACACAAGACAGGAAACCCAGAAGCCATGAAGAAAACTATTATAGATTTGAATATTGAAACATTTTAAACTTCCACATGATGAAAGACAGCACAAAGTTTAAAAAAATGATAGACCTAGGTAAAATATTTGCAACACTTAAAACATGAAAGATTAATATTCCTAATATCAAACACAGACCTCTGGCAGTTCAGTACCTGCTTCAGACCCTGATACTCACCCCTGGGAGCTTCAAAACACAGTGTCTTTTCTCTCTGCCAACAGATGTTTATGCTTAATGTACAAAAAGTGCCTATAAGTAAGAACAACTCAAACATCCAAATAGATAAATAGGAAAGAAATATAAACAAAGAATTCACAGAGGAAAGGCAAATGGCCCATAAACATAAAAAGATGTTCTCTGTTGTCAAGGAAATGCAATAATTAAAAACTTGATAGTACAGAGTGCTTGCAAGGATATCTGGAGTTCTCTCACACACTGCTAATGCAAGTGTAGACTGGCACAACTTTGGGAGGAAGGTGATTTCATAGAATCTACTAAAATGTTAAATGTGTGTCCTTTTTGACCCAGCAACCCCATGTTCAGTACTCTGTCTTACAGAAATAATAACACAGATTCATAAACCTGTACATCCATTGCAGCAAGATTTGTAATAGAAAAACATTTAAACCAAGAAAAACATCCATCAGTAGGTTGTGTTAATTATCATTTATCCATATTAGGGAATATTATACAGTCACTGAATAGTACAATATTTTATCTGTGTTGACTTGAAATGATATACACATATTGTTGAATAGAAACAAAGCAAGTGTCAGATCAATATGTACAGTAATATGTAGCTTGTGAAAATATGCATGTGTATCTATATCTATACATATTTGTGTCAGTATAAGCCTAGGGAAAATCTGGAGGTATTTGAACCAAAGCATTATTAATACAAGTCTGGGAAGGGTATTGGATTGGTGAGGAAGAAGACTCTTCTCTTTACACGCATTTTTTATAGTTGAAAGTATTCTCTCTGCTTTGTATGTAAATTTACTGAGGCTTATAGAAGTTGTCATTGCCAAGGTCAAATAATGGAGCTACTGAGTAGCAGAACCAGGCTCTGGGTGAGGTTCATTCGGCCCCAAAGCCCATGTTCATTTCACATTGCTAGGCTGCTCCCGAGGTATAGGGTTAGCAAGAATAGCTTACAGGATTCTATCTGAGATCTTAAGGACCCAGGCAGACAAGATTAAGTCTATGACTAGCCCTAGAGGCATTGCTTGGATGTTTCTGGAAGCAGAGGAGAAAGGGTGAGTTGCAGGGATGTCCTGGGGACACACCCTGCTTTCAACTTTTGCCTCTGTTCCTGGAGGTGCTAGGCGGTAGTCACTGAGTGATCTAGATTGCCTTTCTGGGATGCTTTTTTTCTTCCTCTCTGTACCGTTTCCTCAGTGGTAAGTTGTGAGAAAGATGATGTGCCTGTTGTCTTATCCACAGATTTTCTGAGAGGACAAAAGGCGATTACTGTGGACTCCTCTAAAGGCTGCAGCCATAAGGAAAAAAAAATTTCTAATCTGAAGAAATGAAACGAAGCTACAAATGAAACAAAGAAATGAAACAAAGTTATAAATGAAACAAAGTTACAAAGAAGTACTTAGCCTCCTGAGAGGACCATCCCTGCACCCTTGCTGTGCTCAGGAGTCTTGAGCTCTTAGAGGCTAAGGCGTCTCATTAGCTACCCTAGGCAGAAAATGTGAAGAAGGCCTTAGCAGGCAGCTTTGCCCTGGGATGCCGCTCTCCACCTTGTTTTTCATGTGCTGGTGCTGCTTTTGCCTAACTCTCTGACCAACTGCCTGAATCAATATGACAGAGCAGCCCTATCCTGGTTGACATTCCTGGACTTGGCTTTTCCCCTGCTGGTCTCATGGCACTCACCTGATCCTTCCTCCCGGTAGGTTTCACACAGAGCACTTCTAGGTAGCCGTGCCCTGGGCAATGTGACTCACTGACCAGCTGACACACTTCAAATTCCAAAGCTGTCAGGGTTCACTTTGACTCATCATCCTATCGACATGTACATGCAGGCTGATCAATTTCCAGTGACCTGCCTCTGGATAGTAAAGTCCCTGAGGACAGTGACCATGTCCATGTGTCCGCTTTGTTCACCAATTGCACACTCAGGACCATAGAAGACTCCTAGAAGAACCTGGTGACTAAATGAATATAGGAAGAATCTACTTAGGCTCCCTTTTCCCCTGCCATATAAAACAGCTTAAGTCATTGAAGATAATCCACTTGAGCGGGGATTGGCAGACATTTTCTGTAAGCAATCAGCTAGTACATCTGGGCAACATAGTAAGACCTCGCCCCTACAAAATAAATTAAAAATCAGCTGGGCATGGTGGCAAGTACCTATAGTCCAGCTATTTGGGAGGCTGAGGTGGGAGGATTGCTTGAGCCTGGCAGGGTAATAAGCCTGATGGCACCACAGCACTCCAACCTTGGCAACAGAGTGAGACTCTGTCTCAAAACAAATCTGGGATTCCCAGGCAAGTGGCAAAATCGAGGTTATGATATAGGTACTTAAAAAGCAGAAGAGAAAACAAATTCCTATGATATTTGTATTAGTGAAGTTCAAAGTATAATAATGAATACAGTTTTTAGATAAAACATATCTCCTAATAAGAAGATTAAAATTCTTTTTTCATAAATAGCATTTTCCTTAGTTGGGGCTCAAAGTGTTCTATCATTAAAATCAATTGCAAATGTTCATCTGCTAATGCTGATGTGTAAAGAGATTTTATGTATTTCATATTTGATTTTCATATAATTCGCATATGTCATAAAATATTCTTTTAATTTTTTTATTGATTCTTAGCTTGAGGGCAGCACAAAAACAGACAGTGGGCTGGATTTGGCTTCAGGCTGTAGTTTGTCAGCCCCTGCACTTGAGGATACTAGAGAGTAAAGTATTCTCATTCTCTCTCTCGCTCTCTCTCTTTCTGGCCTCAATCTTCCAAGTCCTGCATTTTCTAAAACCTTGGGGTTTCCAAGACACTTTCACTCCTGTTCTTGGTGCCCCTTCCTTCTCAAAGAAGGAAACACAAGTCTGAGCCTGACAACTCCAGAGAATACGTCCCAGGGGCTTCGTTATTTCCCAACTGAGCAGAGTCAGAGCTGCTAAAGGCCTTTCCTTTTCCAAAGCTGGCATTAGGTCTCTGTCAACCACACAAAAACCGCTGGGAAGGGCTTGCCTGTGCTGCTTCTCCACCTCAAACCACAGAAGAAGGGCGGCCTCAGAGAGGCTGGGTAATGGGAAACAGTTGTGCTTGCCCAGCCCCGCTCACGGAGGGAACATAATCAAATGCATAAAATCTCACTGCATCCTGAAAAACATATCATTTTGGGAAGACAACTGACCACAGCACAGAGTTCAGTGTTGGCAAAATAACATAAATAATGCACTACAAGGACCTCACCTTTTGTAAATATAGAGAATACTAAGGAGATCAGATACTTGTGAAAGCATCAATCATTCATGGATTCATTAATCTATTCAACAAATTTTTCAAGGGTCTCTCATGTGTCAGGCACCGTATCAGGCCATGAGCATACTGCACACTGCAGAAAATAAGACAGTCTCTGCTGTCATGAAGTTTGTAATGGTGTTTAAGAGCATTTGCTAAAGCTCAGTGTTCCATGGTACATTATAAATATTTCTTGAATTAAAATGATTGCATGGTGAAATAGTTGGGGAAAACAGGGGTTAATAAAATAACCAGGTTACTTGATTGTGAAACCTTTCTGTGTGGCTTTCCATTGAGAGTCTCAAGAGAGAAGTATATAGAATGCAGCCTTCCCAAGCTTATTTAACTGTGGCATTCTTTTGTGAGTTGTATTTTGTGGCACCAGAGTCACATGGAACATAGTTTGGAGAGCACAGCTCTCAGGACCACTGGGCACACCCATGTAGGTTGTGCACTGAACAACTCTGATGGGACCACTCTCATAGACTACCATATTACATGGTGCCCTGGAGCTGTATGACAGTGGACATGATCTCTGTAACTACAGGGCAGAGCATGGGCAGCACAGCGTTCATTTGACTACCGCTCAGCCTCCTAGCCTCTCACTTTTTCCCACAGAACAGCAAAGGTGCTAGTGGTTTTACCCACCATTGTTTTTGCCCCATCAGTGTGAATGTCAACACAGTGAGAAAGGCAAATAAAATCTCAATGTGGTTATAAAAATAGTTTTGACTTCATGCAGGGATCTGCAGACCACACTTCGAGAACCATTGACTTACAGCTAGCAACCTCAGAATTAGAGTGTGTCTTTTTGATGGTACTGACAAAATCACAGGGAACATTTTGATTGGCCCATTTGGATTATGTTCCTCATCCTGAATCAATTGCTGTGATGAGGAGGATGAGGTTCTCTGATTAATCAGGCTTGGATCATGTGAACACCTCTCTGGGAAGGACAGGACAGATGGGCCCATGCAAATCACAGGGAATGGGTTCCCGCAATAAGCAGTGGTTTTCTTGCAGGAACAAGAGGGAAGGGATATTGCACAGGCAAAAATAACTTATGTAAAACATCAGTTCAATAGGGTAAAAGAAGTTAGTGCCTAGGCTAGTGGCTGGGCCTATTCCTGGGAGAACCTGAGGCCAGCACCAGGCAGGAGAATGGATTAAAGGTGATGAAAAGATTCTTAGGCAGGATCCCTGCCCCTGAGGGCACCATGTCCTGCAGCCAGTCTGGCTTAGCCCAGCAGGCAGGATGAGGCAACCAGACCCAGGTTTGGTCAGGTTGTGTGTGTGTCTGCAGTGGTGGGTACTATGTGTGTTTGCAAGGGCAGGTGCTTCTCTCTGTGGCTCCCATCAACAATGTTGGGGTATGACTGTTTATATGTTCCCTATCTTAGCCAGACTTGATTCAGGAATTGGAATCCAGTGGGTCTTCAGGCATGGCTGATAGATCAAGGCAAAAGGGATTCAGATATTAGAAGCTGGGGATGGAGAATGATTCTCTAGACCATTCATAAGTCAATGGAAATTCATTATGTCACACCAGCCATTGCAGTTTAAAAATGGCACTCACTCAAATGCGATTTGACCTGTCTGAGCTTTTTCACTTTTGCCATTTAACACTCTGAATCTACTTACTTACTCTCAGAATTACTGAAACACTGAACTAATACAACCAATCAGGAGCATTCAACTCTAGTAAACAAAACTCTTCACTCCTGAAATATTCTCATTCTCAGATGTCCTCGATGCCATACTTTTCCCAGATTTCCTCCTAATTCTCTGGCCGCTGCTTCTCAGGCTCTTTGCATATCCCTCAGATGATGGAAGTCTTTAAGGGCTCTGCCATAAAACCTCCTTCCCTTCAGGCAATCTGATCTGTCCCCAGTCTCTAAAGACATTTCTTTCTTAAACCACTGCAAACCACACTGCCTTCTGCATGCACAAATATGTTCTTTGTGTACTAAGTCTCCATCAATACTCTCCTCAAGAGCCTGGGATAATCAGAGCAATCAATACACTATGGGCACCAACGCTATCGTAAACCTAAACATACATGGGTGGGTGTGGGGGGTGGAGGGGTCAAGTCATTTGACCATCCAGATGTCCAGACTATGGTATGGGTATGGGGGAATGTGTGGATATGGTTCTGTGCATATGCCTATTTTTCTTTTTTCTTTTTTTGAGATGGAGCCTCGCTGTCTTGCCCAGGCTGGAGTGCAGTGGTGCAATCTCAGCTCAATGCAACCTCTGCCTCCTGGGTTCAAGTGATTCTCCTGCCTCAGCCTCCCAAGTAGCTGGGTTTACAGGCGCACATCGCCATGACCAGCTAAGTTTTGTATTTTAGTAGAGATGGGGTTTCACCATGTTGGCCAGGCTGGTCTCAAACTCCTGACCTCAAGTTATCTGCCTGCCTTGGCCTCCCAAAGGAATGGGATTACAGTTGTGAGCCACTGTGCCTGGCTGCATGTACCTATTTTTCTACCCATCTTTCAGATTGTCATTAAAATGAAAAAAAAAAAAATCTATGAAGACTAGGAGAGGACTTGACTACAGCCCCTTGAGAATACGTGATTGCTCAACCTTTAACTGCTTAAATGAGTTTGTCTTATGTGCAGGCACATGCAGTAGGTGCTATGAGGGCTACAGGGTGAAAACAGGGTGAGGAGGAGAGGACCTGACCCAGATGCACGACTGTCAGCAGAAGAAGTTTAAGAGCCCCATGCAGTCCAGTCCCAGCATGTTGTGTATTAAAAAATCTAAAAGAACTTTATCCATATATTTTAATACACACAATTTTTTTTACATTTTAACATTCCTGAAACTAGGATGTATTTAACAAATGTGTGTTAGAGTTTAATTGACTGTGTCGTTTTCTTTCTTAATTGTACAAAAAATAAAGATGAGAGAGTTACAATTGATGCCCTCTTAGATGAAAAATATTATTCGGATCTTTCAAAGAACATAAAGTGAGATCAGATATGCAATACATAGCAACATGTCGTTAAATCTCTCCTTTTTTTGGAGATTTAACCCAGAAGCCTCACATTCTCTCTCTACTCTCCACCAAAACACCTCAAAACATCCCTGACTGCTTCCCCAGAAAGAGTGTGAGAGTGTGTTCTCTTTCTTCCTCCCCCGCTTTTTCCTCTTCTCTCTGGAAGTCCATCTCAACCATCCTTGGTGGGCCTCTCCCCAGCCCCGCTCCTCTGGCTCTTCCCCAACCCTGCTGATTGAGCTGCTCTACTTAATAAGAAAAAGAGAGAGGAGTAAATGCTTGGCAGTTAAAATTTTCTTTAGCAAGGATGAGGAAAGAGATAGAGGCTTTGCATAGTCCCACAGGAATACTTGTTGAACCAGGAGCCAAAAGAAACAGGCAGATAGAGCGGCTGCAGCCCAGGGCCAGGATGGATGGGAGTGTTACCTGTGATGGGGCATCCCGGGAAGGCTCAGATTTGAAACTGCCAAACGTGACAGCTCTCAGGGAGCTTCATATGCACGCATACACACTTGCACACATGCACATGTGGACAGACACAGGCACTTGCACACACGTGTTTAAATAATAGGTTGATGTCTTTCTCTGCTACGTCACACCAGGAGGGAAGGAGGCTGGGCCAGGATGATGGTCTCATTTCCAGAGAGGAAAAGGCCTGGGGGTGAGGAGGGGAGGTAGGGGGAAAAGGAAGTGACCCAATCAAGTCACCCTGCAATTCAGTGGAAGAAGCAGGATGGGCAGCATAGGGTTCATATGGCTTTCCTGGGCTGGCTGGGCTGTCTCAGGTGGGAAATCTGGGCTGCAGAGAGCTTGGGGGATTTGTCTCATCCCAAAGCAGAAGGGTTGCATTAGCCTAGCTGGCTCGAGACCAAGGCATCAGAGGGGCCGAAGTCACACACCTATCCCCACACCTGAAGTAAAAACTAGCCACAAAAGGCTGGACAACATGCTGATGAGTGGCCTCCCCCAGATGAAGAAGCCTCATAACTGGGGAAATGTGGAGCTGGAAGGAGGAAGGGGCAGCAGGAAGGCAGCCTACGGGGAGAAGATCATGCTTCCCCAGGACCTTAGGAAAAACAAGGGAAAAGCTGGGAGGATGAGTCTACAGAGAGAGGGAGGAAGGGAGCCCCACTTTGGCCACCCAGCTGCACCCTAGTGTTTGGGTCCTTGGCCCCTATAGTGTCCAGCAGCCAGCTGTGGAGTCTCAGTGTTCTCATGGTTGGAGAAGACCCCTGGGAGAGCTCAGGAGGCTCTTGCTGATGTGGGTGGGCTGCACCCTGACTGGCCAGTTCCCACCTCTCTGAGCTGAACGCTGTTGCTGTGACAGGATCATGCAAGAAGCCAGTCCTGGGTATGCTGAGTGTGCCATGCCCTTTGCTGGGTGCTCAGCAATGGGAATATAAATAAGGGGAGAGGCTGTGCTCAGGAGGAGCTCAGGAAGAAATCGTGTGTCAACACAGGTGCAGCTGAAGTCCAAACTGCTTTGCAAATCCCACCCCAGAGCAGAGCTGCCAAGGCTGCCTGCACCCTAGGGATTGCCAAAGGCCTGCTCTGAGCTCAGAGCCTGTGGAAAAAGTCAGTAAGGTTTTATTAGGAGGTGGATTTGTAGACCTGGGATAGGTGGGGAGGAACCCCTGAGACTAAGAGGCCTAGTTCCCTGGGGGCTTTCAGAGCTGGTCCCATGCCAAGCTTCAAAGCCTCCTTCTCAGCCCCTACTCTCTGGTAATTCCTGGCTGCAGGGTATGTGTGTGTCTGGGAACAGGTCAAGTTTAATTATTAATCATCTGGCTGGCCTAATCAATCTAGACCAAGGTCTCTCTCTTCCAGGGCTGTGAAATTCCCACTCAGTGACCCAAGTCTCCCAGTGCTTTTTAGACATGAAGAGAGGAAGGTGCCAGGAGCCTCCCTGCAGCCCTTGGGTCTTTGGAGGCATTGAATAGGTGTGGGCATCAGGCAGGCAGTCAGGCAGGCGTGGTTTGCAAAGTGCAGGGTGAACCAAGGCCATCTACCCAGTGTTGACAGAACTGTCATAAACCCTGCTTTGTTCTCAGCTCTGCCTGGGAAGGTCCTAGAGAACTGGGTGGGCCTGGCTAGGTGGAGGTGCAGAGTGAGGACAGACAGGTTTGGGGAGGAGATGCCCCTGGGGACACAGAGATGCAGCCTACACAGGAGCCCTGGCTCTGTGGCTATAGAAGAAGCCAGCTGTTAAAAGGCCAAGCTTTGGGCAACATAAGCAGGGCTGTGTTATCCACTTTCAGAGCCAACTGCCAGCCCTGGGGTAGGGGGACCAGGGAAGGGAAGGATGGGTAGGGGGAGGGAAGGTGGTGGGCGGGTAGGGTGCTCCCTGGCACTGCTCCAAGGACCCACCCTGCTCCTAGAGCCAGCCAGCTGTGCCAGTCCTCATGGTACTTGGGCAGAGGTACCATGGGTTGGTACCTGGGCAGTGTGTGACTGGGCAGAGACTTAGGACTCAGGTCTCTGTTGCTCCAGCAAGTCCCAGAAGTGAGCAACAGATAACTTAGTCCTTCAACTAACATTCACTGGTATCTGCTCTGTAGTGGGGATACCAGTGTGCACAGGGGAAGCAGGATACACTTCTTGACCTTGGAGACTCAATGACTACTGCAGAGGCAAATCTATAAACAGATAACAAGGAAACATGATAAGGGCTATAAAAGAGGGGCCTCTTGGGAGGCCAAGGCTGGCAGATCACGAGATCAGGAGATCGAGACCATCCTGGCTAAAATGGTGAAACCCCGTCTCTACTAAAAATACAAAAAATTAGCCAGGCGTGGTGGCGGGCACCTGTGGTCCCAGCTACTCGGGAGGCTGAGGCAGGAGAATGGCGTGAACCCGGGAGGCGGAGCTTGCAGTGAGCCAAGATGGCACCACTGCACTCCAGCCTGGGTGACAGAGTGAGACTCCGCCTCAAAAAAAAAAGAAAAAAAAAAAAGAGGGGCCTTTGTGTGTGTGTCTGGGCTAGGGGTACAAAGTGTTCTGGGACACAGTGGGGGACCAGCAATACCTGCAGGGAGGTCAGAGAAGTCAAGGAAGGCTTCGTAAAGAAGACAACACCTAAGTAGAATGTTAAAAAAAAAAAGTCGTAGTTTCCAGGTAGACAGAAAGGGCCAAAAGGTATTCCTAGCAGTGGGAAAACCATTTACAAAATCAAGGAGCTGGAAGGGGCCTATTTGGGAACCCCCGAGGCACTGAGCATAGCTGAACCACAAATGGAGGCTGTGGGGGTGAGAAGGTGGGTGGAGAGGAGGCAAGATTAAGTAGGGTCGGTGGAGGGCCAAGCTAAGCCATACGAGGAGCCCAGGAGACAAAAACCACAGAGACCAGGCTGGCCGACCCCAAGCAAGCCTGCCTCATGGGTAGGCTCCCCTGCTGGGGGCAGGAGGATGGTAATAAGGACCATAGCTCCCCACAGGCCCATGTGGGAGATTCAGGTAGAGAAGTGACCACCCCCCACCTTGTGATTGACAGCAAGTCTCCACTCTTATTTTCTTCCCAAAAACCTCTGGCACGCACAAGGCACACATCAAATGCACAGATGGGAAAACCGAAGCAACAGAAGGTAAACATTTGCCTACATCTCAGAATGAGTTCATTGTGGATTTGACCCAGGAACTCAAGGTCCTGATTCCCAGCATGGAGATCTGTCCCTGAGCCAGAAAGCTCTGTTCTTCCTAGGCTTGCATACAGTGATGGTGAGAGATCTCACGGGCAAACGGGGCACACCTTTTGCACCCCTCCTCCCTAGGCCGCTCCTTATCAGACAGGTTTGAGGGGAAGTTCCCAAACTGCCAGAGAGAATCAGCACTTCCCAGTCAGGCTTTGTTCCCTCCTGGCTGTGGTCATCCGTTTGGGGTAACCCCAAAGAATAAATGCTGGAGAGGTTTATTTCCCCCAACAATCCAAAGAGCAGGGGCCCCACCCTAGAGCTCTCTATTGTCAGGTGGGTGTGGCAGGGCACTCAGGTAGTAGAGATGATGGTGGCCTCCTCCTTGGCCTGTGAACACTGGTTCCTGGAAGTTCAGCCACTTAACAGAGAAATTTGAAAAACAGAGCTTGAAAATAAACCCAAACAAAAATTCATGAACTCCAGCCAGCATACTCACTCTCAGGTGGCTGGGCAGGTGTGAGCAAGGATCAGGCCTTCGGACACTGGGAGGTGTTGCCCCAACATCAGGAACCAGTTCACACAGACCAGAAGCCATCCCAGTGTCCCCGCTCCCACTATGCTCTTCTCCAATGTTGGGCTGTGAGCTCCCTAAGGATTTTTCCAACACCTCTCAGTACCTCTGTACTGTCCCTCAGGAGAATTATTCCAGAATATAGAGTCAAGTAGAACAATCTCCCCAGATAACCTGGAATGCTCTCTCCAGCCTAAGGACAGAGCATGTTTTTTTTTTTTTTCTTTCTGCCTTGGCTCCCAGGAGGCTTCTAGTCACATCTCTTGCTGTATGAGCCCTTACAGACCATATATTTGCTGCCTCCAACTTTCTTCAATCCTTGTTTATAATTTTTTGTTGTCTTAATCTGGACACATGGCATCATGTATGTGCAACATCTCTACTCCATGTTGGAAACAGGTGGCAGGCAAGTCAACAATCTAGTTTCACTCAGGAAGGAGAGGTCACAAGTGCAATCCGGCTAGCATTTTGGGGCTGTGGGAAATCCCCTTTTGATCACTCCCCTTTGTCCCCAAGTCCCCTGAGAGCAGAAAGCAAGCTGCTTCTCTTTCTTCTCCTCCCTGAAACAGGAGGAACTTGAGCAGCCCCCGGGGCCCTCCTTCCTCTCTTGCCCTCAGACTCAGCTCCCCTGGAATATTCTCCCAAGTGAGAAGAAGGAAGAAACAGTATTTCTCTGGGTATAGTGCTGTGGGTGGAGGCCTTTCTTTACTTTCCAGGGAGGAGAGGTACTGGAGAAATCAGTTTCTGGAATTTAACAATCAGGAATTCAGCCATAGGTAACTGCAGTATTGCTAAATTAGACTTTCTAATTTATCCAAGCAGCTCTGGGCAGACCCAGAGTCTAGAGGCTTTAGGGAGAGGCAGGAACAGGAGGTAGGCAGTGGAGAATAGTGGCTAAGAGTGTGGTTTGACAGTCATGTGGACCTGGGTTTGAATCCCAACTCTGCCACTTACTGGTCGTCTGACCCTTGACAAACCACTTTGTCTCTCGGAGCCTCATTTTCCATCTATGAAATGGGGAGAATAACAGTACCTGCTTCTCCAGTTGTGAAGAGGCCAAGAGACAGTGCCCCTATGGAGTACACTAAGTGTGCCATGCAGGGGGACTCAGGAATCAGCAGGGCCGAGCTGACAGCAGTAGTGTCTTGTGGAAGAGGGAGAGAAAGTGTGTGTGACCCCAGAGTTCCTCGCTGACAGCAACGCGGCCCTGGGCAGTGGCCCTGTTCCTTGTTTCTCCTCTGAGTAAGGATTGCTGACTCCACACAGCTCTCTGTCTTCAGCAGCAGGGCTTCCATCAGATCTCGAGGAGCTGTTTAATAACCACAACACTTCCAGCCATTAACAAAGATAAAGACAGCATTGGAAAATTGACTTTTGCCTGAGCACAGTAAGTACGAACCCAACTAAAAATCATAACACATGCTCCCAAACCCAGTTCGATGACTGTGACACGCTCCCACCCCCATCCTTCGCCGCCTCCCCCACCCACCAGCTGCCACCAGCCCCTTCTGCCATGGCCATGCTGGTCTCCTTTTCTCTGCCTCCTACTGTCAAGCCTTTTTCACACTAAAGTGCCCCTACCTTCAATGGCCCTACCACCCAGTAAAATAAATGCTGCTTCTATTCCAGGAGCTACTGGGGAAGTCCCTGGTTGACATCTAGGGCAGTGTTTCTCTAAGTGTCATCGGTGGACTGCACCTGCATTGAATTACCCCCCAGGCTTGCTAAGATGCAAATGCCTGGGTCCTCCCCGTGACCTAATGAGTCAGAATCTCCATGGGGGCGCCAGGAATATGCATTTTTAGCAAGCTCACCAGGTGCGGCTGATGCACCCAAAGCATGAGAATCCATGATTTCTCTTGAGTCCCTTGCTGAGTGCCAAAGTCCAGCTAGGACCAGACCTGGAAAATTCACACGATAATGTAATCGAAATATCATAAACTCTCCAAGTAGCCCCAGCAAGACTCAAGGGATCTGGATTCTAGTCTTGGCCCTATACCAATAAGCTGTGTTGCCTCAAACAAGTCACCTCTCTTCTCTGGGCCTGTTTTCTGGCTTGTAAAAGGAAGAGCAGAGGCTTGGGGGTCTCTGGGGCCATCCTGCTCCAACATGCTTGGAATTTCACTCAGGATAGGCACCTTTATATGACTGCCATTGTGGGAAAAGAGAATGGGGAGTTGACAGGGTTGAGCCCAGATGTCCAACCACTGCCTAAGAGGGCAGTTAACAGTTGCTGTTGCCAGGTTTGATGGTTCATGCCTGTAATCCCAACATTTTGGGAGGCTGAGGTGGGTGGATTGCTTGAGCCCAGGAGTTTGAAACTAGCCTGGGCAACATAGTGAAACCCTATCTCTACAAAAAAAAGTTAGCCAGAGGTGGTGGCACATGCCTGTAGTCCCAGCTATTTGGGAGGCTGAAGCAGGAGGATGGCTTGGATCCAGGAAATAGAGGCTATAGCAAGCTGAGATCGCGTGCCACTGCCCTCCAGCCTGGGTGATAGAGTGAGAGCCTGTCTCAAACAAACAAACAAAGAAAAGAAAGCAAGGTTAGTATCCAAGTGCCCTGACCTAGTAGGGCATTATGAGGAGGAATCCCAGTGTCTAGGCTGTGGCAGAGTCAGGCAGGGGCAGTCTGGAGTTGATCCCTGGGGATAGGTGTGGTACAGGGAGTAGGTCTGAGTGTCAGAGGTCCAGCCTGGTGGACTGGCTCAGAACCAGGCTCTAGGGCCCACAGAGATATCAGAGAGCAAATGGGAACACCCAGGCTTGGGGGAACAACTGCAACTCGAGGGAAGGGGGTGTCCCTGGCTGGGTGTCTGCATTGCACAACTCCAGGGGGTGCCATCCTATAGGATACAATGTGGATGCCCTCTCTAGAGTTGTGCCACATAGAACAACATGCTAGGACTAGGCACCAGGGGCACCCCCAAGCATCCTGGATCCTGTACTTAGGGCAGCAGAACCAGTCTAGGCCCATTCACTGCTTTGGCCATCTGGGGCATAGATAGCAGTTGCAGAAAAGGAGGTTTCCCTACTCCTCCTGGTTGGAAACTGGAGGCCTGAGCTTGGTCCACCATGGCCACAGGAGGTGGGGGTGGGGCGCAGACAGCAACAGGCTCAGCAGGAACTTTCCTCAGACCTGCAATCTGTTCCCAGGAATTGCAGGCGGCCCCCTCACTTTGCCCTCTGGGTCCAGGCTGCCCAGCCCCTCCCTGTTGACTCAGGAGCACTGCCAACAAAAGGGAAGGGCCCAGAGAAGGTTCCGGGCCATTCAAAGGACTGGCCAACTGGGCCTAGAAGACTGGCATTGTTTTGCTAGAAGAAATGGTTGAGAAACAACTTAAGAACCCCTGAAATTTGGAGGGCTGCTGTCCAGATTGCAAAAACAAACAAGATTCGGTGACTTGCAGCACACCAAGTGCTTCCACCAGCAATTATCTTAACCCTGAAGCAACCCTGGGAGGCGATTCATTTTTTTTTTTTTTTTTTTTTTGAGACTGAGTCTTGCTCTGTCACCCAGACTGGAGTGCGGTGGTGCAATCTCGGCTCACTGCAACCTCCGCCTCCTGGGTTCAAGCGATTCTCCTGCCTCAGCCTCCTGAGTAGCTGGGACTACAGGTGCGCACCACCACGCCCAGCTAATTTTTGTATTTTTAATAGAGACAGGGTTTCACCGTGTTGGCCAGGATGGTCTCGATCTCCTGACCTTGTGATCCACCCACCTTGGCCTCCCAAAGTGCTGGGATTACAGGCATGAGCCACCACACCCGGAGCAAGTAATACTCTTATCTTCTTTTACACCCAAGGAAGCGGGCCTTAGGAAGTCATGGGCTAACAGGGGCAGGGCCAGACCTCTGCCTGTGCCTGCTATTTCCACTACAGCACTGACCACCAGATATTCATCTTCACAGGGAATGGAACTTACAGAAATGGCCTAACCCTGGTGCAGGACGCTGGGTGGCAAAGCTAGGAGTTTATAAGAGGCCAAGAAATGTTCGTATCTGAGCCTCCAAAAGGACAGCAGCCCCCACTTAGTCAGACTCATCCCCCGAGGATCACCCCTGAGAATCTCTGATTCTCTCTGGTAGCCTAACTGGAGCCCTAAGAAAACCTGTTTTGTCCTCTCTGTTCAACCCTTGAAAATAATTCACAATTCAAAGGGACCAAATCTCAACCTTTCTGCTTGATGAGCCTTCCCCAGCCAAATGTCAGGGACCCCTGCATGACACAGAGTCACTCACTCACAGCTTTCAAATTCTCTTTATTAAAAATCTTTTCTTTTCTCTTTTGTAAAAACAAACACTTTGCAGTCAGTTATACAGATCAGGAAAAGTAGTGACAATTTATAGGACACTCAACAAATTTCAATACTTTACAAGTTCAAACTTAACTTAGTGTTTTGGTTTTTCTCATAAATTCAAAAAACAAACTCTGGTCCAGTTCAAGTATAATCTAATTATCTAACAGGTCACAGCCTCGGACTGTCCAAGAATGGGAAACCCTGATACTAACGGCTGCTGCTCACACCATCAGATTTTCCAAATTCTTTGGGGATACTGTCTAGATAGATGCTATTTTGGGTGTTAACAATGAAAAGACAATTATACAGGCCTTTTGTTGTATTAACCCAGGGTAAATATGAATCTGTTGCTTAAGGGAGCAATTGCTCTTCAGCATCCTTTTTTGGGAGACACTTTGAAATGGTTGACAAAACACTGAAGAAAAGCTTTAAAAAATAAATCAATATTTACCTGGTTGCCATTAATACTGCATTGTGTGTGGCACACATAGAAATAAAAAGTGCAAATCATAGGGTCGGTGAAGGACCATGCCAATGGAATTGTATAAAAATAAATAAAAATAAATACGTATGTACACACAAGTATAGACTCTTAGATGATTTTAAACCGAAGGTTCTGATTGAAGGCAGATAGCGCCTTATCTCTCTCCCTCCCAGGGGCTCTCCCTAGCTCTCCAATATGAAGGCCAGTCTATCACAAGAGAGCCATAACACTACACGACCATCTGGATTTCCATGGAAATGCTGCTGGGGATGGGGGGTGGGGGAAGGCCAGGGTGGAGTGGAATGAGCTGGTAAAATCTTCTCCCACTTTGCTAGGGGATAAAGTGTCCAGTCTCTCTGATAATGTACAGTTCTAACCTCTGATAAAAATTGTGGGCTATTTCCAGCAAAGTTCAGCAAGAAGGCCAAAGAACTGCCCCCACAATTCCCTTCAGTAGGAAGAAAGACACACAAGATCAAAGGTTTTCTGAGAAATGGAGGAGGCATAGCTGGTGTCCAGAATGCCAGGTTCAAACCTGTGGAGTTGGCCAGGGGAACAATCTGGGCTGAGCCGTGATCTTCAGACTTTATTTGAGATACCAACTTTTCAGCAGCCCCCATATGGTCTTCTCAAAAGATAAAATTACAACAAATTTACTTTGAAGATCTTAGTTGGCCTTTATTTTTGATTCTAGAATTGGGCAACATGTCATTCTATAAAATAGAATGAGTGTTCCCATGAGCTGAGCGGAGGAGGTTGGCTTTATAGACAGAAAAGGGCTGAGGAAAGCAGACACAAAGAACAAAAACCAGACTGGTCATCTCAAAGCTGCTTTCCTTATAAAGGTTAAAACCAAGGACACTTCATCATGCTGGTTAAAACTGGCCTGTTTGGGGATTTGGCTATTCTTTCTCTCTCTCTCTCTCCTGATTTCCTGGAAGACAGAACTTCAACATGAGTGACTCCCTTTTGTTTTGGTCTGTTGGGCCTATTGCAGGAGCTCAGTCCAAACCAACAGCCTCCTATAAATTTTATTTAATAGCCTGATGATGAGTTCAGGTTTCTTGCTTCTTCCAACCTCTCCGCATCACATCTGTTCAAGTTGGTCTGCTTTCCCCTGGTGCTTGCCTTAACTGCTCTCTCTCACCAGCTCCCATGAGCCTGTCCCTTGCCAATGACTGCGTGCTTTCAGGTTTACACTGATCATTTTATGTTCTTCATTTGTTCCCTTTGTGTGCCTCAGTTACCTGATATAAAATGTTAGCCTTGAACTAATCTCTCTGCCCTTCCTCCATTAGTACAGAGGACAGAATGTACAGTATGCTCTCACATGCCATAAAAAGGAAAATGAAAAAAAACAAAACAAAACCCTACACAGTCCCTTCTCAGTCTGCCTGCCCAAGGTCAGGAACAGAAACAACAGGAACTGCCTAGGGGAGAGTGACCTGTCTTCCTTGTTTTATTTTTCCTGGGCTAAGCTATGAAGGGTGCTTTCAGGAGAGTATCTCTGCTCATGAAAACAGCTCCAGGCTCCCTTCTTAACTGCCCGAGGGCCTCTCTATGGCTGTGGCAGAGCCTCATTTCCCCCAGCACCTTTATCCCACACCCTTTCAATGGAATATCAGGCTAGAGACCCCACAGCCTGAAGGTACCCACCCTCCAGTACCAGAAAGAGCAGCGGGAATCACGACTTTTCATAACATTTTGGTATCAAAGTCTGCACATACAGTCAAACCCAGGGAGCCCTCAACTATCTGCCCAGCTGGAAAGGGTCCACCTACAGACACCCAGCAAACTTCAATGCCACTCTTTGGATCTGCAGCCTTCTCTTTCCTTAGCTTCTCCCCCAACTGGGGGGCCATTTAAAAACCATCCTACTGTGAGGTGGTTGTACCCCAGAGTGCAGGCACCAAGGCTGAATCAAGGACAGATGATGTTTCCTTGACTTAAATAAGCTCATTTAACCCCCAAGACAACTCTGTTTTCCACAGCCTGGAGCTGTGCCTCTCGAGCCAAAGCTGTGCTTTGCAGAGAGGCCAGCATTCAACCTAAGCCCGCGCCAACTGCTGCTTTAGCTGGAGGAAGATGCTTCTGTTTTTATATTTAATTACAGTGACTCTGTACCAAATTCATTGTCCAGAATAGAAAAACCCTGACATCTCCTGAAATCAAGAGGAGGGGAATAAGTTTGGAGGAAACTTATCAGAGCTTCCAAAATGAAGGGCTCTTTTCATCTTCTCTAAAATTCATTTAATTTTACTTTAAGGCATAAGTCTGGCAGATTTCTAGAATAACTGAGAGGATGAAACAGTTATTAAAAACAGGGGCTTTTCAAAAGGGTGGCCCAGTTGGAGGAAGAGGTTAATGAAGACCCTCCCAGCTCTGCCAACAGATTGTCCGTGATGTCCCCTCACCAGGACTGCAGACCTGACTCAGCTCCTCATGCAGGGGATACATGGGACACCAGGCAGAGATACTGCTGTAGACTCACTGCAGGGGTTCGCCTGACCCAGGAGTTTCCATTAAACCTTTTCCTTGCCTGACTCAGCTAGGCCTGACCTGTTATATCCTACCAAGAATTTAAACACTGTGAAAATCCCTGAGAAGTTGGGTTTTGTGAAAAGGAAACGATCCTTGGCACATAAGGAGGGAGGGAGAGAAAGAACAAGAGGAAAAGAGAGAAAAACGAATTGAAAGATTGAGAGAAACAAGAGTCAGCAGGGAGAGAGTTGGTGACCCTCAGTGGGCTGGACACACCTGGGTGACTTGCTCCTGGAGACATATCAGGGGCATTTCACTGAGTCTCTGGGAACAAGCCCAAGCAATGTGCCCTGCTTGGTTTTCCTTCCTCTCAGGCTTTAGTCCTGTCCCCAGAATCAGGAAGGCCCCACTTCAGCAAGCTCTCCTTTCCAACCTTGCAGCAGCAGCAGTAGCAGCAGAAGCAGAAGCATCAGAGCTTTTTCCTTTCGAAGCGTGGCACGATTCCGCTGTCCTCTGGCCTCGGGCTATCTGCCCCCTCGGTCTCCTTGAGGCCCTCCTCGGCCAGCTGGGACAAATATTTCTGTGGAAAGAAGAGGGGAAGTGGAGGAAGGGGCATGTTAGTAGGGACCTAGATGGAGAGGAGAGGAGCGGACATGCCTCAATCATCCCTCTCCTGGCATCTGTGCCCAGCTGTGGGGGTTACCCTTTTCCTGGTTCAGAGATCCCCACTGGGGCTACAGAACTTATGCTAAGTACCTCATTATGTTAGCTTGCAAGTAATACATGTCTCCTGTAGAAAATGTAGAAAGTACAGGCCGAGCGTGGTGTCTCACACCTGTAATCCCAGCACTTGGGAGGCCGAGGTGGGTGGATCACCTGAGGTCGGGAGTTGAGACCAGCCTGACCAACATGGAGAAACCCCGTCTCTAATTAAAATACAAAAAATTAGCTGGGTGTGGTGGCACATGCCTGTAATCCCAGCTACTCGGGAGGCTGAGGCAGGAGAATCACTTGAACCCGGGAGGCGGAGGTTGCTGTGAACCGAGATCGCACCGTTGCAATCCAGCCTGGGCAACAAGAGTGAAACTCCATCTAAAAAAAAAAAAAAGAAAAAAAAAAGAAAAAAAGAAAAGAAAAGAAAGAGTAGAAAGTACAGCTATAATAGCAAACACTTCCAAAGCCCTTATCTAGTGTCAAGTGCTGTTCTAACTGCTTGACTTAAATAAGCTCATTTAACTCCCAAAACAACTCTGTTTTCCAGAAACAGCCCAAGCTCTAGGCAACATATCTATGCTTAAAAGGCAGAGGGAGGGAAGCTGGAAGGCAGGGTAAATGAGCGCTGGCCTATGGCAATTGTGCAAAACAGCACCACGGCCTGACATTTGAGACTCTTAACAACCTGTTTCCTGTCAGGGCAGGCTAGTGGGTGGGGAGCCTTGGAGGTCTTTTGATGGATTTAAAAATGGGCCTGTCTATTCTATCGTTGAGGGCTGCCTCTGCATGACCCCAGAACACTCACTGCTATGACTGGCCTCGGCCCAACACCATGAGGCAGGTTGGGTTGCTCTTGGGCTATCTGGAGTCAACACAGTGAGGCAGACTGGGACAGGTTTGAGGCCCCAGCTGGGGTTCTCTGACAGGGCAGCAAGGAAAAGGCAAAGAGCACTGGATTAGGAGACAGAAGGGTGCAGACCAGTACGGTGGTTAAGTGTGTGCACTTTGAAGTCATATGACCTGGGTTCAATCCTATCCCTCAGCAGGCGAGTTATCAAATATCTCTGACATCTGTGAAGGGAGGGGAATAACAGTAACAACAACATAAGGTTGCTGTGAAGTCGAAGAGAGGCAACAAAAAGCATTCAGTACAGCGTTTGACACAGAATAAACACTCAGTAATGTTGGCTTTTCTTATTAGCAGCACCAGCCATATGAGTTGGAGAAAGCCACTCCTCTTCTCCCAGCCTCAGAGGCCTAATCTGTTAAATGGGAGGAACACTGTTGTCCTCACCCTCCCTTCTGGGGTGGTGTGTGGGTCAGATGAGAGGGTGTGTGTGAGATGACCAGGTCTGCCTGCTGTCTCCATAGAAGAGACTGCAGTTGGCTTCCAGAAACGGGTGCAGCCTGACTAGGAGAAGAGCAAACGGTGGATGGCAGCAGGCAAAGCTGCTGATGGAGGGCCTGGGTTCTCCTCTGCCTTGGCTCAGGGAGGGTAAACCGTGTGCTGAGGAAGGCAAGCGAATGAGCGCCCAGTACGTGGACACATTCCGCTCCAGGGCCTGGAGCCAAGCAGGTATCTAGTTTTCCTATCGAGCGCTGACTCCACCTGTTGTTCTGAATCACTCTGGGTGGGTTCTTGCAGAGCCGTGACCAGCCGTGGGGCACAGCACAGGCTGCTCAGAGAGAGCGGAGGCTCCTTCAACCTGCTCCCTGCCTTTAGGAGCAACCTCTGGTCCCCAACTCAAGGCCTCTCAGTGGTGTTAAGTTTAAAAGTTGCCTGATTTAAGTGTCAGCCATTACCTGCTGCTTGGGGTGGGGGAGGCTGTGTGGACAGAGGCATTCTGTCAAAGCCGCTGACAGAAATCCTATCTGGGAAGCCTGTGGTGGAAACTCCCAGCTCCCCAGCAGGTGCACCAGGTAAAGCTACACTGCAGTTGGCTGGCACGAGGGGCTTAACCAATGTCTACCCCAATGCACTTGAGAACTACAAGAATGGCTCTGGCCTGCTGCGGGGAGGGGAGTCTGCCTGGGGGCGTGGCCCAGAGGCTCAGAACACAGTGCAGTCCACTGCCCTGGGAAACATACATGAATTAGAATTAGAGGCCCTGGCAAGTCTGAACTCTTCCTAACTTCCGAGGTGACCTTGAACTATGTGGCCCCCTGAAGGGCTGCACAATACTACTGCAAATGCTGGATGAGAGAAAAGGTTCTCACATCGACTATCAGAGCCTGATATAAGGATGGTTTACAATACAGACTCTCAGGCCCAGCCCTACAGAAAATGAGAAAACAAGAGTAGGGTGAGAGCCAGGAAGCTGCATTTCTTTTTTTTTTTTTTTTCTGAGACAGAGTTTCGCTCCGTCACCCAGGCTGGAGAGCAATGATGTGATCTCGGCTCACTGCAAGCTCCACCTCCCAGGTTCAAGCGATTCTCCTACCTCAGCCTCCTGAGTAGCTTGGATTATAGGTGCGCGCCACCACGCCTGGCTAGTTTTTGTATTTTTAGTAGAGACGGGATTTCACACTGTTGGTCAGGCTGGTCTCGAATTCCTGACCTCGTGATCCACCCGCCTCGGTCTCCCAAAGTGCTGGGATTACAGGTGTGAGCCACTGTGCCGGGCCCAGGAAGCTGCATTTCAAAAAGATGCCAGCTGGTACAAAGAAGAAGGTTTGGGAAAACCAGGACCAGATGATTTCCAAGACCCCTTCCATCCTTACCATTCTGTAGGTTTCATCTTGTTGGGAAAAGGGATTGATTATGTCTTCAAGCTAGATGACTTCCCTCAGCTGGCTTTGTGGGACCCAGTCTGACCCTCCTGCTCTGGCCAAGTCAGGCCTTTCTTGCCTTGCCCGAGGAGAGGCCTAGCCCTGGGCCACAGGTGCTGTGGCTGCCTCAGTCACAGAGAAGCTGCTCTCCGGAGGGAAATCAGAGGCTTAAGTGACTTGAGTTTGGGCATAGCCTATGATACTTCTCTGCACATGGTGACCCAGGCCATGACATTATGGGTCTCAGTTTCCAAGACAAGTATAGTAGAGTAAAAAGAGGAAAGTGATTCAGAATCAGGCGATTTGATCCTAGGCCCAATAACTCACCATCTGTGTGGACTTGGATGAATTATATAGCTTCTCTGGGTCTCAATTTTCTTAATTATTAAACAAGAAAATTGGCCCATATCTGAGTTTGTTTTTTTTTTAACTAGGGGTGCACATTTGAATCTTTTGGAGAACTTTCTCAAATTACATATTCCTGCAATCTGCCTTCCACCTCCAAATTCTACTAAATATATAACTTAGTACCTGAATTTTAGAAATACTGTCCAGATGAGTCTGATTCATGTCCCTGGTTAAGAACGGCTAGATCAGTCACTTTTAAACAATTTAATGATAATAGTAATGCCTAGCCTGGGACTTGGGCACAGCCACTGTGAGGACTTCTTGAGTCAAAGCCTTATGGTTCAAATAACTAGTCTGATTCCTTGTAGTAAAAACAGGAGGTGTCTTCAGATACTTACCCCTGGCCCTCTGATATACCATGTCTTCTGTTAAGCTATCAAAACCTAGCCCATGCCAGAAGTTAATCATGAAAACCACATTCTAATATATTACATATTAATTAGGTATATATTATAGAACATATTACCATATTTCATTGATCTCAAGACACATTTTTTCACACATTAATATCTCTGAAATAAAAATTCATTTTACAGTTGATGGAGTCTCATCACTTGATTTGCAACATTTTTTTTCTAGTTGGTACCAAAAAATAGTGGTGCCTTACAAATGATGGCACCTTAGACTGGGTGAAATACGGTGTATAGAGTATTTTTTATATGTCGCCCTTTAACATACTATACCATTTATTTCATTTATTGCTTGTCACCTACATTAGAATGAAAAATCCATGAGAACAGGGATTTTTGTCCACTTTACTGTTGTTGTTCCAGTATCCCTGGTCCCTAGAATAGTGTCTGGTACCTAGCATGCCTGTGATAAGTATTTGCTGTATGGATGAACAGTTAAAAAGAACAAAGCAGTGTTTTTTTTTTTTTTTTTTTTTTTTTATTCTAGCAAGCAGGGATACCTGCATAGGGGAACAGAAACAGAGAAAAACTAGAACATCCGAGTCTTGTGGGAAGGGGTCAGTCCCAATCACAGGCCAGAGGAACACTGGCCTAACTTGAGTTACTCACAGTATAGAGGGAGAGGTGGATATTGCCAAAGCCAACCCAAACAGGATGTTTTAGGTATTAAAGTAGAGACATGTGCTAGGAGCAACACAGGAGGTAGCCACCATGTCGAGAGCAGCCTGATGGAATCAAGTCTATGGGAAGATTAGGGGTTTTCCATGTAGTGGAAGGAGACAGACACAGAAGCAGAAAACAGCCTGGTGTGCTTGGGGAATGGCAAGTAACCTGTGGCCTGGAGTAGGCCTTGCAGGTAGGAGCTAGACTCAGAGGCAAGCAAGGCCAAGGACGCCAGACACCTGGCTCGGTTATGGAGACTGGGGAGCCCCTGGCATGCTGGGCAAGGAGAGTGGATTTTTACCTGTAAGTTCCTGTAGTGGACAGCGCTGCGGCAGTGGCTCATCTTTGCTGTCTCCTCGCTCGTGTAGAACAGCCCACACAGCTTGCAATAAAAGCCAGTCCTGGGAACCACGAACTCCACCCCTGGGAAAGGATGGGGGATAGACACGCAGGGTTAGGATGGCATGGGAGGCAGGCCCCTGTGTCCTGGCAGCCATCAGGTAGAAATGGGAGCCACGAGCTCCACCCCTCACTTGCTGTTGACCTTGGCTGGTTACTGAGCTTCTCCAAGCCTCAGTTTCCTCACTTGCAGAACAGTCACAAAGAGACTCACACCCACTTCATTCACAGGTTGTTGTGAATGTAAGGGATGGACTCGGCGGTGTGGTAAGCACTTAGCCATTCCATGGCCTGCCGCTGGCCTGTTCTCCTACTATCAGCCTCCTTCCAAGAACAATGAAGGTGATTTCTGACATTTCTGATATTTCACTTGTTGGATTTCATTTCTTCACACTGTACCTCTCTCTGCAGCTGCTGTGACCGGGACTCTCGAAGAATTCTCTCGTTTTTGTTTGTTTATTTTAGAATTATGTTCTTTACAGAAAAAAAAGTAAATAAAAGGAAGGAAAAAATCACCCAGAGTCACTCCAATCCAAATATTTTCTTCCACATAATTAACCTATATGTAGGCCTCTTTTGGGGGGGCCATTTTAGTCATACCCTAATTACAATTCTCTGTCCTCTTTTTTTCGTGAAATTGTATATCATTAACATTTTCCCACTTCCTCTAGTCTTTACATCCGAACCATCAATTAGCATTTCATTTGTGATTTATTAAATATAAGTCCCAGAATTCTGGGAGGCCTTTTGATTCCAAGCAAAGGAAACAACTGGCACCACCGCCAGAGAGGAGTGACAATGTCACAGCCAGGGGAGTCATCCTTGAAGGGATGGTGGCTGCTCCAGCCTCCACGAAGGTGTTTTGCAGGTCACAGTTCTCCTTTTGAAGACACGGTCAGTCAGTGGAGTGGAAAGAGCCCAGCTCTGAGAGGGTCCAGGCCAGATGCTAAGAACCCATGTGACCCGGGGAGAGTCAGCCGAACTGCTCCTGGGGCTCAGTTTCCTCACCTGAGAATGGAGGTAGGAACACATGCCCTGTTTACCAGGCACCTGACTGTGCAGCGCCAGCCAAAGGGCAGGGTGTGAGGGCTGTGAGAAGCAGGACCCATCAGGGAACTAAGAAAGAGGGGTGATGCTTGGAACACCCAATCCCACTTGCAGGCTGCGGGGCAAGCCTCTCTTCTGCTGGGGCTGGGCAATGGTTTCAGGTCTGGCCATCCTGGGTAGAAGGAAGGAAGGGGCCTGGGAATGGCACAGGCAGGGGAACAGCAATTTCTTGCAGGGATGGGGACAGGCAAGGTCTCCACTCATGACAGCGCCTGCTCCAAGGCACAGCGTGACCGACTGCAAGCCCAGCTGGTTGGGTGGCTTCACTTTCCTCCTCCCACCTCCCAGGACACTGAGCTAAGTGCCTAGGAGACCCTGTCAGAAGGAAGCAGCCTAGACTTGTCATTAGAACTTTTTTTTCATTTCAAAATAGCCACTTATCAGTGTGAAGGGCAGCTCTGAGGGAGGGAGATGGGAGGGAAGGAGGGAGCCCAGGAGGCCTGCCTGGACTGACAGTGGGGCTGTGGTCCGGGGCCTGAGGCGTCCTCCTCAGTCTGGCTTTCTCTAACTGCCACATTGCAGGCTACACGCCATGCCCTCAGCAGTGGTCCCCAGAAGTGAGAGGGCCTCACTCAGGCCCAGGTGCCCGGAGGGAGGTTGAGTGTCCTTCCCTTCCTCTCTGCAAAGGATGGAAAAGTGGCCCCAGCTTGGGCTGTGGGGGCCAGTTCTCCCCTCCACCTCACAAACAGGTCCTGGCTCCTGGCTGTTGGTGCTGGCAGAGGCGCATTCAGCAAGGTCTGCCTCCTTCCTGCGTTGTTACAAAATAGTTTTCCCTCTGCTGCTGCTCTGCAGGGAGCCGAGACCCCCGCAGTATAGGAGAGGGGCAGCTGGGAAAAAAGGAGAGCTTTGATCAGAGCCACACTCTCAGTCCCGTCCCAGCCTCTGGAGGATGAACCAGCTGGGTGGTACCAGGAAAGAAGCCCTGGGGTTTTTATTAAGCCCCCTGTTGAGTCCTCTGAGTCCCTGTCCTGGGATCCCCAGAAGGGGTACAGATGCCCTAGGAGCTACCACAGACCCTGAAGCAGGGATTGAGCTGGTAGCCAAAGCCCCCAGCAGTGTAGCTAGAGCTATCTTCTGTCAGTTCTGGAACCGATTTCACTTGAACAAAGACTTCTACTGTCAAAAAAACAAACAAACAAACAAAAAACAAAAAGCAAACAAACAAAAAAAAACCTTGGAAGCCACAGTGTCATGGAGAGAAAATAGAATGTAGAGGCAAACCCAACTCTTTTACTTATGCTGTGTGACCTCAGGCACACTGTTTACCCTCTCTGAGATTAGTTTCCTCATCTGTGAAATAGGAATAATAGTGCTGTAAGTGATGTTTAGGGGAATCACCTATCATTTTGCCTGTTGCTCAAAAATACTGGTTTGGAGACACGTGTTAAATATTTCATCACAGAAGCTGTTAATAACTGCCTAAATGTTGGCTTTCTCACTTGAACCCCAACCTCTCCCCAAGGCCACCTGGGGAACCCGGCTCCACAGTTTGGTGGCAACTTTCTTCCCTGGCCCCTGCTCTGCAAGTTCAGGCAGTACCAGGCAGCTACCAGGCAGCACTAGGGGGAGAGAAGCCTGGGGGAGGAGAAACCCCAAGAGCTGGTAACTTGTCCCAGAATAAATGGGGGTTGCTGCAGACACCACATATCCCATGGCACAACTCAGGACACTTCTGGAATGTGACGGGGACATGAAGAGGCAGCATCAAGACATATTGCCCCGGCCCTGATGTGTTCTGGAGCCACTCAGTCCTCCATTTTTCAGCCTCTACTAGGATCACTAAAGCTGCATTTGGCTTCTAATAACAGCTCATGGCACGGGTAATTATAACTCTGTCATCCTAGTAAAGCTGGGATGGATAGAGGAGGGAGCTTGCACTTTGCAGGCGATGCTGTTTGTTTCTACTGAGAGCAAGCCTTGGCAGGCTCGCGCTGGCCAGGGTCATGCAGAACTGGCCTGGATCTCAAGTGCAGAGTGCAGTGTACTTCCCCAGCCATGCCCACCCCCAGTCCCCGAGCAACGCGACTGGCCTCCCTTTCCTCCCATCTGGGAGCCCAGTCCTTGACATCCCTTATTTCAGCTCTATGCTTTCCATGGGACAAAGCCAAAAAATTGTCTCTCACCTCCCTAGAAGTCTCCATGCCAGTAGTGACCAGTCCTGCAGGCTAAAGGGTTATGCAGCCCCGGTGAGAGGAGCCATAATAGGTCTTAAATATTTCATGAGTGAATAATAATAATAGACAACCCTTATTAAGTACCTCCCACTGGAAGCCACTAAGACCTTACCAGTATTTGTTCACTTAATCCTCGAAATAACTCTGCGTAGTAGCCTCCTATTACTATGGCTGATTCACAGATGAAGAAATCCAAGCAGAGGTTAAATAAGTTGCTCTTTGTCATCCAGCCAGTAGGTAGTAGACAGGGGATTTAAACTCAGGGAATCAGATTCCACAGACTGTGTTCATAGTTTCTGCACAAATGTAGCCTTTCCTACACTGTGTTGCTGCCTGAACTGGAAGAACCTGGAGAACAGAGTGATCTGAGATCGGAAATCCTGAGTTTT
Organism: Homo sapiens; assembly: GCF_000001405.40. NCBI lineage: Eukaryota > Metazoa > Chordata > Mammalia > Primates > Hominidae > Homo > Homo sapiens. The sequence continues at coordinate 110,827,414 of NC_000010.11, read as the reverse complement.
TTTTTTTGTTTCTTTTCCTTTTTTTCTGAGACAGGGTCTCACTCACTCTGCTGCCCAGGCTGGAGTGCAGTGGCACAATAATGGCTCACTGCAGCCTGGATCTCCTCCCAGGTTCAAGCAATCCTCCTCCCTCAGCCTCCCAAGTAGCTGGGACTGCAGATTTACACCACAACTCCTGGCTAGTTTTATTTTATTTTATTTTTTTGCAGAGACAGGGTCTCCCTATGTTGCCCAGGCTGAGAAATCCTGAGTTCTAACCTGCGTTTGCTATGTCATCCTGGGTAAGTCTCTGGACTTCAGTTTCCTCACCTGTCAAATGCAGAACCTCATACCATACTCTTCCTTCGGGGACCAATGAGATAATGAATCTCAAAGCTAACTGAAGACTATTAACAAATACAATCTGTAAAGGCCCCGAACTGAAAACAACCCAAATATTTGTCAACAGATGAATAAATAAACAGAATGTGATGTATCCATATATGCAACGCAATACTCCTCAACAATAAAAAGAAACAGACTGGCCGGGCACGGTGGCTCACACCTGTAATCCTAGCACTTTGGGAGGCTGAGGCAGGTGGATCACCTGAGGTCAGGAGTTCAAGACCCCAACAGTTCAAGGCCAACATGGTGGAACCTTATCTCTACTAAAAAAAGACCAAAAACTAGCCAGGCGTGGTGGCAGGTGCCTGTAATCCCAGCTACTCCGGAGGCTGAGGCAGGAGAATCACTTGAACCCAGGAGGTGGAGGTTGCAGTGAGCCAAGATCATGCCACTGTACTCCCGCCTGGGTAACGAGAGAAAAACTTTGTCTCAAAAAAAAAAAAAAAAGAAGAAGAATGAAACAGACTACTGATCCACCCAACAGTACAGATGAATCTCAATGATGTTGAGCAAAAGAAGCCAAACTAGCACATACAATATGATTCCCTTTATATAAAACTCTAGAAAATGCAAACTAATATTTAGTGACAGAAAGGAGATCCTTTACCTGGGGGTTGCACTGTGGGGAGGGAGGGGTTACATAGGAGACAGGAAATTTGGGATATGATGAACATTGTTCCCAGTCTTGATTGTGGTGATGGTCTCACAGGTATATTTATAGGTCAAAACTGATCAAACTATGCACTTGATATGCACTTACTTTATATCCATTATAACTCAATAGAGCCAATTTTAAAAAGGTGAGATACTATTTTCTTCCTAACTGGTTAGGAAAGATTAAAAACTGATAAAATCCAATGGGAGGTGGATATTGGGAACTCTCACTCAAGGTCGCAGGGAAAACTGATACCATCTTTTTGGAGTGCAATTTAGTAGCAATTATGAAAATTTAAAATGCAAATACATACCACCCTACAACCCCCTGGCTAGGACGCTCTCCCACAGGAACACTGGCATACACATACCACTGAACAAGCACATCTGAAAGGCAGCAGAGAACAGAAGCTAAGAACATGGCTCTAGAGTCAGATGACTGGGATTTGAACCTGACTCTGGTTTTTGCCAGTTATTAGCTGTGTGACTCTGCATTTCAGATTTTTTATCTGTTAAATAAGGATAAAAACAGCACCTACCTCATAGGTGTTTTGAGAGGGTTAAATGTGATAATACATACAGATCCCTAGGGATGGTGCCTGCATGGGGAATGTTAACAATAAAAGCTTAGCTATTAAAATGGGAAAAAGAGCAGACAGCCTAACTGTTCACCAGCAGAGGAAAGATCAGTCATTTATAGCATAGCTTTTACGATGGAATATTTGCAGTGGTTAAAAAGAATGTGTTCTCTATGTACTGACATGAAGAAATGTCTAAGACCTGCTACTAAGTGAACTTGCAGAACATTATGTGTGTAGTGTGATCCCATTTTTGTGAGAGAAAAACTGGGCATGACAGTGGTAGGCTACCTCTGGAGACTGGGGAGAGACTGGAGGGAAGAGATCAATCAGACCTTTAATATTGACTTGATATGGTTCTTATTTTTTGAATTTGTTACAATAATCTTTCACACTTTCTATAATGAAAAACAGTAGTAAAACACAAATTACAAGGTAGCAGAATTTATTCTTAATTTTTGCTAGTATCAATTAGGTTCCAAGTTCTTGGATGACAAGAGACTTGCGTTATATTTCTTGGTTACCCCAGAGTGTCTAGCACAGTACCATGTTATCCAGTAAGTATTTGCTGACTGACTGAATGCATGAAGGAGCCCTCTCTTCTCCTGCAGGGTGGCCTTTGCAACTGTTTTCTAGAGCTAAAATACCCAGGGTCATCTCAGTTTATTCTAAAGTTAGTATTTCTTTTTCCTTCTTTCTTATGTTTTTGTCTTGGGAGATGCTGTGCAGCAAATTTATCCCTTAAAAAAAAAAGGAAGTTTGCTCTCCAGATCTGACTATAAAAATGGTACACCTGGAGGAAAGAAATAGTAAGAGATTTTTTTAAAGGAGAAGGGAAAAAAAGAGCAAGTTGGATGGAAAGGACGAGCCTCCACACTGACCAGCCCCTCCCTGCATGATCAGACACGTGGTCATCAGGCATCAGATGACCCGTGCTTTTTATGCTTCCTTGTGACACTTTCCCAGGTGACACTTTCCTGAGCTCTCCTTCTGAGCAGCTGCTACTACTACTTTATCTAATTCCGACCTTTCAGAGCTAATGCGAGGGGACTCAAAGATGATGTAGGCTGGAGTTGCTGGGTTAGTGGTTGTGTCAGAATCTCCCAGGGAACTTTCTTAAAGTGCCTTCACTCCCTACCCTGAGACTCTGCTTAACTCTTCTCTTTGAAAAGGGATTCATTCCTAGGTGATTCCATCAGTAAACTCCCTCCCCACTTCATTCCCAACACTTCCACCATTGAAAAAATCGCTGTCTAAATTACAGAGAGGAAACTAAGGCTCAAGAAGGGGTATGACTTACCTGAGGGCACACAGTCACCCATAAGTAGGAAGAACAGAAACCCAGGTCTCCCTGTTCAATACCCTTTCTATGAACTAGGGGTAGTCTGCCCCAAACACATTCTATTCAGCATCATTGCCTCAGAAAAGTTGGTCCTTTAAAGAGAAAAAAATATGTAGCATTGTTCTGGGAAGGACTGGAGCAATGAACAATAGCAGACGAAGTTCATTTTTGTTGACTTTATGGAGGCTGCTGGGCATCTGCTTTCCTGCCTGAATAAAGGCTAGGCTTAAAGACTCCATGTCATCAAGAATAAAGCATTCCCTGACAGGAAAAACAGGACTTCTTAGTTCTGGGTCCCAGGGCACTGTTATTCAAGGCTGTTTTCACGGAGTATCTGGTCTATTACGGGAGACTGAAATTGCAAGAAAGTTTACAGCCGCCCCTTGCAAATCTAGGTTATTGCATCATACACTTAAAATAACGATAGGCCGGCCAGGTGAAGTGGCTCACACCTGTAGTCCCAGCACTTTGGGAAGCTGAGGCAGGAGGATCACTTAAGCCCAGGAGGTGAAGACCAGCCTGGGCCACATATGGAGACCCCATCTCTGCAAAAAAAAAAAAAATTAAAAAAATTAGCCGGGCCTGGTGGTGTGTACCTGTTGTCCAAGTTTCTCAGGAGGCTGAGGTGGGAGGATCACTTGAGCCCAGGAATTTGAGGCTGCAGTGAGCTGAGATCATGCCACTGCACTGCAGCCTGGGTGACAGAGTGAGACCTTGTCTCAAAAGAACAAAAAACGATGTCAACAACAAAATGCCAAAAAGCTCTCTCAAGCTCTTGAGGTTGCTATGGAACTGTTATTTCCTAGACCTGAATTTCAGGAAAGACTGTGTGTTTTGCTTACCTAGAGGAATGCTAAGTTCACTGAACACATCCTCTGGTTCCCAAGAGGGCAAAGAAAGGGGCTGTTTCAGTTCCACTTCAGTGTACTCTGGTGACCTCACCTCCAGAGATTTCATTTCCACGTACCTGGAGTTTTCTGCAAAACATGAACCAAGGCAAAAAAAAAAAAAAAAAAAAAAAAAAAGAAATACAACATGCCTCAAAGAGTCCCTGAAATTCTATGCCTGCATAGTATGATTGGGAATTGTTCCTTGGACTGCTTAATCACATAAGGCTGGGGCAATGGTTGCTAATTAGAACCAAAGCACTGTCATTAGGAGCTTTTTCCACTGCCAAAAGAATGCCACACACAATAAAACTTGGCAAATGTTTGCATTTGGCCCAGGGGGATGGGCTGCTGATGCCTTCAGTTGAGAAGATCCACCCCCCACCCCCCATGCCTCCCATCTCAGTATCATTCCATCTCTGCAGGCAGAGGAATTACTGACGGGCAAAAATTGTGCTGACGTCCACCGAGGCTAGCAAAACAGGCAATGCCATTCTCTCCCCAAGCTTGTCAAGCTGTTATTAAATATGAACCCCAAACACTGGGTCAGTTAATGAGCCTCTAACACTGGCACATGTTGAGACCTATACCGCAAAATAAAAGGGGCTTGATTGGAGTGAGGTGAAGATTTCACTCCTCCTTTATTCTTGCCTTCTCTAGACAGAGCCTGGGCCTCACGGTTTCTCTAGCAACAAGAAGGCATTTCACGGCGGGGTTTCCATGGAAACTCAGATCCGTGCAGGTAAAAAACAGCTCAGGTCAGCTTGACATGGAAAAAATCCCAAGCCTCCCAGTTACCTAACAGCTCATGCCACCCACAGGGCCCTGGGTTGAAATGTTCATTTTTAAGCCTTTCCTCTGTATTTTCTGCCCCTGACTCTCACTTCAACCTCTGGTGTGCTACAGGCTTTCTGTAAAGCAAATCCCTAATTATTTTCACAGTGAGAATCTTAAAGGCTACTCTCTCTCCCTCCCCCCAAACCCCCTGATGGATCTTAAGTTCCACTTGGCAGAGAAGACGGGGCTTAGCCTATTTTAAACTCTCTCTTTCATGATGTCACAGTGCCGGGCATAGGCACAAAACGTCACCTCCAATGGAGTGAGAGAATATCCTGAAACAAGTCTTGTATCACTGTCAGACCCTAGCAAAAAATGGGTCTGAGGTAGTAAGAAGGGGAACAGCTGTACCCTTTAAGGATCCTCTGTTCCTTCCCCTTCCACTCCTTTCTTGTATCCCCTACTCTTGCCCCCATCACAGAAATAACAGCCTGGGTGGCCCTCTGCTGTGCAGGCACGAGGCTCCTCCTGATCTCCTTTTGCTGATAACCCAGTCTAATTTTAGTTATCCAAGTCCATCTGGGCTCCTGTAAATGCAGAGAAGTCTGCCCTGAGTTTGCTTCTCAGAAAACATGCAGCCTCCTATCTAACTTCCTTTACACCACTTGCCTAAAATCACTAACAGTTTAGCCAGGCTTTTAGAGGCTTGCCTTTGTTGCTAAATCACTTTCTGCACCCACTTTAATGCTAGTTGAAACCTTACTTATGTTCATTCCAGCCTGCACATGCTCATACTTTATCAGGTGAGCAGGAGTCCAATCAACCCGACCACCCGTGAGGAAAGGGGAGATAGTTACCCGGGGTCAACACTTCTTGGCAAGCTTGGTTTTGGAGGTCAGTTTCGATGGGGGGGCTGGCTTTCTCCTCCAGGGGGCTGCCTTCACAAGCCCCATCTTCGGGGGTCCCCCTGGTCTTGCAATCATCCACAAATGGGCTTGGCTGCCGGGCCCTCTCCTCTGCTGGCTTAGGGGAAGACATTTGCTGGACTGTAGGGGCTGGATGAACATCTGAGCTCTCCACTCCCTTTGCCTCCTTCTCGTAGCAATCTGAATCCTCCAGGGAGAGGCCTGTCTCACTTTCAGCTGGCTTCCGCTCAGCATCCAGATTTAGGCCAGGCATTTCCACGTCCATGTCACTGGGACAGCTTGTGGAAGCAGAGGGCAGTTCTCTGGGTGACTTGAGGCTGATTTCTGCAGCCCCATTCCCTACGGCCTTGACTCCTTCCTTGGGGAAATCCTGGGCCAGGTCTAAGTCTAAGGTGGTTGTCACACACAGACATGTTTCTGGGCAAATTTTGTCTTTCTGGTCAATGGGCACAATTTCTTCCAGCTCTGGGATGTCTGGTTCCACGATAAAATCTTCTTCTTCCCCAACCTCGTCCACTGTCACCAGCTCCTCCATGTTAGTGGGATACCAGCTCTCCCCCTCTGCCTCACTTTCACTCTCCCAATCTTGTTCCTGTACAAAAATGCAGAATGGAGGTCAGAGGGTGGTTGAGAGCATTCAACTGGAAGGCACAAGACTTGGCCATAAGGACCACTCAAATCAGGAAGAATCTGAGCATTCTTACCTCTACCTGGTACAATTACTGTGAACCACTCAAGTCCCACGGCACCAACTCATCTTTAGGGTGATGCTCAAAGTTTGGAATAGGCCCTTAATGCTTAATCCACCATATTTAAAGTGACGCAAAGAATTTCAAGCCCCAGTAGATAATGGGTGCTCAATATACAGTTTTTGAATGCATGAATAATGAAGTTATAAACTCTAAATACTTACTGGAGCATCTTTCTTGCATCTGGGTCATCACTAAATGTAACTGCAGCAAAGCCCCTCACAAAATTCCCCCCAAGCACCCTCTCCCAGCAGGGGTACATACACTCCCACAGCCAAAGCTTCTACTAGGCCCCTTCTAGAACTTTCCCCTTGGCATCTGCAGCAGCCCATGGACTCCCAACTCCACAGACAGATTTAGGAGATCAGCTTCCCTGCCAGCGATACTCATTTCTCCTGCCTCTCCTGACCGGAAAGGCACGAAGATGGCCCTGTTCCAAGGATATTTCTTTTTGTTGTGGCAGCTCCAGCCCAGGAGAACTGTAACTGGATTTTTTCATTTTAATTAAGTAAAACAATCTATACAAGCACAGTAGATGGCTTGTTAATCCTAGGGTCTGGGCCTGCTGAAGTCAGGGCCCCAGCTTGAGTGCCCAAAGCAGCTTCTCGCCCCATCCCCGCCAAGGGACTTGTCTATTTTGGGAGCCTGGCTCTGAAGCCTGAGTCTTTTTTTGGGCACATGTTTTCTCGTAGGAACACAGCCAAATTGCTGGAGAGTGAGCAGAGCCCAGACATGTGGGTAAAGATCGCTTCAATAAAAACTGTCCGAAGATTCCAGGCACAGCCACTCCTCCAAAGTAGCGCTAGGAGGACTGGTTCATTCATGGAACTAATGGTGGGGTCTCAGCCATATTCCATCCAGCAGGACATCACCAGGCAAAAGGGGGACTCCTGTGACTCAGTCCCTCATGGCAGAAGTGCAGAATCTGAAACAAACTTTACCTTCTTTGTCCTTGTGTTTTCCGGATCAGAGAACTCTGCTTCTTTCTCCTGTCTGCCCACTGATTGAGGGCTTTCTTCCATGCCCTCCTGTTCCTCTTTTCCAGCCTTATCAAAGGAAGAACAGAGCAAACCAAATCAACAGTGAGCAGTGACAGGGAGAAGAAAAAAAGAATGATATTGAATGCAGGTCCCAGCTCTCAGATAGGTTTCACATACAGCATTTCCTTTATCCTCCCAGAATCCCTTGGAGGCAGCTGCTATCAGCATCTTCGTTTTATAGATTAGAAAACTGAGGTTCAGAGAGGTTAAGTAATTTGCTCACAGTCACACAGACAAATGGAGGCAGAGAAATGTCTTGAAGCCTGGCCCGATGTCTTTAGGGGGCAGAAATACCTGGCAAACTGGGTATTTTTTGCAGAGTAGAAGCAACAAAACTTGAACTGACTTGGGCCGGCCAAGACCCCAGGGTTAACCATCACGGTGACATTTCCCCAACAGAGTCATCTTGGCTATGAAAAAAATCATTCAGGACACTTATAGGTAGAAAGGGCACAGTCAGAGTGCCCTCACACCTTTCTGTTGCCCTCTGTCCTTGAGTGATAGCCCAAACTAACACTCCCTTTCCTCCTTCCTTGTATTCCCTTCCCCCAAATCAGGACCCTCACAGTAGTGCGCATGTCTGTGAAACTGAACAATTGAAAGCAGGTGTTTGGTTTGAGAATTAGGGCCTCTACCCAACCTTTAAGACAAGGGTCAACAAACTATAGTCTGCAGGCCGAATCTGACCTACAGCCTGTTTTTGTATAGCTTGTGAGCTAAGAATGAATTTTACACGTTTACATAATTACATTTTAAGTGATTATAGAAGTGCCTACATAAAATCCTCAATTTTGCCCCTTGGCCCACATAGGCTAAAATATTTACTATCTAGTCCTAGAAAACTTTGCCAACCCCCACATTAGAAGTTTCTGGGGGATATTCTCCCATGACTTAAACTTTGGCCACCAAATCAATGACTACTCCTGGGCTTTCTGAGGGCCAAGCTGCAGTTCTAGGACATTCTTGGCTGAGGTTGGTTCTAAGTAAACCACTCTAGTTCTGATTTCTTACAATCAGACACACCCCCTTGAGCTGACTAGGAGCCAGCTGGAGCAGAAGCTCAGGGCTGACTGGTTTCACCAGTTATTACTGGACAGGGATACATGGTTCAAATCCTAAAGTCCTTTGTTTCCAGTGTTTGCTGTGGAAGATTCCACTGAAAGCTTTGCTGAAGTCTACTGCACTAGCCTGAGTATAAAGCAACTACAAATACCTTTTTAGCTATTATAGCTTCTACCAACAGGTGACTTTATTTTTATCTCCCTGAATCACCTATCCATGGCCCTCTCTTGTCAAAATGAATAATCCTTACCCTTCCCAAGCAGTTCCTGCAGCCACACTCCCAGATCAACACAGTAAAGGGACCCCCTTCAGTTCGAGTTGGGAGAGGCAGGGACAGTCTTGCTAGCCGGGCTGAAAGCCCTCCACCAAGCAGACCCCTGCTCTTCCACCCTGCAGGCAAAGGAAACAACCTTTCAGAGCTTCCCTTTGCTGTGGGATCACTTCCAGGAGAGAGCAGCAGCTTAAGTGGAACAGATGGGTGCAACGGGTGCCCCCAGCTGCCCACAGCAGCTCACAGACTGAGACTGAAACGCCAACTGTTGCAAGCAGGGCTCTGCCACCACAGGGCCCGGGCTACCGAACCACTTCGAAACTGGTCTCCCACTTCTGCTCTGTACCTTCCCCCAAAATCTATTCTTCCCAAGGCAATCAAGAATGATCATTCCAAAATGCAAAAATGATCACATCCTCACCATATTGTCGTTTTGGTTTTTTTTTTTTTTTTGAGATGGAGTTTTGCTCTTGTTGCCCAGGCTGGAGTGCAATGGCATGATCTCGGCTCACCGCAATCTCCGCCTCCTGGGTTCAAGCAATTCTGCTGCCTCAGCCTCCCAAGTAACTGGGATTACAGGTGCCTGCCACCACACCTGGCTAATTTTTTTTTTTTTTTTGTATTTTTAGTAGAGACAGGGTTTCACCATGTTGGCCAGGCTGGTCTCGAACTCCTGACCTCAAGCGATCTGCCTGCCTCAGCCTCCCAAAGTGCTGGAATTACAGGCGTGAGCCACTGTGTCCAGCCTCTTCACTGTATTTTCTTGCTTAAATACTTCATTTGCTTCCCCTGGTAGTTAAGATAAAGGCAAAAATCTTCAACCTGCCTACAAGGCCCTGCATAGTGTAGGCCCTGTTGACAAGTCAGCCTCACCTCCTGTTACTCTAATGCCAGCTCTCTGCTACGGCAACGCTGGAGCCCTGGAGCTGCTGGAGGCCCTTGTGCATGCTGCTTCCTCTGTCTTTTCACTTCCTTTTCACCCAGTCAATACTCACCGTGCCTCCAAATCTCAATAGGCACAGCCTAACCCTGAGAAGGCTCAGATTTATCACAGGCACTCACAGCATTGCGTACCTTCATCTCCTTCTTAGCACTTAATACTCAAGCTCTTCTGTTCATTTAAGAAATCACTGGATTAGCATTTCTCTCACTAGACTATGAGCTCCACGAGCCCAGGGGTCATTTCAGTGTCACTAACTATAGTCCCAATGCCGGGTGCTCCACAAATATTGGTCAATAAAAGAATGAAATTGGTAGAAGGGGGTGGGGCGAATAACAAGTTCTCACCTGTCTTCCCGCATGGTTGGGTCTTGTCTAGGCTCTGAAGCATAAGGGTTTTAAAAATCTTCACCTCTTATGGATTGGTTATACCAGGGGTTACACTCTGGGGCTTCTAGATGGCATCTGGCCCACAGGTATGTTTTGGTTTATACTAGACACTTGTCTTGCTCTAAGAAAAGGGAGATTTGACAGCGTGGCATGCGTTCCTGCATGGCAGCTGTAGAATGGAGCTGAGCAGTAGCTCCGGCCCCACAGATGGCACCACTTTCTCAGTCAGCCATGGTCCCATCATGCTGGCCTGGCTCCACTTGTCATTAGCCTGGCTTCCCTTCCCTAGTCACCTGGGCCTGCCACTCTCGAACCCTCCCTCCCAGTAGGATGTAGCAGTGTTTCTTCCCCATGTTTTCCTTATCTGTGACTTCATTTCTTTCCTCCTCTTTATGGTCCTGTGGCCAGGATTGGGTCTCAGGTATGGACGTGGCCACCCATCACCACGGAGCAGCACGCACACTGGCTTCTCAACCACAGAAACTTTCTCCAGAGAGCTCAGGATATTTTAATGAGCATGACCTCTTTACAGTACTACAACAGCCTTGTGATCACATCCATTTTACAAACAAGAAAAGTGAGGCAGAAGAAAGCAGGGTCTGACCTGGTTCTCAGAAGCCAGGCCTTTGCTTCCAGAGTCTGGGTTCCAACCTTCATACCTTCAACAGGTACTCACTGGACACCTGCTCTGTGCCAAGCCCTCCTCTAGGGACTGGGAACACAGCAGTGAACACAACAGACAAAACTTCCTGCCTTGTGAAGTTTACACCTGGAGCTGGGGGTGACAATAGACACTAAGTAAAATAAAGACATTAAGTGATAGGTTTGAAGGTGGTAAATGCCACCAAAAACAGGAAAGCAGGGAGGGAGAGGAGGGGGTTGAGGTGTTGAGGTGGTCTGCAGCGGTGCGAGGGAGAGGAATGGGTTGGGGTATTGAGATGGTCTGCAGTGACGAGAGGGAGGGGAGCAGGTTGGGGTGTTGAGATGGTCTGCAGTGGCGGGGAGGGAGAAGAGTGGGTTGGGGTGTTGAGATGGTATGCAGTGGTGGGGAGGGAGAGGAATGGGTTGGGGTGTTGAGATGGTCTGCAGTAGTGTCGGGGGAGGTGAGGGGGTTGGGTGGGGTGTTGAGATGGTTTGCAGTGGTGGGAGGGAGAAGAGCAGGTTGGGGTGTTGAAATCATGTGCAGTGGCCAGGGACAGTAGAGAATGTGGCCATGAGTAAAGACGAAGGAGGTGAGGAGCAAGCCAGGAAGACTTGTGGCTCCTCGGCAGCAGCAACACCTGTAAAGGCGCTGAGGGCAGGAGGTGCCTGGTGCACTGGAAGAACAGCAAGCCCTGCTGCCTTCATTCCCAAGTTCAGTTGCCACCTGTTATCTGACTCCAGGGGCAGCCCTGTGGGGTCTGGGCTTTTCTTGAGTTCATCATACAGAGTTTGAGGACAGTGCAAAATACTCTCTGTTCTGCAGTCATTCCAACACACACTGTTGGACTGCCTGGCTCCAAACCTAAAGACACAATCTGTGAGGGGCCCCAGTAAGTCCCTACTGACCCCACTCCAGGGTTGTAAGAGGCAGAACCAACTTGAGGGACAGAACTGTGGGGAAATTCTTGGGGCTTTCTGAGATTCTTTTTCCATCAGGGGCTCTTTGGCTGACACATAGTGTCACCTTAAATGAGCAATGTTATACAAACCGATGAGAGCAGGGTGGTAAAACAGTAGAAGAAATGAGGTTCCCAGGGCAGAGTCTCAGGAGTGTGAGTAGAAGTGCAGGAAGCAGCTCCACCTCTCAGCCTTGGGGGAGAGAGGGTTGGCAGGCTGGTGGTATCCACATGAAGCCCAGGCTTTCCTTGAGCCCCTGCCAACTCTTGCTCTCTGCCCATCATCCATCACCAGCAACTTGGACACCTCCAAGCACATACACTTTTTAAAATATCCACTGGTTCACCAGGTCCTTGGGATCCAGTTCAAGTCCTTGGTGAGGCACACAGTGTCTTCCATGAGTCTCACCCTCTTCCCTAATCTCATCTCCTGTTCTTCCTCCTGCTATGCCAGTTAGGAAAAATCGTGGCAGACTTTGTAATGGGCAAAAAAAGACTACTGGGTGTCCTTTCACTGGAACGCTGGGCATTTGTCTAGCACATCCTTTCAGGGCATCTGATTCTATAGAAGTCTGCACCTTTCATTATCTTGAACTGAGGTATTTTACAACTGTATAAGTTGCAGAAATCAGATCCTAATACAAATGATTCTTGTTCCTAGAGATGCACATGAATTGTCTCTGCTGGAGATGCAACCGATTCCCTGCCCCCTGTGGAAGGGGCCACTTTTACACCTATTAGCAAATTCATTTTAGCATTCCTGATTGCCTGTATATGTTGCCTGCTCTTTGGATTCTCTTTTGAGTTGGTTTTTGCATCTCATGATGCCGTCATTAATTAATGAGTTGAATAAAACCTTTGACATGTATTCATTATATATGTGCATCAGAGTCATGATTTTACTCTTTAAAAACATTATCCCTAATATGCCCTAAAGATGCAGCCATGCCGATTATCTCCAGGTTCTTCAAAACAGTCTTTCTTTTTCACTTTTGCCCTGGCTTCTGCTTCTATCAAGAATCTTGGCAGGGCACGGCGGCTCACGCCTGTAATCCCAGCACTTTGGGAGGCCAAGGCAGGAGGATCACGAGGTCAGCAGTTCGAGACCAGCCTGACCAACATGGTGAAACCCTGTCTCTACTAAAAATATAAAAATTAGCCGGGCGTGGTGGCGCACTCCTGTAATCCCAAATACTAAGGAGGCTGAGGCAGGAGAATTGCTTGAACCTAGGAGGCAGAGGTTGCCGTGAGCTGAGATCACACCACTGCACTCCAGCCTGGGTGGGCAACAGAGTGAGACTCTGTCTCAAAAAAAAAAACAAAACAAAACCCAAACTGCTTTTTTCTACTTTTAATACTCAGCTCAAATATCACCCTCTCTGAGCAGCTATTTTCCCGTTCCTGTGCAGAGTTAATAATTGCCCACAGAGCAGCTCATCCGCTGTAAATGCTGGCATGAGTCCCATTGTATACAAATTATTTTTATATTAATAGGTCTGTTTCCACCACTGGACTTCAGTCTCTGCTGTAACATGGACTATGTCCTATTCACCTTTGGCTCGCCTGCACCTAGCACATCACCTGGCAAAGTGGCACTCCATCTATACATGTTGGAATGAATGCTGAAGTAGCATCCAAAAGGTGACTCTTCAGTGTTCATGGAGTAGAGATTTGGTTTCCTTATTTGCACTTAGTATTGTCACCAACTCCCAGGTCAGAATGACTAGAAGGTATGTGTGGAGGATTTTAAAAATTAGGCTCCTTATGCATATTGCCAAACCTCACTTATCCTACCCCTACTTAAATATAGAAGGCTCTGGCAAGAAGGAAGTGTAAGCCAAGTTAGAATATAAACCTGGTAACCACAACCCTCCTTGTGACGCCCCTGTGTGAACTGAAGTACTGCTGCAAGCCCTCAGACCTTTCAGATGCCATGAAGGTGCCAGCCATTGCCATGCATTTTTTTTTTTTTTTTTTTTTTTGAAATAGAGTTTCGCTCTTGTCATCCAGGCTGGAGTGCAAAGACATGATCTCGGCTCACTGCAACCTCCGCCTTCCGGGTTAAAGTGATTCTCCTGCCTCAGCCTCCTGAGTAGCTGGGACTACAGGGGTGCACCACCTTGCCTGGCTAATTTTTGTATTTTTAGTAGAGACAGGGTTTCACCATATTGGCCAGGCTGGTCTCGAACTCCTGACCTCAGGTGATCTGCCTGCCTCGGCCTCCCAAAGTGCTAGGATTACAGGCATGAGCCACTGTGCCCAGCCACCGTGCATTTTTATTAGAGTGGAGGTAAAACACTGTGGACAGCTCTGGGCACCCAGTTTAATTTAGCAGGTGGTGACGGCTTCTCCTTCACCACTTCTCCTCAGAGTTCCAGGACTGGTAAATGCTTCTGGCAGGAGGGAGGACAGAATGAACCAAAGATCTAATCTCCCTTGGGAGGCTCTTTGGGTGCAAACACCTCAGGCCACTCCCTACTGGACGAACAGGACTACAGGCCTTTCCATGATGTCCCACCCTAACTTCTAGTAAAGGCAACAGGTGCCATGGGATTTGGGGCCAGATCTCCTTGGTATAATTCTGGGTCTGCCATTTCCTGACCGTGTGTTCTTGGACAAATAACGTAAGTTCTCTGTGCCTCAGTCTCCTCACCTGCAGTAACAATAGTACCAAGCTCAAAGGTTGGTACTCAAAACCTGTGAGGATTAAATGAGTTCATTGAGATAAAGTGTCTTGCACAGTGCCTAGCGCATAGTAAATAGCCAGTAAATGTTCATTCATTCAATAAACGTTCATCCTCATTATATTATTATGATTATTCTCCTTCAGGGCCTGCCTCGCCTTACCTGGGGAAGAAATTGATCATTACCTCATTCTCTGCCATTGTGTTTTCTTTTCTATCATCAGCTCCTTCTTGGTCTCTATCAGTTCTCTTGGTTTTATTTTTCTCATTCTGCTTGGCCTTGGCGCCCTCAGGGGCCCTAGTGACCTTTGGCCCCAGCCCATCTTCCTTGCCTGAGTCATCCGGATGGGGGTGTCTGCTTTCCCGCAGCCTGGCCTCGTCTTTCCTCCTGGACCTCCCGGGGGCATCCTGCTGCTGCTTCAGATACTTGTCCGACTTGGCTTTGGGCTCTTTCCGGTAGTAGCCGTCTTCACGGCTTTTGTAGCTGGACACAGAGTGGGGCAGGTTGGGAGACCCAGATCTCGGGTACTTCTCCCGGTGGGGCCTCCCTCCTTCTGGTCGCTCGTCCAACTCAGCCTTGTCCAGTTGCCGGGGGTGGTGTTTGCGATCATGTGCCCAGGGGTCCATCCTGTCCCTCTTGTCATCTCCGTTGTCCCTCCAGGGAGCCGGGTCTCGCTCTTCCTCCCTCCTGGCATAGGGAGAGTGCTCCCAGGAGTCCCGGCCATTGCCCCAGTCAGCCCGGGAGGGGCCCGGAGGGCTGTGGGAAGAGCTGCAGGAGGTGAAGCTGGGAGTGTGGGACCTCGGGGAGAGTGACCGGCTCACCGGACTACGAGACCGCGGCCTTTCTGGGCCATATCTGTGAGGGAGCCAAGGAGCAGGATTTAGAATCTTCACACCTCCCATCCCACCCCACCCACACACAGACACACAGTCTCTGTCTTAGATATACTGTGCATGTAACTGTGTACACTCTTAACTCCCAACTCTACAGAACCACACAGAGTGGTTCAGGAGAAAGCCTTTTCCTCCCTTCTGGCTTCCGTGCAGAGGACTTCTCCTAAGCACAGCACTGGCCACTCGCTGTGCCTTTACTCATTCTGCTCCTGGGAACTAGGAAGAAGAACTGGGCTGATTTGGCTCGGTTCCAGCTTGCCTTCTCTTGGAAGGGAGCTATGCTCAGGGAGCGGACCTCTGACTCTCCTCCTGGGGGTGTGCGGGGTGGGCGCTGGGGGGCAAGATTGCCCTAGTCCAGCCTAGTGGGTAAGGCTGCCTAACCCTGGGTGCCATTAGCCGGCCTCTTAGCTACAAGACTTGAAGCCACTCCTACATTTGGGCTGTATCAGAATGAAGCCAACCTCTTAGCCTCCAGTTTTCTCATTTATTTCTCAGCTCAATTTATGCATGGAAAAGGGATGCTAACTATTGGGGAGGGCACGCTCAGAGGTTAAAAAAAAGAATTAGGAAGGCATTTTAGGGTTGGAAGATACTCTAGAATCCTGATCTACACGTCTGAGATGAAGAAACTGAAACCCAGACAAGGACCCCAACCTGTGTAAGGTTCAGAACAAGACTTCCTAACCCCCCTCCACTCTGCCGCAGAATTGCAGGTGGCAAGATGTGGCTTTACACGTCTTTAAAAAACCCAAATAATCAGAATTTTTTTAAAAAAACAGACAGACTAATAAACAAATAAAGATTCCCAGCCTGAACAGTTACGTACAAAGATATACGCACATATATACAGATACACTCTGAAGGCTGTTTGGTTATTAAGCAGGTCAACTGAGTCATATATCCGATATTCTAAAAGGATGGGCATTTTTTCATTAAGTTCCCAAACACAGGAAAACCACGTAGCCCTCACTGACCAGGGGACACCAAGGTGCATCTTGCTAGGACCAGGCTGCCTTGACCATCATGGGGGAAACACCCTGGGCTTGTGCCCTCTACAGGGAAGTGACAGCACCGACTGTGGCCACCCCAGCAAGAACCCCAGGACGTGCCAGCCAGGTGCCTGCTCCTGCAGTTTTCTACCTTGGTTCTCTTCAGGAACTGTCTTTGTAGGGGAGTGACAGTGGTCAACTTATAGCCCCAGCTTGGCCTGATCACAAACTTCGGTTGGAAGAAATGGGTTGGAAAACTGAATATATTCAATGTTTCGAGAAAGTGACTGTTCAAATAACTGATTTTTTTTAACCATCTACATTTTACTTCCTACATCTACATTCAACTTATGAAAACCAAGAGCTGGTTCTAAACGAAGCCACACGTACACACACACACACACGCACACACATGCACACACACACGCACACACGCACACACACACACACACACACGCATTACTTTTAGGCTGTTTTAATAGGGTGTAGACTTGCCCCAAAGGGCCAAATATTAACAGACCTTTTCCTATATTATTTTCCAACAAAGGGTGAGGAGCTGAAGGGAAGCTCAGCATTTTGTATTTTCCTGAGGTTAACCGGAGCAGCATGTCTGAACTGGACTGGTGTTTTTCATGGGGAACATGGAAAAGTGGGACCCAGAAAAGCAGATGGATGGGGTAGGGGCAAGAACAGGGCACAGCATGACTCAAATGCCCCTAAGAATGAGAAACAGGAGTCTGTTCCCACTGCCCAGAACCTGCCTGGAGACTTGGGGCTTGGGGCCTCACCTGTCTGCTTCCCGGAACATGTCCCTCTCCCTCTGGGAATGGATGTCCTGGATGATGGCAGCCACGGCCTTCCCGGGTTTCTAGCAAAGTCAGAGAGATCACCATCAGATCAGAGATGGCCTTGCAAACACCTGAGGGAAGCAGCTCTGACCTGGGTCATTCATTGCCTGGTCCACCAAAAGGGAAAAAATACCTTGTGTGGGGAAGACAAAAGGTGTAATCCAACGGATGAGTGTGAGTATAATGCTGAACTGGGTGGGGCTGTGTGGCCCAGAGAACACTGAGTGGTCCATTGAGCTGGGGAAGGAAGGAGCCTGGTGTTCACATCCATGTGCTGGAGACAAGCAGCATTTGTTAATACCCACCTCTGCCCGAATAAAAAAAAATTAAAATGTGAAAGAAAGAAAAGGACAGAGGGATGGAGGGAGGGAAGGAAGGCAGGCAGGCATGCATTGTAAACTTGGAAAGACTTGAAGATCATTGACTGCAGCCTCCGCTTTTTATATCTATGGAAACTTAGAGCCAGAGAGGTTGAGGCAGGGTCTCTGCTCTGCACAGCTCCAGGGTCACCAGCCACCCTGTGTTCCATGCAGTTGGTGACTCTTGGAGTTGTATTGGGTTAAGGAACACTTCAAGGTCACACAGATAGTGAAAAGAATCAGGACCTGACACCAGGTATTTTAACTCCAAGTTCCTTTCCATGCTTTCCATGCTCTGTGCCCCCTTCAACACCTCAAGCACAGACATCAGCTGATGCTCAAAGTAAATCTGTGAGGAGGGTGGCATAAGCTGGGAGTCGGGCTTCACAGCTGAGAATAGTAGGCAGCCAGGGCTCCATCCTTCCCAGAGGTCATTAGACGGTGGCTATGCCAGGACAGGACCAACCCCAGCCCCCCATTCCCGACCAAAGCCCTTTCCTAAACCCAGAATGGACACATGATAACCAAAATAAATAAATAATAAATGATTTTTAAAAAGAAATTCATAAGCACAAAAGGCAACAGGAGCATCTTCCTGAAGACTATGCAGAATTCATCCCTTACATAAAAATGTAGCAAGCAGAGTGAATTTTATGGAATGTGAGTTATATCTCAAAAAATAAAGCTGATTTTTTTAAAGACCAAGACTAAAAACCCTCAGTCTATGTAAACTTTTGATAATGAGTTTTATTAAATTTAATCGACTTTTTTTCCTTGATTTTTTCTATGTAATTTACAAAGAATCATGCAATTTTTTTTTTTTTTAAGAAACGGGGTCTTGCTCTGTCACTCAGGCTGGAATGCAATGGTACAATCACAGCTCACTGAAAGCCTCAACCTCCCAGGCACAAGTGATTCTCCCACTTCAGCCTCCAAAGTAGTTGGGACTACAGGGGCTCACCACCACACCAGGCTAATTTTTTTAGGTTTTATAAAAGACAAGGTCTCGCTATGTTGCCAGGGCTGGTCTTGAACGCCCGGGCTCAAGCAATCCTCCTGCCTTGGCCTCTCAAAGTGCAGGGATTACAGGCATGAACCACCACGCCCAGCTAAATCATGCAATAAGAGCCATACAAATGTTAAAAAGCATCACGTATCTCATTTGACAGATGGGAATCTCAGGTCCAGAGATGTGATCTAGCTGGCCTAGCATGGTATGAGTGCTCTGAGTGGCGTGGCTGATTATCTGTTATTGTTGAGATAGAGGGTTGGGCTGGGAAAAACACAGAGTAAAGGTGAGAATGAAGGAGGAGCTGCCTGCAGTTTCAGGGAGAGAGGTCAGGACACAGAAAAGAGATATAAAATGTTCAAGTGAGGGAGGGACCTCACCTCTTGTCATATGGAGATGCAAAATGAAAGAAAGTCAAAGAGAAGGCAGTGACTCCTTCAACTGTGCTTGTGAATAAGTCAGAGGTTTTAGAAGTCAGCCAATCCCCCATTCAAGAAAAGGCCCAGGAACTCAGCACTGGGCAGGATGTCCACAAGAAAAGGCACCACAACTTTGGCAAATGGTCCCTTATGTCAAACTGGAGCTGTAGAGATCAACCCTCTGTAAAGCCCATGAAAGTGCCACCTACAAATTACCAGATCACCCAAGACTTGCACTGGCCTCCAGCACCTCAGCCACTTAAACTGGACCTTGTTCAGACCAAGGCCAAACAAGGATAGAAGCCAAGCCTGTTGGTGTCGGCCAAGAAGAAAGCTGCTGCCCAGGATGTCTCCTCCCACCCCACCGTGTGGCTAGAGACCACTGGTCCTTCAGCCAGGGTCGGTTGTCACTTGGGGTAGAAGAAGAGGCTCACTTGGAGCTGACTGCACTTGATGTGGATCCCACCAAGCAGGTCTTCTTCCTGCCTGCCCACCTTGGGCCACACAATGAACTCCGGCTACTGTATCATCAAGGGAAAGCCAGCTGGGATGGCTGGTCCCTGAAAGGACCTGTCACAGCACTGCCTTCACACAGGCACCAGGGGAGCAGCAGAGCTTGGGAAAGCTGGTGGGAACCATCAGGACCAAGACCATGACATGAGATCTGCCATCGCCGGGAAGCCACACCCCGGGTCCCTCCCAAATCTGTGGCTTGCACTGCCAAGCTAGAATAGACAAAGGCTAAAGAATGTGCCCCCAGACTGGCATAAATGTATATGGCAATTCTTCAGAACATAAAATTCCCCATGGGAGTTGGATGGGGAGCTTTCTGTTGTAAAAAGAGTCCCCAAGGTTCCAGTTTTCTTCTGCTCTTCTGGAACTTCATATCCTCCTGGTTATTCCTTCCAGCCCAGATCCAGGAAAGACCGACGTGGGAGGAGGATGGTCTTGGCAGGGAGCGGCTGAGGTTTTGCAGATTACCCATGGCAGAGTGACTATGAGGGTAGGGCTCAGGTGCATGGGGGCAGGAGCAGGTCAGGCCAATGTCAGGGCCAGAGGCATTCCACGAGCTCTTGGTCCCTTCTGCACGTTGGTTATCACAGATGGCACCCCCAGGCCCTTCCCCTCAGGGGTGCCCCCAGTGAGGGGCAGAGCGGGCTGATCAGACACTGCAGATGAAAACATCCTCTAGTGGCCCATGCAGTTTCCCAGGGGTCAAAGAGGTGCAGTTAGAGTGAGCTTAGAAGAGCCTCTCCTTGGCTTAAACATTCCTCTGCCCCTTATTTTCTTAACCACAGAACCTCCTCCTGGGGTCACTTTCAGCCCATACCTCCTGGAGTTACTTCTATCCGGATCCCAGGTCCCCAGTGAGGGGGCCCCTGGGCTGATAATCTTCACACAGCCAGCACCAGCACAGAGCCTGGCATGGAGCAGGTGCTCCCTAACACTAATCCCAAGATGCATGGCTGGAGAGATGGAAGGATGTGGCTGCAGAGAATGAATATGAATCTGCAAATACTGCACGCTGGGGCTAGTGGTCACAGGTATTGTGATCCCTCCTGAGGATCAGAGCATCAGTTCTGCTATTTTAGGTGGTAATTGCAAATTGTTTGGTGCTCTCTGGACCAGCTGCCAGCTGCCATCTGAAAAGGGGACAGAAGTAGCCAAAGATTTTCAAATAAGAGAATTGACTTCGGAAAGCCCTAAGAAAATTCTCTCCACCTTCCTCTTTGGCCAGCTTCTGTATTCTGTGGGTAAAGGCATAAAGAAGGCAGGTGAAACAAAGCTGTAATCACCCCAGAAAAATTGAAATGGGAGAGAAAAGAGTAGGTCTATGATAAAATTTTGGTTACCTTTTCATTGTAGAAAATTTCAAACATACACAAAAGTAGAGAGAATGGTTTACTGAACCCCGAAGAATCCATTACCCATCTTCAGCCAACAATGATGACTAATCTTGTTGCATTTTGATATGGTTTGGTTCTGTGTCCCCACCCAAATCTCATGTTCAATTGTAATCCCAGATGTTGAAGGTGGGGCCTGGTGGGAGGTGACTGGATCATGTGGGTGGTTTTTAATGGTTTAGCACCATCCCCCAGTACTACTCTCGTGACAGAGTTCTCACGAGATCTGGCTGTTTAAAAGTGTGTAGCACCTCCCTGCTCCCACTCTAACTCCTGCTCTGGCCATGAAAGACATGTCTGCTTCCCCTTTGCCTTCTGCCACGACTGTAAGTTTTCTGAGGCCTCCACAGCCATGTTTCCTATGCAGCCTGTGGAACCATGAGCCAATTAAAGCTCTTTTCTTTATAAATTACCCAGTTTCAGGTAGTTCTTTTTTTTTTTTTTGAGACGGAGTCTCACACTGTGTCCCAGGCTGGAGTGCAGTGGTGCGACCTTGGCTCACTGCAACCTCTGCCTTCTGGGTTCAAGCGATTCTCCTGCCTCAGCTTCCCAAGCATCTGGGATTACAGGTGCCCGCCACCACACCTGGCTAATTTTTGTATTTTTAGTTTAGGTTTCACCATGTTGGTCAGGCTGCTCTTGAACCCCTGACCTCAAGTGATCCGCCCACCTCGGCCTCCCAAAGTGCTGGGATTACAGGCGTGAGCCACCACGGCCTGGCCTCAGGCAGTTCTTTAAAGCAGTGTGAGAACGGACTAATACACATCTGTACTCACCACCCTCCTTCCCCACCCCCTATATTATTTTGAAGCAAACGTCAGACATTGTTATCTTTACATCCATTCTGTGATGACAATGATTCCGCTCAACAGCCCCACAAGGGACCAACTACAGTGCTCAGAGTTAACACATCTTGCTGCTTTTAAGACAAGGGTGAGATTCCAAGCCCCATGCAGTCCTAGAAAAGTGCTGGCATATTAAGAGGGAGGCACCACCACTAGGAATCTCAACCCAGGAAGAGCAGCCCCAGCCCTGCCCGCACCTGGCTAGGTCACCCTGGGTCAAGGCTTATTGCCGATGGGAAACTCACTTTCTCCACCAGTGAAGGTGGGTTAATGAGGCCCATCTGGCATCCACCAAAAGCCTCAGGGCATGGCAGGCTACACCCGTAAAAGTCACAGAGTGCTTGGCCAACATGAAGGGAGCTGCTGGAAAGTTTCATGCCCTCTGACAACTCCACACCTGTTTTACACACTTCAAGAGTCCTGGGAAGACACTGAAACCTTCTAGATGAGCCCAGAACTCATCTGAGCCAGATCCTGTCAAGGCAGCCCTGACTGTTTCAACATTACCAGGCTTTCTAGGCTCGACATCATCACTCACCCGACTCCTGCCTGGAAGCTCTGTCTCTCTTTAGCTAATTCTCCCCTTCTTCAAGGCCTTGTTTAGGAATCTCTTCCCTTTTTCACACCCCTCAGTCACACTGCCTTTTGCCATGGAACTTCTGGTAGCTCCTGTACTTATGCACTCATGTTTAAATCTTGTGTAATTTTGCACAAGAATAATTTGTCTCCCAGTTGGAGAGTGAACTCTTCCCAACTGAGAACCATGTCTTGTATTGCTTTGTAACTATCAGCACATAGAGAAGACTCTCAATCATCTTCCCAACTGAGAGCACCATGGACCATTCACAAGACTGCTTCCCAGGGCCAGAAGCCCTCTCTGTAGCGAGGAGGCTGGCAAGACCAATGGCTCTGAAACCAGACCCTCTGCCCTCAAAAGCACCTGGGAGTCTCATTCCCACCCGAAGCCTATTGAAGAGAATCTCTGGGCAAGAGGACTCCCCCCACAAAAAATCCCCTGATGACCCTCTGATGAAGTGACTGGGAGACACTGGTTTAAATTATTCCAAGTTCACTTCTGCATCAGAGAGATTATGATTCCATACTTATTGACGAAGTTTCCATAGAACAACCCAGAATATATTCCAATCATCTTGTCCAGGTCTGCAGGAAGAAGGCTACTCACTTTTTGTTGTTCCTTCAGATTTTCTCTTTCTTATTCATTTTGCATATTTATTAAACATCTATCATGTGAAAGGTTCTGCCTCAAATAAGCTGAGGAACTCCCTTGCCACAGGAAGTATATGGGGAGATAAGATATGTGCATGAAGAAATATTCAAGAGAGGAAATGAAAAATACCTTAAAATCTCTCCCTTCTCTCCCTATACTTTACCTGGTGAGCAAAAGATAAAGTTAGAGGAGAAAGAGCAATCAGAATTTCTCCCCACCTCTGCAAACCCTGGTGGGACCTCATATGCAGCCCCTTTGGCCCAGAGACACACATGGATACAGTGTTTGCCCTCTACCTTCCCGGTAGCCACTCTCCCTCCTCCTGATAGCAGCTGTTCCTCCCTCATCTTGCTCCAGAGCTCTAGGTGGGTCTCTGTCCCAGCTCTGAGGATGTAGCAGATGACACAGGTCCAGCCAATCACAGCATGGCCTAGCCCTGGCCAGAGATCAATTCAGGAATGTGCACCTGTGCTAAGCTAGTCCAGTCAGAGCGACTCTCTCTCAAAAGTCTCAGGACTTTTGTGGGAGCTTCTAGGAAAAAACTCTGGCTTTCTCTTGTTGAAGGAAAGGGAAGGGGGAGAAAGAGCTGCTGAGGTCACTGTAGCCATCATGCCACCTAGAGGAGAGAGCCTGGGCTGCTACGGCCCATCCCAGGGAGCCCCCAGTAAACAAAGCCAAAAGAGCAGAAGGCAGCGTGGAGAGAAACCAAGTCCTAATGAGGGTCTCTGGGTCCTGAATCCAGCCGCACCTGCAGCCAGATCTACTCCTGGACGTTTCATTTACATGCATCCATAAATTCTTTTTTTTTTTTTTTTTTTTTTTTTTTGCTTAAGCCAACAGGCTTAATGGAGATGAATTTCTGTTACGTGCAGACAGAGTGGCAGCTGATTCATATCAACATAGGGACCATAAAGCATGCATTACTATGTAGTTGAGACATACATTAAGTTGTTTTCACATCTGTTATTCCATGCGACCTTCACAATGCCTTAAGAGGGAATATGGCAGCTTGGGGAGCAGAAAAGCCCTGCTAAAGATCAGAAAATAATGTGTTCTGCGCCCTTTCTATTCAAAGTGTTCTCCGAGGACCACCAGCAGCAGCATCTCCTGGGACCTCGTTAGAAATACGCAATAACAGCACTACCCTAGATATGCTGAATCAAAGTGAGTTTTCACAACATCACCAAGTGATCTGTATGCACACTGAAGCTTGAGAAGCTCTGTTAGAATACTATCTCTGCGGCTTCTTGGCTGGGTGACTATAAGCAAATTACCTGATTTCTCAGGTTTTTTTCACATAGACAACAGAGATCATGATAACACACTATAACAATGCAGCTTTAGTGCAAAACCAAAACAGCACTAAGTTTTAATCATAGCTCTTCCAGTAGCTAAGTACAATCCTGGGCAAGTTCCTGAATTTCTATTAGCTTCAGATTCCTCATCTGTAAAACTGAGATAATAATACCTGTCTAACAGGACTGATGTCAGGATTAAATAATGTATGTAAACTTCTTTGCCCCAGAGTACCGGGACTCAATTAAAGGTATACATTATTGTTATTGTTGTACTCTTATAATTACTGCTATTATACACCCTACACACTTCACAGGGTACAGTGATTACGAGACTGAAAAGATAATGTATGAAAAAAAATACTTAAAGCCAAATAACTCAAAGTATAGTCCTTTCCTGATCTGTAAACTGAGGTTCACAGAGGTTAAGCAACTTTTCTAAGCTCACTAAAGCAGGAAGCGGTAGAGCCCAGGCTGACATCACCATCTTCCAATCTAGGATAGGTCACATGGTTGTCAGTGGTTCTTTGTTTATTTGCTTTTTCTCCCACCAGACTGAGCTCCTCGCCAGCTTGCTACTTCTCCCTCCATGGCACCTGGCCCAGTTCCACCCACGGTGAGCACTCAGTGCACATTTGCTGAAAGCAAAACTCGACCATCTGACCTCTTTAACCCATGTTTTTTGCACCACCCCAAACTATCTCCCTCAGGAAGGTATTGCTATGCTTTGGTACTTTAATTTAAGAAGCCAATTACTGCCGTTAATCCTAATTAGAAACTTATGACAACATCTCATTTGGAGACCAAAGCTCTACTGGGAACTTAGTGTAGAAATTCAATTCCAGCCCCCAGGGAAGAATCCAGGAGACCAGGAACTTTGGTTGGATATAGAATGGGGTGGGATGCTTACTTGTCTGAAAGAAGCAATATACTTTTATTAGGAAAAAAAAAAAAAAAAAAGCCAGGTTCTGCCTGAAGGAGAACTGTTAGTAAAGGAATTTCAGAGGCAATGATGCAAGCAAAGCAGATTCAGGACTCTGGAAGCTGGTTGACACAGTGCCCATCTACATATGGAGACTTGTCAGAATGCCAGTCCTAGCCAGAAACATCCACTAAGCCTTTGTCTTCTAACTTCAACCTTGAAGGTGGATTAAGGCCTGTGGGTCTTAGACAAAATGGACCCTAAGTCAATGTGGAATGAGCTAAAGTGAACGGGAAAATCCCTATTAAATGGAACAGTAGAAAGCACAAAATAAGAGGGTAGATTCAAACACTAATACAGCATTAATTACAAGAAATCCAAATAGACTACGTGCTCCAGTTAAGAGAACTCCTGCAAACCAATAAGAAGACACAATGCAAAAGAAAAGCATGGGCAGATGACCTGAAAAGAAACAGCCCATCAGAGAAGATCCAGATGGAACAGCCAACAAACAGATGAAAAAGTGCTCAATCTCCATGCGCAATTAGGGGAATAAAATATAAAACTGTGATAAACTGGCCAGGCACGGTGGTTCACGCTTGTAATCCCAGCACTTTGGGAGGCTGAGGCGGGCAGATCATAAGGTCAGGATATTGAGACCATCCTGGCCAATATGGCGAAACCCTGTCTCTATTAAAATACAAAAAAAAAAAAAAAAAAAGTAGCCAGGCATGGTGGTGTGTGCCTGTAGTCCCAGCTACTCGGGAGGTGGGGAAGGAGAATTGCTTGAACCTGGGAGGTGGAGATTGCAGTGAGCCAAAATTGCACCACTGCGCTCCAGCCTGGTGACAGAGCAAGACTCCGTCTCAAAAACAAAACAAAACAAAACTGTGATAAACCATGATACTCTCCCACGACAGGCAAAAATTTAAAAGTTGGACAAGACAATGTGTTAGCAAGAATGTGGACCATTGAAAACTTTTTTTTTTTTTTTGAGACGGAGTTTCACTTTTGTTGCCCAGGCTAGAGTGCAGTGGCACAATCTTGGCTCACTGCAACCTCTGCCTCCCAGGTTAAAGCGATTCTCCTGCCTCAGCCTCCCGAGTAGCTGAGATTACAGGCGCCTGCCACCACGCCTGGCTAATTTTTGTATTTTTAGTAGAGACGGGGTTTCACCATGTTGGCCAGGCTGCTCTTGAACCCCTGACCTCGTGATCCACCCACCTTGGTCTCCCAAAGTGCTGGGATTACAGGGGTGAGCCACCACGCCCGGCCGAAAACTCTAATACACTACTAGTAGGAGTATAAATTTGAGACAACTAATTTTGGAAAGAGCTTGCTATCATCTAGGAAAGTTGAGGTAAGCATGCCTTATGATGCAGCTATCTCAATCTTAGTTATGTATGTACCTCTAGTTATATGCTCAAGTGCATATATACCAGGATGACATGTTTGAGAAGGTTCAGATTAGCCTTGTCCCTAAAACAACTCAAATGTCCATCAACAGTAGAATGGATAAACTGTATAGCCATACAATGGAAATGTATATAACAATGAAAATAAATAGACATGCCCAACAACATGGATGGCATCATGTTGAATGAAAGAAGCAAGATCTGTAAGAACACAGCATAATTCCATTTATATAAAGTTCAAAAACAGGCAAAACTAAACCATAATGTTTAGGGAGGCATATACAGGTGATAGAACTATAAGGAAAAGCACAGATATGATTATCATTGAAGTCAGGAGAGTAGAGAGGGAGGGGTTGAACAGGAGGAGGGACTCACGGGAGCTTCTGGATGCTGTCCATATTCTATTTCTTGACTTTGGTGGTGGTTTTACGGGATTTGTGAGATCTCACCCATTATTACTTTTTAAACCATACAATATATAATCAGCCATTTTTCTGTGTGTTCTGTTATACTTCACAATAAAACAAAAAAGAAGGAAAGAAAAGAAAGAAACGTAGATCAGCTAAAACAAAAGCAAACCCTGGTTTGGAACTATTTGAATGCATCCCTGAGTTCTGACAGTGGCCAATTCAGCCAAGGGCTGCTTAGAAGGACTTCTATGAGGCTTAAGACGTAAATATGAAGGAGAGAGAAGAGAACAAGAGATCAAGGGGGTGACAGAAGAAGAAAATGTTACTGAAGGTCTGTATAGGGAGAGAAGGTTGTATTCAAGGGTTTATGCCTGGAACTCTCAGCACCTTTCCCTTCTGACTTCCTCCTTTAAAAGTTCCCCTGTGAACATCTTCTTCTGGAAAACTTTCCTTGGCTCCCAGGTAGTCTCAGGCGTCTCTTTGCACTTTGTATTTACCTCAAGAGCACTTTTCTTGCCATGCTGCAATGGTTTGCCTCGAGATCCTCAAAGGCAGTGTGTAATTTCTGAATCTTTTCCTATCCTCTCCTTTCCACCAGCGTTTAGGTCAGTGCCTAACACGGAGGAGAAACTCATCTGGTGCTTGTTGAATGACTGAATGAGCAAGATAATGCTTTACCTTGAGCTGCAATTCCTTGTATCTCTTGGACATCCGAATGAGCAACTTCTCACCATTGATCACAGCAGATTTTTCTTGATAATACTGGACCATGGCCTGTGCAGCTTCTGTGTAAGCCATCTCTAAAAAGGCCTAAGAAAGAAAGGAAGGACACTCACTGGACTTGACTTTAATGGTCTTAAACAAGATTCAGCACAAGGCATGATTCCACGTCTATGAAGTTCAAGAACAGGCAAAACTAATCAACGGTGACAGGAGTTAGCATTGAGCTTCTCTCTCAGGTGGGGATGGGGAACTGATGGAGAAGAAGCATAAGGAAACCTGACATTCTGGAAATGCTCTATATCTTTACCTGGGTGTTAATTATATGGGTGTACACATGTAACCGATTAATGGAATTGTACACTTAGGATGAGTGTACATTATGCACTGTAGAGTATGTGTTTTATACCTCACTTAAAAGGAAAAAAAGTCAGCACAAGGAAGAGATCTCTTTGATCCCATCTGTTCAAAGAGACCTTTTTATAAACATCACCAAAAGAGCTCATTATAAGATGGCCCTTTCCTGATCCCCAGGGTTACCAGACATTGTTATTAATTATGTATGTCTGTCCTGGGCTACATCATGCCATGGAATACCTCTGAGATGGAAGAGCCCACTAACCCACATTTCCCTGGAGGGGCAGTTGCATATGTGGCCTTGAGCTGATCCCTATAAAACTTGCTCTCTGGTGGTGATGGTGACAGCAAGAGACACAAGCTTTGGTTATTTGAGTTCTACTTTCCTTATAAAAAAATTCAGGAACTCACAAACCCCTAGGCTTGAAGGAAGGCCATGTTGTTGTGAGTTAAAGAAAAAGGAAAACTTCCCGATTATGTTTCCACAGCATCTTTCTTCTTTATTTAACTGCTCTGATAAAACACAGACAAATGGGCTTTTCCACTAAACCTGTGTCTACTGAGAGTTCCAAAGAGACCGTTTTGACTGTGCATCAGTTTACCCCAGTAGTTGGTGTGGTGAATTTGTTGCTGCTATTGTTTTTTGGATTTGTTTGGTTTGTACTATACTGACAATATACTGATCCTGATTCCTCAATGCTGCAGGGGAAAAGGGGTCGGTGACAGGGAAGCCCTCACTGTGAGCCCCTGACTCTCTCATTTCCTTAAACTAAATGATCTAAACAAGCTCATTCTCTTCCTTCTCTCATATTTATTTCTGAATTTCAGATGCACAGCTTTTCTCCATGCTGTCATAGTCTATGGCATTAGCGTGGGCGACTAAGAAGTCAAGATTCTTTAGGGTTTTATTTCACATTCTGCCACCCAGCTTTCTCAGTGCCTTTTTCTTGATAAACACTTTAGCACCTCTAGCTCTCACTTGTCAAATGGGAATAATACTAATCTAGGGACTCTCACCACATCAATGTTACAAGCTGAATTCTGTGCATTTACCCAAAATAGAATTTCTGAGAAGTAGGAACAGAGACAAGTGAGTAGTCTCACTCCAGGTTGATGGAGAGAGATAGCTTAATGACCTGATGTGGCTATGAGTCTCCAAAGTTCAGCCTTCTTTAAGAAAAGAATTTTTCCTATGCCTGTTCCTCCGATTCATAAAGTAAAAATATTCATTAAAAGATAAAATATTCTGATTTCTGACTGTTGGGAGTATAAACTCCCCACCTGACTTTAGAAATGAAGACAAAGGTACTCCATCCCAAAGGGCTCAGTCAACTCCTACAGGTTAAGGATTCTTAGTTCCTTAGACTTAGTAAGCATCCATCCATTCTCACACTCCTACTCTCCTGCTGTGAGACAAAGGGCCTCACCTGCTGACATCAAGGACCAGGAAAAATACCTAGTCCCAAGTTCTTGGCTGGCTCCAAATCCAGGCCATCAGATAGGAGAGGCTTAGAGGATAAGATTATAATTAGCTCAGGGGGGTTGACAACACAGTGAAGAGATTCAAGTCCATAGATTTTTATTTTGGGTGCCAATTACCCTTTCTATGTGAATGAGCACCTCATTCCAAAGCATCTCCTCTCACCTCTAGGCAATTCACAAAGGCCTGTACCTATCACTAGAAGGTTAGAGTGAAACTAGGGGAAACAAAAAAACATCACCAGCAAAAACACCTACGCCATGCCAACAGAAGGCCAGCTACGGCATCGCCTCTTTATGTTAAGAATGGCTTCTTTCAAAAATTATATCGTTCCCTTTCACTAATGTGTGGTCTGTGGCATATACACTGGAGTGAAAGTACCCAGACCTACCTGATTAGTCGACTTCATGAGGATGTAATTAGTGACCTTTCCAAAGGGCAGCCCCAGGTTAATGACGTCATTCTCAGTGCAGCTTCCTTCAGGGAGATTGCAGATGTGCACCACACGGCCAGCCCCTTTCCGCTGTGCAAACTAATGGGAACAAAGATCATTAGTGGTATTCAGAAGACGGTTCCCTTTTCCCCTCTCTTCCAGACGTTCTTAATGGCTATCTTTCCCCTAAACAATGATTGTAAAACTATAATTTACAAAATTAATGCAGAAAAAATCCATTCACAGACACACATAAAATATCAATTTTATTCTATCTCTTTACAAAAGGATTCATTATATATATATATATTTTTGAGACCGGGTCTCACTCCCATCACCCAGGCTAGAGCGCAGTGGTGCAAACACGGCTTACTGCAGCCTTGACTTCCAGACTCAAGTGATTCTCCCATCTCAGCCTCCCAAGTAGCTGGGACCACAGGCATGCACCACCATTTCATAATAATGTTTTTTATAAGCAGTAACAACGAGGGCTGTGGAGGATATGAGGAAATGCACATATCCATATGTTGCTAGTGGGAGGTTGAGTATCTGTAAACTTTTGAGAATATACTTTAGCAATATTAAATAAAACAAAGTATACAGAGCCCATGATCCTGCCATTCCACTCTTAGAAATGTATCCTATAGAAATAATAGCACCCCAATATGTGATGGCTCATGTGCAAGAACATTTATTACAGTAATTTATTAGGTGGCAAAAAATTGGGGGAACAGCCTGAATGTCCAACAATAGGGAAATGTTTGAGTAAAGGATGGCTCAATCATAAAATTGAAAACTACATAGCCATGACAAGAAGGAGGTAAATGTGCTGATATAGAATAATTTTTTTTAAGAAGTCAGAGTCTTCCTGTACCACTCAGACTAGAATGCAGTGGCACAATCATAGCTCACTGCAGCCTTGAACTCCTGGGCTCAAGCCATCCTCCCGACTCAGCCTCCCGAATAGCTGGGACTATTGATGGCTTGAGCCATCACACCCAGCTGATTTTTTAATTTTTATTTTTTGTATAAACAGGGTCTTGCTGTATTGCCCAGGCTAGTCTTGAAATCCTGACCTCAAGTGATTCTCTCACCTTGGTGATATGAAATACTTTTTAAGACAGATTGTTAAGTTAAAAGCAGGTTACCAAGTGGTATGTGTACTATAATGCCATTTTTGGAAAACAAAAATATATGAAAAAAGACAGATGAAGCAAGTGTTGTAAAATTTTGATAATTATTGGAATTGGGTGATGGGTATACAAGGATTAATTATACTGGTCTCTACTGTTCCGTATGTTTAAAAATTTTTGCAATAAAAAATGCTTAAAGAATATCAGCACATACAGACAAAGATGTGCAGCATATATATCAACCTGTCAATGCTGGTTATCTTCAGAGAAGCAGAATGGGAAGGCAGTAAGATGAGACATGCTGAACCTTCTTCATATATACCTCATGTTGTTTGACTTACAATTCCAATAAAGAAAAAAGAACATAGAAAGTTTGTGGGAATCTAATACATATGCATTGATATTCACAGCAAAAACCTGTGGTTTAGGGCAGTGGTTTTCGAAATATTTTTAGCTTGGAGTCCTTTCTTCAAACAAAACTGGTTTATCCCAATGTATTCAACAAATAAAAGAGGAGCTATTCTGGTCAAACCTTGGGGTCCGGCACCCTGGCACGACCCCCACCTGGCAGTCTCAAAGGCACCTCTAAGGAACACAGTTTGGAAGCCAACATTTGGCCCTAATCAAAGCTCCTGGAGGGAGGAAGTGTGTCTGTCTGTTTTGTGCAAACCTTAATCAGCCTGGAATCTCTGGGAGGGTCAAGAATTAGTAACCATAAGCCAACCCAATGTGGAAGAGAAGGATATAATTTTCCGAACCTGAAACACATTCTAATAGCATAGTCTCCATTTGCATAATCACAATTTTCTATGTTAAACTGAACTTCTACATCTAATTACATTTGATGTGGGGCCGACTCTGCTAAGGTAATACAGGGGGAAAGTCTAAGATGTCACCCCTAACAAGGGCTAATACTTGGGTAATTCTACCATGAAAAGCCCTCATTTGTCTCATTTGAGCTGAAAACAATTACAGTCAATAAGAATTTCCTTTTATGGTTCAGCCCTGAATTGTTGAAGCCCAAGTGCCTCTTTCCGACCTCCCACTCTGCAATGTCCAGAGGTCAAGCACTTTCCCAAAGGGGAGCAAGGATTCAGGCAGCTCCCAGAGCAGCTCCTCATCTTCCTAAAGTGCAAATGGACTCTCCATCAGCTAGGAGACTTTGAGTCTGAGCCTGGCTAGTGAGGACTGAACCCTTCTGCAGAAACGAAAGGAGGAGTGCTATTAAGAAGCAGAATCTTTGCCTCCCATTAGTGTGAGTGTTCACTTAAAGATGCAGACACAGCTGAGCTTTCAAGCAGGGTAGAGTGGCTGGTCCTCTGAGCTTATCACAAGGACGGCTGAGGCTAGGTGCTCTGCCTGGTCTCTTAGCGAGGCACGTTTCTGCCCCATGTGACTTTGCTGTGGTTGGCCTGTGCTAATGTGTGCTTGGACAATGGAGCAGACACCCAAGGCAGTTCCAGGCCTATCCTGCTCCTGGCCTATCCAGTTGCCTAGTGAACAGGCATGAGGGCCAGTGCCTCTCTCATTGTCTCCTCCAGACTGAAAGGACAACTCAAGAGGCTTTTATTGGAACATAGCACAGCAACTGCTGCTGCTGGGTAGTAGAAAAAACAACCTCGCAGCTGCCAGTCACCAAAGAAGAGAAGCATTCATGCTGAAGATGTCGTTACCAAAGGCACTAAGTGAATGGGTCTCAATTAAAATTTCCAGTCAAATTTTAAAAAGACATCTTCTGAGTTCTTTCTCTTCCAAGATTTTAATCAGAAACAGATGCTGGATTTTACCAATTCCCTTGTTGTCATTTATTAAGACACTAATGAGATTTTTAGTATTCTTCCAGATAATAGTAATTTGGAGCTTTCCAATTATGAGCTACATCAACTGCAAATGGTTATAGGAGTGCCAAGATATTGATCCCTCAGGCTGAAGGCCAAGTTCCTCCAGTGATCATGAGTAGCTTCTTCAGTTAAACCATTTACTTCAGCAGATTATTTTCTAAGTGAGCCATGAAATGAAAATCTTGAGAATCTCTAGGTTAATAGTTTGCTTTTGTGTGGTGTCTGGCTTCAGGGCATGTGGTAAATCCTATCCAGTTAGAAAGATAAATTAATTTTTATGTGTTCTATTCTTTTGCCAATATTTTATTTAGGATGGTTCATCAAATTCTTTTCTGCCATTGATCTGAAATATCTTTGGGTTGTTGTTGAACTCCATTTAGGTTCAAAACCATATATGATTCATACAAGATGTAGAATAGTAGCTGTTTTCACTCTATTCTATTCTCATTACACTTTACATAAACATGGCTATTATTTGCCCTATGCCCTGTGGGAGATCTGAATCATGAGGGAAAAAGGGAGGGAGCGAAGGAGGAAAGTGAGAAGGGAAACAGGCGGAGTGAGGTCCCTGAGTGGTACATCAAAAGTACAGTTTGTACATCAGGGGCACCGGCAATCCTGAGTGCTCTTGAGCAAGCGTCACCATGCTACGCAGTAATTCCCAACCCGGGCTCTCTTATAAGCCCTTAAAGGTCTTCAAAGGTAATAATACCACAGGAAGCAGGGGGCTAAACATTATTCTTTACATTGAAAAATGCGAGTTGAGATCGTACTTTGAATTTCTTTATCAATATGGTAATGTGGTGTTAAATTCAATTTGGCCTGAGGATGCCTCCATACTTTGAGTTCTTATGTAAGGAACTGCATTTTAACTTAGCACATCACCTAGGTGAAAGCCTGAAGTAGTGTACTTTTCTAACAAATAGCTGAGTCTCAGCCAATCACAGCAGCCAAGCTTCAGTTAATCACAGGCAGCCAACGATCAGACCATGTTCAAATTAGGCAAATACGGAGATGTAACCTATCAAGCTGTTTCTGTATCTGGCTTCAGTTTTCTGCCCATAAATGCTGCCTGCCCACGTGGTGCAGCGGAGCTCTCTGAACCTCTTCCGGTTCTGAGGGCTGCCCAATTAAATTAAACTCTGTTAAATTTAATTCATTTACAATTTGTCTTTTAACACTGGTTAGCTCTTAGGCTAATCAGAAAGTCTAATTGGTGTGTCTCTGTCTTTGATTAATAAAAATGGGTCACCAGTTAGTTACTCATTAATACAAGTACTTTGGCAGATAAAATCTTTCCAAATATGAAGATGCGGGACAGTGGCTGCTTGGGGTGGAAGTAAATAATGAAAGGCGACTTGAGCTATAAAAAGCTTGGGACTTTCCAGTGGAAAGAGCATCCTCCTAGAAGACAGAGGGCCTGGGTTCAATCCCCAGCTCAGCCGCTGATTAGGTGCATGACAGAGACAAACTAGTTTCCTTTTCTGAGCCTTAGTTTCCCCACGTCTGGAACGAGGGAGATGACCTATAGGTCTAAAGTCCTTTCCGGATGTAAAAAATATATATGCTTATGTGGCTCTAAGTTCTAAAATTCCACTCCTCCCAGATGCCTTGACAAGCTAAACCCCAAGAACCAGGATAATGATAGCTTTCTCCAACTGTGCTCAGTATAAACAGGAAACCCATGTCTTTCCCACTCCCTGTTCCAATGAATGTAATGTTTGTCCTCTCTCTCTGTGTAATTGGCTGTTTAACCATGCATCCATTCCCAAGCATGTTCATCTTTCAGACATGTTTGTCTGTGTTGGTGGTAGTCTCATCTTTATAGGACTAAAGATAAGCTCCAAGCAGTGAGCACCTTGTTTATGAATCCTGCAGCTCCATGAATAATTCTGCTGCCACGGTGGCTAGAAAGAGTTGAGAGGATACACAAATGAACTACAGACACCTGGGCCTGGGGCCTCTCTGAGAACAGACTCATGTCAAGTGTGTGTTTTATAGTCACCAGGCACCAGGGTCAGGGCAGTGGGAGAATCAGACAGACCTGAGTCTGTGTCTGCTCCCTCTGTGACTAACTGTGGGCCAGTTACTGAATTTCTCCAAGCCCAAGTTGGCTTGTCTGTAAAACAGGGGTAATAAAAATTGATTCCACAGGACTGCTGAGAAGATGAAATGCCACCGTGAATGTACGGTGCTTTGGGGCAATGCCTGGCATTATGCAGGCTCCTGTAAATAATGTTTATCTCCTTCCTCCACCCAACAGTTAAAGGATGTGTTACAATGATTCTGCATTGGGAAAAAATATTGTTGTGATTATGTAAGAGAAAGTCTGTATTCTTAGGAAATTCATGCTGAAAAAGAAGTGAAGAGGTACAATGTCACCAACCTACTCTAAAAATAATGATTTAGGGGAAAATGCACAGCTGATCAAATGATGGATACATAGATAGATAGATAGATAGATAGATAGATAGATAGATAGATAGATAGACAGATAGAGGAAGATAGAGAAAATGACAAAGCAAATGGGGCAAAATATAAAGGAGTAGTGAAATTAATCTGGACAAAAGTTATATGGGAGTTCCTTATACCTTTTTGGTAACTTTTCTGTAAGTTTGAAATATATTAAAAGTTACCAAAAATAAATTTTAAAAGACATACTGTAGGGGAGAAGGGCAGGTCAAGGTGTTGATGGGCTCTGTCTGCTGAGTGCCAAGGAGCCACACGTAAGACAGGTGCACTGAAAACTTTCCAGCAGAGGTCACATCTCTAAGAGAGCTAAGTTGCAGGGGTGTGACTAAAGCCTGAATTACCAAGCTAAAGGGACAATCATCCTTTTTCAGCCTCAGGGAGGCTTTAGCCTGCCTGCAAGCCAGCACTGACCTTGAGTGCCCCCACATGGGATCGGGGGCCTGGGCTGTGCATTTTCACATGCGGGGGCTGCACCTTTAAAACCAGATGGTGCTCCTGATCGTTCATATGGCTGGGTCCCAGACCTCTCAACTGACCCTCAACTCTTTTGTAGCTGGGGAGAAATGCAAAAGAAGCAAACAGACTTGTATATGAAGATTCTAAGACCTTTCATTGCCCCTTGGTGCAGGTAGAAATAGCCTTCACAGATGAGTTCAAATAAGAGGCCCGAGTTCAAATAAGAGGCTCAAGTTCAAATAACTTAGAGTTGCCGTAAAAATATGGCTTAGGGCAACAGGCCTGCAGGGTGAGAGAGGTCTCTCAAACTGCCTCCTAGAGCTGCAAAGTGTAGATTCCATCTTCAGTAAACGATTTCTGTGCTCCAGCCTGATCTGTCTCAGATGTGATCTAATGTTATCTGGCACAGAGTCTGTGGGCCTCTGCTGGTTTTGTTCTAAACATGCCTAAGAGCAGATATGGCAAATATTTATCTCTCATGATGTTGATTTATAACCTGTTATGCAGAGAGCAAGATGTTGATTTTGAACCTATCATGCAGATAGCAAATGGTTGCAAATTCCGTAGCTATGGATCTTGGCTTAACTTGGAGGGTAGACACAGTTGCCTTTATTGATGCTTTCAAATATTTTATAGAGCATATTAGCTCTGACTCAGAGTGAATTTACTTTTACTGGTAAATCCATAGGATTGCCTACGGATCTTGGACGATTCACCTGTTTAGCAGCTTCAACATCCCTGGAAACTGTAGAGTCACAAAACGTTAAAATTGGGAGGTCATCTGGTCCACGCTGTATATGAGGACACTGAAGCCTCAGAGAAGTTAAGGATCTTAATCTGTGGCCAATTAAACAGTGGCAGATTTGTGATTAAAACTCAGGTGTCACTGAAAAAAAACCTATCAATCGCAGACTTGATAAATTAAGGTAAATACAAAAATGAAGTTACACAATAAGATAGGAACTATTTACGTTCTGATGTGGAAAGATGTCTAGAAATCGATTTAAATATATATTGAAAGCTTATGTTAAGTGAAAAAAACAAATTGTGTAACAGATTGTATGACGTTATCTGGTTTGTGCCCAAAAAATTACTTTTACTAATGAAACATGTACACATACACTAGCTAGAGAGATATATACTTATAACAAAAGCATTTAACTTCTGTTTTCTCTGCAAAGTTGACTTTTCTTTTATATTTCTGTTACTGCTAAGATTGTTTACACAATGTTCACACTGCTTTTCCAACAAGAAAAAGTAAGATTTGTAAAAAGAACAAATTCCAAAACAAAACCTACCCAGGTCTCCTGTCTCCTCCTCTTTGCTCTCTTTGAAAAAGCACAAGGTGGCCCTTGCTGGAGGGACAGGAGCAATGACAGAGCTGGAATGGTGGGGAGGCGGCTGGTAGTATATGCCACATCAATTACTAGTCCTCATGCTCAAAGAAGTCAGGAGACCAGAGCGCTCTAAGCCATGCATTCAGAGGGCCAGGGCAGACAGATGGTGTTCCAGAAACAGCCAGTAATCAGAGTTGCAGCCTGTGACTTACACCTCTGGCCTTCCACAGACATTTCTATTTTCCTGAGCCTCCATTTCCTTATTTATACAAGTTCCCCAATGTGCAGGGTCTTGGCGAGAAATAAATAATAAAAACGATGTGTATCATCCCAGGTCAGGGTGGCCCATCTGTGACACTGGCACTAAATAAACTCCAAGATGGTTGTGAAAACTGCAAGGTGGCTTTACAGGGACAGACACAGAGAAAGTGCACCTCGGGCAGGTACACAAAAACTACTAACAGGCTGAGAAAGCCCCAAGGCCCCTTCCAGAAACCTGATTACTCTGTTTATGACGACTCAGTCAGCCAAGGAGAAAGTGCCTGGCCTCAAATGGCAGGAGCTTAAGTGAAAGTGAACACCTATCTCTGGGGACCCTAGAGTGGGATGGGAGGGGCTGAGGACAGACACAAATCACCCTACCAACAGCAAACACAGCATACAACTGTCAGTGCAGTGTCCCGTCTCTGTCAAATATAAACACGCGAGCCTGGGCAACATGGCGACACCCTGTCTCTCCAAAAATTAGCTGAGTCTGGTGGCACATGCCTGTAGTCCCAGTTACTTGGAGGCTAAGGTAGGAGGATCGCTTGAGCCCAGGAGGTGGAGATTACAGTAAGCCATGATCATGCCACTGCACTCCAGCCTGGGTGACACAGCGAGACCCTGTCTCGATAAATAAATAAATAAATAACAATAAAAAGGAAAAGAAAAGAAAATGAGAAAAAAAAAACCTAAACAAAAATAAATAAACAAACAAGGCAACGAAACACTCAGACTCCAACACAGGTGGGAGAAGTTTAAATGCAGCCAAGTCTGTCCCCAGAAGGGCTTGGTGGCAGTGGCAGATGGTCTTTGCGGTCCTTTTAGATTTTGTGGCAGTTCGGATATAATCTGAAGGCTCATTTCCAGAGCTCCGTGTCACTTTGGTCTTCTCTTGCTTAAAAACAGGGAGCTTTAGAGGCAGTAACTGCTCTTCGCTCCACAGACATTAGTGATATGATCAGACAGTGGCAGGATCCTGGCTGTTCCTGGTTTTACTCAAAAAAAAGTGTTTCTGAAAAGATGCATGTAAATGGAATCAGACATACAAAGTGCTGGCGCAGGACCAGACCTCACTTGTGGAGGAAAATGGGATCTCTGTGAGGGCTGAAAGGGAGACAACCGGGGAATTTCATTCCCCTCAGTATTTCTTTTCTGTTTGCATTTTCACAATAAGCATAAGTTTTGTAAGCAGAAAAACATTAGAAATGTATATGCAAAAACAACTCACTGGGCATTCATTGGAAACTGGAAAAATATCCTTTGGCAACAGAGTAATCACCCCTTATCTTTGGGGTGATATCTTTGGAGGTCAGTGTTTGTAGGCAGAAAGAAAGTCAATAGTTTCTCTGAGGGACTCTTCTGCTACTTAAAGGAGACTTGCAAAGTATTTTTCAAGAGTGGATTAATCATTTCTCCATTTCTCAGCTTGTCTTCAAATGTCAATGTTCTCGCATTTCAGGTTTTCCTCAAGACAGATACACCTGCATTCAATTCCATATGCTGGCAATGGCAAACCGGGGGACCAGCGTCTGACAGAAGGATGTGAATGAACATCAAGCCACTGACAATGTAGGGGTTGGCTGGGGCAGGCTTTGTCCTTGTCCCTCAGATAGGCTTGAGGAGGCTCATGTGACCAGCAAGATGTCACAGAGGTTATAATGATAAAACCAGACAAATGCTGACTCTCCCCTTCCACTGGGTCTGTAGAAAAGGCCTCCAAACATCTGAGTTCATCTTGGCAGATGCTGTCAGGGTGCAGAAGAATGTGGATACCAGGTGTGGCTGGCCTCTTCATCTTGCTCCATGGGTGGCCAAGGCCAGAGAAGTCCCTGTCACCTGCAACGCAGCCTCAGAACCTCCCAAGCGGCTTGTGGGGTAGGGAGAGGGGGAGGTGAGAGGGGCTTACTAAAGAGGAGGATCACAGCAAGGAAGAGACCCCTCAGATCCTCGCAGAGAGGCTGCAGGGCTTAGTGGTTACAAATGAGGCTTCCAGAGCTAGGCTGCCTAGGTTCAAATCCCACCACCTCCATTTACCAGCTATGTGGCCTCATATAAGGTACTAAGCTTCTCTAGGCCTCAGTTTCCCAACTGTACAATAAGGATAATAATAGTATCCACCTCATGGGGTTGTCTAGAGGACTAAATGAGCTAATACAAAACAAAAATGCTAAGAACATATTGAGTACTATATAAATGTTGGCTGTTGTTTTTATTATCATCCTACAATGACTGGGGCTCTCTGTCCCCTCCTAGCTCCCAAAATGTTAGCTCTCTGTCCCCTCCTAGCTCCTCGCAGAGAGCTGTCCCCTAGGTCTCTGTCCCCTCCTAGCTCCTAGCAAAATGTTTCCTGCGTTGCTTCTCACCAGGCTCAAGCCAGATAAACTCCCCATCTCTAGGTGTTCGGAGGAAGTGGCACTCAGAGCTTCGAGGAATTAATTAGAATCAACACACAAATCATCAGATAGCTTGTGCTTGCCCACTGGTACGTAATTTAAAAGTACATCCATGGGAACCTCAAAACATCTCTAAGGTGGAGCAAGTGTGACCCTGGGTATTACTAGACAGATTTGTGTAAGGGGAACACTGATACCAAGACTCGGACAAAATCCTATGGCCAGCAGACAGAGCCAGCCTTAGACAGCATGGGTTTCCCCCCGACTCTTCACAGCCAAAATGGGTTAAAAGCGCTCGTTACTCAAGAACAGCCATGGTTACTTCATATGTACTTGACGGTTCCCAAATCATTGTCCCTGATATTATCTCATCTGATCCTCACAAGGGCAGGACAATACTGGATCTATCCCAAGCCTTGCTCCCACTGTCTGGCGCTGGCCACTGAACCAGAAGCCTGGGCTGCAGAGCTGCATGGGATGTTCTGAGATTCGAGGAATAATCAAAACAATAAATTACACAAGCTGGATGGAAATCCAGTTGTTTACTTTATCTTCCAAAGGCATTATTGTTCCCACTTAAGGAAACAGAGCCTCAGAGAAGTAAAGTGACTTGCCTGGAGACACACAGCAAGTGGCTCCCAAAGTAGGACTTGAACTTAGGTCCCTAGAGCCAAGTCCATAGGAAAGGGTCTCTGGCTCAATGGGCAGCGCTGGAGGGTGGGGAAGAGGCCTGGGACAGACTGCAGAATGTCCTGCCTGTGTCTCTCCTCTCCCCATCCACCCCCCTTTATGGAGGGGCTCAGTTAATGCCATCTCTTCCCCGTACCCAGACCCCAGGTTGGAGTCAATTTACAAGCCCTGCCCCCTGCCCACCTGACACTCAATCCAGCCTCCCCCATCGTGGTCACAGTTCCTCCCCTTCAGTGCCTGGAGTGGGGTCTCAGGGCAGGGTTGTGAGCACAGAGGTGCCTCCATGGCCCACACCCCCATCAGGACACAAGGTCATGTTACCAGGAATCTGACCTCAGAGGACAGGCCTCACTGAATCTAGCCATTGCAGTCTCCTGGGACTGACCCGAAGCTGCCATTGACCTGGGCATGGCTCTGAGCGAGCAGAGTGCAGAGAGGGAAACCACAAAATTCTCTTTCACCAAAATGTGGGCTTCCAGACAGGGGCTCTCTCGAAGCGCTTCTCCTATTCAACATCACAGATCAACACACACAAATAAACAGAAGCCTGGGCTCAGGCAGGCCTCACGTCTCATCATGAACCACCTCGCTTTTCCGCTTACTCACTCCTCAGAGCCTGAGAGCTGCACTTCACAGCTTACTGGCCTGATGCTTTGCAATGCCAACACGTAGAGGGGACAGCACGTGGAGACATGCTCTTGTGAGCTTGTGTTCACTCGCAGGAGAAGAGAGAAAGAGGCTGCAGCAACTCACACCACAAAAGCACAGGCACAGGCTAAGGCACACAAACAGGTGCCCTCCAGCAGGGTTCAGACAAATGCATTTGTTTTACAGTCAGTTTTCCTCCCACTCCCCTTTCTCCTGCCCAGAGGAGAAGAAGAGGTCAGATGGGGGTGTAGGGTGGTGGCACAAAACAACTGAAACCCCAGAGAGAAGAGGAGCTGTCACCGTTGGTGAAAAAGGAGAGATGAAGCTTAGGAGCTTTGGAGGACGAAAATGTATGTTGCAGAGACAGCAAAACTAAAAACAAACAAAAACATCATACAGCACAAACCAGTTCCTCAAGGGGCCAACAAATGCTACTGGTGCGTAGTCCTTACTTTCACACACTTTCTGGTTCAAGCTTCAAAATTACCCTCTCATAGGAAATAATCTACTTCCATAAAACATTAAATAGTCTTAAAAAAACATAAAAAGCTCCAACTTTTTTTTTTCTAAGCCAGCGCTGAATGCTAGAAAGTCCAGGAATGCCTTGAATTTTAAGGATTTATGTCTGCTTCTTAAGTCATGTGTTTCAATACTAGATGAACTGGATTAAACAGCTCTTCACTTCTGTCTGGGGTTGTTTTTCTGAATGACACAAAGCCAGGTCAGCACCTCTAGGCCCAGATATAGCAGGTGATACTACAAACGCTTGACAACAACAATGACAATGGAGAAAATGGTTTTTTTGTTTGTTTGTTTTGAGACAGAGTCCCGGTCTGTCACCTGCGCTGGAGTGCAGTGGTGCGATCTCGGCTCACTGCAAC
The DNA here is from genome assembly GCF_000001405.40 of Homo sapiens. Classification (NCBI taxonomy): domain Eukaryota; kingdom Metazoa; phylum Chordata; class Mammalia; order Primates; family Hominidae; genus Homo; species Homo sapiens. The sequence goes on along the minus strand of NC_000010.11, from coordinate 110,785,491 downwards.
CTTTGCCTCCCGGGTTCAAGTGATTCTCTTGCCTCAGCCTCCCAAGTAGCTGCGACTACAGGCATACACCATTCATGAACCAATCTATGGCCAGAAAGTGTGATGATCTCCTTGGCTGCCTGAGTCACATGCTCACCTCACTTCTGGTCATGTCATCTTGGAAACTAGAGAAGTGTAATTCCCAGAGTGGAAAATTGAAGGGTACCAGGTATAAATGGGTCTAGACCTCAAAAGCCAGCCAACTCTCCACTAAAAAAAGTGTTAACATCCTCCCAGCCTGTGGCATGTCAGGTGCATACTGAGCATGAAGAACACAGTGCTGGGGAAAGCAACAAGCATTTCAGGGTGACTGGCACACAGAGAGGTATTTGAGGCAGGGCATGGTGGCTCACACCTGTAATCCTAGCACTTTGGCCACCTGTAATTCCAGCACTTTGGTTGACCGAGGCAGGAAGATCACTTGGGACCAGGAGTTAGTTCAAGGCTGCAGTGAGATATGATTGCACCATTGCATTCCAGCCTGGCTGTCTCAAATAAACAAACAAATAAATAAACTAATAATCATTTTCATTAATTTCTAGAGAAAATGTTTCCGTACTCACAGTTGTCCCCACAGAAGCCAAAGGAAATGTGGGGCTTGACTGAGTGAATGACCTTGCTGGAATGGGCACGTATGATGTTCCAAGATTTGAGGCATAATCTAAATGATGAATTACACAAAGTCAGTGAAAACCCAGAATGTAACATCAAAAGTCATTATTAGGACATAAGCAGGCATAGAAAACTGAACCTTTCCCCTTCACATATTATTAGTGATTGGCATGATTGTACCTCTGGACATGCTGATAATCAGCAAAGCTTTACGTCTCAAGTATCTCAGAGAATACTGATGGGCCCAGACAGCAGGCCCAATGCATTTTAGTGTCTTGGGATCTGTTTGCTTTCTACATCCGTGAGAAGGGGACATCAGGGAAGTCCTGGTTATTAAAGACAGGACATAATGTGCCTGTGGGTAGCCCACTTCTGCTTCAAGCTGCTGACCTGTAGGGCCTTGCTCACCTTCATTCCCAGCAGGGTTATAAACAGCTGTGCTGTTGGGAGAAGCACACAATGTTCCCTCTGCCGAACCAAGTATACACCGGATGCCAGCACTGGAGAGGGCGAGAAAGGGAAACCGGCTCCTTAATAAGTTAAACAAAGAATTAGCATGTGACCCAGAAATTCCACTCGTAGGTGCAGACCCCCAAATAGTTGAAAACAGGTGTTCAAACAAAAACTGTCCCCAAACCTTCCTAGCAGCCCTATTCACAATAGTCAAAAGGTGGAAACAATCCAAATGTCCATCAAAAGATGAATGGATAAACAAGAATGTGATATATACATGCAATAGAATATTGTTCAGTCATAGAAAGGTTGTACATATTACAACATGGATGGATGTACCTTGAAAATGTTATGCTAAGTAAAAAAGAAAAAGCCAGTCACCAAAGGCCACATATCATATGATTCCATTTACAGAAAAGTACAGAACAGGCAAATCCGTAGAGACAGAAGGCAGATTGGTGGTTGCCAGGGGCTGGCTTAGGGGGAATAGGGAGTGATTACTTAATGAGTATGAGGTTTCCTTTTGGAGTAATGAAAATATTCCGGAACTAGAGAGTGGTAACATTTGCACAATGTCGTGAATGTGCTAAATGCCACTGAATTGTATACTTCAAAGTATTTTCAAAGTATTTAAAATAGTAAGCCCTATGTGAACTTGACTACAATGAAAAAAATGAAAGCCAGAAAAGGGAGGCACACGCCCACGCACACACGCACTTCCGGCCTCTGCCTGGTGTTTTCTGCCTAGCATTTACCACCAGGGATGCTGTAATTTTCTTGTTCATTTTGTTTATCATCTCCCTGGCCCCTGTGAAGCACAAGCTCCTTGAGGGCAGGAACTTTGCCTGTTCTGGTCTCTGCTATTGCCCCAGGACTCAAAACAGCGTGTGACACACAGTAAATGCTCAGTGAATATGTGTTGAGCCTACGCATGAGCCTGTCCTCCTGAACAGCACTTACTTTTCAGAGAAGACCAGGCATTTCTGAGCGTGCAGCTTCCCTTTCACATGCAGCTCCCAGTCCTAGGTCAGAAGGAAAGAAAAGTGACCAAAGTAGAACTGAGTCCATGGGAAGGCAAAGGATGAGCACAGAGACACTGGTCAGGCAGGGAGCACAGAGCGCCCAGAGGCTGGACCACCCCTGCAGACACATCCCTCCACCCTTCCTCTCTCCCTCCCAGGCTCCTCCCACTGTTCCTGCCTCCCCATCCAGCCTTTGCTCCATCAGCTCCTCATCCATACATCTCATGCCCATCTTGAACAGGAGCCCAGACTCACAAATTGGATTCCCTCTACCCCTCTCAATGGACCCTTGCCCCCACCACCTACCTCCCACCTCCCACCCCTTCTCCTTTCCCCCAGGAAGACCCCACCTATTTCATATCCAGTTGGGAGAATCTGGCAGGTAGACTCACAGTGACTTACAAAGCCTTAGAAAAGGTTCATGAGAGACAAAATCCTTGAGCACCTCCCCGTGTCAGCTAGTCCCCTCCCAAGACTAGAGGTCAGAGGGCATGTCCTATCTGGGTCACAGGGATGCACTTGGATGGTGTGACCCAAACAGAGGTGAATGACATGCTGCAGTGTGACTCACACTCTGCAAGGACATTATTATGCTTTTGGACAGGATGAGAGATGGGAGGCAGGACAGCCCAGTGTTTAAATGGTGCAGGCTCTGAAAGGGTCAGGGCCACATTTGAATCTCCACTCTGCCACTTTCAAGCTGGGGAGGTGGCGGGGAGAAGGGGCTGAGTAAGTCATCTCATCTCTCTGGGCCTCAGTTTTCTCATCTGTAAAATGAAAATCATAATAATATCTACCTCATAAGAGTTACTGCTGGCACACAGAAAGGGTTTAATATATGGTATTTGTTATAATTGTTATTGCTTCAAAATATTTCACTGCATCTGCAATACATTTTTTGGGGGGACATTATACTATCATATACCTCTGTTTGCAGGAACTCAAAGCATTTCCCAACCACCGGGAAGGTGTCATGAGACTCTACCTCCATTTTGCTGATGGGGAAGCTGAGGCTCTCTATAATAATTTGTCTAGGTCCCAAGGGGGAATTAATCTGTTTCCCCTGATCCAAAATTCTGCTTTTTTTCTTTTCTAACTCACTACAATATGGGTACTCAAGGGGCAGTAGATTCTAGGCATACTACGGGGGAGAAGCCCTCCACGAGAAGGCAGGAAACTCCTGAGCCCCTTCTCTCTGCAACCCAGGTGGGGTCCTTTGCTCCCCTACTCAGCCTCAGCTTTCTCATCTAGAAAAAGTGTGTAAGAATTTCTGACTCACCTTCAAGCAAGGGACTGGTCCTGATACATTTCTGAAATTCCTATGGGTCCTAATACCTGTGATTTTAGTCAAGAATACTGATGGCAAAATTCTGTTACCCCAATGCAACAGTTCCTTGCCCATTGGCAGCGTGAGTTGGGTCATGGGGAAAGGCCTGCCCAGGCTTCTAGCTGTGGCTCCCAGCCTGTCTTGGACAACTCACCTTCAAATCAAACACCTTCTTGTCACAGATGCTACAGATATGCGGCAAGTGGAGGGGGGCCACACCGTGAAAGTCGTTCAGCTCATGAGCCTGCAGGGGCCGCACAGATAGCAACGCCTGGTCCTCCTTGGCCCTCCGCCCAGCACCGATAAAACCCTGTTTGCTGTTGTTAAGCCGACCCCCGAAGGAAGGAGGTGTCCTGTCTGAGGTTGGTTCCTCGGGGTCGTACAGCTCATAGGGCTGGTTGTGGGGTGGAGGCCACATGGGACCTGCTGTGAGATCAGGCTTGCTTTGGCCCGAGAATCCATGGGGGCTCTCCCATTGGCTGTTTGTGCCCTGCAGCAGTGGCCCGACCTCACTTTTCAGGCCCCCAGCCTGCTCAGCTGGAAATCCGCTGGCCACATGTGAACCTTGGGAGTTGGGTCCGTAAAAATCTTTGGAAAAGGCAGCTTGACCATCCTGCCCTGTGTGGCTGTAGTGCCCTTCATAGGTCACACTGCCCGAGGTTGAGGCCGAGGATGGCAGGAAGCCAGGCTGACCATCTGTTTCAGGGCCATATGTCTGGCCAGAGCTGGCTTTGCCATACTCATAGAATCCTGCTGTAGCTGGAGCAGGCCCAGTCTTGCCAATGCCCAAGATGACTGCTGGCTGGCCAGGGGTCTGAGGCATTACCCCAGTGAAAGGATGCATCACCATGGCACTGGGTGGCTGGTTGGGAAGGTTCATGGAGGGTCCGGGGCCTCGTGTCTGGCTGGGGGGTGAAAAGGCAATTGCATTAGAGGGAAACCGGGTACTGGGTATGGCTGCAGCATGTTGGGGAACCCCAGCATGGCCGTGGGGGCCAGTGATCACAGACGGATGCCTCAGTTGATTGAAGAGAGGCTGGGACATGGCCACTTTGGAGAGGACTTGGTTCAGGACTGTGGCGGCTGCAGTGTTGTTGGTGACAGCTGTCTGTGCCAGCTTCAGCCGGTGGAGGGTGAGCTGGGCCTGCAGTTGAGCCAGCTGGAGACTGGCAGGTGAAGGAAGCAGAGGGTTCGGGTTACTGACCGAGAATGGGTTCTTGTCCAGGAGCTTGGCGGCACTGTGGGAAGACAGAGGTCTAGATGCACAGCTGGTTTTCAATGAGGGGGGCAAGGGGCTGTTCTTTGTTATCTGTGGTCCCCCCTCCCACATAAACAAGACCTTCCCACACTGGTCCCACATACAAGTGAATCTGCAAAAACCTGTGCTCACACATACACATTAAAAAAAAAAAAAAAAACTCCAATGGAAAAATTATATGACAGAACGTTCAATCTCACTAGTAAGTAGAAACATAAACTAAAACCATTCAAAACAAATATTTGCCTAGCAAAATAGCAATTTTTTAAAATGGCACTCCGTGTTGGAGAGAGAGTAGAATAGGCACAATGTCAATGATAATCAACGCATACAGCTTTGTTAAAAGATAGTCTAACAAAATGCATTTATTATAGCCATATTCTTTGACCCTGGAATTCAATTATATAAATCAAAACTGAGAAAATGAGCTCAAATGCAGACAAAATTTGATACCCAAAGATGCTTAATACTATACTATTTAAGAGTCCAAAGTTGAAAATTACAAATATCCAACAATAGCGAGATGGGATTTGAACTGAGGAAATTATGATACACCAACATAATAAAATATTAAGTAACCATTACTATTGGTGTTCAAATTTCTACTTTATTATGTAACATTTAGGACATTCAAAAAAGAGTACACAGCACCAAGCTTAAGACAGAGAGCATTCCAATACGATAAATCTCCCTTGGTTACGTGCTCCCCCCACCTCACCCTTCCCCGTGATTGCCAATGGTAAACATTATCTTGAATTTGCCAAAGTCTCTGTTACAAAAAAACAAAAACAAAACCACTTTAATGACATGAGAAAATCTATATGCTCTAATGTTAAGTGAAAAAGGCAGGCTTAACAATTGCCTACAGAGTGAATCGTGTTTACATTTGTGCCAAACACATTTTCATCCTTGTCCTCATTTCACATCCAAAAGTAACATGAATTGTCTTCCTGTCTGAATATAGGCACAAACAAATTCAGCGTCTCCTATACTCTCACAACACGAACCACTTCTGACACTAGATGTGTGGGAGGTTTTCTCCACACACCAAGCAAGCAACCAGTTCTGCAGTGGACACCAGCTGGGTGTCTGCCAATTCAGTTCTGACACTACCTGGGGAAAGCGTCAGATCCCACAGGTTGATGGCTCAGCCCCACAAGACTGTCCCCCCACTTTGGATGTCAATCACAAGCCCCAGGTTGTTTTACTCATGCTTCTGACCAACTGGCTGTAAATCAGAATTAGACTAATTTGCTAGAGAGGCTCCCAGAACTGAGGGAGATGCTTAGTTTTACTGGTTTATTAGAAAGGATATATGACAAAGGATGCCAATGAACACCAGATGGAAGAGGTGCATGGGGCAAAGTGTTTGGGAAGGGGTACAGAGCTCCCACATCCTCTCGGGCACCCCCCTCTCCAGGAACCTCCACATGTCCCAGTCCTTTCTGGGTTTTTACGGAGGTTTCATTGCACAGGCATGTTTGATTAAATCATTGGCCATTGGTGATCAACTCTACTTTCAGCCCCATTCTCCTTCCCTGAGGTTAGGGGTGAGGCTGAAAGTCCCAACCCTTCCATCCTGCTGTGGTCTTTCCAGTAACCAGACCCCATCCTAAAGATACCTAAGGGGCTGCCAGACATTTGTCAGCTTATTAGCATACAAAAAGATATTTATCCGATTCCAAAGACTTTTGGAGTTTTATGCTAGGAAACCTGAGGAAGACCAAATCTCACAATATCACAGTTCCCTTCAACTGAGCTCTCAAACCTAACTAGTATAAGGAATAACCAAAAAATTACAAGTAAAAAAATCTGAATTTGAGGTAGGGGACAATAGCAGACTCTCACCGAATCTTACTGCAGAAAGGGTGTCCGTCTGACATGTGTCTTTCATGTGACCTATATTGGTTGGTTATAGTGGTTTCTGGACCAAAAATCAGTGTGCATGGTCTGGAAACTGGAAAGACTTTCCCAGAACATCTGGGATATGTGGTTACCACAGGCAGGGAGGGAATCTTTGGTTAAGACCACATTTTCCAGGTTTTAAATTCCCCTCTGAAAAGTGGGTGTCATCAGGAAATATGTTCAGGATGTTGATGAACTGGAATTCTGGGACATTTGAATGGGAAGAAGGGGACTGGAAAACTGGAAATTGGAGTTGCCATAAACAATGCATGCTGTACAATAAGCATGCTTAGGCAGTACAGGGTAGACACTGCACAACTGGGACACCTTAGTCTCCACTGTCACAGGTTCTGTACAGTAAAAATCCAATGATAATGGAACAAAAACGAGAGAGGCTGGGAGCTAGCTCAGCTGAGGAGGAAAAGGGAGACATAGCAAGTGACATGGGTTGCCACACTGTCTTGTTGGAAGGGAGTTCCCAGAACATCAGGCACACCCACATTTAAATGTAAGTACAAAGCACATTTGAGAGCCAGATAAAATGCCTTTGTTATTCTTTCCCATTTGCATGAAAAATCAAAAATTGCCTATAAGTTGTTAAAAAGACACCACCTTCCCCAGCCAGCAGCCCTGCTATGCTCCAAGGGCAGAACAGGCTGGCTGCATTTTAAAATATGGGGGAAGAGGGCACTGAAAGTTAAAGGTAGTTACAGCCCTGTTCTCCTTTGGGGAGCCGGGCTGGTTGCAAACAAGCCTTGGGGGTCCCTGGGTGACCCAGCACAAATTCAACAGCAGCAGAATGGGGAGCGACCAATGTCTATGTAGGCAAGAATACGGAAGGAAGAGGAGAATGGATGGTCAAGAGTCTGATGATAGATTTTGACTTGTGTAGTATTAAGTAGCTGAGCTTTAGAAAAGCAATTAAGCTTAACTCAAAACCGTGGCCACACAGGGCCAACTCTTCCTCCCAGGTTTGTCCATCATACAGCCTGTTCTTGCTAACAAGGCGATAATGAGGTGCCAAGTTGGTTTCCATGACCAGAGTAAGACAAGGTTGGTTTTGTTTTTCCCAGAGAAGTCAGCTCTATTTTCTAAAATTGCATTCTGGGCAGGAGGGAGCTCTTAGTAGAGATTCCCCTTTGCCACTGAAAGGACACGTGAGGAAGGGCTTTCCAACTAGGAAAGCCAGCCATGCTGGGTATTTGCAGGTCAGCCATGGGAAACCTGTCCTTTTCAGAGTATGGCCCAGGTTACAGACGTTAACCCATTCAGATTCCTCAAAAAATAAGAAAACTAACCAGGTTTTCTTCTTAATTTTTGCTTTGACTAGGAAATTTTCATCATTCCCAACTTTAGTCAACCTTGAGTAGAAGTGATTTCACATGAATCATCAGAGCTGAGCACCTGCTTTCATCCAAACACCCTAGACAAAGAAGAAAAAACACATCATACTATTTTTAAAGCCCTAAAATTCTTAGCCTGCAATAGTTAATAACCTGAAATTGAGGTGCATATAGTAGTGATCATATTTCTGAACCAAAAATTGGGGTGCATGATCTGACACCCCTGGAAGCTGGAACTGATGTCTCCTGCTGTCTTCCCACTCCTTAGTTTGTCACTTTTATATCACTCAGCACATCCTGTGCCTTGGGTTAAAAATAATTGCGTGCGTGCCTTTCTACTCCACCAGACATAAGTTCCACAAGAGAAAGGAGTGTGTCTTGGAGAATCTTGTATTTCCTCAGCACACTGCCTCCCACTTTATGGGCACAAAGTAATTGCCGTGAACAAAATGAAGAAGGAAGATAAGGGGTATGGCTCATCAGAATCTGGTGGCTTTGAGGCAATATGGACACCTCTTTTATGAGTACCCAATTCTGTGGAGAAAAACCCACAAACAGCTCAAAAAGGACAATCTAAATACACCCAAGAAGCAAATAAAACTAAACCTACAAGCAGGTACAAAGTCACCTTCCTAGGTCACTATCTACAATTTCCCACTCCAATGCAGGAGCTTCAGTACACTCTTTCTCTGTCTAAGTTCAGGTTTTTAAATTGAGTGGATAATCCCTGCAGTAGGCTGAATAATAAAAATGTTCACATTCTAACCCACAGAGGCTGTGAATATGTTATCTTACATGGTAAAGGGGACTTTGCAGACATGATTGAATTAAAGATCTTGATTATCTGAATTTCTGAATTTAATTTGGTATGCCCAATGTAATCACAAGAGTCCTTCTAAGACGGAAGCAGGAGGATCAGAGTCAGCGAGAAGATATAAGGATGGAAACAGAAGTCAGAGAGGAGAGAAGATGCTTTGCTGCTGGCTTTGAAGATGGAGGAAGGGGCCATGAGCCAAAGAAATGCAGGAAGCCTCTTAGAAACTAGAAAAGACCAGGAAACAGATTGTCCCTTAGAGCCTCCAGAAGGAACTAACACCTTGACCGTAGTCCAGTGAGGCTGGTTTTGGACTTATGGCCTCCAGAACTGTAAGATAATACATGTATGTTATTATAAGCCATTAAATTTGTGGCAATTTGTTACAGCAGCAATAGAAAACCAACACAATTCCCAAGACAATTAGATGCAAAAGTGGCTTCCACTAGAGAGGCGGTGGTAGGTGTAGGGGCTGACTGGACCTTGCTGGTATGAATTGATCCCCCCAGAGTACAGACCATCTGACCAAACATCCAAAGACCCTCTGGGAATGTAGTCAGGGGCCAATTCTGCACAAATAGGGGCCCAAGCAACGTGTCTCAGACCTGGCCAGTCCAAGAACCACATCCCTCTGGCAACAGTGATTGGCTCATGGGGGAACACTCTCGGATACTTTGTTAGAGCTATCAGGCATGATTCTCTGTCATGCCATGGTTGCTAAATTGTTGTTAAGCCATCACTTAATGACAGCCTGCTTGAGAATAAAGCCAACTCAGAAGATGCTGGCCTGAAGACAGAGGTACAGGCAGCTCCTTGATGACTTCCTAGGAATGCCTTGAGCCAGCTTCTCCTGAATCCACCCTGTACTTTGCTGGACATGAAGCAATGCATTTCCTTTATTTGCTTAAAGAAAGCCAACCTACGTAAACCACGGGCATTTAACCATCTTTTAAAGACGGTTCCTGTCTGTGGCCCACATTGACTTGAAGGTTCCTGGTCACCCTCCAGTTTCCTCTGCAGGAGTGGACTGACTGTGAGGACCCAGTAGTTGGAGCTACAGGGTCACTATCATCATCATAGGGAGAAAAGAGGATTAGAAGATAAGGAGTGGGCAACTGCTGAGAGAGGAGGCAGCAGGCATGGGGATGGGATTTGAGGGATCCAAGAGAGTCTTAACATCTGGTTGGTGAACCAGGACTTAAAGGGCTGTGGAATAACAAGGACACAGCTGAAGTGCAGTAGAGTGAATGTGCGTAGATGTATCAGCAGGCTCTCTCCTGGTAATGTCCAGCCATCCAGAAGCAGGAGCCAAGAACCACAGCCCAGAGCATGGTAGTGCCTAAACTCATGCACCGGCCACATCTGCAATAAGCACAATATCTTCCAAGATAACCAGTTCAGGAATTTAAATTCACTTCCAGTGCAACTGGCTGAGTGGTGAATGCGCCATTTCTTCTTTTGTGCTAAAATATAGAAAGTAATCGAGGTGAGAGGGCTGATGACCAGGCAAGAAAATATTTTCTAGGTATGACCACACTATAAAGGTGTGGCCAAATAAATGCAACGCTGAAGGTCAGATCTTTAGAGCAGAGTTGAGAATTTATGATCTTTCCATGTCTTTATGACACATTCTGCTAGTGTCAACACAGGAGAGACTTAAAGCAAAGAGAGGATTAATGTCAACTTAACTAACAAGAACTACATTATAGTTTTCCTTCCTTCTGAACCATTTTTCTTTAAAACATTCCTTATTTATGGTATTTTGGTGGGAATTTCTTTTTAATATTTATCTTTCCTAGATCAAAAATTCTCAACTCTGCTATAATGCTTTCAGAAGCTAGGTCAGAATATGAACTAGAGAGGGACATTCCTGAATGTCAGGTTACAAAGGTGACAATGACAACACAACAGTCATATTGGGGCTAAAGTTCAAACTCTAGCTAGTGATCACACTTTAAGAGTGAGCTGAGGCCTTACAGACAATTTAGTTTAACTCACTCATTCTACAGACAAAAACAAAACAAAACAAACAAAAAGAAAACAACAAAAAACAAACAAACAAAAAACCGCAAAAGCCAATGAAGTTGGCGTCCTCTGTGAAACCGCCTAAGTCACACACCGAGACAGAGAAGAGCTGGGACTGGAATGCAGGCTGCCTCTGTCCTCAGGGCTGATGGAGGTAGCTGTGGTCGGATACACGCCTATCAACATATACCAGATGAATTCTCTCTTTGCAAGGAGAAGATGAGGCCACACACCTTTTGGATAGTGCTCTTTCTTGATAACAATAGGGCTGCTGGGTCTTCACTAGCTTGGCCTCTGTGACTAATTTCGAGACTACTGGGTCAATGCTGCTATTCTGTGTTTGGGCCTTAGCCATGACATTACCATATGATGATTCATATCACCATGACACCTCTTGGAATGATTCATAACAGCAATATAATCCTATCATCTCTCTTTTGTTTTGTGTTTTTCAGTTGGTGTGTTAATGAGTGTTCTCACTTCATTAGCTGTCTCATCTCCAGAACAGCCATATGGACAGCTAAGTCAAATATGACCATTTCCAGTCTATAGTAAGAAGACTGAGACCAAGAAAGATCAGATGAACCGTGTGAGGTCATCCAGTGAATAAGGGACTTGACTGGGACTTGAAGGAGGGTTTTTAAACTGTAAGGCCAATATTCTATCCTCTGTTTACACGTTCATTAAAGGGAGCTCCAAAAACCACATTTCTGGGCCTACTTCCTTTGGGCCAGTTAAACATGAGTTTGGGTTAGTTAAACATGAGTTTAACTAACATGTTTGGTATCAGATCCCCGGGCTTTCAGTCCACTGTGCTCCGTACGTCGCTTATCAGGCAGAGCACAGTCTCAGAACCAGGGGACTATGCAGTCACAATGGGGCAGCTGGTGGGTTTAGAACTGACACGAGAGGCCTGCCTTTCATGCTGGACTTATTAGAACGGCTCAAAACCTGCCAAAGAGAACTGATCCTGCAGCAAATGCAGAGAAAATGATACACATTCTGCTAGTGTCATCACAGGAAAGACTTAAAGCAGAGGATTAATGTCAACTTAACTAACGAGTCCCATAGTATAGTTTTCTTTCCATCCTTCTGAACCATTTTTATTTCTTTGAAAATATTCTTTATTTTTATAAAATGAGGGTATGGTATTATAGGTGAGAATTTATTTTTAATATCCATATTTGGTTTTTTTTGAAAATTTTAAAATACAGAAATATGAAGAGGAAAACAAACACTTATGAATTCAGTGCCCATTATCCAAAATGAATAAATGCTACTGTAATGGTCATTTTGCTTCAAAATTTTTTAATAAAAGAATATTTGACAGATAAAGCTGAAGCCCCCTTTGAGACTCTGCTAAGTTCAATCCCACCTTCATCTCCCCAGTGACATCCACATGTGGTGTGTCTATCTGTCTGTGTATCTGCCTGTATCTATATATAGAAAAAAAGCAGGAAAATAAGGGATTTTTCCACATGTGTGCATTTATAAAATAGTGCCTAGGACTGATATCAACAAAATTTCTCCTTAAGAACAAATGCATAACCTACCAAGTTTCCTCTAACACACTGAAGACTGAGAATAGCGCAATGGAGTGCAAAATCAGGAAGCTAGAAATCAGAAGACCTGGGCCTGGCCCAACAGCCCTTATTCACTCCCTGTGGGATCCTAGGTCAGTTAGTTTCCCTGGATCTCAGGGAGTTCTTTTTTTTGTAAAATGAGAAAGCTGGATGAAAGGATCTCTAAGGTCCCTTCACCTTTGAAATCTGATAACTCTAAGGTTTAATTTCCTCATCTGTCAAATGGAGATCGTAATGTCTGTTCCACTCACTGTAAAGATCAAACGTGATGTGCAGGTGCTCTGGAAAATATGATAATTATATTAACTATCATTATCATTGCTCACAAATTCAGCTATTTCTGCACCTGGCCACTCCTGGGAGTGCTTTTAAAGAAACCATTGTTATATATACAGTCATGTGCTGCTTAACAATAGAGACATGTCTTGAGAAATGTGTTGTTAGGCAATTTTGTCATGCGAACATCATAGAGTGTACATACACACCTAGGCTATATGATATACCCTATTGCTCCTAGGCTACAAACTTGCACAGCATGTTCCTGTACTGAATGCTGGAGGCAACTGGAACACAATGGTGAGTATTTGTGCATATCTAAATATGTTTAAACCTAGACAAGTACAGTAAAAATGCAGTATTATAATCTTATGGGACCACCATTGTATATGCCATCTGTTATTGACCAGAACATCATTATGCGACCCGCGACTGTATATGGCTTCGTTCAGAGGCATGTGTTGCAGGCCAGACAGCATGAAATAATTTCATTCTCTCTAACCTTGTTCTGTTAGGCAGTCAGTTCAGCACGGAGGCTCTCTTACCTATATCCCTGAAGATTTAGTAAATGAAATACCAAAAATACTTTATTATAAAATTCTCTCATCTACAAAGACATTTCCCAGATGGACCCACAGCTTTCAGAGTGAAATGTGGCTCAAATCCATTTAGGACAGGAGTTGGTTTGTCGGAGATGCAATTATTAAGAAAATCCACAATGGGCAAAAATTAATTGGTTTTGTGCAGTCTCAAATTGAGGAAGCTGGTTTGACTTCTGGGGTTAGGGGAAATCTTTCCATTTTCTCGGTAACATAAGATCTGGTGACCTCTCAACTGAGAAACTTTTCTTGGGAACATCTGAGTCTTTTGTAATGGAAAAATGAGCTTTTCGAAATGTATATTTTAAAACTGCTATGCAAAGCATTTGGTTTCTCTAAGAAACCAAATTGCTAATGTTTATACACACAAAGAAATACATAGGGATTTATAGATCAATCCTGGCCCAGTGATAGAAAATGTACACACAAGCATTGATGCCTTGGCATATACTGGCCCCTCTCCCTACACAACCTCCTCCCTACTCCCCTTCACCTAGATATCTACCATACTTTGAAATGTAGCTCACAGGACACCTCCTCCAGGCAGCCTTCTCTGGTTTCTGCTCCCATCCAGTGTGCACTGATGTCCCTTTCATGATCTTCAGAATGCCCTTCTGCTCCATCAGCCTCAACTGTACTCTCTTCTAACTCCACCACCTGCTCTCATAATTGTCTACTGAAGCACTTGTCTGACTTTCCCACTGTCCCATGATCATTCGAAGATAGGAACTATATGTGTCCCACACCACATCACAATACCTAGCACATGGTAGGTGTGTGGAACCAATAAACACTTCTATTCAATGGGCTAGGCATGGTGGCTTAACGCCTGTAATCCCAGCACTTTCGGAGGGTGAGGCAGGCGGATCACTTAAGGTCAGGAGTTCTAGACCAGCCTGACCAACATGGCGAAACCTGGTCTCTACTAAAAAAAATACAAAAATTAGCCAGGCATAGTGGTGCGCGCCTGTAGTCCCACCTACTCGGGAGGCTGAGGCAGGAGAATCGCTGAGATCACACCACTGCACTCCAGCCTGGGCAACAGAGCCAGACTCTGTCTCAAAAAAACCCACAAAAAAAACCAAAAAAAAATTTATCCATGGACATGCCTGCTCCATGTATATGTGTATGTAGATAATAGCTGTGTGTTCTCCCTTCGTTTTCTTGGCTTAATGTTCCCTGTGTATTGCTACAATGCTTTGAAAGATGAAGCTCTACAGAGAATGTGGATTAGATTCAGTCTTTGAACACGGACAAAATTATGTAAATATCACTAACCACATCAAGTATAAAATTGTAAAGTATTCAACAAACAGACTTCTTGTCACGTTTTTCCTTTTAACCAAATCGGAAGAAAATGCAATTTCAGTGTGTGCCTCTGAGGCGCTGTTAAGTGCCTAATCTACACGATGTTGGGATGAAACCTATGTTCCAGGACTGGTCCCCATGTTCTGTGAATTTTCTTTTCAGCAGTTTACATCACCGATATTTTTTTCTATTAAATGTACAAAGACAGTTATAAAATTCAAGCCAATTTGAAATGAAAGAATTTTGGATTAATTTTAAAGAATTAAAATTCTGTTGGTCTTTTTCTAGAGTTGCCTGACAATTAACCTAGACATTTTAACTGACGTGATTTCAGCCAAATACTAGAAGTCCACATAAAACTGGAGAGGCAATGTGGGCCAGTGGGGGAGGAAGACTGTGTCGGTTTTAAGTAGACCAAAAGCTCTGTCACCAATAACTCTACATCTTATTGACTTCATGTCACCCTATCGACCTTAGTTTTCTCATCTGTGAAATGGGAGGGTCAGATGAGACAACATTTAAGGTTTCTTTATGCCTTATGATTTTAGGATGGTGGGTGTTTTCTTAAGGCAGTTATTCATGACACAGAAAAGTTAGGATGATCTGGCCATGGTGCAGAGACAGATCTGAGGACTGGGGTACCTCAGTTTCTGACAAGGTGAAATAACAGCAGTAATTCAAATTTTGGTGGGCACCCGGAGAGGAGAACTTCCTAAAACACAGATGCTGGGCCCACCCCTCACCACCACCTACACCCTCATCTCTGTGTCTGACTCGGAAGATCTGGGGGTGGAGCGTGAACATGTACATTTCTAACAAGTCCAGGTGAGGCTGATGCTGCACCTTGAGAACCGCTGTACTAGAGTATTTTGAAAATACTTTCCAACCCTAAGAATGTATAGTGAGGTGGCTGGGGGTAGTGGCCTCACACCTGTAATCCTAACACTTTGGGAGGCCACAGCAGAAGGATCACTTGAGGCCAGGAATTCGAGAACAGCCTGGGCAACATAGAGAGATTCTGTCTCTAAAAAAATTTTTTAGATTGGCCAGGCATGGTGGCGCACAACTGTAATCTCAGCTACTTGGGAGGCTCAGGTGGGACGATCACTTGAGCCCTGGGTTTTGAGGTTACAGTGAGCTATGATACCAACACTGCACTCCAGCCTGGGTGAGTGAGCAAGACCCTGTCTGAAAAAAAAAAAATCTATAGTGAGTTATCAGGAATTGAGTAACCCCTGTATTTTAATGAGCTACTTCTACTAGCTGCAAGTACACCAAGAATGGGCTTCCTCTTCCATGGGGGTTTCAGACAATGTAAAAATAATTTCAAGGGACACATGTAATTAATTATAAAACTACCTTCCCTTAAGAGACATAATCAAGATTTTCAGAACATTTGGGCTGCTGTAATAAAAACACTCAAGGTTCAGGGAACCTTAGGTAACATAGATGGTTGAGTGACTGGCTTGGCATCATATTACCAGGTTTGTTGGAAAGGGAGAAAGCATACCTCCATCTACACTGAGTTCACTAGTACAGAGAACAGAGGGTGAGCTTCCAGAAAGCTGAAAGTTCTTTAGTCAACACCCACCCCCATCATTATAAAAAGCCCATTCCAAAACTCACCCTAGAAGGCTTAGGCTAAAACAAACAAATAAACAACAACAAAAAAAAGGTTGTTGATAAAGTCATCTGTATCACTAGATCTCAAACTTGGTGGCACTTAGGAATTACTTGGGAAGTTTTAAAAAGAACTGGGGCTTGAGTCCCACCTCCAGAGATTGACTCAACCCAGGCACTGGAATTTGTAATATTAATAGCTCCCCAGGAGAACAATTGTGCAGCAAAGTCTAAGAATTACCAATCTATAAAAGAATAGAATCAATCTGTTCTTTATTACTTTGGGTCCCACAAGCCATTTTTGTCACTCCAAACAGCATGACCATTTGTCTTAAATGACCCTGAAGAATAAACACTGAAATTTCTACAAGTCCACAAAGGGTCACAAGTCCACAAAGGGTCAAACACAATACAGCTAAAAATATTTCTTAGCTCTATTGGCACCTTTTCATGCAAATCGATAAATATTTTTTGCAACAAGATTTCCCCCAGAGAACACATACAGTTTCTGCTGCAGAATGCCAGGTGAGGTTTGCTAGGGGAGGAGTTTTGCCTTCTAATTATAAGCACCTTGAGGACATCATCCACATCCTAGAATCTTTCAAACTCCCAAGTGCCTATGTGGCTCAACACTGGGCAAATTAGAGGCACTGAACAAATACTGGTTCAACTGACTTGAAATTATGACTGTCTTAAGCATGTGGGAATGTAGATCTTACCAGAATACCCTGTTTCCTTGTGAAGGACATGGTATATGTTTCCGTGTGTGTTTTGGGAATGTGCACAGTTTAATTCCTTTACACTCCTTAGATTAAATGAGAACATTAAGATTGGGGCTTTATAAATAAGCCATATAACTATTTATTGAGAAAAATATCCCTTTCCCAAAATGGGTGGAAGTTTCTGGTGCCTTAAGACACATATCTTTCTGACTACAGCCAACACAACACAGATGTCGCCCAAGGCAGAGAATATTATATGTGCATTACTTTTGGCTTTTGCCTCTATCTTACAAAGCTGTGGCCATAAGAAAGTTCTCCCTCTCCCTCTCCCTCTCCCTTTCCCTCCCTCTCCCTCTCCCCTCTTTCCACGGTCTACCTCTGATGCCGAGCTGAAGCTGGACTGTACTGCTGCCATCTCGGCTCACTGCAACCTCCCTGCCTGATTCTCCTGCCTCAGCCTGCCGAGTGCCTGCGATTGCAGGCGCGCGCCGCCACGCCTGACTGGTTTTCGTATTTTTTTGGTGGAGACGGGGTTTCGCTGTGTTGGCCGGGCTGGTCTCCAGCTCCTAACCGCGAGTGATCCGCCAGCCTCGGCCTACCGAGGTGCAGGGATTGCAGACGGAGTCTGGTTCACTCAGTGCTCAATGGTGCCCAGGCTGGAGCGCAGTGGCGTGATCTCGGCTGGCTACAACCTCCACCCATCGTCTGGGACGTGAGGAGCCCCTCTGCCTGGCTGCCCAGTCTGGAAAGTGAGGAGCGTCTCTGCCCCGCCGCCATCCCATCTAGGAAGTGAGGAGCGCCTCTTCTCGGCTGCCATCCCATCTAGGAAGTGAGGAGCGTCTCTGCCCGGCCGCCCATCGTCTGAGATGTGGGGAGCGCCTTTGCCCCGCCACCCCGTCTGGGATGTGAGGAGCGCCTCTACCCGGCCGTGACCCCGTCTGGGAGGTGAGGAGCGTCTCTGCCCGTCCGCCCCGTCTGAGAAGCGAGGAGACCCTCCGTCTGGCAACCGCCCCGTCTGAGAAGTGAGGAGCCCCTCCGCCCGGCAGCCGCCCCGTCTGAGAAGTGAGGAGCCCCTCCGCCCCGCAGCCGCCCCGTCTGAGAAGTGAGGAGCCCCTCCGCCCGGCAGCCACCCCGTCTGGGAAGTGAGGAGCGTCTCTGCCCGGCAGCCACCCCGTCCGGGAGGGAGGTGGGGGTCAGCCCCCGCCAGGCCAGCCGCCCTGTCCGGGAGGGAGGTGGGGGGGTCAGCCCCCCACCCGGCTAGCCGCCCCGTCCGGGAGGTGAGGGGCACCTCTGCCCGGCCGCCCCTACTGGGAAGTGAGGAGCCCCTCTGCCCGGCCAGCCACCCCGTCCGGGAGGGAGGTGGGGGGGTCAGCCCCCCCGCCCGGCCAGCCGCCCCGTCTGGGAGGGAGGTGGGGGGGGTCAGCCCCCCGCCCGGCCAGCCACCCCATCCGGGAGGGAGGTGGGGGGGGTCAGCCGCCCCGTCCGGGAGGGAGGTGGGGGGGTCACCCCCCGCCCGGCCAGCCGCCCCGTCCGGGAGGTGAGGGGCGCCTCTGCCCGGCCGCCCCTACTGGGAAGTGAGGAGCCCCTCTGCCCGGCCAGCCGCCCCGTCCGGGAGGGAGGTGGGGGGGTCACCCCCCGCCCGGCCAGCCGCCCCGTCCGGGAGGTGAGGGGCGCCTCTGCCCGGCCGCCCCTACTGGGAAGTGAGGAGCCCCTCTGCCCGGCCACCACCCCGTCTGGGAGGTGTACCCAACAGCTCATTGAGAACGGGCCATGATGACAATGGCGGTTTTGTGGAATAGAAAGAGGGGAAAGGCGGGGAAAAGATTGAGAAATCGGATGGTTGCCGTGTCTGTGTAGAAAGAGGTAGACATGGGAGACTTTTCATTTTGTTCTGTACTAAGAAAAATTCTTCTGCCTTGTGATCCTGTTGATCTGTGACCTTACCCCCAACCCTGTGCCCTCTGAAACATGTGCTGTGTCCACTCAGGGTTAAATGGATTAAGGGCAGTGCAAGATGTGCTTTGTTAAACAGATGCTTGAAGGCAGCATGCTCGTTAAGAGTCATCACCACTCCCTAATCTCAAGTACCCAGGGACACAAACACTGCGGAAGGCCGCAGGGTCCTCTGCCTAGGAAAACCAGAGACCTTTGTTCACTTGTTTATCTGCTGACCTTCCCTCCACTATTGTCCTATGACCCTGCCAAATACCCCTCTGCGAGAAACACCCAAGAATGATCAATTAAAACAAAAAACAAAAAACAAAAAAAAAAACAAAGTTACTGCAGAGTAGAGCTAAAAGACAACCTCACAACGGTTAGATACACAGGCCCATCTTCATCACATTTGCATGTGCCATTCTAGATATTTTCTTAGAATACCACAAACTAAACCTGTGGTTACGATCCAAGCAGATTGAAAACTGCCTTGGCTGAGGCCAGAAAGAATGGTTAAAGCTTGAAGACTGATTTTTTTTACTTGAAACTGCTCTCCAGCACTTTCCCCAGCTACCCCATCCATTGCTAATTAGAGGCAGCCAAGGCTTGACATGTACACAGTTCTCTGTGGTAAAATTGATTATTATATTACTATGGAAAATAAGGAAGTCATTTCATTCGAAATATCAAATTCCACAAAAATCATACATGGCAGCTGTTAGCATATGCATGTGGGGGAAGGGCAAGTGTGTGAACATATTAACCCTCTCCCCTTCAGTTTTCTGACATCTCAGAATTGCAAGAAAGAAAAGATTCCAATGTATATAAGGCAGAAACCAATGGCAAAGCTGCATAAAAGCTATTTTTGAGGTTAAAAAAAAAATCTCCGTGATATAAGACACCCCGTCCATGCCGTTTTATGAGTATGGATTTGCTTTTACACACTTGCAAGCAGAAAACTAGTATTCCTCTACCACATGTGTTGAAGCTACTTGTAATTGCATCAGATAGAGAAATGAGGTGAGTCATGTTTGGTTGTGCTTGAGTCTGCTAACAGACCATCATGTCCATGTCCAAATTTGTACCCTGAACCGCACAACAGAAGTTTATGCACTTGCTTGCTTGCTTGGCGACAATGAAAATAGTTTTGTTTAAACACTTAACTTTACTTAAAGATACCTAAGAGGTGCTGAAATTCATATTCCAGCTACTTCAGGGGTGCTCAGAAGCTATTCTCAAGCCTTGTTTCTTGGCGAAATATCCCCTGCTCATGAATTTTAACACGGCACTCCCCTCCTGGTCCAGAATGAGTCAACACTCAACACATACGAGATGTTTCAAACACCTTTAAGTTCATTTTCCATCACTGCCAAATTCCAGCAATTAACACAAAGCACCTCACCCTTAAGAGATGCCCATCATTTATAAAGTTTTGGGATTCTGAATGCATCCCCTTCCATTCTCCCAGATCTGGTGATAACTCAATCTGTTTTCCAGTAGCCTTGCGACTTTTCTTTAAAGAAGAGTTTAGTAACCAGCGTAAAAAGAGCATCTAGACTTCCTGACATTAGGATCGCTGATTTCACTGGGGTCATGAGGAGCTGTTTTAGGTCACATGTTAAACTGCCGTTGTGAATCATTTGTTAATTTTTTTTTAAAACGGAGGGGGTGGGGACACAGACAAATCGCATACTCATGCACAAATGCTCAGCGCCGAGAACATGTTTAGAGGTGCTGCCTGAACTGGAGAATTAAAAAAGAAACAAATAAACCTCGATTTCTCCCTTGTGCTGGGGAAAGGTAGGATGATGTCATGCAACCTTACCTTTCTGAAACATACCAGGGTGCCTGGCACGACGGGCTGACCTGCGGCTATCGAAGCCTGGAGTCATTTTGGGTGTTGCGCATGTGCCTCCCTAGAAAATTCCAATGACATTCTACCAGCTTTCTGCATGCCAATCATGACAAGCCTTCACTCAAACTCTCTCGAGTCTGGAAAGGGGCAGCGGAGGGGGTATGCAAGCGAGGGAGGGAGGGAGCGAAAGAGAAAGAGCAGTGCCTGAGCACGGCATACCCGCCTGGAAGGGCAGTCACATGCCACCGGGAGCCATTCCTGCTGCATTACACATGCTGAGTGTAAATGGCAAACAATATCAGTCGATGTTTATGCCACATGTTCTCAGCCTCTTCACATATCAACACCCAAGCCAGCTCTATGGAGACAGGTCTCCTGAGAGCACTTCAGAAGAAGGGATCTAGGTCTGATCGCGCTGACCATTTTTAATAAAATTCCAAAGCCTCGCCTGGTTTACTTCCCTATTTTTTGTTGTTGCTGCTGTGGGTGGTGGTGGTGGTGGTCTGTTTGTTTGTTTGTTTGCTTGCTTGCTTTTTACTCTGGGTTTTCACGGGTGAAAATTTGGTCCTGAAGATACCCTTAAAAACCTTAGCAATCCAGCTACATCAGACAACCCCAGCAAACTGACTCCCAGCCAGCAAAGCTCCTGAAACACTTGCCCTTCTTTATTTTTGTGGAACAGGAGATGAACGGAGATGACCCATCATTTCACCTACCCAGTGGTAACTGCAATACCTTTCAGGAGGAAAAGTGAGTTCTCCTTTGCTCTAAGCAGTGGCTGGGGATGATTTTGGCCCCCAGGGTAATGCTGGAAACAGTTTGTTGTCAGAACTGAGGGGGGTGATGGGATGCAACTGGCATCTACTGGGCAGAGACCAGGGATGCTGACAAAATCCTACAATGCTCAAGACAACCACCACAAAAGATAATTATTTGGCCCAAGATATCAATAGTGTTGCAGTTGAGAAACTGTGCTCTCAGGCTAACGCCTTCAACCAGTCTTGCAGAAAGTACAATACCAAAAAAAAAAAAAAAAAAAAAAAAGCCAAGAAGCCCCTCTCTGTGAGGAAGTGGCTAAAGACCCTGGCTGGCCTCATTCAGAGTTTGATTACTTAGAAATGTAACTTTTCTTCCGAGGAGCCACCGTTCTCCTGCCAACTTTTTTTTACTTTTCTCCTTCCAAATCTCACACTGTAATCCTTAAACACTCAAACCAAACTCAACCTTCACGTGATTTTCTAAAATCAAAATCTGTTGTCACAGGTACTTCATTGTCAGGTTATGCAAAGCAACCATCATTCCAATTTGTCCTGTCTGGGACAGGCTGATGTCTACCTGCAATGCCTGGTGTCCACTGTAATCTCCTATCCAAAACAGTCAATAGGGTATATTCCTTTTAAAAGGTCAAAACTCCCCAGTGAGCTTATAAATGACTTAGTGATTGAGGCTTACTAGATTCTCCTATTTTAACTTAGCCCCTTGGAGGAGATGGGGCTTGGGGTATCCTGGCATCAGGGGGGCTTCCCTCCTGCTGGGACTGAATTCAGACCCGGTGTGTGACGTTTCTATAGTCGCACTGAAAAACCAAAGTGAAAGCCAGTCGGATATGTTTGACCAGCCTGTTTCTAGCTGCCCACCAGAGGCTCTTCCATGGGCCACCTGCCCCAGTGACCTCCCAGGAGAGCCCAAAGGCTTTTTCTTCCTAATTTAGTCACAGCCCACAGGCTGTCCCAGGCTCCGTTGGCCTCAGCCGCTGACTCAGTCACAGACACCTAAAAGCGCCAGTCCCAGCTCCTGACCTGAGGGAACCAGCCAGCCTGGCCGTGGCTGCCTTTCTCTTCTGGCCTTGAGTCCTTCCCATGGTCTACTAGGTTTCCCCAAGCTGCCAGGCTCTACTCCAATCAGCAGGTTTGGCCCTTCCTCTCTCTGTCTTCTTTCATTATGCCCAGAACTTTCTTAGACTAAGAGTTTATTGAAAAGCGCCCCACCACACACATCTTCCCAAACCCACATAGAAGGCTCTGCTCCTGTCTGCCATTGTGGGAGAAGCAGTGATGTGCAGTGGTTAAAAACAAACACCTGAAACCTGCCAGCCACAGCCAGCCACAGGAAAGAAGGATGAGGACCGTGCCTACCTTCAGGATTCTGGTAGGAGCCACGTGTCACCTGGTACAGCCGGAGCTGTGTATCTGCTATTGTGAGCTCCGTAACATGATACACTGAATGTGAGCTTGATTATTGAAATAAAAGGAACCCTCATACACGGCCTGGAGTGCAATTCCCAGGAGAATAAATGCCAATACTTAGAATAAGCCCTTCTAATTGTATGGTCCTAGCTCTTACCCAGAGACTGGGACACAACTCCAGTTCCAATCTGGAAATGAAGACGCACAAGCTGAACATCCCAAATGAAAATTCAGTTCAATGTCGTAGGCATGTATTGAGTACCTACTGTATACCAGCACTGTGCCAGGCAAGGAAGGAGTGGGGAACATGTGGTAGGCAGTAAGTCTGGGTGCACAAGGCTAATTATGCTACCTGCTTCACACATTCTCTTGATTTTCACAAGTCTTAAAACAAATTAAGATCACTATCCCCATTTTACAGATTAGAACATTGAAGCTCCAAATGACTGAGTACCTCACCTAAAGTGTCAAAGCCTAGTATGTGGTTATTTGAAACAATGTTTGTTGGATTCCAAAGACTTTGTATTTCCACTAAAGCACCTCCCAGTACACAAGGTGTATTTTTAGTAGGGACGGGGTTTCACCATGTTGGTCAGTCTGGTCTCCAACTCCTGACCTCAGGTGATCCGCAGGCCTCGACCTCCCAAAGTGTTGGGATTACAGGCATGAGCCACTATGCCATGTCAGTTAATCCTTCCTTTTACTCCAAAACTAGTATTAAGGTAAGAGGTGGAAGCTGGGTTGGGAGAAGCACATGGCACACCTGGCCCCCATGAATACTGTTATTTATTATGATACTATGGGTCTCTTCCGGTACCAGGATAGACGGGGATAATCTGGCCTCCATGCCGGGGACATGTCCTGCAGCGGGTGGTATAGTGGCCCTCACTGGAAGTAGAAGAGGGTGTTAAAACACAATAATGTAAGGAGGAGGCAACTGGCAGTGGTATACACCCCACGTGTGGGGACAAAGTCAGGGAAAGACTGAGATCCAGTGAATATAATGAGTGTTCACCTGGGAGGTGGGAGACTCGGGCTACGGCTGGCTGCATCACCCACTCACTGTGTGACCTTCAACCGTTACTGAGTCCTTGTGGCTTAAGTCGCCCAAGTGCCAAGTACACAGGAACTTAAGGACATACTATGCTGCCATTAAAAAGTGATATTTACTATTCATTTACTATTTAATGTTAAATCTAAAACCAGTGCACAAAATTGTATATACATTACAGTTACAGCCATGTAAAAGGCTTTCCTCTGGTAGGAAAGAAATCCTATTGGAGAACATACCAAACCGTTAACAGGAATCATTGTGTTTAGATGGTAGAATCATAGGTAATTTTTTTCCCTTCTTTCCTTTTGTAAGTTTTCTAAAGCTTCTCCCATGCAAGTACTAACTAGGCCTGACCGTGCTTAGCTTCTGAGATCAGATGAGATCAGACATATTCAAGGTAGTATGGCTGTAGGCTAATTTTTCTTTTCTTTTCTCTTTTCTTTTTTTTTTTTTTTTTTGAGATGGAGTCTTGCTCTTGTTGCCCAGGCTGGAGTGCAGTGGCATCATCTTGGCTTACTGCAACCTCCACCTTCCTGGGTTCAAGCAATTCTCCTGGCCCAGCCTCCTGAGTAGCTGAGATTACAGGTGCCCACCACCACAACTGGCTAATTTTTTTTTGTATTTTTAGTAGAGATGAGGTTTCACCATATTGTCCAGGCTGGTCTCAAACTCCTGACCTCATGATCTGCCTGCCTTGGCCTCCCAAAGTGCTGGGATTACAGGCCTGAGCCACTGCACCTGGCCAACTAATTTTTCTTTAATAAACATACCTATTTTAAAATTAAAAATAATTTTTATAAGACAAAGGAATTCCTGGCCAGGTGCAGTGGCTCACACCTGTAATCGCAGCACTTTGGGAGGTCAAGGCAGGCAGATCACAAGATGAGGAGTTCGAGACCAGTCTGACCAACATGTTGAAACCCTGCGTCTCTACTAAAAATACAAAAATTAGCCGTGCGTGGTGGTTAGTGCCTGTAATCCCAGCTACTTGAGAGGCTGAGGCAGGAGAATTGCTTGAACCCAGGAGGCAGAGATTGCAGTGAGCTGAGATCCTGAGATCACGCCACTGTACTCCAGCCTGGACAACAGATACCCTGTCTCCAAAAAAAAAAAAAAAAAAAAAAAAAAAAGATGATGGAATTCAGCTGGGCTAATATTGACCCATGTAGCTTATAGTGTCTTCCAATGAACCCCTCAGATGAAAGTGTCTAACACAGCCCCTTTCCCAAGAAGGGAGAAGGGATTTCCTCTCCTGGAGAACCAGGTGCTAAGAGTAAGGGCAATGCACATGTGCATGGGAGGGATCTTCGTGAAGCACTGCCACGTTTACACATGAAGCCAAAGCACCCGATTCAGGTGGGTTTTCACACTTATGTTCTGGGAAGGTTCTTTGCAAAAGGGGATGGAACACGCCAGCACATTGTTCAGTCATCACAGGTACTCATTTTATGATCTCAAACTTGTCCATCAGAGGGACCAAGGTCATCAACATCAAGATAGCTTCTTGGTACATGCCACGGCTTGAAGCTCACAGCCTTCCCCTGTGCCCCCCACCACCACTGAGCTAATTGCAGACAGTCAGGTAAGACCAAAGGAAGGAGGCAGAGTAACTGCTCAACCATGGAGGTGGGCTTGGCTCTGTGGCCTCCAATTTAACATTTGGATTGCCTTTGCTTTGTTTCTTACACCTTTCAGGGTGGTACTAGGTCATTGTTTTTTCTTGGGCTATGTAAGTACAAAGAGAGTAGTAGATTCATCATTAAACCAATGACAAATCCAGGCTAGTCCAGGATTACAGACTCTGCAGCTGAGCCTCCTCTAATCCTCAGCACACTGAGCCAGCATTGGCAACCTCATCTCTGTTTTCGCCTGGCAATCTTGCTGGAGCCGAATCTCCATCCATGCTGGATGGACAGAGCCGGTCCCTGCCATTGCCCCTCCCTCTGCCCCTGCTGGGACTAGCCAGTGGCTGCTTCAAATAGCCCAATTCTTGCCCAGGAGGTAGAGAGGCTTCCGTGGCCTGAGAGATCCCAATGCATATATGGCATGTAAGAAAACCACTGGAAACATTCCTGGGGCCTTTTCTTTTTCTCTTATTTCTTCTTTCCTTTTCTTTCTTAATCCTTTCAACATAAAGTGGCAATTCAAGGTGAAATTCTCTCTAAACAGCGATTTCTCTTTAAAACCAGGGCTGACTACTCTATCTTTGCAATGGAGGAAAATAGAAAAGCTATGCCAGAAAAGATGAGGTCTGAGCCCCCTAGGATGATGGAGGAGTTGTATGTGGAATACAAAGAGACACCTTGAAGGAGCCATGGTAGGGGTTCCAGCCTCTTGTTACCAGAAGATGCAAGTCCAGAACAAAGGCAGGATTCGTTCCCAGAACGAACAAGCTCAGCGCCGAAAAGGCTACATCCTGCACAGACAAAGGCTGGCCACAGCCATTAGCAGAGGAAACCAGTCAAGAGTTGTGAGTCAGCCAATGTGGAATGAGTCCTTCCTAGGAAAGGAAATAGGTTCTTTGTTGAGCAGGGATTTTAACTCCTGTCTGGTTAACTGTTATTCCTTTGTAGGTTCTCCAGAGGCCCATAAAACAGAAGCAGGAAACATCATTAAATTTTCCAGATTTGCTCTTTAAAAACTGACCAGAGCTTCCAGTCAGGGATCTCATGTTGGATCCACAGGGTGACATATCCTCAGTACCTTCTCACAAGCTGCCCTCCCTACCTGAAACGTCCTTCCCCTCATCTGCACTGTTCAATAGGATAGCTATTTGCCACATTTTTCTATTTAAATTTAAATTATTAATATTAAATTTAAAACACAGCTCCTCAGTTGCGTTAGCCACATTTCAAGGGCTCAACAGCCACATGTGACTAGCGATTATCATGCTAGACAGCACATATCATCGGCGGCAGGTGGAGGGTTCTGCTGGGCAGTGTCGCTTCATATCTTCATGTGACTGAGTCTCAAACTCACGTCCCAGTGCTACTGTCATCTTCTCAAAGAGGCCACCTCACAGAGAGTGAACCATATGTCCTGCCTTAAACTTTGGATATATCTCATCCTATTACTGGATTTTGTATGGGCGTGTGGACTCCTCTAAAGCAGGACATATGGTTTACTCTCTGACCTCCTCCCTTATCCTATCTTTATCACTATAAAATTACCTTGTTTATCTTGCACTTTATTGCTTGTCCCTCCCCTGGAATATAAGCTCCATAGGAACAGGGATCTTAGGGCAGGCACAGTGGCTCACGTATGTAATCCCAACACTTTGAGAGGCTGAGGCAGGTGGATTGCTTAAGCCAGGAGTTTGAGATCAGCCTGGGCAACATGGTATAACCCATCTCTACAAAAAATACAAAAATTAGCCAGGTGTGGTGGTGCACACCTCTAGTCCCAGCTACTTGGGAGGCTGAGACAGGAGGATTGCTTGAGCCTGGGAGCTGGAGATTGCAGTGAGCTGAGATCGCACCACTGCACTCTAGCCTGGATGACAGGTGAGCCCTGTCTCAAAAAAAAAAAAAAAAAAAAAAAAGAACAAGGATCTTGCCTGTCTTTTCTATTGCTGTATGCCCTATGCCTATGACAGTATCTGCCACAAGCAGAGCTCAATATTTTGAATAAACAACTCACAGTAGGGTCTATCCCATGACTCTGGAGTTAGAGGACAAAAGCCACCCAAAAGAGATGCAGCTAATCTTCCCATGGGCCACCATAATGTCTAAGCATGGGCCCCATGAGGAGCATCTATCTGGGAGGCTGAGTGCTGACGGAGTAGCAGAGTAGACAAAGTCCAACTTGGTCTAATTCTCCTCTAGGAACACCAGTTGCCTTTTATTCCCCAACAGTCAATGCCCAGTGCTGTGCCTAGCACTTTGCACTGTCTTCATTCTCTGTTTTTGCAAAAGACCAAAATATCCTCTAATATAGCATTAGACAGTCTTCAGTATGGTATCACTTTTTGTCCACATGCACCTACAGAAACAAGTAATAGGATGGAATCTATCCTAAGTTTAAGAAGTTAGTATCCTAATACTTCGCATATTCTGTGAGTACTTTTGGGTGCCTCCTCTGGATCAGGAGAAGGAGAAAGACCCACTCTACTCCAACTTTGTTTTACTATTTACTTCAATTAAAATTTGAATGGCAAGGGTATTATACTCAGCAAAACATGAACCCCATGGCCAAACACTCAGGGAGTATAAAGATATAAAAGTTGGAAAACATATCACATGTCACATATTACTGATCTTTCATAACAAGCTGAGTACAAAAGTCACCTTTGTTTAGGATCAAAATATTCAGCAACATAGAGGAATAGAGCAAAGAAAAACAGTGTGTGCTTGGGAGAATAATAAGCAATTAGAAAGCAAAATAAAAGCAGGTGGAATCTGTGCTCTGAACCACACTAGGAAGGAATCCTCATAGTCAAGGAAGCTGGGGGACTGGAAGCTAACAGCCCAATAGCTTGCCAAGAAAAAGAGGGGGCAGCTTGGAGAAACTTTGGCAGTATATCCTCTAATTCTTGCTGAGGGAACAAATCTGATTGTAAGTTGTTTTTCCCTGAAAGAGCACATGGCAATTGTTTGCTGAGGCTTTAACTGATCTCTTAGTGACATTAATTAATAAATGCACCAACCTCACTTGTGTAGGAACACTGCAGAACACTCAATTTTGAGAGAATTGGCAAGGAGATACCAAGTTTGGGTCCTTCTAAGTTTTATTAATTCAAATTCCAGTATCCATTATGAAATGATTTCCAGGAAATGGGGTCTGCTCTGATGCATATATCGTGACAACCACAAGGTTGTATAAGACCTGGTGACAGCCAGAAAGATTAGCTCCCACCTTCAGGCTTTCTGCATTTTGTCTTTTGCTAAGTCTTAAACAGAGAAGCACAATCACCTCCCTACCTTGACCAAATGATAGAACTCCTCTGGACAGAAAGGTCACATTCACTGCCATGAGCCCAGATGTGGGAGGAATGTGCATTGAGGTATGAGGAGGGAAGAGATGCCAGCTAGGCGGATCAGCCACATCAAACCTCGTGAGCAATGGGATGACAAACATCCTAGCCAGATCACTTTCACAGCCATCCTCAGTGGCTCCTCTAAATCTCAGCTTCTCTCTTAGGTGGGCATACTTGTGTTCTCTGTATAGGAAAAGACTAGAAGCGTTCTGAGGGCACGGATGCCACAATACCCAGCATGGTGCTTTCCACAGAGGAGAAGTCCATTAAGTGTTTTCTGAATCTGTAAATGATTTACAGGCTTTTCCTCATGTTGATTATAGCATCAGAGGTTTCCATCCAAATCTGGGATATGAGGACTGAACAGTCAAGAATTCATTCTTAACACTCAAGGTTTAAAGTTTTAAAATCGTGATCCAACACCAACTGGCTAAATCGTGATGTTGAGGGGAGCCCAAAGATGGGACTCACAAACCTGGCCCAAATTTATCCACTGAAGTATCCTGAGCCATGGCCACAGTCAGGAATCCGCTGTCATTGTCACAGATGCACGTTGGAGCGTTAAAGATCAGGGCATGCATGAGAGAAGAGGCTGCTGACTAACGCTGTCTCCACAGCCTGAATCAAAGCCAGCTGCCCTAACTTGAAGGGGCTGGATGGTGGCCACTCCAGGGCAGCTCAGGGCCAGGCTGAGGTGGTTGGGAAGCCAGCTAAGAGTAGTTTTCCCTTGGTGGTCATTTTTTTTAAGGCAAGGATGAAACTTATTGGCCAACCAATTAAAGTTACCCCTTGAGGAAACAACAGATGGCATCAAACAAGATGGGCTTTTCCATTCCCCAGTGTTAATGTGCAACCAGTAAAAGTCTCTCACCTTTTCCCCCAAGATGGGACACCAGGTCAATATCCCATGTGGCTACTAATATCTTAAAGCAAATAAAAACTTGTGGCCCTACATTCCCTTGATTTTTTCTGCACTGTAAATTTCTAAATTTCCTAAAGACACATAACACAATTATTAAATTGTAAATAAATATTAAACACAATTGTAAAATTTTACACAATAGAAATGTAATAGCTATTTCCTACGAGGGAAGGTTAGGTGATTGAATTATTGGATGAGCCCTCAGCTAAAAACAACTCTGAGTAAGTAACCATAAAAACACTGAAGAGCTGAATGATAGCACATCCCTACCAGGCTGATTTAGGGAGAAAGCTTTAACCTAAAGAGACTCGAGGATGATTTGAGTGCCAAAGCTGCTTTTGCCTTGCAGACATCAAAGGGGTAAGGATGAAAGATGTCAGGGCCCAGAGCACATCTGATGTAGACTCTTACAGGAGACATATACCTACAGTAAGCTGGGTCCCAAAGGGCCACACCCTCAGGATTAGGATGAACCAGGAGTAATATGTCACTTCCTGTCCCCCCCAAACCCATAGGCCCAGAGAGAAACCTGAGCAAAGCAAGAGAGGAAGTAGGAAGGGGATAAAATTACCCCTGAGATGTGACCAGAGGCCTGCCCTCATCCAGATTTGCACCCCAGGGTTCTATATCATACATGGACAATGAATTTCATTTGTAGTGACTCCAAAAGGCAACCAGAGGAAGGAGAGCACACTCATTCTAAGCCTCAGGGGATCTCCACACATAATTTCTTTACGGGCAATAACTAGTGAAATTGTCAGGCGTATCAGAAAATAGATCATCAGGCATAGAAGGAAATAAGGCAACATGAGTGAGAACCAGCATAAACAGCAGAGAGCAGAAACCGACCTGGACACACTTCAGATGCAAACTCAGTAAGTTTATATTTGCTAACCACATGAAAAAGTAAACAAGCTTGCAAATATCTGCAGAGCACCAAAAACTGTAAAAACTGACTTAGTAGATTTGGAAAAGAATCAAACAGAACTTCTAGAAAGGAAAAATTTAAAAACAAATGAAAATCTTATTGAAGTGTTTGGCAAAAGATTAAAAACAATAGAAGAGAGAATTAAGGACCAGAGGTTAGATCACAGGAAATTGTTCAAAATACAGCATCAAAAGCAAAAATATGGAAAGCACAGAAGAGTGGATTTAGACTATAGGGGATAAGTCAGAAGGCCCAACATATATTTGACTGGAGTCCCAAAAGAGGACAATGGGGATGGGAATGAGGTAATATGGAAAAGATAAAAGCTGAGAATTTTCCAGGACTATTGAAAGACACTAAGTGGTCAAAAGACCAGAGAATCCCAAGCAAAGTAAATGTTAAGGAATGTACACCTAGACCCATCGTAGTTACCAGTGATCACAGTGATTAAAACCAAGAGAAAAGCTTAGAGAAAAAAATATACAGATTATCTTAAAAGGGATCATACTTAGACTAAAAAATATCTCAACATCAAAAATGGAAGCCAAAAGACAGTGGAATAATATCTTTAATACGCTGAAAGAAAATAATGACAAATCTATAATTCTGATGAGGAAAGATGAATGACCCCCAAAGATATTCAGGTCATAGTCCCTGGAAGCTGTGAGTGTTACCTCATATGGCAAAAAAGACTTTGCAGGTGTGATTAAGTTGAGGATCTCAGAATTTAGATCTCATAACCTAGATGGGTAGATTTGGGTGGGCCCTAAGTGCAGTCAGAAGTGTTATACAGGCCAAAGAGGGATTTGACACAGAGAAGGTGATGTGACAGGAGAGAGATTTGGAGATGCTACAATGGCTGCTGTCTTTGAGGATGGAGAAGGGGGCCATGAATCAAGCAATGCAAGGAATGCAGCATCGCAATGCTGGGAAAAGAAAAGATTCCCCCCTAGAACCTGCAGATGGAGCGCAGCTCTGCAGACACTTTGACTTTAGCCCAGGGAAACTGATGATGGGCTTCTGCCTTCCAGAATCAAAGGAGAATGAATTTGTGTCGTTTTGAGTCACCAGGTTTGTGGTAATTTGTTACAGCAACCAGTGAAAACTAAGACAACTGCCACAAATACCCTGCCACAGTGAAGTGAAATCCAGGAGTTTTCAGGCACGCAAAGAGTTCCTCACCAGCAAGGGAAATTCTAAAGATTACATTTCAGGCAGAAAGAAAGTGATCCCAGATGGAAGACTGGAAACACAAAAAGGAATGAAGAGCAAAGAAAGTGACAGATGCATGATGAGTAAATCCAAATGAACTTCCACTGTGTAGAACAATATATTTTGTTGGTGTTCTTTAAAAATATAGAATTAAAATACAAAACAATGAGAGAAAATAAGTTGGGAGTGGTTAAACATTTTTAGAGTGTTCCAAGGACCTTGAGTTACTCTATGGGAAATGAAAGCTTTGATAAACTTTAGACTGTCAGTATAAATATTATAATTTCGCCAGGCACGGTGGCTCACACCTGTAATCCCAGCACTTTGGGAGGCCGAGGCGGATCACAAGGTCAGGAGTTCGAGACCAGCCTGACCAACATGGTGAAACCCCGTCTCTACTAAAAATACAAAAATTAGCCGGGTATGGTGGCGCACGCCTGCAATCCCAGCTACTCAGGGGGCTGAGGCAGGAGAATTGCTTGAACCCGGGAGGCAGAGGTTGCAGTGAGCCGAGATCTCACTGCTGCACTCCAGCCTGGGCAACAGAGGGAGACTTCATAAAAAAAAAAAAAATATATATATATATATATATATATATGTATAAATATATAATATATATGTATTATAATTTCTAGAATAGAGCATGTAACTCTCAAAATAATAGAAACACAAGTGGTAAAATTATAGAGAAAAGCAAGGAAATTACACAAAGGTGTAAGTGAGGAAGGAGGCTGGGATGGCTGAGGGACCCTCGAGGGCTTCTGGGTGCCAGGGGCATCCCATTTATTGACCCAGTGATAGATACATAGGTGTTTGCTTTATTTGTTAAACTTTGCATAGATGCCTTAAGTATTTTTGGGTGTGTATGCAATATTTTACAATGAAAAATCATTGGAAAAAAATAAGTACATATTTATCCCTTTCAACTACATCTATATCCAGAAATCTTCTTAGTTCAGTGTTTAGCAGATCAAAAATCCATACATGTGTTCACACAAAAACCTGCACACAGATGTTTATAGCAGCTTTATTCAGAATTGCCAAAACATGAAAGAAACCAAGATGTCTTTCAGCAGGTGAATGGCTAAATAAACTGTAATACATTCAGACAATGGGATATTATTCAGCACTAAAAGGAAATGAACTATCAAGTCATGAAAACACATGGAGTAAACTTAAATACACATTACTAGGTGAAAGAGGCCAGTCTGAAAAGGCCATATACTGTATGATTTTAACTATGTGACATTCTGGAAAAGGCAGAACTATAGAGACAGTAAAAGGGTCAGTGATTGCCAGGGGTTAGCGGGGAGAAGGGATATATAGGAGGAGCACAGAGGGTGTTTAGAGCAGTGAAACTATTCTGTATGGTGCAATAATGATGGATACACGTCATCATGCGTTTGTCCAGACCCACAGAACGTACACCACTAAGAGTGAACCCCAGTGTAAAGGACAGACTTTGGGTCTTATGATGAGTCAATGTAGGGTCATCAATTGTAACAAAAGTACCAGTCTGGTGGGGGATGTTGGCCATAGGGGAGGCTGTGTGTGTGTGGAGGCGGGGGTATATCGGAAATCTCTGTACTTTCCTCTCAACTTTGCTGTGAACCTGCTCTAAAAAAAACAGTCTTTCAGAAAGAAAAAAAAAGTGTGCCTGAGCAGAGGATCTGCTCTATCTCCCCCAAGTTCCTTCCCAAAACCCAACATCAATAGAGTTTTTTTTAATTTCTATTTTACAATATTGGTCCTTTACCCAATAAACTTTGATGTTATTTAACAAAAAAACCCACAGATGGGTTCTCCAAAAATGGTTTCATCCAGTCCCTGTCTAAAGGCAAGTAAATTACTATTATAACTCATTTATGGATGATGCAATTGAAGTCTAATGAAGTTAAATGATTTATCCAAAGTGTGCTTGCCATGACGGTTTAGGTGCAAGAACATATTTGGTTACAGATTATAGAGGCATAATTATGAATTTTGTCAGACATTATTTTATGTGTAGGAAAGGCAAGGACTGGGGTCATTTCTCTTTTAGGAAATATAGTGACTTAGGCAAAAGACATGGGGGGCATGTTTTTTATCTTCTTTGGTCTTTAAAGTATCTTTTTGGAGAGTGGTATGTCATCACAGAATTAGGGGCTTTGTGAAATGATGCTGTGGAGATGAATAAACATGGCTTTTTATGTTTGTCACTTTATCTCACAGTCTCTTAAAATTCATTCCTGTGGTAAAGAGGGGCCCTTAGAGAAGGCCTTGCCTTTCCACTCAGACTTTCTTGTCATCTAGCACCCAGACAGGTTTTACAGAGACATCCTGTAAGGTCTGAAGAATCTGTGCACACACAAATTACTTAAGATGATGGAGACATTGGTTATACTCCCTGCTTAGATTGACAGCAGTGATAGCTATAAGTATGTAGCCCCAGTGGAAAACCACACTACCTTCCTCTTACCTTCAAAGCCCTCTCTCTGCTGGCAAAAAGGAAAGCATGCCCTACGTCACTCTAGTCTGCCCCACTTCGCAGATGAGAAAACTCAGGCAGAAGTGGTCAGCAGGTCTGCAGGTAAAGCAGAATTCCACAACTCCCATTTTCAAATTACCAGCCCACAAATGACCACCTTGCTTAAAACACTGGTACCTCCTTAGAGACCCATCGCACCCTTCCTTCATCACCCCACCATACCCAGGTGTATTTCTTGGCTCCTGAAAGGCCTCATGATTTCAGACCAATAATGAAGCCCAATTAAGCAGGTACACTGATGTCAGCAGCATGATGCTCCTAGTCAGTCCCAGAAAATTCAGAATCTCTGCCACTTGTCAGGGAGCACACATTTCATTACAGAACACCCAGTTTCACCCTGTCAAGGAAAACAGCAAGGTCTAGAGCTTAAAAGAAATCAGGCAGCATCTATGAATTAAGAGGTCGGGTAAGTAAGAATTGAATGCAATGAAAACAATTTCCCCATGCTTGGATAGAACTTAATGCTTGTGACGATGCTCTTCCCCACGCGTTCTTCCTTCTCTGCTCCTCTAGCAGTTGTAACCTGCCCCACAGAGAGAAGAGAAAATGTGAGCGCTGGCAAGGGAGGAGGACCTAAGCTAGTAATCAGTCCAACCCTCTTGTTTTCCAGAGCACACAGCCCCTGAGAGGAAGGTCCTCACCCATGGACGCAGCTTGCTGATGGCAGTGATAAGATCAATCAGGATTTTGGGTTTGGCAATTTCCCCCTATACAACGATAGTTTCCACCTTTCATGCTGAGGTTGGTAGTTGCTTTGTGTTGTCTTAAAAATTTTTTAAACATGGAAATATTTCTAAGTGTAACAAGCCCTTGTGTCCCCACCAACCAGGATTAACCAATGTTAACATTTTTATCATTTTTCACATGATGGATAAAGCTGATGTCCCCTGTCCCATTCTCTCCCCTCACTCTGTGTCCAGAGGCAACACCTATGTGTATACTTCTAGGCCATAATCTTATATTATACACCTATAAATCATAATACTTTAACCTAGTCAAATTTATCATTTTTTTCACTTCTGAGTTGTGTTTTTTGGATCCTTTCTAAGGAATTCTTTTTAACCTCTCAGGTCATAAAGATATTCTCCCGGGGTTGGCTTCTGACAGTGTTAACATTTTGATTTTCACATGCTGGTTTAGCTGAGATTTATCTTGGTATGTGTTGTGAGATGCAGATCTAGTATCTTTTTTTATAGAAAGCTAGTTGTCTCAAGATAAGTCAATGATGTGCTCAGCCTTTCCCACTCATTCATCATGCACTGTTATCTAGTATTAAATTCACAGTGATTCTTAGGCCTGTTTCTCTGCTCTTTCATTTGCTTTCTTGACCCTTTTATTCTTTTTTAGACATATCAGACCTGTGGATGTACCTTACTCTTCAAATCAATTTTAGAATTGGTTTCTGTAATTGCAAGATAAATCCTGTTGGGATATTTATTGGAATTGTCTTCAATGAGACACTTTTACACAAATGAGCTATCCTATCTACGAACATATCATATTCTACTTATGATATACTTTATGTTTTATAATTTTTTCTATTAAAGAACTAGGCATATTTTATTTAATTTTTTTCTAGGTACCCTATTGTTTTATTGTTATTGTGAACTGTATCTTTTTTTCTATAACATTTCCTATAGGTTACTGTAGTTCGGCAGAAATGCTATTGCTTTCTGTACATGGACACTGAATTTCCAAAAGTATTACATATAATAAAAGAGGTAAGCAACTCGTTGAAAGTACACAACCATATCATCTCCACATAACAATAATTTGTCTCTTACTTTCCATCCTTGTGCTTCATTTATTTTTCTTGTCTTACTGCATTGGCTAGGTTCTTCAGCACAATGCTGAATCACAGCGGTGACATTTAGCATCTCTTATCTTATTTCTGACTGTAATTGGGAATGCTTCTAAGGTTTTCCCAGCAAGCATGATGTTGGTCATAGGATGTAACTGTCTTTTTCATGTTCTCAGATTACATCTTCCCAATTAGTAAGCTCCTTGAGAGTAAGGCCTAAATATCATACATTTTCCCATCCACCACAAAACACTGTGTGTCACACAGTAGGCAAGTCCATAAAGACGAAAACCACATTAAGTGGTTGCCAAGGAGAGAGTGACTGCTTAATGGGCACATGGTCTCCTTTGTGGGTAATGAAAAGGTCCTGGAACTAAATAGTCATGATGATTGCCCAGCATTGTAAATGCACTTAGTGGCACTGAACTGTGTACCTTAAAATAATCAAAATGGTAAATTTTGTGGTATGAGTATTTTGTCACACACACAGAGAGCGAGAGAGAGAGAAAGAGAGAGAGAGAGAGAAGATATAACTAGTCCAGGGACACAACAACTCGTAAGTGTGATTACGAGAACCCAGTTTTTCACTGTAATTTTAGGAGTCAAAAGAGAGCTACCCCCTACATCTCTACATTGAGCCCAAGTCCAGTACATTCTCCCTGATGCCTCCTCTGAGTGATCCAGGCCTCGGTAGCCCTTGTTTCCAGACACAACCATGGTACACACCCTGGCATGAAACCCTATCTGCCCCATATCACTCTCTGGTCATTTCATGCACACTGGTTTAGTTCCCCAGGTAGACATACTCTGAGCTCTTTGAGTCCAGGGCCCATGAGCCCTCCCCACAGGGCTCACTGGCTTGACTACTGTTGTGGAAACTGAAAAGCATACCAAATGCTTATTTATATGTTTCACAGTTTTAACTTGCATTTTAGCTAAAATGTTCCCACATTCTTTTGGTTAGCAAAACATAACAGGCTCTCCTTTTGCCACTGATTCAATCTCAGGAAATGCCTTTTCGCCATAGAACTCCTAAACCCATTGCTGCCTATTGTTTTCTCATTAATGAAAAAAAAAGTTAACACTACTTTCTCCACTTACTCATAAAAGTTTCATTTCTCTACTTCAAACACTGTGTGAACATTAAAAGGTGCTATAGGTTGCATTTTAATAGAACAAGACAGTAAATAAAAGCATATGAAATTACAGCCTAGGAGTTTAAACACGTAATATTTCAAAGAAGTTTTACTTCACTTGAAAAAGTTTTCTCTTTCAGAAAGAAAACTTTCTAAAAAGTTTTCTCTTTCAGAAAGAAAACTTTCTAAAAGGCTTTCTCTTGCAGAAAGAAAACTTTCTAAAAAGTTTTCTCTTTCAGAAAGAAAACTTTCTAAAAGGCTTTCTCTTTCAGAAAGAAAACTTTCTAAAAAGTTTTCTCTTTTTAGTGTATTTAGAAATTAGCAAGGAAAACCCAGATTAAAAAGTCATTTAATCTACCTTCTAGCCTTGGATGCATCACTTACTTTTGGTCCCAGCCAAGTACCTCAAACCCTGGGTGTTAGTTTTCTTATTCACAAAATGGAAATAAAAGTGTCTTCCTGTTAGTCTTAGAGAAGCATTGTAACCCACGATTAAGACAACAAACAAGAAAGTGAGTAGTAAAGGGCAGAGCCCTGACTATAAGGGAGAAACTTGGGACAGAGGATCTCTGAGTCCAGAAAGGGAAGAAAGGAGGTGGCAATGACTGTCTCTCCCCATCCTTGGCTCCAGGTCTCTGCACCACTGATCACCTAGTCTAGCAGGTGCTTTGAGCCTGGGCAGGATCTGTGGAAGTGGCCAGTGGATCTGAAGGGGGTTGAGAAGCCAGTGCTACCCTGCCAGAATGACCCCCCCCCCCAAAAAAAGAGTTTTTAAAATCAATGCTCAACTTTTCTCCCAAATGATGATGCAAATACCAGTAATACACAAGCAGGTGGAGGTTATTTTTAGTGAGGGTATTTTTTTAACTTTCTATTCTGAAATACTTATAGACTTGCAAGAAGTTGCAAAAATAGTACAGAAAGGTCTATGTCCTTATCTCCTATCTTCCCCAATGATAACATCTTATATCACTATATTACATGATCAAAACCAGGAAATTGACACTGGCACAA
The DNA here is from genome assembly GCF_000001405.40 of Homo sapiens. Classification (NCBI taxonomy): domain Eukaryota; kingdom Metazoa; phylum Chordata; class Mammalia; order Primates; family Hominidae; genus Homo; species Homo sapiens. Next base: position 110,747,040 of record NC_000010.11, on the reverse strand, counting down.
TACAATGGACTAGACTGCAGGCCTTAATCAAATGTTATCAGTTTTTGCAGACACTGTTATACAAACAACTATAATGGTGCAGAGGGTAGAAAAAAGAAAAAGAAGTGGTATAGAATTATTTACATCACTAGGATGAAATCAATACAATGTAATTTCGATAGACAATTCATGAGTATGCAAACAATTTTTTTATTACAAACGATATTTTTCTTCATGATTGAGTCCATTGTGATGGGATGATATTTGCAGCATCTTACTCCAGTCCCCCATTTGGGGAGGTGAAGAAATTTCCCACAACAGTTCTAGAAGAGTCAGGGAGAAAGAGGCATCCAATGCCCATTGCAACCCTAATCCCAGACCCTCTCCATAGGTAGCACTGCCTGCTCCCAATCCAGCTGTGCAAAATCATAGAATTCCCACAGCTTGAAGGGCATCTCCAGGTGGAATTTGGTGCCGGCCTTGAAATACTCGGGGTCGACTGAGCAATGCCACCATCTGGTGGTCAGACAAAGAACTAAGGAAAGCAGTGGCAGCTCTCCATTTGTGGGTCTTACCAGTTGAGCAACCTTTTAAATCTATTCCAGGAGGCTCTACTTAAGGTACAGCCATACTAAATGTTGTAATAAAGAATGTTTCGTAATGAGAATAACCACTCTACAGTGGATTAAATATGGCCACAAATTCCTGGAAGCCCCTCCCATTAAGACATGAGTCTATTTCCCTATCCTTTGAATCTGGGCTGGGCTCTTGACTTGCTTTGAAGCAGAATGCACAGGAAGAGATGCTGTGTAACTTCCAAGCCTCTACCTCAATTGGCCTCAGAGTTTGCCCCTCACCCTCTTGGAAGACTGCCACTTTGTGAACAAGCCCGCACCAGCCTCCTTCAGCATGAGATTCTAGTGGAGAGAGAATCTCCATTTCTCCTGAGGTCCCACGCATATGAATTCCAGCCGAATCGCTACCAAACGTGGTGATGAGCGAGCCCAGGCAAGAACAGCTGAAGGCAACTCAAGTCATAACCCACAGAATCATGAGAAATAATAAAGGGTTCTAAATCATTAAGTTCTGGGGTGGCTTATAATGGAACAGATTTGAACATTCTCAAATTATTGTTTAAAAAATCTGTACTGTGGACAAGCTTAAGGTTTATTATTACTATTTTAAACTAGATTACTAGGCAGGGCATACATCGCTATTTCCATATGGTAAACCTTGCTTGTTGCATGCATTTTGAATATACGGCATACTTTGATTTTCCTTTGCATTTTCAGCCCTCCTCACATGTTATCACGCATTCATTCATCAAACACCAAGCATGTTGAAAGTGACAGCTCCTGGAGTAGGCACTAAGGATGTGACATTGAATTGGATATGACGGCTACTCCTGAGAAGCTCATGGCTATTGGAGAAGATACGTATGCAAATGCTGAGTGACCACTCCCAGTGGAAGCAAGACAAGGGGCTAAGTTAGTCAGGACCCAATAAAGAAAAGAGAAACCACTCCAAATCCCTTGGAGAATTTAATCCAGAGAATTTATCAAACAGACAAGAAGGTACACAAAAGCTAGTGGGGACAGGAGTAGCAATAGAGCCCTGGAAGATCCCCAGCCACTGTCAGACAGCCAGCCACAGAGGAGGGGGAGAACCACCCTGGCATCCCTCTCCGACCACCCTGCAGTCTCACCCCAGAGGCTTGCACTGTTCAAACCCAGCAGGCGCCTGGAAATGCAGCCTGCAGGGATCAAATCCCTGGGATGTGGAGCACAGGAGGGGAAGAACAAGGCTTATGACTTGCCATGGTGGTATTCAGGCTAGAAAGTCTTTACAGCAGAGGCAGTGGCTGGGCCAAGCCTTGACACTTAGAAGAACTGGACTCTATTTGGAGATGTTTTGCAGTCACATTTGGGTTTGCCCAGGAGAAACAGGGATGAAAAAGCAGAGGGTTTGTATTCAAGCAACTGCTTACAACATTGACCCAAACAACAGTAACCACGAGGAGAGTGACAGTGCATAAGAAAGATGCCAGCACCCCCAGGGAGGAAGTGCTGGAGTTCCGGAGAGGCAGAAGTAACCTCTCGCTCTTGGCTCCTTTTGGTGCTGGGAGGACAGTAAGGTCAAGGCCATCCCTTCAGCTGTCCTGAACACAAGCCTCTTGACCCACATGGTGGCCGCTATGTTTCACCATGAGCCAAGCAAAGGACCAAGATGGATTCATTGCCTTTGTTCGAAATATAACTGAGTCTTCATATCAGCAGATTTCTTTCCTTGTCTTCTTGGTACAAGTGTACATATCTTTAGATTTCTTATTTCAGTAGCTAAATATACATCTAAACTCATTTGAAATGAAATAGGGACTGGCTCTTTCACATTCTAAAGTATGGTTTGCAAACTTCAGCAGGCCTCAGACACACCTGGAGGGCTTGTTCAAACACAATATCACTAGCATCCACCCCCAGAGTTTCCGTTCAGTAAGTCTGGAGGAAGGTTTGAGAATCTGCGTTTCCATCAAGTTGCTAGGTGGATATTGCTGCTGGTGCAGGACCACACTTTGGGAACCAATGTTCAAAGGTATTAACTTTCCTCCAAGTTCTTTTATTTTATATATCAACCCACCTTCACCTTTCATCACCTTGGTAGTGGCGTTTCCCAGCCACAAGCATCAGCCCGGTGCTGGTGAAACTACAGCTCCCAGTCACTCCCCTGGAGATTCTGAGGGCCTGGAATGCTACCTTCAAGGGCCCCAGGAGAGTCACATCAGGGTGACAGAAACCACAGGCATCCTGCAAACCTACTGTGTGCCAGGCACTGTGCTTGACAGTGATTGACAGGCGCTATTTCGTGTGATCTTCCTTATACTTCCGCTTGCATTTCCTCTGTATAGAGAGGTATCTGAGGCACTGAGAGGTGAAGGAGTTTGCCCAGTGCCACACAGCCAGCAAGTGGAAGAGCTGAGGCTCAAACTCAGGAAATGTGACACCACCCTGTCACTGTACTCCCAATCATTCTACTCTATTTCTTCCTAAAGAAAAGGGGACTGGAGCCCCCACCAGGATCACTGAAAAATTTCTCTAGTGAAGAGAAGCTGATCTCTTCCAACAAGGAACACCAAATAAAAATAAAAGGACAGCTGGGCACCGTGGCTCACACCTGTAATCCCAGCACTCTGGGAAGCTGAGGTAGTCGGATCACCTGAGGTCAGCAGTTCAAGACCAGCCTGGCTAACATGGTGAAACCCCATCTCTACTAAAAATACAAAAATTAGCCGGGTGTGATGGTGCGCATCTGTGGTCCCAGCTACTCAGGAGACTGAGGCATGAGAATCGCTTGAACTGGGAGGCAGAGGTTGCAGTGAGCTGAGTTTGTGCCACTGCACTCCAGCCTGGGCAACAGAGCAAGATGCCACCTCAAAAAATAATAATAATATAAAAGAACAATGTGGGTATTGCATGCATGCATGCATGTGTGTGCCTCTGTGTATGTTGTGTGTGTGTGTGTGTGTATGTATAAACTGAATCAGAAGGCTGGGAGAAGGTGAGAAGAGGGAGAAGCTTTGGACTAAAGTTGACCATTAAAACCTAGTAATTAACAAATAAAAAGTGTAACTATTTATCACATGCAACATAAAATAAGATATATCACGTTAAACTTGTCATTTGATGAACTGTGAAAAAAATAACCCCAGTTAGCCCATGAAAACTCTTACCCCTTTTGGCAAGCCACTTAATCTCTCTGTGCCTTGGTCTAATGGTCTGCAAAACAGAAATTGATTTACCCCATTGGAGGTTTAGAGAATTAAGTGAAATAATGAATGTGAAAGCCTCTAAGCTCATAAGCCTTTTTTTTCCATTGTTGGTAAAATATACAGTTCATAAAATTTAACACTTCATATAAACCTTTCAAAAATAATTTGTAAAATACATTGTGTCTGAGTTCCTTAAACAGGGGAGTGATTAAACCCTGAGGTTTTCGGAACCCTGCCAGGCTTGAGGTGCTCTGAGAGTGATGGCTCGTGCCACAGTGAGAAGGCTTCACACTGTCCCTGTGCAACTGACTTGATGACAGCCCGGGCCGCCTTCCGGGGAACACATCTCTCCCAGGTCCATGCTCAGCAGAAAGCAGATCTTTCACAGTGAGAGTTGGAGGTGAGGCACACTGTTGAAGAAGATGCAGATGAATCTCTTTATGTTTCTAGCATCAGCCCTCTACTCAAGAACCCGAGCCTCTGCTTTGTGCAGCTTTTGGGGGTTTGAAATACTAACCGAGCCTCCCAGCTACTACCTAGGTGCTTTTGAAACAGGTGAGCTACTAAAATATAGACCAGCTGCCTGAACAGTAGCAGTAGTGGTTGGATTTGTGTGTCAAGTTTGGGTTCTGTTTTATTTTGTCTTTTGTAAAAGAAAGAAATCATGTTATGAGAAAGTGAAACTTCTGTACAAAGAAGTTCGGGGGTAAAGAAAAAAATCCTGGGTTCAACTGGGTTTCTTTCCTTTAGTAGCTCCAGAAAAAGGCCAGGATGAGCACACTGCCAGGGGACTGTCACAGGCCCCACACTCAAGACCAAGGTCCAGGGGTCCATGTTGCTAAGGTTCCAGAGACTTCAGTGGTTCATGCAGCAAAACTGTCCAAGTCCAAGTCCTGTGTCTTCTTCTCTTAAGTCATGTGTGGAAAGTTTGTCCATTAGAGACCTGGGAAAAGGCCTCCAGCCTGGGAGCTAAGAAAGAAATGGCTCAGGAAGCTACTGAAAAGTGAAAGTCTTCCTTGTCCCCAGCCCCTGACTTGGGAGAGGGCAGTAGTGCAGAAGGCTCCTCTGATGAGGAGGTGTAGATAGAAAAGTCAGGCTGGAGAGAGCAGATTCCTCTGGCAGAATCGCAGAACATCAGGTCAGGAAGGGACTTTGAGGCTCCTCCTAGGTTTATTTATTATTTTTTACAGGAACTACATCATGAACTAACTTCTGGGTTCATTTAATCTACAAAAAAGGGTGGAGCACTCACTGGGGTCAGGCTGAACCTGGTGTCTCAACTTTCAGTCCACTACATTTCCCTCCCTCTGTCAAACTGGGCAAAGATAATTTCAGCAGCTTTTGGGTTCTGCCCTAGAGGAGTGTACGTCCATGGGGAGGCAGGCACGTAAACTGATCATCCTCACACTGGGTGGGAAGTGGGCATTCTAGAGGAGCAGGATCCTGGAAGAGGTACTGCAGGGCTCTCCTGGGGAGGGAGGGGGGTCATGTACTCTGGTCCTGGAGGGGTTCCTAGAGGAGGTGAGGTCTGAGCTCAGGCTTGGTGAAAGAGTAGGACAAAGCCAGGTGATGGGGGGCAGGGGGCAGCCCTCAGGTACATAGCTACTGGGAATTGAAAACAATTTCAGGCTGCCACAGAGTTGTGAGTTGACAAATGGCAGAAGGCTTGGTGGGGCAGTCTTGGAGAGAAGATAGAGATTCGGGGAAAATTTAGGACTGAAAGCTGGCAGAACTTGGTGAGTGGACATGGGGTAGAGGTGAGGGAAAGGAAGGAGTTGAGGATGACCTGTGGGTCTCTTTCACTTTCTGAGTTGATGGAGGAGTCATGTGGAAAACAAAGGCTGAGTTTGCATGAGTTCAACTTCGGACACATGAAGTTGTTGGTGCCAGAAGATATAATGTGGAAACAGCTGCAGTCCCCTAAATACTGACATCTGGAGCTCAGGAAAGATGACAGAGGCAGATACCTGTTATTTCTCTATTATCTGTGCTTTCTACGTCACCTCTACAGATGATTTCTTATTTTACCTGTATCCACCCTAACAAATATTGAATACCTGTGCTTATTCATAGGTGCTTCTTGACTGGGAAGGAGTGGAAGAGGTCCTAGGTGCAGAAGGGTATGGAAGATAAGGTCAAAGGATGTGCTGGTGGGAATGGGAGACAACTGAGAAGGTGAGACAAGCTGGAGGAAATGTCAGGAGCTGCTGAGAGAAGCTCAGCCTGACCAGAGATGAGAATTGCCATCTTGAATCGTCAGGAAGTGAAGGAAAGCCCAGGTGAATGCCACCCAATCAAAAAGAAAAAACAAATGCAGATGGTAAGGTAGAGAAGGCTCTGAAGCCCAGGTAATGAGAGCCATGTTACCCTGGACAGAAGCATCCAACACCACACATCTCCAAGGATGTTGGAGATCCAGCATCTGGATCCAGCTAACTTCTGCATCCTCTTCTGTACTCACAAGAGTTAACATGGACGTCCATGCATCTGCTGGACAACACCCCCTAGAACGAGTGTCTTTGTATGTTTTCACACACATAATGATGTTATATCTGCTGCCATCCTACTGAGTAAGGGGATGAATAAAGGTAAGAAGAAAACAAGTCACTTTAACTCAAAAAGGAGTCCTCGGGCCACTCCAGTGAACATCAAGGTGGCCATAAACTTGCTTTCCCCACCCCTACCAAGCCCTGGTGGGAGAGGGAGACATGGGGGAAGGGAAGGAGAGAAGGGGCTCCATCTCTCTGGTGGGTCCATAACCCAGTTCTGTGAAAGGCAGCTCCACACACCTGGCTCCCACTAGCTCTCCTGCCCCTCCCTCTGCAGCAGGGCCTTGGGCAAGCTTCTCTTCCCAGCCCCCACCCTTGCCCATGAAACACTCAGACCAAGCTGGTACTACCCCAGGGGCCACTTCTGCCCAATGCATTAAGGTTTGGCTGATTCAAAAACACCCAACTTAAAAAAAATGTTGTTTTCTATCTCCGACACAGTCCTTTTGACCTACACTAGATGGTCTCATCAGAAACAAAAGCATCCTAACCTTCCAAGGTCAACATTACTCCACCTCAACCCACAGCCACAGCCATCAAACACATACCCAAGCCAACAGATGGTTACAAAATTCTAAACAGTGCTCTTTCAGAACTCTGGGGCGAGCTACCCTGGGGCCTCCAACTAGACTTCCTGCCCTGGCCCTGGCCTTGACAATGAACCTGTTTCATCTCAGCAGTTGGCTCGGAAATGCCAAGCTGCCTTGTTGTCCGTGTTTCCAGACAAGTCTGCATTGCTGAGTATCAGGGGCAGCTGGAGCAGGTCTGGGCACTTGGAGAAGGAGGGAGAGGGAGACAGTATAGTGGGGCTGGGAACACCCAGTGAGGGCAGGAGGACCCAGACGGGCAGGGCCGCTGGGAGTGGCTTCCTCACTGCTTGTGGGCTGTGTTAGTCACCCAGGTCGCACAGAAGCCTCATGCCTTCATGACCGCAACAATCACCCAATACTCAGGCCAGGGATTTGAACTGCTGGATCTCAGTGCATTTCCACAGTTCAGTCCTGCAGGTGGGAACTATTAATACCCATTTAGAAGATCAAAGTTGCCCCAAGTCGTACCACAAGGAAGCGTCCCAGCTAGAATGTTCACATTGATGCTGGTGCTCTTTCCCCTGCCACTCTGCCTTCCACCACCACGTCAGTCCTCGAGTTGAGTTCTTTCTGGAAGGCTGTAGAAAACTGGTTTCCAACTTTCCAATCCTAGATTTTCTTTCTTTCTTATGCCTACACACAAGCACTTTTCCCTAATGTAAAATTCTCTGAGGGGTCAAGAGATCCGGCAGCTCATCAAAACAATCCATTTTGAAAGAAAATTTTGGATGAATATAAACATTAAGAGGTTGGGGAATTTTGTCTGTTTTTGTTCACTGCTGAATCCCTAGTGTCCAGGACAGTGCGAGACACAGTAACCCAGAGTGGGCACCTAATGAATGTATATTGAATCAACACTCTTCCAGATTGCAGATTCTTGCAAAATTTTCATGATCTCCTGCTCAAATATCTTCCTAAAAACACAGCATGACTTCAAGAGCCCTCAACTGTACTAAAGTAGTTACATACATATAGCATAAATCAGACTATGCAGGCCTTGGTCCTCAGGAGGACCTGTCAACAGACAGAAAGACATCCATCTGATCCTGTGCCCAGCCAGAAAATGCCACCTGCGACAGGTACTTCCTGACTGTCCAGACACCTCCCCATACTCTCTCAGTTACAGATAAACTCCCTTAAGGATTGTGAGCAGCTGTGGACCATTTCAAATGCTTCCTACTAATTCTTGTAGCTGAATGGGCCCTTCCTGCTCTGCTGTGATACGAATCTGCAAGGAAGGCGAGATCTGGAGAGTTCTCAGACCAACACACCTCACAGCTATAGGTCTGGGCTCCCATCACAGGCACAAAGGCTGCAGCCCCAACCCCAATGTCAGCCTCGCCACCTCCTCTATCCCCATTCCCGCCTCCATGCTCTGGCACCTTGGCACTCCTTCAGCTCCAGGAACATGCCCCGCGTGCTCTTCCAGCTTCCTGGGAAGCTTCTCCCTCACCGTACCCTGGTATACTCTCCTCATCCCTCCAATCTCAGCTGTGTCACTGTTTCAGGAAAGCCCCCCTTCCATGCCACCCTCTCCCCCAGCCCAGATCCACTTCCTATGTCATAAGTGTTAGTCCAAGTTGCACCGTTTCGTAAGCTCCCTGTCATTTCACAGACCTTGGTCAAAGTGAAACATTCCACGGGGGGTTCGGGCCGTGAGAAACAGCCTGACCAACTGCCTGACTTTGCTGGGAGAAAGGGCAAGGAACATCACATTCCACCAGAACAAGGGCCAAACCACCTCATCGTGGGAACATGTTATCAACATTTTCCCAGGCAGCAGGCCATGCTCCCCCCAGACCCCTCCTGCTCAGGCCTATAATTGCCCCAGCCTGTAAGCAGCAGTGGGCACTGGCATTAAGCTGGCCCCCAACCTCTGCAGGTTTTATGTTGGACATAAAGCCTATGTTTTGCTGTAGGGCCGCCAACTCTCTCTCTGTTTTTCTTTAACCCTCACCTTCCCTTTAAAAAACCTAACAGTAAGCTGTCCTGGGATCCTGCCTCTTTCCTCTTCAGCACTTACCTCCATGGCAATCACACCACCTTACCTTGGTGTTTGCTTAATTAATGCTGGCACAAAAGCAGAAACCACATCTGCTTCTGCTCCTTACTATTCCCAATGCCTCACATAGTGCCTGGCATATAGATGATGATTAATGATGACAAGAATCTAGCAGCAGGCAAGACCTGGTCTTATAGGCCCCAGTAAGGAAATTTAACAACCCAGCAATTCCACCCCAGGTGTATACCTGGCAGAAATGTGTACATATGTTCTCCAAAAGACACGTAAAAAATGTTCACAGCAACATTCTTTGTAATAGCCAGAAACTAGAAACAACCTATATCCATCAAGAGTAGAATGAATAAATAGTGGTGTATTCCTGTAATGGAATACTACACAGCCGCGAACACTAACCAGGTATAATTATTTGCTACAACATGGATGAATGTTACGAACATAAAACTGAGTAAAAGAAACTTAGGCACAAAAGAGTATACACCATATCATTCCAATTACGTTAAACTCAAAAAAAAAAAGGCAAACTAATCTATCTTCAGAGAGGTCAACATTGTTAAAGATCGTCAGAGGCTGAAGAGTGACTCAAAAGGTAGCCACTTGTTCCTGGGGTGCTGGTAGTGTTCTGTTTCTTGATCTGGATGCAGGTTTTTAGGGATATGTTCACTGTGTAAAAATTTATCAAGCTGTTCACACATTATTTCTATACATTATACTTTAGGACCTTAGTCATTTCAGATTGCTAAACCTTAGACCAGGTAACTTAAAAACAATAGAAATTTATTGCTCAAAGTTCTGGAGGCTGGGAAGTCCACAATCAAGGCACCAGCAGATTTGGTGCCTGGTGAGGACCACTTCCTCATAGATGGTGCCTTCTTGCTGCCTCCACTCACATGGTAGAAGGGGTGAACAAGCTCTGTTGTTTTTGAGTGTGTGTGTGGGGTGTTTTTTTTTTTTTTTTTTTTGAGGCAGAGTTTCACTCTTCTTGCCCAGGCTGGAGTGCAATGGCACTATCTCAGCTCACTGCAACCTCTGCCTCCCAGGTACAAGTGATTCTCCTGTCTCAGCCTCCCGAGTAGCTGGGATTACAGGCGCGCAACACCATGCCCGGCTAATTTTTTTGTATTTTTAGTAGAGATGGGGTTTCACCACGTTGGCCAGGCTGGTATCGAACTCCTGACCTCAGGAGATCTGCTCACCTCGGCCTTCCAAAGTGCTGGGATTACAGCTGTGAGCCACTGCGCCAGGCCGGGTCTTTTTTATAAGAGCACTAATCCCACTCATGCCTTCATGACTTAATTGCTTCCCAAAGGCTCCACCTCTTAATACCACCATCTTGGGGATCAGGTTTCAAAATATGCATTTTGGAGGGATACAAACATTCAAACCATAGCATTCAATGAAGAGCTTACTGAAAAAAAGGAAAGAAGGCAATTCCTCCATTAGGTGGTGGTGGATCTCAATAGGCCCACAGGGTGTTTGGCAGAGCCAGAGCACAGCCTCCACTGCTCCAGGCATGTTTCTGCATTCCCAGCACACACGGACACCTGCAACCACCATGTCCCTCTCAGTTTCTGTCATCTGGATTGGTTTCTTTCTTTCTTTTTTTTTAAGATGAAGGTAAATATTTAAATTTTCTCTCCCAAGAAAATTCAGATGAAAACAGGATAAGTATTCAATGACCTAATCCAAAAAGTGTATAAAATTTAAAGCAAAGACAAAACAAAATAAAATACCTAGTTCTATACAGCAGTTTTATACAACAGTGTCTTGACACGCACAGATAGTGTGTGACTAAGAAGGGAAAAAGAAGCAAGGAATGGAATTCAGTGCAAACTGGGTATATTGTGTGCAAATGGCATTTGTAGAGAAGTAAATGTGTGGAATGTAATTTGGGAAGATGGACTTTATATCTTTAATTTTTGTAAAAACTGCATTGCAATTTTCTTGCTTTAAGCAACTCCTTCCCAAGCCCTCTGGTTGCAAAACTGTGACTTTGTAATCCTAAATACATGTTATTTGAGATTTGCTGCCAAAAAATTGTGTTTCATCTCCAGGTCTGAAAGTGTGAATGTTCTGGGCAAATGCACTTGTGCTCTCTAAGGAAGACAGGCTGGCGTGTGGAAGGGTTGGTTCTGCCCACCGCCTAGTTAATCTGCCATCAGAGGGAGATGGGTGGGAGATACCATATCTTCAAAGCCTAAGCTTGTGGTTAAATTCCAGAGCCTTTCACTCTTGGGGTGAATGTTCACTAATCTAGCCATGAGATCAGCAATCCTGAACAAATACCCCAAACTCCTACTAAGATACATGTTAATTAGTAACTTTGACTTATGTACCTTTCGTGCATGGGTCAGTGTCCTGAGCTCTACATGTAGTAGCCGATGCTTAACTAGAAGGCATAAAACCTTGAGATGGGGCAAACAGACATGCTCATGCGCTAGATGACTGTTTTCATCAAAACAAAAGCAAATATACCTTTCACCCAGCAATCCTATTTACAGAAATGTATCCTTCCGATGGACTCATACATACATGCCAAGATGGGTGTGCAAGGATCCTCACTGCAGCACTGTCAGTAATAGTAACCTATCAGAGACAATCTAGATTAACAGGAGGCTCGGAAAACACATTATAATAATTTATACAATGGAACACTATTCAATCAGGACAAAAGCGCAAGGTACAGGCTTGTGTGCAGACAGGCTACAATCTCTTCAGAGACACATTGTCAAAACGAAGTTAAGTATGGTGGCTAGACAGTATGCATGATATGTTCCTTTCCACATAAAAAAAATACATGCAGATACATGTTTATGGTAGTTCTCCCTTATCTGCAATGGGGGGATATGTTCCAAGACCCCTACTGGTTGCCAGAAACCTTGGATAGTACCAAATTCTATATATACTATTTATTTTTTCCTATATATACCTGGAATAAACATTTACCTTTTCACTTAAAGGAAGCACTTTATGGCTTCTCTTGGGCATATCTGAATCACCAGCATCACTACTCTTATGCTTTGGGATTGTTATCAAGGAAAATAATGGTTACTTGAACACAAGCCCTGCGATACCTCGACAGTGGACCTGCTCACTGAGATGGCTCCTAAGTGATGCTAGGATGGGTGGTGTATACACTGTGGATACACTGGAAGAAGGATGATTAACGTCATGGGAAGAACAGAGTGGGACAGTAGGAGATTTCATCACGCCACTCAGAACAGCTCACAAATTAAAATTTAGGAATTGTTTATTTCTGGCATTTCCCATTTAACGTTTTCAGATTGTAGTTGACCAAAAGTCGCTAAAACTGTGGAAAGTAAAGTTGCAGATTCAGGGGGCATGAGTGGGGAGCACTGTATATAAATAAAGAATATCTCTGGGAAGAGACCCAAGAAACTGAGTCAGGAGCCCTATTTTACAAATGAGAAAATATCTCCTCTTAAGATTAAAATTACTGACCTCAATGGGTTGGGGGGTCTGGGTATACTAAGGACACTCTCAAAAAAAAAAAAAAAAAAGAGGGAATTTTTATATTGGTTCCATGATAGAAAAAAAAAGACAGCATCTTGGCTTATAGAATAAAATGAGTTCACCCACAGGATTTAATAAGGTAGGTAACAACATGAAATCAACATAGATGCAAATCCATATTGAGCAGAGGGAATCATTTCCAGTGACACCTGTAGTTCAAAGAATACTCAAAACTGTATCTGAAAGTAAATGACTTAAAAGTTACAAATGTGTATGAGTGCCCAGAGCCAATCTTGAGGGGCCATTTCTCTACTGACATAGCAGTATTTGTGGACCTGATTTTCCATGTTCTAGTCTCTTCTCCATCCCTCTTTCTGCTCCTACAATCTCACCATCCTTTTGCTCAACATCTCATCCAAGGAAGCACGAATCAGTTTCTCCTGGGACACAAATGAGACCCTCTTATCACACTCTATGACATTCTAAAAACCAGATTTAATCAAGAAGATATGTTGGAATTACAATGCTTCTTTCAAGCTCTTGCCCAAAGACAAATAATTCAAGACAGAATGTCGACCTTCAGTGAATGATGATAATTATCTCCTCATCCAATGGAAGGGAGGGGTTGATTTGATTTTTACAAAAAAAAGAGAAGAAATGCATCTAATGGATGTGGCTAACAGACATTCGCAGGTATAATGAAAAGATAAGAAAAAGACAGGCATGATTAAACATCACACCCACACAAGCTGGTTAGCTGAAGTCACGTGTCAGCATCTCTGAGGCTGTTCTTTTGAGAAGCACCCCAGAAGGGCAAACCGAATTGCTGGGGATAAAACATGTCCATTACCTTGCTTTAGAGGCGATTATCTTTAGAGCGAGAGTGAAAGTAGCTGAGCGAGCAGTTCCTGGGCATTCTGCAAAGTCACAGGCATCAGGATCTCCAAGGCAGCCAGAAAGCGCCGAGCCACGCCAGTGTGGGAAATTTGTGGCCAGAGCGAAGCCAATATTTCTCCAGCTAAACAAAAATGCCAGGCAAGATCCCCAGGGATTATGAAAGAGAATGCACCCCTGATTAACCATGACCTCAATCAGGGTACAGAACCCCAAGGAGCTAGCCCTGCATGGGCAATTCTATTCATAGTAACCACAAATCACTGCATGCCTCCTCTGTGTACCCAGAGATCATTTATCCAGAGGCAGTGTCGTCCTCCAAAAGACACCCGTTTGGGTAGGTATTTGGAAGCCACATCGTCAATCCTCCCAGCCATACACCCGGCTCTATACCGTGTGGTTTCACCTCATCCTCCTTCTCAACATTACACATCCCCCGCCAGGGGTGAGGGCAGGGAAGGGGTCACTGATTCTGCACTAGAAGAAATATCAGGGTTGGGGACGGGGATGAACTGAATTGAGACACCATGAACCAGCTCTGGAGCAAGAAGGGCAGAAAGAGATCCCAAGAACAACTTCAAGTAAGTAGTAAAGAAACTCCATTTTCTGAAAGGGCATTGTTTGTCGCTGGCTGTACGGATCCTTTCAGAGCCTTACAAGCTTCCCTTCTGCAATACGGTGGTGACGGTGCTGAGACAGAGACAGAAAGGGAAGGAAGAATCTTGACAGAATTAGGATGTCCAGCAGGGATCCTGGTACTTATAAGAATTGATTCCATATGGAAAATAGAAGAACAAAAGGAGATTTTCCGAGCCTGGTGAGTAGCCCTGATGATATTGGTCACTGAGATTGGTCATTCTTGTTTCCAGGTTCTGCAGCCTGGGAAGGTTTCCTAGGGTTTCCTGGGGTCTGTTATGGGGAACCAGGAGGGATGCTGATGGTTCCAGAGGTCAACACAGTCAATGATTTCCAGTGAGGTCTTCAAAACTTCTAGACTCAGGAGACCAAGTTCTCACCCTTGACATGATTTCAGTCTTCTCAGGGCAGGAGAAAGAGCCAGGCTCCCTGAAGAGTTTTTGCTCTGGAACCCAACGATGGGGTGCGTGTGAACGGCAAGGGCAGAATTTATGTGGCGGTGACTCACACTTAACCCAGAAGGCCCCTGGACCCCAGAAAGGCAAAACCGGAGTTTGAGAAATAAAAGAAATTTAGGGAATGATTTCAGAACCTAAGAATGAACCCTAACTGCTGGAGACAGAGCAGTGAATTGAATTTGCCCTTGGAAACCTGGTTTTGCCTTTGTCAGAAGTCAGGATTGGTGGGCAATTGAAATCATCTGAAGGAGAAAGGAAACATTTCCCCTAAATCCTTAAAAGGAATCTGAGAGGAAGCTGGAGAAGGGATGCCCATTTTCATAAAAAATAATTCTCATAGGAAAGAGCATGGAGGAACTGAGAAATAACCATGACTGACAGCGCGTCAGAGAAAGAAAATCAATACCAACCTCTCCATAGAAATAGCAGGGGCGAGGGGACAGGGGAATAGAAAAAAGTGGAGATGACCATGAAACAGATAAACCAACGAGAACTGCAACATGGGAATATTGAAGGATGCTATGTATAAGAAATACTCTCGAGAAAAGGCAAAAAGCAGGGGAGGGAAAAATGTCACTATCAGAAGTATGGTTATTAAGATAAAAAGTGGCATTGTTTGAGATGCACAGTCCTTTTAGAAAAACATAGGTGAGAAGATTGAGGAGACAAGAAAGAGCTCTAGAGGTGCTGAAGGTGCACATGGAGAAGATGGACCTGAAGGTCCATGAATGTGAGATTCAGAGGCATCTAATGCCAAATGCAAGGGTAAGGATTTTAAAAGACCAGCTTTATACCTCGAATCTTACTACAACAGTAAACTTAACACAAAAAAGGACATTTTGCAAATTAAGCTGAAGAGAACACTCTCAGCATACAACTAAGGAAAATGCCTGAAGAAGCCTAAACTCTGAAGTGGACAAAAAAATGCAGCTTTTGCCTTTAGGAGCCATTCTAACATAAGAATGTCTATTTTCATTAGCACACTCTCAGAAAATTCTAAGGTGAATTAGCCTAGATAACAAGAGGGAGAAATGATAATTTCTACAAATTACAGTATAAAAGGCTTCTGAAAAATTATTTTTTAAAGATGGCAGCACACGTAGAAAATGACAGAATTGTAACTAAGGCAGATTTATGAGTTCAGCTAAAAGGGGTGGATTCCTGAGTTTTTCAGAAAGAAATGGGATATGGCAAAGGGAATTTGTGACCCAGGGTACAGGTGTAAGAACCTATGGATAGAACATTACTGAACTTGTGGAAATCCAAAACACAATTTTAGCTTCTCTCTTCATTGAGTCCATTCTTTTATTGTTTACCAAGGAACCAAATGAATTGCCATCTTCCTTGTTTCATTCTCTCAAGGAAAGGAATAAAGCAGGGAAATTAGCAGCTTCTTCGCTTCCTTGTTTTTTGTTTGAATTTGTGGGCAGACATGGAGGAGGTGAGAGGAAATAAGAAAGGAGGGAGGAATCTGGTGATTTCCCAACGTGGATAACAACCAGCCCCCAAATATCGAGAAGTGGCCTCATGCAGAGTACCTAGAGAAAAGACTGCCTTTCATACCGAGAAAAAATAAAACAAAACAGTTTCATACCTCAAACTCACTATGGCCAGTGAATGAACCACTGGAAATACTTATCAGAAGGAGTTCTAGACAAAGCATATAAGTTACACAATGGTTAAAGAGCTCTAGCCCACTGGTTTCTAATGGGGCCAGTACGAAGCGATTGGTGCTGTGTGCACGCTCTAAGCAGGATGGGGGGCGGCTTGACACTTCAAGTAGGAGGGTGGGGAGGTAGAAAGAAACCAGGAAGGATGCCTCCCTCCTCCTTCTTCCTGATTCCCTGCCTGCCGGCCTCTCCCACATGACTTTGCTCTTGCAGTTATTTAATTGGGAAACACAAAGGAAGGAGGGGCTGGGCATGAGGTCTCAGAGCTTCTTGTCCTCATTCAGGACTCCAAGAGAGATTGGAAAGGGAGCACTCAATCCCACCGCAATGAACTTTGGAGAGGAGGACATGCTGGCATGGTCTGAGGGCTGACCATGGGCTGGGCATTCTGCCCATTTTACAGATGAAGTTCCTAGCAACTTAAAGCTTGTTCAAGGCCACAATGTCAATAGCACAGCCAGGACGAGAACCCCACCCTGTCTGACTCCAAAGTCTGCACAATGCTGCCTCCTTCTTCTAGGCTAGAGGAGTCCTCGGGACTGAAGCCGTGTTCATTTCTGCTGGAGGACCTGTGAAAGGGGGAGGGGCATTCTGGAGCTGGACACCCAAGAAAGGAGGTCGGGGGATCTCCAAGCCAGGATTAATGAGGTTAAAATCAGGCGCATTCAATTTGCATGTTCTTAAACCTTTGCCATAGAAACTTTGCCTTGGCATTGCTATGTTAATGCACAGTCAGGAGAACAGAAGTCCGAGGAAACCATCTTGAATGTGTTCTAAGCAACCAATTAGCTGCTGTCATTTATCCAGGGGTCTGCTTCTCCCAGGAAGCATGCAGAGCTAACAAGGCAGATGAGCACCTGGTGCTTGGGACTAGTCTTAAAAAAGAGAAGGGCCAAGCACGGTGGCTCACACCTGTAATCCCAGCACTGTGGGAGGTCAAGGCGGGTGGATCACCTGAGGTTGGGAGTTTGAGACCAGCCTAACCAACATGGAGAAACCCCATCTCTATTAAAAATACAAAAAAATTAGCCGGGCATGGTGGCGCATGCCTGTAATCCCAGCTACTCAGGAGGCTGAGGCAGGCGAATCACTTGAACCTGGGAGGCGTAGGTCGCAGTGAGCCGAGGTTGCACTCCAGCCTGGGCAACAACAAGAGTGAGACTCCGTCTCAAAAAATAAATAAATAAAAGGGGGAAGAAATGACATTAATGTTCCTGACAGAGGGGGTCAGGAGAGGGCCTCTCAAGCATTCCAACATCGCATCTAGGGCGGAGGTGGATGCGGTTCCCCTCAGGCCTGTCTGCGCTACAGCCAGGGTACAAGGGCCAGTGTTCTCTACAGTGATGACGGACGGCTGGGAATCACCCCTGGAGCCTCTAACTGATCACACCTGACTTTTAGGTTTGAGCTGCAAGTGGCAGCAGCTGCCAAATCTGGGAGATACGATCTCAGCTTCTGCCCTCCTGCGGCTCATAGCCTAGAAGAAGAGATAGATATTAATCAAACTGTCAAATAATTGTGAAACTGTGGGTTGATCAATGCATCAAAGGAAAGGGTAAATAAGAGGGTGTGAACCTCACCTGGAGTTGGAAAGTTGTTGGGATTTGAAAAAAGTGCAAGGTTTACTAGGTGAGAAGGAGAGGCAGGAAGGGCAGAAAAGAGAAGCCCAGGCACCAGGACCTGAAGGAAGAGACAACCCCTCGCAGGAGAGAGCTTTGGGAACAACACATATTATTTTATTGACTATTTAAATAATTACCTGGTAGTTACGTGAAAAGGATTATTGAGGTTAAAATTGGGAGCGTTTAAGTGGCATGTTCTTAAATCTTGTGCCATAAATTGCCTTCTCTGTATTCAAGATACTTTCTCATTCTGAATTTCTTATACACCTAGCAGAACGCTTGAAGAAATTATTGCTGTCATGGTTGCAGCAACAGTAACCAATATTCTGTCTCGGCGAACAGTATTAAAAGCCTATACTTTACATGCTTCAGTTCACATGATTCTGACAACAACCCTATGGGCAGGGGAGCAGTGAAGAAATTCTGCCCAAGATCACACAGCCTGGGTGTGACAGGGACCAGATCTGAACCCAGGCCCAACTAGTTCAAGGCTGTGTGCATAAACAGAGCAGCATCGCTCAGCGGGTCAGCAGAGGAGGTGGAAAGATACCCAGGGACAGCCTGCTGTCAGTCCTGAGACCTGGCGACTCAGCAAGCTTCCTATGACATCACCTGCCTCACCTGTAAAATTGGAATAATGACACCTGCCCACCCACCTCCTTGGGTTGTTGTGAGGCTTAATACAAGCACACGTGAGCCTGACAGGTTGAGAGCACCACACAAAAGAGAAGCATTATGATTGGGCAAAAACACACCCTGATAATAACTTCAAGTAGGCACAATGAATGACACCCTCCCAAGACCACAGACATAATTACAGAGAAAGGAGAAAGAGAGAAAATTGAAGTCACTCCCCCTCACCTTGACCCTGAGGCATAAAAATGAGCACTAACAGCAATTTACCAAAGTCTACCAAAGTCTACCTGTCTAGTAAAGAATCAACCTTATCCAAAAAAAAAGTGTGGCTTTTTCCCTTTCCTGGACTCTGAGAGGTAACCTCTAAACCCTTAGATTGTACTGCCTGAGAAGAGTGGGGACCTTGGGCTACCCAGATAGTCTAATAACGTGATTTATGGCAGGGGCCCTGGGCCATGCAGCATCAACTCAATCTCCAGAGAGGCTGGAGACCTAGGCCAGCCACACAGCTGTCAGCTACATGAGTGAGCCCCAGTAAAAACTAGGCTCAAGAAATAGCATTTGACCCAGCAATTCCATTACTGGGTATATACCTAAAGGATTATAAATCATTTTACTATAAAGACACATGCACACGTATGTTTATTACAGCACTATTTACAATAGCAAAGACTTGGAACCAACCCAAATGCCCATCAATGATAGACTGGATCAATAAAATGTTGCACATATATACCGTGAAATACTATGCAGCCATAAAAAAGAATGAGTTCATGTCCTTTGCAGAGACATGGATGAAGCTGGAAACCATCATCCTCAGCAAACTAACACAGGAACAGAAAACCAAACACCACATGTTCTCACTCATAAGTGGGAGTTAAACAATGAGAACACATGAACACAGGGAGGGGAACACCACACACTGGGGCCTGTTGAGGGATGGGGGACAAGGGGAGGGAAAGCATTAGGACAAATACCTAAGGCATGCAGGGCTTAAAACCTAGATGATGGGCTAATGAGTGCAGCAAACCACCATAGCACATGTATACCTATGTAACAAACCTGCACGTTCAGCACATGTATCCCAGAACCTAAAGTAAAATTAAAAAAAGAAAAATATACAAAATTAACTGATAAGCCTCTTATAAATAAGAGCCAAGAGGGAAGTGATTTGGTCTTCTTTATATCAAAACATTGCATATGAGTAAACAACCAGACAACTAAAACAGAATAGAAAGTTTAAAAGTCAACCCAACTACATACAAAATTTAAAATATAATTGAGATAGTGTCTCACATCTGTGAGAACAGGATGGACTTTTTATTTATTTTTTTTTTATTTTTATTTTTTGAGACGGACTTTTTAATAAATAGTATTGTGACAACTGGAGAGTCATTTGGAAAAAGATACAATTGCAGCCCACACCTGACACCAAACACCAGAATAAACCGTGCGTGAATCAGAAACCCAAAAACTGAAAAAATGAATTATGTACACATATTGAAATACCATGCTGTATCCCAGAAACACATACATTATGTGTCAACTAAAGATAAAAGGGGGAATTTCTTAATAGTAAAAAAAAAAAAAAAAAAAAAAAAAAAAAGGCTGGGTGCAGTGACTCACGCCTGTAATCCTAACACTTTGGGAGGCCAAGGCAGATCACTTGAGGTCAGGAGTTTGAGACCAGCCTGGCCAACATGACGAAACCCTGTCTCTGCTAAAAACACAAAAAATCAGCCGGGCAGTGTGGTGGGCACCTGTGATACCAGCTACTCCGGAGGCTGAGGCAGGAGAATTGCTTGAACCCATGAGCCGGAGGTTGCAGTGAGCCAAGGTTGCACCATTGCACTCCAGCCTGGGCGATAAGAGCAAAACTCCATCTCAAAAATAAAACAAAACAAAAATACAGGCTCAGGTGAGATTCCCTGTGGGCCCCTGCCCTCAGCTTATTTTAATTTGTATCTTTTTCCTGCAATAAACCATAACTTTGATTATAACCACTTTCAGTAAGTGCTGTAGGACTTTCTAACACCTGAATGTGGTCTTGGAGACCCTTGAACCTGCAACTGGCATCAGAAGTGGAAGTGGTTTTGAGGACCCCAAACTTTGTAGTTTTTCTACAATGTCATTTAATCCTCAAAAACCAAAGAAGCGGGTGTTAGTCCCACCTCACAGACAAAGACACTGAGTAGCTTAGAGGGCCATCACTTGATCATGATCCCATATCCAGTGGGTAGAGGAACTGGGGTTAATCACCAAGCTATGCACCAGTGAAACTCTCATTGGGTGCAGAGTAATACTGCCTCCATCTGCTACCCTGAGAGTGACAGGCAAGTGAATAGAGGGCCTCACTCATTGCTGATGCTTGGAACAGTAACCCATGCCATGAGAGGATAGGGGAGACCTTAGAAAGTGCTCTAGTACGGAGAAAATATGATGCTGTAGAGATGCTGGGTGGTATCATGACCTTACCATCTCCAACTCTGAGACAGGCCACCTAGGACAGAGACACCCACAGCAGCCCTGAAACCCAAACCTGAGCCCTTTCGTGGTCAGAGCCAAACCAGTCATCAGGAGCAGGAGGCTGGTCAGCAGTGATGCAATGCCTCCTGGGACAGAACATTCCACTGAGAGGGAGAGGCCGGCAGAGGGGCTGCGTCAGGGGAGCAAGGAGGCAGGTGCCCAGAGAGAGGGAGAGGTAAAGCAGGAGTGGGCAGATGGGGCAGTCAGCAGCACATCTGCCCCCAAGATGGGGATGGGGTCCATCTGCTCAGCACCACTGCCTGCCAGGATGGGGTCGGGGGAGGGGGGCAGGAAGGAGGCTGCACACGCAGCAGATTCCACCCCCAGCACAGAGGCCAAGCTGTGGCTGTCAATCCTGCCTCCCGTCTCAGAGAACTGGCGTGACCAATGCTCTCAGCTTCCTATACACACGCCACCCCAGCTATATGCCATACAATTGGTTTTACAAGAGCAACAGATTTAACGCTGCCTCCCCGCAATAGCTTTGTGAGCTCTGCAGCCCCTGAAATACACAACCAAGCAAGATGTCACACCTAAAATCCAGGTTGATGTGCTCTGTTTCTGTATTTTTTTAAAGCCTGCACCTCTGCAATTGTTTTCCATTTTATGTTATACATGTACACAAAACAGAAGACAAATCTGGCCAATCAGATTGTCTTGCTTTTGCTTTATCCTTAAAGTTCATCAATCTAAATAATACCTAGTTATAAGGGATATTTAGCAAATAATTGTTTAGGAGAAAGATTTTTAACATAGAAGTAACTGAGAAACATAGGATTCCTAATAATAGTAATGTGAATTTATCTGGGACTTTTAAAACATCCTTCAGGGAACAAGCACCGAAACAGGCGTTATTGACCTACAGGTCCCCCACAAGGGTCCATGGATGGGTTTCAGGATGTTCATAAAAACCATGAAATTGAAACTGTTTGCAAAGTCATATAAGCGCACGCTCCAGAGTAATTTTTCTGAGGTGAAAGTCCAAAGCTTTCATCAGCCTTTGAAAGGGATCTCTGATTCCAAAATGTTAGCACCACTAGTACACTCAACTCTGGCACATTCTTGGTCTCATTTACTCCCGAGTCATTCTTGTGAATTACACAGGGTGAGAATGATTAACCTGCTGTGTAGATGGGAAAGAGCTATGATCATCCAAGTTCATGGAGTGGTGTCACTTGCTTAATAGAGCTCAGTGACAGTGTTTATCACAGTCCACTTTGCAGTAACTTGGCAATCCACACGTTTCTCTACCCAAAACTTTAAACTCCTTGAGGACTGGGACTCCTCCTCGAAGACCTGACACATGGTAGGCATGCAGTCAGAGCCCAAGCAGTCAAGTTCCTGAGGGGGATGCAGGCAGACCAGGATCAAGGTTTCCAGGCACTGCCTCAAGAAACCTGGTACACTTACAGTAGGTGCCGGATAAAGCATCTCCTGTGATAATGGTGATCCTGCCTTCCTTGCCTACTGTTCTCATTCCCCAGATGATTCATCCCCAGATGAAGTGAAAACATCTGCTTTGGCTTCAGAGAAAGAATGTCCCCTCCCTGAGTCTTGTGCCAGACCTCCACCAGGGCAACGATATGGCCCAGCACGCCCATGGCTGCAGGGATATTACTGGGCCTGTCAAGGTGACTCTTTGTGGGGAGAAGCCAGGGAGTCAATGCTTCTCCCCACTCACAGTGCTAACGTGATTCAAGTCAATGGTTCCTGCTCTGTCTCCAGAAACAGAACTGAGAAAATCTTGACGAAGCACTCTCAGGAAATAGCAGGTAAGAGGTGAGGCCCCAGGAAACATCTTCAGACTTCCTCTCTCAACAAAGAAGTCACAATTTTGCTGAAAGGCTACTTCAGTTCTGCAGCTCCCAGCTTGGAGCAATTTCAACCTGAGCAGCCTGCAACCTGTTGGAGCAGATGTTTTACAGGTAGTCTGGTGTGGTGTATTCTGAAGCATCACTAGCTTGAAGGTCCAGCATCACAGCATCAGTTTTGTTTTGTTTGGTCATTTGTTTTACCACTGCCACAGAGACAAACGGGTTCTGCACACACACTGGCAGACGGGATTTGTTTGTCTCTTTTGATGGCTAAGTATTGACTTCAGAATACAAGCCCTGAAGTCAATAGACCTGACTTGGACCCTGGCTTGGTCTCTTACCCGGTAACTTTTGGCTAGTAATGTAACCTTTCTGAGCCTCAGTTTCTGCAGAGTTGTTTAGAATAGTAGAGTGTTTAGAATACAGTGTCTGTCATCTACTAACAAATGAATACTATTATTATTTAGACATGGAAGAAAAGATAAGCCTATAATTGAAGTAAAACTCAAGCCCAACACTTAAGGAATTTCATATGAACTGAAAATCACAATAATTCTGCCTTCCCTGTGCACTGCCACAGAGGAAGGGCCGTGCTCATCTGTACAACAGGGTTAAAAAACCTCAACAATAAAGACCCATAACCCAATTAAAAATAGGCAAAGGATTTGAATAGATGTGTCTCCAGAGAAGACATGCAAATGGCCATTAAGCACATGAGAAGATGTTCAACATTGTTAGTCACTAAGGAAATGCAAATCAAAACCACAATGAGTTTCCCCTTCATATCCACTAGAATGGCTGAAATCAAAAAGATGATAATAAGTGCTGCAAGAATGTGGAAAAATTGGAATCCTCATTCATTGTTAGTGGCATTGGTGTAAAATGGTGTAGCCACGTTGGAAAACAGTTTGGATGCTCCTCAAAATGTTACATCTGAAGTTACCATATGACCCAGCAATTCCACTCCTACATTATCCCATTTATATGAAATGTCCAGATGAGGCAAATCCACACAGACAGGAAATAGTTTAGTGGTTGCCAGAGGATGAGGGAAGGGGAAAGGGAAGGGATGGGGAGTGACTGCTAATGGGTACGCAGTTTCTTTTGGGGGTATAAAAATATTCTGGAATTAGTGGTGATGAATTACAGCTCTGTGAATATATAACCGTTTACTTGTATATTTTTAAATGGTGAATTTCATGATATGTGACTTACATCTCATCAAAGCTGTTATTAACAAAACAGTACCCACCTCCTACCTTATAGGGTTGCTGGGATGATTTTTTTTTTTTTTTTTTTAGATGGAGTCTCGCTCTGGCGCCCAGGCTGGAGTGCAGTGAGGTGATCTCGGCTCACTGCAACCTCTGCCTCCTGGGTTCAAGCAATTCTCCTGCCTCAGCCTCCCAAGTAGCTGGGATTACAGGTGCATGCCACAACGCCCGGCTAATTTATATATTTTTAGTAGAGACAGAGTTTTGCCTTTTTGGCCAGGCTAATCTCAAACTCCTGACCCCAAGTGATCTGCCTGCCTCAGCCTCTCAAAGTGCTGGGATTACAGGTTTAAGCCACCATGCTCAGCCCACTGGGAGAATCATATGAAGTCCCCAGTATATGTCCTAGCCCTAGAGCTCCTTTGTCAATGGTATCAGAGATGTAATTAGTATCATCACTCTATCCTCCAAGGTTACCTGGGGCACAAATAGAAGCATACAAACAAGCTGATAACAGTGACTAATTCTGGGGCAAGATCTGAGTTTGAGAGTGGTGGAAAAAAGAGACTTTAGCTTTATGTGTAATGTTTTAATATTTTAAAGGAGCATGCATTCATCTATTATTTGTGTAATTAAATTTTAATTTTCACTAGGGCAGTGAAACTACTCTGTAGGATATTATAATGGTAGATACATGTCATTACACATTTGTTCGAACCCACAGAATACACAACACCAAGGATGCTCCCCACTGTAAACTACGGACTCTGAGTGATCACAATGCTTCATGCAGGTTCATCAACTGTAATAACTGTACCACTCTGCTGGGGGATGCTGATAATGGGGGAGGTTGTGCATGTGTGAGGGAGGGGGTGGATGGGAAATCTCTGTACCTTCCTCTCAATTTTGTTGTGAACTTAAAACTTCTCTAAAAAATAAAGTCTATTTAAAAATTAATTTAAAAATGCCTGCTGTTGTTCTTGAAATACATCTTCCCATTAATCATTTCAAATCATCTTGCCTGACAACCATAATTAAACACTGACAGCAACCAAGAGTCAGGAAGTTTCCATAGAGGAAACAGTGCATCAAAAGAAATCATGATTTCTAAGACAATTAACTTAATTGCTCTAAACTACATCATCCCCTCCAAAAAATTAATCAAAGGCAGAGAAAAGGCAGGGGCAGAGACAAGGAGAAGGAGCAGGTGCCTAAGGAGGGAGCCCTCCCCTCTCCAACTGGGAGAGGAGATAAATCTCTGCCCCTGACACCCCAGTATGCCTTGTTCTAATACCCAAAGTCTTGGATGCATCCCCCCAGAGACTGCCTGCTCTGCATGCACATGCTCCGGGCTGTAGGTGAGGTGAGGAGGAAGGTTCTGCAATAAATGGCCTTGATCTGCTTATCACACCTATTTATAGGCCTTCATTTTATAGCTTGGTGAAATGAGAAGGTGCAGAGAGATCCAAGTACCCAGCTACATTAAGATGTTCCATGAGAAATAGGGAGACACTTTCACAAGCAGAACCACAGTCGGAAGCCACAGGTTGTTTTTGAAGATGACACCAATTAGGGAGGCTGCAGAAGAGCGTGCTGATTTGCCCTGTGGTCATGTGAAAAGGCACGGTCAGTGCAGTGATGATTTACTGCTGGGAGGACGAT
Source organism: Homo sapiens (assembly GCF_000001405.40). Classification (NCBI taxonomy): domain Eukaryota; kingdom Metazoa; phylum Chordata; class Mammalia; order Primates; family Hominidae; genus Homo; species Homo sapiens. Next base: position 110,721,536 of record NC_000010.11, on the reverse strand, counting down.
GCCTGGACAGACCCAAACATGGACAGACATGCGCACACTCACCAGTCCCGTCCCTCCATGGCAGAACTTACCAAGGCCCATGGGAAACGGCATTCACAAGAGCAAATGTTCACACTGCCCACTCCGAGGCCCACTGGAGGGAAGGTAGCCAAGGTTCTAAAAGCAGGCTGGGCCCTCATTAGAAAGAGTCCAGGTTCGACATTTTCATATTCATTTAACAAACAGGTGAGGGGCTGCCATATGGCAGGCATTGCTCTAGGGATGGAGATTGACTCAGCAGGGAACAAGAAAAAGTCTCTCTCCTCATGGAAATGACATTCCAGTAGAGGACAAGTAAATGTATAATGTGTCAGGCAATGCTTAGTGCTGAGGAAGACTGAGGAAGGAAAGGGGGACAGAGAGTGAAAAGGGATTACGGGGTGCTTGAGATAGGGCCAGGGAAGGCCTCTCCATGTGGCGGCAACTGAGCAGGTGCCTGCAGGAAATAAGGAAGCCAGTCCTGTAGAATCCAGAAGGAGAGGGTTCCAGGCAGCAGGGAGCGAAGGTCATACCTGAGGAAGAGCAAGGTAGCCAGTGAGAGAAATGTCAGGGAGAGCACGGGAAATGAAGTGAGAGGAAACGAAGGTGAAGGCCATGGAGGGCCTGCCAGGCCATAGTGGGACCTCTGGCTTTTATTCTGATAATGTGGGAAGGGTCTGGAGGGTTTTGAGTAGAGGAGGGAAATGACTGGATGTGCATTTTCAACGGTCACTCCAGCTGCTGTGGGAGAGCAGGCTGTAGGGGCAGGGTGGGATGGGCACCACAGGGATGAGGGTTAGGAGAGCAGGCTGCAGGGGCAGGGTGGGATGGACACTGCAAGGATGAGGGTTAGGAGATCAGGCTGCAGGGGCAGGGTGGGACAGGCACTGCAGGGATCCAAGTGGGAGGCCATGTGGCCTGGCCCAGGTGGTAGCAGAGGAGGGGTGGAGAAGTGATTCTGACTGTGTCTTAAGGTAGAGCTGAGAGGATCTGCTGATGGACTGGATGTGGGGAGAAAAGAAAGATGAGAGTCCAGGATGATGCCAAGACTTCTGGCCCATGGCTATGTTCCAGTCCCGCGGTTGCACTGCAAAATGTGGACTAGAAAGTAGATAGAAGAATGTCACTTTCCAGGAGAGCAAAGGTGGTGTGAGGGCCTGAGCACTCCCAGGAAGCAGCTAGTCCCCTGCTGGTGGCCGGGTGGACACAGGATTCCCAGACATTGTGCCAACCTCCTTGGCATCAAAGAAACAGCCCTGAGGACTCCACTAGGAATGAAGCAAGCTTGTCAGTGCAGTGACTGGAAAGGTGGGAGGGTGGACTGAACATTGGAGTTCTCCCAAAACCCATATGTTGGCATCTCACCTGCATTGTGATGGTATCAGGAGTTGAGGGCTTTAGGAGGTGATTAGGTCACTAGGACAGAGCCCTCATAACTGGGATTAGTGCCCTTATAAAAAAGATCACCGCCAGGGCGCTCCTTCACCCCTCTTGCCATAGGAGGGTACAGCAAGAAGGCGTCTCCAAGAACCAGGAAGCTGTCCCTCACCAGACATCAAATTTGCTGGTGCCTTGATCTTGGATGCCCCAGCCTCCAGAGCCGTTAAAAATAAATGTTTATTTAAGCTACCCAATAAGACAGCCCAAACAGAATAAGACAGAGGTGGGAGAAGGAGGAGGAATGCTTTACACACATTATCTCATTGAATCCTTAAGAGGCACATATTACAATCCTTGTTTACAGATGAAGAAACTAAGACAAAGATGACAATACTGGATGAAATCTCTAACTTTAATAAAAAATACACATAGGAGAAACTCTTTGTAATCTGGGATGGGAAAGGTCTTCCCAAGAAAGACACAAAACTCAGAAGCCATAAAGAAAAAGATGAACAGGTTCAAAGTCATAAAAATTGAAAATGTTGGCCTGATTAAAGAAAAACAAAAACAAAACCTAAAACTATACATACATATACCCGCGAGACAAAAACAAAAACAAAATAAAACCCATTTATAAACAAAACCAAAAGCAATATTTACAACATCAATAGCATGGCAGTGAGACCTGTTAGGAATTAGGAATTTGTCAAGTCAATAAGAAGGACACACAATCACATGTTTAGAAAGTGAAATCAATGAGTATCAATTAATGGAAGGGGAAATGCAAGAGACCAAGACCTCTGTGAAGGGTGCCCACTCTGCCAGTGTTCAGAGGAATGAACAGCAACAACAATCTCATGTGTTTTCATTTTCAAGACTAGGAAAACTGAAACAGGCTCACCTTCGGTGTTGGTGAGGATGTGGGAAAACAAATATTTCCTGCTCTGCAGGTGGGAGTCTGAATCCGAAAAGCCTTTTTGGAACACCATTTGGCAGAATCTACCAAAATGTGTCACATACATGCTCTGCAACTCAGCCATTCTATTAGAAGACTCTACCTACAGATATGTCTCCAAATGTATGTAGGAAAACAAACACAAACTTTCCCTCTACAGAAAAAGACAGGACAATAATAACTCAATGTCCATCAACAGCGTATTATTTAAGCAGATTAACTATGCTATCAAATCTGTGAAGTCTTTAATAAAAAAGAAGTAGAATTAGGCTGGGTATGGTGGCTTATGCCTGTAATCCCAACACTTTGGGAGGCCGAGATGGGTGGATAACTTGAAGTCAGGAGGTCAAGACCAGCCTGGCCAACATGGTGAAACCCTGTCTCTACTAAAAAAAAATTCAAAAATTAGCCGGGCATTGTGGCGGGTGCCTGTAATCCCAGCTACTTGGGAAGCTGAGGCAGAAGAATAGCTTGAACCTCGGAGGCGGATGTTGTAGTGAGTAGAGATCACACCACTACATTCCAGCCTGGGCAACAGAGTGAGACTAAAAAAAAAAAAAAGAAAAAAAAAAAAAGAATGGAGTAGAATTATATGTATTAACATCAAAGATCTCAAAAAAAAAAAACTAAAAAAGTTATAGAAGAATACATGTAATAACCTACAGTATATGCTAAAAAATAAAACAAACTATCTATGCATGTATACAAACATACAGATAGAAATACCAGAAAAAGGGCTAGAAGTTTATACCCCAAACAGCTGTCAGTGGTGACACATGTTTTGCAAGGGAGAGTCCAGTTGGGCAGAGGTGGGGAAGCATGGAGCCCTCCTCTGAGTACTTGGTCTTCTAAGGAAAAACTAAGATGCCTGAATGTCTGTAATTATGAATTTATATATTGCTTATAAAATGTAATGTGTTTTAAAAACTAGAGGATGATAAAGGTATTTGTATTCAAACTCTTTTAAGTGCATGTGACAGAAACCCAACCCAAAGTTGCTGAAACAAAAAGGGGAAGTGCTGGCTTCTGTCCTTGGGAAGTCAGGGGTGGTGCTGACTCCAGGCCCACTGCATGCAAGGGTGGAAGCCATGTGGCCAAGCCTCTGTCCCCCGCCCTAGCTCTCAGGCTGCTTGTCTGTTTTTCTTCATTCTCAAAGGATATTGCCACATGTCAAACAGAACAGATGCCCGAAGCCCCAGACTCACATTCTTTCTAGGCAGCCCATGTGCAAAAGGGATTGTTTCTCTCCATGCACTAGTCCCAGGAGAAATGCTAACTGGGGTTGCTTGAGAATGAGGCTCCTCCCTCGCACAGTGAGTGGGGCCAGTGCAATGGAGCGCTTTGGGTCACCTGCCCACTCCAGTGAGTGAGGAAGATCCCTTTGTGATTCCATGACTGATAGCCACAGTAGGACCATGTGAGGTGGATGAGGAATTCCCCTCAAGGAATCAAAACCAGAGGAAGAGGGATGGGAAACTGTGGCAGGCAGATGGAGCAACAGATGCCAGGATCCACTACAGAACACAAGTGAACAAGATCTGAACTGAGACCCAATGTCGCACAACCAGTCAACGGCAGGGGTGGGATTCAAATCAGGTGGGAGACACTTCAAAGCCCACACTCTCTCCACCTCACACTCAGTTCATTCCAGATGGCCAGGGGACATTGATGTCATCTCTACAGTAAGCTCTGCAGAACTGAAGGGGGTTCTTGGGGGCCTGTCACCCAGGAACTCCAGTAAACCCATCACATTCCATAAGTTTCCCTGAAGATTATCACCCTTGGAACAAAATGGGATTTGCACAGATGGAATTTTTCTGGAGAGGAGGGAGGAGGAGGGGGAGGAGGGCAGTAGAATATTTATGAGATTTGAAGGTCCCAACAGTACTTCTAAAGAATAGGAAAGAATGAGGGTGTAGTGAATTAAATATGAAGGCTGTCACTGCAGACCACCTTCACCAGCCTCATCATTTATTAAACACCTTATTTTGCATTGCAAAAGGAGCTTGGAGAGAGAGTGAAGCAGGCAGCACACAGTTCTGTCCTCAGAAGCCTGCAGTTGAGGATTGCCACACTAGTGCTGGGGCCTGTCACAAGAAACACGGACAAGACAAATGTGATATCAAACATTTCTTTATGCAAAAACCAAACAAACAATGAAAAAAACTCAATCAACCGATGTTTAAAACACAATTACAGGAAGGATAACAAGCACAGTTGTAAATTCAAATTTTCCATGTTTTAAATCTTTTTTTTTTTTCTTTTTTTTTTTGAGACGGAGTTGTGTCACTGAGGCGGGAGTGCAGGGGCACGATCTCGGCTCACTGCAAGCTCCACCTCCCAGGTTCCCGCCATTCTTCTGCCTCAGCCTCTCAAGTAGCTGGGACTACAGGCGCCCACCACCACACCTGGCTAATTTTTTTTTTGTATTTTTAGTAGAGACAGGGTTTCACCTTGTTAGCCAGGATGATCTTGATCTCCTGACCTCAGGATCTGCCCACCTCGGTCTCCCAAAGTGCTGGGATTACAGGCATCAGCCACCACGCCCAGCCATAATTCTTTTACTCTATACTCCAGTCATTTATTCCCCATGAATATGCATACTGAAATACCCACTGTCTTCTGAACTCTGATCATTGTTTCTTGTACACTGACTCCAAGTTAGGACATAATAACTTGCAATATTAGATCACCCAGATCACCCCAATCCCAAATCCTACTCTTTCAATGGCAATTGCATGAATAAAGGTAAACAGTACACGTTTAATTAGGCCAGATGTTACATAATTGAGACCTGGTCAATGGGCCTCCATATAGGCCTACAGAGCAGGAGAAGCCAGGTGCCCTGAGGCTCTGGGGTGAGGGTGGTATGCAGTTGCAGGAGTTGTTCTATGGCAGGAAATGAGGCTAAGCCTTGCCCTGGAGGGAGACATCTGGGGCCTTCTAAGGGGACTGCTTCTGCCCCTAATTACGCACCTACCATTCTACCTCCTCATTACTAGGAAAGAGAAAAGACCAAGACCTTCACACAGAGGATGCCTAAATTATTGATTAGTCTTTTCCAAACTGGAAAATTGGCAATACATACTTGACTTTTCATCACTTACATTATCCCCTTTTTACAAATGAAGAATGTGATACTTCCTGAGACAACTTTGCTGCAAGTGAGTGAGGGAACCAAGAACATAATCAAAAGCTTGTGGAGAGACTTCTAGTGCTCATGCTCATCTAGTTCTTTTCTTCTGGGCACACAGGGGGATTACGCTTTCTGCCTCCCTTGTAGTTAAGTGGGGACCATGTGATTAGTTATGGCCAATGGGCTGTGAGTAGACGTGATGCTATCTCCAGGCTGGGGTGAGACCCTTCAGTACTGTAATTGTAATTGCAATGTAATTGCAGGGGTGAGACCCTTCAGTACTCTCTCTTCCCCATCTCAGTGATCAAGGCCACATGTTCCAGTTAGCTCAGCTATAAGATGGTGGAACCCCAGTCATCCTGAGTCCCTGAGGAATCATATGGAGCAGCCCCTCAATATTCACCCAACCAAATCATGTAGGATTTGTGAATGAGTGAGAAATAAAATTTTTGTTGTATTAAACCTCTGGGGTTTTGTGGCTACAGCATAAACCTAACCTATCAGGACTTAACAAAAAAGACTTTAGTCTAGTGGAGGGCTAAGATATGTACATAAGTACAATGCAGCAAAGGAAAACTGACATTTGATGGCCTGAGCCATCTACAGTACTCAACCAACATCTGATGAAGGAGTACATGCATGGCTGATATGAAAGTGCTGCAGACAGTGTGATGACACAAGATGGAAACATTCACTTCCACTTGGGAGTTAGTCAGTAAAGAGTGATGGAGTATAGAAGTACGAATATTCACAAATTATGGGTTTTTTCTTTGTTTGTTTTGTTTGTTTGTTTTTGTTTTTGGACAGAGTCTCACTGTGTCGCACAGGCTGGAGTGCAGTGGTGCGATCTTGACTCACTGCAGCCTCTGCCTCCCTGGTTCAAGCGATTCTCCCAATTCAGCCTCCCAAGTAGCTGGGATTACAGGAGTCTGCCATCATGCCCAGCTAATTTTTGTATTTTTAGTAGAGTTGGGGTTTCACCATGTTGACCAGGATGGTCTCGAACTCCTGACCTCACGTGATCTGCCTGCCTCGACCTCCCAAAGTGCTGGGATTACAGGCTTGAACCAATGCTCCCAGGCAATAAATTACATTTTAAAAACCTTTTGGATTACAGATATTATTTTCATCAACATCATTTGGGAAGGCAATCCTTTTTCCCTGGGCCACCCCTCCAACAAGTGACTTGAAGACCAGGAGACAATTCAAGCCAGCTGGAGCCTCCACCCTGAGCTGCTGGGTCTCCAACCAGGTCAACTACTAGGGAAGGATTCTTCTTGGAAGATGGACCATGTTGCCCCTTCTCAACAATTCTAAGGGGCTGAGGACAACCAGGAAGGACTGCCTCACCTGGTACTCTATCTGCTGCTCCTACTGGTGACTCCTGTTGGGCATGGGCCACCCACAGCTCCCAGAGGCTGTTCCTGCTCTCTTGGGGCAGCAGCTCCTCCTGACAGCTGACAGCAGCTGCTCTCATCAGCAGGTCTCTCAGCAAGTTCTAGAAGCAGAAGTTGCTGCTGTCAAGTAATGGGATCTTCTAGGAGTACCTTGGGTTGGAAGCTCTTGGGTCCTCATTGTCTGGCCCTTCTAGCAGTTCCTAGGAGCCTAGATGGTCAGGTGGTCAGCTCAGTATGACTACAACCACTGCAGAGCACAGCTTCAGACAGGCCAGTGCTAAGCCAGCTTTATTTGTTGCAGCAATGGTACTAGAGACATCTGCCAAACAATACTCCTTTACACAACCTTTTCATTGACCTCCAAGAACTGCAGATATGGTTACATTTCTAGCTACCCAGCATGGGCAAGACCCAGGTTCATGAGGCTCTTGAGTCAGGGAACACTCTTTTCTTTCTTAAGAGGGTCTCCTACCATTCCCTAATCCCAACTATGCCAAGGCTCAAGTGTCTACTCAGGAGGCTTAGCATGTCCCAAAGTCCTCTTCCCATAGCCCATCTTCAGAATCAGGAGCACTGCCATGACTGTAACTCCAGGCACAGATCTGCTTAGCCAGGTCCTCACAGGAGATGGGTAAGCTTCATTCTAATAACATTCCTGGGTGATGATCCTTTGGGCCATGTATCTTCTAGGGATTAATACATCTGAATATTATCAGTCTTCACAATGAAGTATTTCTTACTGTTCCCAACTAGCCCAAAAACGTAGTCCTTAGTAGGCTGGAAAACGCACTGGCACAGGGATAAGGAGCCCGGGATTGTGGTTCCAGACTTGCCACTTACTAGCTGGGAAACCTGAAAAAAATAATCCCCTCTCTAAGCTTCCATTTCTTTATCCATAAATTGAGGTCAGATGTGCTCTACCTACTTTAGGGAATGGTTGCGAGGCTGACATTAAATTGATGAATGTGAGTCTCTTTCAAAACACTGTACAAATGCTGAGTAGAATTTGTCCATTTATTCTTTAATTTGCCAGTAATGCATATATTTAGATAATAAAAAATTCCTCAGCAATGCCCTAAAAACCCAGTTGCAGTACTGAATTATTAAATGACTACTCTGCCCCTGTAGCGTGCAAAGTGTCATAAGGGACACAGGAGATTTAGGGCCTCATCTTTGTTCCCTAGTGATTTATCCTAGTCAGGGTTATAATCGTATTGCACCTAAAATGAGAGTGGAGAGGACTCAGGATATCACTCAAGCCATGTTCCTTACTTAACAGCAAGGAAACTGAGGCCAGGAAAGATTATCTAATAACCAGCAACAGTTATAATACTAGCTAAGCCTAGTGCACGTTACTCTGTGTAGCAGACTTGTTTAGGACCACACAGCAGATCTGTGGCCACGCCAGACCTGGAATCCTAGTGATGGCTCTTTGGCCAGGTTTCTTTCCATATATTTTCCATAAAAATCCACTTCTCTGCATCTGCCCCGTTAGTCAAGCCTGTATGTATGTCAATGACTTATCTTCTGTGATTCTCACACTAAAAGCCCTAAAGAGCAGGGAGAATAGAGCAAGCACTGAGGGAGTGGACAGAACAAAAGAAGCATCACAAGAGGTATTCTGGGGGAAACTGAGGCAGTCAAAGAGGAAGGAAAAGACACTTTACAAATATGGACGCCAAAGTTAGGGGTGACCCAGGATGACGGCAACCATTTTAAGATACTCTACAGAGGGTGTAATAGATGTGTTGGGGAATCACAGAAAAGAGCAAAAACAGTTTATGCCAAACAGATTATATAGTGGAGTCCAGGTGATTAAGTACACACTCATGACATAACTGAAAGGTAATTATTGGGGTCTCTAGATCAGTTTTTTGGGGGCAGGGCACAGAATCTTGTTCTGACACCCAGGCTGGAGTGCAGTGGTGCGATCTCAGCTCACTGCAATCTCTGCTTCCCAGGTTCAAGCGATTCTCCTGCCTCAGCCTCCCGAGTAGCTGGGATTAAAGGCAGGCACTGCCACGCCCTGCTAATTTTTGTATTTTTGGTAGAGATGGGGTTTCACCATTTTGGCCAGGCTGGTCTCAAACTCCTGACCTCAAGTGATCCACCCGCCTTGGCCTCCCAAAATGCTGGGATTACAGGGGTGAGCCACCGCACCCAGCCTCTAGATCAGTTTTTATTGGCCTCAATCAATAAAGATTGAAATATTCTAGCCAACCTCCTCATGTCATGCTCAGACTATGGCAGTAGCTATTAAATTGCAGTAGCTTTTAATTTTAAAAGAATCATCTCTGTTCACAATGATTACTACTGATACCACCACTATTATTGCTACTGCTATACACAACCACACAATCAAACATACACAATATCTTAGGGATGACAAAAATGAGGGCCAGAGCTGGCATATGACTTACCTGAAAACCATACATGAACTCACAATTAACTAACTGTAACTGAGCACCTTGTTTGGTCTGATGCATCATTTCCTACTGAAGAATGACACAAAATAATATAAAACATGATCTTAATTAAAATATATGATAATTCAATTGGAGAAAAAAGAAAATAAAATGCTACTTCCATACTTGGATCTTATCACTTCTTACTATTACTGATTCTAATAAGAAATTACCATTACTAATGTGAATAAGCTTCCTGAATCTGAAACAATGCTAGCACTTTCCCACTGTAGATCAACAACACATTACCTTACAATATTAAATGAGTAACAACAATAAACAGAGGTGAGGGACAGAGAAAAAAAAAGGATACAATCCCTGTGTAGGAATTCAGAATCCTAGTGGGTAGGAAGAGAGCACATTTGCAAAACCCTGAAGTCCTGTTTTCCTAGTACCTAGCATTGTACGCAGATGATACTAAGCATTGTGGGATAAATGCATGAATAAATCAATAATTCTTCTGGATCAGACTGATAGATAAAGGAGGCTGGCTTATGCGGCAGTCTCAGTTCACAGAGTACAAACATAGAATGCCTTCGTTTTTTACATAACTACCCCATCTGGGCAATGTCAACCCCTTCTCTGACTTTCCCCATTAGTGGGGACTTCCTTAAAGTCATCCGTTGACTTTTCAGTCACTTGCAATTATCCAGTCTCATTTAGATTTCTAAGACTCAGCTCAGTTCATTTCAAAACTTCAGTCTCATAGCTGATTCCACATTCTTTTTGTCCCCTCCTCCCAGCCAGGCAAGAGCTATTGCAGTGGTGGTAGCTTGGGGTAAAGGTGGCAGTGGCCTGTCCTTCCCACACCTCCCCTCTCCTGGACTCTTTTTTTTTTTTTTTTTTTTTTTTTTTTGAGATGGAGTCTCACTCTGTCTCCCAGGCTGGAGTGAAGTGGCACAGTCTCAGCTCACTGCAGCCTCCGCCTCCCAGGTTCAAGCAATTCTCCTATCTCAGCCTCCCGAGCAGCTGGGATTACAGGTGCCCACCACCACGCCCAGCTAATTTTTGTATTTTTAGTAGAGACGGGATTTCACCATGTTAGCCAGGCTGGTTTTCCTGGCCTCTTTCCTGCACCACTGGATAGGGGTGGCCACAATCGCCCGGCTGGAGTCTAATCACACACGCACCCCACAAGTCCTCCATGGTCTTGGGCTGGGGGACAGTAACAAGAGCCTCCTCCCAAACCACTCCTCTAGATGACCCTGGAGAAATCCGGATTCCCTTCTAGGGGTGTGTCTCATGACAACCTCCACATGTAGGAGCCTTCTGGTTCCCCAAGCAAAAGCAGTCCCAGCCAACTGTGGCCTTCACGTCACCTGCCCGGCTCCACAAGTCCAGAGCCTGGGACTCACATGAAGCCTGTCTTTGGGATAAGGGTTCCTGACCTCACTTCTCCTTCTCCTGTGCCAGGAGCCCAGGGCAGGCAGCTGTTCCTGATGACGCACGTGTCTAGCTGGAAAACTGGATGCCAGGGTGCCCTATCTGCACAGAAAACTTTGGAAAAAGGAAGCCCCATCATTTGCCCCCAAAGGGGAAGGGGGAGGGAAGGACCAGCTTCTCTCCAAGAAAACTGCATTCTCCAAACTGTGAGCTCCTTCTCCCGCCTCAGTCCTTCCTACTGGGGCTGGGAGTTTAACTGGGAGGCAGAGAACTGAAGATGGAAAAGTGGCTCTCTGAGGAGGCCCAGTGGGGCAGCCCCAATATTCAGTTGTTCTCCAACCTGAGAACCGGAGGCACCATGAGATGGGGCTGGCAGCAGGGCCTACCTCCTGGCTGTTGAGAGGATTAAATAGCAATCACATGGGAAGTGCTCAGGCAAGTGCGAGCACACAGTATATGCTACAGAAGTGTCTGATTATTGTCATCATAATTTGCAGTCTTGGCTACATTTCCAGATTATTGCGGAATATCCAGTTCAGCATGACCACCAGCTTGTTGCGCGAAAACCCACCTCAAATACAAAGGAAACTGCCCAATATGATCATAGTCCAACTATTGGTATCTGTTTTCACTCGTCAGCACTAAAGGGACCTTGGACACTAAGGATCAAATAGCATGATAAAAAAAAGTTGATCGAATTCAGTGGTACTGCTTTTTAGACATGAACTCTTTCTTCATATGAAATACTAGGTGAAAGCCTAAAACAGAACGCTGATGTGAGCAAAGCTGGTCTGGAGGACGTGTAGGAGGGCACATGTCTTGGAGTCCCTGGGGCTCCAAGGGACAAAGGTTTTAAAAAAACAAACATTCTGTTCATCTCTAATGGGTTCTGACTTTTTTAGTTGAACTTTATGATTTTTGAAATCATAATTGAGGCTGGGCACCACTGCTCATGCCTGTAATCCCAACTTTGGGAGGCCAAGGTGGGAGAATTGCTTGAGTCCAGGAGTTTGAGACCCGCCTGGCAACAAAATGAGACCCCCCATCTCTACAAAATTAAAAAAACAAAATAGCCAGGCATGGTGGCACACGCCTGTAGTCTCAGCTACTCAGAAGGCTGAGAAGGGAGGATCACCTGAGCTCAGGAGTTCAAGGCTGCAGTGAGCTACGATCATAACACTGCACTCCAGCCTGGGCAACAAAGCAAGATCCCATCCCAATTAAAAAAAAAAAAAAAAAAGAAATTATCACTGATCTTTAAAATCATGTTTAAGATGTGCCAGGGCCTTTAGTGAAAACATTTCTGCCTACAGACAGAAAAGTAAGAGATGGTCCCTCCTCCCAGGGTCAGGGCAGACACTCCCTCTAACAGACAGGCAGCAATGCTGGCCAGTGTGGGCTGCTCCCAGAATGGCCTGCTGTCTGCTCCAGTGTTCCCAGCATGCCTGCGGGGTTGCCCTCTCCTAGGCAAGCGTCCAGCATCAAAATGCCAGGGTCATCCCCTGGGTCTTTGACTCCCGATCCCAGCATTTAAATCCTGGCCATTTCACAAGCAGCAGGAGGGCATTAGCCATGCCACATTGTACAGCGGGGCTGAGATGTCAACAAGGGTTTAGAATCCAAAGCTGTTTGTCTCACATTGAACCTGACCCTGCATCAGGATAGCTCTGTCCTGGTTCAAAGGCAACATGCAGCTTTGGCTCACAGCAACACGTCTGACCTGCTATTGAGGGATGAGGTGAGGAGAACATTTAAAAAGAAAAAGAAATGAGAAACAAAGACACACTACAATTGATAGCCAAGGACTCAAAATAAAATAAAATTGCATCACTGCCTCGTGAAATTGGACGCCAGGCCCAGATTATTCCTAAGTTTACAAACCCCACTGGACGTTTCTGCCACAGTCCTGCCACCCCAGCCACACTCTCAATCATTCCAAGCCATTTCTTGAACTTCACTAAATTTTCTGTGGTTGCCCTCAGGAATAGGAACCCCAGGATCCTCAATGCCCCAACACCACCTTCCAGAATGGGAAACAATGAACAGACTTTCAAAAAATTCTTTATTGTTTCTTGTTTCCCCTGAAATACAAAAATAATTCCGCCTTGTTGTAAAAACTTGAACTCAGAGCTATAAAACTTAGAAAGTGAAAATCATTTGAAATCCCAGCTTTCAGCAATAGCCACTATTAATACTTTATTAATAATTTGAGAAATAAGGTTTTATTTCACCTGTTTTTATCTAGCAAAAATATATAGAACCTACGTATTTTACCAGAAACTAGTAAATAAGTGGGATTTAGCTTTATACTGTATGAAACAAGATAAAAATGTTTAAAAACACCACTTATCTAATACTTAGCCCTTTGAAAATAGTTGAAAAAAATTATCTACATGAAAGTTCATCACGCTGGTCCTCACAAATTCACATACAGAAAAAAACAATCTGATAAACGTTAGTTAAGATTAGGATTAAAATTCAAAAGTCCAAAGCTAGTTTGAGCTGAATTATTGGGTAGCTGATATATAGGACCAGCTCATAATTTGCAGGGCACACTGCAAAATGAAAATGTGGGGCCCTTGTTCAGAAATTAGTAAGAATTTCAAAATGGTGATTACCAGAGCATCACGCCCAAGCACAGAGCCCCTTTAAGCATGGGGCCCTATGTGACAGCACAGATCACCTGCCAGTGAAGCTAGCCCTGCCAATGCTCATTCATCCAACCTTTTTATAACCGAGTGTTTACTTCATATGTTTTCTTTAATTTTTTATTGTTATAGGTACATAATAGGTGTACCTCTTTGTGGAGTACATGTGGTGTCTTGACACAGAGGTACAACATATAATAATCATATCAGGTAACTCATGCATTTGTCATTTATTTGTGTTAGGAACATTACAATTCCACTCTTCTGGTTATTTTTAAATGTACAATAAGTTATTGTTGACTATCGTCATCCCGCGGCACTATCCAATACTGGGTCTTATTCATTCTATCTTACTATATTTTGTACCCATTAACCATCCCCACTTTCTACCCTCTCTTCCCAGCCTCTGGTAACCATCATTTTACTCTCTATGAGTTCAGTTGTTTTAATTTTTAGCTCCCACATATGAGTGAAAACATGCAAAATTTGTCTTTCTGTGCCTACCTTATTTCACTTAACACAAATAATGTCTTCCAGTTTCATTCATGTTATTGCAAATGGCAGGATTTCACTCCTTTTTATAGCTGAGTAATATTTTTAAGGCTTCAGATCTATGCTCTTTGCCTTTTAAAACCATTCATTCTGTGTTTTAAAAATGTTTAACTTTCTCTAGGAAATAAATCAGCAGAATGGCAGGCAATAAAACCAGAAAAAACATTTTTTTAAAGTGTATTTTAGCTTGATCTTGATTAACTTATATGCTTTTTGATGTATTTTCCAGTTGAAATGAATTGGCTATGCAGCCAATATTGTAAAAATACAATATACACTCTGGAATATCAGGTTAGCAAAAATAAAATCTTAAGCTCCATTTTATATCCAACAATCTACATCTGAGCTTATTTACAACATGAGATGTTTTTCTAGGATAGATTTTCTAATACACTTCTAATTGTTTAAATTAAAAATATGAGCTTCCTTCCCAATATTCCCTATAGCCATCACTAAATAGATTTTCCTTTAAAAAGGGAAAAGAAAGCCTTATCACTTGGCAGATTAAACTGTACAAAATTAAGAATTCTCTTTAGCCCCTTTAAAATGCAACAGGTTCATTTTACAGCACACAATTGCTATGTAAAGTAGCCATCCTAGAGCCTCCCTGGGTCATTTAAGCGTTTTTCCACGTTCAACATGAGCTATGTCATGCATAAGAATAGCTTGATCTTTTATACACGATGAGAATACCGAGAATTCCTTCTTACTGCTATAAAAGGCTCACAAAAGCCACAAAAAGGCCTGGACCACATTCTTTGGCAATTATCAGTATGAGGAGGAGGCAAGACCAAGACAGAGAAAGAAAAGGAAAGTGATTTGTAAATGGCCTGACTACAACCAACCCTCTTTGATTAGGAGAAACAGCTGCAGAGCCTCTTTACCCTCAAGCCAAGGAGAATCGCCATTGGTTTTGAGGTTCACCCTCCAGACAGACAGCCCACCACTCCGTCCTGAAATTTCCCACCCTTTCATCCCAAGAGAGACCAGAATAGCTCTCCCATCCAAGCTTGCATGGACACAGCAAAGAAACTCTAGAATTTATTCAAGCTTCCTTTGGAGTTCAATGTAGTCACTCAATGAATGCTGCTTAAACAGAACCGTTGCATTTCCTGGCGGATATCAGAAAGAGAATGAAAAGGGAGGCAGCTCTGTGACTGGTCACGCTGAGCTCCAACCTCAAGGTCCAGGGCTGTCCCAGAGACACACAGATATTGCCCATTCCAGGTGGAGAAGTGAAGACAACTCACATTTCTTAAGAACCTATTGTATGCCAATGCCACTCCAGACACTTTGTGTGGATCATATTATTAACCCACAGAAAGCTTTACCATTTTGCAGATAAGGAAGATGACTATAGCTATGAAGGCAACTTGCTCAAAGTCACACAGCTACACAACCAAACTGCTACCCCAGTGCAGGCAATAAGGTAGGATGTTGTCTCTAGAGATTTTTACAACAGGAATAAAACTACTAAAAGTCATCTGCATCAGCAGTTCTTTTATTTTTTCTTTTTTTTTTTGAGATGGAGTCTCACTCTGTCACCCAGGCTGGAGTACAGTGGTGTGATTCTGGCTCACTGCAAACGCCACCTCCCAGGTCAAGCGATTCTCCCACCTCAGCCTCCCAAGTAGCTGGGATTACAAGACTCTGCCATCACACCCGGCCAATTTTTGTATTTTTAGTAGAGATGGGGGTTTCACCATGTTGGCCAGGATGGTCTCAAACTCCTGACCTCAAGTGATCCACCCACCTTGGCCTCCCAAAGTGCTGGGATTAGAAGCATGAGCCACTGCATCCGGCCAAGCGTCAGTAGTCTAAACAATGTCAATGAGAAGCTACTCCTTCACAAAAACAATTGTTTTGTTGGTTTAGGTTCCAAACAATTATTGCAACCACTGTTGAGATTAATATATATGTAAGTTTCAAATTAGCATATGTGTATTACTTACGCTTTCATAAGCATGGTATTTACATGAAATTTATTTGGAGAACTCTTGGATTTGTAGTTGCTCATGCAAATCCAGACTCACCTACACACACAGATTTAGAAAATAAATTCATACTAGTTTAGAATCAATTCATTTTCAATTCCATTTCCAACACAGTTTGTATCTCCAATCCCTGCAGTATTATCGATTCACTGGTTAAAACAGATTTGGTATAAACAGTGATAGCACAGTGATTATAAAAATGAAAAATCAGATGCTAATTCAGATGTGAAATATTTTATTGGATCTGAGTAGTATATTTAAAACTTATATCCATTCTTCTTCAATCATTCATTGTTTACAAACTGAAGAAAAAAATCAAGAAAATTATTGCTGACTGCATGGTTTTTATTGAAAATAATGTTGTCATATAGAGGACAGTAATGTGAAAAATTATCTGTTCCAGGCGTCAAACACATTATGTGAACTTTCACTGCACTCCATCAAAATGACCCAATCCACAGAAAGAACCAGCATCGTGCTGGAGGCCGGGAAAACCACTCTGTGACTTGGCCAACAATCGAACTTTTTGTTCACAATGGTGAGTCACTAAAACCAGCCATTTTCCAGCAAGGCCATGCTTCTGTTTTCTTCTTGTAAGAAAAGTATACCCTTTCAAAGGGATTTATCACTGCAATAATCCTTACCTTTAACCAAAAACATATAATATTCCATGAAAAATCAATGGCTTTTCTTCAAATTCAAATATTTCCAATTTTTTGTCAAATACAAAAGACCATAAAATTTCCAAACTCAGCCATCGGTGGCACCAACATTGACAAGGCTTCTCCAAACCTCCACTCTGTCCTCATCTCCCACCTCCCACATGGCTGTCCTCTGGGCTGTTTCAGGCCTTCTATAATTTGCCTGCACACAGTCTAATGGCTCTTCTTTCCAGCCACTCAATTCCCAGAGCTAAGATGACACATGTCTTAAAGACAAGAACTGTCACCAAACCATCTGAATCCCCTCCTCTCCCTTTCCTCTTACACAGTCCTGGATACATTGTAAAAGCCAGTGGTCTGTTTTAATTTATTTAACAAATACTAATACAATGTTAGCTGCAAGTCAAAAAGTGGAACATCCATTTACTGTTGGGAGGTACAAATTTAAATAACAAAGTGTTTTTTATAATTATTAAAGTAGTAAACCTAAACATGTAATTACCATATAACCCAGCAATTGCACTCTTAGGCATTTTAGGCATTTTTCCCAGAGAAATGAAAACTTATGTTCACACAAAAACCTGTACACAAATGTTCATAGCAGCTTTCTTTGTAATAGCCAAAAACTGGAAAGATGCCAGATATCCTTCAATAGGTGAATGGTTAAACAAACTGTGGTACATATATACCCTGGAATACTATTCAGCAAGGAAAAATAATGCACCATTGATACACTCAAAAACTTAGATAAATCTCCAGGAAATTATGCTGAGTGGAAAGGCTTGTCCCAAAAGGTTACACACTGTATTATTGCTTTTATTTTATTTTATTTTTTGAGACAGAGTCTTGCTTTGTTGCCCAGGCTGGAGTGTGGTAGTGTGATCTCAGCTTACTGCAACCTCCACTTTGCTGGTTCAAGTGATTCTCCTGCCTCAGCCTCCTGAGGAGCTGGGACTACAGGTGCACACCACCACAACTGGCTAATTTTTGTATTTTTAGGAGAGATGGTGTTTCGCCATATTGGCCAGGCTGGTCTCGAACTCCTGGCCTCAAGTGATCCACCCACCGTGGCCTCCCAAAATGCTGGGATTATAGGCATGAGCCACCATGCCTGGCCTGATTTCATTTATATAACATTTTAAAAACGACAAAATTTTAGAAATGGAGAACAGATTAGTCCCTGCCAGGTGTTTCGTCAAAGGGCGGGA
This sequence comes from Homo sapiens, assembly GCF_000001405.40. Taxonomy (NCBI): domain Eukaryota; kingdom Metazoa; phylum Chordata; class Mammalia; order Primates; family Hominidae; genus Homo; species Homo sapiens. The sequence goes on along the minus strand of NC_000010.11, from coordinate 110,703,738 downwards.
GGTGGATGTGGTTGTAAAAGGCAAAGCAAGAGATCCTTGTGATGGAACTATTTAGTATCTCGACTGTAGTGCTGGAAACATGAACCTACATGTGTGATAAAATTGTATAGGGCTAAATATATACACACATACAAAGGAGTAGAAGTAAAATGGGAAATCTTTTATAAGATAAATAAGAGAGGTAGATTGTAACAATGTTAATATCCTGGCTGTGATACTCTTCTACAGTTTTGCAAACTGTTATCACTGGGGGAACTGGATAAATGGTACATGGGAAATCTCATCATTATTTCCTTTTTTAGTTTTATTTTTAACTGATACATTCTAAATTCTTTCTTTCTTTCTTTCTTTTTTTTTTTTGAGACAGAGTTTCACCGTTGTTGTCCAGGCTAGAGTGCAATGGCGCAATCTGAGCTCACTGCAACCTCCGCCTCCTGGGGTCAAGCGATTGTCCTGCCTCAGCCTCCCGAGTAGCTGGAATTACAGGTGCCTGCCACCATGCCTGGCTCATTTTTTGTATTTTTAGTAGAGATGGTGTTTCACCATGTTGACCAGGCTGGTCTCGAACTCCTGACCTCAGGTGATCCACCCGCCTTGGCCTCCCAAAGTGAGGCTTTATTGCAGGCATGAGCCACCATACCTGGCCTAAATTATTTCCTACAAGTGCATCTGAATCTACAATTATCTCAACAAAAATTTCAGTTAGAAAGGTATTAAGCCAACCAAAAAAAAAAACAAAAAAAAAAACAAGAAAAAAAACCCACCCCAAACCCCAAACTCTTAATATTTATTAAGCAAACACTTACATGGTGCTCACTAATTGCCAGATACCATTTTAAGTACTTAAAGGTTAACTCATTGACTCCTTCTAACAATCATATGTGGTATGTACCATAATTTCCATTTTACAGATGAAGAAACTGAGGTGCAGAGTGGTTAAATAACTGTCCAAAGGGCACACAGTGAGTAAGTGGGTGGAAGATGATTCCAACATAAGCAGTCTGGATCCAGAGCTCTCCCTTCTGAGATCTCTGCATTACGCCCATGAGGGCTAGTGGGTGGACAGGCACAGAAGACCCTGAATTCCGACAGCAGTTCTTTCAGAAGGTTCCCAACACCCAGGGGAAAGCATGACACATCCTTCCGATCACAAAGCCAATCATAAACTTCACATGCTTTCAACTTCATTTATGTATTTTTTAGAGACAGGGCCTCATTGTGTCGCCCCGGGCTGCAGTGCACGGTCGCCATCCGAGCCCATTACAGCCCCAAACTCCTGGGCTCAAGTAATCTTCCTGCCTCAGCCTCCAGACTAGCTGGGACTACAGGTGTGTACCATCTCACTCAGCAAATTTGTTTGTTTGTTTGTTTGTTTGGTAGAGATGGGGGGGTCTCACTTTTGAACTCCTGCCCTCAGGTGATCCTCCCACCTAGGCCTAGCAAAATGTTGGGATTACAGGTGTGAGCCACCACACTCAGCTGATACGCTCTCGACTTTAAAGGAAGTAAACAGAATGATTGAATTCTAATGTAAAATCTTCCACTTGGTGAGAGTGAACACGTTTAACACTTGAGAGCAACTTCCCACTTTTGCCCAGCAGAGGCTGGAAAACAGAAAGAAGAGGTGGGCACATTGGGGAGCACATTTCAGAGGGAAGGTGAGGAGGCCTAAAAAGCACAGTGCCTCTGGGGGCAGATAAAAGGGGATAGCTGAGGCTGGCTGAAACAAGACCACGCAATCACGTCCTGCTTCACACAATTGTCCCAGCTCCCAAAGTCCTGCTGCTCTATCCCCAGAGGAATGCACCTTGTCTGGCACTCTCCCTCTCTGATAATCCCCCGTTAGCTCTCTGCCTTATCAGCATCAAGCCCACAGGCTCTTACAGATCCTGGCCAGTGCGGACCCTGGGGATTGAAACTCAGAACCTATGCAGCATTCCAGGTTGCAGGCCTATAGCAAGGCAATCAGGCTTGGGAGATTTTCAGATTATCAAGTGGGAAAGGCAGGAATGTCACGGCCTCTGTGGGTGGACACAGGGACATTCATCAAAATGACAGCTACCATGAAATCCCTGACTCCCTTTCCCACTGGATGGTGTGGAGCTGGGGTGTGTGCATGGACATGCATATGTACAAACCGAAATTATTTTAGCAGAAAGTCATTTCCCAAGATAAGGCAAAGGAGGGCTGGACCTGAACTTTTCAAAAGGCAAGCTCCCAACCAGCAAGGCACTGTAACTTAACACTAACAGTGAAATCTCCGGCTCATACACGGGGTAAATGATGGGAACAGCATGTTCCCCGTGGTCCAGGCTGATGCGAGTACCATTCAGAAAAAAAGGAGAATCAGTACCAGGGAGTAGGACCGGACTTTATGGGTTTCTAAAGACAGGAACTCTTGGAGATTTTCAGTTAAGCTTTGGCTGACCAGGTGAGAAGTAAGCCCCACTGTGAACTCCAGGCTGGAAGAAACTAGGAGGAAAAAAAAAAATTCTTCACAATCTGTAATTTTGAGAAAGAACCACTGGGAACGGAGTTGAGAAGGGTCACCAGGAAAATGGAACCCCCGGCTCACACAGGTATCCCAAAATGACTCAGCTCTGTGCATCAGTTTTCACATTTAAATGACATTTCCTTTGCAATGAGTCTGAAAATTTCCCCTCCCAGATAAGGCAGAAGCAAAGAGAGGTTTTTGTTTGTTTGTTTGCTTTGTTTTGTTTTTTTGAGACGGAGTCTTTCTCAGCCACCCAGGCTGGAATGCAGTGGCATGAACTCGGCTCACTGCAACCTCCATCTCCCGGGTTCAAGCGATTCTCCCGTCTCAGCCTCCCAAGTAGCTGGGATTACAGGCACCCGCTATCATGGCTGGCTAATTTTTTTATTTTAGTAGAGACAGGCTTTCACCATGTTGGCCAGACTGGTCTTGAACTCCTGACCTCAGGTGATCCGCCCGCCTCAGCCTCCCAAAGTGCTAGGATGACAGGGGTGAGCCACCGTGCCTGGCCCAAAGAGGGTTTTTATTTGTTGCCCATCCCATTTCCTGCTTTGGTTGCTGGCATGTAAGTAGGTAATCCTGGGGCCTCTGTCACTGTCCTGTGAAGAGGAGGCCATAGGCATAAGAACAAAAACATCATGGAACGTGGCAAGGTAGGGGATGGAAAGACTTTGGGTCCCTAAAGACCCTGTTGAGCCACCAAACCAAACCTAGGCCTCTGCCTCCAGGTTTCATGTTGAGATGAGAAATGTCCCTCTGGTTTAAGCCACTGTTGGGGTTCCTGTTGGCAGCCAAGGATTTCTTAATTGGTACAGCTCCTCTGCAAAGATTTTGCTTAACAGTCATAAAAGGTTGCCAATTCCACACTCCCTAACTGGCCCAAGGCTGAAACTTGGATGAAACCTCTAGGTCTCTGTATCCTATTATCTAAATCTGAAGCGCCCAAGTGAAAAAATGTAGCACCTATAAACCCAGCCAACCTTGTCTGGTGTTCATGCCAAAGGCTCAACAGATAAACACAAAGACACAGAAATGGGAGGGACTAGGGGGAGGCATGGGAGAGGTGAAAAACAGGAAGAGGGGAATACAGTAGTCCCCCCTTACCCACAGTTTCGCTTTCCAAACTTTCAGTTACCCACAGTCAAGCGTGGTCCAAAAATATTACATGGAAAATTCCAGAAATAAATAATTCGTAAGTTTTAAATTACACACTGATCTGAGTAGTCTGATGAAGTCTTGGGCCATCCTGCTCTGTCCACCCGGGACGTGAATCACCTTTTTGTCCAGCATATACATGCTGTCTATACTTCCCACCCGCAAGTCATTTAGTAGCCACCTCAATGATAGGATAAACGGTGATGATACGGCAGTGCGTGTGATCAAGACATCCTTATTTCGCTTCATAATGGCCCCAACGCACAAGAGTACTGTGCCTAATTTATAAATTAAACCTTATCATAGGCATGTTATGTATAGGAAAAAAACATAGTATATATATATAGGGTTCAGTACTATTTGCAGTTTCAGGTATCCACTGAGGGTCTTGGAACATATCCTCCATGGATAAGGGGGGACCACCGTATAAAGGAAAAAAGAGCGACAGGAAACAAGTACCCTTTAAGAATGCAGGTTTGGTTTTTTTTGTTTTTTGTTGTTGTTTTGTTTTTTTAAACGGCTGTGTGCAGTGGCTCACACCTGTAATCTCAGCACTTTTTGTGGCTGAGGTAGGCAGATCATCTGAGGTCAGGAGTTCAAAACTAGCTTGACCAACATGGTGAAACCCCATCTCTACTAAAAATACAAAAATTAGCCAGGCGTGGTGGTCAGCGCCTGTAATCTCAGCTATTTGGGAGACTCAGGCATGAGAATCACTTGAACCCAGGAGGAGGCAAACATTGCAGTGAGCCGAGATTGCACCACTGCACTCCAGCCTGGGAGACAGAGCAAGAGTAAGACTCCGTCTCAGGAAAAAAAAAAAAAAAAAGAATGCACTTTTTTTTTTTAAAGATGCCCTCATACTTTTCAAAATCAGCATGCCTTGAGTAAGAAGCCACTGCCTGCCGGATCTCCATCATCACGTGGGTCTGGAAAGGTTAAGTCCATCAGTGGAGCCCCCGTCTAACATGGCGCAGACGTGTGAACGACCAATGGCTTCTTGCATTGCCTGTGCATGACTTGGCTGGCCAAAGCATATTTTACATTAGCTTAGGTCCTGACATTCTATCATGTTCCCTGTCAGGAAGCCAAGTAGTTCTTGGAAGCTTGCACACCAAGTGACATATAACAGAACCCTAGCAAATGAGACAGCCCTTTGCCAAGTGCCCTTAAGTTAAAGGCTCTTCTTGCCTCTCCCACCTCTGTGGCAGTGGTCTGTCTGGCTGGGCTGAGAGCAGGCATATACCACTGAAAGGTCACCATCCTCTGCCAGCATCTGAAGTACTTTTCAAGGAGGCAGTGTCACATGGTGCGGGGCTATTTGCAATTGAGTTGCCTTTAGCAATCTGTATCACTGAGGAACTAAAAGTGGGACAGAGAGGGGTACCCTAGGCTGTCTATGGAGCATGGCATAAAGCTGAAGGAATGGCCATCAAAATGACACCTTCTGTATCCAGTTCCACGCTGTCTTCAATGAACCTGCCACCCCAAGGGACACTCTGTCAGGCTGTAAGAGGAGAAGCTCCAATGCCACCTCACATGACACTGTCCAGAACGTCTGTGGCCCTGTGGCTGGAGTTTCTGCACCCTCCTCACAGGGTGTCAACACTCTTGCAAGGAAGATGGGCCCTCAAGGACAGGCAGGGTTCCTGCCAGGCTCCTGCCAGCGAGGGCAACTCCTGGTGCTCTCCTTCTGGCCTCCCCAGGGGCCGCCATCACAGCCTCTTTTTCCGGTGCTCCCCTGCCCTTCCCAGCCCACCTCCTGTGTGTCCTGGGTATCTGCCATAAGCTCAGAACTGTGCAGGGCATGCTGGAGCAATGCTGGGAAGTATAGGGGAAGTCTTTGCCCATAGGGCCTGTGATAACTAATATAAGAAACAAGGGCCGGGCGCGGTGGCTCACGCCTGTAATCCCAGCACTTTGGGAGGCCGAGGTGGGCGGATCATGAGGTCAGGAGATCGAGACTATCCTGGCTAACACAGTAAAACCCCGTCTCTACTAAAAATACAAAAAAATTAGCCGGGCGTGTTGGTGGGCGCCTGTAGTCCCAGCTACTCGGGAGGCTGAGGCAGGAGAATGGCGTGAAGCCGGGAGGTGGAGCTTGCAGTGAGCCGACATCGCACCACTGCACTCCAGCCCGGGCGACAGAGTGAGACTCAGTCTCAAAAAAAAAAAAGAAAAAAAAAAAGAAACAAGGCCCCTGTTTCTTCAATGTGAGGGAATAAATAATTGAGAATTGATGGGATTGTGGTGTGGGGAATACGCTGATAAAATCAGGGGAGGGAGGCATCACAAGAGAAAGGGCTGGTCAGTGAAGACTTCTTGGAAGAGGTGAGACTTGAGCAAAAGCTTGAGGGAAGGATGAGGACCAGACAGGGAGGAAATGAAGGGATAGTGACAGTGGATGTGTGATGATCATGAAACAAGGTGGGCTCAGGGGCCAGGAAACAACCAGCATGGGTGGCATCCAAGGAGGTGGTGAGAAGTGAACTCATGCAGGTAGGACTGTGCCACATTTCTGGCTGCCTGCATGGCAAACAACAAACAATACCTCAATCCCTCTGCCTGGGCACACCTCTGTATCCCAGCTCTTGGCATGGGCCTGGCTCATAGTTAGTGCTCAATACACACTGAAGAGTGAACCAAGGAAATTACTAAGCACCCTCAGTCATGCAGGAGGCCCCAAACTAAGAAACAAAACCATATTTAAAGGCAGGGATTGAAAACTCATGGGCCAAGCCCAAGTGGGCCAGGCAAGTAACAAAAGTGCAGCTGGCTAGGAGTGAGCAGTGGGGAACAGCCAGGGATACTGACGCATGGACACCCATCTTCAGGGGGACGGTTCCTACCTGACTACAGCCCAGCACTGCTGCTGAGGTTCACGAGCCCAGTGTTGTTGGGCTTTTGTTGTGTGAAATCCCCCAACTTTTAAATCTGAGCAATGAGCTTAAAAAAAAAATTCTGCATAGACCAAACAAAACACATAACTCAAAGTCATATCAAGCCTGAGCCATCTTTGGCTCTACAGGATAAGTTTTTTTCCTTAAGAAGTGGATAGTCTAAAAAAGTCCCCAACAAAACTAATCTATGATGACAGAGGTAAGAATGGGGGTTGCCTTTGGTGGCAGGGAGCTGTGGATGGGCTCCCTTTTGGGAGGCTGGAAATCTCCAGTCTTTTGGTCTGTGTGGTGGTAACAGGGATGAGCACACATTTGAGAATTCATCAAGCTGTAAAAGTAAGAGTTGCAGACTTTACTATATCTAGTAACATAAAAAGCAAAAAAGGTCCCCCAGAGTTGGACGAAACCCTCTCCAGAGTGTGCTTTAAGCTGTGCTGCTCCTTCAGCCTCAAATTCCCTTTGGCTCTCCCTCTCTTTACCCTGCTGCCACTCACTTGCCCTATCAGCCATGGCCCAGGCAGTACTTCCTCCAGGAAGCCCTCCTACTCCACCCCAGCCCACGGTTGCGCTTGGCCCATCTGGGTGCTCCTAGATCCAGCCCAGTGAGTGCCACTTCATCCCCACCTTCATCACTTCCAAGGTCTGCCACCCTTGGAGTTTCTGAGGTCCTGGGGATGAGGACTGTGCACTGCTCACTGTGGTGCAGGCATTGCACACAGTGGGCATTCAGCAGAGGTCTGACGTGACAGCTCAATCCCCTCCAGCAATCAGCAAAGGGGAGGATGCCTCCCTCCCAACCCCATCTGTATTTCCCAAGAAGTGACTGAGCACAGAATCTGGAAACATGAGATCTGGAGAGAAAAAAAAGCCAGGGGACTAGCTGAGTCCTGGGTAAGAAGTCCTGGGGGAGTAGGGTTGGGGACATGTACATCTAAAGATTTAAAATGCGATTCTCTTGCAACCAGCTATGGTGACTTCCTACTGAGGAGAGGAAATAAGGATGCGTACAATTCTTAAATCACTTCCCTGGCCAAAGAAACTCTAGCCCAGTGTGGCTCACGCTTCCGCAGGCATCAGAATCACCAGAGGCTTTGTTAAAAACAGATTCCTGGGCCCACTAAGGAGACTGATTGGCTCTGGAACAGGGCCTGAGAATTTGCATTCCTAAGTAGATGCTGATGCTGCTGGTCCAGGGACCTCCACTGTGAGTGACACTGGCTCAGGCAAGACCACTATTAGGAAGAACAAAATATCACAATGCATCAGTGTTCTTTCAGTGACTCGTTTAACAAATTTTTATTACATTTGTACTGTGTGCAAAGCCATGTAAGTGATGCAGACATAATTAGAACTAGTAGTTGCATCCTTACCCTTGGTCACCAGAAAATGGATTGCTACCTCTCAGTGCCTGTCACAAGATTTGCTGTTAAAGCAGAAAATGACACCCACTTTCAGCCACTTCCCAATGCTCAAATGATCTCAGGTTCAAACTCATGACTCTGAGAACAAAGTGTGTGAAGTCCACTCCCATCAGCGAACTCATCTGTTTCTCCAAACATTTCTGATGAAATGAATCATTTCTCTTGGGCCTCTCTTCAATACATCACCTCCTTTGTTTAACCAGAAGAGGAGTTGGTTGTAGATTTCGTACTCTGGGCTGGGCAAGGGGCGGACACATTTCCCCTGGAGTCCAAGACAGCAAAGGGTCTCCAGAAGAGTCTGAGGGTGGAGGCAGCTTTCCAGCAGACAGACAAACACACTGCTCTGAAATAGCACCCGTTCCCATCCCAGGCAGGAGCCACCTTCCGACATATTCAGTTACAAGTGAGTGCCTGGGCATTAAATCTAAATGGCCCATGCTATGGAATGCCTGGGCAGCATGCAGTTAGATTATTTATGCCCTCTGCACCTGTGGAAGTGAGGTTTAATTATTTATTTCATGTTAAATTTCCAATCCTTGGCTTCCAGTCTGCAGATGAATAAACACCTCAGTTAAACTGCAGGGGTCTTTGGGTCATCCACTCAGCAGGGGCCAGAAAACTTAAGGATTTCAGCACCTCAGGATGTCATCTCACTCACTGCCTGACGATATCGTAACAAAAATCAATCCTGTGGCAGAGTTTTAAGAATCCTTTGAAGTGACAATATCTGAAAAATTCAGTTTTGCCCTGTCAATCAAAATGTAACTCAAGAGGTAAGGACACAACCTTTGAACCACAGACATGACACTATACTCTGCTAGTATATCTTTCCTGACTTGCTATAGGAGGCCACTAGCCTGACTTACTCCAATTCTTTCCTAAATTTGGGCAAAATTCAAAATTGTTGAATTTTGAATTCAACAATTCAAAATTGTTACAACTCTGGAGTTAAACGTCAGTCAGCTCCTTGTGGTGTCTGATTAAAATGTAATACTAAGGTATGTTCTAACTGAACTAGTTGCCTTCTTATGGTATAATCCAGTTTGCTGTTAGCAAGAGGGCTGTGGTTTGGAAATTGCTATCTTAACCCAAACCATCATCAGCTCTGCACCTCAAGCAGAACTGCTCAGAATTCAAACCTCAACCCTTCTCTACTTGCCTTTTCCTGTATTAGTAACTTGAGTCCAATCTCCTGTTCCAATGAAATGGTTAGATTCCCATTTTGCTATATTTTCTTCTGTGGAGAGAATATCAGCTTTCACTTACAATTCTGGAAGGTTTCCAAGGCCATGCACAAATTTACTGACTGCATCATCGTAGTCCCCTTCCTCTTAAAAGTGGCTGCTCAAGCTTTTGACATAAGAGCTAGCCCAGCCCCAACAAAGATGGCAGTGCCTGAGAATGAATTCAGTTCTTTAATAGGACAAAAATACAAAGCTCTAAACTTTACAATTTGGGTTACAGAATCAATTTCTTTTGGGGGATCAAGGCTGCCTTTTGGCTTTGGTTTCATTCGGTTCATTGGGTTCATTGGTTCTCCCAAAGCACAGGGAGTTGTCTGCTTTGTGCGCTTCTGTGTTCTGCATGGTTGGGATACCTATGGTTAAGACGGTGCTTGGTAGAGGGCAGCAAATGCTTGTTGCATGAATGACTGTCTACCAGGAAACACCCATCCTGAAGACCAGGTAGAAGCACACAGGAAAGTCACAAAGCTCTTGTGCCCCACTGATGCTGGTTGCTTCTCTTAGCTCTCTCTGACCCAGTGTCTGATAAGAAAATGGAGAAATTTAAATTTGAGCCAAATATAACACTGGTTCATTCTGCTACACAAATTAAATGGGCTAAGGACCATATAAAAGCAGTCAGTTTACCAAGAGTGAGGATAATTGTGAGTCAATAATGATATTTTACCAAAAACTCCACAGAGGCCCTGTAATCTAAACTATGTCTCTGGTATGTTGGAATCATTTTTATATAGCCTGATAATCTTATACACAAATGAGATTTCCCACTTTTAATGAGTCAAAAGACATATAGTAAAATATTTTATTAAATATTTGGCAAAAATTGAATACACATTAACAATCATATATACAAGCAAAAGCCTCATGTTCCTTGGTACTTTACCTTGGAAAGAAATAACATGTCATTTAAAATGAGAGTTTCACTCTAAGACAAGAAAGTAATTCAATAAAACAGACAGTAGTAACAAATTTGCCAACAGTTTAGTTTAGAATGGTCACGTTTGAAATGGACGAATGCCTAGAAAGATACAATCTACCAAAACTGACCCATGAAGAAGTAGAAAATATGAAAAGACCGATAACAAATAAGGAGATTGAATCAGTAATCAAAAACCTCCTAACAAAGAAAATCCCTGGACCAGATAGCTTCACTGGTAAATTCTACCAAACATTTAAAGAAGAATTAACACCAATCTTTCTCAAACTCTTCCAAAAATTTGATGAGAAGAAAACATTTCCTACATATTCTATGAGGCTAATATAATCCTGATACCAAAGCATGACAAAAACAGTACAAGAAAAGAAAAATGATAGAACAACATCCATTATGAATATGATGCAAAAATCCTCAACAAAATACTTGCAAACCAAATTCAGCAGCATATTTAAAGAATTATACACTATGACCAAGTGGGATTCATTCACAGAATGCAAAGATAGTTCAATATAAAAAAATTAGTCAATGTAATATACCACATTAACAAAATAAAAAGGAAAACCTCATGAGCATCTAATCGATGTCAAAAAAGCATTTGACAAAATTCAACACCTTTTTATGACAATAACACTCAATAAACTAGGAATGGAAGAAAAAACTTCCTCAGCATGATAAAGGTTAGATACAACAAACCTACAGCTAACATCATACTCAATGGTAAAACAAAACAAAACAAAACAAAAAACTGCAAGTTTTCTCCTAATACCAGAAGCAAGATAAGAATGCTTGCTTTCTCCACTTCTATTCAACATAATACTAGAAGTTCTAAACAGGGCAATTAGGCAAGACAAAGAAATGAAAAGCATTCAAATTGAGAAGGAAGAAGTCAAACTATTTCTGTTTGCAAATGACATGGTTTTATATGTAGAAAACCCTCAAGTTACACACACACACACAATGGTTATAGCTCATAAACAAATAGCAAAGATGCAGGATACAATATCAACTCATAAAATCAGTTGCATTTTTACACACTAGTAATTAACAATCCATAAAGAAAATTATGAAAACAATTTCATTTATAATAGCATCAAAAAGAATAAACTAGGAATAAAGCAAGGAGATGAAAGGCTTCTACACTGAAAACTACAAAGCATTGCTGAATAAACTCAAAGAAGATAAAATAAGTGGAAAGACATTCCATGTTCATGGATTGGTAGACTTAATATTGTAAGTGACCTACAAATTGAATGTAATTCCTATCAAAATCCCAATAACATTATTTTCAGAAATAGAAAAATTTATCCTAAACTTCACATGGAATCTTAAGGGACAAATCCCAAATAGCCAAAGAAATCTTGAAAAAGAGGAACAAAGTTGGGAAATGTATACCTCCTGATTTCAAAACTAACTACAAAGCTACAGTAATCAAAAGAGTGTGGTACTGGCATAAGGACAGACATAGAGCAGTAGAATACAATAGAGAACCCAGAAAAAAAAATCTTTACATATATGATCAATTTTCAACAGGTGTACCAAGGCCATTCAATGGGGAAAGCACAGTCTTTTCAACAAATGGTGCTGGGAAAACTGGGTATCCACATGCAAAATAATGAAGTTGGATCCTTACACAATATGCAAAAAGGAATCAAAGACCAGAACTTGAGATTATAAACTACAGTTTACACGATAAAATTCTTAGAAGAAAACATATGGGGAATGCTTCGTAACATTGGATTTGGCAATGACTTCTTGGGTATGACACAAAAGGCGCAGGCAATAAAAGAAAAAAGAAATAAATTGAAGTTCATAAAAATTAAAAACTTTCATGCATTAAAGGACACTATCAAGAGAGTAAAAAGACAACACACAGAGTGGAAGAAAATATATGCAAATCATATGCTTGATAAAGGGTTATATTCTGAATACATAAAGAAATTCTACAGTTCAACAACAACAAAAAATTCAATTCAAAAACAGGTAAAGGACTTGAACAGATATTTCTCTAAAGAAGATATACAAGTGTCCAATAAGCACATGAAAAGATGCTCAACCTCATTGGTCATTAGAGCAATGCAAATCAAAACTACAATGAGATACTACTTCACACCTACTAGGATGGCCATAATAAAAACAAACAAAATAACAAGTGTGTTTGAGAATGTAGAGATATTGGAATCCTCTTGCATTGCTGGTGGGAACATAAAATGGTTCAGCCACTGTGGGAAACAGTTTGGCAGTTCCTCAAAAGCTAACCACAGAATTATCATATTTTCTTAGTCAATTCGAGGTGCTATAACAAATTGCCATAGACCAGGTTGCTTGAACACGCACATTTACTTCTTACAGTTCTGAAGGCTGGGAAGTCCAAGATCAGGGCACTGGCAGATCTGGTGTCTGGTGAAAGCACTCCTTCTAACTTGGGACTGTATTCTCCTACTATCCTCACATGGTATGGGTAGAGAGCAAGAGCAAGAGCAAGCTCTTTCGTGTCTCTTCTCATAAGGATACTAATCCCATTCAAGAGGGCTCCACAGCCTCCCAAAGACCTCATCTCCTAATACCATCACATGGGGGGTTAGTATCTCAACATATGAATTTTGAGGGGACATAAACATTCAGTCCATAACACATAAGATCCAGCAATTCTGTTCCTAGGTATATGCCCAAAAGTATTGACTCAGGTCTTTCAAGTCCAGCAAGGACTCAAATATTTGTACACCAACATTCATGGAAGCATTATTCACAATAGCCAAAAGGTGAAAACGATGCTTCTGGCCATCAACAGATGAATGGATAACTAAAATGTGATATATACGTATATTGTACTTACAAAGTATATTTTATTCAGCCATAAAAAGGAATACAATTTTGATACATGCTACAGTATGAATGATCCTTGAAAACACGATGCTAAATGAAATAAGCCAGACAAAAAGGACAAATATTGTATGGTTTTACTTATATGAGATACCTAAAATAGGCAAATTCATAGAGACAGAAAGTAGCCTAGAGGTTAGCAGGAGCTGGGGGAAGAGGGACATGGGGAGTTTTGTTTAATGGGTAGAGAGTTTCTGTTTGGGTGATGAAAAAGTTAAGGAAATAGTGTGGGTGGTTAAACAACTTTGTGAACCTATTTAATGTCAGTGAATTGTACAGGTTTTGTTTTTTTGTTTTTTTTTGAGACAGGGTCTTGCTCTATTGCACAACCTGGAATGCAGTGGCACTATCACAGCTCACTGCAACCTCAAATTCCTAGGCTTAAGCGATCCTCCTGCCTCAGCCTCTCAAGTAGCTGGAACTACAGGCACACACCACCACACCCAGCTAATTTAAATTTTTTTAGTAGACAGGAGGGCTCACTGTGTTGCCCAGGCTGGTCTAAAACTCCCAGCGTCAAGCAATCCTCCAGCCTCAGCTTCCCAAAGTGCTGGGATTACAGGTGTGTGCCACCATGCCTAGTCAAATTGTACAATTAAAAATAGTTAGGTTATGTATCTATTTAACCACAATAAAAAAAGGCCATAGTTGTTTATTTTAAATCACTCATTTCCAGGGTTTTTAAGATAACTGATATCATTCCATAAATTGATCTGAAGGCCCTATTTAAGCATTGTTTCATTCCCATTTTCTGGAAGCACTTAAAATTAAGATATCTCTTTTATGAGTGACACAAATTGACAATCAGATGAAAAGCCCATCTAAATATATGCAATCCAGAATCTTCCCTGGCTTCTACCTCTCTGATTTTGTCACAGCTTCTTGATGATATGAAGAATACCAAGAAATAGAAACACTGCTACTTTAGACTTGTAAAAGGCTTTATACTCTATGCCAATTGTCACTAAATGTACAAAATGCCATCACCAACAGGAGGGACTCTACACTGTGGGACTAGAAGCATCGGAAACAAGGCTTTCCACGGAATTTCCCAACAAACAAACTCCCTAGATTTTTAAAGACCCGCACTACCAGCACAGAACAACCGTGTGGATTTCCAACAAAGATATAAAATAGTTATACATGATGGAACTGTAAAACACCAATTAAACTGTTACTGATATTTTCTCCCATCAAAAGCAGGCACCTGCCCCTGAGCTCCGGCCAATAGAGCTGAAAGGGAAGGCTGGCCCATGGATTTCCAACTTTCTCTGAGTCCTTAGTCTGATTGATTTTTCCTCATAGCACTCATTAGCTGACATTATACTGTTTGTGCATGTGTTTACTTGCTATGTCTGTTTCCTAGAAGCTAAGCTCCATGAGGGCAGGTTTTGTCTCTCACTCACCCCTGTGTCCCCAGGCCTCCAGCAGAGCCTGACTCATGGGAGGCCCCAGTCAGCACGTGCTGAACCAAGGGAGTGCAAGAGTTGAGTTGGTTGGAGGATCTACTGATCTTGATTCTATCAATGTCAATATCCTGGTTATGATATCAGGTGATGGTTTTCAAGATGTTGCCATTGGGGGAAACGGAATAAAGGGTACACAGGGTCCTTCTATATTATTTCATACAACAGCAGGTGAATGTAGAATTATTTCAAAATACAAAGTTTAATTTTTAAAAACTTTAAAATACATGCAAACAAACAAAAAAATGCCTAAAAGCCATTCTATAAGATCCTATTATTCTTCAAAACTGTAAAGGAGATTAAAAAAAAAAACAGGAAAGACAGAGAAGCTATTATAGGCTGGGGAAGACTAAGAAGAAATGATAACTAAATGCCATGTTGGATCCTGGGTAGGATCATGAAACAGAAAAAGGACATTGGTGGGAAAACTGAAGAAATCTGAATAATGTCCATAGTTTGTTAATAGTATTGTACCAACATTAATAATGTTTTAGTTTTGAAAAATGTACCATGGTTATGTAAGGTATTGACATTAGGGGAAGTTAGGGAAACTCTATGTGCTTGATTTGTAGCTTTTTTAGTAAATCTAAAATTATTGCAAAGTAACAGTGCTTTTTTTTTAAATGCAGGATTGGAAGAAGGATGTTTGATAATGCACCAAGCAGTTAACTAGAACTATATCTGCTTTACTTTTCAGATAAAAATCATACAAATCTAAGCAGTAAAAATGTTGGGACATCAACGTGTAAACAATTATGTTGTGGTATGAATCCGAAATCCTTAGGGCCAAATTTGGTGAAATTTAGAATCTTTTTTATTTTGAAAAACAAACAAGTATGATGCATGTGCTAGACTTTGAACCCAGTAGAGTCCAGGCCAGAACCATAGCATTAAACACATGAACATTTCTTGAGTAAAATGCATAAATAGTCACACTATGTGAGATTAAAAATAAAGACTGCAAACAGCCTCTCATCCTATCAAGTCAGATTTTGTTGCCAAATACTTTTGCTCAAAACTTTAAGAAAAACCTCTCTGTTTTCAGAGCTATTTGTATTTCAAAACTGCAGATAAGGAATTGTGGACTGGATTATTAGGATTCCAAATGAATAATATTTGATTTTTAATTTGTTAGACCACCAAATTTCTAAAAATTATCAACTCATTATTTCTCTCTCTCCTTTTTAAAACACATACACACACATACACACACACACACACACACACACACACACACACACACACAAAACCATTTAGGAGTAGCACTCATGACCCAGAGGAAGGACAAGGAGGACTTCTAGGATGTTGATGTTTTATTTCTTAATCTAGGAGCTGGTTAGAAGAGTAAACATTCAATGAGCTATGCACTTAAAATTTGTGTACCTTTTTTATATGTATCGTAAATGTTGATGCAACATTTTTAAAAAAGCAGCAATGACACAATTGATGTAAAGTCAAAACATGTTAACATGGGAAGAAGTCTTTTCTCATTCGAGATATGTAGTCACATCCCCTGTATCACAGGTGGACAATGGTCAAGTGACTTGCCCAAGGTCACACAGCAACGCAGTGGGAGAACAGAGACTTCCAGCTCAACTCCTGGTTTGTTACGCAAAATCACGAGATTTCTGTTTCAAACATTTGTTCTATAATATGTGTTACTAATTAACTGGGAAAACTTGTAATACCATCAGACTGGAGTTAATACCCAGACATTTTTTGCTCGTTTAGATTTACTTTTTCCCATGAAATTACAGAACTGATGTCTGGATCAGATGTCTATATTTAATTGGGTGTAACTATGCTTCTCTCTAATAATGCGTAAAATCATCAATGACCATAAATACAAGTTAAGTGTTTTGTCACATCATCCAACTTAATCATTCAGCTATGAATATATCATGGATGATTTAAATCACATTGATTGGACTCAGCACTTAAAAAATGTTAACCCTCTAGTTAGCTATGACATTTTAAGGATGGAAAGGAAAATATAATTTGGGCCTCTTTGACTTACATACTTTTAGTATCTTACTACTTTTCTAGACATTACCATATGACTCAGCTTTTCACTGTGTTTAATTTACATTCTTACTTTTCATAGTTTACAATCTTGCCATAGGCAGCTGAACTGGGACAGTACTAGAAAAGCACTGTGCTTATACAAGGAACACAAATTTTTTCTTTTTTTTTTTTTTTCTTTTTGAGACAGTCTCGCTCTGTTACCCAGGCTGTAGTGCAGTGGCATGATCTTGGCTCACTGCAACCTCCGCCTCCTGGGTTCAAGCAATTCTCCTGCCTCAGCCTCTCGAGTAGCTGGGACTACAGGCATGCACCACCACACCCGGCTAATTTTTATATTTTTAGTAGAGGCGGGGTTTCACCGTGTTGGTCAGGCTGGTCTCGAACTCCTGACCTCAAATGATCTGCCTGCCTCAGCCTCCCAAAGTGCTAGGATTACAGGCATGAGTCACTGCACCCGGCCTATTTCTTTTACTGTAAAAATAAATGATGGATAGAAATGCCTATAAGCAGAAATTTCCAAATTCCAGACATCTGTAAAAATATCTCTTAGATAAAATTGTAATTTCCATTTATATTTTATTATTTTTTTTTAGAGACAGCATCTGGCTCCATCACCTAGGCTGGATGCAGTGGTGGGATCCTAGCTCACTGCAGCCTTTGAACTCCTGGGCTCAAGCAACCTTCCCGTCTCAGCCTCCCAAGTAGCTGGGACTACAGGCGTGCGCTACCATGTGTAATTTCCATTTTTAAAAAGCACATTAAAATCAGAGAGTTTTAACTGGGCTTCAGACTGAATTACTGGCATTCTGTGCTAAATTGTGTGGGGGTGGGATCGGGGGAAGGAGGCTCATACTTCCATCAGATTCTTGAAGGAAGCCATGACCTTAACTATAGGGGGGCCAAGCGGAAGAATCATTCATCATTAGTCACTAGCTACTATAAATAAATAGTAATAATAAAGAGTAAGGAAAGTAAGATCTGGGAGTGAGAGCCCAAGTTTCTATCACAGGTTTCATAGGATATTTAAAGAGTCATGACGACATTGTCATGTAGCGCTGTACCTTGGGCCCTCACAAGAGCCCTTTGAAGCAGGAATGGACTGGGCTCCATTTTGCGGATGAGAAAAGTAAGGTCCGTGAGATTAAAGAACTTGTCAAAGCTCCACAGCTATTCAATGTGGATGCAAGATGCTGGGAATACATATAGCATTTAAACTGATCCCCATCCGAGCTATACGCTCAGGCTTACGTTAAATACCTGTGAGGATTTAAAGGGTCTCTTAAAAGTTCTCCTATCATGTCAGCCTGCGTCACTGTGCTTTTAAAACAAAGATCCTGCATTATGTAAAAGCATTATAAAAATGCAATTTTCAGTGTGTTAGTTTCAATTTGTTTCACAAAGCATACCGAAAAAAAAAGTCTTGCCCTGATCTTGTTACTCACGTTAGCCCGAACCCACCTCCCGACCCTCCCGCCCAAGGCTACCTCAATTCCAACCTTTATTTTTCATGTTCCTTCCAGCCATTCCCTTTCTAGGCATTAAAAATACCTATACCATATACCAACGGTAGAACTCCCTCTGTGCCTTCTAAACCTGAAGTTGGACATCTTTTCCTGCCCGCCCTCCCAAAGGTCTCTCTGCTTCTTCCCCTCTCAGTATGGACTACTAGGGACTTGCTAACCAAAATAGCAAAGAAAAATACATTCCATCGTCTCCTTCCTATCTAGGTGTTTAAATGCCAGAGCTATCTTCCAGCTACCCCATGACCATTCTGAACACAGGCACAGCTGTCAACAGAGGAACAGAAAACAAGAAAGTCCCTGCGAGTCTGACCTGACAGAAGACAGCTTTGTCACCAGTCTCCAAGTCGAAAATAGATCACCCACCACTCAGAAGGGCACAGGGCACTTTTCCACTCTTATCTCAGAGGCCTCCAGGAGTTACATGAAACGCGCTGAGCACTTATGGAATAAAATGTGCAATCAGCGATACGCTTTCAAAATAACTTCTTTTTGACAGGCCCGCCAAGGACAAGATGACAAGGAATGCGTAAGGTCGCGTGTGAAAGTGCTGATCCTCGGCAGCGACCACAAACCCCAGGAAGGACAGCAAAGGCCCCTACGGCCAACAGCTGGGTCATTCGCCTCGTTTTACAAATGCGCAAACAACACTCTCTACCGCAATTCAGGCAGATCGCTCTCCTTGTGCTAAAGCTTTTGCAAACAGATTCACTTCTCAAGATGTTAGGATCCACCGCAATCATCCAGCTGTTTCACCAGCAGTTCTCTTTACTTGTCTCCTTCACATTTTGTGTGTGCGTGGTGGCAGGGCAGGGCCGGCGGAGTGCTCCCAAGCTTCAAGAGGTCTACATCTGACTCATAACTTTATTTAGGCTGCATCCCAGATAGTGAAATAAACACATGGTGACAAAGTCTACGATTTTCTCTTGTAAATTTTTTTAAAGTATTAAAATCCTCACTTTTCATCCAGTGCTGCAATGGAGCAAGATGAACAAGTTAAGTAGGAACAGCATGCCTGAATTTTGCATGCAATTTCCCATTATGAGTGGAAACTGGCCTGAACTTCTACAGTGTTTTGTAGCACATACTTCTTTAGTTAAAGAGGGTGGAAATTAAGCTGTAGTTTATGAGGCTTTTAATTCTGTACCAAGACAAATCAGAAACTCCCCATATTATTTTTTGGTTGTTGTTTTTTGTGTTGTTTTGGTTTGGTTTTGTTCTAACAATATCTTGGGCAAATGACAATTTCTGTTTTCTTTTTCTTTTTCTTTTGTTTTGTTTTGTTTTGTTTTGTTTTGTTTTTAAGATGGAGTCTCACTCTGTCACCCAGGCTGGAGTGCAATGGCACAATCTTGGCTCACTGCAACCTCTGCCTCCCGGGTTCAAACGATTCTCCTGCCTCAGCCTCCTGAGTAGTGGGACTACAGGTGTGCTCCACCACACCCGGCTAATTTTTGTATTTTTAGTAGAGAAAGGGTTTCATCATGCTGGCCAGGCTGGTCTCGAACTCCTGACCTCAGGCGATCCACCTGCCTCGGCCTCCCAAAGTGCTGGGATTACAGGCATGAGCCACTGCGCCCATCCCAAATGACAATTCTTGTCTGTCAATGTTTTCCTTGACACTGTAGAAAAATTATTTCCATGACTTTCTTTAAGAGCTGAATGAATTTACTCATCTCCCGCCGCCCCAAAATATAGTTAATTAAAAATATTTCAGAGTGAGGCATACAACTCTGTTCTTAGTCACAGGATATAACTTGATTTTTCTTTTTCTTCCATTATCTTCCAGCAAAGAGCTACAAGTTTCTGAAATCATCTAAAGAACCCACAAAAACATAAAAGCCACATTCATCAATCATTTCACTAATCTTCCATACAGTTACCTTAAGAATAATTTCAACTGTAGATAGAAATAGAAGTTTCTCCTATTTTAAAAAACTGACTCAACATATTCATTTTGTTTTTTAAAACAGGTCAAATAGCTTTTGAAAGTTGAATTGGAAGTCTTGATTGGCTCTCCAATTGAGGCAAAATCATTTAGACTGACATTTTAATTTAATCTAGAAATGAGCAAGTAAAAGTTACAAAACTCAATTCGCTTTAACTCTTCACTGAAGCAAGGTTTTAAACTCTTAAATAACCTTCCCCAACAAATAACAGAACAAAAAGGAAGCTCTTAAGGAATAAGAGGATAGGGAGAGATAATAACTGGAACCACTCTCAAAATGCAAACCTGACCTAGCATTTACGAGAAAACATTACCAATCTCCTCTTGCACACAAAATTAATGAAAACCAATTACCAGCTCCAATCGCTCTAATGCGGACACTCTTACTGCAACTCAACCAGCACCAGCTGTGTTGTAGATTGAAATTGTAAATCTGACCAGTGCTTTGAGCCAAAAAATAAAACTGCCTTCTGCCATTAACAAGTTCATGAAATTCAGACCTATTAGGTCTTAGGGCACCGGCTGCCCACAAAGTTGTAATTAGAATAAAGCTGACTATGAAATCAAGAAGGTGGTCAAGAATTCGATGAGAACAAAAAAAGCCCAACACTTAGCAACCACTTTTGGATTTTTTGCTCTCATCTAATTCTTGATCACAAGAATTAGACACAATCAAAAATTGTGATCAATGACACAATCAAAAATTGTGATCATCATAACCCAAAAAGTAAAAGAAATATCTGACTCCATACTGACATAAATACTTGATAAATAAACAAGCGAGGAAGAAGGAACAACAGCTCTTCCTTACAGAAGAATTCCAAATAATAAATGGAGAAGGAATGACTGAAATGGAAAATCACTGTTAGAATATGACAATGATAACTATTATAGGCAAGCTCCACAGATGAATGCCAAAATTAGCAGGTGAAAGTTTGAAAAGAAACAGGATATTTGCATAATCCTACAGTAGCTCCCCTGAAATATTCTTAATTACAAAGAAAAAATAGCAGCTTTTAACTTTACAGTTAACACCACCTTAAGCAAGCAATTAAGTGATGCTCTGAGAAGGGCACATCCCCTCTTTGGGAATCTTCTTCCAACACACATAACCTCAATCTAATCATCAGGACACATCAGGCAAACTCAAATCCAGGAATCTTTCACAACAGGAGTTGGCAGATTACAGCCCAAGGACCAAATGTGAACCTTTGCCCGTTTCCATAAATGAAGTCATACCGAGACCCAGCCATGTTCATTTATTTACATATTGTCTGAGGCTGATCTGTGCCACAACAGTAAAGGTGGGTAGTTGCAACAGAGAACATGTGGCCTGCAAAGCGAAAACTCTTTACTATCTGGCCCTAGATAGAAAAAGTTGGCTCCATCTGTGTTCTACAAAATAAGTGACCAATACTCTTCAAAAATGTCAAGGTCATGAAAAACAAGAAAAGACTGAGGTACTGTCATATTCTGGAGGATGCTAATGGAGACATGACAACGAATGCCAGGTGGGATCCTGGATTGCATCCTGAAATAGAAAAACACATTAGTGAAGGCCAGATGTGATGGCTCACGCCTGTAATCCCAGCACTTTGGGAGGCCGAGGCGGGTGGATCACCTGAGGTCAGGAGTTCGAGATCAGCCTTGCCAGCATGGTGAAACCCCATCCCTACTAAAAATACAAAAAAATTAGCCGGGCATGGTGATGGGCAACTGTAATCCCAGCTACTCAGGAGGCTGAGGCAGGAGAATCATCTGAACCCGGGAGGCAGAGGTTGCAGTGAGCCAAGATCATGCCATTGCACTGCAACCTGAGCAACAAGAGCGAAACTTTGTCTCAACAACAACAACAAAAAAAAAAGCAGAAAAGAAAAGGAAAAGAAAAAGGAAACATTAATGAAAAGACTGTTGAAATCTGAAAAATGTCTGTAGTGTGGTTATTAATAGTGTGCCAATATTCTTTTCTTGGTTGTGATAAATGTATCATGGCTTATCCAAGATGTTAACGCTAGGTGCAGCTGGGTAAAAAGCATACAGGAACTCTCTGCACTATTTTTGCAAATTTTCTGTAGGTCTAAAATCATTTTAAAATAAAAAGTTAAACAGTAATTGTGATGAACTCCTCACCCGACCTCAGGCTAACGGGGAGCAGCAGCAGCTGCCATTTCTAGGCCAGCCTCAACCTTCCAATGGTGTCTTTACAGGGCTTAAAAGCAACTGCAAAAATAATTCCAAGGTCACTGACACTTCAAGCCAGTGACCTGAAGGCAGAAAAGATTAGCAGAGAGCATGCCTCAACCAATACTGCCTTTACAAATACCTTACAGTTTAGGGTTTCATGTACTTAAATATAAAGTACTAAACAAGAGGATGAAATTAGACATCTAAATCTCTCTTGTGCCATTTCTCAAAGCTTAAACTAACCCTTAAAGATAGGTGGATGTGAAGATTTTCTTGGAAGTGTTGGCAGGAGGAGGTTTGGTGCAGACCCTATTGCGAGGAGACGTGGTCTAACAGCAGGGGGAGACAGTGTGTCCCTGGGATTCCGGGCCAGTTCTGTCACCAGCTTCTCGCACAGCCCTGACAAGGGAGTGAAATGCCTTCTGCAGAGGTCTCTCCCTTGTTTGCTCAAAGGCTGTCCCTGCATGGTCAGTGAGGAATGTGCGAGAAGAAGGTGCCCCTGTTTCTCTTCTATCAAGCAAGTGCCCCCTAGACAGAAACCATCCAGGCAGACTTAAGATTTTTCACGAATGTAACAAGTCATGTCTGTAATTACGCAAAAATACAGAGAGAGAATAAGAGACAGACTGAAGAAGAAAGAAGTGGAAAAGAAAGAGAAGTAAATGGAAATGAGTGGGGAGAGGGGAGCACACGAGAGAAACAGGAAGGAAATATGGAGGTGCAGCTGTCCCCAGCAAGAAGCAGCTGAGCAAACGGACCCTCGAGAAGCACCTGTCTTCCTCCAACCTTACTGATCAAACCTGGTATAGGTGCATCAAAGCTGGGGTGAAGGAGAAGGTCCTGCCAAGCCCCACTATGAAAGGTGGGTCACAGCCTCCCCCAGGCGTGCACCCTCCCCGCCCCCAGGTGACACGCATTGCGTGACAGCGCACCACAGCCCACGCTAGTTAGCCGTATGTGTCAGTCCCCGAGCTAGCCAAACACCCTTGGCAAATCCTGGCTCGCCACTGAACACACAACCCAGCAGCCCGAGGCCATCCATCATGCCAGCCCAGGAGAACAGATGAGACTTGGAGAAGGAGGCTCCTACCACCTTTTTAGCTGACCGAGCTCCTCCTCCCCCAGCTTTGAGAGAACCGAACCCCTGAGATGGGGGAAACCAGGCAGTGGCCAGTGCCATCAGGAGAAGAAAGAGGAGGCAATTTTATGAATGGACCATTCAGACAGGGAAAACAGCCCTGTGGGCCTTCCCTGGCCAGTGCCACCCCTCCCCACTCTGAAAATTCTTTCGACTCCATCTGCTCCGAAGGAGGCAACACATCCAAGGAGCAAACCCACCACCCACTCCAAACTTGAACTTCCGCCCCCACCAAGAACATTCCAGTGGTTTTGCCAAACAAACTAATTGCTCTCCCCCAGGACAGCCTGCATGACAACAGGTGCCCGGCTCCCGGCTCTAATGCCACCACTCACAGTTTCTGGGTTTCATTGTTTTTAATTAGCCTAAATAATTGTTCTTAAAGTCATTTAGAAACAGTGCTGTCCTACTGTGCCCTTATCTCAAAATATGAGAAGAGCAGGTTAAAAGGGGCAGTGTCAGTCCAGGGATGAAACTGAGATTGAGGTGCCCGCCGACCGTCTCTGGCACCAGATGGCATGAGCTGTGAATGACAATCACCAAGTGAATGCCGCTGTGGCCATCTGTGTGCTGGGTCTGTCTGCCTGGCTGGGAAGTGCGTCTGCATGTGCCCCAGTCCATCAGGGCTAGAGGAAGGCGGACCTGCCTCCCAGCCCTCAGCCAAGCCCTCTCTCAGGAAACAGCCACGCTGCAGACAGACAGACTGCCAGCCTGTGGCTTTGCCTGCCCAGCCCTTCAGAGAGGATCCAGGGGCTCGCAAAGCCCTTGCATAAAGTCACACCTGATTTTCAAAACAACCCCATGAGGCAGACACCATAAGCAGGAAACCAAAACATAGGGGCTTACATGATGTGCCCAGCTTAAGAACTGCAATAACAGGAACTATGATAATTATTAACAAGAAGAGGCTGGGCACGGTGGCTCATGCCTCTAATCCCAGTGCTTTAGGAGGGTGAGGCAGGAGGATTGCTTGAGGCCACTAGTTTGAGATCACCTGGGCAACATAGTGAGACCCTGTCTCTACAAAAAATAAAAATTAGCTGGGCATGGTGGCTCGTGCCTATAGTCCCAGCTACTCGTGAGGCTGAGGCAAGAGGATCACTTGAGCCGAGGCGTTCAAGGCCGCAGTGAGCTATGATCACACCACTGCATTCCAACTTGGGCAACAGAGCAAGACTCTATCTCTAAAAAAAATTAAAAATAAAAAAAAGAAGAAAAAGGACAATGAGCATTTATTGGGTACTTACTATGTGCCAGATACTGTGCTAATCACTTTATACAGCCTTCATCCTAGTGCCAACCTTGGGAGGAAGACAGGAGTACTTATAAATAAGAAGCAGAGGCTCCATTTCATATATTCAAGCCTGAGGCTCCAGGAGGCCAAGTTTCCTGCCCAGGTCTCCATGGCTCCTCAGCAGAGTATCCTGGATTTGAACCGAGAACCTGCATATTAAACCACTGCAGAGCCTCTTTATCTCCAAGTGTGGGTTGCAGCAAAGCATGAACCCATCTGTGCTCCAGGCCTGAATGAACATAAACCAAGTCATTCCAAAAGTCTCTGTATTGCTGAGCTTGAACTTTCAGACTCCTGGACCAGTGCTCCCTCTACTGCAGCATATCATGAAAATGTCACATCTTCATTAGATATGAAGTGAATCTACCACCAAACATTCTCCTATTGCCCACTGCTTCTGTAATAAAATTTAGACCTAGAAAAATCTTTCAAGGTCATCAGGCTCAACACCTTTATATTCCAGATGTGGAAACCAAATCTCCAAGTCTCAGAGAAGCCAAGTTCATTGATCAAGGGAGTGGGTGGCAGGATGAAGAGTAGACCCCAGACTCCCCCGGCCTTGCACACTCAAGAGTGCTTTCCAAAACCAAACTGTACCTTCCCAGAAATGAACAATAAGGGAGAAATCACACAATAGGATGCTTTCCATGGGTGTCCTTAACTCAGGAGATCCTTTCTCTGATGATGCTGCAGTGGGCATGATGCTGCTTTAATCAAAGTGAACCAAATTATGAGAAGATCATGGTCTCAACATGCTATGAGCTCAAGTACGTCTTGAAACAGAATTCCATTTAGTGACACCCTCATAGCCACTTAATGGCAAAGTAATGTATTTAAATGCCTTGACACCTAAACATTTTTTTGCATAATTACATTTAATCTTTGCTCTTTGGTTAGGTTTTTATAGGGATTTGTTTTGTGTGGATAAACTTTTGAGTACTCCCATAGCTCTATTTCCCCACATTGTCTATAAGAAAGATAAGGTTGAAAGAAATCCTTTCTTTTCCTTAATATTATTTATCCCAGTTTATGTTTTATAGTTACCTATTTTTTTGGTTTATGTTAGTTTTCCTCACTAGACAGGAAGCTCCATCCATAAGAATTACCTATTCCATTCATCACTCAGCACCTAAGACAGCACCTAGCACATAATAGGTGTTCAGTAAATACTTCTTTCAGTTGAATGAATTAAAAATGAAGTTCCCCGAGGGTTAAGCTGTGAAGGAGCAACATCTAGAGGGTGCAAATCCCCTCTGACTCGAGTAAAACAATTCAGAAAGCCATTTTACCAGCCTGGTTGGTATCATTATTTTTAGAGAGATGTCTACAACATGAAGACAAGTAACATGAGATACATGCCCATCGAACACACCAACTATCTAAGATCTTCCGTTTTATCAGAAATTTGGAAAAATTAAACAATATGTAACACTCCAGTTTTCCCAAAATACCATTTAGCACCAAATAGTTCTGTGCTATGGTTTGAATATTTGTCCCCTTTAAGATGAGGCCTTTGGCTGGGCGCGGTGGCTCACGCCTGTAATCCCAGCACTTTGGGAGGCCAAGGCAGGCAGATCACGAGGTCAGGAGATAGGGACCATCCTGGCTAACACGGTGAAACCCCATCTCTACTAAAAATACAAAAAATTAGCTGGGCGTGGTGGTGGGCACCCGTAGTCCCAGCTACTCGGGAGGCTGCGGCAGGAGAATGGCGTGAACCCAGGAGGCAGAGCTTGCAGTGAGCAGAGATGGAGCCACTGTACTCCAGCCTTGGTGACAGAGCTAGACTGTGTCTCAAAAAAAAAAAGAAAAAAGAAAAAAAGATAGGGCCTTTAAGAGGTGACTGGGTCATAAGGGCTCTGGATTAATCCATTTATAGGTTAACATATTCATAGTTAATGGATTAATGGGTTATTATGAGAGTGGGACTGGTGGCTTTATAAGAGGAGAGAGGCCTGAGCTAGCACGCTTAGCCTCCTCCACCATGTGATACCCTATGCCACCTCGGGATTCTACAGAGTTCCCACCAGCAAGAAGGCCCTTACCAGATGCAGCCCCTTGACCTTGGACTTCTCAGCCCCCATAACTATAATAAATAAATTTTGGTTTCTTTAAAAATTATCCTGTTTTAGGAATTCTGTTAAAAGCAACAGAAAACAGCCTAAGACAGTCTACAAGTATCTATCTGATTGCAGCCTTACTTGAAAATTTTAAAATTCTAAAGTGACTCTGAGATTTTTTAAAAACATTAATATTTTCAAGCTACATATATTTTAAACCTCTTTATAGCCTCTTGCATCCACAAATTTAAAAACCAATATTGGATTTGAAGCAAAAAAAATAGCATTTGTTGCTTCCAAAGAAGCCAAGTTGGATTATATCAACGATACAGGGACAAGAACAAATAGGTTTGTCACAACCAAGGAGACTGCAAATCAGAAAAGTACAAGAAGTTGTTCTTCCTAATTGATAGACACTTTGTGAATTTTGAAATTTGTGAATGAAGTAATATAAAGAAAAACTCTACAATTGCAGAATGTCATACAGAAGAAAAACTACCATATGAACAGTTTGAAATGTGCAGGAACGCAAGTGTAAGAAGTACTAAGTGATGTTGCCCCATAAATTCTGAGAGCGATAGTTAGAATTAGCATTTCATCTTAGAGCAAAGTTTCTCTTCCACTGTTTTTTTCCTTTTATGCATGTTGTCTAAACGTCTCTGCCTTGGTTATAATTGTTTCGTGCATTGTTTAACTTTATAGGCAATAAAAGATACCACTTCCAAATATCTATTTTTCTCTCTCTGTGAGATGCAGGGCACTTATCTGTCAGCGCCGTCAGGAAGTGGGAACCAGCAGAGCGAGGACACTGGGAATTTCAGCATATCCTGATTTCAGCCCCTGGGATGTACAATTGGCACCAGATTTTATGCCAAATTTCAGTACAATGGAAATGTCCTGGTTTCACCCTCTGGGTTTTAGAAGACAAAAGGAAATGCAGTCAGTTCTTGGAGCAAAGCAGAACCACATCTGGAATTCATAGTCCATTCCTGGGATGCTCCAGAAGAAGAAATCCAGCGCCCACTATCCGTTAGCTAATTATCATTGCAGGTGACTACCAAGTAAACTCTACCTAAATCATGTCCACCCTCACTGCTTCTCATTCTCAGAGACTGCATTATAACCCTACATATATCTGTGAAATATAAGCCATAGCAGCTATCATTTCCTGCCTGCTTACTCTCTGCTAGGCATTCTGCTAAATGATTATATATATTATCACATTTAATGCTCCCAACAACCTGAGGTAAATATTCTTCCTTTTTCATAAATGAGCAAATCAAGGCTCAGAGAAGTAATTTCCAAGGTCACAGCTGGTAAGTGGTAGAGCCAGAATGTGAGCCCAGGTCTGTCTGACTTGAAAGGCGGGGCTCCCTTAGAACTTGAGGGGGACTATGTTAATCTCAACAGGGGCTTTCAACAAGCACCAAGAGACAGTATTATACAGTGGTGAAGAACAGACTCTGAAAGCAAGCTGCCTGATTCAGTTCATCTGAACCCCTGCTTGCCCACATACCTTACCCGCTGGAAGTTGGTTGACTTCTTTATATCCCAGTTCCTCTGCTATAAAGTGGACATAACAATTGTTATCTGTTCCATAAGGTTGTTTGGGGATTAAATAAGATACTACATGTAAAGTCCTCAGAACCACATTATAAGAATGCAAGACACAGCTGCTCATAATGATGATGGTGCTGGTTGTGGTAAAGGCCATGATCTCAAGGATAAGCCTCGCTTCTTAACTTTGGAGCCTCCTCCCAAACCTAGCCCATCATCCTACCTATTTTTTTGACTATCACAATTCAATATTAAACTTATTCACCAAAACAGGCTCTCTTTTCCTTTATTCCCATCCTGCTCTTTTCCGGGTATAGCCAGTAAGTTCACTTCCACCTATCCAAAACTTGCTCACTTCTTCAAGGCTCCCCCAAATCCCACCTCCATGAAGTCTCCCCCAAACACAGATGATCCATTGTTCTTCTTCCAGACAAATTGCAGTCCACCATTTAGAGTCAGCATTTAGAGCATCATCAGCAATCAGCAATGTACCATGGATACAGAATTGCATCCTGCCTTGGAACGTGTATTAGATATTTTGACTTTGTTTGCCTTATCCCCACAACTTGGTTGCAAGCTCCTTGAGGACAGTATATGATATATTTCTATGTCCTCCATAGGCAATAATACAGAGCTAGTGTGTGCACACACACAGACACACAATCACATCAAATAGGCATATCCTCCGGTGGGAGAATTCTGAAGTTATTGATTTAAATTATTTTAAATGTCAAGAGTGCAGAATGAAATCAAGAAAGAATCTAAAAAATATAGTACATCGACAGCCTCAAAAACACCAGACCTTGTATGTGATCTTGAAGACTTAAGCAGTGATCAATCTTAACGCCTGCACTTATTACCAGCTTGTTAATATGCAGGTTTCCTGATGCAATTCAAATTATTTGGATTAAACAGATTCAACACCATTAATCCAGTGAGCTTCAAAGTGATCTACAAGACTTGGGAGACATTATTGAGCTTGCGTGGTCACGACAAAAATGTGCAGCTACAGGTTATGTAATTCAAGTCTGCTCATCGTCTGGAAATGGGCTTGGAATTGGGAATGATTCTCAGAGGATGCTCAGAATGTGTTTAAACTTCAGGACACTGGAATCCTGCTCTAACCTGAAAGTAGTGGGGCAAAAACAGCAGTCTTGGTTTTAAGAGTTCCCTGTTGTAAGCAATTCCCCATGAACAGGAGAGCCAGGTGCAGAATATGTGAACTGATACGGGTACAGGTTTTCTAATGGATTTTACAGAACATAAGAATTGACTATAACTCAAAAATGACTTCCATCCTACACAGATATTAAAGCCCAGCCCTTCCTTCCAATATGTTTGCAGACTGAGTAGCCATAAATGAGTTTTATATTACTTCCCACCCACCTGACACACAAATGAACTAAAATGCACCCTTAAAGAGATATCGTCTCTCTTCAGGCAGCAAGTTTGGCAAGAAATTGCAATATAAAAATGCAGGAAGGAGGATTAGAATATCCTCAAGTCTGGCCTTGCCTCAGGAAGATACACCCTCAGACTGCCAAAGGAAAGCTTCTCTGCTGGTAGATTCATTCTCCCCAAAATGTTTAGGAAGCCAACCCTAAAAAGCTATGCCACCCACAGTAAAGGATATTCCATTTTTATGTGACTCAAGCTCATAACAATTTCTGATGGCTCTCTGAACTTAGCAATCCAACACAACCTCTAGTACCACTTCAATCCCTGAAACACAAGTAAACCTCATTCCTCCAGTTTCAATATAGGCCACTGTCCTCAGAATGTGGGGAGTTGGAAACAAGCAGATTGCAGAATATACATCTAGGTTTCAGATCACACAGACTTCAGCAGCCAGTACCTTCTAAGCTCTCCTCGCCTGTGGCCTTAGTGACATTATCTTAAGAGTATTCTCATAATTCCTGGTGCTGGTGAGGCTGGCCGGAAATAAACACTTAAGCACAGCTAGCAGGAGTAAACATTTATACAAATTTTTTGAAAAGCCATTTGGATGCTGGGCATGGTGGCTCACGCCTGTGATCCCAGCACTTTGGGAGGCCGAGCTGGGTGGATCACGAGGTCAGGAGTTTGAGACCAGCCTGGCCAACATAGTGAAACCCTGTCTCTACTAAAAATAAAAAAATTAGCCAGGCATGGTGGTGTGTGCCTGTAATCCCAGCTACTTGGGAAGCTGAGGCAGGAGAATTGCTCGAACCCAAGAAGCAGAGGTTGCTGTGAGCT
Organism: Homo sapiens; assembly: GCF_000001405.40. Lineage (NCBI taxonomy): Eukaryota > Metazoa > Chordata > Mammalia > Primates > Hominidae > Homo > Homo sapiens. The sequence goes on along the minus strand of NC_000010.11, from coordinate 110,673,280 downwards.
GAGATTGCACCATGGTACTCCAGCCTGGGCAACAGAACAAGACTCCGTCTCAGAAAAAAGGAAAAAAAAAGAAAAAAGAAAAAAGAAAGAAAAGCCATTCAGGAATATGTATCAAGAACCTTAAAAACATTCTCACTCTGCCCTATGATAATGAGACTATAACCTAATACGGAAACAAGTTTTAGCCAGAAAGATGTTTACTGCAGAATTTTTTAATGAAAATAAAAAAACACCTAAATATTCAAAAGTAGAGTGGCTGTATATGGCATGACAGAATATTATGCAGCCAGTATGTATGTTTGTAAAATAATAATAAGAGAAAAAATGCAAAGTTCAAAGTTGAGCTTCATAGTACAATTAAAAACTAGAAAAAATAAATCTAACGTATGTATAGACAAAAAAGCAAAGGAACTATTCCAAATATCAGTTGATTTTAGATAGTGGACCCATGACGAGTTTTTCCTCCCTGCTTTCTACTGCTCTATACTAAGTATGTGTCAAGCTTTATTTGAAAAACTCAAGTACAAGTCCACGGTACAACCTAGCACTCTGGGGGCACTGGCACTCCAAAAGAAAGTTGCCTTCCCACTCCAGGAGAAAAGACCATCTCACCGGGGACCGCTGTGCCCACCCCAGGTCTGAAACGTCCCCTATCCGCGGACGGAAGCATCTTCAGGGGTCGCTGGAGAACCGTGGGGGCGCGAGCGCGCAGCTTCCGCGAACACCCGGGAAGACCGCCTGCGGCGCACCGCCCCGGGGGCTTTGGCTGACGATCACGGAAGCTCCGCCGGGCGAGGGAGGACGGCAGCAGCCCGGAGAGAAGGTCTCTGCAGAGCGGGGACGCAGGGTCCCGGGTGACACTCGGCGAGGGGAGCCTCCCCTTTGACTGTCTCGCTGAGACCTCTCAGGCTTCTAGTTTTCAAACACGAGGGTTGAATTATTCGGAGAGCTCAGCAGAAAGCGGATTAAGAAGGGGAAAGCCGAGGGAGCCATAAACTGACAAGTGCTGCGACCTCTCCGGCCACCAGGGGCCGAAGTCTCACCACTGCCCCCACCCGCGGCGCCAGGCATCGCCTCCCTCGTGGCAGAACCCTGTCCAAGTGCGCGGAGAAACGCAAAGCGCGGCAGGGACGGCTCCCTGAAGCCCACCGGGTAAAAGCAATGCCAGACATCAAAACCAGGAGCCTCCGAGAGCCGTCATCGGACAAGATAGGAAGAAGAGTCCCTAATAGGGCCCTAAAATACCCCCTAAGTTTGTCCCTCTGGGGTGAATTTGAAGTCTTCAGAGCTAAGTGGCTGATTATGAGCCTCAGCACCTCGGGTCCCAGGTGATATTTTGGTGATGAGACTCCACCCTAAAGGGATAGCAACTCTGTAAAAGCTGAAAAAGAATTCCTACATAATATCAATAATCACACCAGAATGGATCTCTTCTGTAAATTAACATTTTAAAAGATATCTTTACCAATAAAGAGATTTAAAGGGAGTGTTTCTTGTAAATACGGTTAATAAGCATGTCGATATATATACATATATATATATATCTTAAACAGTGTCATTTTACTTCTATTAAATTAGTTTTTTAAAAAAAATCTTGAGCTGGAGAGGTGTTTGTTTCACGAGCGCACAATGCATAATACTTTGGTAGACACTGTTCTGAGCAATATACAAATACTCATTCCCAATAATAGACCTATGAGGTGGGTACTGTGTCACTCCCACTTTAAAGAGGCAGTAACTGAGGCACAGGTAGGTTAAATACTTTGCAGAAGTTCACACAGCTGGTAAATGCCAAGTGTCAAGCTGGAATTCAAAGCTGGGCAGAGTGGTTCCGCTTAGTTATTGTGAGACCAATATCCTCCTATGTTACTGCTAACTTTTTAAACAGGTACAACTTTATTGTAAAGCAATGTGGCTAATATATCAAAAGCAATAAAAATATTCATACGCTTAGAAATAATAATCCCATTCTGAGAAAATATTCCAAAATGACATGCATGAAGAAAGCCATTACTATAGTATTGATAAGACAGAAAAACTAGAACCATCATTGTCCATCAGTAGGTGAATAATAACTTTGGGTAAGTCAGCTCAGTGAGGAGGTATGTGTACATGCCCACGTGGTTCTCCAGCGATCCCTGAAGATGATCCACTGGAGGCTTCTGTTTCCTGATTGGAGACGTTTCTAGGCCTGGGGGCTTCGAGGCAGCCACAGGAGAGATGGTCTTTTCTCCTGGCATGGGAAAGTGACTTTCTTTGGCAGCGCCAATGCCATCATGAAAAATTAAATTATGAAGAGGATGCAACTGCAAGAAAAGTCTTTTTACATCATAATGTTAACAGGAAAATAGAATGTAAAACCATGTGTGATACTTTAAAATATATGCACATGACCAAAAATAAAAGGAAGGAACACAAAAGAGAAAAATAACAATCTGACAAAGAGATTACTGCTAATATTTTTTCTTTCAAGAATTTCCCTTTTTGTTGTTACAGTCGTGTTGTTATGCATAAAGTTTGGAGAAACTGAAGTACATCTCAAAGTATTTATGAGAATAAGCCATATTTCCTGCGTCAAGAGCATCCCAAAGGAAACCTGTAACAGGGATGGTTCTACGGTATTTAAATGTTCTCTGAGCGGGGCTCCCTCTTGCCAGGGAAGGAGGATCATGCTGGCAGCTGGAATTAGCACCGTTCTCAGCCGCTGTATTAGAGAACCCCAGCAGAGATGAATGCTGCAGGGATTCCAGGCCTAGCATCAATGCCCACAAATCATAATGATGGTGAAAGAAGCAGAAGCCAATGTCTGGGGCTTTTCACACCCAGCAGCTAAAGAAATACAGTCCAGTCATGAGAAACTTAGTTTCAGATCTCACCAACGGGCAGTCTAAGGATGTGCCACATTCTTCACTTCCTATCTGTCTGTGCCAGATATCAACCAACAGTCCCTGGGAAAGAGACAAGAGTGAGCTAGATCATTTCTTGAATCTACTCTAAAACTCCAAGGTGTGAAACTTTTAGACTCCCTAGGAAATCAAGTTGAAGCAAGGAAAAATCAAGACAAAAATTCTCAACTCAAGACAACATGCATTGAATACACATTCATGTAAACGTGCAAAGAGAGATGATACCACTTTAACAAACTGTAAATATTATTTCACACAAAAATCACCATCTAAAAAAATCACTCTTCAAAAAAAAAATAAGGTGGAAACTAAAAGGTTTCAAAGAGATGAATTATTAGACTTACTAAATAAAGTTGGGTCATGGTTAAAACCAAAGCAAACATTTCTGGAACAACTAAATAGGGTGAAATCGAATGGTTTCAAAGAAATGGCATATTATTTTTAATTCAGCAACCTTTAATCAGGAGTTTGTCGATTGACCAAGTTCTAAGCCTTCTCCAAAAGCCAGTAGAGTACCTTTTAGTCACTGTGTGCTTAAGAACTGTGTCAATGTACAACTCTTGCCACCCCAATCCCTACCTTTTACTAACTGGACAGACCCAAAAATGTCAGTTTGGCTGGGAAAGCCAGTCCCTTGAAATGTACTACAACCAGGCCAGATACAGTGGCTCATGCCTGTAATCCCAACACTTTGGGAGGCCAAAGCTGGAGGACCGCTTGAGCCCAGGGTTTGGACACCAGTCTGAGCAACACAGCAAGACCGTATCTCCATTTTTTAAAAAGTACTGTAACCAAGTGAAGGTGCAAAGTTTTCAGATTTGAAAGCAATCTTCTGAGCCTACAAGTGTTGTAATTGAATCCAAAGTTTTGTTGAAAGGCACATACAATCACGTAAGTGGTTTTTGAATGGGAGGCAAAAAACCATAAGAGGCTTTTCAGATAGATTGTAGTGGCCTGTAAACACGTCTTACTTCAAGTTTATTGCTTTTAACAGAAAATCCAAATAATACATGGAGGAGCTGGTCGTTTAAATATCATTCCTATTCCCCAAAAGACAACCCTGTCCCCCCTACCCCGCCACACGCATACAGACTTGCCACACTCCTTCCCAGTGCTTCCCTCTCAGGCTATCTGGAAACACTTTCATAGTTCTCCAGCCATAAGCAAGCTCACCGTCAGTGGATTAGCCAAAGTAACCAGTATTTTAAATTAATCTTCTGCTTATTCTCCATCATGGCTTTGCTGCTATTCCAGAAAAAACGAAGGAAGATTTTCCTCTGCTTAAAAACCACAACACCTTTATGAGGTTCAAGACAACTAAGTTAAATACACATACATGTAAACATGCAAAGAGAAATGACACAACTTTAACAAACTGTAAATATGTTTTCCATAAAAGTCACCATTTTAAAAGTCACTTTTCAAACAAAACAAAGCAAGGGCCAGGACTTAAAATGATCAGTAGGTTTTTTGGTTTTTTTTTTTTTAATTGTTATACTAAAAAAGTAACCACAGGGAACTGTCCTAAGAAGTTCAAAAAAGAACTTCGTCAGTCTCTGCCTTCAAGTGAAACATTAGGCCAAAGAATCTTAAGAGTTGGGATCAACTCTGCCTCTACCCTCCCCTCTCTTCACAGTCCTCAAAGAGCAGACATGAAAAAGATTTCAAAGAGGGAATTTAAGAGGGTTTCTAAAAGGTTTCTCTGGCACTCTCATCACTCATCGCAAACTCTCTGGGCAGGAACGACACTTGTTCAGTTTTTTTTTTCCTCTCCCTCCCTCCACCTGTTGTCCCAAGTCTCCCTTGGTATGTTGGGGCCATTCGCAATTTCTGCTTGAATGACAAGGTCTCCCCTATAATCCAGTGTCTCCCCTTCAACCCAAGTCGCTGCTTCTAAATTGGAGCCCCCTAGAAAAATATGTGCCAATTAGGGGAGACTTTACGCATCACAAAATGGCCATAGGTTGGTTGGTTTGGTTAGTTTTTCCCTTGTTTTATGCTTTTCAGTATTATGACTGGCTGCACCTTAACCTTCCAAAGTAAGTGAAGCTGAGATGGGTGAAGACGCACACAGTCAGATAGCAGGGGGCTAGGCTAGTGGTCCCTAATTCCCTTTTGGCCTCCCCACCCAAGGTAGCCCCAGACACAGCTCTGGAATTCCAGGCGGGATGCTTGGCATACGTCAGTAATTGAGTTAGGGGGATCTAAAGAAAGACTTCACGTTCACATTCATATGCTAAACTTAGTTAAAAATAGATGCAAGAAGGGCCTGACTTCACTTTTAATTTTAGCCTGGTGATGAACATGCCCTAAAGACAGAAAGTCACCAGGCATTTTCCTGAGCGCAGTGATCTTCATATTTTTATAAAAAGGAAATGCAGCATGTTCTATTAATAAAAGTGCTGTAGCCTCAGTTAAATCCGGACAGTTCGTAAATCAGGGCTCCCTCTGGCTTAGCTTCCCTGCACCACTCACTCACACCCAAGCCCCAGAAAGTGGGCAGGTCACATGCATGGGGGGTAAAGTGAGCAGGACACCAGGGGCCCAGGAATCAAAGGCCACACTGGATGGCTTTGTGATCAGTGAGGCACTCCAAGGCATGGCTCCCAGACACTTCCCAGGTGATCAAATGACTCAAACAAGTGCATTTGCCAGTCATTCTTAAAGGGCTAATGAAAAGATCGACACTGCCAGGATGAAGCCCTGTGTGTTACGAGATTAGTGATGAAAAGGGGGCTGGGTTCTGGCTGTAAGAGGCAAACAAGGTAGAAAGGAGAGAAAATGTGGTGCTTGCTTCAGGAAGAGCAGGCAATTTCACCTTTTCCTTCCAATCTCAAAGCTGGCAAAGTTCAAGCTGGCTTCTAGTCATCTAGCTACTTACCTTTCATTCACCCACCGAGGCAGGATCTTCCCCACTGTCCATGCCCATCAAGCCACATGACAAAATAAAATGGAGCCAGGTAGAAAAAATGCCATCCTTAGAGCACTGAGCCTCCTCATTCAGGCTAAATGATCATCCCAAACTTAGGCAAGGTGGCCCAAGGTCCCCAAGAAAGTGCTGGAGAATATCATGGGGTTCAGTGGGGGTACCCACGTCACAGGGATGTCCAAACACATAAGCTCCGGCCCAGCCTTGGGATTCTTAGGATCTTGGTGAATGCACTGCAGTCTTCTTTTCTAAATGAACATCAGAGACCTCACCTCTTGCCAGGCACTGTGGTAAGCATCATATGGACAATCTCATGTCATCCTCACAACAGCCAAATGAGGTTGGTTGAAACAACTGTGGCACAGAACAGTAAGACCACACACATCCTAAGTAACAGGCTGTGCTACCTAACCCAGATCTCTCTCAATCCAAAGCCCAGGATGGTGGCAACAGAAAGGGCCCAATAAGGCCACAGTGGGAGGAATGCGGTCTATTTCCATTTTCTTCCCTTATCCTTGGATAAATTTCCCGCCCTCAAAGGAAGACCGACTCTGATGTTTTGGTGGCAGTTTTTGTTCTTGATTTGCCTTGCCCCAATTTTCCCATGTTTATATTACAGCTGCTTGTAAAACCCTATAATCCTCAATCTAAACAATCCTACAATAGTTTGAGCCCCAAGAGAGACATAAATTCTGTAAGGTAAGATGGAAAGACTGTGAGCTTTGGAGCCAGACAGATGTGAGTTAGGATCTCAGCCTCCTACTTGCTGGCCAGGTGATTTTTGTTTTTTATTTTTTTCTGAGACAGGGTCTCTCTCTGTCACCCAGGCTGGAGTGCAGTGGTATAATCATAGCTCACTGCAGCCTCAAATTCCTGGGCTCAAATGATCCTCCTACCTCAGTCTCCTGAGTAGCTGGGGCTACAGGCATGTACCACCACAGCCAGCTAATTTTTTAAAAACTTTCTGTAGACATGGGGTCTGGCTATATTGCCCAGGCTAGTCTCAAACTATTGGCCTCAGGCAATCGTCCTGCCTCAGCCTCCCAAAGTGCTGAGATTACAGGCATGAGCCACTGCACCCAGCCCCCAGGTGATTTTTAAGAAGGGTCTGTCGGCTCCACAGCCCAATATTAAATTTAAGGACATCTGAAAACAGAACTGGCCAAGTGGCTGAGCTGATGTCTTGTTCTGTTTAACTTTTTATTACGGAAACTTTCAAATTATACAAAGGTAGAGAGAATAATATAATGATTTCCATGTACTCACCACCCAGCTTCAAAAATTATCAATCTATGGCCAATCTTGTTTATTTTGCACCCCCCTTCATTATTTTGAAGCTAATCCCAGACATATCATATTTAATCTATACTTTAGTATACAACCCTAGAGTATAACTGCTTTCTTTCTTTCCTTCCTTCCTTCCTTCCCCTCTCTCTCTCTCTCTCTCTCTTTCTTTCTTTGTGCCATCACACTGGGCTAATTTTTTGTATTATTTGTAGAGACAGTTTCACCATGTTGTCCAGGCTGGTCTCGAACCCCTGGATTCAAGTGATCTGCCCATCTTGGCCTCCCAAAGTGCTGGACGACCATGAGCCACAACACCCAGCCAACTTCTGTATTTTAACATAATCAAAATACCATTACCACAGCTATAAATAAGTAACTAATAAATAATATTCTTTTTAATGTTCACATAATCAAATAAATAATACATGAATAAATAATTCTTTAACCTCACTATTCAAATATAATATCTTAGTTATCATATATATCATAGATTATCATATATATGTATATGCATGCATGTATACATGTTACAGTTAGATTTGTTTTGAGCTAGGACCCAAACAAGAATTATATACTACATTTTGCTGATAAGTATTTTAAGTCCTTTTTAATCTACAGATAACCCCTCCTGCTATTTTGATTCTTAAAATTTATTTGTTAAGGAAACCAGGCCTGCAGCATGTCCCATTTTCTGATTACCTGATTCATCTGCCCGATATCATTTGTACATGTTCCTGCATCCCTTGTATTTTCTATAAACTGGTAGTTAAATCTCAAGCCTGCCAAGACATTAAGATCGATCAGTGGGTTTGAATATTATCAGCCTGATCCCTCCATTATAAAGAACGCCATCAGCTGCACCTAACAGCTTAGTAGCCATTAACAACCACATTGTCTAAACTCATTATTCACCAGGGGTTGCAAAATGCTAATATTCATTCCTTCTGTATTTATTAGACGGCATTCTTCTATGAAGAATTTTCTGACTGGTCATGGTGACTCATGCCTGTAATCCAACACTTTGCGAGGCTGAGGCGGGAAGATCACCGAAGCCAGGAGCTTGAGACAAGCTTGGGCAATATAGGAAGAGCCTATCTCTACAAAAGAAAAAAAAAAGTAGCCAGGCATGGTGACATGTGCCTGTAGTCCCAGATACTCAGGAGGCTGAGGTGGGAGGATGGCTTGAGCCCAGGGGGTCCAGGTTACAGTGAGGTATGATGGTGCCACTGCACTCCAGCCTGGGTAACAGAGCAAGGACCCTGTCTCTAAAAAGAGAGAGAGAGAGAGACTGAAGAAGGAGGACAGGAGGAAGACAAAGGGGATGAAAGTTGGTTCCCCAGCACCCTATAGTGGAAACTACTGAATTTTTATTTTTTTATTTTTATTTATTTTCTTTTTTAAAAAATTTTTTTGAGACAGAGTCTCACTCTGTTGCCCAGGCTAAAGTGCAGTGGCACCATCTCGGCTCACTGCAACCTCCACCTCCCAGGTTCAAGCGATTCTCATGCCTCAATCTCCAGAGTAGCTGGGACTACAGGGGTTAGCCACCACACCCAGCTAATTTTTGTATTTTTAGTAGAGACGGGTTTTCACCACGTTGGTCAGGCTGGTCTCAAACTCCTGACCTCAGGTGATTCCTCCCTCTCAGCCTCCCAAAGTGCTGGGATTACAGGCATGAGCCACCAAGCCCGGCCGAAACTACTGAATTTTTTTAACTTATAGATTTTGCACATGTTAATATATTTGATGTATGTAAATCCACTATAGTTATTATTTTTAATGCCCAAATTGTTCAATATTTGGACAGGGGGAGCCCCTTCAATTAGCTTCTGAGTACTTCTCACAGGACACCGTGGTCTTTGATAGCTTCTTTGCTTTCTGATACAACAAGATATTCCAGCTCATCTTGTACACTTTCTGCCCCAGGCCTGGAATCAACATTTTTCTAAGGATTCTTAGTTTCTTTTTAGCAGAAAAAATGTACTTAGAGGCCATAATCTGGATGTTACAGGTGCTTACTGCTACTAGGTTTGTCATTATTTCTAGGCTGTTCAGTAGACAAGGTTAGAAAAATTTTTTTATTTGTTTAAAAGAAAATACATCAGGAGTTCTTACTAATATTTCCAATTCAAATTTAGAATTACAGGATTTTCATTTAATATCTTGATGGTAAAATTGTCACTGTTTTTGTATACTGAAAATTTTGGTTTCTAATGATTGCAACATAATTGCTCTTATTATGTATACTCATATGTTTATGTGGGTGTGTGTGGATATATATTAGTGTCAGTACAGTTCTATCAACATTTTTACTTACAATATTACTGAAAACAGCTCAAGATTAATTTGGCATTCACGTTGACGGTAAGATATACACTAGGGATGTATAATTAAATTAATTGTGTTTTCAAGTTATCTGAAATAATTGTGTGGTTAAACCACCAACTTGATACATAAGTTTGTTTCACTTTAGTCTTGATTTTTGGGGATTACTTTTGTCCATGTGAATTTAATTTTTTTATAATTAAGACAAACATCTATAAGCTTCCAAAGTCAAATCTACAAAACAAAACACATTTGGAGAAGTCTAGCTTCTACCTCTGACCCACTCTTCCATTTCCTACCTACACATACAGGTAAATATTTTTATTGGTTTATTCTTCCATTTTTAAAAAAGTATAAGCAAGTACATGTATATTTCTTAAATAATAGATAGCATGCCATCCGCTTTTTCTGCACTCTGCTTTTTCATTTAATAGTACGCCCTGGAGATCATTCCATAGCAGTACACGGAGATCGTCCCCCTTCCCTGTCATTGATACATAGAATACTGTGTTCTACGTATCAGGGTGTGGAATGTGTATACAACTGGCTATCTTCTCTGTAAGAAAGCAGGGTGATGGCTGGGTGTGGTGGCTCACGCCTGTAATCCTAGCCCTTTGGGAGGCTGAGGCAGGTGGATTGCCTGAGCTCAGGAGGTCGAGACCAGTCTGGGCAACGCCCCGACTCTACTAAAATACAAAAAAATTAGCTGGGTGTGGCAGTGTGCATCAGTAATCCCAGTTACTTGGGAGGCTGAGGCAGGAGAATTGCTTGAACCTGGGAGGCGGAGGTTGCAGTGAGACAAAATCGTGCCATTGAACTCCAGCCTGGGCGACAGTGTGAGACTCTGTCTTAAAAAAAAAAGAAAGAAAGAAAGCAGGGTGAGAGGAAGGTGAATATATATTTGTATTTGCTTCAGTGACCAGAGGGGCCAGATTTGAGGGATGTCCAATGTAGGGATGAACAGGAAGATCAGAGCCTACAGGCTGCCTAATCTCAGACACTGTGTTCTACACATCAGTATAGAGGAAGGAGGGCGATCCTTTACTCAACCCATTCCCTGGTGATGGACATCTGGGTTGTCTCCAGTCTTTTGCTATTGCAAATAGTGACATGATGGAGAAGCTTGTGCCTATGTCTTTTAAAAAATTTTTGTGTGTGTATCTTGGGATAGATCCTATAATAGGATTGATTGGTCAAAAGGTAACCCACATGTACTTTTGCTAGATATTGCCAACTTCTCCATAAAGGTTGTATCATTTCATGTTCCCTACCAAAAAGTGATATGTTTTACATGCTGACAAGTTTTCTTTAATCCTTCCAAAATCTTGGGAGCTTTAATTAAAAACCTCTGAGAGAAATGTGAATGAAAGCCATCTGATTCAATTCTCTACATTTTAGACCGAGGAAATTTCTTTGAGAAAGGGCAGTGATGTTCTCAAGGAACTGCCTGACCCAGTTTGGCACTTTACACATAATCTCTGTCTCCCCTAGTGATGTCAGAGAAGTCAGCACAGTGTTAAATATTCGGTTTGAAAATATGATAGATTAGTTTTGGTCTTTGTGAACCGCAAGTGGCTTCCTGAATTGGAAATGAAAGTTTACTGGGGAAGGAGAGCTTCTCAGTGCTTTTTTCTTTCCTCATCCCTTCACAGCCCTTCTAACAAAGCACAGATCTATTTGGAATTTAATGGTACCATTCAAGTGCTGGCTCCTATCCACACCAACACCACTGAAGATCATCTCCCTTGAGCGTCCTCCCAGCAGCTGGGATTAGACAGCATATAGACTCTGCCACTCAATGCTACTATCTTTTTTTTTTTTCCTGAGACCAGTCTTGCTCTGTCACCCAGGCTGGAGTGCAATGGCATGATCTCAGCTCACTGCAGCTTCCGCCTCCTGGGTTCAAGCGATTCTCCTGCCTCAGCCTCCCAAGTAGCTTGGATTACAGGTGCCCACCACCATGCCTGGCTAATTTTTTGTATTTTTAGTAGAGACGGGGTTTTGCCATGTTGGTCAGGCTGATCTCAAACTCCTGACCTCAGGTGATCCACCCACCTCGGCCTCCCAAAATGCTGGGATTACAGGTGTGAGCCACCGTGCCTGGCCCCTACTTTCAACATCTCTCAAATCTCACCCTCTGGTCACTGAAGCAAATATGAATACATATTCACCTTCCTCTCACCCTGCTTTCTTACAGAGAAGGCAGCCAACTGTATATACCTTCCACACCCTGATTTTTGCCCTTAGTAATATATTCTTGAGACTTCTCTGTATCCGTACCCAGAGATGGTCCGAATAGTATTGGGAGGATGTAGCCAAGTGTTATTCACGAATCCCCTATTGCTGGACACACGGTTGTTCCAATCTTTTTTGGCCTCTATGTCTAGGGACTGAGCCCAGGCCTGCTGCTCTCCCTCCACCATCAAGATCCCACCAAATACACAAGTCAGATCCCAGCCTAAGGGGTTCTGGCTACACTGGCAACTGCTGGAGCTGGGCCATGAGAAGAGCACCAAGTCACGGGTGCCCAGGGAGAGTCTTACTTCCAAGAACCCCACAGGAGCAGAGGCTACAATCTTCTAACACCTTCCACTTTCAGTTTCCTGAATCACAAAACTCAGACCCTGAAGCCCATATAGTTCATATCCTAGGTGGGCTCAGAGAGGGAACAAATGCCACCACATAACAATCACTAAAGTCAGTATTTTTACCTATAGTTCACTTAGTCATTCAACAAATATTTAGTGAGCATCTTCCAGGTGTCAGGAATTGCTCCTAGGCCCTGGGGGGTAAATCACTGAGTACAACTCTCCTGCCATTGGAGAGCTTATGTGGTGGGGGCAGGGTGAAAGGAGCCATAATAGACAGTAAGAACATAATAAATGAGTAAATTATATAATTTGTCAGAACAGCGGTCCCCAACCTTTTCGGCACCAGGGACCAGTTTTTTGGAAGACAATTTTTCCATGGACTATGGTGGCAAGGGATGGTTTAGGGATGATTCCAGCATATCACATTTATTGTGTACTTTATTATTTATTGTAATATATAAGGAAATAATTATACAACTCACCATAATATAGAATCAGTGGGAGCCCTGAGCTTATTTTCCTGCAACTAGATGGTCCTATCTCGGGGTGATGGGAGACAGTGACAGATCATCAGGCATTAGGTTCTCATAAGGAGCATGCAACCTAGATCCCTCCTATGTGCAGTTCACAATAGGATTTGCCCTCCTATGAGAATCTAATGCCACCACTGATCTGACAGGAGGCGGAGCTCAGGCAGTAATGCGAGTGATGGAGAGCAGCTGTAAATACAGATGAAGCTTCGCTTGCTCGCCCACCGCTCACCTCCTGCTGTGTGGCCTCGTTCCTAACAGGCCACAGCCTGGTACCCGTCCATGGCCTGGGGGTTGGGGATCCTTATGCTAGAAGACAACAAGTGGAAGAAATAAAGCAAAATAAGACAGCCTGGATGGGAAGAGATGGGTTCAAGATGCAATTTAAATAGGGTGGTTGGAGTAAGTCTCCCTGAGGAATCGTGAGCAATCACTTATTTTCCAGGCAGCTTCTTTTTTTTTTAAGCTGCCACAAGTCGACTGTCATTATTACTGCTATAGTTAAACTGTCATTATTGCAAATGTCAAGGCAATAATAAAGCAGTATCTTGGTGTTGCTGTTGTCTTGATTTGTGTTATTTTAGAAATTGCTTGAGGCCAAGCATGGTCACTCACACCTATAATCCCAGCACATTAGGAGGCTGAGGCAGAATGATCGCTTGAGCCCAGAAGTTTGAGACCAGACTGAGCAACATGGTGAAAACCGGACTCTACAAAAAAATACAAAAAAAATTAGCCAGGCATGGTGGTGCACACCTGTAGCCCCAGCTCCTTGGGAGGTTGAGGTGGGAGGATCAGTATGCACTCTAGTCTGGGTGAGAGTAAGGCCCTGTCAAAAAAAAAATTAAAAAAAAAAGAAGAGGAAGAAGAAGAAGAAGTGGAAGAGGAAGAGGAAGAAGAGGAAGGGGAAGGGGAACGGGAGGAAGAGGAGGAGGAAGAGGAAGAAGAGGAAGAGGAAGAAGAAGAGGAAGAGGAAAGGAAAGAAAAGAAAAGAAAAAAAAGAACAGAAATTGCTTGAAATAGGCAGATGCTAGCTTAGGGCTTAGAAACTTTTTTTTGAGATGCAGAAATGTATCATTGAAAGCATTGATGCAAGCAGGTTTTAAGGAGTGTTCCTAGTGGTCATTTCCACCATTTATCCTATTTGGATCAAATCTCTCAGAAATTCAGCCTGGAAATTGCCTGCACACAATCTGGCCTCTGGCTGGAGATGACAGCATGAGACAAAAAGCTGGCTTACATGAGGACACATGTATTCAGTACTGCTTTCCTACCAAGGCATGTTCACCTGTCATCTCATTGACTGTTTGAACAAGCCCCATACCCTGGTCCCCCTTTAACCCATGTGGACTCTAAGAAGCTAAGTGCTACCTCTGGTCACACAGTGGCTTGAGAGTGGAGCCCAGAGCAGAGCTGAAGTTTATGACTTTCCGCATTTATATTCTTCTTATATGGCCTCTCTGAACATAAATGTCTGTCTAGCCCTTTCAGACAGGCAGTCCAAATAAAACATAAGCTGGAGAAAACCAAGCTTTGGCGTCACATCAGGTCTCACCCATGAGAGCATCCTGACTAGTATTTCTCATCACCAAGTCAGTTAGATTGAAAGTTCAGTTGCAGTTAAGTTCCTCATTCCCAGATATTCAACACACTATGTGCCAGGGGCTCTGCTAGGTGATGAGGATAGCAAAGGTGAGTGGCAGTGGCCTTGACTGCAAGGACTTTGCATGGTCTTTATGGGAGACAAGCAAGAGGAGAGCACGGACAAATGCTACTATGGGAGCCACAGACAATTACAGGAAGAGGGTCACTCAGCCCTCCTTCCTGCTTAGGGTTGGGGAAAGCTCCCTGGAAGAGGTGAGGTCTAAGCAGAATTCAGAATGTTCTAGTTGAGGAGAGGGAAAGAGGGCAGCCAAGAGAGGACAGGAAGTTCTGGAGCTGGAGGGCTGAGTGGGGCAGATCTGGAAAGGCCTTCCATGCAGTCTGAACCTTAACCTAAAGGCCAGGAGAAGCCACAGCAGGGCTTCCAGCAAGCAGAGGACAAGGTCAAGACTGTGCTGCTGCAGAGAAAGAAGGAGTGGAGCCCAATCCAGCAGGAGGCCGGGGGTAGAGCTGGGAGGCCTGAACTAAGGGGACGGCAGTGGGCAGGGACAAGGAGGAGGAAATTCAAACGAAAAAGAGGAGGGCACGCAACTTGGAAGGAGTCAGAAGGCCTGGCTCTGAGCCCGGGATCTCCGATCATTGGCTAGGTGACCCTGAGCTACTCCTAGTTACTTAGTCCCTACCTACTTCACAGGGTTGTTGGAGGATTAACTGGGATAACCTAGAAGGAAACAAAGTGCCCTGTGAATGCTACAGACTGTAAAACACAGCGCCATTCACTCACCCCCCAGCACTGTTGCATCATGGCTAGGAGACGTCAAATTACCCTCACAGGTGTGTAAGTTTCCCCTGCTCCACCGAACTGCTCTAATACTCGGCTGGCCTTTGGTAAATCCAGTCTCCTTTCTGGACCTCATCACCTTTTCTGTAAAATAAAAGAGCTGACTCAGGTGATTTTTAGGGTTTCTTTCAGTTTGAAGTTCTGCAGTTTTGTTGTCTTTTTCATCTTGTGTCCCGACTTCCATGGTCATAATTACTTGCCAAATGAAAAACTATTGAAGGAAGATTCATCAACAGAAGAAAAAAAAACTAATGAGTGATTGATTCTGAAAACAAAGATGAAAAAGTGTATATTCTTTAAACACCTTAAAGGGTTACATTAACATGCTCCATTCAATGACATACTAATAAAAATTTGAAGACGTTTCACCCAAACAATGATTCTTATGTACAATATTTGTGATCCTAAAAGGTTAAAATATCATTGGCCTAGAAATTTACCCAAGAGAAGCTGAAAGATATGTCCAGATAAAGACTTGCAAAGGAATGTTCATACGAGCTTCATTTGTAATAGCCAAAACCTGGAAACAACCTAAATGTCCATCAACAGATGGATAAAGAGTTTGCACTATATCCACAAAACAGAATACTACTTAGCAAAGTAAAAGGCCCAAAGTTTTGATACAAGAAACAACATAGATGAACCTCAAAATCATTATGCTAAGCAAACCCATAAAATAGGAGAACATATTTGCAAATTATACACCTGATAAGGGCCTACTCTCCAGAATTTTCAAAGACTCTTACCATTCCAAAACAAGAATGTAAAAAACCCAGTTTTAAAATGGATGATAGATTTGAGTAGACATTCCTCAAAAGAAGATATACAAATGGCCAACAAGCCAACATGAAAAGAAGCTCAATATCATTAGTCATTACTGAAATACAAATCAAAACCACATTGAGATAGTACTTCATACACCCACTAGGATGGCCATTAAAAAAAAAAAAGAACAGGCCGGGCATGGTGGCTCATGCCTGTAATCCCAGCACCTTGGGAGGTCAAGGCAGGTGGATCACGAGGTCAGGAGATCGAGATGATCCTGGCTAACATGGTGAAATCCCATCTCTACTAAAAATACAAAAATTAGCCAGGCGTGGTGGCATGGGCCTGTAGTCCCAGCTACTTGGGAGGCTGAGACAGGAGAATCGCTTGAACCCGGGAGGAAGAGGTTGCAGTGAATCGAGATCACGCCAATGCACTCCAGCCTGGGTGCCAGAGCAAGATTCCATCTCAAAAAAAAAAAAAGAATTACCATATGACCCACCAATTCCACTCCAAGATATATACCCAAAAGAACCAAAAACAGATGTTCAAACAAAAACTTGTACAAAAATGTTCACAGTAGCACTATTCACAATAGTAAAAAGGTGGAAAAACCCAAATGTCTATCAATAGATGAATGGACAAAGAAAACGTTTTCGGTACCTATACAATGGAGTATTATTCGGCAGTGAAAAGGCATGAAGTGCTGACACATGACACAGTATGGATGAACCTTGAAAGCATGATGCCATGTGAAAGAAGCCAGACACAAAAAGCCACATATTATGTGATCCCATTTATATGAAATCTCCCGAATAGGCAAATCCATAGGGATGGAAAGCAGATTGGTTTCCAGGGACTGGGGAGAGGTGGGAATGGGAAGCAACTGCTTAGTAGGTATGAAGTTTCCTTTTGAGGCAATGCAACCATTTTGGTACTGGAGAGTGGTGATGGTTGCATAACACTGTGAACGTACTTGATGTCACTAAATTATGCACTTTAAAATAGTGAAAGAAGACACACACACACACACACACATGAGTACATACTTGGATTTCATTTGTATAAAATTCTAGGAAACGCAAACAAAGAAAGCAGATCAGTGGTTCCCTGAATGTGAGGGGGATAAGGAGAAGAGGGAAAGATAAATTATAAGAAGTATGAAGAAACATTGTGGGGTGATAATTTTTTTTTTCGAGATGGAGTTTTGCTCTTGTTGCCCAGGCTGGAGTGCAATGGCGCTATCTCCACAGCTCACTGTTGTAACCTCTGCCTCCCGAGTTCAAACGATTCTCCTGCCTCAGCCTCCAGAGTAGCTGGGATTTCAGGCGCCCACCACCACGCCCGGCAAATTTTTTGTATTTTTAGTAAAGATGGAGTTTCACCATGTTGGCCAGGCTGGTCTCGAACTCCTGACCACAGGTGATCCACGTGCCTCGGCCTCCCAAAGTGCTGGGATTATAGGCGTGAGCCACCACACCCAGCCAACAATGTTTATTATTATCTCAATTGTTTAATGGTTTAATGGATCCTGATGGATGCTTTAAACATGTGCAGCTTACCACACTTCAATTATACCTCTTAAAATTGAAAAAAAAAAGACCAAAAAAAGTTTTAAATTTTATTATTAGACCTCTGAATTGTTAGCATTATTGAATTGCTATTTGAAATACACTGAGAAACTCATGGTTTAAAGGATTTTTACTGTAAACCCTGTCGCAGATCAAAAGGCACAATCCTTCCCCAGTTTATGGATTCTGTTCAGTCTGGTTGTTACAGACCATGGTTTCTTAAAGCAAAAGAACACTTGTAACAATGTCTGCAAAGATGGTTCAAAAAGTATGTCTGGCAGAGACTAGCTGAGCTTCATGTGTACTTGTTTCAAGTCAGGAATTCCTTTTGCTATGAATAGGAGCCTTGGACACTTTAATCATTGCAGAATCCTGGTTTTCTGAATTGGTTCAAAAATGGTCTGGTGGAAGTTGGCAGACACACTTTGCAAATCAAACTATCGTGTCTGTTATTATTTTAGCACATGCTGAGAGGATTATAAGTGTTTATGTGCTCTCTGTGAGCATCAAATTTAGGTCTTGTTTAACATGCATAACAAGCAGAGTAAGACAGTGAATCAAATGCCAGAGTCAGATTTGTTCATGGAATTTAAATTGGGATATAGATTTCACTTTAAACCAAAGCTGTACTTAAAGTTTTAAGGGGAAAAAAAAGGGCGGGGGTGGGGGACGGAAACAGGAAAAAAAAGTTTTAATTGGATTGCTTAGTTTGTCTTAAATTTGACCTACTTTCAGATTTATTTTAGTCATTTTTTTCTATAATATTTTCTTGTAAGTGATGGATTTTCTATAAATTAAGGAAACAGATATTTACACAGAGAAGACAGGATTGCTTGAATTAGTATAACATTCTTTATTCCAAGCCCCATTCCACCATGTTTTCATAAATACTATTTTTCTTAGCTTTCCTGGGTCCTAGTAAGGTTGTGCCTCAGTTTCCTCATCTGCATGATGGGGAGAATAACAACACTTACCTCACAGGATTATTGTTGAAGTAAATGGATTGAAAATACCTCAACTGTTTAGAATAGTGGCTGGCACACAGAAAGCACTCTGTACGAGTTAGTTGTTATTCACTTTATTATTACTGCTTCCTTTAACAGATAAGAACACTGATGCTCAGGGTTAGTAGTGGCAAAGCTGAATCCAGAACATAGATCATGCCTGCTCCTGCTCCTTTTCACTACTCCACACCACCTTTTTCACCCATACATATTTTGTGTATGAAAATAGGAGTACCAAAGTGGAACAGGCAAAAATAGCTGTGTAACTTAAATCTAAAAAACATGAACAAACTGCTAGTCACTGACCAGCCCCAAGACTCACCCAGTTTAGGCACCAGGGCAAGTCATCAGTCATTTTTAAAGCCTGCTTCATACAGTGATTTTGAAAACAGAGTTAAAAGGCTTCTGCAAAGAACCAACATAACTTCAAGAGGATACCCAAAAAAATCTGATGAGCAGTACAAATTACATCAGTATCCACTTATTTCCATTAGCATTAAAATGGACATTAAAAGCACTGCAACTCAAGAGATGGAATGTCTCTTATAGAGTTAAATGGGAAGTAGCTGACCCATGGATCAAGTCCTATGAAGTCAGGACTAGAAAAATCCAGAGGCTCTAGATAATATCTATGGGGTGATACAACGCAAACATATTTGCAAGGCTGTTTGATATAAACTGTGTGTCCAAACTCATGCATTCTAAAGTGATCCACATATTTCATTACAATTGCTCCTTAAATATTTAATCAAATTAAAAGACAAAGCCACCAGATGAAAGTCTGTTGGAACATAGATATTCAGAGGGTCTCATGGTAGCACCTCTGCAGACAACTTACTACTTATCACAAACAGAAAAATGTCTGTCTACAATGGAGCAATCCGGTGGCCGCCATGTTAAACAAGGGGTCAAACTCTTAGCCTATCTTTGCCAAAATGTTTAACCTGGATCTGGTCATGAAGAAACAACAGTCACAGCCATATCATGGTTCATTCTCCAAGACAACTAGCCTGTAATCTTCAGTATTGGAAAGTAGAAAGAGGTGGGTATACTTGGTAGATTAAAAAGAAGAAATGGCTGGTGCAGTGGCTCATGCCTGTAATCCCAGCACTTTGGGAGGCTGAGGCAGGAGGATTGCTCAAGTCCAGGAGTTCGAGACCAACCTGGGCAACATGGTGAAACCCCATCTCTACAAAAAATACAAAAATTAGGAGAGCGTGGTGGTGCACGTCTACAGTACCAGCTACTTGGAAGGTTGAGGTGGGAGATTGCTTGAGCCAGGGAGGTCAAGGCTGCAGTGAGCTGTGATTGCACCCTGTACTCCAGCCTCAGTGACAGAGTGAGACCCTGTCTCAAAAAAAGAGAAAGACATTATAAACAAATGCAAAAAAAAAAAAATCAGCTATATGAGAGATTATCTGACAAATGAAAGTTAAAAACCTAGTGTTTATTAGAAAAAAATTAAATAAGACTAATTTCCTGAGCTATGATAACAAAATTATAGTTATGCAAATTACTTTCAAATAGTTCAGGAAAAGAAAAAGCAAGAGAGAGCACACTCAAGGGCAAGCAAGAATGCAAATATAGTCCCCGCAAAGCAAGGTTTACTTTTTAAAAATACAGTCCAAATTATATCCTTGGTTGAAACAAATTTGAAGCAGAGTGGGAATTGGGGTGGCAGAAATAATAATGGGCATTCCTATAACTGGCTTGGGAGTAAGAAGTAAAATGTGTTTTGTTTCCTTTAAATATTAGTTATGCTTTTACATCTCAAAAGGTTCATCTTTAAACCACAGCTTGAAGGTGTTAAGAGGACGTTTCTGGGTATGAAAGGAAGGTAGGTACTGGGTTTTTCCTCTATTAAGGATCTGGGGAAAAAGAGTAACCTTGAACAAAGAAGAGCAGAGAAGAAAATGTGATGGTTGGCTTCTGTTTGGCAGGAAGGAACAGAGCATGAGATGCCCAGGAGAGACCCAGTCTACTGCCACTCCCATAAAAGTCCCGTGTGGGTGGGTGAGCAGGATGGGGTGAGAGGAGATAACACAACCAAGGATGCTTTTCTCAACCCTCTTAGGGGAAGTGAGTAGACTAAGGCTGGTACATACACGGTTAATTTATGAATGCCTCCATTTCTCTCTCCTCCATTCCCAGGATGACAAAATGGTGGCTTAGCAGAAAATATAAGACAGAAATACAGGGATTCTCATCACAGCCTGATGACTCCCTCGCTGTGTGACCTTCAACAATTCACTTGACTTCTCTGATGCTCATTTGTCTTACCTAGAAAAACAGGAAGGCTGGGCTAAAACAGCTCTCAGCTACCTTCCAGGACTAAAATGTAAGATGCTAAAGGGCAGCTCAGTCTTCAAGACAGTGCAATACCAATGTGAAATGTCTACTCCTTCTGTTGCTGTTTTTAAAAATGAAATACTCGCAGGTACAGACGGTTAGGAAAAGAAATAGATAAAGAAAAAAATAGTTTTATTGTTTTCTTTTATTGTAAAAGTAATACATGCTCACTGAATTTTAAAAAAATAGACCATATTAAAAAGGAAGAAAAAAAGACAAACCAGTCTAATTGCCCCACCCAGAGTTAGAACTACTGTTAATGTTCTTTACATTTGTTCTTCAGATGTTTTTTAAGGCTGGCAGGCACCAGCACACACTCATACACATCTTTTCAAAAACAAACATGAGATCTTTGCATACATGCTGTTTGTAATTTTTTTAGTTAATATTATATGGTTCTCCTTCCATATCAATCAATGCAAAATAGCAGCATCATTCTAATGGCTGAGTAGTACATGACCTTATACCTACACATGGTTTATGTTTCCAACTGAGAAACATTTAAGTGGTTTCTAATTTTCACTTTTCTAGACAGTGTTGAAATAAATATGCTTATGTTCATCCTCATGTATGTACATATTTGAAGACTTTAAATCAAGATTTAATCACAGACTTCTCTCTCTTTTTATGCAGAAGGTTAAAATATTGATCATTTCAAATACCAAATAAAGTTTCTCCACAACTCTGCTATTGCCAGCGCAGGAGGATGCAGCACTGGCCCCACAGCGCCCACATCCTGGCTCTGGAAACACTCGGTCTCCTGATTCAGTGAGGCTACACGGAAGCATGAGGCCCAGCTTTGGGACAACTATGACATCTGCAAGGCTGCAAAGAGGTTTTAGGGCGAGCTCCAGGCTGGTCTCTGCGGCCAACTGACTGTGCGTCACGGTTCAGGAGTCCCTGCAGTAGCCACAGCCGTGCTCCTGTAAAACGTTTGTGGGTCCTATGTTTACATTCTCTGACTCTGAAACCATCGATGTCACCAAACACACTCCTGTTGGCCTGTGTTTAACACAATCCAATTCAGACACATGAAAATTATTATCTCTGTCTCCCAAGCTGAAAGTGCTACTTTCAGTTTGTTAAAGTAAATGTTAAAGTACTTACTTTAACATTCCAAAAAATTATTCTTATACCAAAAACATTTTTAGAGATTGAAGAACAGTATAAAACCTTTTCCTGTTCACTGACATTAGTGTTTATTTTTCTGACTTTTAAAATTATGTCACTGA
Source organism: Homo sapiens (assembly GCF_000001405.40). Lineage (NCBI taxonomy): Eukaryota > Metazoa > Chordata > Mammalia > Primates > Hominidae > Homo > Homo sapiens. Next base: position 110,651,348 of record NC_000010.11, on the reverse strand, counting down.
TCCAAATATTCTTTGTGAATGCTAGAGAAAGTATTTCATTCTCTTTTTGTGGTTATTGTTGTATTCATGGGTGATCAGTGTCACAAATATGTACCTGTGTCCATGGCTAAATTTAATTGATGTGGGACATATTCCGTATCAGGTGATGGAGGAAGTAGATGGAGGGAGGCATTCTACATTGGGTATCACTCCACAATTTTGCTAAGATTTGCACAAGAGCCACCTAATTTTATTCTTGGAAGAAACTGCAATTGATCATTTCCAATCCCTGGAGAGGCTAGATTAGAAAGGTTAATTGGCTTGTCCAGGTCACTGACTCCCAGTCCAGAGTTTTTTCCTCTGTGGCACTCCTCGACAGAAGCCCAGTAATTAACTTAGAGCAAAGATGCTCATTTTACACCTGAAAATATCAGACTGATCTTAAATCATTCTGTTCAATAATTAATTCAAAATAAACCAAAGGAGGAGATTTAGTGAAACCAATGCATCTTTAAAATATATATTACCTAGTCTACTCCTGACACTGGAGGGCAGGTTGAAGGGCAGGCCTAACAAAACTTAAAAACATATTCGGGAAGGAGTCCACAGACAAGTTGCAAAACCAAAAAGTATTTAAGATGTCCAGACAGCAGCAATTGGAGGTTTCCAGGTTTGGGTCAGAGTGGGAAGTGGTAACTGAGAACTGATGGGTCATTAGTGTGATCAAGAGAAAGCAGGTGCAAAGAAAAGGCAGAAGCAAGTGGCCCTGGTACAGCCTTAAAGCAAATACCACATTAAAGAAGGCAAAATTGGCGTGGAAACTATCTTCATGGGGTGATAACCACTCCCAAACACATGCATGACCCCCCTGCCTTTTGTTTCTGAACACATGGAAAGATTGATTTGTCCAACTGAGCTGTGAGTTATGAACACATCCTCATGCAAGTTGCTTAACTGCTCCCTTTTTGCCCATAAAGTACATCAGCACCAATATGTGCCATCTCCCCTACAGATCTGCTGTCAGCAAGTTGGAAAAGTTGCCTTAGAAACCATCAGGGGACTTACTTATCTTATAAAATCCATCAGGAGCTGTGGGGAAGAGGAAGATCAATCAACTTGACTGTAACTTCCACCGCGGTAAAGAGTTTATCATATTAAATGGATATATGCAACATATCCAAAACACACACAAGTTATTTGGGGGGAGGGGTCCTTCTCACTTTCACTTCCTCCCCCAACAGCTGGCAGTGATAACTTCTCCCCACACTTGCTGTGTGTAAACTTTGAAGACTAAAATCTTGTACAGCTCTTTAGTTGGGTGGAATTTAAACAGTGACCACCCATGGAGCCAGTCAAACTATCAGCTCACCAACAATACCCCCGTGGTGGTGTTGCAAACCAAATTCACATTCCTGATTCAAAAACATGTCTTCTTAATTAGGATCAGAATCTGCCAGTCTACTCACTGGTGGGAACATGCAGTATTAGGCATCCAGGATAACACGCATATTCTCAAGATCCAGCCAGGTTCTTTAAACAGAAAGGGAACTGCCGTGTGCTCCTTTCTGCAAACCACTAATTACCATCTTTGCCATGATTCTGTAATATGGATCATTTTACTTAATGCAAAACTTTTCAACACTCTAAACGCAGCTACCAGTCACTCACACTAGCTGCAGATCCACAGCAATTTTCCCTGTTAAAATATACCAAATAATATCATTTAGACCATCCCCAATTAAATAATCACTGTGGCAGGAAATAAAAATCAGATTAAGTAGGATTTTGTGGTGTAGGAGACCATTCAAGCTTTTGTCTGGCAGGGAGACCAGGACAGATGAAGGGAGAGGGGTGTCCTACTTCTGAACTTCTCTTTTGGGTTTTAACTCCAGTATCTCAAGCTTCCTCAATTCTTACTTTCCATATTTAGTTCAGTCCATTTTAATTTCTATCCCTTGATTAAACCCCAGTTCCCAACATTTTGTGTATTCTTGTTTATCAAACCTGTGAATTGAGCTATATCAATTTGTTCACTTGAGGACCGGCTGTTGTGGGCGGGGAAGAATATTAGTTTAAACTGGAGTCAAGAACTTAAAGCCACAAAAATAAATAAATAAATATATAAATAAATAAATAAATCAGAAGGAAAGAAAGAAACTGGATAATGTGGAATCATTTCACTGTGAGTCAATCCTGGTTGGTTTTTTTCTGCCCCCTGGTGACTATTAGGACTGGCAAAGAGATCTTAACAGATCAGAGTTCACATTCCAATGGACAGATTTGGGCTTTTTAAATTATTAATTAGATAAACTGCGAAGGAGGTAGCAAAAGAATACATGGATAGAAAAATAAAAAGGGTGATCAAATTCTTCTTCTTCTTCTTTTCCCCCCTACAGCACTGGCATTAGAACAGCTCTGTGTGCACCATATGCATAGTCCTTTACTGTGACTAATGGGAATAATGTACTACATTTCATAATACTGATCTCTTTGGCAATTTGAGAAAAATTCACAACTAAATGATTATACATACTATCTAAAAATACTTATCACAACAAACCCTCAAGCAAAATTTCTTTTTCTGATAAAACTTTGGAAAGCTTTCTAGATAAGCAAAAGAATCATTCAGGCTGCTAAGAAAATAGCACCCCCCCCTTTTCTTCCCTGTTGGGGTAAAGGCTTAATCCTCTCAGATGTTTTCCCTGCTGAATGCTTGTCTTATGTGCAGTTTAAGATGGTATTTAAAATTTTCAAAATTCCTTCTACAAGTGTATTCCTATTTCCCCTAAAATTGGGCTCAAACTGATGTTAACTGGCACAGATGTTAGAAATTCCATCCTCTTTCCAGAAAGGACCAAGTATGAATGAAAGGGAATGTCCCTTTTTAGCAAATTCTTATTTCTTCTCTCTGACTCTGGATGTAATTGTCAGCATACCCATCAAAGTGGGTGAACATCATACACAACTTGCCTGCGAATGACTCCCTAACAGTTACACGGAGATCCTTCTGCAGAATGTCTGTAAAATTAGAGTCTGTAAATCGGAGTTGCTACTTACAACATTTTCTATTCCGAGTGAGGGGAGCACTTTGCTCTGAAAATATAGACAGCCAGTGTTCTAATGCTATACGGAAGACTATAGATCAAAGAGATCAAAGCTGGATTCATGTTTTCATTAACTACAAGCATTTACACGCAGGTAACACTAGCCATCAAATGCTAAACCAAAACTTTTTCTATTGTTTATAATTATTTTTATTCACTGCTTAAAAAATAATACAGAAAAAAGTGTCATCTATACTCAAATTAAATATGCAACCTGATGCCACGCATTACCCAGGAATATTTTGCTGCAAATCAAATAAGTTAGGAAAATCACCTCTACATTCACTTCATAAGAGGGGTGCACGTGTTTGGTTTCTTTCCTCCATGGCTAGTGGTATACTTCGTGGTTCCATCTGACAGCTAACTTCAACATTTCACACGGAATTGAGTGGCTCTGTTTTCATTCTAATGAGTGCTTTAAAACTGGCAACCTAAAACTTAAATTTCTGACGTTCATCAAGGTTAATAAATAACTTCTTATAAATAAAGGATTAGGTTTGACTTTAAAGCTCACGATTAAAACAAAATAATTTTAAAAATAAAACATTGTAAATGTTGGAGGAGATAAATCCTTATAAAACATTCACCAGAATGTCAATGTTTTCTTATTTCTGCTAGTATGGAAAAAATATATATTTGTTAAGTTCTCAAATTATTCTGATTTCCTAACTTATCCCAAATCTCCTCTTAGGGTATTATTTATATTTCTTGTTTCCTAAATAGCCTAAATCGTGTTTTATATACAATAATGCCTCTATATTAGCCAATTTGGAGAATGCATATTTAAAATAAAAATCTTATAAAATATTAATTATCTGTGTCTATACATGGCTGATAATCTTTACAGTAAACAAGAGCAGAAAAGGTATGGATGATTCTTAATGGAAGCTAAAAATACAATGACAAGGAAATGAAATCATTGTACTCCAGAGAAATTAACTCTAGATGCAATCTTCATAAGTACTAAGACTGGGTCCATAAAACAAACAAAATCAGTCTCATTATTAGTCATCACGCTTCATGTGTTTATCTTTGTAAATGTAGTATACGGCAGTTCTCTAAACACCAAATATAACGTGAACAGGAACTGATTTTTATTATAATTGTTACTATGGTTTTTCCAAAGTCATTGACTTTGATCTAAAATAAAAGCCATTACTAATAAAAATCAGTAAACATAGACAGTAAGTGGAAAAATGTTTGTAATCTTCAAACGCACTATGCAACATGAAGAAGATTGATGTCGCCATCATTTTGAAAGCAATCAAAACTTCTCCTCTTACCAGTTACATAACGACCTCACTAAAATAACTAGAAAAAATAGAGGTTCTCTAATAATATTTAATATGTGTTCCACCAGAGGAGAATTTCATCCAAAGCTGTAGCTCACAAAATTCCCCAAATCAACAGGCAGACAACTTGTTTTGCAGCCGAGCACAGTAGCTCCACTATATTTTCTCAAAGATGGCTGATGCAAACCACACCTCATAACTCCATAAAAATGTTTGCTCAGATGGACTTATGCAAATGCAGTTTCAAAATAACCTGCTCAAATTTCGGCGCATTGAAGATGGACCTACAAAGCGTTTGCGACATTATATCTGGTTCCAGCGGAATTTCAGTGGGTACTAAGGAGAGCACAAGCTCCAAATCATCCTTGTAAAGAAAGACTGAAACGTCAGTGCGCAAACATCAAATCCTATGGGCACATTCACAGCCCTGGGACCTGGTCCCTGAACACTGATCCGTCACCAATGTAAAGCAAGCAAAGCCATGAGGCGCTTCTTGAGGTCTCCATCCTGCCCTTCAAGTAGAAGGGGCCATCTTTGAAAAGCTGAGTCTTTTCTTTTAAAATTAGATATTCCAAAGATGGGATTTTCAAAATGGGGGATGAATTTAGAGGGTAAATTATTTATTATGTGAGGCAAATAAAATATACTTTAAATGATCCATTTCCATAAAATGATATTTATTTTCAACCTGGCAGTATTTCATAATCAGACGCCCTTCTACAAAGACTTTTCTGTGAATATAAAGTTCCCAGTTTTCTTCTACTTAAAAGTAAGTAATAGAAAAGTGCAGGGTAATTACAATACCGAAGCAATTTCAATTAACTTCATATGCAGCCTGATTTCAAGCCGCAAGACACTGGCTCCGTACGAAGCACATCAGATGTTTCCAAATTAATAATTGGCCAAATTGGATTTTTCACTAAGTAAACTTTAAATTTTAAATAGTTTTTCTCTGTTGCTTTACATTTATATTAAGGAATAAAGAGAAATTTTAAGTATTGATGTACATAAATTGTCAATCATATTTAGTATTGGCTGAATAATTTGCAAAACAATAGAAAAGAATAATATGAAATATTTTCATTTTGGAATAGTTGGAAACTGTTTGTAGTTGAAAGTTATATAAAATATCCAATTAAAGCAAAAAGTTGTCACAAGTGGAGACTCAGTATTCCACCAGTCAACATAGGGAACCATTTTGTTCTGAAATATGATACCAGCGTTTTCTAATGTTAAACTTGAATTTTCACAATTCTTTCTATTAGATAAATCAGTCTTCAAAACAATAAATACTTAACTGCTATTTACTTCCATTTACACCCATCACTGGTTCTTTCTGTTACTAAGTTTTATTAAATTTACAGGACTCAAAGCATCAGCGGAGCAGCAGAAAACCTCTGCTGTGTTCCATAAGGGTAAATTTTGCTGTACTTGCGTGTATTTATTTAGTGTTGTCAGTTTCGCAGAGGTGCGCATCATTCACTTTCCTACACTTATTAAACTAGTTTTGAAGACTTCATTACAAACTGGGTAAACCCTTAGGAGAGCAGAGATCCTTCAAATAAACCAACATTCTAGGCCTTAAACGGTCACACGAAATCTCAAAAGAACAAACAATACAAAGCATCACTGTTTTTACTTGTATGTTCCTCAAACGGGCTGAAAGAGCCTCTCGGGGCTTATTAACCACCCCCAACCTTCTCAAGCATTGGGAAGGCCGACCTGAGAATTCACGACCCAAGTCGCACAGGTCACCCGAGTCACAAGATGGTAACATTAATGGAAAACGGTTGCGTAGCTAAACTCTTCGAAAAGGCCTTCTTGAAAAGTGTCTACACTTTCAGGGCAAAGTAAAACATGTTGTTTACAAACTGTCACCTCCCTTTCCACTGGTTGGTTTCAGGGGCACCATGAAGGGTGGTTTAATTTTTGGCATTTTACTTACACACCCTCACGCGCGCGCACACACTCACGCACGACTCTCCATTCCAGCGTCCTCTTGGGACCAGAAAGATGAAATACAGTCGCTGGGCCATTTCCCCCCAATCTGAGCTATTTTAGTTCAAAATATCTAGTACCATTCCTGAAGAGAAGAGAAAGGAGATAAGGAAAAACAAAATAATTTTCCCTAAAGAACTTGGCTCCCCTCTTTCCAGCCTAACAAACAGCCAGAAGGACACCGACTCTGCCCAGAGGGGGTACGAGAAAACTTCAAACCCAAGGGGGGCGAGCGAAGTTCAGCAGGGACGGGAAATGAAGCCACAAAGGGGGCTCTCGGGGCGTGTCCCCAGGCGCACCCGTGGTCCCTGTTCCCTTCTCCCTTCTTACTTTTGGATGATCTGGGGTAGGCCGGCTTGGGGCGGGGGCGGTGGCTGGGGCGGCGGCGGCGGCTGCTGCATCCCTCGCGGGCCGGAGGGTGCCGGGGACGCCCGGGCACCAGGCACACTGCAGGCAACTCTGTCCGGCTGCTCCGGACCGCTGGGGTCCGCGTCCTGGCTCATGGCTGCTGCCAGCACCATGCGGGGCGAGACCCGCCCGGGATCGCGGCGAGAGAGCTCAAGGGAGGGGCGGTCCCGGGCCACGGGCGCTCACTGGCCGGGGTCCCCGTGCCCAGTCCCCTTGTCCTTCCCGGTGGCGCGGGGAGGAGACGCGAGGGGCGGGGAGGAGGCAGTCCTGGCGGCGCCGCCTCCTCCCGCTGCTCCAGCTCGTCCCGGCCGGCCACGCGGGGGCGGGGGCCAGGGGGCGTCTCCCGACCGGCGGGAGCTGCTCTGCGGCCGGGGGCTGCTCAGCGCCAAGCTGGACCCAGGAACTCTGCCCGCCGACCCTGGGCGCAGGAAGCGGGGAGGGAGCGCGGCGTACGCCACCCGCCACAGTGCACCCTCAGGGTCCGTAGCCCAGCGTTCCACGGCGCAGCATACCGCGTGAGGAAGGCGACACACGCAGCCCGCGGTCGGCCGCCGCGCTCTCGCTCCACCCGGGAGCCCTGAGTCCTCCGGCTGTCCCTGGGGACGGTGCGCGCGGCCTCTCGCAGCTCCTGCCAAGCCGGGCGGACCGAGCGCGCCCGGGACGTCCGCGCGCATCGCCCGTGCAAAGTGTGCCGGGCCTGGCATCTGCTCGCGGCTGGAGCCCGGCCAGCGCCACTGGCTCTTGAGGCACCCGACCCTGAGGGGAAGAAAGCCTGGACTCGCCCCGAGGTCAGACTTGTATTGTAACCCAGGTCTCAGATGACCATCCCCGGGGCTCTCCAAATTGTCAGTTCCAGCTGCTGATTTCAGGTGTCCCCGGAAGCAGCCGGTGGGGCCACCGTGGGTTTCTGGTTTCTTTTTCTCTTCACTTAAAAGACCCCGCCACGACCCCACGAGCGCAAAGACAAAACCATGCGTACATTTTATTCTTGTTATTTATTGGCCAAATCTCCGTGGAAATGTAAAGGATGAAAAGAGAGTTCGCCGACAACGTACGGTCACCGTCACGCCCTCTGAAGCCCTGTTAATTACCCTGGCGCCCGCGTGCGCCCGTCCACCTGCACTCACCGGTTCACAGCTGTGGACGCGGACATCCTGCGGCCTTTCAAGGCTGAGAGCCACCAAGCAAGGTTCGGCTTAATGCCCTGGCGCGTGGGTGCGAATATGCGAGGCACCTGACACAGAAATGTCTACGGAGCAGAGAAAGACCAGAGAAAGCGGCCGCCCAGTAGACCTTACCGGCTGTCCGGCATACAGGAGTTCTAAGTCCTGAGGCCAGCGTCCCCGGGAAGTAGAGAAAAGCGTGCCTTGCGTGCCTGGGAAACCAGAGCCCAGGATGCCGCATGGCCTGGAGAGGAGTTTGCTCAGGGTCTCCACTCAACTCATTTTCCTCCCGCAACCACGCGGAGGAAAATTCTGAAGATGGATTCCCTGAGACCTAGCAACTACTTGAATTCCCCAAAAGACGCTTTCATGTCTCCCCAGACTGAGTTTCTAGCCTCAGGAAACTACGCCTCCGCCTCCGTTGATTTCTGCCATCATTCTCTCTTTCTCTCTCCTTCCTTCCCTCTCCCTTTTTTATCTTCCTCTCTCCCTCCTCTAATATAAAATGACACTATCAATTCCTCGTATTCATAAAGATCAGTTTGCCACAGTTCGCAAAATTGAGCCTCACCAAAACAAACAAAAACAAAACAAACAAAACAAAAACATGAAACAGGTAGGCTGGTCCGAAGGTAGGTAGTTAGCTCAATAGATTGTTCCGTTCGTTACACATAGAACTCCTTGTTCTACTCTTTCCCCCTTCTCCTTAATGCAGCTGACAAGAAAAAAAAAAAACACCTGGTAAAGAGGTGTTGATTGTTTTTCCCATTTCACAAATGTGGAGGCATTAGGGTGATCTGTCGGGAGGATCCACGGCTAGTAAGAGGCTGTAAGAACCAAGTCCATTCTCTGAATCGTTATCATCTTCAGTTTCTATCACTAAATTCCTAACCGTGGTTTCCTTAAATCTCCATCTTCCACCCCATATTCCCACCCCCAGACTTCCTTAGTGAAAGGAAATTACTTAAAATTAACATTGCAACTCTCCCAGAAATAAAAGTTTTTCTATGTTTGTACGGAAGTCTTTTTCTCAGAATCCTCCAAAACCTGGATGGAAAGAGCTTTGTGATCAAAAGGACCTGTTTTTGAGTCCAGACTCTGTAATTTACCAGTGGAGTAATTCAACCTCTCTGAGTGTCAGTTACCAAATATGTAAATCGGAATTGATGAGACCCTGGCTTGGAGAGTCTCTGTTAGGGTTAGAGATAATGTCTCTTGTATACTTTGTGCATAAGATGTTCAATCTGGCACTTACTACAAACATGACTCTTTATATTCCAACCATATAGCCAAATATTAATACAATAGATCTCAAACCCCAGAAAGCTGAGAGCCTGGAAGTCACAACATCGATATAAGTGAGTCTATTCCCATTACATTTTTATTGGCAAAAAAAAAAGAGGACCATGTTATATGAATGAAGCTGTCTGAATCTCAAAAATAATATCCTAGCATATGTGATAAAATAAGAAACAATGGATAAATCTAGATATTCATTGGGCTTTTTTTGCATCCTTTCTGTAAATTTGAAATTTTCAAAATTAAAAAAATGGGAAAAAATGAACGATTCACAGTTGTTTTTCAGAAATGCCATCTCCATGATTATAGCTTAATATTTGCAACCGACATGTTACATAATAACTGAACTTAGAACAGATTTGAAGGGAGAGGGCAAGACGACAGCAAAAACCTAGAGGTAGTTCATGACCTTCTTCAGATCCCACAAAATGTTTTCCAGGATGACATTGAACAAGCATTCCATTTTGCAAGTCAAACATAAAGTATATTCAAAAGTTGCAATGATAAATATTTCTAAATGTTTCTCACTTCTCTCCCGGAGGAATGAAAAAGCATAAAGAGCCATAGCTGAGGCTGCAGCCCTTGCTTTGATCTGCCCCTGGGCTCTCATCACTCCCCTCCCCCAAGCGTGCGCTTCACAGTGAGAGAAGCCAGACAAATGCTGTGTGAGTCACCTGACTTGACAAATGGGAGTGTGACTGAGAGGTGAGGACTGGTAACATCTCTCTTTGTTCCTCTCCACAGAAGCATCCTGTCCCTCCTTGACCTACAAGTGAACTACAGTCACGTGGTGAGGTTATTGCTGTTTGTGCATACGTTGAATATTTAACAAGCTGCTAAGTATTTTCATAGTTTATCTTACTTTATATTCACAATAACCCCATGAGTAGCAACTGTTAACTATGTTTCATAATTAAGAAAACTGAAGCTCAGATAGCTACAAGAATTTGCTCAAGGTCACCCAGCTCTTAAGAGCCAGAAAGAAGCAAGACTGCAGGTAGGTTGGTCTGTCCCCAAAGCTCACCCACTCTCTACACTATCTCAGTGACAGAAGTGGAACTGAGATCTTACCTGTCTTCTTTTGCTGTGATGCTGCTGTGAATATAAAATGCCACCTGCATTGTGATGCAACTCTGCTACTCATATCTTTTCACATCGGTCAATTAATAGGAAATATCTAAACTGACCCTTACAAATAAGAAAATTCAAAGAAATGATGCAACCTGGTGGGAGGTGGTAGAAAAGGGTGGAAATACAACCCAAGTCTCTATTATACTAGGGTCATTCTCAAACTTACTGGGGACTCTGGCACTCTGGCTTGTCCCATGATGTTAATAAATAATCCAGGCACTGGCTCTAGGAGTTTTCTCAAACCTTATTTCATTTAATATCACCATTTTGGAGAAACTCGAAGAACCTGCCCAAAGTCACTGGAATAATAAATAGCAGAGCTGAGATTCAGACCCTGCTCTGAATCACTGTGACCTTCTGTCCCCTCTTCAAAGGGGAAATATAATAGCTTACCTCTCAGTTGATTGTGAGCATTCATCTCTGCAGATGAGCTGATTTGTATGTGTGGCTGTTCAGCATATGTATACTATCACTGTTATTTTTTAACAACAGTTTACTTTGTAAAGTTTGATGACACAGACATTCTCATATACTATAGGTGTCAGTTGCAGCAACTCTTTGGAAGTGAATTGTAACTTTTTTTTTTTTTTTTTTGAGACAGAGTTTCGCTCTTGTTGCCCAGGCTGGAGTGCAATGGCGCTATCTCGGCTCACCGCAACCTCCACCTCCTGGGCTCAAGTGATTCTCCTGCCTCAGCCTCCCAAGTAGCTGGGATTACAGGCATGCGCCACCACACCCGGCTAATTTTGTACTTTTAGTAGAGACGGGGTTTCTCCATGTTGGTCAGGCTGGTGTTGAACTCCCGACCTCAGGTGATTCGCCCACCTCAGCCTCCCAAAGTGCTGGGATTACAGGCATGAGCCATGGTTCCTGGCCCAAATTGGAACTACTAAAATTGCAACAAGGGAAACTGACTCAGCAATTATCCTCCTAGGAATTTATACTCTCGGTTTATTTGTAGCAATAATCAAAGCTACATGGACAAGGGAGTTTATTGTGGCATTGTTCATAATAGCAAAAACTAGAAACAACCAAAGTGCTGCACAGAAGGGTGGCCTTACAAAAGATGGTCTCTACTACAAAAGAGTACAATGTAACCCTGAAAAAGAAGGAGGTAGGTCTGTATGCACTGCTAGGGAAAGAGACCCAAGGTGTATTATTAAGGAGAAGGTGCAAGTTTCTCAACAGTATTGCAGTATGACTAAATGTCTATAAAATCAAAGAGAAGAGAACATTTCTGGAAAAGTTATACAAGTAATTTTTAACAGTAAGTACCTCTGGAAATTAGGATACAAGGCCTTGTATGACCTTTTATATTGTTTGAATACTTGAAATAAACTTTTATTGAAGTACATATACTATTAGAGTTTTTGCTATGAACACATGTCATTGTTAAATTAACCAGTGACAACAAAACTTAAAATTTTGTTTTTTCAACTAGTAATCATTAACAACACTTAGTACATCAATAAGATTTTTGTTTATGTATTTATTTTTTGGGATGGAGTCTCACTCTGTCGTCCAGGCTGGAGTGCAGTGGCGCGATCTTGGCTCACTGCAACCTCCACCTCCTGGGTTTAAGCAATTCTCCTGCCTCAGCCTCCCAATTACAGGCAACTGCCACCACGCCCAGCTAATTTTTGTATTTTTAATAGAGGCGGGGTTTCACCATGTTGGCCAGGCTGGTCTCAAACTTCTGACCTCAAGTGATCTCCCTGCCTCAGACTCCCACAGTGCTGGAATTACAGGCATGAGCCACCGCATCCGGCCAAAATTTTTATTTTTAAAGCAAAAATTCATGTGAAGGAATGAAGGAGAAATACACTGGATAATATATTGTCCAGTCTTAAACACTGTCCTTTTATCCTAGCAACTCCAGTAGAGACAGTTAAATAAGTAAATCATTAAGTTGCTACCAGTCACATTGACACAGTTATAAGCTACTAATCTGACAATTATGAATACATATGAAGCAGTCTATCATAGATCATCTTAGCCATAAGATATTAACTGTTATCTGGGTGTTAATAATAACAGTTGCCATTTCTTGCTTTAGAGACAGAGTCTCACTCTGTTACCCAGGCTGTCATCCAGGGTGGAATGCAGTGGCACGATCATGGCTCACTGCAATCTTGAACTCCTGGGCTTAAGCGATCCTCCTGCCTCAGCCTCCCAAGGAGTAGCTGGGACTCCAGACATGTACCACTACGCCTGCCCAGCTAATTTTTATGTTTTCTAGAGACAGGGTTTTGCCATGTTGCCCAGGCTGGTCTCAAACTCCTGGCCTCAAGTAATCTCACCCCAGTCTCCCAAGGTGCTGGGAATACAGGGGAGCCACCACACCCAGCCAACGGTTCTGTTTCTTGAGTATTAATCTGCCAGGCTGTCTTGAGCACATATTTGTCATTTAGTCCTCACAGTCACCTTAGTAGGTGGTTGGTTTTTTTATACCCATTTTACAGATAAGGAAACAAAGGCTCATGAAGTCCAGCCACCTGGCCAGCTAGTAAGCAGAGGAGCTGCGGATCTAACCCTAGTTTCCATTACTCCTAGCATTGAGCTTTAAACTACTTTGTATGTTGTTTCTTGATATAATGGGGCTTTGAGACTGGACACTCCTCTGGTAAATCTCCAGCGTTTGAACCTCTTTGCTGTCTCCAATATCCCATCCCTTGGTTTCCCATCTCTCCACACTCCCCGGCTTCTCTTTTCTACCCCCCGAGGTAGAAATATTTACCTCAGCTTGACCTATTGGCTGGTGCCTCGACCAGAGTATGATTTTTGTTTGACTTTGAAGTCCATGGAATCTCTGCAGATGTTTGAAAACAATCAGAAAATAAAATCCTGTCCTGGCTTCACAAAGGGTCACCACTCCCTGAAAACCCAGGAGAGACAGTGGCTGAAGGATGCTGTTTAAAAATAATGTGGTTACTCATGGAACTGGATGCACATCTGAATTTGAAGGAGACAGTCAGGGAACTTTAGCTGAGGAAAAGTGAGGACATGACCCAGGAGGCTCTTTTCTGCCCGACCGACTCACTGGGAACTTCCGGCATTGGCTGCAGGGAAAGGCTTAGCCTCCATCCCTCTGGTCAGGAATTTATCAGCCAGGCCTCTTGTCCTCTAATAAGCCCTGCAGGTGTTGTATTGTAGTCAAAGTGCAGTTGGTTGGAAGTCAGGAAACCGTGGTTCTAGAGCTTTAGGTATACATCCAATGTCCTTGAACAGGAAAGCAGTTATCCCAACCACAAATGACATCAGCATCTTTGCCTCTCCTAAAAGCATCACTGCTCCGAGCCCCGGGTGGCTAGAGCTCTGTTCTGCCACCGCTTGTTCGGTACCTGGCGACAAATCAACAACTGCAGATTGCGTCCAGAATCACAGGGGCCCAGAGCAGCAAGGGGGAGGGTTAACCTGGGCATGGCTTCCTGGAAAAGAGGAGTTTTGAGCTATGCTTCCAAAGAGCCAGAGAATGACTTTCTCTCATTTGCTGTTTCCAGGACACATAATACAACAATCTTACTGTGTGTTATAAAGCAAGTTGCAGCTGAATTTTTTTGGAGGGGGGATGGGAAGTGATGGAGGTACGAAATGAATGTGGGAGAAATGTTAGAGGTAGCTAATTGCATGACTGAAGTTCCGTGGGGCTCTGCACCCCCTGTGGAGACCCAGCTTCCACAAGTCGTGCTTAATCCCTGGGGAATGTCACTGTCATTCAGAGGCCAGTGGTGTGACTGTAGGCCCCAGCCAAGGAAAACAGCACTTCTCAGAGGCAGGGGACTCCTTTATCCACCCTGTCCCCCAGTTGCCTTCTCTGTCTCTCTTATCACCCCGCCTGTCAAGCCAGTTGGGCATCAGAGAATAAACATCTCAGGCTGTTTGCCCACCAGCTCCAGGATCAGGTGACCATTATGGAAGGCAACACCGGAGGCCTCTGCATGCCAGAGTGACGCCAGGAACAGTGAGAGCCTGCAATGTGCTGACCTCACTGAGTGGGCACCCATGCAGCTGGCTGGGAGTAGACTAATGCCACTCCTGGTGTGGCCCCTTTGGTCATCCCAGGGCCACCCCATACAGAAGACCCTGCCCCGCTTCCTCTCAGCCCAGACTCTGGAGTCAGAATGACTCCTTTAGAAATCCAGCCCCAAGGTCTGCTAGTCACATGATGTTATGCAACTTACTCTACCTCCCTGAGCCTCAGTGTTCCCATCTGAGAAATGGGAATAATAGTGTCCACATCATGAGGTTACCGTGAGGATTATATGTAAAGCACTTAAGCCAGTGTCATCTGGCATATGACTGGGGCTCAGTAAATTGTCATTGGCTGTTTTTATTGTGATTACTGGACTGCCCATTGGGAACATTCAGTAATCATAACACACAGTCCCTTAAAAGAGCTTGCTCTGGGTCAGGAGGTCAGCCACCTTCGGCACATATAAATCCCAGGGGGAAAAGAACGTTTCCATTAGGAACGTTCAGTAATGATAATACACAGTCCCTTAAAAGAGCTTACTCTGGGTCAGGAGGTCAGTCACCTTCTGCACTTATAAATCCCAGGGGGAAAGATACCTGCCTCGGCCTCCCAAAGTGCTGGGATTACAGGCCTGAGCCACCCAGTCTGGCCAATAGTCCTCTATTTTTGTAACACCATGTTAATACTGGATGAGCAAGAATTATATTGGAAGTCTGTACTCCAAAGGGTGAGAACGTAAACCTCACAAAGATTCAGGGGCTTGCACATTAGTGGACTGGTAAGGACCCTGGTCCTAACCAGTCCACCTACCTCAGCCTCCCAAAATGCTGGGATTACAGGTGTGAGCCACCATGCCTGGCCCATTGTATATCTTTAAACTGTCCCTTTTGCCCATCTTTATATTGTTTTCTTAATGTCTTTTTCCCCTCGATTTTTAGAGCTCTTTATAAATTAGGGAGATTAGACCTTTGATAAAGATGGTGTATTATTTGTCTTTTCTTATTGTTTTACTTGTTTGTCTTTTCTTATTGTTTTTGCCATGCCAATGTTATTTTTATATAGTAAAATTTATCAATTGTTTCTTCTGTTGCACCTGCATTTTGAATCGGAATTAGAAAAAGCTTCTAAACACTGAGATTATTTTTTAAATTCTCATGTTTTTTGTAGCATCTGTATGGTTTAATTTTTTTACACTTAGATGTCTGATTCATTTGGAGTTCATTCTGGTGCACAGTGTGAGGCATGGATCCAATTTTATCTTCTCCAAATGGCCATCCAGTTGTCCCAACACCACTTATTGAAAGGGCTGGCTTTTCCTGCAAGATATAAGATACCATCTTTATCATACGCTAAATTTCCATATGTACTTATGTCTAATTCTGGACTTTCTATTTTTTTCCTAGTAGTCTTCCTGTTTACTTATTAGTTTTGATTAAAGATCCTTTATAATAATATTTGTTATTTGACAAGAACTCTTTCTTCTCACAGCTCTTCTTTTTGGGGGTTTTCATAACTCTTCTTGCATTTTTATTTTTCCGTATGAGCTCTGCAATCAATTTTCTAGAAAAAAAATGTGGTATTAAAAAAAAATAGCCAGATGTGGTGGCACATGCCTGTAATTCCAGCTACTCAGGAGGCAGAGGCACAAGAATCATTTGAACCTGGAAGGCAGAGGTTGCAGTGAGCCAAGATCGCACCACTGCACTCCAGCCCGGGCGACAGAGCGAGACTCAGTCTCTAAATAAATAAATACGTGGTATTTTTATTAGATCTTGTTAAAATTATATATTATCTTGAGGAGAATTAGACCTTTACGATGATGAGTTAGTCCCATCACAGAACAAGGGATGTCTTTTGCTTTGTTCAAGTCTACTTTTATGCCTTTAGGGAGTATCTTAAAGTTTTCCTCAGAGAAGTTTTGGTGGTTTTAGTGGTATCAAATAAAACACTTGACACTGCAGCAGATCAAAGCAAAAGCTTTGTTACAGAAAAAGTAATACTAGGAGGGAGGACAGAGCCAAGCAAATCATCACACTGACACCAGCTGCCAGACTCACAGCCCAGAGGGACAAGAGACGTGGAGCCAGACGGGCAACGAGCCAAGCCGGAAGTTGGCACCCACAGCACCTCCCCTGGAACTAAGCACCATCCTCATAGTACCTGGGCTTGTAAGACCCTCGGAATTCTAAAGTCGTTCTATGGGTGGTTATGTTGAGAGCCAAGTTTGTCTATTACATACCATGTTTTCTTATTCGTGACTATCTAACTCATTTATTCCATGCTTAGTGCCACGATATGGGATCAACAACTCCCTAAGGTATTATGTTGGAGTTCCCACACAATTCACACTTTTCTTCTTAGTTTGTTCCTAAATATTTTATGCTCTTTAGTTTGTATAATAAGTAAGGCTTTCTCTTTTATTATCTTCTCTAACTGGTTATTGTTTATATAAATATAAATGTATATTTGCCTATTTATATTTCTATATTATTTAATCTATACATAAAATAATGCATGCATACGCACAGAATTATTTTGCTTGTTTTAGTTTTATCATTACAACTTTTGAGTTTTCCAGATATTCTATCATGTTATCTACAAATAGAGTTTTACTTTTTTCCCTGTCAATTTGTATTCCTCTAATAGTTTTCTCTTGTCTAGTTGTATTGATTAATATCTCGATTGTGTTAAATAATAGTAGTGGATATATAGGCTTCTTTGCCTTTTTTCTGATCTCATGTGTTTATCTATTAAGATGCTGACTTTCCTAATATGTACATTTATTATATATGTTTACATCCTTATATATACATTTATTGTATTAAAATGAATTCTTACATTGGCATTGTGTGGAAAGTTAAAAAGACAAGGAAAAGGCCCGGCACGGTGGCTCATGCCTGTAATCCCAGCACTTTGGGAGGCCGAGGCGGGCAGATCACGAGGTCAGGAGTTCGAGACCAGCCTGGCCAACATGGTGAAACCCCGTCTTTACTAAAAATACAAAAATTAGCCAGGCATGGTGGGTGCCTGTAATCACAGCTACTAAGGAGGCTGAGGTAGGAGAATCACTTGAACCCAGGAGGCTAAATTTTGTATTTTTAGTAGAGATGGAGTTTTGCCATGTTGGCCAGGCTGGTCTCGAACTCCCGACCTCAGGTGATCCACCTGTCTCGGCCTCCCAAAGTGCTGGGATTACAGGCCTGAGCCACTGTGCCCAGCCAATTGTCCTCTATTTTTATAACACCGTATTAATACCGGATGAGCAAGAATTATATTGGAAGTCTGTACTCCAGAGGGTGAGAACTTAAACCTCATGAAGATTCAGGAGCTTGCACATTAGTGGATTTGTAAGGACCCAGTGGTCTAGGGTCTGTCATCCCCTCCAAAGTAAAAGGTAAATCTTTTGCAGTGGCCTTATCAACCTCTTTCCCCTTTCAAAATTCTACTTTCCCCTCTGAATAGCTGGTACGATGTGAGTGTCTTCTTATAAGTGTCTGATGTAAACTGGGTGAGGATCAGGATCAATCTATATGTGAAATATTAGCAAAACTTTGAAAAATTTTTGATGACATGGATAAAAGAAAACCAAAAGCTCTAATATTTTCTTCTTGTATTCCAGTGGATTGACTTTTGAGCCTCATATTTGGAAGTCAAATGAATAAATTATTACTTTTATTTTATTTTATTTTATTTATTTATTTTGAGGGGGAGTTTCACTCTGTCACCCAGGCTGGAGTGCAGTGATGTGACCTCGGCTCACTGCATCTTATACCATCCATCATCCAAAAGGAAACATAGAGATACTGCCTTGGTCCATCTATCAAGTGATAGGAAATGCTGTCAGCTTTCTTGGAATGAGGCACTGCCTGGGAAAGGATTCTGCAGAAAGTCCAGGCTGGGCATGAGTAACTCTGCTACCTGGACCATGTGACACAGAGGATCCTATAGCATGAGAGGCATTTATGGAAGGAAAGACATATTGAATCTATTACAAGCCCCAGTAGGGGGATCACAATGTAGACACCTAGAGCTCTGGAGCAAGTCATGACATGTGCAGCAGAAATTTACAGCATTTGGAAAATAGTTCCTAGTGGGTGACTTGGCCCTGGTAGAGACAGAGCCTCTGATCTTGCCAACCATGGAACATCAAGTGACTATGTGGCAAGAGCTGCTGCATTACATTTCTACTGTTGTGTAACAGATTATTGTAAATGTAAGGGCTTAAAAGAGCACACATTTATTTGTTCACAGTTATGCAGGTCAGAAATCCAGAATGGCTCAACTGGGTTCTCGGCTCAGGATGTTACAAGGCCAAAATCAAGATATTGGCCAGGCTGGGCTCTTATCTGGAGGCTCTAGGTGAGAATCTGATTCCAACTTCATTCAAGTTGTTGGCCAAGTTCAGTTTCTTGTGGTTGTAGGACTGGAGTCCTCATTTTCTAGTTGACTATCAACAGAAGGCCTCTCTCAGCTCTTAAGGCCACTACACTCCCTCTCAAGTGGCTCCACCATCTTCAAGCAAGCAACAATGCATCAAATTCCGCTTATACTTGAAAGAGACTTGAACCCACCACTAGAACCTTTAGAGTAAATCCAGCACACTCACTGTTCCTCACAATCTAAATGATATAACTCCTATGCTTAGAGAATTGGCTCCTTCTCTGTTTATTAGCAGGCTGTGCTTGAGCAAGTCAAGCTATCTAATCTCTCTGTTTTAGTTCCTGATCTAAAAAAATAAAGGTATAACACCTTATAGGGCTGTTGTGAACATCAGTGAAATAACACTTATAAAGTACCTGACACATGGAGATGCTCAGTTAATGAAAGCAGTCAAAACCAGCACCTCTACCACCACCACCACCACCATCATCATCATCATCATCATCATCAGAACAATGAAGACATGAACAATGCTGTTTTAGGCCTCTTTGGCCTAGAGAATGACAAGCCTTTGGTAAAATAACAATGGAAATGAAAATAGTTTGGGGCTCCAAATCCTAATGTATCTGAATTCCTGGGATCCCTGGAGACCCAAGTTCCATTAAAGCATCATGGGTGGTATGTGTTTGGTGGCCCTCTTAGTTTGTTTTTTGTTGCTTATAACAGAATACTGAAACTGGGGAATCTATAAAGAAAGAGAATTTATTTCTTACAATTATGGAGGCTGAGAAGTCCAAGGTCAAGGGGCTGCATCTGGCAAGGGCCTTCTTGCTGGTGAGGACTCTCTGCAGAGTCCCTAGGCAGTGCAGGACATCGCTTGGGAAGGGGGCTGAGTGTGCTAGCTCAGGTCTCTCTGCTTCTTCTTATAAAGCTACCAGTTCCACTCTCATGATAACCCATTAATTCATTAACCTGTTCATAAGGCCCAATCACCTCTTAAAGCCCTACCTCTCTAAATACTGCCACGTTTAGGATTAAACTTCAACATGAGTTTTGGAGGGGACAAACATTCAAACCATAGCACCCTCATTGGTTTTGCATATGGTAAATTAGTGGCCATTCAAATCATTCTACTTTTCTCGTCTTAATTGATAGCTGTTCTTCTGACATTGTTGGGATGAGGTAGGCTCCCTGCTTTGCACTCCCACAGCAACAAGAACTGCCCTCATCACCACCCTGTCTTCTAATTGCCTCTTGCTGGCTACATATTCCATGAGACTGTGAGTGCTCTCTGAAGGTGAGTGTTTTTGTCCTACTCACCATTGTATTCCCTGGATATAACACAGCATATGATAGCATAGCAAGTGCTAATTAAATACTTGTTCAATACATGAATGAATGAATGTCTCCCAGCTCTTTTAATCATTATACCTAACAAGGCAGAAGGAATTAAGTGAATTAGGGGCATTATTAGTACATAGCAATTAAAAATGATAATTGTAACCATTATGTAGGAACTTAAGAAGACAATTATGTAAGAATGCCAAATGATAGAAAAGTTACTTAAACTCCTTTTGGCCACATCCAGAAAATGAGGCTAGCAGCATCTGTAATATTGGTTTGTTGTTATAATTAAATGAGAGAAAATAGGTAAAATATTTAGCATGGTGCCCAATATGAACATGTGTTTCATAAATGGCAGTCATTTTGTTGTTGTTTACAATAATAGTAGGTGAAAGAAAAAAACAGAATGAAAATAGTTATTTTAGAGCTTATAAAATGATAGCTCTATAATTCTACAACTTCAAAGTTTCTATAATTTCAAATTCTATTTCTATAAAAATAACTATCACAAATATTTCTATTTTGTCATTAAAGTCAAAGTGACCTGGGTTTATTACCAATTCTCTGAGCCCCGTTAATAAAGTAAAAATAAGTATTATATCGTACTTGCTTTATAGGTCTTCAGTCAATCAAATAAATTTCTAAATGTGAAAGTGACTTGAAAGTAGTCACCTACTTTTTTCCAGTTCTGTCCTGCCTTAGTTTTCCCCTCTGGTATCCTTGTGATGGGTGTACTGGCCACAAGGGAAATTCTGTACAAAAAGGGAGTCAGTAATTGGAGTGAAAATCAGTATGGGGTTGCCCATGACTTCAGAGAGTCAGAGTGGCCAGCCCTAGAGAGGATCTAGGGAGCAAGCCCAGGGAGTGGGTTCCCACAAAGAGAACCTGGAGATGACTGGGAAGTGGAGACAAATCTACCGCGCTGGATTCTTGGTTTGGAAGGAAGACAGGAAGACCCAGGAATGTAAAATATATATACCCAAGGAGAGCATCCTCATACCACCAGGGCTCAACTGAGGCATTTTTTTGTTCAAAACTAGCTCTAGCTTCCCACTTCCCATACCTAAGCCACCCACAGGCCCCAGCCTATTATTAGTATTGGCAGTTTGGTTCCGAATGACATGAGCCTTTCTTTGACTCTATCCCCAGGCTAAGAAAAACACAGGTCTTGGCTGGTTAAATTCTGCATCTACAGAGTCATAGCAACTGATCAGCACCACGAAGGTTATTCCTGCTGCTGGATGTGTTGCTTTCTGGCTCCAGAAATAGCACGCATTCCTTGCCTCTGTGTGTTCTACCCACTCCCTCTGAGAATACACAGACAGAAGTTGGATCAGGGACCACTCATGCTAAATGTAAACAGTTGGGTGTATTTGGAGTCCTTTTGTTTTAAAAGTCCAGCAGCTTCTTTTGCACCTGTTGGCACAGTGTCAACTTTCTCTGTTTCATTCATGCTGCATGGGAGAGTCAATCATAGCTTCAATTACAAAGTCAACAACATTTGGGAAACCCTGCCAGGAAATTTCACTTAATCCTCATAAAAACTCTACATAATACAAGATAGGCATTATGCACATTTTAGGAACAAGAGAACTGAATTTCAAAGAAGTTCAAAAACTTGAACAGGAGCACACGGCAGAGCCAGGATTCAAAACTAGAGCTTTGGCCTACTGAAAGCCTGAACCTTTCTACAACACCAGATTATAAACATAGAATGTTGGGACTTTAAAGATTGCTTTGTAAGTTTATACTTTGAAGAACTACTGCTGCTCCAAGCATGTAAGAATAATAGATGAAATATGGGGAAAAAAGGTAATCTTTGCTCAAAAGCACAATGAACATCTCCATGGACTACTGAAAATGAACCTGAAAAACAAGATTTTTAAGCAAATGAAAAAATCTAACCCTAAGAAAAAAGCCAACAAAATCAAACAACAGGAAGAAAAATTTAATACAGATAAAATTAAAATAATAAGATTATCTGACAGATACTTTAAAATATGTTTAAGTTGCTCAAACTAAGAAATAATATGTATATAAGAACAAAATAAAGGTGAAATAGGCAGAAAAAAAGGGAACAGGTGAGTAATGAAAAAGAACCAAGTAGGAATCTTGGCAAAAAAATAAATAAACAAAAAAGAGTATTCCACTTTTGGCCTCGATGGATTAACAGAGACCGGATTTACCCTCTTGCCAGAAACAACAAGAAAAACAGAAAAACATGACACAATGGTTTTCAAGACACTTGACATTAGGAAACAAAGAACATGATCCCTGAACAATGGGAGACAAACAAGGTGAGCCCTGTTACTGCTACAGTTTACTGCCTTGAGAAGAGTTCCAGGGCACAATCTGGGGGTAGGGGGTGGCGGGGGCGGGTAGGGGGGTGGTAGGGTGTAGGCAACTAAAGCCCAGTAGCGTTTCTGATTTGAGGCGACAGAGCTGAGAATCTAGCAAGACCAAGACGCAAGTGTTCGCAGGACAGAGTACCAGAGGGGAGAGAACTGCACAGAGACTGAAACCCAGAGATCTCCAGAGGGTCCCTCTCAAATATCCAGCAGAGTACTAATCAGTGCACGTGTGTGAGGTCAGGAGAAAAATCATCTGAAAGGATCTGAGAGAACAGTGTTCAGCACTCACACAGGACCGGCAATAATACCTGTTCCCACCAGAGAGAATGGAAAAACTCCAAATTCAATGGGTAGTGTATTCAAGAAGATCTTGCCTTAGGAAGATCTTCTGAGGAGTAATTAGCCTAAGACTGAGTACTTCTCTGAGTCTGCCTTAAAAATCATAAAAGCAAGATCTAAAAGCATCAAACTGTTTCCAAGTAATAGTTGGAACAAAGTTCAATAAAGTTCAAGATTTACAGGGATACAAAATATCCAGTACCTAATAGGGTAAAATTCACAATGTCTGGCTTCCAGTCAAAGATTACTAGGCATGCAAAGAGGCAGGAAAACACAATCCATCATGGGGATAATAATCAATTAAAACCAACCCAGAAATGGCACAGATGTTAGAATTAGTAGAGGGCATTAAAACCATGATTAAAACTGCATTCCATATGTTTAAAAAGTTAAGTAGAAACATGAAAGATATATAAAAAGATCCAAATAGAACTTGTAGTGATAAAAATTACAATGATTGAGGAAAATAATAGACATGAATGTAGTTTCATCAACTCTAACAAATGTACCACTCTAGTGAAGAATGTTCACCAGATAATGGGGGAGGCTATTCATGTGTTGGGACAGGGAGTATGTGGGAAATCTCTGTACTTTCCTCTCAATTTTGCTTTGAATCTAAAACGTCTCTAAAAACAACATCTTTAAAAAACATATTCTATATATAACATATTTTATACAGAGAAACAAAGAAAAAGATGACAGCAGGTTTCTTGATTTCTCTTCAGAAACAATGCAAGTGAGAAGACTTGGAGTAACATCTTTAAAGTATTGAAAAAAAGTTGTTGACCTATAATCCCACGTCTAGCAAAAATAACTTCCAAACGAAGATAAAATAAAGTCATTTTCAGACACAAAAGTTGAAATAATTTATCACCACCAGACCCATACTATAGGAGATGTTAAAGCAAGATCTTCTAAGGTCACTCAACCAATTAGGAGCACAGCCAGGATTTGAAAACAATAAAATTAACCACAGCAAACATTCAACAAACATTGGCTTATGGAATAACGAAGGACACTCACTTAACCTTCACAACACCCATATAAGGTATGCATGACTTGGCCTTACATTATAGATGAAGAAACTGAGGCCTGGGAAGGTGAAGAAACTTAGCTTAGGGCACACACATGCCAAGGTTCAAGTTCAGGCTTGTCTGAATTTGGAGGGTGTGATCTTTTCCTCGTATGCAAATCTCTTGGGGGCACCAGCAATAAGTGGACCAGAGGGTCCAGCCTCTCTCTGGGAGGGTCCTGGCATCTGGAGATCTCTGTCTGGGCAGCTAAGAGCCCAGATCCTTAGATGGTCAACCTGAATCCTCAGGCTGAGGGAGTCAGTGAAGGAGTAAGTGAAAAGTTGAGACCACTATCCAACAGGTCTGGGGCATGCAGGTGAGCCCAGGCCCCACAAGCTGGAACCATGAAGGAGCTCGTGAAAGTTACTCCCATCCCACAAGAGCAGCTCATCCCACTGGTCTCAGCTCTACCTCTCTAACACCCCCGAAAAAGGGAAGCCAACTCCAACAACACCTTGGTGTCCCTGGAGGTAGTGCTTCCTGCATTCCACATCCCACTGACAGATTGTTGGCTTCCTTTGATGACCCTAATAAAATGTACCAGTAATTATTTATTTTGTCTTAGGAGTGCAAAAGGCTTATTGGGGGAAAAAAAAGGAAACAAACAAAATAATAATTTGCTTTGCCTTAATTAAGAACTCCTGCTTGGAGGCAGTAAAGGAATGACCCTCCATGGCCTGATGATCAAACTCAGGGTAAAAGCTCTTGGCTCTCCACCCACTCCTAGTCTCCATGCCTCTGAACTCTCCATGACACCTTCTCTCTATTAGGTGCTGGACAAGACCTCCCTCACTGCCTTCTGAGGTTTGTTTTTACAACAGTAAGAGCTTCCATTTACTGAAAGCCCACCCTGGGCCAGGCCCCATACCAAGCAAATGACCTGCTCTCTCGCTGATTCCTCATGGCCACCCAGAAGAGTGCCATTATTGTGTCTACTCAGAGATTGGGTGGCTTTCCCAAAGTCACACAGCAAGTAAGTGGCAAAGACTCAAATTGCATGTACTTGCTTCTGAGCCACACTGCCTTAGTCAGCTGAGAGTGAGCCAGGAGACCCCCAAAAGTCAGACAAGGACCCTGCCTTGAGTCAGATATTCCTGGGATGAGACAGGAATTGAAAGTCAGAGTCAACTGCCTTCCCTCTGGGCCCTCTGGCACAGTGATTACCCTCATAAGTCTGGAGTCCAAAAGGCACGGGGTCAAATCCAGGCTGCTTCCAGGTTGCATGGCCTTGGGCAAGGTACTTAAGTTCTCCAACTCTCAGTTTTCCCATTTGTGAAATGAAATAACACCTATCGTACAGTTTAGACTCATAGGGCTGGAACTGAGTCAACTCAGGCAGCAGTGGTGTCAAGGGCGCCCTGTGAACAGGCCACAGCATAGCAGGCCTGAGCAGGAACTCTGGAGACTGACTTCTTGGGTTCAAATTCCATCTCTATCACTTATCAACTGTCTGACTTCAGGCTGGTAATGTGGCCTTTCCAAGCCTCGGTTTCTTCATTTACTAAAAAAAAAGAAAATGGGAAACTGCTTCTTCTCCTTCCCTCTCCTTTCCTTGCTGAACAATTCATGGGGGTGGGGACTGGGGAGGATAACACTGCAGTGACCCAGAGTGAGGGTGTTGGAGTCTGTGGAGGGTGAGGAGGCATCCATTTGGGAGGTGGCAAGTCATGGGAATCAGAATGGGAAGAGGACAAAGCAGTTGTCCCATGGAGGGGCAGCCCAGCACGAAAGGTAAGAGACCAAGTGGGGTGAGAAGGGAATCTGCTGGTGTGGGGAAGTGGTGGCCCAATATGGAGAGTCATAGAACGGGTGGGGCAAGGAGAACATTCATTGGGAGGGGCAGAGGCCCAGCCTAGCATGGGTGTCAGAGTCCAAGTGGAGTGAAGAGGGCGTCCACATGTGGGGAGGCTGAGTTCCCGAGCTGATGAGAGCATCTATGCGTAGGTGACAGGTGGCCTGGAATGGGGGATTTGGGGCCCAAGCGGAGAGGAGAGTGTTTGATGAGGGAAGGATTAGTGGAGGACATGGACATTGGTCACATACAGAGGGATTAATCAAAGAAGGCAACACATTCAGGATAATGAAACCAGAATTCTTGCCACTGGAGAAATGGGCTGCAAAGATGTAAAGGGAGAAAATGAGAATAAATTCTATGGTGTGAAACTGGAACTGGAAGTTTCAGTGTGAATTTATTTCTGTATGTATTTTATCTATATTTATTTCTTATATAGAGAATATAAATAAATCTAGAAGTAAATATGTATCATTTATGTGTACTTTTTTGAAGATTTTTGAAATAAGCACAAACTTACAGAAACTTTGGAAGTACAAGTAACTTCTTTTCTTCCATTTGAGAGTAAGAAGCTGACCTGATGCCTCATTATTCCTGAACACTTTACTGACTTTTTTTTTTATTTTGGAGGTTGGTGGGGTATGAGGACAGTGGGGGAGTATTAAGACAAAGCCTTTCTGTCACCCAGGCTGGAATACAGGGGCACAATCACAGCTCACTGCAGCCCCAAGCCCTGGGCTCAAGAGATCCTCCCACCTCAGTCTCCTGAGAAGCTGGCACCACAGATGTGCCCAACCATGCCCAGCTAATTTTTTTTTTTAGAGAGGCAAGGGTCTCCCTGTGTTGCCCAGGTTGGTCTCTAGTGTGTGATTTATCCTGCATAACCTCAATACAACCTTCAAAAGCAGGGATTTCACATAGTTGCATTACTCTCTTTTAATCCTCAGACAAAATTTTGCCAGTTGTCCCAATCATTTTCTTTATAGCAAAAGAATCCAGCTCCAAATCACATGGTGCATTTAGTTGTCACGTTTCTTCAGCTTCCTTAAATGCTGAAAGATGGAATAGTTCCTTGATCTTCCCTTGACTTTCATGATCTTGACAATTTTCAAGATAACAGGTCAGCCGGGCGTGGTGGCTCATGCCTGTAATCCCAACACTTTGGGAGGCTGAGGTGGGTGGATCACCTGAGGTCAGGAGTTCAAGACCAGCCTGGCCAACATGGTGAAACCCCATCTCTACTACAAATACAAAAAAAAAAAAAAAATTAGCCAGATCTGGTGGCGTGCACCCCAGCCACCCGGGTGTAATCTCAGCTATCTGGGAGGCTGAGGCAGGAGAATCACTTGAGCCAGGGAGGCAGAGGTTGCAGTGAGCTGAGATCATGCCACTGCACTCCAGCCTGGGCCACAGAGTGGGACTCCATCTCAAAAAAAAAAAAAAAGATAATAGTTCAGTTATTTTGTAGAATGTCCCTTAAGTTTCCTCCATACTTGGATTCAGGTTATGCATCCTTGGCAGGAGTATCACAGAAGTGATTTTTCTCATTGCATCTTATCAAGTGGTTCATGGTTTCAATTTGTCCTGTTAATAATGATGTTCATTTTGGTCTGTTGACTAAGATGGTGTCTGCTAGTCTTCTCCACTCCTTTGTAATTAGTAACTCCTTTGTAATCAGTAAGAATTCTGTGAAAAGCCATTAGGATGCTGCTGCATTTGTGCAAACTAGAGTCAGTGGTGGCTTTCACTGAGATAATGGCACAGCAGTGGAGAGGCAGGGGCATGTTTCATAAAATTCAGGAAATACAACCCACAGGCCTTGGTAGCTATTTGGATATGAGGAATGAGAGAAAGGGAGAAGCTAACAGTGGTGCTAACAGAGTTCCCATCTGGGCAGCTGGGTGTACAAGTGCACTTGGTAGGTGTGTAAATTAGCTCTACCATTGTGGAAAGTGGTGTGGTGATTCCTCAAAAAGCTGAAAACAGAACTACTATTCGATCCAGCAATCCCATTATTGGGTATACCCAAAGAAATATAAATCATTCCACCGTAAAGACACATTCACATGTATCTTCATTGCAGCACTATTCACAATAGCAAAGACATGGAATAGACCTAAATGCCCATCAGTGATAGACTGGATAAAGAAAATGTGGTATATATACACCATGGAATACTATGCTGCCATAAAAAAGAATGAGTTCATGTCCTTCACAGGAACACGGATAGAGCTGGAGGCCATCATCCTCTGCAAACTAATGCACGACAGAAAACCAAATACCACATGTTCTCACTTATAAGTGGGAGCTAAATGATGAGAACATGTGGACACAAAGATGAAAACAACAGACGCCAAGGTCTATTTAAGGACAGAGAGTAGGAGGAGGGAGAGGATCAGAAAAAAAATAACTGTTGGGTACTAAGCTTAGTACCTGGGTGATAAAATAATCTGTATAAGAAATCCCCGCTACACAAGTTTACCTATATAACAAACCTGCACATGTACCCCTGAACCTAAAATAAAAGTTAAAAAAAATAAAAATTGATATTCTGATTGTCAAATATAAATGGAAAGTTAAAAGAAAACTTAAAATAGCTAAAAACAATTTTGACAAAGGAAGAAATCCAGAGGACCTACACTACTAAATCTGAGAATTACCATTAAGTTACAGTCATCAAGACAGCTTAGTATCGATGGAATGACAGATATAGAGATCAATAGATGAGAATAGAGTGAGAAATAGGCCTATACATATAGGGTTAATTGATTTTCAGTGGTGCCAGGATAATTCAATGGGAGAAATACAATCTTTTTAACAAATGGTATTGAATCCAATGGATAGCTTCATGAAAAATAATTAAACCTTGGGCCGAGCGCAGTGGCTCATGCCTGTAATCCCAGCAATTTGGGAGGCCAAAGTGGGCAGATCTCTTGAAGTCAGGAGTTCAAGACCAGCCTGGCCAACATGGTGAAACCCTGAGTCCACTAAAAATACAAAACTTAGCCAGGTGTGGTGGCAGGCACCTGTAATTCCAGCTACTTGGGAGTCTGAGGCAGGAGAATCACTTGAACCTGAGAGGCAGAGATTGTGACACTGCACTCCAGACAGAGTGAGACTCCATCTCAATAAAATAAAATAAAATAAAATAAAATAAAATAAAATAAAATAAAATAAAATAAAATAAATTTTGACCCTCACTTCACACCATACACAAAAATTAACTGAAAATGAATCATAGACCTAAATGTAAATGCTGATTATAAAATTTCAAATAAAAAATAGAAAAAAAATCTTTGCACAAACTTTAAAGATTAATAAATTAGAGTTCATTAAAATTAGAACTTCTGCTCTTCAAAAGCCACCATTAAGAAAATGAAAAGGTAAGACACAAACTGGAAGAAAATGTTCATAGCACATATATCTAACAAATAGCTTGCATCCAGAATATAGGAGGAACTTTACAACTCTATATTAAGAATGCAAATCAGGAGACTTTTTATGATGAGCAAAAATTTAAAACATAAAAGAAGATAAGCAAATGGCCAAGAAGTACTTTTAAAAAGCTCAACATTGTTAGTTACCAGGGAAATGCAAAGTAAAACCATAATAAGAGCATCGTACACCCACCAAATGGCTCAAATTTAAAAGACTGGTGATATGAAATGTTGGTGAGGGTACAGAGGAACTGGAACTCTCATATACTGCTGGTGGGAAAATAATATGATGCAACCACTTGGAGAGCAGTTTAGCAGTTTCTAATAAAGTTCAAATATACTTACTATACAACCTATACAACCCAGAAATTGCTCACCTACTGAAATTAAATTCCTCCAGAAGAATTTAAAATATGATACATCTACACAAAGACCACTATACAAATGCTCTTAGCAGCTTTATTCATAATAGCCAAAAACTAGAAACAATCTAAATATTCATCAGTAGTATATGGATTTTAAAAATTGTGGTATGTTTATATGATGGAATATTACATAGCAATAAAAAGGAGTACAATAGCAACATATGAATTTCAAAAATGTGTGGAGCAACCGAAGCAAGATACAGAAGAGTATATAATGTATTATTCCATATATTTGAATTTCTAGAAATGAAAAATCTCATTTATGTTGACAAAAAGCAGATAAATGGTTTACTGGGACCAAGGGGACTGACTACAAAGGGGCATGAGAAACCTTTTTGGGGGTGGTAAAAATGTGCTAATTTATCTGAGGTATGTAACTATGAGTAGAATTACTAATCATAGCGTGGTTGTATGTTCTGGTTTATGGACCATCAGACCTTTTCCCAAAGTGGTTATACCAATGGTGGTGGTTTACACTCCCACCAGCAGTATACAAGAGTCTCAGTTGCTCTATATCCTCAACACTTGATACTGTGAGTCTTTTTAATTTTAGCCACACTGGTGGATATGTAGTAGTAATTTGTGATTTTAATTCACATTCTCTGAAGACTTTCCAATGTGTATTGGCTTTGGGAAATGCTTTTGAGACCTTTTGCCCATTTTGAAAATTAAAATTGAGTTATCTGTATTTTTCTGATTATATTGTAGAATTTCTTTGTATAATGTGGAATTGAGTTGTTTGCCAAATGTAAATGTCAGTATAGCTTAACTTTGTATTATTCTTTTTATAAGTGAGGATGAACATCTTTTTATTAAGAACCATTTGTATTTCTTTTTCTGAAGAGTCTTTATCCTTTGCCTATTTTTAAAATTGTTTTGGCATTATTTCATATAAATGATAGGAACTCTTTATATATTAAGAAGATTAGCCTTTTGCCTTAATATCAATGGCATGTTTTTTTCTTAGCTTGACACTTGTCTTTTAGCTTCGCTTATGGTGTACTTTTTGGCCACGCAGGGTTTTTTTCTTTTTTTTTTTAAAGAATTTATCAACCTTTTCTTTTAGATGTGTAGTCATTTTTACGTCCAATGTCCCCATTAGATACCAAAGAGAGGTGATGTCAGGCAATGTCTAGCCGCCTTGGACTGAGCCTATGGAAGGGCCTGAGCTAGTAGGGAGGGGAATAGGGGCTCAAGTCCTCTTTCTGCTACTTATGAGCTGTGGATCTTTAGGCAGGTTACTTTACCTCCCATTGGGGCAGTTTCTTTTTCTGCAAAATGGGGATATTAGGGCCCACCTTACAGAGTTGATGTAACAATTAAATGAGATATTGTACGAAAAGCACCTAACGCACAGCTAGCACAGAGTATAAACACTCCATACAAGGTACTTCTCTCTCTCTAAATGGGGTGTGTATGTGTGTGTGTAACAGGTGTAAATAAATGTGTGTGTGTCTGTGAGTGGGAGGAAGCAGGGCCCAGCTGTAGGATACAACACACAGTTGGCTCAATTACTCGTGGCCTCAAGATTAAAAAGCGGCTCCAAGTATTTACAGGCCCCCGGATAATTGCAAATCCCACAGCCTGGCTCCAGGCCAGAGCACTCTGCCTACACTCCCTTCCCCCACCTCCTCCACTGGTGGTCAGAACCTGGCTCCCCTACTCCCTCACTGGGATGGCCTGGCCCATAGATACCCAGAGGATCTGAGACTCCAGGGTGGTCTTGAAGGGGAGAGGCTGGGGCCTTGGTGGTCTGCTAAGCCTTCTGGAGATCCCCATCTGGACTGATTGCCTGCTCTGGGGACCTCTCCAGGCAAGGAGATCAGTGTACAGCCAGTGAGTAGAGGGGCTCCACATGGCCTGGGGCTCTCCCCCTTGACACCTTGGCTCAGCCAGACTTGCAAATCTCATTCCTCAACATACTGGAGTTCACAGAGCAAGTGGGGCTTTATGTCTCAGTGTTGCTGAGAAAGGGCCAGGAATTCCCTTTTTGTATATCCAATTCTTCCAGAGTTCTGGGAGAGCTGGCAGTTTAAAGAAGTCCTGCTGAGAATCTTCTAGGCAGACCAGGTTACCTCTTCCCTGTGGAGCTTTGTGAAGCTGTTTTTCTCTGACTTTGCTAAAGATGAGAGGTGCATAGACACCTCTGGAACCAGCTGGAAAGTTGGCATGAGGCCAGGGAGGTCTCTTTGTTTCCCCAGTAGTGCCAGTCAGCCTCACAGGGCTCTGGTGCTAGGAAAGGGCTCATGGGCAGCAAATCCATGCTCCTTCTTGTCCTACTCACTAGGGAAGTGGGCACCAAGAAGGGATATGATTTGCCTGAGGTCACTACATTAGAAGCAAATCCAGGCAGAGATCTAGAAACCAGGAGCACACTCTTTCCTCCCTTCAAGTTCCCAGCATCAGGCATAGGGTCTTTAGTGTAATGGGAGCTCAAAGTGATGGTTGGCTGGATTCAAACACCAGGTTTCCTGATGGCTGATCCAGTACTGATCTAGTTCTCTCCCAAGATGGCCCTGGAAATATTCTATGCAGAGAAATACTTTGTAAGATCCTTGTTGAGGGTAGCTGTGGTAGATTAAAGACGGCTGCAAAATCATGGCTATTCCTCCATGGAGAGGTGGGGCCAAATTCCCCTCTGCTTGAAACTAGGTTGGGCTTAGTACCTCACCTGACAAATTGAATGATGTGGAAGTGATGTTCTAGGACTTCCAAGGCTAGGTCATAAGCAGCTTAGCAGCTTCTACTTTAGCCATTAGTTAGCACTCCCTCTTGTAAACCTGAGCTTCCATGTAGGAAGTCCAGCCACGCTGAGACCGCCAGGCCAGAGAACTCACTTGCAGGCCTCTGGCTGACAGCATCTCTGAGTCCAGCCTTCTCACTTCCCCTAAACACACACCAGACACGGGAGCGATGCCGTCTTGGGCCCTCCAGTCCATCTGCCCTCTCCATCCCACTTAGGCAACCACCACTCATTAGTGAGTCCTGCCTGGATTTCCGATCTTCAAATTCATAAGATGCAATCAAATGGTGCTTGTTTTAATCTACCTGAGTTTTGGTGACGTTTGTTACACAATAATAAATAACTGTAGGAAAACTTTCCCTCTTCAGGAGCTGCTGTTGAGCCCATTCCAGAGTGAGTACATGCAAACTTACCCAGCCCCAAATATTACAAAGGTAACCTGGCTGCCAACTGGCACAAAAAGCTAAACCTAAGTCTCACATAGCGAGCACTGCACGCAAGGCACTCTGTTCACACATAATTCTCAAGCCACCTTTTTAGATAGTTTCGTGTGATGTCTCCATTTTACCAGAGAGGAAATGGAGGCAAAGGTTAACAGACTTGCCCAAGACCACACAACTAACAAGTTGCACAGCTGAGACTCAAAACCCACGCCTTTTTCCAGAGTCTATGTGTATTGTCTCCCTCGATGAGTGGGTGCTTCCTGGGGCTCTCCCCACTTAGGAAACATCATGCCTGCACAGGCTGTGTGGGTGACATGAGGGACTCTGGAGTAGACGTGAGAGTGAGAGTTCCAGTGCCCAGGAGAGCTGCCTCCAGGGTGATGAATGAGTCCAAACCCCAGGCCCAACCTCGTTCCATCCACCCAAGCCCCCTCCTCAGGCCCCTGCCACAGCTGCCACCATCACAGCCTCCTATCCAATTACAAGCCCCAGACTACCCCCCTCCCTACCTCCTCCTCCTCCTCCTTCCAGTCCACAGGAGGGCAGAGACCCATCCTTCCTGGGAACAGTGCTAAAGCTGGAGCACAAATCTGTCAAAGGCCGTGCCAGCTGCTGTCATTGCTGTGGCCCCCGCTTGCTGAGCTCATTCCCTGGGGTCCAAGGCAGCTGGTGCTGAAGAAGGACAGGAATGAGGGCCCTGCAGTGAGGATGTGTGGAATCCTGCAGTTGCCTTTGTTTAGATGTGTCAGACCACACCAGGCCTGGGCTCTGCACCTGCTGCTGGAGGAAGTCACCTCCTACCTCCCATCCAGTACATGAGCATGTACACACACACAGTGCCACCTCTACCTTCCGCTCAGGGTGCGCTCACTCTCTCTCACACACACACACACACACACACACACACAGAGTGTCTCCTCTACCTCCCACTTCAGTGTGTGCTCACACACATACACATACGTATGCTGACATAGTGTCACCTCAACCTCCCACTCAGGGTGTGTTTATACACAATACACACTCACACACACAGAGTGTCCCTTCTACCTCCCACTTCAGTGTTCAGTGTGTACTGACACACACACACATCCAGTGTCACCTCTACCACCCATTCAGCGGCCTCCCACACAGTTGGGTCAGTGTGTGGAGTGATGTGGAAGCTCCCACATAGGCCTGGTAATACTGGTCTTTCCCGCTTAGTTGGTGACTCTTTCCTAATCTATTTTTATTTTCAGAGATGGGGTCTCAGAGTCTCAGGGCCTCGCTCTGTTGCCCAGACTGGAGTGCAGTGTTGCAATCAGGGCTCACTGCAGCCTCCAACTCCTGAGCTCAAGGGATCCTCCTGCCTTAGCCTCCCGAGTAGCTGGGACTACAGGCGTGTACCACAACAGCTGGATAATTTTTTTTTAACTTTTTGTCAAGACTTTTTTCACTTTGCCCAGGCTGGTCTTGAACTCCTGGACTCAGGTGACCCTCCTGCCTCAGCCTCCTGAGTAGCTGAGATTACAAGCATAAGCCACCATGCTCGACCCTGTTCCTAATCAGTTTTCCCATCAGAAAAATTGGTTAATCAAAGCATCAAACTTACAGGTTTTTATATTTCAGGTCCTTACCAAATGATTGTTGAATAAAACCAAAGAGTCACTCCCCAAATCTATCATTCATCCCTATGGTGCAGGTCCCTAACCCCACTCCCTGTACACTTTCCCTTCCTTCCCACCATCCCACACACACATGGACCTTGACCTGAGCTGCTCCTTATCAGGCCTGCCTTCTACCCTGAGAGTCCATGAGCTGCCTTCCTCATGGCCATGCTCTGAGGCCTGAAGTGGGTGGTCAGAGGAGCTTCCTATGTTTTGGAAATGTATCTAATACTTGGAAAGACATGACAAGCTCACTGGATGTTCTTTCAAAGCCACACTAGAGCATGGTCCAACAGACCCTCTAAGGGTCATCTGACTCTCCAGGGGAAAGTAGCTTCAATTGACCCACTGTTTTCTACTGATTAGACCCAGACTCTGTAAATGAGATGTTAACTTACAGGGAAATAGAGGCTGGTAAATTGGAAGTGACTCTTGTCTGCTAGAAAAGATAAGCCCAGAGCCGGGCGCGGTGGCTCACACCTATAATCCCCGCATTTTGGGAGGCTAAGGTGGGTGGATCACGAGGTCAGGAGTTCAAGATCAGCCTGGCCAATATGGTGAAACCCCCTCTCTACTAAAAATACAAAAATTAGCTGGGTATGGTGGTGGGCACCTGTAGTCCCAGCTACTCTGGAGGCTGAGGCAGGAGAAACGCTTGACCCTGGAAGGTGGAGGTTGCAGTGAGCCAAGATTGCACCACTGACTCCAGCCTGGGTGACAGAGTGAGACTCTATCTCAAAAAAAAAAAAAAGAAAGAAAGAAAAGAAAAGATAAGCCCAAAGGTTAATGTCCTAGACAACTTTTGTCATCCTGCTGGTTCCCTCATTAATAAGTCCCTGACAAATTCTCACTATAGCCTGTATGAGAATCATGATTTCAACTTTGCAAAAATTATGCTTCAACGCTGATCTCAAGTTTCCAGAGGATGTCAGAATTGGGGTGAGAGGACCTCTGAGGGTGGAAATTGGGAGGAAGAAGGTTGAAGTCACTGTGAAGGATGACAGGCTGTAGGGTGGAGAAGAAGACTGAGCTTAAGGCAGGAAGTGCCCCTGTGTCCTGAGTAAATGGTGCTGAGGATGCTGGTGGGAATATGTGGGGTGGGGGTGTGTGGGGGAGGTGGGGGAGAGGAGCAGACAGAACTGGAAGAGGTGATGGCTAAACAACAGTGGTCAAGCAAAGTGGCCACCAAGCCAGGAGCTCATTGGTCCCTCTTCCTAAACCTGAGAGAGAAGGTGGATGAGGAAGTCTGGTCTCTATGAGAGAGTGTTTCAAAGAAAAGAAACCTCAAAAAAATTCTCATGTAGTAAAAGGAACGTTCCAGAAGTCTTGGTGATACGAGTTTTTTGAAGGAGGTGGGGGTGAATATGGAAGATGGCAGACTGCAAGGAGCAGCTCCTCAGGTCCAGGAATGAAGGCAGCAGGGTGGGAAGCCTTCTGGAAGGCAAGCTGAATCATAATGAGGCCTGTGACAGACTGACCAGACCTGGGGCTTCCTACTGGAACAGGGCCTGGTGTGGACTCAGAGATCAGGGATGCTTCAAGTCTGAGTTCTGAATGCTGGGCAGGGACCATTAGGGTTTTTCTTGGTGGGCTGGGCTAGAGGAGACAACTATGGAGTTGGTCACACTTCATGTGTGACCACAGCAGCTTTTAACAGAAGCACCCTAGAAACCACTGGTACAAGGACAGTATCAGGTGGCAAGGAGCAGCCATAAGGCCCCCCAGCAGCATATCTGCACCACCAGGGCTGTGATTACCAGCAAGTCCCACCCTCAGAGCTGCTGCTGGCACAGACTCATCAGCTGTGAGCTTCAGGTTTCTTCTAATAAGGAGGCTGATGAATCAAACTGGCTGGTTTAAAATTACTCTCCACTCAAGAAAGGAATGAGCTTAATAGCCCCAAGTAAAATGGGGCAGTAGCACATTACTGTGGCTGGTCAGGATGCAGACATTGGCTCACTCATCTCTGTAACCCCAGCCCTCCAGCTTGGGGGCCTTTCTGTCTAAAATTCTGCCAGTTTCAGAGACTCCCCTCTATACCCAGTTGCTGTGCCACTGTTTATTTACCAAAGATAAATTCCACTTTCCTCATTGGATAAAAACAAACAAAACAAAAAATCTCTGCTGCTTTCTTTTGTATAGATGCCTCAAAAAGGATGTCTCCCAGGTTCACAAACCATCCTTTCCAAAGGTCAAAATTTTAGCCCACCTAACTCCACTTTTTGAGGTCAATACATTTCCCTGGTTAGCAGGTCTCACCTGTGGCCCTCCTGGGCCCTGCCCGAGATCCAGTGTAGAATCTCCAAGGGGAGAGACTAGAAAAATCACTCTTTCAAGTGAATTTGATAATGAGGCAAGGACTGGGTAGGTTTAGATTAGAACCTCTCCAGTTTGCTAACAAGATAGTACGCTGGGTTCTGCACACATTTCTAGACAAAGTTCTGGCAAGGCTATTCCAGAATCTTACCTCACCACTAGGTTCACCCCGGGGTGGGGAGATCGGGGGCAGATGAACTGGGCTCCACAGAGTGCAGCTTCTCTCCAGCACCCATTCCTCATTTCTCTATGGGTAGAATCTAGTTAAAGAGAACCATGGTGAAGACGGCAGTCGTCTGTGGGGCAGTCTCTGAGGGGCGAAGCAGCCAGGGTATTGTGGGAGCTAGCCTACCACAGGTGGAACACTCACTCATCGCCAGAGAGGCTCCCCGTCATTGTGGACCTCTGAGGTGGACGAGGCCTGCGGTGAAGCTGGCTTCCACCACTTACAGCTGCATGGCCATGATGGGTAATAACCTCTTTAAGGTGTAGTCCACTCCTTTGGAACATGCAGAGAACAGTAATTCTTTCAGGGTTGTTGTGAGGTTTGTCTGCCACAAAGAACAGAAATTACTCAGCATAGAGCCTGACACATAGTCAGTGCTCAGTAAGTGCCAGCTACTGTATATTCGACAAACACTGGGTAAAAATAAGAAAAACAAAAACGGATAGGCATGGCCCCAGCACAGAACTTACAGAGTACAGGGTCTTAAAGGGACATTTCACTCTAAAATAATAGAAGACAATGGGTATTTGTTTTTAAAGTGACAGGAAAATAACTGGGGAAAAGCACAGGGTTGATTCAGAAATGAGTTTTTTTCTGACCCCTAGAAGCAGGGAAAAAAAAAAAAAAGAGGAAGAGAGTT
Organism: Homo sapiens; assembly: GCF_000001405.40. NCBI lineage: Eukaryota > Metazoa > Chordata > Mammalia > Primates > Hominidae > Homo > Homo sapiens. The sequence goes on along the minus strand of NC_000010.11, from coordinate 110,613,849 downwards.
CTGACCTTGCACGTTCTTTAGACCTAAGTCTGTTGGAGCTAAAATAGAGTACAGGGGCACAGAAAAGGGGTGTGTCTTACACATTGCAGAGCCTTTAGCCTTGCGGCAAATTGTTACCCCTGCACCTGCCCTAATGTGTCTGACAGCTTGGCTACCTGGAACTGTTTTGAGTTGTCAACATCCATATCCCTTCTGATATTGTTGGCTCTGTGTTCCCACCAAAATCCCATCTTGTAGTTCCCATAATCGCCACATCTCGTGGGAGGGACCAGGTGGAGATAATTGATTCATGGGGGTGGTTTTGCCCCATCCTGCTCTCGTGATAGTGAGTTAGTTCTCACGAGACCTGATGATTTTATAAGGGGCTTCCCCCGCTTCACTGGGTGCTTAGGCTCTCTTCTGCTAGCCTGTGAAGAGGTGTTTTCCACCGTGATTGTGAGTTTCTTGAGGCCTCCCCAGTCATGTGGAACTGTGAGTCAATTAAACCTCTTTTCTTTATAAATTTCCCAGTCTCAGGTATTCCCTTCATGGCAGTGTGAGAATAGACTAATACACCTCCCTACGTCAAATGTCCCAAGTGTCTCCTTAAAAACCCTCTTATGGCTGGGTGCAGTGGCTCATGCCTGTAATCCCAGAATTTTGGGAGGCCGAGGGGGGCAGATTATTTGAGGCCAGGAGTTCGAGACCAGCTTGACCTACATAGTGAAACCCCGTCTCTACTAAAATACAAAAATTAGCCGGGCATGGTGGCAGGAGGCTGTAATCCCAGCTACTTGGGAGGCTGAGGCAGGAGAATTGCTTGAACCCAGGAGGTAGAGGTTACAGTGAGCTGAGATCATGCCACTGCACTCCAACCTGGGCTACAGAGCAAGACTCTTTCTCAAACAAAAAACCCTCTTATACCTACAAACTACAAAGTGAAACACATTTAATTGGATGTGAGAACCAAAAGAGAAATGAAATGCTTGGGGGCAGAACCACAATCCTGCTCTTCAGAGTGGGCAGATGAAGCAGGGCTGGGCCAGGCTCCTGCGAGAAAGCAGAGTGCTAAGCGGCAGGGTCAGGAACAGGCACAGGGCAGTGGTAGTGTAGTGCTCGGCGTGCAACCTTTCCCAGTCCTCCCACTACCAATCCTCCACTAGTCTTTTCCTTTTCAAAACTGGGAGTAGAGACTAGGGTTGGGCCAGGTGAGAGGAGTTGAAAGTTAACTGCTAGAGAATAGCAGAATCAAAGGCACTCAGCTGGCAACTACTCTGCCAAGATGCACGTGGGGCATACAGCGCAAGAGAAGGGGCTCCTCCTCAGGTGCCATCTGAAAGAGCCTCCATCACCCAGGATCTTGTTCAAACAAAGCCTCCTGCTTTTGTGGCATGGCGTCCCAAGGCTGTGAGGATGGAGACAGCAGGAAACAATACAGCCCAGATTTGTAGACAGCTCTGAAACCATCTGGTTCAAAGGTGCTTTTTGCCCTTCCTTGTGGCTGGTCTGTCTACAAGTGTTGGCACTGGTTTCATTTTGAATTTTAAAATGGCAACTAGAGAGGTTGGTGGACTAAGATAAGCCAGGACTCTACTCTCAGTTCCACTGCTTTCCAACAGAAATTGTTAGACAAGTTACTTTGCCCTCATGAAACTTAGTTCCTCTTCTGCAAACTGGGGTTACCACCACCCACTTCAAAGTCACTGCCCTTAAGAGAGACGATAAAAGCGCACATCTGGTAGCTAGTAGGTAATTATTATGCACAAGGTGCATACATTGATATACAAAAAGAAACTATCTCTGAAAGACTGTAATCCTTCTGCCCCAAGGGATCAAGAAATTACTTGAAATCAATGAACCCCTCTTTTTCATCTACTTAGCCAAGGGCAGAAGTTAGATGAACAGACCCCCTGCCTAGAAGCATGTGCATAAGAAAAAGAAAAACTAAAAGGCAAGGATCACTGAGAAGACCTGTTTGGCACCAGCTTCAGTGGTTTCTCTTTTTTGAGGTTTCTCAGAATCTCACAAATGAGATGAGCTCTGTCCATCACAAGGCCATGCTCCACGGTCATGCCAGCATTCCCATCAGTGTCAAGGCAGATGTTGCATCTCAGAGGATGAGATTTAGCCTGCTGTGTGACCCCTGTGCTGAGGTACAGGGGCAGGGCTGTGTGTGGGCTCCCACATGCCTGCTCACCATGGGGATGAACCCTTTATTCTTAAGCAGTAGGGAAATGGGACTTCTGGAACAATCCTAAAGCACATAATAATCTCACATAACAGCCACATAATCGCAAGGCTACAGGGATTCTAATAAGATTTCTAACAAGAAAAGAAGCAAGTATTCCCTTCACTCTGTGAAAGAACATAAGAGACGCTGATTCGGAGTGTCTTGTTGGGGAGATGACTTAAAAATGATAAACTGAAAAGCAACATAGGTGAAGCTGTTTCAATTAAGGGATGCAAGGTTAGAGACAGAGCAAATGAGGAAAATTATAATAGAACAAACTCTTCTGGGTTTATATGAAGATTGAGAAAGTATAGAGGAAAAAACTGCTCTGAGGAGAAACAAGTAGGGCTACTGCAAGAAAGGACTGTGATGGCTGATATTGTCAAATTGATTGAATTGAGGAATGCAAAGAATTGTTGCTGGGTGTGTTTGTGAGGGTGTTGCCAAAGGAGATTAACATTTGAGTTAGTGGATTAGGAGAGGCAGACCCACCTTCAATCTGGGTGGGCACCATCTAATCAGCTGCCAGTGCAGCTAGAATAAAACAGGCAGATGGAAAGAGCAGACTTCCTGAGACTTCCAGTCTTCATCTTTCTCCCGTGCTGGATGCCTCCTGTCCTCTAACATTGGACTCCAAGCTCTTCAGCTTTTGAACTCTTGGACTTATACCAGTGGTTTGCCGGGGGCTCTCAGGTCTTCAGCCACAGACTGAAGGCTGCACTGTTGGCTTCCCTACTTTTGAGGTTTTGAGACTCTGACTGGTTTCCTTGCTCCTCAGCTTGCAGACAGTCTATTGCGGGACTTCACCTTGTGATCATGTGAGTCAATACTCCTTAATAAACTACCCTTCATATATACATCTATCCTATTCCGTCCCTCTAGAGAACCCTAATACAGACTGCAAATTTTGTTAACAAGATCCCATTAAACAGCTGCTGCATACCTTTCTAAGCAGCAATCCAACCTGTTGCAAGCACTAGGTACCTTGGCTAAAAGCATCCAATTACTGAGCTGCAGTTAACACGTAGCTCAAACTCTTGCAACAGAGAAATCTCAAGAATGTCACACCTTGACCATCTCATTGCTCCTGGAACTCTACTCTAAGAAACTAGAGTTTGAAAAACTAGACTGAAAAAATGGAGGGGTTGGCATGTGTCAAGGGCCCCCTCTAGTGGCTCTGGGAAAAAAGTGAAGTAATTACTGGGAGACAAAGCAGCAGCCCAATGATGAAGAAAGCCTCAGCCTTATCTACCTTTGCAGCCATCATTTCTAATTCTGAAGTGGTACGATAGATTCCTGTGTTTGAAGACCTCTCCTAGCAAAGGCCTCTGCCTCAGAAGTGTCAGGGACCTTTAGTACATTATACCTTAACTGCCTCTGTTAACTTAGTCCCAAATGATTTGCCTTAAACCCGTGTCCTTCAATTTTCTATGGTGGTGGGTTTTTTCCACCCATATGTAGTTCCATGTTTCCAGCCTTTACCGCCATCATTGTTAATTACTGAATAATTTTAGGTGTATATTTATAAAGCCAAAGCAGGACTTGTGATCACTGTACACTTTAATGTTTGATAATCAACTTTCCAGGCACTGATCTGAACACACAAGTATCCATGAGATAACATTCAAACCTTAATGTCTCTTTCCAATAATAGAGTTATACCAACCAATGTGAGGACTTGAGAGAGGAAATAAATCCATGTGCTTCTTGCAAACCTAATCGCTAGGCTGCCTCATGTCCCTGAGCAATTACTGGCTGCCACAAGGGCTCTTACACCCAGGAGACTCTGTGTCTAGGAAGGGGAGAGTGAGTGCCACATGGTGGCAGATTTATGGAGCAACGCTGGCATCTTTCATGCAGAAGACTGGCAGCCAGGAGTAATCCAGTCCCCCTAAGACACTGAGATAAGTGATCAGAGTGTACCTAAATAAGTGCAGTCTAAAGAAAATAGGAGGAGTGGGGAGGCAAAAGGCAAAGAAAACCAGAGATGGTGAATTGTGCCCTTAAAATCTGTTTCTCTGTGTCATGTGGAGGATCAATCAACACTGTACTATCTCTCTCCCATTTTCATAGTTAACTTGGGAGAAAAAAAGAGCTAATGTATTAGAGTCTGTCCTGCTTGCGAAGGAAAGCCAGGACTTGGTTCTGGCTCTGTGGGTTATTAAGCTGTGTGTGCTCATTTATTCATTTGGGTCACTTACCTAATCTGGGCTTCAGATTTCCTCGTCTATAAAATTAAGGTATTAAACTAAAAAATTTTGTATCTCTGGATCTAAATATATCCTTCAAAGTCCTAACTTAGAAAAAGTGGAGATATGAAAGCCACTTTATTTTTTTGAGATAGAGTCTCGCTCAGTCGCCCAGGCTGGAGTGCAGTGGCACAATCTCAGCTCACTGCAAGCTCTGCCTCCCGGGTTCACGCCATTCTCCTGCCTCAGCCTCCCGAGTACCTGGGACTACAGGCGCCCGCCACCAGGCCCGGCTAATTTTTTGTATTTTTAGTAGAGACAGGGTTTCCCCGTGTTAGCCAGGATGCTCTGGATCTCCTAACCTCGTGATCCACCCACCTTGGCCTCCCGAAGTGTTGGGATTACAGGCGTGAGCCAACACGCCTGGCCGAAAGCCATTTTTAAGACACGTTTTGTGAAATCTGAGCTCTTGCCAAAATAATATTCCTTCTAGAAATGTTAACCACTTTATCAAGAATTACTTAATGTGACCAAAATAAAAGCTGTAACACTTCTAGGCAATAGGCAATTGAAACAGATTCTGTTCTTACTTTTCCCGGATGAAAAGAAGAATTGTTTCTTCCAAAAGATAAAACTAAGGAAACAAGGATATCACTGTTCAATCTTCACACAAAAGGAGAGGATAATTTCCACCTAATTACATATAATTTTAAAACAAAAAAGGGCCAGCTGCAGTGACTCACACCTGTAATTCTAACACTTTGGGAAGCCAAGGATCACTTGAGGCCAGGAGTTCGAGACCAGCCTGGGCAAAGTGAGACCCCACCCCCATCTACTTAAAAAATCAGAAATCAGCCGGTGTGTTAGCACACACCTGTAATTCTAGCTACCTACTTGGGAAGGTGCCCTGAGAGGAACCCTTGAGCCCAGGAGTTGGAGATTGCAGTGAGCTATGATTGAACCACTGCACTCCAGCCCGAACGACAGAGTAAGGCCCTATCTTCTCTTTAAAAAAAAAGAGAAAAAAAAAAAAAGAAAAAAATACCAAGTAGGGAAGGAAAGATCCTCCTAACTTTTAACAGCAGGCTAACACTTTGCTGTTACCATTTAAACTGCATTAATGTGCAACTGGTTCCATTTGCACTTCCCTCCATTTAAGATAGCTGACTAAGCATAAATACACAAACCTGGATTATCAGTGTTCCAGGATAAGGAGATACGCCTAAGTAAAAAGATACAGAATGAATATTATTTCGTAAATATAACACTTTTTTTTTTTGAGACAGGGTCTTGCTCTGTTGCCAGGCTGGAGTGCAGTGGCATGATCATGGCGCATTGTAGCCTCAACCTCCCAGGCTCGTGACCCCTTCCACCTCAGCCTCCCAAGTAGCTGGGACTACAGGTGTAGCCACCAAACCCAGCTAGTTTTTAAATTTTTTGTAGAAATCGGGTCTCACTACATTGCACAGGCTGGTCTCAAACTCCTGGCTCAAATGATCATCCTGCTCCAGCTTCTAAAAATGTTGGTATTACAGGTATGAACCACTATACCTAGCAGAATTTTTAAGAAAATGATTTCTTAAATCTTTAAGACAGAACATAATCTCTGCACCTCTGTGGCAAGCACCCAACAACTGGAAGCTGTATCCTGTGTAAGACCATTTGCTGGGTGATAGTGAAATCTGAATACTGTTCACTTTACTTAAACACTGGTATTCTCCCTTTGTGGGAAGCTGAATCAAAGTACTAGTCCTTTTATTAAGAGAGTTTTGGTTTTTTTTTTGTTTTTTTTTTTTTTTGACGGAGTCTCGCTGTGTCTCCCAGGCTGGAGTGCAGTGGTGCGATCTCAGCTCACTGCAACCTCCACCGCCCAGATTCAAATGATTCTCCTGCCTCAGCCTCCCAAGCAGCTGGGACTATAGGCCCGCATCACCTCACCCGGCTAATTTTTAGTAGAAACAGGGTTTCACCATGTTGGCCAGGCTGGTCTTGAACTCTTGACCTTAAGTGATCCGCCTGCCTCAGCTTCCCAAAGTGCTGTGATTACAGGCACCGAGCCACCGCGCCTGGCCTAGATAGTTGTTAAAAGAGAAACACCTTTTAAGAATTAACTAAATATTTCCAAAGACCCGTTTGCTATTGCTTTTTTTTTTTTTTTTGAGATGGAGTCTCGCTCTGTCGCCCAGGCTGGAGGGCAGTGGCACGATCTAGGCTCACTGCAAGCTCTGCCTCCCGGGCTACCGCCATTCTCCTGCCTCAGCCTCCACAGTAGCTGGGACTACAGACGCCCACCACCACGCCCGGAGAATCTTTTGTATTTTTAGTGGAGACGGGATTTCACCAGGTTAGCCAGGATGGTCTCGATCTCCTGACCTTGTGATCCACCCACCTTGGCCTCCCAAAGTGCTGGGATTACAGGCGTGAACCACCGTGCCCGACCGGCTATTGCTTACTCTTAAAAAAGAAATCCTCCCTTTCTATTTCTCCCTTTTCTACTGATTATATTATTCACAGTAAAATTATTTCTATAAATTACATCATTTTCTAAAATTACTATTTCACTAATTTTGAGTAGACAAATCCTTAACCTACATACTAACCATTTCATATTTTACATTTTTTTCAAAAAGAGCATAAAGAGTATACAAAAATCCTTACAAATATTCACACTCTGACTTCTAGGAATCTACGCTGGGAAAATAATCCTAAATGTTGGGAGTTTTATGTATAAAAATGTTGATCTGTTTTTTAATTCATTTTTGGTACTTTAGCCAAAAGAAAACGATCTAAGCCTCCAGTGGGATATTTAAGTAAATTATGCTACTTCTACTTGACAGAATAGTATATGACTATTAAAATCTTGTTTCCAAAGCATTAAAACAGGAATATTTTATATTATTACTAAATTAAAAATCTAAGATATAAAATTATACACCTAGAATAAACATAAACCACAAAACTTTTTATGAAGATTTGAAGGAAATGCCCCAAAATATTAATATTGGCAGGCCAAAGCAGAAGATCACCTGAGCCCAGGAGTTCAAGGTTGCAGTGAGCTGTGATCCTGCCACCGCACTCCAGCGTGGGTGATGGGATGAGACCCCCCCCACCATCTCTTAAAATATATGTTCTTCAATTCCACTATGGTGAATGTAATGTATTTGTAACAGTATTAACAAAATCTCAAAGTGGAAGAATCAGTACTACTCTGAGGAAAGGACTATCCAGCCAAAGAGAAGCATAGATTTTCTTATGAATCACTGGCTAACTCCTTGGGTAAATGTCTGTCCTTCCTCTAAGTTTCTGGGTTAAGCATGCTCAGGATTGTCACATTTTTCTATTCAGTCTCATTAGAATTAATTCATGACTAAGATATCGCAAAGAATATAGGCTTTTACAAAAATTTTGTTTCATTATTTAGATGCTTTATTGTTATAAATTTACTGGCATTTCATTATACTAATATCCTTGGGGAAATGCTTAAGAACAATATTAAGAAGTTCTAGAATGATGTTATGTTTGTAACATCCCTTGAATTGAATCCTGGAACTTACCTTACACCAAATTCTGTATTATAAGGGGTTGGTCATATCAGAGCAACTCTACAAATCGTAAACTATACACCAAGCATTCATGATGAATATTCTTAGGTAGTTGTTTGAGAAAAATTCTTGGGTAAATGTGTAAGAAAAATGGTAGAAATATTAGAAAGATATTATAGTTACGTAACCCTTTGAATGTAGTCATAGATAGAACATATACCAAATTCTCTATTATAGATCAGTTATGTTATAGCAAAGCTACAAAGTATAAATAATACACCGAACATTTAAAGATTCAGCCAGTCAAAATGAAAACCCAAAGTAAACTCACATTTTTAAATTCAATTTAAAGTCCCATTACTATTTCTTTATTTTAAAAGTATCTCTTTAGGTATTTCTGGTTTCCAATGATGGAAGAGTAGCTCCTAACAAATTCTCCTGCAGATAACCAGTATAAACTCAGGCCAGGGGAAATCAAGAAAAAGAAATTAAAGGTAAATATTTGAAAAGGAAGAAATAAAACTGCCTCTTTCTTGCAAATGACATGACTGTCTATGTAGAAAATCTCAAAGAATCTACAAAAAGCTACGAGGACTATTGAGGTAGTTTTCCAGGGTCACAGGAGACCCCCAGTGCTTAAAGACCTACTTTCAAAGAAAAGAGTAGTATGGAAAGGGAAAAAAATGTAACTTCACAACAAAGAAACCTGGCAAGTACAATGTTGGGTAGGTGATCAAGGTAAACATCAGTGATAAAACATGTTAATAATATGTACTATTATATGAGGTAATGAGAATACTTCGCTTCTGTGGTATTAGCTCCAATCTAACCATGAGAAAAATATTAGACAAACCTAATTTGAGGGACATTCTACAAAATATGTGAATATTATTCAAAATTGTCAAGATATGATAAACAATGACAGAGAAATTGTCACAGACTAGAGGAGATGTAAGTAAATGTAATGTATCCTCTGTGGGATCCTAGAAAAGAAAAAGGGCCTTAGTGGAAAAACTAGTCAAATCTGAATAAAATCTTGAGCTTAGTTGATAGTAATGTATCAATGATAAATATACCATGGTAGGGGCTGATTTTGTGCTTCCCTTCCCAAACTCACATGTTGAAGTCCTAACCCTCAATACCTCAAATTTAACTGTATTTGGAGACAGGTCTTTTAAAGAGGTGATTAAGTTAAAATGAGGCCTTACATCCAATCTGATTAGTGTTCTCACTGGAAGAGACTATGACAAATGAAAAGCCACATAAAACACTATATTAGTCATAAAACCGATTATTTAATTGAAGCTATAAAAAAGGTAGTATAAGTGATAAAATAATTAGGAAAGAATATTTAGCATGTTTCAAAACATTTAAAATAGGAGCAGAACATTTTACAAAAAGTTGTACAGGAAATTAAATTCTTAAACTATCAGTACAAACATGACATTACAGAGTATCTTATAAAATACAAAGACAAATATAAAAGGACTATGATGCTTTAAGTCTGAAAACTATTGGCCAAATATTTAGGTTTAAATTTACAGTTCCTGGGTATGAGAATCATATTACTATATACATCTCCCAAACCAGTAGGTAGTATTTTCCAATTAACCATGTGTGGTATCATCTTCTACAAAGTCTTTGGCCATCTCTGCTGTGATCACATCAATATGACTAACCTGAAGAATAAATGTTAAAAACAAAAATCTGTTAATTACATCAGTGTTTACATTGTATAGGGTAAATATATACAGCCTATCAACTACATTTAACTACATTTTTTAATTTTTAGTTTTTTTTTTTTTTTTTTTTTTTGAGATGGAGTCTTGCTCTGTTGCCCAGGCTGGAGTGCAGTGGCACCATCTTGGCTCACTGCTACCTCCGCCTCCCAGGTTCAAGCAATTATTCTGCCTCAGACTCCCAAGTAGCTGGGACGACAGGTGCACGCCAGCATGCCCAGCTAATTTTTGTATTTTTAGTAGAGACGGGGGTTTCACCATACTGGCCACGTTGGTCTCAAACTCCTGACCTGGTTATCTACCTGCCTTGGCCTCCCAAAGTGCTGGGATTACAGGCATGAGCCATTGCGCCCGGCCTATCACCTATATTTTACATATGAAGGAAAATAATTCTGAAGCACTGACTTATAAAACCTTTATTTACAGTGGTGTTTGTTCAATGCATAGATTTAAAAAATATGTATTTTAATGCTCTGAAGAAATAAATATCATGCCTAAACATCTAAACTACCTTTTTGTTCACTTTCTATTACTTTGCTATTTCATCAAGAATTTTAAGGTTGGGAAGACACCCAGGAAGAGCTATGCAGTCTATACAAATGAACATATATAATTGTTAAAGACTGTGCATTACAGAAGCATTGAATAGACTGGACAGAAAGATATTGTTTATTAATGCCAATGAAAATAAAACCAATGCAACGCCATAAAATACTGCTAAACTTCATAGTTATTTGAAGGAAAAGTTCTTTCTTTACAAAGACATCAGATAAGCAAAGACTTTCTAAGTTTTCTTTCACTATTTAAGTAACATAAAATCAGAATTCAACAAATATAATTGAATAAATACAAACTTAAACTCAATGTAAAATAAAATTACCTTATTTCTGAACTTTACACCATAGAATTTGTCAGCTGACTCAAGCAGTTCAGGCCTAAAAGTAGTTGTAATAAACTGAGCATGTACAGCAAGTTCCATAATCATATCTGTAAAAAGAAAATTGTGCTTTAACAAATTTCTTTTCAGCAGATCTGAAAATTTAAAAAGCAACTATCTTTACTCTTACTAAAATTCAAAACTGCCTGAGTTTGATTTTTTCATATATACATCAGCAAATATTACCAGCTTATTGTTAAATACAAAACCAAAACTGTACTGAAACTGTACCTGACACAGCCTTTCTGTGCTGAGCATCCAGAGCCTGGTCAATTTCATCAAACAAGTAAAATGGAGCCGGGTCACATTTCTGAATGGCAAAAATCAGAGCAAGGGCTACCAAGGATTTCTGTCCACCTGAAAGCTGTTGCATTTCTCTCATTTCACCTTGTTTTCCTGTAAATGACACCTAAAAATAAACATATTATGAGTTAATATCCTAAAGGGCAGAATCACCACCATCTTTCAAAAGTAACTTGCATATAATGCACCAATCAGATTTGCAAAAGATACTATAAATTCTATTATGGTAATGCTCTGAGGAAAATGGAATATAAAGGTATTTTACCCTAATTCCAACTCCAGTAAACTGGTCAACTGATGGGACACTGCTTTGTGAGCCAGAACCCCTCTCACTCTCACCACTCCCTTCTCCTTCATCTTGAGACTGACTGCCCTCCACATCTCCTTTCTTCATCACCAAAGTAGCTTTGCCACCAGGTACTAACTTCTGGAATACTTCACTGAAGTTCTTAGATACCTTAAAACAAAAGCAGATTGAAATATAAATTTTGCTTAGAATTATATATAACACTTAAGTAAAATATTTAAAAGCAACCAATTATTTTTTAATCTTAAGAACAAGGATAACAGACTAGATCCTTCTAAGGGCTGTGTAAAACATTCAAGTTACTGTAAACCTATATGCTAGGTTTGTTCACATGTATTAGATTCACCTGGTAATGAGGAAAACAGCTTTAAAATCTTTACAAACTGAAAAGAGCTGGAAGCTTTTGTCCTCTGTGTGTATGTTTTAACTACAAAGCGAAACATACCTGTTTGAAAGTTAACTGAATAGCTTCATATTTCCGAAGTTCAAGTACATTCATCAGTTCCATGATTGATTTGTAACCCCTATCTAACTCTTCTTGACGCTTTATTAACTTTTCTTTCTGCTCGGAGAAATTTACAAACTGATCCAAAGCCTTTTTGTTAACATGGCTGTACTTCTTTAATTCTGTGTTGCACTGCTCAAGTTTTCGAAACAACTATAAAGAGAAAATATGTATTCATATAAATAAATTTATATACTGAGCAATTTGTAACAAGACTTCAAATTTAAAACCAACCTGTTTGAGGCTCAGTGTCTGGTACTTTTCAAATGCTTCCTGGGGAAGTGATCCAAGTTCTCGAATTTTCTTCATACACTCTTCTTTCTTCTTCAATAGCATGCCTTGCCGATTTGTCATCTTTTCCAGTTCTTTAGTATCATGATTTATAGCATCCATATGTTCTTTTTCCATATTTTTCCAGCGCTCCATACTCTTCTGAAGCTCCTTAATTCCAGCTTCTGTTTTATCAATGGAATTGTCCAAATCTAAGATGGGGGGAAACAAAATTAGGCTATAATACCTATAAAGCCAGTGTTATATGTTGAGTATAGATTTTTATGATCAAACCTACCAAAATAGGTTTTAGGTTTTGTGTTTAAAATTTTCTGTGAAAATTTATGAACCATGTTAAGTCAGTACAAAATTAGAAGTATATATGAGTCACTCAAATATATAATTTTCATTATTCAATGTTAATGCTTATAAACTATAGTTATTTTCTAACAACTAAGTGATGAGAAACTTTCGTCAGGTATTTCATATTTTATCAACAAAATGAATCATTTATGGTCTCAAAATTGTCATAAACATTTCAGTAAAACAAAAGTTACTATTTATAGTCAACTTCCTAAATTCCATTTGCTATACATTGTTTATAATGGAAAACAAAAAATCATTAGCATATGCTTCTGCCTATTTGGACATTTCATTCTGTAGTAAACAATTTTATAAAACATGCATATAAACAAAATTTTACTACATAAAAATTCACCTTCTGATCGTGCCATAGTGTCTTTTACTCTTTTATTGATGGCTTCAAGTTCTGATGTTGTGGCTGTGAGAACAGTACCCCCTTCTGTCTCTCTCAGCTCATTAAGTTCCTGTAACAAAAAATACAAATTCCATTAGTTTCAAATGTTATGACTGCCAACATTTTCTATGGCTATTGTCTGAATAAACATTCAAGAAAACAAAAAAATATAAATACATCATATAATTACAAATACTTAGAAGTATCCATTAAAGGGAAGAAAAAAAAGACACAATTACTAGAAAATTTCTAAGCATCTAACCACCACTGAAAAAATATTAACAAAGTACTTAGAATGTGTCAGGATAGCAATTATATAAAACAAGTATGATAATGCTTAATTCACACAAGAAACTGAGGCTTAGAAATAGTGACTTGTCCAAAATCACACACTAGGTGGCAGAATTCCAACCCAAGGCCCACAAGACACTAAGCTTTCTGTCCCCAAAGCCCATGCTTTCAATCAGAGCCTCTGATATAACCACTTGCAATAGGTCATGGCCACCAAGGAGCCCTTAAAAAAAAAAAAAAAAACACATACACACCTGTTCTACTTGGTCCAAGCGTTTTCTCAGATTCTCATTGAGATAAGTCTCTACTCGAGTAATAATACCTTCTAATTTAATTCTTTCATTTAGCAACTGTCTGTTTTCCTAGAATTAAGAAAAAGTTGTCTATATAAGCATGTACATTTCACACACAGGAATGGTGCTCATTTGCTGTCCTCTCTAGTACTTGTGCTCATGTGAGCTGAAATGAAGTTTAATATGTTATATTCTTCAAAAAAGCCCTATACTTTCTTCATTTTTCTCTTATCAATTCATAATGTTAAATTTTTGTGGCTGGCCCTTTTTATAACGCATGCTGTCAAAAACAGTTTCTTTAAATGCTTTTCATTTTTTAGAATCGGTGTTGGTAGTTTACATCTATGCAGTTTTAAAAATCAATTAAAATGCTTGATCAAAACATTAAATATGTAAAGGCAGTAAGATAAATATGGTAAGGCTAACAAGCTCAAACTCATAGCAATACTTACAACTAATAAGTAATGCTAATTAACTAAATTTTAAGGAAATGAAAATTTCTTGTATAATCCTAACCTAGCTAGATTGGTTTAGAAAAACAAAATCTTATTTACTCCTATGTATATTAAAAGTCCAAGCCTCATTTTAATATTTTCTCAGTTCTTTTCTTTCATATTGCCCTAGTTAGCAAGAAAGGCCCTTTTCACAATAGCCAATTACTAACGAATTCTTTTTCCAGTCAGCTGTCTACTTACCTGCTGAAGTTGACGAATCTCATCATTCAGTGCATCTACTCTCTTCTGATCTTCCAAACTCAGTTGAGAAAGCAAATCAGTTCCCAGTTCTGCTTTCAATGACTCTCTGGTAGACTCCATAGCATGCAAGCTTGCCTCCAAACTCTGTAAGCTACGTTGCTATATGACATTATCCATTTATTAGTAAGGTATTAGCCACTGTATTACTTATAGTGAAAATTTTAAAACAATCTATATTTGATTGAGCTAAATATATAGACATATCAACTCAAATATTAGGTGCCTATTAATTTGGTAATTAGGACTCTAGCAACAAGAAAAATATGATGTAATAGTATAGGTGGGGCAGGGTGGGGCAGATCATATTCCATGATTAAACTATACAAAAATCTTCAGGCATATTATAAGAACAAAAAGTTGCCGGGCGCAGTGGCTCACGCCTGTAACCCCAGCACTTTGGGAGGCCAAGGTGGGTGGATCACGAGGTCAGGAGTTCGAGACGAGCCTGGCCAACATGGTGAAACCCGTCTATACTGAAAATACAAAAATTAGCTGGGTGTGGAGGCACACGCCTGCAATCCCAGCTACTCTGGAGGCCGAGGCAGGAGAATTGCTTGAACCCAGGAAGTGGAGGTTGCAGTAAGCCGAGATCACGCCATTGCACTCCAGCCTGGGCGATAGGGCGAGACTCCATCCCCCTCAAAAAATAAAAAGTTGTCAGAATATGGTTGGGATGGTACAACTGTAGGCACATCTTTTTTTTTTTTTTTAAGCTCTTTGTAGTTTTAGTATTATACTAAGTAAAAGATTTGTCAAAACTGTCAAGTTTATGAGACCAATAACACACTATCACTTATAAGTTTGCTTTCTAATTTTAATACAATCTGGACAAAACGGAATCAAATATTCAACTAATTCCATTGTGCTTCAGATAAAAATGGTTACTGACAAAAACTGACCATCAGACAGTACTCTTATGTCACAGCTTCAAATGCCTATTTGTTCAATGAAGGTGGAAAGTTTGAACGTGCCAACAATAGGAGACTTTGGGTATCCATGGGTTTAAGAATGGTAAAATAGATGTAGATATCCAAAAGTATGGGTCTAGCCTGGGCACAGTGGCTCACACTTGTAATCCCAGCACTTCGGGAGGGCAAGGCAGGTGGATCATCTGAGGTCAGGAGTTTGAGACAAGCCTGGACAACATGGTGAAACCCCATGTCTACTAAAAACACAAAATTAGCCGGATGTGGTGGCGTATGTCTGTAGTCCCAGCTACTCAGGAGGCTGAGACAGGAAAATCGCTTGAACCCAGGAGGTGGAGGCTGCAGTGAGCTGAGAACGCACCACTGCACTCCAGCCTGGGTGAGACAGAAAGAGACTCTGTCTTCAAAAAAAAAAAGTATGGGTCCAAACAAAAATGAAACATAAAATTCAAGGATAACCCATATAATGTATGATTCATATTTCCATATTATTAATCTGTAACAATCGATCTATAACCAAAGATATACTTACGAACCTTAGGCATGAAGGTTTTCTCTGACTGCTGCCTCTTCTCTTTTAGCATCTTCATTTCTGATAATATGCTATCTCTAGATGCTTTAAATTTCCTTTGCTGGGTCTCGATCTGTTGCATTTGGTTCATCAACTGATCAATTTCATTATTAATCCATATACAAGGCTAAGGAAAATTATCTCCAGGTTGTAAATATATCGTATGTTCTTAATTCTTTTTAGACACAACACCATGTATCCCTTCCTTTTCTTTACCCCCAAATAACATTTATGTCCTCAAATTTATGGACCAAAACAATGCTGAACTATATTACCCAAAATGCATTCAATCATAAAGAAGCTTGAAACATTTCACCCCATTTCACTCTCAGAATAACATGTATACTGTTTTACTAAAAGTTATACAAAACAAATTCTTGGAAAACCATAAAGGAGGTTAGGTGAAATCTAACAATATTACATACTTTTAAATATCTTTTCATTCAACAAATGTTTACTGTTACTATGCTTAAGGCACTATGTTAAGGGTTTATGTATGAAGAGTTCTTGCCATGTGTGGAATAATTCAATCTAGCTGGATTATCAAACACAGGAAGACAGCTGGTATACACTGTCAACATCCTCCTTTTCCTCAGTATTTCCCCATACGCTCTTTGTGTTAACATCTTGCCAAATTCAGGCAGTTCTTTAAAGTGCGATATGCAGACCCCTGCAAGGTCAAAGCTCAGGTGCTTATTTTTCTTTTTCTGTGCTTGCACTGATGGCACAGAAGTTATAAATCTGCAGTTTTAAAAAAATTCCAGTTTCACCTGAAGCAGTTAAAAATCATTAACTTTATATCTATTCTTGATGCTCAAGTACCTATATTTTTCAACTTGTGTGGCAAAATGGAAAGCACACATAAAGTACTTCTTATACCAAAGCACCATGGTGGTTTTAAGAAAATCCACATATACAATTGTTTCATTTGTGAACTGAACTAACCACTCCTCATGCAGCACCATTTTTATGTAAAAAAAAAAACTATGGCTACTCCGACTTGGTTATCTGACAGCCATTTCCTCCACTAACATTAAATCTGCACCAAATAACTTCAAGACAGTAAAATCTAACATTTTTCACCCTCCCCTGTCACCTTTTTTTTTTTTTTTGAGACAGGGTCCCACTTTGTCACCCAGGCTGGAGTGCAGTGGTGTGATCTCAGCTCACCGCAACCTCCACCTCCCAGGCTCAAGTGATCCTCCTGCCTCAGCCTCCCAAGTAGCTGGGACTACAGGCCTGTGCCACTGTACAAGTACAATAAAATGCCAGTCCTTATATATTTGACTTCTAAGCAATATGTAACATTACTGATGCCGCCCCCACTCTCTTCCTTAAAACAGTATCTCTTGCTTACATAAATTCAACAGGGAAGAAGGGAAAAAAAAAAAAACTACCAAGGTTTTACTTGTACAATTCACAAACTGATCCTTCTCAGTTTCCTCTTTCTTTGCCTGATACAACCTTTATTTTTGTGTTCTATGGGTTCTTTTCTTCCAAGTGACTTCATGGTATTAGCTACTTAACACTTAAGCAAAGAATCATTAAAATAGCTTTTAGTCTTCAAAAGCTAAACAAACATAAGCTCTTGAACTTAAAACACAAGAAATTTTTAATATGTGAAAAAACAAAAGATTATATATGGCAACCAAAACACAGTTCTTCCCCCACAATATCTATCACTATGCACAAAACAAAAAGATATTTTCAATATTTCTGCGCAGGTTTTCATTGAGCTTTGCTTCAAGTTCACCTAGTTCTTCTTCTGCTTTTCTAACATCTTTTTGCAATTCAAGTCGAGACTTCCTTGTGTCATAATAACCCCCAGTTAGAGCACCCCGATGGCTGACTTGGTCACCTATAAACAAAACATATGTAATAGGTCTGTACAACTTTTTTATTCAATGATAAATTGACTTATAACAAAAAAACTAACCTACAGGCTTTAAGTAGATAATGAGAATTGAAAGTAATTTAAACCACCCTGAAAAAATTTTGCTTTTCAATGCTAGATTTTTTTTTTTTTTTTTTTTGAGACAGGGTCTTGCTCTTGTTGCTCAGGCTGGAGTGCAGTGGTGCGGTCATAGCTCACTGCAACCTCAAACTCCTGGATTCAAGTGATCCTCCTGCTTCAGCCTCCTGAGTGGCTAGGACTACAGGTGTGCACCACCACACCTTTTTTGTAGAGACCAGGTCTTGCTATGTGCCCAGGCGGTTCTCGAACTCCTGCCCTCAAGTGATCCTCATGCTTTAGCCTCTTAAGTATCTAGGATTACAGAGTCAAGCCACTGTGCCCAGCCAAAATTTGCAGTCTTTAAAAAAAAAAAAAAAAAAAAAAGAACCTCCAGTTGAACCTGAACATCTACCAGAGGGGAAGGAAGTGAAGACTAAAGAGGAAATATTAGTAGGACACAGGACCTAGCTTGAAATTTCCACTGGCCATATTTGGGAAAATTTGAGCATCAAAATAACAATACCAATGTAATAACATATTGAATTAAAAAAAAAAAATTCATGAATCACAGTGATACTTTTTTAAAAAATGAAAATTGGAGACTCTTTTCTACAGAAGAGTGACAGCTAATAAATGCAGCAGCAATAACAGAATTTATGAATCACCATTTTGAAACCCCCCAGTGTAACAACTGATTCAGGCAAGAGTCAACAAAGTGCTAAAGCAACTGAAGTTGTTGGGAGAACCTGACTTGAAGAATAATCTCACATATTATTAAATTACAAAGGGGCAAAGGGATACCTTTACAACGGAGAGATCTGCAGGTGATCAAACCTAGTATCACTAACAATGGGACACATTATATGACACCATAAGTACATATCATTCATGTAGCATTCATGCCAACAATATTTAAACAATGATGAGGAAGCAATAAGACAAATCCAGAAAATGGAACTTTTCTGGATTTCTCTGGGTGGGGAGAAGGGAGCAGGAGGAACTGTCTTATATTTAAAGAATCTAGACCGGGCATGGTGGTCATGCCTGTAATCCCAGCACTTTGGGAGGTTGAGGCAGGCAGATCACCTGAGGTCAGGAGTTCGAGACCAGCCTGACCAACATAGAGAAACCCCGTCTCTACTAAATACAAAATTAGCCGGGCATAGTGGCGCATGTCTGTAATCCCAGCTACTTGGGAGGCTGAGGCAGGAGAATCGCTTGAACCTGCGAGGCGGAGGTTGTAGTGAGCTGAGATCATGCCACTGCACTCCAGCCTGGGCTCGAAACTCCATCTCAAAAAAAAAAAATAAAGAGAAGACACTATATGCATACTTGATTTAATCCTAAATAGAAAAATATTTTAGGATAATTGAGAAAACTTGAATATGGATACTTTTTAGAGGATATTAGGTTAATGTTAAATTTCTTAGGTGTAACAATGATACTGTGGCTATACAAAAGAATGTTCTTATTGTTAGGAGATGCATGCTTAAATTTTAGAGATGACATGACATGATGTTTTACTTATTCTTGGATGGTTCAAAAACAACCACAACAAAACGTACATATACAGAAACAAAGCTTGGGGGGAGATGGGTTTACCTGCTTTCTTCAACAAATAAAGAGGAAAAAAAAAATTGAGGGCAGGTAAACTAAACCTATATACTGGAGGTTCTTAACCTGGATTTCAAAGATAAAATTCAGAAGATCTGTGATCTGAGTAGGAAAAAAATTTACATCTTTATTTTTATTAACCTCAAAATGAGATTTAGCATTTCCCTTCTATAACGAACACGACAAGAACCACAGTAGTAGTATTAGTATCTGTGACTACCAAAAGAAGAGCTATTTTCATATTAGGTAACACTTGTCAGATGTCAAAATATTGTTTACATGTATCAGTACTTCAAACTTATGGTAGCTATTAGACCCACTACTATCTTGTTTTTTGAATACATTAAATAATTATATAATATTTTTTAAAATAATAACCATGCGAATACAATTCATCTCCTTTGTGATCCAAAGTATTTTAATTTATGCATTAAAAATTGTGTTGAATGTGGCTTTTGTTGTGGAAAAAAGTAAAAAAAAAATAAATTTAAAAATTAAAAAAAAAATTGTGAAGGATCCATATGCTTCAAACAGCCAAAGCAGTCCACACTGCAAAAAAGGTTAAGAACCCCTGCTATATGATCACATTTCAGAGACATCAACTAAATATCAAGTACGAACCCTGTCTGGACTCTTAATTGAACAAACCAACTATTTAAAAAACTATAAAATAATTGAAAATAAATTTTTCTTTTTTTTTGAGACAGGATCTTGCTCTATCACCCAGGCTGGAGTGCAGGGGTGTGATCTTGGCTCACTGCACCCTCTGCCTCCCAGGTTTAAGCCATTCTCATGCCTCAGCCTTCTGAGTTGTTGGGATTACAGGTGTGCGCCACCACACCCAGCTAATTTTTTGTATTTTTAGTAGAGATGGGGTTTCACCATGTTGGCTAGGCTAGTCTTGAATTCCCTCCTCAAGTTATCCACCTGCCTCAGCCTCCCAAAGTGCTGGGGTTATATATAGATGTGAGCCACCATGCCCGGCCAAAGGCAAAGGATGAATTTTTCGAATACTCTCAAAACCAGAATGTCTCCAAAATACTGTAAGATATATTAATCAGACATGCATACAGCTCAACTGACATATTATACAGATTATATGTCTCTTTGTTTTTTGAGACAGAGTCTCGCTCTGTCACCCAAGCTGGAGTGCAGTGGCGTGATCTCGGCTCACTGCAACCACTGCCTCCCAGGTTCAAGCAATTCTCCTGCCCCAGCCTCCTGAGTAGCTGGGACTACAGGTGCACACCACCACACCCAGCTAATCTTTGTATTTTTAATGGAGACAGGGTTTCGCCTCGTTAGCCAGGCTGGTCTTGAACTCCTGACTTCAGGTGATCCACCCGCCTCAGCCTCCCAAAGTGCTGGGATTACAGGCATGAGCCACTGCGCCCAGCCAGATTATATGTTTTAAATGATTTGTTAGAATTTATCTGTTTAAAGCTAAGAATTAGTATTACAAACCTTCCAAAGTAATACAGTCCATAGTGAAAGCACGGGCCAGCTGGGTTGAAACTTCCATGCTACGACAAATAAGAGTCTTTCCAAACACATGTTTGAAAGCTTTGTCAAATCTGGGATTGTACCTCAGTTTGCTGATCATAGGAATAGCATCCTAAAAATGAAATTTTGTCAACAGAGAGATCACAACACAGTTAACTAAGAACTTAGAATTATGAAATTACATCTTTATGAAATACAAATAAACCATAAACACCATTATATTTCAAAACGATTGGCGTTTTCCCTGAAGTAGTTAGAAGACTCATTCCACTAGAATATCCTGGTAATTTTGCTCTTGTAATCAAGGTTTTCAATAGTAGAGCCTAATAGTGCTAAAGAGTTTAGTGGTTCTGAAGCTAGACTGCCCAAATTCAAACACTCGTTTCACCATTTATCAGATGTGTACTGTGGACAAGTTGCTTAACTTCCTCAGATAATAGTTACTTTATCTACAAAATCGTAGACAATACATACCTTCCTTATAAAGTTGTGAAGACTAAATGAGTTAATATATGCAAAACTTACGATAGTATCTCTCACATAAAAGGGCTAAATATAAATAGTACTTCCTCAAAATGTTTTAATTTTACATATTTTATATATCTAAATTAGATAGGAAAATATTTTGTCAGATAAAATTTCATTTCCTCTCTCCTAAACTGTTAGAACAGGGTTTTTAAAATTATGAAAATATATCCCATATATAGAAAAATGTAGTTAAGTATTCAGTGTAAATTAATAGAACACCAACATAACCACAAGAAACAGAGCACTGCTGACACCCCAGAAGTCATGGGTGTGCTCCTTTCCTAATCACAAAGCAGTTACCTACAGTGGTTACCTGCGAGAAACGACCACTGCCATGACTGTGCTAATCACTTCCTTGCACTTCCCAGTTCTATAAAATTTTTTTTTTTTTTTGAGATGGAGTCTTGCTCTGTTGCCAGGATGAAGTACAGTGGCATGATCTTGGCTCACTGCAACCTCTGCCTCCCCAGTTCAAGCGATTTTCCCGCTTCAGCCTCCCAAGTACCTGGGATTACAGGTGCCTACTACCATGTCCAGCTAATTTTTTGTATTTTTAGTAGAGACAGGGTTTTGCCTTGTTGGCCAGGCTGGTCTTGAACTCCTAACCTCAGGTGATCCGCCCACCTCCCCCTCCCAAAGTGAGGGGATTACAGGTGTGAGCCACCGAGCCTGGCCCTAAGTTTGGTTTTGTTTACTCAGCGTAAATGGAACCACGCTCCATGTACTCCTTTGTGTCTCGTTCCATTCATACATCATGTTTTTGAGACTCAATTTTTCTTACCCAAACTTCAAAGACAATTTGTAGATGTGATAGCAGAAAAAGTCAGACCCTTTGATAGCTTACAAGATTCTTAATGTTCCACTTAAATTATTGATCATTCTCATGGGGTTTCAGCTTTAACTTCAGAGGATGGTAAAACAGTTGATGCTACCATCAACATTCTGAAGTCAAGTACCTCAAAGCAATTACACTGTTCTAAGAATGGTGTCTGAAGAATATTTTTAATCCACCTAAAGTGCACTTTTGTTACCAACAAAAGCAATGTTATGCTTCCGAAGTCTATCACCTTACTAGCCATTTTTTTCATTTAATCCTAAGTACGTCAAGACACTTTTAAACTATACATGACAGTTCCTTGGGAATCTTTCTCCAACTCCCTAACCTTAATTATGTCACTCCCAGATATGCTCTCAAAGTATCCTGTACTTACGCTTTTAACACTGCACATTTGCAATGATTTGTTTCATATCTTAGCTTTTTTCTCTTCTTTTTAAATGATCCTCCCACTTCAGCCTCCCAAGTAGCTGGGATTACAGGCGTGCATCACCACACCAATCATAGCTGTGACTTCTGTCTCCCTCCCCAAAACCCACTCAGCACTAAGGTCCATGGGAAGACAGATATTTTTATCTCATACACCACTGAATCCCAGTGTATAGTGCCTGGGCACTAGCATGTGTTAGATTATGTGATAAAAAATAACATTATAAAAGAGAAATACACCTTATCACACAATGACTCACATTGGTTTCAGGATAGGCTGTATCCCTGACATCTAACTTGTTAAGAGGCAGAAAAGTAACCTCTCCAGGAAGATTCATTTTATTAAACTCCATTAAAATCTTCGTGCTGACTTCATCTGAATCAACAATGTGATAAAATAACCTAAATATAAACAGAGTAAGACAAATCTTTATTGGTACTCAGGGTCTCCCTATGTTGCCCAAACTTATCAATCCTCCCACCTCAGCCTCCTGCATAGCTGGGACTAAAGGTGTGCACTTTTAAAATGTTATAAACACTTAAGCATCAAACAGTTTTTTCCTATATAATCCAAATAATTTTGGAAAATAAGACTACTTTAAAAATTCCAATGGCGGGGAGGGAGAAACTCCCAAAAGAGGAAAGTTCTAGCTTCTATAATTAGGAACAAATACTTAGCATCTACTTCTTTAATTAGAAAGTTAAGGAACCGAGATATAAAAAGATAATGGAAGATATGTTGTACAAAAACTACAAAAGTTGTTTAAGCTATTCTTATTCCCTCTTCTAAAAATGCTAAATATCAAGCAAAAGCTTTAACCTGTTTCCAGCAGTGACTTCCACGCATGTGTAGAAAGCTGGTTCACATTCAAAGTTATTCATTACAATACCATGATAGCCATTTTGAACATGCTGGTTTATTCCTTTTCGACGGAAGTGGTCTAGCACTTTGTTTATGCTGTCTATTCCATTTAAAATGGCCTGTAAGTTGTCAGAAATGAAAAATATTAAAATAATATCATCAATGGCACTCCTGGTAAGGAATGAGCCCACAACACCATACATTTTAAAAATATACCAGTGATTAAACTAAACATCCTCTCCAACAAACACATCACCTCCTCACAATATGCCAACTACATGTAACACCTTATATGATAGGCTCTGTTCCATAACAGTAGTGTTAAAAATGGGCTCTTTATCTGAACATCAAAAGTGCTATTAATAGTATGTGTAGTAATAAAACTATTTAATCTCTATCATTTCATATTTAGAAGATAATTTGGACTCCTATTTATCACTTGGAACCCATGACCTACACCTTGAAAGGTAAAAAATTATTACATAACGATTAACTCAATGACTCAGTGTAAACAGAGGTGATGAAAAGAACCTGCCCACCTTTCCTGTTGCTGCTCTAAGAAGTTGTTGCTTCTTTTCAAGATCTTCTCTTTTAGCAGCAAGTGCTTGCTGTTCTGCATTCTCTTCTCTCCACAAGTAGCTAATAAATAAAAAGTAGACTGTCTTTAATTTTAAACACATATGAGGATGCATTAACAGTATACAGTTTAGAATCAAAATACAGAAAACAAGCCTGACCGGTTAACTTGTAACTTAAAGACCACATAACAGCTAGTAACGAACATTACTGAAAACATTAATGCACATTTTAGTCTATACTAACTTTCTTTCACTTTGTAGTTCATCTTTCTTATTTTTTACTTCGTAATATTTTCTGTCCAGTTCTTCTACTCGAGCTTTGACTTCATTAAGATCCTGGTCCAGTTTCTATGGAAATAAAAATAAATTTAAAATTCAATTTCATGAAACTAATCTACACTGATAGAAAGCAGATCAGTGGTTGCAGATGGATGGGGGAGGCGGACAAAAGGTGAGGGAGGAATTACAAAGGGGTATGGAAAACGCTTTTGGGTAATAAACGTGTTTATTGTCTTAACTGTGGTGTGTGGTGTCTTAACTGTGTGGTGTTTTACAGATGTATACGTATGTCAAAACTCATCAAATTATATACTTTATTTTTGCCACTTTCCTGACTAGGAAAAATGATGTACACTAAATATGTACAATTTACTGTATGTGAATTATACCTCAATGATGCTGTTGAAAAATCCAATTTCAGTTTGTTTTTTTTGTTTTTTGTATTTTTAGTAGAGACGGAGTTTCACCGTGTTAGCCAGGATGGTCTCGATCTCCTGACCTCATGATCCGCCCGTCTCGGCCTCCCAAAGTGCTGAGATTACAGGCGTGAGACACTGCGCCCGGCCCCATTTCAGTTTTTAAAAGTTGTCTTTAGGCAAAAGAGCATACCACACCAGAAAACACAAACCATTAAATACTATAAAACATGTTGCTAAAAGTTAATTTGTTCATTAGTGATCTAAATCTTCCTATTTCTATAATATACACTCCAGAATTTTAGAAAAAAAATTCTAAGTTCTCATAATAGTCCATTATATACTTTCATACTGCCCCCTCTACACACACACACAACAGAACACAAAAACTATTTTCAACTATTTTACATTCAAGAAAAATGAGTTAAAAATCTTGGCAGAACCTATAACAAATCTCTAAGAACCTAACGTAAGATGCTGTTTCCTTAAGGAGAATTAATGAACTGTATTCATTAATTTAGTAGACTATACTGAGCTGAAAAAATCCAATAGCCTCACTGGCTAGAGTTTAAGGAAGCTGACACTTCATCCACTTAGTGAAGTTACCAAAACCCCAGTATGTACCAGGCATTCTTAGAAGAGCTGGGGAATCATAAAAGACCAAAGCAAACAAAAATCCTTGCCTTACTGGGAAGCAATAAGACAAGCAAAATAAAGCTGAAGATCATCCTTCAGGGGAAGGGCTTCAAACTGCTTCATAAAGTAATTACATTCATCTGTTTGTATTATAACTAATTATTGTCAGATATCAAAGTAATTGTAAATATTCCCACAGAGTACTGACAATTATTCATCCTCAGTAGTAACACTGACTTTTTGTCCAAAATTTTAATGGACAAAAGTCAATGTTACTACTAATTCCACTGACAAAAAGTCAATGTTACTACTGAGTCACAAAATCTTAGATTGGCCGGGCGCGGTGGCTCACACCTGTAATCCCAGCACTTTGGGAGGCCGAGGTGGGCAGCTCATGAAGTCAAGAGATGGAGACCATCCTGGGCAACATCGTGAAACCCCGTCTCTACTGAAAATACAAAAATTAGCCAGGCGTGATGGCACACGCCTGTAGTCCCAGCTACTGGGGGAGGCTGAGGCAGGAGAATCACTTGAACCCAGGATGGGGAGGTTGCAGTGAGCTGAGATTGTGTCACTGCACTCCAACCTGGTGACACAGCGAGACTCTGTCTCAAAAAATCTTGGATAATCAGAATGACTTTTAACATCTTGGATAATTAAACCCTTTAATTCTACACATAAGGAATTTGGGACTCAGTGGTATCTGAAACCATAAAAGAGTTAACAAATTCCCTAGG
The DNA here is from genome assembly GCF_000001405.40 of Homo sapiens. Taxonomy (NCBI): domain Eukaryota; kingdom Metazoa; phylum Chordata; class Mammalia; order Primates; family Hominidae; genus Homo; species Homo sapiens. Next base: position 110,587,884 of record NC_000010.11, on the reverse strand, counting down.
TAAAATTTAACTTTTCTGCAGCAATTACTTAATTCATCCCCAGGCTATCTGAACACATGCTAAAAGAAGAGTATAAACCTTGAAGAGTCAGTTTTCCTAAATTAATGTTTCAACTTTTACAGTCCTAAACAATTCAGACTGTTGTGTTATTAACTAGCATTACAGCTTACAATATTTCTTTTTTTTTTTTTTTTTCTTTGAGACGGAGTCTCGCTCTGTCGTCCAGGCTGGAGTGCAGTGGTGCAATCTTGGCTCACTGCAAGCTCTGCCTCCCAGGTTCACGCCATTCTCCTGCCTCAGCCCCCCGAGTAGCTGGCACTACAGGCGCCCGCCACCACGCCCAGCTAATTTTTTATATTTTTTAGTAGAGATGTGGTTTCACCGTGTTAGCCAGGATGGATGGTCTCGATCTCCTGACCTCGTGATCCGTCCACCTCGGCCTCCCAAAGTGCTGGGATTACAGGCGTAAGCCACTGCGCCTGGCAGCTTACAGTATTTCTTAAGTCCTACATACTTTGTTTTTTTCCAGGTGTATCTGAACACTAATGGTTCCCTTTCTGACACCATGATGCTACTCAGAACCAGTAATAAAGTAAGCTACCTATATTAAATTCAAAATATAATGTTTTGTAGACTTTATTAAATGCATTACAACCTGGAAAAGAGAAAACATTTAGTTTGCACTGAAACTATCTAAGAGCTTCCCCTTCTCCACAGCAGTTGCTACGGCCAAGATACCACTGACATAAGTTAGAAAAGTCTAAAAACTTAAGTTTGATAAGTATGTAGGATATGTATCACATAAATGAACTGTAATAAAGCATAATAAAACCACCAAAAAGACATTTTATTTTTCATACTGCAGGTTTTAAAAATACACTGTGGAAAAATTAATTTAGGATTATACCAAGAGGCAAAAGCCTATTTACACCGGGCGCGGTGGCTCACGCCTGTAATCCCAGCACTTTGGGAGGCTCAGGTGGGCGGATCACCTGAGGTCAGGAGTTCGAGAACAGCCTGACCAACATGGTGAAACCCTGTCTCTACTAAAATACAAAAATTAGCCGGGAGCAGTGGCGGGCGCCTGTAATCTCAGCTACATGGGAGGCTGAGGTAGGAGAATCGCTTGAACCCAGGAGGCAGAAGTTGCAGTGAGCCAAGATCGCACCATTGCACTCCAGCCTGGCAACAGAGTGGGGCTGTCTCAAAAAAAAGGCTATTTACATAACAAAATCAGCGCCATAAAATCATCTCTGTCCAAAGGAAAGGCTTCATCTTTACAAGTGGTCATTCTGATAACCAAAAGTGTGGCTGGAATACTGGAAAATAATGAACTTCAAGCATGACAAAAAATGAATAAATTCTCTCACTGGAGGCACCTTCAAAAAGGGCATCTGCTGAGGTTGGTTTCATAAACTCAAGAGAAAACTCATTTTATTTCAAGAAAGGAGGTGTTAACTATCAGTTCAGACTATACTAACCATATAAAGAACTGCCTGGATTAACCCAACTTTTCCACTCCTTCCACAAAGTATCACAACTAAAACCCACAGCACGACTGGACTTCCAAAAACAGCAGGCTACACTCCTCGCAATTTTACCTACCTATTGTTTATGCCTACAGAGGCTGTTGTGTTTTCTCCCCACTATATATTTTTTTCTTTATGTAAAGTGAGAATATGAGTACAAAGTAAACAGCTCTTTCTTTAAAACTTCACTGAGGTTTTGGATACATTTAAAGGTGAGTCACCAAAAACTTAAAGTGGGCAAATCACTATAACAGATTAGGGGCCAGGCATGGTGGCTCACACCTATAATCCCAGCACTTTGGGAGGCCGAGGCAGGCAGGTCACAAGGTCAAGAGATCAAGACCATCCTGGCTAACACAGTGAAACGCCATTCTACTAAAAATACAAAAAATTAGCCAGGCGTGGTGGCATGTGCCTGTGGTCCCAGCTACTTGGGAGGCTGACGCAGGAGAATTGCTTGAACCCGGGAAGCGGAGGGTGCAGTGAGCCGAGATCGCGCCACTGCACTCCAGCCTGGGCGACAGAGCAACACTCCATCTCCAAAAAAAAGAGATTAGGGACAAATAATTATATATAATATACAATTAATAAGTACATAAATATTAATATATGTACTTTATAACAAATAATTTAAAATGTCAAGTCCCAAAAGTCAAGAAAAAACTGAAGAACTGGTCCAGATTAAAGCAGATAAAAGAAACATGACAACTAAATGTAACATAAGATGCTGGAATACCAAAAAATGAAGTTTTAAAAAAAAAAAATTACACCGGGCATGGTGGCTCACGCCTGCAATCCCAGCACTTAGGAAGGCTGAGGTGGGTGGATCTCGAGGTCAGGAGTTCAAGACCAGCCTGGCCAAGATGGTGAAACCCCACCTCTACTAAAAATACAAAAAAATTAGCCGGGCGTGGTGGCAGGCACCTGTAATCCCAGCCACTCGGGAGGCTGAGGCAGAGAATTGCTTGAACTCAGGAGGTGGAGGTTGCAGTGAGCTGAGATCATGCCACTGCACTCCAGACTGGGTGACACAGTGAGACTCGTATTAAAAAAAAAAAAAAAAAATTGTTACTATCAGCTGGGCACGGTGGCTCACGCCTGTAACCCCAGCACTTTGGGAGGCTGAGGCAGGCAGATCACCTGAGGTTGGGAGTTTGAGAGCAGCCTGACCAACATGGAGAAACCCCATCTCTACTAAAAATACAAAATTAGCTGGGCTTGGTGGTGCATGCCTGTAATCCCAGCTACTCAGGAGGCTGAGGTTGCAGTGAGCCGAAATTGCGCCATTGCACTCTAGCCTGGGCAACAAGAGCCAAACTCCATCTCAAAAAAAAAAAGTTACCAACAAGCTATTTTAGACATATGTTGTGACATCTTGTTAAATTAAGGGTATGTAAGACACATGCTACCAATTCATAAAAACATATTTTAAGCTGGGCACAGTGGCTCATGCCTCTAATCCCACCACTTTGGGAGGCCAAGGTCGGAGGATTGCTTAAGCCCAAGATTTCGAGACCAGCCTAGGCTACATGGCAAGACCTCGTCTCTACAAAAAAATAAATAAAAATTTTGCTGGGCCTGGTGATACATGCCTGTGGTCCCAGTTAGGAGGCTAAGGATGGAGGATCGCTGAGCCTGGAAGGTGGAGGCTGCAGTGAGTTGTGTTTGTACCACTGCACTCCAGATTGGGTGACAGAACAAGACCCTATCTCAAAAAAATTAAAAATACATACATACATTTTAATATACTTAATCTACATAAAGGCTCAATGACATGAATATTCTTTAAAAAAGAACTATATGTATATTAAACTGTGCAGGCCTTTTCTAAATAAGTATCTGTCATATATTTTAAGAGCAACATGTAGACTTATTTAAAAAGAAAACTTGAAGTAGATAAAACTAAACACATTTATCTCTTCTGAAAGATTTTTACAAAGCAGCTATAGAAGTTCTTACATTATACTGCTCCAGATTTTTCTCTTTATTTGCTTCAGTGTCTTCCAAATCCTTATGTATAGCAGCAATCTGTCTTTTCTTGTCATTAATAGCCTGATCTAAAGACTTGAGTTCCTTTTTAATCCACTTATCCCTTTCTTCTTTTGATGTAAACTGGCTTCCTCGACCCTGCTTTGCATAAAGATCCGTTCTTTCCTGGGTAGCTTGAGCCAATCTACACAAAATAGAAGCAAATGGGATGAAAAGGAGAATAATAACCAAGTTTAATTGCAACCAATAATGTCAACTGCACACAGAAACATAAAGCCATTTTTCAAAAAGATACAAAAAGAATTAAGTGTAAAAAGCAGCTACTATATAATTGAGCTCCTCGGACAACCTAGTTTTACATAATATGATGTAGAAAGTTAAAGTGTTGGTGAAAGTTCTCAGACCTAGCAATTCCTCGTTCTTCTTTCTCTTTCACACTGTTGAATTTGGGTTCTGTTTCTGCCAGTTCTTTCTGCTTTTCTTCTATTTTTTCAAGCAGCTTCTGCCTCTCTTTTAATAAACGTTTCTGTAAACAAAGTAAAAATGCAAACTGCTTTAAATTTTTTGCATAATTTAGGTCTAGCATAAATGTTTTCTCAGGAAAAAAACTTCATGAGAAAACCCACCTGTAACATGAAACTCTTTTTTAATGTAAGAAACAAAGGGACAGTACCAAGTTGTTACTTGAGTACAAATTATGCTAACGTAGCAAAGCTTAAAAAAAAATTCCAACACACACCAGTCACAGAAAGGGCTGTCTTCTACAGTTGCTACTCACCTGAACATTCACATCTTTCATTTTTAGCATTTTAACTTACCCTTTGTTCACTATTGCCTGCTAGTTCATCTTGTAAATCCTTGGCTTTAAGCTCCAACTTAGTCCTCTGCTTAATCTGCTCTTGTCTTTCAGCACTAAGCTGTTCTTTTTCTTCTTTCATAGCTGAAATTTTTGTTTTCAATTCTCTAACTTGGCGTTCGATATCCTATTCAAAAGTATTAAACAGAAAATAAGGCAATTAGAAGTACAATAGCAGAATTGTGACACCATTAATTCTCTTTCACTTAATGTTTAGTAATACTCTGTCCTTTCAATATTCAATTCCTCTAACTCTCCCTTGTGTAATCATTCCATAATTCTGGTACAAAAGGGTTTACTATGGTCAAAAACATACGATGGCTGGACATGGTTGCTCATGCCTGTAAACTCAGCACTTTGGGAGGCCCAGGTGGGAGGACTCCTTGAACCCAGGAGTTCAAAACCAGCCTGGGCAACATACTGAGATTCCATCTCTTCAAAAAATAACAAAAATAGGAGGCTGAGGTGGGAGGATCACTTGAGCTTGAGAGATCAAGGCTGCAGTGAGCTGTGATCTCACCACTGCACTCCAGCCTGTGCAATGGAGTGAGACCCTGTCTTCCAAAAAAAAAAAAAAAACTTCAGGAGGCTGAGGCAGAAGGACCACTTGAGCCCAGGAGTTTGTGACCAGCCTGGGCAACATGGTAAGACCTTGTCTCTACAATATATTTAAAAACTAGACAGGTGTGGTGGTACACACCTGTGCTCCAGCTATTCAGGAAGCTGCGGCAAGAGGATTGCCTGAGCCCAGGAAGTCAAGGCTACAATGAGCCATGATGGCACCACTGTACTCCAGCCTGGATGACAGAACAAGACCCTGTCTCAAAAGTAAAAAGTAAGTTAACATGAACCTTGTTTATAATCTTACCTCCATTTTATCTCTTGCATCCTGCTGAGCATCTCTTAATTGTCTGGATTTTTCTCCACTAGTCTCTCGCTTAGCAGAAAGCTAAGAAAAAAAACAACTTATCATATCTAACTCATTTTGTAATTACTAAATATTTCATAACATCTAATAAAAATTTTTCTATTAAAATAAACCAAAAGTAACTGCTCAAATTTTCTACAAAAATTTTAAAAATGATTTTAAACTAGAAAACTGAAGCACTAAATTTTTGTACAAAATGTGTAGTTTAGGATATACTACAACTACAAGAAGCCTTCAAAATGGCTTTCCTCTCATCTTGTCTGCCTAATACCACCATCTGATTATATTTCAGATAATACTATATAGCAAGGACCACATGGCTAATTTCCTTGAACTAAAAAAACTTGCTGACTAATAAATTCATTGAGAGGTTTTTTTTAAGTTTCTATTTAAAATCACTGAAAAGTGTAATTATGGCCTGAGTTTAACAAATTCATAAAAACAAAATTAATCTGATTTTAAGTGTCACAGGTAAATATTTTACCTCATCAAGTTTGGCACGAGTCTCGTTAAGTTCCTGATTGTAAATGGTATATTCCAGGGCTCGTCTCATTTTATCCCACTTCTGATACTGAGCTAGTTCTTCCTTTTCTTCCTCTAGAGTATGTAATCTCTCTTCAATGTATTTTAACAACTCATTGATTTTTTCCCGTTTGCCCTCTTAAAAGAAATGGGGAGAGAGGTGGAAGAATTGAATAAGATTTTTATGTAATATCACTTCTTAAATATACCTTGAATTAAATTATTTTTAAGAACTGTAGCATTATTTCTTTGATGTGATGTGGTAACCCAATTTAAAATACTAAAATAGCAATTAACCCATTTATGCCAGAGGTTGCAAATTTTTTTCTGTGAAAAATCAGACCTTGGCAATGACCTTGAGCAGTAGAATATAAGTAACATCCACAAGCTTAGGATTCCAATAATGGAATGCTAGGCATAAATGGGTTAAGATCCTTTATTATGAAAAGCACCAGAGAACAAATTTACACATGGTGACACTGGTTCTTTTATAACATGTAGTAAGGGCCTCAGTTTAAGCTTCCTTTTAAAAAGTCAGTGTGCCGGCCAGGCGCAGTGGCTCATGAGTAATCCCAGCACTTTGAGAGGCCAAGGCAGGTGGATCATCTGAAGTCAGGAGTTCGAGATCAGCCTGGACAACATGGTGAAACCCTGTCTCTACTAAAAATACAAAAATTAACTGAGTATGGTGGTGGGCACCTGTAATCCCAGCTACTCAGGGAGGCTGAGGCAGGAGAATCACTTGAACCCGGGAGGCAGAGGTTGCAATAAGCAGAGATCGCGCCACTGCACTCCAGCCTGGGTGACAGAGCAAGACTCCATCTCAAAAAAAAAAAAAAAAAAAGTCAGTGTGCGTTTCCACAATATTTTTAAAAGCTACTAACATCATTGGTGTTATGGATTCTCAATTTTTATTAATAACAGCATTATCTAATGCTGTCATATACTAAACACCTACTATATTCCCATCATGGAGCCACTCTGTCACAAAAACAGTAATTTGCAACAAAAAAATAAGGCAGAATCACATTTATTTTACCTGTTTCTTTCATTAAGGAGATGCTTTCTTCCTTTCGTTCGTCATACACTCTAGTACCAGCTACTTCTCTTAATAGCTTTAATCTCTGAGAATCTGGTGCTGTTGCCATCTGGTTGATCTAAAATTTTTAGAAAAATAATCATTACATAGCTGTAGCCTCCGTTTAAGAAGAAGAACTCCACGTTGAAAGGTTTTTAATACACATGAAGGTTGGGTATCCCTTATGCAAAATGGTTAGAAACCAGAAGTGTTACAGATTTTAGATTTTTTCAAGTTTTGGAATATTTGCATTTATACTTACCAGATGAGCAACCCAAATCCAAAAATTTGAAATCCAAAATGTTCCAACAAGCATTTCCTTTGAATGTCATGTCCACACTCGAAAGGTTTCAGATTGTAGAGCATTCTGTATTTCAGACTTTTGAATTTGGGACATGCCAAGTTTTAAACAGATTATGATTTGGCTAATGTCATTTGTATAGTACGCATGCCTACATATCTATGTCTCCTTTACTTAAATGAAATTTACCAAATAAAATCCAAATACAACTGTTACGGTCATAACTCTCCTTTATGAATAGGGCTAACAAGTGAAGGAGTATCTCACACCACCATCTTTTTCTTAGTCAATATGATAAGGTATAAAAGATGAGCTCCATTCTCAAAAAACAAAGTATTTTTATAAGGGAAAACCATCACTGACTACACTTTTTTTTAAAGCTACAATAATATATTAAAAGTCAATTCTTCCTCAGTTTCCATGGGGATTGGTTCTAGGACCCCCTGCAGGTACCAAAATCCAAGGATGCTCAAGTCCCTTATATAAAATGGCATAGTATTTGCATATAACCTATGCACATCCTTCCATATACTTTAATATCTAGATTAATTATAATAATACAATGTAAATGCTATGTAAATAGTTTTACTGTATTTTTAAATTTGTATTATTTCTTATTGTACTGTTTTAAAATTTTATTTATTTTAAATATTTTTGATCCATGGTTGGCTGAACTTGCAGATGTGGAACCTACAGATACAGAAGGCTAATGATATGACAAAAATGGTATGCTTTAAATATAGAGAGAATGGTACAACTTAAGTGCCATGCAACTTAATATATAACAAGTATCCCTAAATGTCAAAAATGATATCACTGCATTAAAAAATTGAAATTATCTCTACGAAAATAGGTCTATCAAAAGTATCTACATCAAAGAATCATCCTTCAGATCCTCATTATTGAACGCTCCAATTATACATATTGGTTCATGCAATTTCCTCACTTAAAAATTATTTTTCAAATGGCTACAACATATGTGCCACTGCTGGGCACTGGAAAAGAGCAAACAAAGCAGAAAAGGTCCCACCCTCATGGAGCTTACATTCTAATGGAAAAAGACAGAAAATAAGTACTATCCTAACAGTGTAAGTGTTATGAAGAAAAATAAAACAGATTAAGGAAATAAAGCACATAGGGTTGAGGGGACGGCAATGCTTTCAGATGAGGCAATCAAGGATGGCATACGGGCAGAAACTGAAATGAAGTAAAAGGGCCTAGATTGACAGCAGACGGATCTCAGAAAAGTGCTCTTTCAAATCAGCCTCCATTTAAAAAAATTTATCTCCCACAAATAGTTAAATCGGAAAAAAACGTGTTCTTCCAGTAACACATTTTCTAAAACTGAAACTCCATATTCTTCCTAATCACTTCTTCTAAATGCTAACTTTCCAATACATATCTAGAAAAAAAGGCCTACAGTATAAAATAAGTGAATATTCTTTGAGAATTTTCCCTAGTCCAAAAAAAAAGTGAAAGTATATGAGAAGAGAGCAGAACAATCAGCTAAAAAAGTTTGTAGTTTGGCTGCTGAAAAAATGTAAAAACATAATCCCTATTAGGGAAAATAACATGTGGCAAAATGGCAGATTTCTGGTAATGTTAGCTTTTCAGTATTTTAATTGTGATAAATAATTAGGTAACACAAAATATTAATTTTAGAAAGTTTTTCAAATGTGATTTTTATAGAATTCCTACAATATTCTTAATTATTGCAACATTCATAAGCCAATAATGTCTTCCCATACTTTCACCTCAGTAAGTAATACCAGTCACTAGGAAAACAAGATCCACTTAATATGCTGAAATACTTCCATCTCAACATGCAATGGACCTATTTGGTACTTTATGGCCATGTAAAAGAATATGGCCATTTTTGCTTCAGCTTAACCACTCAAATCAATAAACCAAATTCATCACTCAAGAATTACTCAGAAAACAAATTCTACTTAAAAAGGACATACAATTGTTTTACCTTTCCTTGTTTAACAATATAATAAGGATTGCTTCGAGAAAAACCAGCGCTTTCAAGGAGGTTCATCACATCATTTTTCCTGTTGACAAACAATGAAATTACTTTCCGATAAATAATTTTAAAGCACCATTAAGCAATGAGTAGAGTAGCCCCTTGGTTGATAGCATTAGGGAGGAAAGATCAGTAATTAAACCATCTGTATCATCCTCAGAACTTTCTGATTCTTATGTTTATCCTCTATATGTTGACTTGTTGAAGATGAAGCAAATATTCCTCATATATGAAGCAGGTAAAAGAATACTTTTTACTCTTTTGTAAGGAAATCATAAAATTGCGGGCTGGGCGCAGTGGCTCATGCCTCTAATCCCAGCACTTTGGGAGGCCAAGGCAGGCAGATCACAAGGTCAAGAGTTCGAGACCAGCCTGCCAACATGGTGAAACCCCGTCTCTACTAAGAATACAAAAAGTAGCCGGGTGTGGTGGTGACTGCCTGCAATCCCAGCTACTCAGAAGGCTGAGGCAGCAGAATAGCTTGAACCCGGGAGGTGGAGGTTGCAGTGAGCCGAGACTGCGCCACTGCACTCCAGCCTGGGCGACAGAGCAAGACTCCGTATTGAGAAAAAGAAAAATGCTGGCTGGGCGTGGTGGCTCATGTCTGTAATCCTAGCACTTTAGGAAGCCGAGGTGGATCATTTGAGGCCAAGAGTTCGAGACCAACCTGGCCAACACAGCAATACCCCATCTCTATTTAAGTACATATTCAGTTTTTTTAAAAAAAAGAAAAATGCTTACGTGACCATCTTCTTGTCTAAGAAATACTGATCCTTTTTGGCACCAATAACTCTTCGAAGTGAAACTTCCTCTTTATCGATCTAAGAAAAAATGTAAAAGCCCACAGTTAATTTAATAGTAAAGGAGAAAACTTTTTAAATAAGGTCATTTTAAAGTCCTTGCCCATAAGTATTTATTTTAAAATTTCAATTATCTCACTAAAAATAATACTACAAATACTCAATACTCTTAACCAAGACACTTTTCACAACAGTTTGTACATTCCCATTTGTTAACAGAGTATTCATTGTCATTTTAAGATAAAATCAGTATATAAACTGTAATTATAACAAATTATAAAAGCTTAAAAAGTTTCAAAGTATGAAGAAAATCAGCTAAACCAATTAAATTCTCAACATTACTTTAAAAAAAAAGTTACTTACTGGTAACCGGTTGTCTGAATTATCAAAAATAATCTCCACAAAAGCAGAAATAACACGAGGACCAGTACCTTCCTAAAAATGAAAGAAGTGAGAAATTTGCCATTTAAGTTGTATATTCATATCCTTTAAAGGATTCTTAAAGTCTAGGGCATAATAACAAGTCTGATTCAATGGAGAAAAATTTCTGCTAGATTCATATATACACACACACACTAATCTAACGTCTCTGCTCTTTTGGCAAGAGGGATACATACTTTGGGGATATCCCCAGAGTTATAGTATATATCCCTCTTGCCAAAACAGCAGAGACGTTAGATTAGGACAACAAAACTTCTCAACCAAATAGCTTTTGATTCTAAATAAAAAATAAGAGCTATGCAAGACATGTCAAAGTTAGATATCCTTAAATATGATTCTACAGACCACTTTATTAGACTGCAAGACTGGGGACATTTAACTCTACCTATTTGCTAATATCTAATACACCATGAGGCTTTTCTCTTACAGTCTCATTTTAATGCTGCAAAGAAATCCTAATAAATCATGGGATAATTACCAAAAGTCTGTTTTTTAAGAAAAATTGAGACATTCTACAGTTTTAAATCTATTATAGAAATATACACATTTAACATGTGTCACATTTAAACCAATCTATGACACAAAAACTATGGTACCAAGTCCAGATACCTTCCAGATTATAGAAACTATGTAGTAAATACAATGAAGAACTGTACCAAAGAGGTTATTAATTATTTTAATGCCAATCTGAAAAACCTAAAAAGAATTTTTCTAAAGGAAATCAATTCTGATTACTGGGCTACAAATTCAAACTAAACAAGGGGAAAAGACAGACAAGAGCTAAACAAAACAATTTCCTATGTGTGAGAAACACTGTTAAGACATGTTGAGGAATTTCATTTTCTAGTCTTTAATAAACAATATTCAAATCAGAAGGATTAATCGTTTTATTGTAGTCTTTCATGATTTTCTATCCTAAAATTACTTTAGTCCATTACTCATATTTTTTTCCACATCACATTGGTAATGTGCCAATGTCCTAACAAGGTTTGAGGGAGGCATGACTCACATGAACACGAAAACCCAATCATCGTGCTTATGCATTACAAAAGGACCCACTTAATAAAATATCCTAACTCACATTACTGTAAATATACAGGTGGTCCCCAACTTACGATGGTTCAACAAATGGCTGAATGACAACGTGATAGCAGTCTACATTCAGTAGAAACCATAATTTGAGTATCCATAAAATCACTGTTTTTTACTTTCAGCATAGTATTCAATAAATTATATGACAGATTCAACACTTTATTATAAAACAGACTTTTGTGTTAGATCATTTTGCTCAACTGTAGGCTAATGTCCATTTTTGACTTATGGTATTTTCAGTTTATGATAGGTTTATTAGGACATAACCCCGCTGTAAGTTGCAGAACATCTCTACTGTTTTTCATACTGGAAAATGATGTTTACTATCTAAGTACAAATATGGCTAAAACAACAAACAACTTGTATGTTGTTTAGTTTGCAATGGTTGTTTCTCTATGTTCCCAATTAATTTTTGGTTCTGCATCTTAAAGTTCCTAATCTGCAACCTCAAACTCTTCTTTCTCCTCAGCAAACCTGCTTCTTAAGCCTTTGCAGATCACATCCTTAAAGAAATGTACATGGAGGACATACCCACCTATAGGCAAATCCTATAATTTTCTCCTAACCATCACATAAAAATTAGGCCTTTATCTGGCATTAACATGTTAGGCTAAATTTCACAGCAGAATAAAACACTTATGATATATATCATGTCTCCTTTAAGACATTTATATGGAGGACATATCCATCTATAGGCAAATCCTATAATTTTCTCCTAAACCACTGTATAAAAATTGGGCTTTTATCTGGCATTAATATGTTAGGCTAAATTTCACAGCAGAGTAACACACTTATGAGAAAGATTGTGTCTTGTTCACAAAGAATCTGAAACTTGAACAAATGCTTTTTTAACCAGCATGGAAAATTTATTTTTAAAATATATGTAATATCAATAATGTCTTAAAGCAGTCTCACTCACATGCAATAAAGCCAACCGCTGTTCTGGACGAAGATGACTAAACTCATCACTGAGAACAAACTGAATTGCTGGAAATACAAAAACAACTATTAGTATACCCTAAAAAAGTGTTTATAACTTATTTATAACTTCCCACACCTCAATAGAACATAGTGTGTCTGGTAATAGACAATGCAAATAAATTATCTGTTTCATATGGACAAAAGGAAATGCAGAAAATGTGCCTGCACATCAGACTAATCAGGTAGGAAATGATATAAGAAAAATACTGAGAAGTTTTCATTGAAACATTTAAGGTAAGGAAATAAAGAGAAACCACCGAAATACATGAAAACAGACAAGCAAAACTAAGGTATACCTCTGGCTCAAAGTGTTCACTGACTGGATTAGGTTAACACTGTATTTGCTTTTTTCCCCACTAGACATAAATGATATGAGTTAAAATCCTTTTTAACAAAATAGGATGTATTTTGAGAATATGCTTAAGTGGATACTTTACCAAAAGAAATAAAACTAAGGAAATACAGGGAAATGTTTGAGATGCCCAACTTATACTACACTTCTTATACTATACCGAGCTCTGTAAGAAGGGGCCGTTCCTACTTCGGTATAGAGTACCTAACTGGACCACCCTGCCTAGGAAGTGGAACTCTTTACTCAGCTGTTCTTGTCCCAGTCCACCCAAGAGACCTCTGGCACTGTGTGTGTGTGGAGGTGGTGGGGGTGCCCACATCAGCAAGTACGTGCATAAGCATTAATGTGTGTGCTGTGGACACAGGTCGAGGTGAGGAGACTTCACACTGCCCTGGAGATTCTGAAATACTTCCACTTCAGTCCATTCTCTCATCATTGCCAAATTACAACCACAATAGGATATACAGGCTAGAGAGTGCCTTTCAGATTCGTGTGCACAGAAGAGATAGAACCTTTGTTCTTACTAAGCCAGTCCACTAAATGCCCCTTTCCCTCAAGCATTACCCAACTAAAAAGTTCAAATTTTTCAACCTACTCCTTAACTGTCTAATTTTGTTAAAATGTTTTTCTCCTCAAAGGATTTGTTAACAGACGCATTGCTATTTACACTTAAATGCAATTTAGAGAGAATTTTTGAAGCTCTATTTACTATCTTCAAAGTGACAACAGTCTGTTCAGTTTCAAGTTTTTTATACCTCTTCATCCTTTACAAAGATGATTGGTTTAGAAAACGTTTTCAAAAAGGTGAAATAAGAAAGATGAACAATTTTCCAAAACAATACTATCAACTATTCTACTGCATTTACATACGTTTAAAATATGCATTTATAACATTTATATATTACATTCAAGTTTAAAAAGCATTTTCATACATACTATTGCATTCCATTCTTACAAACCATCTAAGGTAGACAGGGCAAACATCCAAACATCTCCATTTTTAAAGTGAAAAGAAAAATTTGAGAGGCTACGTGTTTTGCCCACTCTCACACAGCTAATCAGCCACTGGGTATAAAGCAGAATTCAGATCTGTATACTCTAAACCCTCTACACTAAGCTGCAACCCCATATAAAGTATTTCTTGGGTTTCATGAATACATAACCTCAGAAAATTAATGATTTTAATAATCTACCCTAAGATACCCAGGTCTTAATATATTTACAATTCAAAAAGCAACACCTACCATAAAAAAAGTTACTTTTTCCAGATCCATTTCTGCCCACTGGAAAATTTCAAAAAGTACAAGTTATTTTACATAAAAACCAATAAAATTAAAACTGTTTACCTTTTTAAAAATACTCAATATTTTTAAAATCCAATTTTCTAATACATCTTAACATCTGAAATTAAACAGTGAACAAAAGAAACCAATAAAACAACTATAATCACCAAATAAATTCAATTTTTGTACAGACTTCTAATAGTTTTTTCTTTAAAGATATTTCACAGTTGATCCGTTTGCTCTTACCCAATAGTTTAAAATGAATAGGAATAGCTAAATATACTACCTGGCTCTTATATCATATTACAATGGATATATAATTCTATTTTAACTATATATGTTTAACAATTTAAAGATTCATATATTGCTAACGTTCTAAAATAATCATTTTAAATCCTTAAAGTGTTCTCATGTTTAAAATCAACCCTATATTATCATGTGTAGTCTCACAGAACCACAAAAATATAAATAATTTTAAGGTACTTTTTGACTAACAAAATTCAAATATAAGCAATTCAATACGTAAAAGGGTATCAAATCCTTTTAAGTGTGTTTAGTGAAATTTTCAGTGTTAAGACTCATAAATAACTATGTCAGTCTTCTCACTCTTGAGCCAGAAATATCCTGAGCAAATTAACCACAAAGTTACCACCTTTAATGCAAAGTAAATCTCAAAAAGATCATTCATGTCATGCCAGAAAGGATGTACTTTTTAAAAAAACGCATATGACAGACACAGGAGCCAGCTTGAAGGGGCCTTTCAGTAGCTAAAACTAGGGGTAATCTGAGCATCAAAATGGCCAAATAAATTATAAATTATTGGTGGGGGGAATAATCCATGCATCCATACCAATAATAAAAAGATAAATAAGTAGGTAAGGAAGGAGGAGAATTACCAAATGCCAAGTTGTAAATGTGAAAGGAGTGCTGGAAATGAAAAATCATTTTGTGACCGTCAGAATAAAGGCAAGGGTCATCAACAGATGGTAAATGCAGGCACAAAGTTTGAAAAGGAGCACAAGATTTACATGGTCCAAAAGCATCTGCCTATATTACTTATTAGCTGCAAGGGAAAAAATAATACCTACACAGTGGAAACATTAGACCTTGACTGGGTGATCAAAAGTAATATCATCAATAAGAGTCAGACAGACCTCATGTGCCTCCAGATGTGATATCCTGAGAGGGACACAACATCACTTATGTCTTAATTCTCAAAAATAACAATGTTATAAAAGACAAAGGAAGGCTGTGGAAATGATCCAGATTAAAGGAGACTAAAGAAGCATGACAACTATGCAATACCTGCTCCTAAATTAGATCCTGTACTGGAGGGGGAAAAATGCTATCAAGAACACTTCTGGGTCAGTCAACATAACTGGAAAATGGACAGATTACTATGTATTAAATTTACTTAAGTTGTAAATTGTACTGTGATTATGAAAGAGAACATCCCTCCTCTTAGAAAGTACACATTAAAGTCAGAGGTAAAGGACCATGGTGTAAATAACTTTAAGGAAAAAGGTGTGTAAAAAGTGGAAATGATACAGCAAGTGGGGAAAATGTTAACAACAGGTGAATCTAGGTAAAGGGTTTATGAGTAGTCTCTGAACAGTTCTTATTGGGGAAATTTTTCTGTAAATTTGAAACTATTTCTAAATAAAAGTTTAAGATGACAATTTATCATTAAATGAATAAATATTTCAAACCACAATCCATCTATAAATAACTGAAATTTTAAGAATTTCCTTTTAAGAATTACTGCTAGAGTGGAACACTATATAGCAATTTTAAAGGATGCTGAATATTTAATAAAGATATTTCAAGATTTATCCTGAAGGAGAATAACAGATTACCAGTAAGTTATATGATGAACCCATTTTTTATTTAAAAATGAACCCATTTTTATTTAAAAATGAACCCATTTTTATTTAAATATATATTAAAAAGATGTATACAAAGACTAAAAACGTACTGAGGTAAACACAGTTTATATGTGGCCCCAGATTCACCTTTCTCAACCCAGGCCTTGGCTGCCAATCAATGGAAAAGCTCAGTCTCCTAATACCTCTGGTAGATTCAAGCTACCTTGGGAGTACATTCAGGTACTCCTGAATTGTGAACATGGAAAGGAGGCTATAACTCCCTGACTACTTCCGGGTGTTAGTTCCCAGAGCACCACAATCCAAAAGCTTGGAGGCATCAATGCCAGATGTAGAAAACTTTGACCAATGAAAGACAGGTGCCTGCAAACAAATCCTTGTCAGAATCCAAATCCATTCCTCTATCATCTGACCTTTCTAAGGTATGGTGGGTCCACAAAGTCTGTGAGTTATTTAACATGACTGCAAACCACCTGTCTCTTCTTTAGAAATCTATGACCAGCTTTTCTCTTCATTCTTGCCCTCAAACTGCACCTCCCATCAAAGCCTTAGCAGCTAATCCTGTCTGTGCTGTTTTCTAGGAAACCAGGACTAATCACAAGTATAGACTGTTATTATTAAGAATGGTTATCTCTGAAGAATCATGGTGTGCAGTAAAAAACAAAGAATGGTTATCTCTGAGTAAAAGGATTATAGTTTATCTTAATTTTCTTCCTTTTAGCTTTTCCATAATGTTCTATAACATGTATTTCTTTTGTTAAAGGTTAGGGGGAAAAAAATCCCTAAAAACGTATATGTTTGATGCATATACCCAACATCAGTACAAGAGATATTTTTTAATAGTCAACATCATTCATCAATCAAAGTGGTATGCTTTCACCAGATATTTTTAAGGCAAATCTCAGTACCTAACTACTTTTGGTCTTTCTTACATTATGTCTTACAACGTGTCTGGTTTTAAAATATGTTTAATCAGTACTGTTATCTTGGGTTCATTTGTTTTAGTTAAACAAAACCATTTTCCTTTGTAACAGTGACTATTAACAAATCTAATGCTGCAATCACAGAGGTAACACAACTAACTGATAACAGCTAAAACAATGGTATTTGATGGACCTTATAGACAAAATGTAATCATTCTAGCTAGTAAGTTACAGATCATTTATAAAATCACACAAATGAAATATTAAGGTACTTATTTTAAGGTGCAAGTTAAAGAAAACAGAAATCTAATAATTCTTATTTTTCTACATTTCTAAAGATTTTCTGATTGATGAAAAAAATCAGAAAGTACTTATATGTAAGCAAAACCCCAGTACAATTAAGCCACCCTATGGCATGTCAATTCAATTAAATGACTTCAGTAGACAGAGCACAAGCAGGGAAAAAAAAAGTATGCCTTCTTTATTCCCAACTACAAGGCTGCTATTGATAAATCGAGGGCAAAAAAACCTGCCTTCAATTTTATCATTTTATACAAAATGAAGTATGATTCTCTAAAGGTCTTCTGGAAACATTAGTAATGTGAATCTCACCCACGCACCACAGACTGAATTGAACTGACACCCTGAAACAACTGACACCTTAATCCCGAATGTGATAGTATTTGGACATGGGGACCCCTGGAAGATGATTATGGTTAAATGAGGACATGAGGATGGGGCCATGTGAGCACACAGCAAGACAGCAGCTGTCCATAAGCCAGGAAGAGAGCCTCACGAGAACCTAACCATGCAGGTATCCTGATCATGGATGTCTGACCTCCAGACTATGAGAAAAAAAATATCTTGTTTAAGCCACCAGTCTATGGTATTTTGTTATGGCTGCCTTAGCAAACTAATACACCACTTAGTTTGGACTCTGTACAGCAAAACTGTGTCAACAGCAGTCTGTGTTTCTGGTGTCCAGAAGCACTCCTTTCATCTATCCTGTAAAATACTCAGCAGAGTGTCAGAAAACATTTTTGTTAGCTGTATCAGCAAAATGCACACTACAATCTGAGCAATCTATAATGACTACATATTGTTAATGGCAATCACCATTAGCTCTTTATCTTCACACTTACATAAGGTTTCTCATTTAATCTTCTCAACAGCCCTATGAGACAGGTATCATCTCCACTTTACAAATGAGAAAACTGAAGCTTCTCAGAAAGTGAAAAAGAACGTGTGCCACAACTGGGATTTTTTTTTTCGTTGTTGTTATACTAGGATACATGTGCACAACATGCAGGTTTGTTACATAGGTATACATGTGCCATGTTGGTTTGCTGCACCCATCAACTCGACATTTACATTAGGTATTTCTCCTAATGCTATCCCTCCCCCAGGCCCCCACCCCCCTATAACTGGGATTTGAACCCCATTCTGTTATGCTCCAAAGTTTATGCTCTTCCAATCTAGCTACATGGTCTGTCCTTAGAGACACTGACTGCCGGGGTGGGGGGGGAATCCTGGCATCTACTTTGTGAATAAAAATTGTCTGTCTCTGAAATAAGGCAACAGTCAGCATTTTCACTAGGATATATAACAAGAACAGAAGAGCGGAAATGCTTTAAAACACTCTTACACACACATACAAGGCTACCTAGATAAAAAATGGATAACTTATGAGTGTCTTATCCAAACATTTTAAGTTTATAAAAATAAGCAATTCATCAGTGCAATAAGACAGAAAAGTTATTTCACGCAGAAAAATATAACTTAATATTCAAAGACAATTCCTGTCTCCTTAAGCCAATATAGAAATGGACAGAATTTACATTATCTGTATAGACTATAAATATGACCGAGTAAACCAAGAACACTTACCAATCACATTATGTTTTGAACTGAAGGGATCTACAATTGTTTGATCTCTGTAACTTCGAAAACCCTGGATAATCACCTAGTAAATAAAAAACATTTTTGAGAACCCACCCCACAAAAAAAATTAACATTTTTCTCTTGCATTTCTTTCTTGTTTTTCATTTAATGCAATATAGAAAACTCGAAATTTCATATAAGAAAAATTCATTTTGGAAAGTGGTGATTAAAAATCTGCTAAAAAAAAAAAAAGGTACTTTTATCGGTAATCTTTGCCAAGGCAATGCTGCTGGGTTTTATTTTTTTTTAGGAGTTATGCTGTCAACCTGTTAAGGACCTTTCAAAATCAAAAACACTGTGTGAGCTTAACTGAACCCTAAACGCTGCAGTACAATAGCAAGTCTATAAAAGCAGGCCGACGGGCCCCAGCTCTCCTGACTCCAAGACCACCGAGTGCTGCTTTCAGTCACTCACGCCGGCCAGCCTGAAAGAACCCACGTTCCAAAGAAGGAGTGCTCAGAGCCCGACAGACCCAACAGAAAACCGTCTCCAAGGCCGTGTGCCTGGGCTCATCTTTGTGGTGGAGTCCCGCGCGGGAAGACCATTTTGACAGAAGTAAACAACCGAGGGAGGCGGCGCTCCGTATCCTGCAAGCAGGAGGGTCCCGCTCACTTCGCGGGTTAACTGGGGAGAAGAACGGCTCCCCGCAGTGACAGGTGACGACACCCCAGCCAATGCCCCCAGGGCCGCCCCCGGGCCGGGGAAGCCACCTTTCCACACATCCCAGGCACATGGGCCGTGTGAGGCCACCCCTGCAGGACCACACAGCCCTTCCCGCCCGCGGCCGCCCCGGCGGGGTGCCCCCCGCCAGCTCTGGGGCCACCCAGGAAGGCCCAGTCCCTCCCAGCGGCCCGCCCGCCGGCCCTTCCACACCTCTCGGAGATCCTGCCTCTCCCAGACAAGCGCCAGCAGGGAGGCCGGGGCTGCAAAGGAGTGCCCCAATTCTCCGCGACCCCGCAGCCGGGGCACTAGCGGGACCCGGGTCTCCCTCCTCCCCCACAGTCCCCGCCCAGCCCTGGTCCAGCCTGTGGAGACAGGGGAGAGGCTGCGGGTGGCGCCGCAACACTCCCGCCTCAAGGAGCGGCCCTTACCGGCCCATGACGGGGTGGAGGGACGCGAAGGCCTTACCTGCTTTATGTACATGATTCCGGGCCCCTGGCCTGGAAGGAGACCTGCCCCGGAGCAGCAACCGCACGGCCGCAGGGTCAGGTGAGGCGCCTACGCGACCCCTCCCCCAAAGCGCCGCTCGCTCCCCTCAGCCAAACAAAATGGCGGCGCTCGTGGGGGCGGAGTCCGCGCCTCGGACGGAACCACCTTGCAGCCTTCACAGGGCGTAGGAGGAGTCAAGTTCAGGTCTGCTCTTTCTTTTAGGCAAAACCAGTCCTCCACAGCGTTTTTTGGTGGATTTCTTTTGAATCTAGAATTCTGTAGCTAACGCTTTCCTGAGACTTAGTCAAAAGCTTCACTCGGAAAATCTATGACCGTAGGGTTGGTCCGTACCACCTCCGAGCGCGGGGCCAATGGTCGCGTCCACAAAGGGGGAAAGGTTCCGCGCCAAAGCCAAGAGGGAGACTCCGAGGGCCAGTAGCGCCGCGGGCTGTCGGCCACGTGATTCCGCGCTGTTTAAAAAAGCGGACCTCGCGCGCACTGTGCTAGCCTTGGAACACATGGAATGCTGGTGATTCTTGGAATTCTGTGTGCGGAGTCACTGCTGCCCCTTTGTTATCGCTCTCCATAGGAACGTTTACAATCTTAGCACGCCCCAAGCTGGTTACGAATTGCCCACTCGGAGGACAACCCCGAAGGGATTTGTCAATGCTCGAAAATTTGTTTTAATAATGTGATGATTAATTCCGTCGGGAACTGTTTCTGTTCTACCATCTGCTATAAATCTAGGCAGATCTGTACAATTGCAACAAAGATTTAGGTAAGGCTGAAAGCTTTTAATCCACTTTAAAAACAAAAGAAAACAGCCTGAAAGATACTAGGTGCTAGTGGCAACCCTAGGTCTGTCTGATCCTTGTCAGTCTTGGGAGAAAAACATCATTTGTTTAGAAAATGAATCTCTGGGCTGCTCTGAAATTACTTGCTGGGAAGAGAACAAAATAACTACCCAAATCATCCCCAGCCCCACCCCCGCCCGCTGCTGGAGACAATTCTGGCCCTAATTATTTCTAGATTGAACTATTTTTAGTAGCCTCCTAACTGCCTCTGCTAACCAGGGTATCTCCCTAGGAGTCCTTTATCTGGAGCCCGGATCAAATCCTATCCAGCCCTTGGTTTAAAAAAATAAATAGGCCTGGTCGAGTGGCTCAAGCGTGTAATCCCAGCACTTTGGGAGGCTGAGGGGGGAGGATCACCTGAGGTCACGAGTTCAAGACCAGCCTGGCCAGCATGGCGAAACCCCCGTCTCTACTCGAAATACAAAAATTAGCTGGGCGTCGTGGCGGGTGCCTGTAATCCCAGTTAGTCGGGAGGCTGGGGCAGGAGAATTGCTTGAATCCAGGAGGCAGAGGTTGCAGTGAGCCAAGATCGCGCCACTGCACTCCAGCCTGGGCAACAGAGCGAGACTGTCTCAAAATAAATTAAATAAATATGTAAGCATTTTCTTTTCTTTATTTCTAACTTTTTTTTTTTTTTTTGACAGGATCTTGCTCTGTCACCCAGGGTGGAGCTGGAGCATAGTGGCTCGGTCATGGTTCACTGCAGCCTCAAACTCCTGGGTTCAAGCCATCCTCCCACCTCAGCCTACAGGCTGTGGCCACCAAGCCCAGCTTTTTTTTGTTTTTGTAGAGACCAGGTCTCCTTATGTTGCCCAGGCTGGTCTCTAACTTCTGGCCTCAAGCGATCCTCCCACCTCTGCCTCCCTAAATGCTGGGATTACAGGAATGAGCCACTGCACTCAATCTAAACATTTTACTTCTAGATTTTAGTTGTATTATTTAAAGCTTAGGACAGGTATGGTGGTTCACGCCTGTAATCCCAGCACTTTGGGAGGCCCAGGTGGGTGGATCACTTGAGGTCAGGAGTTTCAGAACAGTCTGGCCAACGTGGCAGATAGGATTATCTTATACATCCTGTTTGTAATTCTAAATATGATGGAGTTTTATCATCTTCATTTTATAGACTAGGAAGTGGAGGCTCAGCATGGCAAAACTCCGTCTCTACTAAAAATACAAAAATTAGCTGGGCGTGGTGCAGACGCCTGTAATCTCAGCTACTCAGGAAGCTGAGGCAGGAGAATCACTTGAACCCAGGAGGCAGAGGTTGCAGTGAGCCGAGACTGACACTGCACTCCAGCCTGGGTGATGGAGCGAGACTCTGTCTCAAAAAAAAAAATTCTAAGCCTCCACTTCCTAGTCTATAAAATGAAGATGATAAAACTCCATCATATTTAGAATTACAAACAGGATGTATAAGATAATCCTATCTACCTAAAATTGTTTATACATATGTAGGCAAAATATGAAAAGATGGTGACTAAAACATTTGAATGGCTTTCACAGTGATGGGAGTTTTACTTTCTTCCTTAGGCTTTTCCATATTAAATGAAGCTTATACAATTAGCTTATATAATTTATATAGGCAGAAAAAAAGATCAGCGAAAAACCTAAAATAATCAAAAGGTGATTTTGAGAATGTAATGCTTTTATTTATATTTATGTATTTATTGTCTATCTCTGCACGAATATAAATCCAAGAGAGAAGGGACTTCATTTTGTTCCTGCTGTTACTTAGTAACTAATTCACAGAAAGTACTCAGTATATATTTATGAGTGAAAAATGCACAGAAGCAAAGTACTTACCACCGTGCAGGGCTTACATATGCCAGCTACTGGTGTTTAAAAGCTCCCTATGTCCCCATTCCACCCACCTTTCATCCCCCTTAGGAGCATCATTCTCTTCTGGTAAGTACGTAGGAGTCGAACATATTGATCTCCTTTAGCCAGGATAAATAGTTATTCAAACCTATGAACTATCTGGAAGCAAAGGGACATTCCTGAAAGAAATTGCCACCATAAAGCAGAATGCCAGCCGCACAGTGCCTACTAGCTCATAGCTAAACAACGGAGAACTGCAGCCTTGAAACAGTGCCCCAAAGAGTTAAAGAAGTCTGTGACTAACAAATTCTTGAGTTTGCAGGATAGCAGATGAGAAAAGAAACAACTTGCTGAAACTCCCTCCACTTGTAATATTAAAAAACTGACTGAAATTGCTTGCAATCAACATGACTAACTGGAGTTTGTGCAGAATGGTTTGCTAACATCACAGCCTGAATTTCCAGTGCATGGTTCATACAAACTCCCCGAGTTTGACATATGATCCATGTGGTGGCATGAAGAGGTAACTGTGCATGCCTCAGCACTTTCTAGACCTCCGCTTTCCTTCCGCCAATCACCTACTAATCCCAGAATCCACCCATGAATTTTTTTCTAATAAAATTACTGCTTTAAACCTAGCACAGAGAGACAGATTCGAGCTGGATTCCTGTCTTTTTAGTCAACTTGCAATAAAAAGCTTTTCTTTTCTCAAAAACCCGGTATCATAGTATTGGCTTCTAGCACATCAAGCACTGAGCCCTTTTTGCTTGGTAACATCATTTTACATCTAAACATCCCATTAACAACACATGGCATCACCTCCTCAGTGTTTTTATTTCTCTCCCCCAACCCCACCTCAGATTGATTCAGCATGATCACTTAGACACACTGGAGTGGGAGGAGGGGAAAAAGAGACACTAATCATAAGTCTCTTTAAGAAGGGAGTCTCTAATGCTCAAAGCACAGACACACAACAATCATAATCCCGTATATTTGTGTAGCTCCTCACCCAGCTTCAAAGTGCTATCATGTGTATGGTCTGTCTTAGATTTTTCTCACTGATGCTGTGAGGAGCAAGGGTACTTATTTTGCATTGGGTTGGAAACCCAAGGGTCTTATGCTGACTCCATTTGACAAATTCCATGAGTTGGGACATGTCATTTTACCATGTGACTTTCTGTAGATAAAATGGGAATATTCTCTGCCTTTCCAGGCAGCAAAGATGCAGATAGACATTTGCCCCAACAGTCAGTGGTCAGACTTTGGGAGAGCCGGGTCACATCCTGGCTCTATCACTTGCTGATGTATGACCTGGGGAAGATTAACCTCCTGAAGCCTGTTTCCTCATCTATAAGTAAAGATTTTAATGATATCTATGGAAATTTCCTTGCAGGTAAATTAGGATGATTTATTTAAAATAACTGGCACAAGACATAGTGTTAGCTATTTTTGTTATTAGTTCATAGCCAAACTTGTAGTCAGCAAATCCCTGGGAAAAGACAGCAAAGAGCTAAACTGAAAGATCAAAATGCCAGGAGAAAACTGACCAAACACTCTGGGACCACCTCACCCCCCATTATTCATTCATTCATTGAACAGATATTTACTGATTACCTCTAGCATGAATGTGTCCTAATAGCGTTGAGGAGAAAGAAACTTTTCCTCTGCCCTTTTATGTTTATGGGTGAGGTGTGGAGTGGGGGGAATCCATGAACATAAGAGGACAGGAGCTTAAGGCTTGGCGGCGATCGCCTGTAGTCCCAGCTACTCCGGAGGCTGAGGTGGGAGGACGGCTTGAACCTAGGCGTTCAAGGCTGCAGTGAATCATGACTGTGCCACTGCACTCCAGCCTGGATGACACACTAGCAAAAGAAAAAGCAGATTTTAATCACATACGTACATGTGGGAGTTCACAAAGAAATGTGACTCAAAAGGGCAGTTACAATTTGGGGCTTATATAACCCAAATGGAGTTTGAGACCAGCCTAGCCAACATGGCAAAACCCCATCTCTGCTAAAAATACAAAAATTACCCAGGCATGGTGGCCTGCAACTGTAATCCCAGCTACTAGGGAGACTGAGGCAGGAGAATTGCTTGAATCTAGGAGGCGGAGGTTGCAGTGAGTTAAGATCACACCACTGCACTTCAGCCTGGGTGACAGAGTGAGACTCCATCTCAAAAAAGAGAAAAAAATCCATTTTGACTGTGTGCTCATTGGTCAGGGAAATTGCCGCAGGATGGGTTTATGGACCTAGTGCAACGAATGTGAAACAGACTTGAGCCAGGACTTCATGTATCACCTGGCCTTTGTACACCTCCACTGGATCAGGGGAGCCATAAACATGTTTGAGCTCAGTGTCAGCTCAGATCCTATGTCCAACAGCACTCAAAAGATCTGGGTGTTCCCCTTTTCCTAGGGTTCAGTTACTCTGTTAAGTTTTAGGGTCAGATTGAAAGAAATGATACTGAATATACCCAAGGAGAAAATACACCTTCCTTGGGACTCAGCTTCCCCTTCAGTTGATGGGCTGTGGTGTGAGATCTGCCTCCCGTACATAAACTGGATGAGGGGTTGAGACTTTCCATTGCAGGGACTGACATCAGCTTGTGCTCGCTCAAGCCTAATCTAATTTGGTATGTAAGTGAAGATGTACACACCGTCACTGGCTGCCAACTTATCTTACTCCTAGAACAACATGGTCTATGAACCATAGCCACAAACCCCTATGGGTTATAGACTTAAACACGTCCTAAGACAAAATTATAATGAATTTAGTTTAAAGATCTTAATTGGCTTTACTTGTGATTCTAGAATCAAGCAACACCTCATTCTATGAAAAAGAATGCACATTCTGGTGAGTTGAGCAGAAGATCATGGCTTTCTAGATAGAAAAGGGCTGAGGAAAGCAGACAGAAAACAAAACACAGCTGTTTCAAAGTTGCTCTCCTTGTAAAGGTTAAAGCAGAGGAAGCTTCCTCATCATGCTGGCTAAAACAGGCCTATTTGGGAATTTGGCTATTTTCTCTCTCTCTTGATTTCTTGAAAGTTCAGATAAACAACTTAGTTTTGGCATGGTGTTGTGGAACTTCAATATGAGTAAATCCATTTTGGTTTGGTCTGTTGGGTCTAGTGCAGGAGCTCCATGAAAACCAATGACTTTCTATAAATTTTATTTAGCAAACCTAGGAGCTAAAACTACAAGACCCCCAGATGGAAACATAGGAGTAAATCGTTGTGACCTTGTGTTGGCAGTGGTTTCTGTAATGCATTGCCAAAGCAAAGTAACACACACAAAGATTAATTGTACTTCCTCAAAACTGTTGTTCACTAACAGAAGTGAAAAGATATAGACTGGGAGAAAATATTTGCAAATTGTATACCTGACAATTTACGTGTGTGTGTGTGTGTGTGTGTGTGTGTGTGTGTGTGTGTGTATATATATATCCAAAATATATAAAGAACTCTCACAACTCAACAATAAAAGACAAACAACCCACTTTAAAAATGGGCAAAAGATTTGAATACACATTTCTCCAAAGAAGATAAACAAATGGCCAATAAACGTGTGAAAAGATGCTCGACATCATTAGTCATCAGAGGAATGTCAATCAAAACCACAGTCAGATACCACTTCATACCCACTAGGATGGCTAAAATAAAAAGGCAGACAATAACAGGTGTTGGCTGGGATATGGAGAAATTGAAAGCCTCGTATGTTGCTGGTGGGATTGTAAGATGATGCAGCCACTTTGGAAAACATTTAGGCACTTTCCAGAATAGGAAAATCCACAGAGACAGAAAACAGTTCAGTGGCTGCCTGGGGCTGGGGATTGGAAGGGAAGGTTTGAAAATGGAGTACAGGTTTGTTTTTTAGGGGAGGAAAGGGAGTGTTGAAAATATCCTAAAATTATATTGTAATGATGGTTGCATGACTTCTTGAATATAGTGAAAATAACAACTCCATATTTTAAATGGGTAAATTTTATTGTATGTGAAATATATCTTAATAAAGCTGGAAAAACCTAGGAAAATATTTCAACAGTGAATCTTTGAACCATACCGATACTTAGACCATGTACAGATGATAATGTGTAGATTATCTAAGTCATTCTTGAACTATTTCATAAAATATAACAGTGCTGTATATAATTGAAATACATCATAATTTCAAATGTGCTATTGAAATCTCAGGTTTAGATCGTCTTTACACAAAGCTTCAGCTATTTAGATTAATGCAGAAATCCAAATTCTGGCATAGATTCAAATATGCCAGGTTCCAGATTCCCAATTTTTCACTCAGTAGTAACTGTATCACTAGAAAGTTAAACACAAAACTACATTATTTAACAGTAACGTAAGCTGATACATTTTCTGGTTTAAATTATCTTTTATAATTTAAAAGATATTTAATACAAAATCCCTAAATCTAGTATAAGTATTTTTGGGAGAAAGCAATGAAATGCAAAAAACAAGTTACTAGGAAAAGGGAGGTTTGGCCAGGCATAGTGGCTCATGCCTGTAATCCCAGCACTTTGGGAGGCCAAGGTGGGTGGATCACGAGGTCAAGAGATCGAGACCATCCTGGCCAACATGGTGAATACCCATCTCTACTAAAAATATAAAAATTAGCTGGGCATGCTGGTGCACACCTGTAGTCCCAGCTACTCAGGAGGCTGAGGCAGGAGAATCGCTTGAGCCCGGGAGGCAGAGGTTGCAGTGAGCCGAGATCGTGCCACTGCACTCCAGCCTAGGCAACAAGAGCAAGACTCCATCTCAAAAAAGAAAAAAAAAAAAAAAAAGAGACGTGAACTACAGACACATGCCGTGACGTGGCTGAATCTCCAAAATATTATATTGAGTGTGGCCGGGGGCGGTAACTCATGCCTGTAATCCGAACACTTAGGGATGGAGAGGTGTAAGGAACGCTTGAGCCCAGAAGTTTGACACCAGCCTGGGCAACATTGCAAGACCCCATTCTCCACAAAAAGGAAAAAATATATGTATTCTACTGAGTGAAAACAGCTTTCCCCTGATGAATACACACTGTGTAATTCTATGTATATGAAGTTCTTGAACAGGTGAAAAGCATCTATGGTGGAAAAAAATCAACTCTGTCTGACAATGAGGGCATATAGGTTAAAAAAAATCAGAAAAGTGATAGCTTCAGGGAGAGTTGGAGAGAACCAGGAAGGAACATAGGGAATTTTCTGAGAGCTGATGATAATGTTCTGTATCTTTATAGAGATTTGGATTCCACGATTTATGCATTTCTCAAAACTCAGTTAAGAATTTTGGAGGAGCTTCTGAAACCTTTTAGGGGATGGGCAGTTACTCTGTGATTCTCCCTGAGCATGTGCATGTTAAATGAATTTGTATGCCTTTTCTCTTATTAATCTGCCTCGTGTCAGTGATTTTCCAACCTCCAGGGGGGCCAGAGCCTTGGCCCCTATACCTCTCATTTCTGGACATCCAGTAACTTGGATGCTTGCAATGAAATATGTTTTTGGCAACCTTTATTTTAATATCCAGCATAACTGAAGTAGAAATTATTCCATTTCCAACCTCCCACAGACTGTTACATGAGACTCACCTAACCCTGGATCTAAAATTCTTGCAGTTCTTCTGAATGGTACACAGAAATACTAGAATGTTTATAAAGGAAAAGACATTGATGAGGGAAAAAACACCTTGAGTTATGGGGAAAAGAAAAGAGCACAAAACCTGGAGAGTCAAGAAGCTGGAGTTCTCAACTTTCCTGAGCCTGGGTTATATCAGCTCTAAAATGGGGGAAAAAAAATCTGCCTCACATGTTTTCTGTGGGTTGAAATGAGATGAGGAAGGTAGAAGACCCTAGAAACAATGACTGGCCCCATCGTAGACTCTTGGTCAGCGTGGTTGAGTCACAGTCCTGGTGGGGTGAAGTGGGGTCAGGTAGGAAAGTGACTTGGAAGGTGTCTGCAGACTGAGGTGGATTTGGGTTCACGAAGAGGAAGGATGAAGGTATTTCAGCAGAGGAGAACCACTCACCTGAAGGCACTGAAGTGAGTAGGAGCCGGTGGTGTGTGTTAAAAATCCTATCTAAGGCCAGGTGCTGTGGCTCATGCCTGTAATCCCAGCACTTTGGGAGGCCGAGGCAGGCGGATCAGGAGGTCAGGAGTTCAAGTAGAAACCCTGTCTCTACTAAAAATACAAAAATTAGGCAGGCGTGGTGGTGTGCACCTGTAATCCCAGCTACTCAGGAGGCTGAATCAGGAAAATCACTTGAACCAGGGAGGCAGATGTTGCAGTGAGCTAAGATCACATCGCTGCACTCCAGCCTCAGCGACAGACACTCCATCTACAAAAAAAAAAAAAAAAAAAATCCTATCTAACGAAATCTGTGACAGCTAATTCAGGGGAATTGCTGGTGGAAACAAGAGTGCAGAGTGATTAGCTGCAGAATTCTCCCTTCCTTCTTTTTTCTTCCCTTGGAGATGAAAGCAGGAGTCTTGCTTTCTGGTGAGGGAGGAATGGCAGGAAAAGCAAACCAGATAAGCCACTCACCTAGTGAGAGAGCCCCAGCCTGGAAATCAGCAACTGGTCCCAGATCTGTCACCTGTGCTGCAGAACCATGGGCATAATGGCTCTGTCTGTGCTTCAGTTTCCCTGTTGGCCATGTGGAAATCATATCCCTTTATTTCTTTAATTCATTTACCAGCGAGTTAAAAAGTAGGAAAACTCCCTAAACTACATGGTTATACAAATTTAAGATGTTACTAGTGCAGAGCCCAGTCTGAGTGAGAAAATATGGTGTTGATGCGGAGAAGTTTGGAAACTGAAAAGTTTGAAGCAACTAGCAATATGGGTTGTTGCTTAAGAAAGAAAAGGAAGCCAGGCACTGTGACTCTCATCTGTGGTTCCAGCTACTTGGGAGGTTGAAGTGGGAGGATCACTTGAGCCCAGGAGTGATCACAGCTTCAGTGAGCTGAGATCGCACCATGCACTCTAGCCTGGGCACAGAGCAAGACCTTGTGTCTAAAAATAGTGATAAAATACTTTTTTAAAGTGAAAAAAATAATTTTGGCCAGGTGCAGTGGCTCAGGCCTGTAATCCCAGCACTCTGGGGGGCCACTGTGGGCAAATTGCTTGAGGTCAGGAGTTCAATACCAGCCTGGCCAACATGGCAAAACTCATCTCTACTAAAAATACAAAAATTAGCTGGGTGTGGTGGTGCTCATCTGTAATCCCAGCTACTCAGTAGGCTGAGGCACGAGAATCACTTGAACCGAGAAGGCAGAGGTTACAGTAAGCTGAGATCGTGCAACTGCACTCCAACCTGGGCTCAAGACTCTGTCTCAAAAAAAAAAAAAAAAAAAGGTGGGGTGTGGTGGTTCATGCCTATAATCCCAGCACTTTGGGAGGCCGAGGCAGGTGGATCATTTGAAGTCAGGAGTTCAAGACCAGCCTGGCCAACATGGTGAAACCCTGTCTCTACTAAAAATACAAAAAGTAGCCACATGTGGTGGCAGGCCCCTGTAATCCCAGCTACTGGGGAGGCTGAGGCAGGAGAATCGCTTGGACCCGGGAGGTGGAGATTGCAGTGAGCCAGGATTGTGCCACTGCACTCCAGACTGGGCAATAAAGTGAGACTCAGTCTCAAAAAAAAAAAAAAAATTAAACTTTTTCGTAGTTTGAACATTTTTATAACATGTTTAGAGATAAAAGTTCTGTAAGATCCTAAACAATCTGGCTCATTTTTACCTCTCTGATCTCGTCTCTTGCTATCTCTCCTTTCAGTTCGAGCCACATTGAAGTGCACCAGGTGTCTCCTACTGCAGGGATTTTGCATTTGCCCCTCCTGAGCCTGCAAGTCTCTTCTCTGTTAGATCTATTTAACATTCTGCCGAATCTTCTGCGGCAAGCCAAATTCTAAGATGGCCCTAAGACGTCTGCCCCCTTGTGGTGCACATCCTGTATACGTTTCTCATTTTGAATGTGGCTGGGACCTGTGACTGTATGATGGGGGACCACTCTTGTGATTAGGTTATGTTATTCATATGTGGCAAAGGAGAACAGACTTTGCAGATGTCATTCAGATCCCTAATCAAGTGACTTTGAGTTAATGAAGAGGGAGATTATCTTCAGTGGGCCTGACCTAATCAAGTGATCCCTTTACAAGAAGGTATCAGAAATGAAGTCAAGTTAGAGAGATTCAAAGCCAGAGATGCTCTCCTGCCGGCCTCCTGCCATGTTGTGGAGAAGGCCATGTGGCAGGGAATGACAGGTGGCTTCAAGGAAAGATTTAGAAAAGAGAGACAAACTCTTTCATCGCTTCTCTCACAGATACCTAGGAGACATTGCAAGACCTCTTTTGGGACTTTAGCATCCCAAAAGTTCTACAGTTCTACAACTGCAAGTAATGGGTTCTGCCAAATCCAGGGAGGTTGGAAGAGGTTCTGAGGCTTGGATGAAACTGCAGCCTGGCTAACACCTTGATTTCAGTCTGATGCCACCGGGCAGAGAGTTGTTACCTGTGCCCAGACTTCTGGCCATATTTCAAAAAAATTCTGAGGCTGTAGACTCTTTCACACAACAACAATGTAGTTGGTGCAATAAAGTACCTGGTGCAATAAAGACTCCAAAGCCAGCAAAGGTGAGGTACAGGGCAAGGGTAAAGTGCACACATGATGCACCTTGATGTCATAGTTTCTCATTGCCCTCCTTATCTCCCCTCTACTGCTATGAGATTCCATGGGAAAGTTCCATCTTGAAGTTAGTTTCAGTTCAGTTTCTCTTATCATCTCAGGAAGGGATCATGGACTGATTTTATCTCTTTGTTTAATTTCTCTGTTATTCCTCCCCACCTCTTAAAAATATTTTTCGCTCTCTTCCTCTCTTTTTTTTTTTCTTATGTGTGCCCTATCCGTTTTCACTCTTAGGCTGGACAGACTTTCTATGGATACTTCCCAGTCTCATGAATAAGAAAGATACCTCACTATTGCCCAGTTCCTATTCAATTCTCATGGTACCCAAGAGATAGAACTGGCACCCCAGAGATGTTCCCAAATTACAGTTCTGTCTTGGTGATGCCTGGGACTGTCAAATCATCCAAGAGAAAACCTAGGACACTCCCATCCTGGAAGATGGAAGAAGAACATTTGTGAGAAGATGAGATTTAGAAAAAAGAGACAAATTCTTTCATTGCTTCTCTCACAGAAGAGAGATACCTAGGCGACATTGCAAGACCTCTTTTGGGACTTTAGAGAAAAACCTTACAAAGGAGCCTTTTCAGATGCTTGTAACAAGCCCCCAAAACTAAAGACCAGACTCATACCTCACAGGAAATACAGGTCCTCAGCCCTCCACTGAATGATGCCAGGAAAATTGTCATTATTGGAAAAACCCAGTAATTTTAAAAAGAAGTGCCCAAGAAACTCTCAATAACCTTCATTTTGCTTCTCCACTTAAAATTAACTTTGTGCCACCATAATCTTCAAATTTTTATTTTAAAAAACTCAATTCTCATATGAGCATGTGTCATAGTTTGATTTAACTTATTAATGAGGGAATCACTAAAATGACAAAGCTGGTTTAAAAGAGAATGTAAGAAACTCAAATTTAGGCATTGGAAAAAAAGAGTGCTGAAAACACACAAAACTAGTAAATATTCTACAGCGTGATAAACTATAACCTTTAAGGTTATCTTTTTCTAAGGGTCAAAAGAAATTCATCATACCGTATCAGTTTTCTTCCATTTTCTACAGCATTGTAAACCATCTGGGCCTTAAGCAATCGTGAATACTGAGTCATTAATTATATTGAAAGGCCATGCAAATTTTTGTTGTTGTTGTTGTAGTTCCAGGTTTTGCGTTACTTTTCTGAATAAGGACCTTGAGAATAAAAGAAAAATTAGAGAGAAACTTTCTTGGTAACCTTAAACATTCCCTAAAAACTAAAGACCAAACCCTTATACCCTTGGAAAGGGTTACAATAATTCTGTCTCCACTGAGCTAATCACAGTAGGAAAATTGCAACTATTATGAAAAGCTGATCACTGGAAAAATAATTGCCTGAATAAACAAACCTTGGTAATCCTCCATATATTGCTCTTATACTTGTACCAAATCCTCACAGCCTTCATTTTCCATGTAAATGCAATCACAAAATATGTGGCCTTTTGTGTCTGACTTCTTTCACGTAGCATAATGTTTCCAGGACTCATACATGTTGTAGCATGTATCAGTTATCTCTCCCCTCCTCTCTTTTTCTTTTTCTTCTTTTTCTTTTTTTCTTTTTCTTTTGATGAGGTCTTGCTCTGTTACCCAGGCTGGAGTGCAGTGGTGCTGTCACAGCTCACTGCAGCCTCAACCTACTGGGCTCAAGCAATTCTTCCACTTCAGCTCCTGAGTAGCGGGGATTACAGGTGCATGCCACCATGCCCAGATAATTTTTGTGTTTTTTGTGGGGACAGGATCTCACCACATTGCCCAGCCTGATTTCGAACTCCTGAGCTCAAGCAATCCAGCTGCCTCAGCCTCCCAAGTGCTGGGATTACACATGTGAGCCACCATGCCCAGCCTTCGCCCGTTTTTTATTTAGGTTATTTCCTTTTATTGTTGAGTTGTAAGAATTCTTTATATGTTCTGATCCTAGACCCTTATCAGGTACATGATTTGCAAATATGTTCTCCCATTTCTGTGGATTATCTTTTTACTTTGTTAATAATGTCATTTGAAGCACATACATTTTTAATTTTAATATAGTCTAACTTATCTGGTTTTTTTTCTTTGGTTGCTTGTGGTTTTCCTATCTGAGAAGCCATTGCTTAATATTTGGTCCAGTTTTTATTACTGGTATCTGTGAAAGGCTTCATCTGACTACTTCACACTGCCTGGAAAATACTTCTATGAGAAATACTCCCAAGACTTCATTCAGGCCTTTGCTCAATTGTCACCATATAAGGAAGGTCGCCTCTGACCACCCTATCTAAAGTAACACCACCCCTTGGTCACTCGGCAGATTTTATATTGCTTTGTCTTTCTTCAGAGCACTCACTGTGTGACACAGGGAGCCATTTTCACTGATTGCATTACCAGCCCCCCACTGGAATGTGTGCTCCTGGAGAGTAGGAATTTTGGTTTACTTTGTTAACTGCTGGTTACTCAGTGCCTAGCACAGACTTGTGATAGGTGATCAATAATCATTTATTAAATTAGTGATTCCCCACATCCTAACCAACACAATGTTATCAAACTTTTTGGTCTTTGCCAATCTGAAACGTGGAAAATGGCATTTTAATGTCTTTTAATTTGCATTCTTATTCCTGTGAGCGAGGTTTAGCACCTTTTCATACATTTGAAAATCATTTTTATTTCTATCTCTAGAAACACCATTGTTTTCAATAGATGCTATCATAAGAAATATATATACACCCTTTCACAAGAGTAATAGATGTCACAGTAGCGTTTGGTCCTTCTGTACTTTATTAGAGTTTAAAAAAGTGCCTGTTGAACGAATGAAGCATGAATACCAAAAGCACAACAGCTAGTTGCTGAAGACAGGCTCCATAAAAGTTCTTGATGTTTAAAAGGAGTCTTCATAATTGAAGGGGATCGGCTGGGCGCGGTGGCTCACACCTGTAATCCCAGCACTTTGGGAGGCCGAGGCGGGCATATCACCTGAGGTCAGGAGTTCAAGACCAGCCTGGTCGACATGGTGAAACCCCTGTCTCTACCAAAAATACAAAAAATTAGCCAGGTGTGGTCGTGGGCACCTGTAATCCCAGCTATTCAGAAGGCTGAGGCAGGAGAATCACTGGACCCGGGAGGCAGAGGTTGCGGTGAGCTAAGATCACACCATTGCACCTCAGCCTGAGCAGCAAGAGTGAATCTCCGTCTCAATAATAATAATAATAATAATAATAGTAATAATAATAATCGAAAGGGATCTGAAATGTGCAGGTTACTCAGCATCTGCCCATGGACTTTATTTTAGTTTCCTCCACAAATGAAGCCTGACGTCAGGATTTGGGTGCCGGTGGTTTAAATGGGAGGAGATCCCAGGGAACAGAAGTGATGGAGTAGGAAGAGTAAGACAGCGAAGAGAGAAAAGCCAATAACTTATGCTCTGTTGAACCAGTTAGAAGTATGAACACTGAGAATCAAGCCCACTGGGAAACTTCTGAGGAAATGTCAATAGCATACCTGTATTCATCCATTTTCACGCTGCTGACAAAGATATACCCAAGACTGGGTAATTTATAAAGAAAAAGAAGTTTAATGGACTCACAGTTCCACATGGTTGGGGAGTCCTTACAATCATGGTGGAAGGCAAAAGGCATGTCTTACATGGCGGCAGACAAGAGAGAATGACAGCCAAGCAAAAGGGGAAGCCCCTTGTAAAATCATCAGATCTCGTGAGACTTACTACCGTGAGAACAGTATGGGGGAAACCACCCCCCATGATTCAATTATCTCCCACCAGGTCCCTCCCATAACACATGGGAATTATGGGAGCTACAATTCAAGATGAGATTTGGGTGGGGACACAGCCAAACCATATAAATACTTCAGAATTGTCCCACCAAAGCACAGGGACACAGAGGCTCTCGTCCACCAGTTCTCATCTCCCAATGACTGGAGGTTGCCCTCAGAGGTCATTGCACCTCTGCTTGGCTGTGCCGATTTCCTTGGCCTCAGAGAAGGAATGGAGGCAGAAAATCAGGTAGGTGGCATAGCACTTGGGCAGGGAGTCTGTTAACATGCATGAAAGTATCCACAGCCTGTTGTGCTGAGGGCTTGTGTGTAGCCCTTCCTTTGCTGTTCTTTAGACTACCAGTGCTTTTGAATGCTTCCTCATACTTTTGTCTTGTCTCCTCACCTGGATTTCACACACCTTAAAGGTTAGACTGTTGGCTAGTCTAAGGTATATCATACAGTCCCTTGGAATTACATAGTGACTTATACATTTGTTGGTTATTTTTCATTTTTGACAAAGTGGTAATTATGGTTCTGCAGAAAAGGAAGAAAGACATGTTTAAGTGCTTTGAAATTTATACCTACCTGACCTTGCCTTTTGTTGCCCAGGGCACTGAATTTGCCTTCATCCCTGCATTTGTACATCCCAGAAAAGGAAGCCACACAGAACTTATCAGCCCTGGGCCAGATATCCAGGTGAACATTAGCTATAGAAATGCATTGAGCTAAAGAGTTGGAAGTCATGAAATAAAATCTCTGCTATCTGCAGATAATGTCCAAGGTTACAGCTCCTTCTGAACTGCTTTGTTAAGGGGATAAAGGATAGACAGTGAGGGTCCTGATTATATCATCTAAGCTGGTTTTGCGGTCACCATAATAACTTCCCTGGGAAGAAAGCTGGTGGTTCTACTATTTGGAAGGAAAGACTGTGTTTCAGTGCCAAGGCTTGACTCTGGCTAATCAAGACAGTGCTGCTGTGTATGACTGTGTAGACTGCACTGCATAGCTCCTGGGTGCACAATTCCCAGAGTGGTGTGATATGCGGACCCATAGATAAGGATCTCAGATGGAAGCTCCTCAAATGGGAAAGGATTGAGAAAGGAGAGCACTGGGGGGTGTCTATGCTCATTGAATGCTGATGATGCACTTGTCCCTCTCCCCCAGGCTTGGTCCTGAGGAAGATAGTGAAGGCTGGGAATCCGTGTCTGGGAAGTCATCAGCCTACCTTACACTAGTGAGTTAGTGATAATAGTCATAGCATCTACTCTGTACGAGGCTCTATGCTAAACACTTCACATGAGTAATCTCATTTAATCTTTACAAAAGCCCATTTGATAGATGAAAAAACTGAATTAAAATAGGAAATGAAGAGGGCATTAGACTAAGAGAAAGGTGATCCAGCACTTACTCACCACTTAGGTCTTCTTGTCAGCACTATTCAAATTGTGCTCCATAGAACCCTGTAGTCCACAAACTGTTTGTTACCAGTTCATGAGGAGAGCAGTACCTAATTGAAAGCAGGCATTTAGAAACCTTTATAGCAGTTTTACATTCAAGTGCATTAGGGAACCTGTCTCACTGAACAAGGGATAGACCAGTTCAGGTGCTGGCCATGAGCTGTGTGGCAGCAGGACCATGCTACAGTGTGTGGTACTTTAAGGTTAGTCGGTCAACTGAAAGCCAAAGGCATGTAAAAATCTGAGAAAACAAAAGCATTTATTTCTTTTGATATTTTGTTGTTTTTACTTATTACATATAATGTTTTTGTAAAAACTAATTTTTTTTAGTTTATAATTTTAAAATCTTCAGTTTTCTGGGTGGAACCAGGGAGAGTGTTGAAGAGAAGAAAAAGAAGGCTCCTGCTGTGCCAGAAACCTTTAAGTAAAAGTGAAGGCATTTTGCAGAGCTGAAGATCAAGTGCCAGAGAAAAAAGTTTGCCCAAAGGATGCTTCGAAAGGAAGGAAGGAAGCTTATCTATGAAGAAGCTAAACACTATCACTAGGAATATAGACAGATGTATAGAACTGAGATATGAATGGCTAGAATGGCAAGAAAAGCTGGCAACTTCTGTGTACCTGCAGAACCCAAATTGGCATTGATCATTAGGATCAGAGGTCTCAGTGGTGGCAGCCCAAGGGTCCGAAAGGTGTGGCAGCTTCTTTGCCTTGTCAGATCTTCATCAGAAACTTTGTTAAGTTCAACAGTGCTTCAATTTACATGCTGAGGATTGTAGAACCATATATTGCATGAGAGTCTCCGAACCTGAATTCAGTAAATGAACTAGTCTCCAAGTGTGGTTACAGCAAAATCAATATGAAGCAAATTGTCTTGACAGATAACACTTTGATGGCTTGATCTCTTGGTAAATATGGAATCATCTGTGCAGAGGATCTGATTCATGAGGTCTGTGCTGTTGGAAAATGCTTCAAAGAAGCAAATAACTTCCTCAGGCCTTTCAAATTATCTTCTCCATGAGGAGGAATGAAGGAAAAGACCACCTATTTTGTAGAAGGTGGAGATGCTGGCAACAGGGACAACCAGATCAAAAAGCTCCTTAGAAGGATGAACTATGGTGTGTGCCACAATTATTTCTGTAATCTGATCAGTTAATAAACAGTGATTGCTTTCAAATTGAAAAAATAAATAACAAAAATATTAGCTAAATTAGGAAGCAGACTTTCATAATAATTTTTAACTGTAATTTAGAGGTGACAAAGCAAACTTCACTAGACTTGTTTTCATCAAGAAAAGACACACCTTTGCTAATGCACAGCAGCACCAATAGTAAAACAGATGATGTCTATGGAAGTGATTCCAAGGAAATTAAACTACTACGAAAAGAGTTTGTACTAGTTTTACTCAGAAGTATAATTCCTCACATATTGAGTTCAGTTTTGTAGCCATAATTGACACTAATATTCTAAAACTATAGTATGTTATTTGTAGAGATATGCTAGCTAATAAAGCTCATAAGACCATCAACCTTATGTAGCATTTACATAGAAAACAAAAGAAGTAAATTCAAAACCTAAAGAATACCTTGAAAGAATGTTGAATTTAAAAAACTCATAAGAACAGATGTTCAATATTTCACATATAAACATTAGTAATGTATGAGCATCTTATAAAGCAGCATTTGGGGATGCGAAAATTTAAAAAAGAAGACTTTAGCACAAGACTGTATCAAAGATCTTTGAAATTATGGGTGACTGTGGCAAATAAAGTAACTCAAATGTCGTTTTTCATAACTAGACGAATTCAGTAACTAGCTAATGACATGGCAGATTAACTCACAGATACACGGCTAGCAAAGTCGTTTTCATTGCAAGTTATTGAATGCCCACATACTGCTAAAATGACAATTAATGTAGTATATATGCAATTCAAACATAGTGGAAGAATTTTTTTCAGTTTCATTGATGACAAGCACAACTAGTCCTAAATGTATAAAACTATAAAGGATTACACTGTCAAGGAATGTGGTTTAAGACTGCTGTAGGAAGATGCTTTAATGTGCAGCTTCATTGACAGAAAAGCATACTAAGTTTGAAGAATGTAAATCAATGCACTGCTTTTTTTAATCAGGAAAGTTTTACAATGAAAAAATGTTAGCTGAATTAAACAGTGTCTAGTTGTGTAGTTACATAGCAAAAAAATAGTTATGCAAAGGATAATGCAT
Organism: Homo sapiens; assembly: GCF_000001405.40. Lineage (NCBI taxonomy): Eukaryota > Metazoa > Chordata > Mammalia > Primates > Hominidae > Homo > Homo sapiens. The sequence continues at coordinate 110,549,003 of NC_000010.11, read as the reverse complement.
GAAATTCGAGATTATTCTCTTTATTATAATATGTGTTCATATGGAAGCTGATCATAAACAACTGTTGTAGGTGAGATACGATGCTTACTGAAGAGAAAAGTACTATTAGGAATGTTTGACTGTGAAACAAACTCTTAGTGTTCCTAGAAAGTAAAACAAACATCTTTATAAGGTCCCAATGTGGTTTGGGACAATAGGCATGCTTCTTTGTGTGATATTTTTGGCATTTTAAATGCTTTTACTACTTCTAAGCAGGGAGAAAAAATGCAGCATGATTTTCAATGGCAAAGAAGATTGAAGGGCAAAAATGACAGAAGCTTGGAAGAACAGAATATCCAGAGACTGTTACAACATGCCCCATAGTTTAGCAACAATTATCAGTGATGTTAGTGATAATCTTGATATTGCATATCTGTAAAATGTTATGGTCAAACAAGTTATGGGACATTTACATTTTATTTCCATCAAAAGAAGATTCGTGCATGGGAAATTCATAGATCCATAATCTGTTGCTTTCATTGAAAGACAATTTAACTCTACAGGATAAACTGTTGGAACTGGCAATTGAATAATTGACGAATTTTGAAAATACAGAATCATTTGCTTCATTTTGAATAAAAGTGAAAGATGGAAATCCTGAGCTTCCTAAAATTGTCTTAAAATCTCTTTTTCCTTTCCCGTTAACAAAGCTCTGTGAGACTGGTTCTCCACTAACCTCTTATTAAAACAAAATATAGAAGCCAGGTGCTGTGGTACGTGCCTGCAGTCCTTCCTAGCTACAGGCAGGGGATGGGGGTGGCGGAGGGGGGCAGTCCTGAGGCGGGAGGATCGCTTGAGCCCAGGAGGCTTCAGTGAGCTATGATCTTGCCACTGCACTCCAGCCTCAGTGACACAGTGAGATCCCATTTCTAAAATAAATAAATAAGTAAACAAATAAATAAAATAATTATTCTTTATTAAATTACAACAACAACAACAACAAAAATAGAAGCAATCTCATCACACATTCTACTTTGCAAGTAGCATTATAGTCCATTCTGGCTGGGTTAGATAGGTTGGCAAGCCATAACTTGTGTATTTGTCCATTAAGAATGCTCAATATTTATATGCATGGTGTTCATTCAAAGTAGAGAAACACTATTTTACTCAAAATTTTTCATTTAGTTATAATTGCAGAACAACAAAAATTATAAATGCAATAGCAATTTATATATTAATCATATAATACACACATTCAATAAACATGTACAGATTTTGCAATTATTTTTCCCGTTATGTTTATTCTGATTATATTTATTGAAATGCAATTTTGTCTGTTGAATATGATAATAAAATTTGGTTCAATTTTGTATATCTTTGTTTTTTAATGTAATGTGTCCAGTATTAATAATTCATTTTTATTGTACAATGGATTGGTTTGCAGATTAAAATTCTTTTAAAAACTGGTTCTTCGCCAGCCAATTTGAGAAGCACTGTTCTACAGGTCAACTTTATCTGTAAAGTGAGGATGAACTGCCAACTTTGGAGCAATCACAATTTTGGATTATATAAAGTCCAGCGAGTTATCAGAAAAAAAGGGGCCATGTTCAACATCAGCAGGAAAGGCGAATGGTTATTCTGAGTGTCACATCTTCATCTTTACCACTAGAGGGCGGTGAAGAAGTTCTTGTAATTGTGGGATGCATCACAAAGCCAAAATTGCTTGTAAACCGAGAAATTGAAGCACGCAGGAAAAAAATAAAACACAGAGTAAGATCAATTACCCAGTGAACATTTGTTGGTCGCCAATACTGTCCTGTAACACACTAAGACTCAATACAGAGGTCAAAACCCAGGGTCTATTTGTAGCTAAAATTCAAAATAGTAGGTAAAATTGGGATGGACACAAGATTAAAGAGATAGCTTTGCATGATGAAGAGTCCTGGAGATTAGTTGCATAATAACATCAACATACGTTTAAAAATGCTTAAGATGGTAAATTTTGTGTTATGTGTATTTTGCCACAATTTACGGGGGTGGGAGGAAGAGAAAGAGAGAGAGATTGCTTCTTTAGCCTGGCGTGGGCAGGAACTGTCTATACCCAACCAACAGCTCTAGCTCACAAGACGTGGAGAGGAGAGGTGGAGGTACACAGGCCAATGCATCACAGGGGTTGTGGAGCCTTTGCCGTGGGACCCACACTCACACACACACATGCACTTTTATTCTTAGTTCTGCCACATATCTTAGCCCATCACTCTGCCCCAGTTTTTCAACCCCTGAAAAGCTTAGGGAGCTCGTTTGCATAATCAGTTCATTCATTCATTCATTCATGTATTTGCTTAATGTTAACTGAGCACCTACTCTGTTCCAGGCATCCTGTGAGGTGCTGGGGTACAGCTATGATAAGACAGACAACCTCTGCCCTCAACGTGTTTACAGAGAATTGCCTTTTCTAGTTGAGGCCTTGAAGGGTCCTAGGAACTGTTTTTATCTCAAGTCAGCATCTCCTTCAATCAGTGACAAGTAGGCCATTTGGAGCCGCTGTCTCTAAAGTATTCTCTTGAAACCGTAGGAAGACAAGGACACAAGAGGGAGAATAACCACAGAACCACAAAGGGATCCAAGGTTGCCTTGACAACAGGATCAGAGGAAATAGCCAAGCCCTTGAGGTGCCAGGACTGGACTCTGAGCCTGGGCCGACTGTCCATTCAATGTCACCTTTTGACTTTGACAGGACTTCACTGAAGTGAGTCTTTGAAATCCAAAGGAAGAGAGGCCCACGCACTGAGGAACTCATCCCACGTCCATCCCAGCCTTGTTCTGATTCTGGAGGAACACAGGATGTCCTCACTCCAAAGGCTGCCAGAGACTGCTGGAGGCCGCACAGGAAAATAGGCAAGAGTCTGGCTTATGATTCTAACAAGCTTCAGTTAAACTCGGGCTGGGCCTCAGAGTCGCTGTGTAACAACATATGTCTGTCTGAGCCTCAGTTTCTCTATTTGTAAAGTAGAAATAATACTAATAGTATATAGCACCTCAGGGAATGTTATGAGGATGAAATTACATAATAAATGTGAAGTTCTTAGCACAGTGCCTGGCACACAATAAGCACACACTTAATGTTGTTTAAAAAAAAAAAAAGCTGAGCTGGACTCCATCTTTTCAAATGAGAGAACTGAGGCCCAGCAGCTTAGTAATAGTGGAAAGTTGATGAATTGTGGAATTATACCCAGTTTTGGCTCTCCCAGTAGACTTTGGGAAACTCACTTAGTCTCTCTAAACCTCCGTTTTCTCATCTGTGAAACGGAACAACCAGGTTGTTCTGAGGACTACCTGAGTTATGTTAAGCACCTGGCACCAGAACCTGGCATATTGCATTGTCCAGTAAAATGTTCATTTTTTTGTTCCTCTCTGTGGTTGTCCAGAGTCAAACTTGGTTCTAACTTTAAAATTGCAGCCCTCAAGGAGTTCATGCTCACCTTCACAATGCAAGCTTGGAAGTCAAGCAGCTCTCAACTCAAATCCAGTTCCTGACCTTGGGCACATTACTTAGCTTTTTTCTTTCTGCTGCAGTTTCCTAGTCTGTAAAATGAAGATCATAATAGTACCTCCTTCCCAGTGCTGGCATGAGGATTATGTTTTCTTTTGAAGTGTCCCATAAATGTTTATTATTATGTCCTGCAATCATGGCCCTAATCAAGAGGCTCTCAAGTAGATAAGTAGTATGCTTATATTTTGGTTTATTTGTGTACTAGGCTGTTATCAGAGCTGGGATTCACAGAGTTAGACAAGACTCCTGCTCTTGAGCTGCCCACAGTCTAGGAGAAGAGACTTAAGCAATAGCCTCATGACTGTGGTCAAGGGCTTTGATGAGATGCTGGGTGGCCAGTGGTTAAGAATACAGATTCTGGAGCCAGACAGCTGAAGTTTGACCTCAGTCCTGCCACTCTGTGATCTTGTGCAAGATATACTTAACCTCTCTGTGCCTCTATAAAATAAGGATAGCAATAGCACTTGGTTCATAGGGCTATTAGGGAAAGTTCAGTGGTTTCATATCTGCTTAGAACAGGGCCTGGCACATAGTAAGCACTCTATGCAGGCTCCTTCAATGAATAAAAGCTTACATACAGGCCGGATTCGGTGGCTCATGCCTGTAATCCCAGCACTTTGGGAGGCCGAGGCGGGCGGATCACTAGGTCAGGAGATCGAGACCACCCTGGCTAACACGGTGAAACCCCATCTCTACTAAAAATACAGAAAAATTAGCCAGGCGTGGTGACGGGCACCTGTAGTCCCAGTTACTCTGGAGGCTGAGGCAGAAGAATGGCGTGAACCTGGCAGGCAGAGCTTGCAGTGAGCCAAGATCACACCACTGCACTCCAGCCTGGGCGACAGAGCGAGACTCCATCTCAATAAATAAATAAATAAATAAATAAATAAATAAATAAATAAAATAAAAGCTTACATACAAATGACATTGGTAGCATTCAGAGGAGAGAGTATAGTTCTAGAGGAGGAAGTAAGGAAACCCATAAGAAATTGAGTACAGTTTCTATACCTCAGTCCCCCTGGATTTCACTCAAAATATTTCCACCAGCAAAACCTGGAAGGGATCGTGAAGAGTTTTGTGTCAGAGACTCATGGTCTGCAGATAAGGAAACTCAGGCCAGAGAAAGTGGCTTGCCCAGGTGAGGTGGGCAGAATAATAATCCCCCAAATGTCCACACCCTAATTCCTAGAACCTATGAATATGAAACCTTACATGACAAAACTGATTCAGTTCAGGATTTTGAGATGGGGAGATTATCCTGGATCATCTGGAGTGGCCCAGCGTAATCACAAGAGTCCTGATAAGGGAAAGAAGAAGACAGGGGAGTTGGGAAAATAGAGGTGACGACAGAAGCAGAGGTTGGAGTGACACAGGCCAGTGAGCCAAGGCACATGAGTGACCAATGCCTTTGCTTGTACCACATCTCCTTCCTCCGGGGTGCCCTTCCTTTGATCTGAGCTCTCATTTCCTGCTATTTGTCCCAAGGACCAAATTTCCTACTTTGAGCCTTGATAAAATGCTCTTCTCCCCAGTCCACCAATGCTACTAACAGTTATCTCTGGCTGATGGAATTGTGGGAGATTTCAGTTTTTTCCTTTTGGCTTATCAAACATTTTCCATATTCAGTAATTAACGTGATGTATCACCTTGCAGTTGAAAATTATCTATAAAAATAATTAAAAGGAAGTGAGCATTTGGTGATATCTAGTTTGTGCCTGGACTTTTCCATACGTTATCTCATTTACTCTTTAAAACAGCTGTGTGAGTTAGGTGTTATGGTGCCCATTTTATTTGTGGAGAAACTGACACAGACTTTTAGGTAACTTGCCCAAAGTCACATAGTAAGTACTGGAGCCATGATTTCCAACCAATGTCATCTGACCACCCTCTTTTTACTATACCACTAGCCTCCCTCTAAATAATTCCCACGTCCCTTTGTGGTCTTTCTACGTTCTGAGCAACCTTTTGCTTATGCAGTGGTCTCAACTTGCCTCATCCATCAGGAGAGAACAGTAGTGCAGCAGCAGTAATCTTGTTGCTGCTGGACTCAAGGAATTGGCTTATAAACTAACACATTCATTTCCTGTTTCATTATTCCCATTCTTGTTGATTACTTAGAATAAATTGGTCTCTCAGGATCTGATTAGGGCTGTAGGAACTGGTGGATTAACATAGAGCCAGACCCGAGGCCATGCTTGTGGGCTCCGGCTAGCCTGGCTGGTTTCTTGCTCAGCCTCCTTCACTCTGGCCTCCAGTGAAGGGAGTGGGTCATTTGAAAGAAGCTCTATCTTTGGTACATACCAGCAGCTGGATGATGCCCCAGCATATGTTAACCCAGGGCATTGGGAGGAATGTTCAGTTTCCAATGCTCAAGTTGACCAAGGAAAGGTACGTGTCTGACGGGACTCGGTACCCACACCACTTAGCACGGTGCTTGGCATGGAGAAGATATTCCGTCAATGTGGGCTGAATTAATCTGTGGTCATAGGAAATCAGCCAGGTAACTCTCCCTGCCCCTGCCTGTGGGGAAACCTAGAAGAAATTGCTTCTGTTGAGCCCACAGGTACCCTTTGTTTCCTCGTGCAAATTTGGCAGAAAATATATGTGTGTGTTGTGTGTGCATGTATAAACAATGTATTATATACACATACATAATACATGTGTATTTATATAAAATATATATTCTTGTATTTATTATGTATGTATACATGTATATGTACATGTGTAATATACATGTGTATTACATGTGTATATATGTCATATTCATAACATGTATTATATACATACATAATACATGTGTATTTTTATATATTATATGTATTTGTATGGATATATAAATATATATGATATAGTTTGGATCTGTGTCCCCACCAAAATCTCATGTTGAAATGTAATCCCCAACGTTGGAGGTGAGGCCTCGTGGGAGGATTGCATCGTGGGGGTGTTTTCTCATGGTTTAACACCCCGGAGCTGTTGTCGTGATAGGAGTTCTCGTGAGATCTGGTTGTTTAAAAGTGTACAGCAACCTCCCCCTCTCTCTCGGTCCTGCTCCTGCCATGTAAGATGCCTGCTCCCACTTTGCCTTCTGGCATAAATAAAAGCTCCCTGAGGCCTCCCCAGAAGCAGATGCACCCATGCTTCCTGTATAGCCTGTGGAACTGAGAGCCAATTAAACCTCTTTTCTTTATAAATTACCGAGTCTCAGGGATTTCTTTCTTGTGTGTGTGTTTGTGTGTGTGTGTGAGATGGAGTTTCTCTCTTGTTGCCCAGGCTAGAGTGCAATGGCACAATCTCGGCTCACTGCAACCTACACCTCTCGAGTTCAAGCGATTCTCCTGCCTCAGCCTCCTGAGTAGCTGGGAATACAGGTGCCCACCATCACGCCTGGCTAATATTTTTGTATTTTTAGTAGAGACAGGGTTTCACCATTTTGGCCAGGCTGGTCTTGAACTCCTGACCTCAGGTGATTCACCTGCCTCAGCCTCCCAAAGTGCTGGGATTACAGGCACGAGCCACCACACCCGGCCCAGGGATTTCTTTATAGCAGTGCAAGAATGAACTAATACTGTATCTATCTATAGATCAATATAGATACATCTATCTGCATATATATAGAGATAGATAAATCGAACTATATCTATCTATATCTCCACTGTACTTTGGGTTGGATTCCTGGCTCCAGCACTTAACATTGAGAGATTTAAGGAGGTGGCTTAAACTCCTCAGGCCTCATTTTCCTAATCTATAAAGCAGGAAGAGGTACCACGGCCTAATTTTCTGTGTTGTTGTAAGGATCATATTAAAGCCTGATACAGCTCCTATTTATTATTAATCAAAGCAGGCTGCCAGAAGTTGCCTTTTCTTTCCCCTTAAGTCAAAAGTTGCCTGGGTGATCAGAGACATGAGCAAGCTGTTAGTATTTTCTGAACATCTGCACTATGTCCTGTTACCTGAAATGACTAAAGGGAAGGGGACAGAAATGGACAACTATTGAGTGCCTGTTTGGGGTCAGCACTCTGCTCTTTTCCATATTCATTCATTCATTCATTCATCCAACAAATACATTACTTGGTGAATGTCTACTGTAGGCTAGGCTTTGTATTGGGTGACAGAGATAAATAAACAGGTAAACAAGGATGCTGTGTAAGAAGCTTCTTACTTAATTCTCACATGATCCTTAAGCATACAATTTTTTTTAAGTTTTTAAATGATCATATAGGAACGTTTGACTTTTTTTCTTCTGATGTATGGTTCTATGCATTTTAACATATGTATAGATTCCTGTAAACAGCATCTCAATCAGGATACAGAACAAAGTGTGGGAATTTTAATTTCCAATTGACTTTGAGGAAATCAAGGTCCAGACAGTTTGATGACTTTGATGCCCCAAAGTCAACCTGTCCTGTGTTAACACAGATGGCCAAAGGGAATATGGGTTTAGCCGTGGAGTCTGTGAGAGGACCTCAGGAAAACTCTGTGGCCCCTCACTGGTCCTTGAAGTGGAACTCCTCTCTTCCCCATGGATTGCAAACTTCTTGGCATTGGTGAAGTCTACTTTGTAGACTTTAAGAAAGGCTTCCGGGAATTTAGAACTTAGCTGGGCCCAACAGTTAACTCTCTTCACTTAACTGCCCTATCTCAAGGTATATATGGCTTATCTGGAGTAGCTGATTTTTTTATTTTATTTTATTTTTGAGACAGGGTCTTGTTCTGTCGCTTGGGCTGGAGTGCAGTGGTGCGATCATGGCTCACTGCAGCCTGGACCTCCACCTCAGCTACTGTGGTCTCGGCTACTGTGCCAAGTAGCCGAGACCACAGGTGTACACCACAACACCTGGCTAATTTTTAAATTATCTGTAGGGATGGGATCTCTGTGTCACCCAGGCTGGTCTTGAACTCCTGCCTTGGCCTCCCAAAGTGCTGGGGTTACAGGCATAGGCACATTGCCCAGCCTGGAAGAGCTGATTTTAACTAAGCAGTATTTGTCTCACTTTCTTAAAAAAAAAGAAAGAAAGAAAGAAAAGAAAAAAAAAAGGTGAATACAATATAATCTTTTGCCAATAGCTCTTGGTTCCTTTTGTGGCTGTCAATTGTTGCACCCAAAATGAAACAGAGTTGTTTCTCTGACTCCTCTCTTGGGGGATAGTGTTCTTGCCTGCCCTTATCACCAGCCTAAGTTTCATTTTAATTGATGAGTTTCCTGAGCTCTATACTGGAAAGTAAACATTTCAGTGTTATGCAAAGGGTTTGTAAACTGAAAGTCTATAAATCTGAGAGAAAGGTCAAGAGCCTCTTCTAAGAAGCACCACACACTTGCAACATCCAGTACTCTGTTACGCCACTTAAATCACCTACTGTGTTGCTGGAAGCACTTTGGGAACTTTTTAACCCCAGTGTTTTTATTTTAGTTTCTATAACTAATACATATACATGATAAAAATGGCATTAAGTGATGAATAGTGTCCCTCTCACCCAAGACCCTCGTCCTCTGGCCCGCCTCTCCAGAAGTGAACACATAACCAGTATCCTGAGTATCCTTGTGCAAAGTCACTAAACAACTGGAAGGCATTTTATTTATTGTTTATAGAATGTGCATTTATATACTGCCTTAAAGAAATACGCCATTTCATTCTTCCTGACTTTATTCATTCAATTAATTCAACCAAGGGCCAGCACCAGGGATACAAGAACCAATAAGGCAGTCGTGCCTTTCAAGGAGCTCATAGTTGAGCACAGGGGAACATACGTGTAAATGGGACTGAACACAGAGTGCTCTGATTGGTGGCTAAAATCCCCTTGGTGCCCCCCAGTTGGTCCTAATCCAGTCATCCCTGGTGCTATCTTGTGACAGTGTGGCTGGTTTTCCAGATGTAGCTGCAGGGCTGGTCCAAGACCTCCAAGGCAGGGGTAAGCTTGCCTTCCTGGAGAAAACGGTAACTCTTCTCCTCAAAGTCCCCAAAAAGACCCCAGAGGCCCATCCCACAGCCTGTGACTCCCCCCAGCCTGGAGCAGGCCTTTGCAGTTCCTTCCAAAGTACTTGGAATGCCCACCCTAGCATCATCAGACCAGAAAAGACTTTATAGGGTAAGCCACTTTCTTTCCAGATTCTCACACATCTTGTCCCCATCGTAGGGAATTCTGGCCTCTGTGGGAACACAACAGTGACTGGGCACTTCCTCCCTGGGAAGCCCACTTAGTGGTCACACAACATAAATCATTAGAAAGATCTTCCCTATATTAGCCAACACATGTGGTCCAGTCACTTCTATTCACTGCAGGATTATCCAACGGGTAGACCCTACGGGGCAATGGCACCAGCAAAGTGGAGGCGACAGAAAGTGAGAAAAAAAGACACTGACAAAAAAGGACTGAAGTGGTCATGATGGAAATAATCAGAACATTACTGGACTTCCTTATGCTTGTTTTTATTGATTTTTTCTTTTTTAAACTTTTTATTGTGTATTAATCTATGATATTTACGTATTAATGTATAACATGTAAATAGTTTTGGGACATGTGATAATTTCATACATTCATGTAATTTATAAAGATAAATCAGTGTACTTGTGATGTCCATCACCTTAAATGTTTATCTTTTCCTTACGCTGGAAGCATTCGAATGATTCTCTTCTAGCTATTTTGAAATGTACAATAGATTATAATAAATTAGAGTTGCCCTCCTTATGTATCAAACACTAGGTCTTATGTATTCTATCAAATGGTATATTTGTACCCATTAATCAATTTCTCTTCATCCCCAGTTCCCTTTGCCTTCCCAGCCTCTAGTAACCACCAATCTACTCTCTCTTTATGAGATCCACTTTTGTAGCTCCAACATTTGAGTGAGATCATGCAGTATTTGTTTTTCTGTGCCTGGCTTATTTCACTTAACATAATGTCCTCCAGTTCCATCTATGTTGCTGCAAATGACAGGATTTCATTCTTTTTATGGCTGAATAATATTCCATTGGGTGTATGTACCATATTTTCTTCATCCATTCATTTGTTGATGGGCACTTTGGTTGATGCCATATGTTGGCTATGGTGAATAGTGCTGCAGGAAGCATGGGAGGGCAGATATCTCTTCCATATATTGATTTCCTTCCTTTTGGATGCACACCTAGCAGTGGAATTCCTGGATCATATGGTAATTCTATTTTTAGTTTTTTGAGGAACCTCAATACTATTTTCCATAGTGGCTGTTCTCATGTGCATTCCCACTAGCAGTGTATAAGGATTCGCCTTTCTCCATATCCTTGCTAGCATCTGTTATTGTTTTTTTTTTTAAATAAATAAAAGCCATTTTAACTGGAGTGAGATGATATTTCATTGTTTTGATTTGCATTTCTCTCATAATTAATGATGTTGAGCACATACATGTTAGCCATTTGTATGCCTTCTTTTGAGAAATGTCTATTCAGATATTTTGCCCTTTTTTTGTTGTTGTTTTTAAGACAGAGTCTCGCTCTCTCACCCAGGCTGGAGTGCAGTGGTGCCATCTCGGCTCACTGCAAGCTCTGCCTCCAGGGTTCACGCCATTCTACTGCCTCAGCCTCCAGAGTAGCTGGGACTGCAGGTGCCCGCCACCACGCCCGGCTAATTTTTTGTATTTTCAGTAGAGACAGGGTTTCACTGTGTTAGCCAGGATGGTCTCGATCTCCTGACCTCGTGATCCACCCACCTCGGCCTCCCAAAGTGCTGAGATTACAGGCGTGACCCACCGCGCCTGGCCTATTTCGCCCATTTTAAAATGGGATTATTTGTTTTTTTCCTATTGAGTTGTTTGAGCTTTTTATATGTTCTGTCAGGTGGATAGTTGCAGGTATTTTCTCCCATTCTGTAGGCTGTCTCTTCACTTTGTCGATAATTTCCTTTGCTGTACAAAAGCTTTTTAGCTTAATGTAATCCCATTTGTCTTCTTTTGCTTTGGTTTCCTGTTGCTTTTGAGGTTACATGAAAAGATTACATGGAAAATCTTTGCCCAGACCAATGTCTTGGAACACTTCCCCAATGTTTTCTTCTAATAGTTTCATAGTTTCATGTCTTAGATTTAAGTATTTAATCCACTTTGATTTGATTTTTGTGTATGGGGAGAGATGGGGTCTGGTTTCATTTTTCTGCATACAGTTTTCCCAGCACCATTCATTAAAGGGATGATCCTTAGTGTTTGCTCCTGGCACCTTTGTCGAAATGAGTTGGCTACAAATGTGTCGATTTATATCTGAGTTCTCTATTCTGTTCCAGTGATCTATGTGTCTCTTTTTATGCCAGAACCATACTACAGCTTTGTAGTAAATTTTGAAGTCAGGTAGTGTGATGCCTTCAGTTTTGTTCTTTTTGTTCAAACTTGCTTTGGCTATTTGGAGTCTCCTGGGTTCCATATGAATTGTAGATTTTTTTTTCCATTTTCATAAGTAACATCATTGATATTTTGATAAGGACATACTTATTTTTAGGATTTAGATTGTTTTATTTTATGTTATCTATGATGATTTGTGTGGGGCAAGAAATACTTGTAGCATAATCTTTAGAGGTTGAGTACTGCTAAAGATCTTAATCCAGCCATGATGGTCCCAGATTTTGCTCTGTGCATTTACCCAGAGGAAGTCTCCTCTTCCGGATGGCCCCCTAGTATCTAATGACTCCCTCGGCTCTAGGACTCAACATTAGCTACAGCTGTCAGCCTCCAGGAAGGCATTTCTGAGCAAATGAAAGAGAATTGGGGTTTCCCTCAAAGACATATAAACCCCTTGGCATTTCTTTCCACTTGGTGTTCTGACCCATGTGCTTGCAGACAACAACATCCAGTGAGTAGGTGCCTCTGAGGAGCCCACCGGGTCAGTGACTACCTCCCTTACTTCATGGCTGAGGTTTGGACGTCTGCCCACCTGTCCGGTCAGCCTTACATCACCAGTCTAGAGGAATGGAGATCGTCCTTTTGCCTACTTGTGCAGCCCCGGGACAAACGGGGTGTCCCACCAGGCTCCTGTTGCAAGGTAGTGAAATGGTGCAGAAACTGAGAGTTGATGCTTCTAAGTCTAGTAGAATCAGGGTATAGGAAGGGGTGACTAAGCCCCCCTAGCAGTCCAGGAGTCATAAACTTTGTGGCATTTACTAAATAGGGCATGGCAGAGTGAGGGCTCTGGAGAACAAGGGACCCTGAATGGAACAGGAAGTGGTCACTGTGATTCAACCACAGAGCCTTTCCCTGAGTGTCATCTGTTAAGCGTGACACAGCCTTGGGGGAAAGTCACTGTGCTGAGGTGGGGGTGTGTGTGTGGGTGGGGGGACATTCAAGTTATGGGTTGGAGCTGCCACAGAACTGGGCAGTGAAATCAGGAAGAAGAGTAGCCTCCTGCAACACTGGTGTCTCCAGGGAACTGGGGCCACCCCCGATCTCAGTCATGAAGAAAATGCTTCTCTGTAGAAAGGGACAGCCCCCAGGAGGCAGCATCTCTCTGCCTTCCTGCAGTCGGGAACCTTGCTTACTCGATCAACCATTTGGACAGGTTACCTTACTTCTCTGAGCCTCTGTTTTCTTAACAATATAATGAGAATACTAGTAGAATCCATGAATGGGGTCACTGCGAAAATCAAGTGAGATGTTACATGTACATGGCTTATAAGAGAGACTGGTATAAAGTAAGTGGCAATAAACAATGACTGTCATTTTATCTTATGTTTATTTATTTATTTATATATATTCTTTGAGATAGAGTTTCACTCTTTTCGCCTAGGCTGGGGTGCAATGGCGTGATCTCAGCTCACTGCAACCTTTGCCACCCAGGTTCAAGTGATTCTCCTGCCTCAGCCTCTGGAGTGGCTGGGATTAAAGGCGCCCGCCACCATGCCCGGCTAATTTTTTGTATTTTTAGTAGAGACGGGGTTTCACCATGTTGGCCAGGCTGGTCGCGAACTCCTGATCTCAGGTGATCCACCTGCCTCCCAAAGTGCTGGGATTACAGGCATGATCTACTGCGCCCAGAGACTGTCATTATTTTATATTTATAATCAGAGACTCTCAGAGGTGGAAACCTTAGGCGTAAGTCATCCATTTTAAAGAAAAGAAGCTGGGCACGGTGGCTCATGCCTGTGATCCCAGCACTTTGGGAGGCAGAGGTGGGTAGATCACCTGAGGTCAGGAGTTCGAGACCAGTCTGGCCAAAATGGTGAAACCCCGTCTCCACTAAAAATACAAAGATTAGCCAGGCGTGGTGGCAGGCGCCTGTAATCTCAGCTACTCAGGAGGCTGAGGCAGGAGAATTGATTGAACCTAGGAGCCGGAGGTTGCAGTGAGCCAAGATCATGCCATTGCACTCCAGCCTGGGCAACAAGAGCGAAACTCCATCTCAAAAAAAAGGAAGAAAGAAAAGAAAAGAAATCTGAGGTGTCAAGAGGGGCATGATGTCCCCAAGGTCTCACATAGCTAACCAGAGGCACAGCCGTACCTAGAACAAGGGTCTCCTGCTCAGCCCCTTTCTCTTTTTCTCTGCCCCCTCCCCTCCTCCTCCTTCTTCATCATCGACCTTCACTGGGTCCTTGTTATGTGCCAATCATTTTACGTTTGTGATATATCAATTAATTCTCACACCAGGTAGGCAAAATTGCTCCATTTTCCAGATGTCATGCCATTCATAATGCTTCCATTCATCTTGTCAACAGTATCCTTTTAAAACTCTGCCCTCAACTCTCCTCCACCTCCAGGAAGGCCTCCTGGATTAAACCTCCCCCCAGGACTTTAATCTCTCCCAAACATCACACCCTCTCAGCTGTCAGCCCACATCCTGATCTAGCAGATACTTCTACAACCATCAACAATTGCCACAGACATATGGGGAAGGGGACAGTGTCCTTTAAACATAAGGAAGGGTCTTTCAAACCATAACTCTTTCTAGAAAATTATAAAAAGTACTTTAATAATAAACAGAACATAATAACAGAAAGTTTTCTGAGTATTTATTTTCTGCCAGCCTCTCTTCTAAGTGATTTACATGGGATATCTTTAAATATGCATCCTATAATATTCTCAAGAAATGAAGAGAATTCCTTGGCAGCTTATGTCCTGCCGAGGGTTTCCCTGGCTTCCAGCAGTTCAACCAAGGCAGTAGCAGCTTGGGGCAGCTTTTACCTTTAGGAAGGGTCCAGTCACGGGTGAGACCTCCAGAGCACAAGGCTGGGGGCAAAGGACTACAGGTGGGCAAATGTCCCCAGTACATGGAGGGACCAACCAGCCAAACACATTCATTGTGAGTTTTTTTTTCTTTCCTATTATTATTATTATTATCATTTTTTAAGGTTCAGTAGTCTTTTATAACTTGATTTCTCCTTCCTTCCTTCCTTCCTTCCTTCCTTCCTTCCTTCCTTCCGTCTTTCTTTCTTTCTTTCTTTCTTTCTTTCTTTCTTTCTTTCTTTCTTTCTTTCTTTCTTTCTTTCTTTCTTTCTTTCTTTCTTTCTTTCTTCCTTTCTTTTTGAGACAGAGTCTTGCTGTGTCCTCCAGGCTGGAGTGCAGTGGCACGATCTCAGCTCACTATAACCTCCGCCTCCCAGGTTCAAGCGACTGTCATGCCTCAGCTTCCAGCGACTGTCATGCCTCAGCTTCCAGAGTAGCTGGGACTACAGAAGCGCGCCACCATGCCCGGCTACTTTTTGTATTTTTAGCAGAGACGGGGTTTCACCATGCTGGCCAGGCTGGTCTTGAACTCCTGACCTCATGTGATCCACCTATCTTGCCCTCCCAAAGTGCTGGGATTACAAGCGTGAGCCACCATGCTCAGCTTCTTTTATTACTTTCTATCATTGTGGTTTTAAATGTATTTCTGAATATATTTTATAATATATAGAAATATATTTCTAAATATATTTTAAATACCCTTCGGTTTGTGTTTGATTTCCCCAGTTTCAGTGTCAGCCGGAGTTAGCCATGTCTATGGTGTCAAGTCCAAAACCTTTATGGGACATTCTCAGCCTGGTGATCTCTCCACCGTCCCCATGTCCTCCCCTTAATCTCTGAGACCTGGTCACTCACCACTTCCTCCCTTGGCTCCCGCCCCTGTTTTTCCTACACCAACGAGTTTTGCTGCAATGAGCCCACACAGCTGGGACTCTGCACATTTCCCTCCCTGCTTCAAAGGCTTCCCCTCAGCCCCTGCTTGCTGCCTGAGGATAATCACAGAGGA
Source organism: Homo sapiens (assembly GCF_000001405.40). Classification (NCBI taxonomy): domain Eukaryota; kingdom Metazoa; phylum Chordata; class Mammalia; order Primates; family Hominidae; genus Homo; species Homo sapiens. The sequence goes on along the minus strand of NC_000010.11, from coordinate 110,533,295 downwards.
TTACATATACCCTATTCAAGTCTGTCTCCCCAGAGTAAACTGTGGCTCCTCAAAACAAGGACTGAGATTTACTCTTAATAAAACTTTATTTATAAAAACAGGCTGCAACTTGCCTTGTGCATGCAGATGTTAAAGTAAAATTTAAATTTAAAATTAAAAAAAAAAACTAGGCTGCAGGCCTGTGGGATATCATTTCCTAATTTGATTTTTTAAAATATTGCATTACAATATTATGTTATTTTGGGCCAGGCGCAGTGGTTCACCCCTGTAATCCCAGCACTTTGGGAGGCTAAGGTGGGTGAATTGCTTGAGCTCAGGAGTTTGAAAACAGCCTGGGCAACATGGCAAAACTCCATCTCTACAGAAAATACAAAAATTAGCTGGGCATGGTGGCATGTGCCTATAGTACCAGCTCCCTGGGAGATAGAGGCGGGAGGATCACTTAGGCCCAGAAGGTCGAGGCTGCAACGAGTTGTGATTGCGACACTGCACTCCAGCCTGGGTGACAAAGTGAGACCATGTCTCAAAAATAAAGTAAAATAAAATATCATGTGTTTTGAATACTGAGGTTTTTGGAACCCTCCCTCAAAGCAAGTGTGTCCCTATCCTCTCCCTACTGTTTTTGTTCTTAGAGCCCAGCATATGGAGGTATGTCAGCTCAGTTCCTGTAGTTGGATAAATGAGTGACTGTCCGGAAAGGACAGCAGACAGAATTGGGAGATGTGAGGTCCAGGTTCTGCCATAATTATGTGATCCAGTCATATCCCTTACCTGTTGCAGGCCTCAGTTTTTTCATCTGTAAAACACACAGGCCTTATTAGATGATCTGGCAGGGCTCTCTCTGCAAATACTCAACCAACATTCATAGATAAAGTTATGGATCATACATAGAAAGATGGACACGACTTCATTCCTTACCCTGGAGGTACTCACAACTGAGTGGATGTAATAAATCTCTGAGCCTTGGGTTTTTACCCCTGTAAAACAGGGTGCTATTTGCTTAGGGCTGTTGTGAAGCTTATGAGAGACAGTAAGTGTTCTCTCTCGTATTACTAAAAGTCTTCTCAAAACCTGAGCCAAAGGGCCAGGCATGGTTGCTCATGCCTGTTAATCCCAGCATTTTGGGAGGCTGAACTGGGAGGATTGCTTGAGACCAGGAGTTCGAGAACAGCCTGGGCAACATAGTCTCTACAAAATATTTTCTAAAAGAAAGAAAAAATAAGAACTTTAGCCAAAGACTTGTTTCATACTTTAAAAAAACTAGTTGACCAAAATACGAACACCACACTGTTAATGCTGGGCTGTGGGAAGCAGCTGAGTGCCATGATTTCAACTGTACGTGGGCACTTACTGTGTGTCCTTGGGCAAGTTACTTAACCTCTCTGAGCCTTCATTTCCTGCTCTGTTGAATGGGAAAGACAGCTAACAGTACCCCCAGCTCACAGCATTGTTTCAAAGGCCACTGGAGATTGCAGTACAAGTGCCTTAAAAACAGAATACAGCTGTACTTGAGAGGCCATAGGAGGGCTCCTGCCACCTTGAGGTTTTATATGCTCTCTTCCCCTCTTTCTGTCACAGGATTGATCCTTTCCTGTGGAAGCTGAGGCAAGTTTTTACTTGGCATCAAAACCTTAAAGTAAAGGATGTGTGGAGGAATTTCTTTTTTTTTTTTTTTTTTTTGAAACAGAGTCTCGCTCTGTCGCCCAGGCTGGAGTGCAGTGGCGCGATCTCAGCTCACTGCAAGCTCCGCCTCCCGGGTTCATGCCATTCTCCTGCCTCAGCCTCCTGAGTAGCTGGGACTACAGGCTCCCGCCACCATGCCCGGCTAATTTTTTGTATTTTTAGTAGAGACGGGGTTTCACCATGTTAGCCAGGATGGTCTCGATCTCCTGACCTCGTGATCCGCCTGCCTCGGCCCCCCAAAGTGCTTGGATTACAGGCTTGAGCCACCGCGTCCGGCCTGTGGAGGAATTTCAGGTGAGTCACAGGAGAACCTGGGGGTCAGAGAGTCTTTTGGAGTCATTGAAATCACACAGTGTTAGGGACAGTGCTTTCTAAAGCTCCAGCTGTTCTCTTTGTTTGGCTATTTCTTTCCTTCTTTTTCTTTTTTTAAAATTGAGACAGGGTCTTGCTCTGTCGCCCAGGCTGGATTGCAGGAGTGCAATCACGGCTCACTGCAGCCTTGACCTCCTAAGGCTAAAGCAATCCTCCCAACCCAGCCTCTCCAGTAGCAGGGACTACAGGCTTGCACTGCCACACCCGGCTAATTTTTAAAGTTTGTTTCTTTTTTTGTTTGTTTGTTTGTTTTAATAGAGACAGGGTCTCATATGTTGCTCAGGCTGGTCTCGAACTCCTGGGATCAAGCAATCCTCCTGCCTGGTCCTGCCAAAGTGCTGAGATTACAGGTGTGAGCCACCTTGCCCAGCCTGGTTATTTCTTATAGAAACTTGGGGTAGAGCAATTCACTTCTCCTTGGACCTCCATGAAAGGAGACTCTGCACTGGCCCCTGCGTCTTTCCTGGCCTTGCACCTTTCAATTTCTAATGGTGCTTTGGAAGGGCCGGGAGGGGTGAGTGGAAGGGGAAAGGACGATTTCATTTCCCTGTGACCCCCTCAGATGTCCTTTCTGCCCTGGTCACTTCACTCCCGCATCCGTAGCCAGAGCAGAGCCAGGCCGCCCAGCCTGAGATCCTGGGCAGGTCCAGGGTGGATTCAGGACCACGTTGGTTGTCCTGAGCCAGGAGATCCCGGAGCAAGGGTGAGCGCTCCGCCCTCCTGGAGCATCCTCTGCGCGCCCCGCCCCGCTCCTCCCTCGGAGCCCGCCCTGGCTGGGCCCGGGCGCCCATTTCACAATCGCTGCAGTTGGGAATGTGGCCGGGTCAGTTCCCACGGGGCTCCCTACTCAGGGTGGGACCTCCTACTTGGTGGGGCGATCGGAATCGCATCGTCAAAATACTAATTATTGTTGCATCCAAAGCCCCACCAGCGGCGGGTGCCCGGCCCTGCCCAGGAAATCCAAATAATCAGCATCACTGGGATTTTAGTCACCTCGGTGGGGAGCCGGGTCACCTGATACCCCAGCCGCTGGGAGCCAGCGTCAGGCGCGAGCCACTTCCTGGAACCCAGCCTGGGACCTGAAGAGGCAGGGAGGCTGGTCGGGGGTGGGGCGGGGCTGGGGGGGTGGGAGTAAGGGAGAGGACGAGACTATAGAACCGTCGAGGAAGAAAGAAGAAAAGCTCACTATCTAGGCTCATGTATCCCTCTCTCTTTAATCCTGGAAGATAGACATGACTCTTCACTTTACAGAAGAGGTTGAGAAATGTAAGAAAATTGCCTCAAGTCCTAAGCTGGCAAGAGGCAGAGCTGGGGCACTTTCCACTACACTAATGGCAGGTAATTTCACAGGCAGGATAAACCACCCCAGCCTAATCAGTGGTTGAGCAAATTGGGAACGTGAGAAAGCTGTGGGCAGACGAGTGGTGTCAAGGCGTCACGGGACTATGGGACTCTCACGTTCACAGCAGCAGTGAGAATGCCCCCCTCAAAACACAATGAGGTGATAGGCATCCATGTGGGCCATGCCCCACCCCCCACCTGCATCGGAATTGTGAGCATTTTAGGAAATGGCTAATGGCTTCCTAAGGGCCCTTCAGAACAAAGTGCTTAACTGATGTCAGTTAAGCATTCATCAGTATTCAAAGAAGCATTCCAGAATCAGAAAACGTTTTTGAAAAAAACGCTCATAATTTATAAATGCATATGAACCCCGCCGCCCAACACACACCCGCCAAACAGTGGAAACAACACTATCCATTCCACAGGATATTTCGCAGCCGTTAAGAATAATTACAGGCTCACGCCTGTAATTCCAGCACTTTGGGAGGCCGAGGCAGGCGGATCTCTTGAGCTCAGGAGTTCAAGACCAGCCTGGCCAAAATGGTGAAACCCCATCTCTACAAAAAGTTAGCCGGACATGGTGGTGTGCATCTGTAGTCCCAGCTACTCAAGAGGCTGAGGTGGGAGGATCGCTTGAGCCTGGGAGGCAGAGGTTGCAGTGAGTCAAGATTGCATCACTATACTCCAGCCTAGGTGACAGAGGGAAATTCCCCCTCTCCCCCAAAAAAGAAATCCATATACCACAAGGTAGGGTACACAACTGTACACATACAGAATGATCACAGCTGTTTGAAAGGAAAAAAGGAAGAAAGAACAAAACAACCAACACCAGTACATAGAAAATAGATTGGCAGGAAATACCAAAATGCTGACAGTGGTTTTCTGTGGGTGTTAGGTGATTTCTTTTCTTCTTTCAACTTTTCTGCATTTTTCAACTTTTCTATGTATGACATCTATTACTTTTACAGTGAAAACTATCTGGATTTTATTTGAAAAGAGAGAAAGTGAATAACACTAGTAATAACAATATTAATAGTAGTAGTAGTAAATTAACATTTACTGAGAATTTATGGGGTGTTTGACACCATGCTAAGCACTTTATTTGCTTTTTAAAAAAACCCTCGTAGTAATCCTGTGAAATGGATATGATTATTGTCTGTGTTTTATAAAGGCTCTGAGAGATTAGGCCATGTCGTAGGCATTGAGTTTTTGGCTGTACAGGTTCTAAAGCCCCTCATCCAGGGGGCAGAACTCCCCTTGGGTATTGACTTGGAGGGAGGAGCACCTGCCTCATACCACTGAAGCCCAAAGGCAAATCCTCCCCGTCCTGTTTCCTGGCAATGGGTATGAGTGCATGACCAAGGCTCAGTCCATCAGATGCACCTGCCTGAGGCCTGGCTCCTGGACCCACTGCATGCTGGGGGGTTAGCACTCCATTTGCTGTGATATCTGGCTGCAGTGGCAGCAGCGTCATGACTAGACTCTTCCAGCTCAAATGATGGTTTTCTGCCTCCTGCTGCTCCAGGCCTGGAGAGCTGCTTAAGTTTCTGCCCCTTTCTCAAGACTGTTCCCTCCTGAACCTCTGCCAATTCTATTGCAGTGGATTCCCTTCTTTGTTTAAGATAGTCAGGGTCCATTTTCTATGGCTTGTTACCCAGGGTCCTGACAACTCTCGGTGACTTTCCAGCAGTCCCAGAGCAAATGGCAGGAGCAGGACCCCAATCCCGATCTGTCCATCCAGAGCCCGAAGCATTGACCCAAACCTCCCGTGCTGCCCACTCTTCCCCAAAAGTATGATAAACATTTCCTGAACTTCTGGAAAACAAACCAGAAACATGTTCTTGAAGATTTTCTCAGAAATTGGCGGCCCACTGCCCACCCTACTGTCGTGGGAGCCTGGAAAACCATCTTGTGAAAGGCAGGAAGCTGAGGCGAAACCTGGGTCAGGGAGGAACCAACCCAGGCTCCAGTGACTGGAGCATAGACTGGATCTGGGGAGGAGAGGACGCAGAGGCGTTTCAGGCCTCCCTGGCACTTCCTGACCGGTGCCAGAGGACTGACTCAGCCTAGGGTCTCCTCCCCCAGGAAGCCTCTCGACCTTTGGAGTCTGGGAGTGGAAACTCTGGTTGGACCCCCTTGTACCTTGCATGTTCCTCTAGGTGGTGAGAGCTTGTTTTCATGTCCACCCCCATGTGACTGTGAACTTCTAGAGGACAAGGACTGCAGCTTTTTCACCCAAATTCTTGATGCCAGGCATATAAATGTTATTAGAGTGAATGAGAGAAGGAATGCCGGAAGGGCTCTCCCCATCCCCATGCCAAGCAGTGTGCAACCATGAACCCTGGGACTTTTCCGAAGCATCTTGGCAAAATAGAACAGCCATGGGCTTTGGAGTTGATAAATCTTGCTTCAAACCCTGGCTCTCTTACATATGAGCAAATTCCTCCTTAACCTCTCTGAACCTCAGCTTTCTCATCTGAAGAATGGGGACAGTGCCTAACTCTAAAACCAAGCAATTGGGAAGATGTGAAAAGTGGTTGGCACACAGTAGGCCCTCAGTACAGGCTAGCCCCCTTCCTCCTCCAACACTTCATCTTGACTCAATTCCTTCTTCCTGCTCCTCTCCTGAGTAAATGTCCAGCAAGAGGGAAAAGGTTAAATAAACTATGGCATATCAATAAGATAAAATGTTATTTGGCCTATAAAAATAGTTCAACCAATAATTTTTAATGGCATAGAAAGTGCTCATATATTCATGTAAAGTGAAGAAAAGACCAAATTGTTCATACAGTATGACCTCAGCCATGTAAAATGAATAACATTTGCATGCTTGAACATGTAATAGACAATTTCTGGAAGATACACAAGAAACTCTTAACCATGGTTTCCCCCTGCATGGGAGTAGAAAGTTGGAGGTGGACTTTGACTTTTCACTTTATAACTTTTTGTTCTATTTGAGCATATATATATATATATATATATATATACACACACACATATATATATAATATATGTATATATAATATATATATACACATATATATGTATATATATGTATATATAATATATATATATACACACACATATATACATACATATATGTATAATTGTGGTTTTGTTGTGAGTATATATTAATATTTAAATGAAACTCAAAGGGCAGGGCACGGTGGCTCACGCCTCTAATCCCAGCACTTTGGGAGGCCAAGGCGAGTGGATCACGAGGTCAGGAGATAGAGACCATCTTGTCTAACACGGTGAAACCCCATCTCTATTAAAAATACAAAAAATTAGCCAGGTGTGGTGGCGGGCGCCTGTAGTCCCAGCTACTCCAGAGGCTGAGGCGAGAGAATGGCGTGAACCCGGGAGGCGGAGTTTGCAGTGAGCCAAGATCACGCCACTGCACTCCAGCCTGGGCGACAAAGCAAGACTCCGTCTCAAAAATAAATAAATAAATAAATAAATGAAACTCAGAGGACAGAAAAATAGAAAGGAAATATAACAAGACTTCAGCAGTGGTTATTTTGGGAGTAGTGGAATTATAGGATTATTCAAATGCTTGTTTGTATTTTTCTACATTCTCTAGGTTTCCTATGATGCACTTATAGTTCTTTTATAATCAGAATTAAGGGCAAAAATGACTTCAAGTGGCTCCCCAGGGGTGGGATTGGGGGAAGGAGCAAGTGACTATATCTAAAGGGCGAAGGGAGCATGAGATGGAACCGGGCAGAGGCAGATGTATTTTTGGAGCCATGTGGTTCCTCCTGAGTCAACTAACTTGTTGTCTGGTCCCAGCCTGCCAGTGGAGGCAGGAAATGCTCCCACTCCTGCCTGGTTCACTCTTAGTCACGCTCTGGGAGAGTAGGGTAGGGTGTAGGGGCAGGAGGCTAGTTGGGAGGAGTCTCCATCTGCCCCTGTAGCCTTCTGGACAGAGAGGTCCCAGGAAGGAGTCTTTAGCCCAGGCATCCTACCCACTCTGCATCGTCACCTTGGGGCTGGCAGGGGCTGGGAGTGAGCAGGAAAGGTTGAGGGAAGAATACTGGGAAAATACCCCCTGGCCTTTGGCAGACACCACTGCATCCTCTTGTGGAAGCTGTTGTGAAAATTAATTACCATTTGTCCAGGGCTTTGAGATTCCCCAGATGAAAGACCCGGCAGAAGGAGAGTCATAATGAATATGTGTTTATGGTTCTGACTTTCATCCCAAATGCCCGTCATGACAATCACGTGTCCCTCACCTAACCTCCCACCACCTGAACATCCTGACTTCTAATCACCAGAAGTTGAACATCGGTATTGACTCAGTCCTGACAGGGAAGGAGGGAGGAGCAGAGGGCAGGTGATCTCCTATCATCCTGCATTTCAGATGGGTAAACAGGTGTTCCATCCCCCCACGGGTTAAATGGAGGAAATTGTGACAAAGCCTAGGAAGCAGAGGAAGGAAGCCTTGGAGAGAAGGGTAATGGATTACTCTGGGCCAGTTCCTGATTGTGCCATCATCTTGGAGCCCAGGACTCTGTCTTTCTTTTGGATAGAGGGCTGGGAGGAATTCTAGGACTTCTGGTCTCAGGCCATTGCTCTGCTCACCAGTGTTAGGCAGGTTTATCCCTATATGCTCAAGGCAAATAGAATTCATTCCAATTGCTGATTCCTCCAGCAAAATGAATCAATTCTTTGCTAATTGCTTCAGAACACATTTTTGTAATTTTTTATGTTTTAAAAATTATTTTTTAACTAATGTCGATATGGGAGTCTCACTGTGTTGTTCAGGCTAGTCTCGAACTGCTGGCCTCAAGTGATCTTTGCCCCTTGGCCTCCCAAAGTGCTGGGATTACAGACTTGAGCCACCACACCTGGCCAGCTTCCAAACACTTTTGACCACAGCTGAATTCTGTCATCTGACTCCTGAATTTGGGTGGGAAGCTCTTTTGTCTTCTGGGTTCTTTCCATTTTGTCTCTCCTTCTTCATTTCACACAAGAAGATACTTATCTGTAAAGCCCCTCAGTGCAATTCTGGGCAAGTGTATGGAGCAAATCCAATGAAGAGAGGATCCTGAAGGGGCCAGCCTATCACTTGAGGAGACTGCATTCTTATTGGAGAGTTGGGCCCTTGCTTATAAGACACTTAAACAATCTAAGAGGGCAAGCAGGCAGAAAAAGAGGCATGGGTCCTGAGAAGAGCAGGACGGCTGTGGACTGGAGAGTTCAGGAGACTCTCCTAGGACCCAGGTAAGGAGGCACAAAGGGATGTAGCCTAGGTGGAGACTGTGAGGAGCCCATCACAGCCAGAATTGAAGGTTCACCTGGGGACGGGGGCAGGAAAGCAGACTGGGCAAGATTGTGGAGGCCCTTGAATGCCAAGTTAAATAACTGGGATTTTTGTCCAGAGGGCAGTGAAAACCCACTGGAAGTTTCCCAGCCAGAGATTGATAGGATGTAGAGTTTGAGAGGAGGTTAAAATATCTCACCAGAAGGTAAATCTTAGCATCTCTGAGTCAGCAGCTCTAACAGGGAATCATCATCTTCCTCCTCAGACCAGCCCCTGACTTCTATTTCAGCTAATGACACATCAGCACCAATGTCACCTCCCCTTGGTGCTCTCTGACACACTATCCAATTTTATTTTTCTCATAGCACTTGTCACCTTCGGAAATGATTTTGTTTATGTACTTGTTTGCTTCCTTTTTCTCTGTCATCTCATAGAATGTAAACAAAATGGGGTAGGTCGGGGGTTGTTACCTGTTTTCTTCACTGTTACATCTCTAGCACCTCTGATAGTACCAGGCTGATGGCAGATGCTCAGTGTGTATTTGTGGAATGAATGGATAGATGGATTGATAAATGGATTCATGACACCACTTTTCTCAGTTACCTGGTCCCCAACCCCATGGTGATACTTGACTCATCCTTCTTCCTCCTCTGCAGAATCTAGTAATTTCCATGTCTATGGAGATTATCTCTGCATCCCTCCCTGCCCTCCCCCTTTGCGTTTCCACTTCTACTCTCTAAGCTCCTTGGGAACAGAGGCTCCTCACCGACATTTCCCCCATGGGGCTCGGCACAGGGTCTTGGCAATGACAATTCTCACTGATCCAGCCTTTACAATTTTCCAAGAATTTTTCACATCATCTTGCTCTACCTAGGGCAGATTCAGGACTTGAACCTCAGTCTTCAACTCTAAATAACTTACTGTTGTTATTCTCATTCCACTGTTGTTCTGATTTGTCCATAATTTATGATGAATGAATGAAAGAGTACTCAAGAGTGATTGTAGAGGAAAAACTGAAAAAGGGAAGACCATGTTGACACAAAAGGACAGAAAAGAACAGGAAAACAAGTGAATGGAAGTGGGGGAAGAGGGGGTAACTAAAAGCTGGGCCTGGAGAGGACAACCTCGCAGGGATTAGATTACTCTGTGTCCCACTGTCTTCTAATATAAGACAGAAAGTCAGGTAGCCAACCCAGGAGAAGATGCCAGAGACAAAGGGGCAGGGAAGTTCTGAATCCAAAGGAGATATTTTCTATCAGTTTGTGAGTTTATTACTTATAAGCAATAAGTATTAAAAATATAAGCAATTCCCCTGGGCAAAAATTATAAAGGACAAAAAAATGTATAAAAAATAAAATTAAAATCACCAGTTATTGCACCATCCAGAAAATGTCATTCTAATATTTTGATGTATATCTTTTCAGACTATGTAAGTAATCATAAATGTAAAATAAGTAGAGGCACTTATATTTTATATATTATAGTATATATATTACAATATACGTATCATGTATATACTTGTGTATATACACTTGTGTGTGTGTATATATATAATATATATACACTAGCATACACACAATCTGTTGTTAATAAAATGAGATACATACAGTTTTGTAACCTGCTTTTGTTCACTTAATAACATGTTATGAACACAAAGGAGTTTTTATAAGCCCAAAGGGCAGTTTGAAAAGATAACCTTTGGGATAAACAGGAAGCCAGAGAAGATATATGAACATAAAATGAGCAGCTAAGCTCTGTGGTTTTGATAAATACTGTTAAAGTAAATAAAACTTAAATGCCCTGCCAGGTTAGGTAATGATTAGCTCCCTATCAGCAAGGCCACTAATTCATAGACTCATAGGATGTTGGTTCTTGAAGGTGCCTTTGAGGTTATCTAAATCAATCCCCTTACCTTCAGCATTGAGAAACTACACACCCAGAGACATTGAATAACATGCCTAAAGTGCTATGACTGGTAAACCACAGAGCCAGGATGACAGCCAAGTCCCCTGACTCCCAGTCCAGTGCTCTTACCACCAAACCACACTGATCAACAATGTATGTGCACTTCAGCTACATGAACTGATGTGCAGAATGGAACAGGGAGTGATGCGGCCCTAGATCCAGTGGTTCTCTGGGTGTATAACATTGCCGAAGGGGTGTGTGTTAAGAGAGCAGCAAAGTGTCCCTGGGCAGGCCACTGACGAGACAGCAGAGTTCAGTAGTGAGGAGTGCTTGGCCCTGATGTTCGCTTATTGATCTTGCTGTACCTCTGGGCAATTTACATAAACTTTTTAGCCTCCATGTTCTTATCTTTAAAAAGGAGATAAGAGTGGTATCTACCTCATCAGGTTGCAGTGAGAATTAAGAGAAAATGCACACAAAGGGCTTAACAAGGTGCTTGGCATATAGAAAGGGCTCAATAAATGTGAGCCATCATGATTATTAATGCTCTGGCATAAAGGCCAATGTCCTTGTAAACTTTAAAAGGAGTTTAAGGTCATATGATAGCTGTCCTTGGCTGCAGACATCTATAGGGAAAGGGGACTCAGAAGGAAGCCCAACAAAGTACAGTAACTAAGAGACATCATCATCATCCAAAGGAGGACATGTGGCCCAGGATGGAGCTGTAAGCGACTGGAGACTCAGGGACTGTTCAGTACTCTCACTGGAAGTCCCCCCCAACAAGCCACAGTGAGGCCATCCTCATATTCCTTGGGCCAGCCACTTATTATACAAATCAAGGGTGAAGAAACATTTTTCTTCATTTTCCAATCAATTTTTTTTTCTTTTGAGATGGAGTCTCGCTCTGTCACCCAGGCTGGAGTGCAGTGGCCCAATCTCAGCTCACTGCAACCTCCACCTCCCTGCTTCAAGCAATTCCCCTGCCTCAGCCTTCTGAGTAGCTGGGATTACAGGCACATGCCACCACGCCCGGCTAATTTTTTTGCATTTTTAGTAGAGACGGGGTTTCACCATGTTGGCCAGGCTGGTCTCGGACTCCTGTCCTCAGGCAATCCACCCGCCTCGGGCTCCCAAAGTGCTGGGATTACGGGCGTGAGCCACCGTGCCCGACCTCAATTTATTAATATAAGGGCTAGGCATGGTTGGCTCCTGCCTGTAATCAGGCCAAGGTAGGAGGATTGCTTGAGCCCAGGAGTTCAAGATCAGCCTGGGCAATATAGTGAGACCTCATCACTACAAAATTTTTTTTAAATTAGCCTGGCACTGTGATGTGTGCCTGTAATCCCAGGTACTTGGGATGCGAAGGGAGGACGGCTTGAGCCCAGGAGGCAGAGGCTGCAATGAGCTGTGATCTCACCACTGCACTGTAGCCTGGACAACAGAGCAAGACTCTGTCGCATAAAATAAAATAATAAAATAAAATGAAAAAAAGAGTAGCAATATTAATATCAGGCAATATAGACAACAGAACAAGGAATATTATCAGGGACAAAGAAGGACATTTCAGGCCAGGCACAATGGCTCACACTTGTAATCCCAGCACTTTGGGAGGCTGAGGCAGGGGATCACTTGAGCCTAGGACTTCAAGACCAGCCCAGGCAACATAGTGAGATCCCGTTTCAAAAAACTAAAAAAAAAGTTTTAAAAAAATTTTTAAATAAGAGAAGGGTATTTCATAATCATAAAGGGGTCAATTTATCAGGAGGACACACCAACCCTAAACATTGCTGCACCTAACAACTTCAGAATACACGAAACAAAAACTGATATAACTGCAAGGAGAGATAGGCAAATCCTAATTTTGGTTGAAGATACTCCTTTCTTGGTAATCGATGGAAAAGTAGACAGAAAATCAGTAAGTATATAGAAGACTTGAACCACATCATCAATCAGCTTGGCCTCATTGACATTTCATAACATTCTACCCTAAACCAGAATATTACACATTTGTTTTCCATGGGCACATGAAATACTCACCAAGACAGACTATGTTTTGAGCCATCAAATTAGTCTCAGTAAATTTGAAGGTACTGAAATCACACAAAGTACGTTCCCTAATCACCATGGAATTAAATTAGACATCAGCAACAGAATGATATCTGGAAAACGCCTCAATTTTTGCAATTAATCAGGTAGATCAAAAAAGAGATTATACGGGAAATTAGAACATAGTTTGAACTGAATAAAAATGAAAGTATACATATCAAAATTTATGGGGGCTTAGAGGAAAAGTTTTACCTTTGAGTGCTTATATTATAAAAGAAGAAAGTAGAAAATGAATGATAAGTTTCCACCTTAAGAAACTATTAAAGGGGGCCAGGCTCGGTGGCTCATGCCTGTAATCTCAGCACTTTGGGAGGCCGAGGCAGGCGGATCACAAGGTCGGGAGTTCGAGACCATCCTGCCTAAAACAGTGAAACCCCGTCTTTACTAAAAATACAAAAAATATTAGCCAGATGTGGTGGCGGGCGCTTGTAATCCCAGCTAGGCTGAGGCAGGAGAATGGTGTGAACCCAGGAGGCAGAGCTTGCAGTGAGCCGAGATCATGCCACTGCACTCCAGCCTGGGCGACAGAGCGAGACTCCGTCTCAAAAAATAAATAAATAAATAAAAAAGAAACTATTAAAAAGAAGAGCAAATTAAACCCAAAGTAAAGAGGAAGAAGGAAAAAATAAAGAGTGAAAATTAGTAAGTAGAAAATAGACAATACAGAATAATCAATGAAACCAAGTGCTAGTTAATTGGCAAATTTCTATCCAGACTTATCAGGAGAAAAAAAGAGAAAAGACAAGAATTACCATTATCAGGAATGAGACAGAGAACATCAATATAGATCCTAAGACCTCCAAGGATAACAAGGAAATATTAAAAACTTTATGTTAAACAAATTCAGCAACTTCAGTGAAATGAACAAATTACTTGAAAGACACAAATTACCAAAGCTTACTCAAGGAGGCTGGGTGCAGTGGCACATACCTATAATCCCAGCACTTTGGGAGGCCAAGGTGGGCAGATCACTTGTGGTCGGGAGTTGGAGATCAGCCTGGCCAACATGGTGAAACCCCATCTCTACTAAAAAAAAAAATACAAAAAATAGCCAGGCATCATGACGCATGCCTGTAATCCCAGCTACTTGGAAGCCTGAGGCAGGAGAATTGCTTGAACCCAGCAGGCAGAGGTTTCAGTGAGCCGAGATCGTGCCACTGCACTCCAACCTGGGTGACAGAGCAAGACTCCATCTCAAAAAGAAAGAAAGAAAAGAAAAAAGCTCACTCAAGGAAACACTAAGTAACTGGAATAGCTCTCTATCTCTATTCATCTATCTATAAAAAATCAAATTTATAGCTAAAAAGCTTCACAAAAAGAAAAGCTCAGTCCCAAATGACTTCTTGGTAAGTTCTCAAATATTTAAGGAAGAAACACTACCAATTCTATACAATCTCTTACAAAAACTTGGAAGAGGAAAGAACTCTTAATCATTTCATGGGGGCAGCATTATCCTGATACCAAAACCAGACAAATACATCACAAAAAAAAAAGACCAAAGGCAAATATTCCTCACAACCATAAGTACAAAAATCTTTAACAAAATATCAGCATATCAAACCCAGAAATAAGTAAAAAAGATAGGCCGGGCACGGTGGCTCACGCCTGTAACCCCAGCACTTTGGGAAGCCGAGGCAGGTGAATCACCTGATGCCTGGAGTTTGAGACCAGCCTGGCCAACGTGGCGAAACCCCGTCTCTACTAAAAATACAAAAAAAATAGCCGGGCGTGGTGGCGTGCGCCTGTAGTCCCAGCTAGGGAGGCTGAGGCAGGAGAATCTCTTGAACCCGGGAAGTGGAGGCTGCAGGGAGCCCTGATCTCACCACTGCACTCCAGCCTGGGTGACAGAGCGAGACCCTGTCTCAAAAAACAAACAAACAAACAAACGAAAAAAGTCATGGTAAAGTGGGATTTATCCCAGAAATGCAGGGTTTGATCAACACTCAAAAATCAATTTATGTATGAAATTACATGTAAATGAATTAATCCATTTACAGTAACATCCAAAAATATTTAGGAATAATTTGACAATGGAAGTGAAAGACTTGTACACTGAAAACTACAAAATATTGTTGAGAAACTAAAGAAGACTTGAATAAATGGAAAGACATCCACATTCATAGATCAGAAGAGTTAATATTGTTTACTTAATTTACTTTATACTGTAAGGTAAAATGAGTAAATGTTTATTGTAGGAAAATTATACCTCAATAAAGCAGATTTTTAAAAATTACAGGCATCATTATTTAATTCCCACATGATAGTACTGTGAAGGAAAGGTATAGGTACCAGAAAGACACGTAATATGGAATCCTGAAATCCGAGAAGGCTGAGGAGGGGAATAAAGAGTGAGACCAAAGGACAGCTATAAATGAGCAGGGTGATCAGGGGAAGCGATGAGACAGAGGGAGGGAGTTGTGCAAAGTCTCCGAGGCTTGAATCCTTCCCACAATAGCCTTTCCCATAGAAATCCCACTTCTGCTTGTCCAATCCTCAATGCTCAGTGTTATAGAGTCTTGCTCTGTTGCCTAGGCTGGAGTGCAGTGGCGTGATCAAGCCATTCTCCCACCTTAGCCTCCCAAGTAGCCGAGATTACAGGTGTGTGCTACTATGCCTAATTTTTAAAAATTCTTTGTAGAATTAAAATTTAATTCTTTATAGAGATGAGGTCTCACTATGTTGCCCAGGCTGGTCTCAAACTCTTGGTGTCAAGTAATCCCCCTGCCTTGGCCTCCCAAAGTGCTACAGGGATGCGCCACCACACCTGGCCTAACAGATTTCATAACCACATTTAAGGGGTATAGACATGGAGACACATACTGAGAAGCTGTTAAATTTCCTTTTCTGGAACATACTGTAGTCTAGATCAGCGGTCTCCAACCTTTTTGGCACCAGGGACCAGTTTTGTGGAAGACAATTTTCCCACAGACGGGGTTCGGGGCTGGTGAATGGTTTCGGGATGAAACTGTTCCACCTCAGATCAGGCATAAGATCTCATAAGGAGCG
This sequence comes from Homo sapiens, assembly GCF_000001405.40. Taxonomy (NCBI): domain Eukaryota; kingdom Metazoa; phylum Chordata; class Mammalia; order Primates; family Hominidae; genus Homo; species Homo sapiens. The sequence goes on along the minus strand of NC_000010.11, from coordinate 110,517,616 downwards.
CACAACCTAGATCCCTCGAATGTACAATTCACAATAGCGTTTGAACTCCTATGAGAATCTAATGCCGCCCCTGATCTGACGGGAGGCGGGGCTCAGGTGGTAATTCTCACTTGCCCACCGCTCACCTACTGCTGTGCGGCCCAGTTCCTAACAGGCCTCTGACTGGTATCCAGTCTGCAGCCCAGGGGTTGGGAAACCCTGGTCTATGGGAAAGAGTATAGCCCTGGAAGTCCATTGCAAGTTGGGTATCCTGGCTCTAAAATTCAGACTCTAGCTATGTAGCCTTGGGCAGGATAGGTCATCTGTAAAACAGGGCTAACAATATCCATCTTGCAGGGTTCTTGCAGATCTTAAGTGAGAGAACATATGCAAAGCACCCAGCACACAGCTGGACCATAGTAAATATTCAATACATTATCTCTCTCCCCTGCTTTTCTATAGAAAACAGGTCATTCTGGCCTAGTTTGGGGATGGTTCTTCTGAAGCAGGAGATAGAACTATGTGAACTTTTGAAATTACTTGCAGTCTGGCAACTTTAGGGCATTACAGGACCTGCTCCTGGCTCCCCCTCCTCCTTCCACACTTACACTCACGTACATACAGGTTGCCTTTGGGAGCAGCTTCCCTTGTGGGTCCCAGACAGTAGGGTTCCCTCGTGTCTGGCACCAGAAGCCATGCTTCCTGATTCTAAGTCCACTGTTGTTTCCTTGTGGGGATAGTTTTTCATCTTTCTACCATGGTGACATATATGAGGCTTCACCATTTGGGAGGTTAGTTCCTTTTAACCAAAACATTTTCTCCTCACCTCTGGAAGAAGCCCAGAATGAAAAATGCACAGATACTTCAAGGGCCTGCTTTAAGCCCCTGTTTGGTGGCTTCTTGGTTTCTGTAAACTTCGTAAGTGAACGGGTGTGTACTGGGGATGGGTGATGGAATAGTGGGAAGGGATCGGACCTACTAGTACAAATGAACCAGGATTTAAATTTCAGTTACCATGGCCGGGCACAGTGGCTCACACCTGTAATCCCAGCACTTTGGGAGGCCAAGGCAGGTGGATCACTTGAGGTCAGGAGTTCGAGACCAGACTGGCTAACATGGTGAAACCTCGTCTCTACTAAAAATACCGAAAAAAAAAAAAAAAAAGGCCAGGCATGGTGCTACACGCCTGTAATCCCAGCTACTGGGGGAGGCTGAGGCATGAGAATCACCTGAACCCGGGAGGCGGAGGCTGCAGTCAGCCAAGATTGTGTCACTGCACTCCAGCCTGGATGACAGAGCAGGACTCCATCTCAAAAATAAATACATAAAGGCCGGGCGCGGTGGCTCACGCCTGTAATCCCAGCACTTTGGGAGGCCGAGGCGGGCGGATCACAAGGTCAGGAGATCGAGACCATCCTGGCTAACACGGTGAAACCCTGTCTCTACTAAAAATACAAAAAATTAGCCGGGCGAGGTGGCGGGCGCCTGTAGTCCCAGCTACTCGGGAGGCTGAGGCAGGAGAATGGCGTGAACCCCAGGGGGCGGAGCCTGCAGTGAGCCGAGATTGCGCCACTGCACTCCAGCCTGGGCGACAGCGAGACTCCGTCTCAAAAAAAAAAAAAAAAAAAACCATAAAAAATAAAAAAAGAAAACAAAATAAAATTTAGTTACCACAATTGATCACTTTGGGGCAAGCAGGGAAGGGTTGTTTTATTATTTATTTTGAGACAAGGCCTCGCTCTATCGCCCAGGTTAGAGTGCAGTTGTGTGATCATGGTTCACTGCAGCCTCAACCTCCTGGGCTCAAGTGATCGGTAGGGTTTTTCTTTATGGCAGTTTTCTGGGGACTTCTTATGGAACGCTCAAGTCTCAGAGTCTGAGCGAGGCAGGTCTCTGAACTTAGAGGAAACCGATTGATCCCAGGGTGGGCATCTGACCCAAGGGCAGCCCAGCCGTAGGCTGACCAGTGACCAACGAGGTGAGGGGGTACCATGGCCTCTGACCAATAAGGTAGCAGTAATTAGCTAAGGCTGGGAATCTGCTTCCTCCAGGATTGGGGAGGAACTGGCAAATAGGTCCAGGATAAAGAAACTCACGTTTGGAGGGTCATAGGGGCTCTGAGAGAAACGGAGAGAACAGCTTCTGCTTCTGACCAGCGTTTCATTCTGTTTGTCACTTCTTCACTCCTTCACTCAACCAGTACTCATTGAATACCTAGGATAAGTCAGACCCTGTCCTTGGTTACTCTTGAAATGCAATGTAATCTCTGTTCTCCCGGTGTTTCTAGTCTGAAGGAGATGACGTTAATAAAATAATCACAGAGAAATGAAAAATTTTTAAACTTTGATGAAATACGAAGAAAAGATATAGAAGACTATGAGAGCCAATAGGGACATCTGACCTAGTCTGGGAGGGCTTTCCTGGCAAGGTGAATTTTGAACTGAGAGGCGAAAAACCAGTATGAGTTAATCGGTTGGAGGGGGAATTTATAGGAGAAAGATTCCAGTCAGAGGGACCAGCATGTGCAAAGGTCCTGAGGCAGGAGGGATGTTGGCATGTTTAAGGGATTGTCAGAAAGCCAATGTGGCTGGAATGGAATATAACTGGGGATTCAGTGCTATTTGCATTTATCCACAAACACTTTTCCTTAAAGTAGACTGAGGAGACTTCCTTGCAAACAAAAGCCCAATGGACAGAAGTACCTATTATATACCCCAGGTGTTCAGAGGGGTACAAGATCAATGAAATAGCTTCATTCGAGCTCTACCTTTTGCTAACTGTGTGACTTTGGGCAAGTTACTTAATATTTCTGAGGTTCAGTTTGTGCATCTGTAAAAATGAGATATAAAAACATTTATAGGCAGGCGCAGTGGCTCACGCCTGTAATCCCAGCACTTTGGGAGGCTGAGGAGGGTGGATCACAAGGTCAGGAGTTCAAGACCAGCCTGGCCAACATGGTAAAACCTTGTCTCTACTAAAAATACAAAAATCAGCCGGGCATGGTGGCACATGCCTGTAATCCCAGCTACTTGGGAGGCTGAGGCAGGAGAATTGCTTGAACCCAGGAGGTGGAGGTTGCAGTGAGCTGAGATGGGGCCACTGCGCTCCAGCCTGGGCGACAGGGCAAGACTCCCTCTAAAAAAAAAAAAAAAAAAAAAAAAAAAAAAAAAAAAAAAAAAAAAATTAATGAACAATGCAAGAGAGACTAAGGGGTGGGCTGAGTAGGGTGTGGATTGCTGGCACAGTAACACAGCCATAACCACAGGCTGGCAAATCTGAGGAGCTTGGGTACAAGGTTGTGCTGAACCACAGATAGAAGATGAAGCTAGAGCCTAGAAGAGGGGAGCTGGAGAAGGGGATTGTGTGGGGCTAACGACATTGGTCCAACTAAGGAGGTCGGCTCCAGGCAGGGACAGAAAGCCAGTGAACAGTCATCAGTACTCATGGACCCATGAGGGTGGGGCCATATGGCTGTTTGGCTGTTTTCCCCTGAATTCCAGGTTCTAGCAGGGGTTGTCAAGTGGATGGAAGGGTGATGGTTATCTAAGCATGGGAGTCCCCTCCATCCCATCCAGTGGTTAGGGGTCAGGAGGGCCTGCGCTGTAGCTTTGAGCATCCGTCCATCAGTGCCAACACTCTCCATAGAATGGTACTGGCAGCAGAATACAAGGCTGAAAGTATAGGGCAGTGCTAGTGATTCTGAGGCAAGGATCCAGGGCCCCAGCTATGAGGTTTGGGCTCTGTACAGAATCTATTTCAGAAGTAATACAGGACTTGGCAGACTCACTGAAAAGGTAAAGGAACCCAGTCTTATGGATGAACCCTTCAGAGTGAGTTGAACAATAGTAACACTGAGGATGCACAGGCTACTCTCTATATATTTATACCCTATTTCATTCCATAAATGCAGTGGAGTCTATTTAAAGAGGGTGTAAAAGTTTTGCTGTTCTTTTTAAGAATGATGAGGAAATGGAAGTAAAAGAAAAATAAAGATGGGAAATTTTAAAGGAAACGGTGGAATCAACACCCAAAATTCATGTTAAGTTCCTACAAAACTGCCAGAAGTGGGCTAAGAGTTTAGTTCTGAGCTGCCTGGTGGCCTTAGCAAGGAAGGGAAACAGAGCAGTCATGAGCTTTATGGTGTTCAGAAGAACAACCAGTAACTCAAAGAGATAGAGCTGTTCAGAGTATTGAAATTGGTGAGGCACTTTCCTGAGGGCCTCACACAGTGAAGATCCACAGTACCCAGGACTCCTGCCAGCACACTGGATCCTGGTTAGAGACTGCTCACACAACTCCTGCCCCATCTGGCCTAGCTCATTAGCTAGGGTGGATCTGAGGGGGCTTCCTACAGGTACAGCCGGGAAAGAGAGAACTAACATCTTTCTTCTCCTGAACACATCTCTATGTGCGATGATGCTTGGAGACCGACAGAGGTGTTTCTCAAAACCTGGGGATGAAGGATCTAAACGCCATCAGCTTGAATTCCCCATTTGGCACTGGAAGCCAGTGTAGAGTTGGTCTTGGCAAGAATGGAGATGTAATCAATGAAGAGACTATTAAGTGGAGTGAGGGTTCTAGAGCCATCTCCAGCTGTGGGGCTTCACTTGGCTTACCCTCCAGTGACTCACCCGCCGATGAGCAATCCTCATATGCCTGATTTAGAGGACTTACTCACCCTTCAGAGAAAGACTTTAATGCAATAAAGCAAATGTCAGCAAGTGGGCTGAGCTTAGCACATCACCCCAGCCTGCATCCAGCTTCCTACTCCCCGGCTCTCCCTACCCAAGGTTCCTTTAGCCACTCAGCACCTGCATAGGCCCACACAATGGGCAGGCTTCAGGGACACACTCCAAGGCTGGTCAGAGGCTCAGAGATGGGACACCACGAGGGATTAGGCACCAGCTAGATAAGAGCCCTGGAGAAATCTAGTCCACAGAGGTTGGAGATTAGCTCCAAACCACTGGAGAGCTGGGGGAAGGGCAAGGGCTAGAACCCACAACTTCTCACCATCTGGTCTAGTGCTCTTCACTGTGGAAGCTGTTTGGTTACACAGATGAGGGGAGTGGGCTGAAAGAAATTCAGCATCCTAACCCTGGGTGACCTTCTCATCTGTGGACTTTCCAAGGAACCTCTGAACACAGTTGGGGAAAGGAAAGACAGGTGGAGAGAAAGACCTCACGCAAAGCCTTTGAGGTGAGGAATTTAGAGAGCTGGGCTGCCTGTGCTCTGCCACCATCTTGCTATTTGTTGACACAATGCATGTCGGGAGAACTGGACACCCTTTGGACCCTCCAGCATTGAGAAGTATGGCTGGAATCCCTGTTATTTATCAGCTGACTGGGATGGCATAAACCCCAACCAGCTCCCTGTTCCCTCAGATTAGGAACAGGACCCAGGAGTTAGGCTGGAGCCCAGGCAGAGCCAATCATGGGGAGAAGCTGACAACTGCCCCTTCCTTCCTCCACCTACGCAGAGGAAGTTACTCACAAAGCAAGTCGATTCAGCCTTGGATTTAAACCTACTCATTGAGGGATTTACGTTGGAACTCCTGGGGAATTATCTAGAATTAGTTGCAAGAGTGGAAAGAGGGCGTCAGGCAGGCTGGCAGGGCAAACTTTCACCTCATTCACTTCTCCATCCCTTGGCCACTTACCCAGCCTTTTCTGAGTCTGCCATATGCCAGGCACTGGAGGGAGGTAGCTGGCCACAAGCTTGGCACTCAGGCTTACTGGAACCAAGGGCCTTATGCTTTAAGGGACTCTTGGGATCATCTAACTCAGCTCACTCTTCACAGGTGAGGAATCTGAGGTTCAAGTAGAGCTCTTTGCCTAGTGCGATGGCAGTGAAGGGCCCTGAGTGGGCAGATACTCTCACCACCTCCCTATGAGGCCTGCACTAAGGAATTCTCTTGCCGGTTAGCTTAGGGAAACCCCTCAGTTGGAAAGCAACATTCTGTATCGTCATGCCTATAGCTGCACCTCCACCACCATCACCCTGTTGTTCATTTACAAATAAATCCCAATGAAGCAGGCTGGGTCCCCACCCAAGGGTATTCCTACCTTATCCCAATTCACCAACAACATGAAGAAGTGCTTTTCTCCTTTTACTATTTTTATTTTACACTATAAAAAACAAGAACAACAACAACAACCAGTAACATACTGCTTTTCTTCACATTCACACGGGTCTTAGAAAATTATTGCCTTTTCCCCTGGAGAAATAACTAACAGACAAAAAGAAAAAAAAAGTAGTACCACGTTGCAAAATCTGCAAATCCCAGAAGTCCACAGCTTGAAGACAACCTCCAGGGGCAGGGAGGAAAACAATTGTCACAAGAGACATAAGCACACAGAAGGACAGGCAGCTGAGGAAACCAGTTTGCACCGCCACTGACCCAGGATACCTAGCAAGTACCCTTCTCCTCCTGGAATCTACTGCTACCACCTCGAAGGTATGACTTTTTTGGTCTATGATCTGAAGAACTCTTTTCCCAAAGGAAGAGTTGCTCTGAGAAGAGGTGGAATGAGACAAGTTCAAGTATGACTAAGAATCATGCCAAAGTCCAAGGTCAGTGAAGAACCCATGGCAAAAAAAATCCAGAAAAGCCAACATCTTGCTACTTCAACCAACTACCTCATTGGACCCAAGAGGGTGTCTACACAACATTTCAGGGTTCAAATCAGGATGCTGATCATGTCCCTACAAACCCTGTAGGGTTACTTTCCCAACTAGACGGTGATCAGCTTATGCCCCGAAGCAACAGAGACAGACATTGAAACTGCCAAAGTTCAAAAAATAAGGTGGAAATTGTGCTTCCTTCAAAATGAATTGGCTTCATAACTGCCTTTTCTCCTGGTCCAGCAACTTCTTTCTCCCACGTTGCTGCAGGTATTTATTGCCTTATGCTTGAAATGAAAAGGCGAACTCTGAGGTGCAAGGACTGGGCAGTCCCAAGAGGGCAGGGGTCTGGAAGTACAGTAGTCAGCACATGCTGTGCTCCCGTAATGGCTTGGCCTTCCTTCAGTCCCGAGAACCTACCCTGAGGTCCGTCTGAAGTTCATTTGCAAGCCTGGTGACCACTCACTATCTCACTGGGGCAGCATGACAGAATGAGGTCTTCAGTATTGCACAGGTATGAAATGTCCATGAGTCTTAAAAACAAAAATCACAGTTGCTCTTGGGGCTGGGCCGATTCCTCCATCCCAGTTTTAGCAGGATGTGGCCGTTGCCACAGGGCTTCTGCTGAGCTCTGAGACTGTTGAGTGGGTAGGCACCGGTGCCAGCACCGAGGCAGGGAATGTGCAGTAGGCACCCTGCATGTCAGGGCTCAGTGTCTGCAAATGGCCTATCAGTGAAGAGCCTGCTGCCTCCCCTTGGCAGGAGGGAGGCTGGGGGTTGGGCGTGGAGGGCAGGATCTCAGATTCGTACTGCAGGAGCTGGCCCATGAAGCCAAAGTTGGGCGAGACCATGCTCCTCCTCTGCTTGATGTAATCGAAGGCCTCCTTCAGGCGGAACTGCTTGGTCTTCATAAGGTAAGCCATGCAGATGGTGGGTGAACGGGAGATCCCAGCCTCACAGTGGACCAGGACCTTGCCTCCCTTTTCCCTGACACAGTCTGGAAGGAAGAAAAGATGGTGGGAGTGAGTTGGGATTAGAATCTAAGGGCAATGGCAAAACACAAGAATCAAACACTGGAGTAACCTAGATATGAAACTGTTGTGCCTGCCTAAGAGCCACGGCCCTACACTACACTTCTGCCAGTCTTTAATCCCCACTGGTGAGGATAGAGCTTTTGGGGTCCCAGCAAAGACTATCCCCAAGTAGGACCTTTACAGTTTACAGCAGCTATTGTCACAAGAGACATAAGCACACAGAAGCTTTACAGTTCCCAAGATACTTGCAGATTCTGCCTCTGGAGGCGATGGACCTGGAGCAGTCCCTTCCTGGGGATGCCATCTTAACCTAGGTTCCACTGATGGTTCCAAGAGGGCATTGGAAAATCCTTGAAATTGTGCACATTTTTATTGGGCACATACATTTTTCTAAGGAGAGCATCCCAGGCTCAAAGACTGACTTGGAGAAGCAACTCTTGTCTCTCCAGGTCTGATTCTAAGGGTAACAACCTAACCCCGATCCTGGTAGAGGCCTTCCGGTCTCTCCGGGCACCCTGTCTGGCTGTGCCAGGGCAGGATGCTTGGCTCAGCTCCCAGGGTTCTCACCACCAAACACACAATAAATAGCGCATGGCCACTAATTATAGCCCTGGCTAAGTGACGCCTACTAGACGGAGGATATAAATGGCTTTCACAAATTCCATCTTGCTCAACAATGGGAGTCGCTGCTATAAAGCTACCACCATCAGTTAGCATTCTTTAGCTCAATATGACAAAAAGGGGAGGATGCCTCCCTTCCTGTTCTACCTCCCAGCCCCCTGCCCCCAGAAAACCAGCTACAACTATTAAAAATGGGAAGGGGTGAAAGGTTAAAGATACGTACACATCAAATCCACAAAAAATACAGTCTTTCCAATTCCCTCTCTTGCTAGTGAGGAAACAATTACATCACAGGAAGTTAGATGTAGCTGGCACTACGCAGGCTACAATACGCAAAAACATTTACGATTTTGAAGGGCCAAAAGAAAAAGTCATTCCCCTTACCACCCTCCACTTCCCTGCCCCAAGGTCAAAGTATGCAAATCAATCTGCAAGATCTAAAAGATAAAATTTCTGAGGCATCAGGGAGGAATCCTAGAGTTTCCCCATCTGAACAAAAACCCCACAGCATACCCCAAAGCAGTTCAATAGGGGTGTCCTCCAATTCAGTCTGACTCAAAAGAAACAACAAAACAGTCTCTTTAAATTAGTTCAAAGGGGAGACCCCCAAGTCCCTAGAATTACAGAGTCGGGCTCCTATCTCCCTTCGCTCCTCTGTTGGCCTCCTTCAAAGTTTAGCTTTTAACTGGCCTAGTGCCACATCCAAGAATGCAAAGGGTCCAGAGTGTATTGCCTCTGGAGCCCACTCGACACCTCGGAGCCTGCCTTCCACATGGCCCTCTTCCCTTGGAAGGGGTCAGCATATATTCAGCACATGGCTCACTGGGGAGACCCAGTCTCTCCTTCCATTAGCAGGGCAAGCAATCGGAGAAAAAGCATCCTGTGCTTTCAAACTGCTGTGGGTTTGTGGATTGTGCGTACACAGACACAATACACACACAGGATGGGGAGGGAGGGTTCTGAGAACTGGATGGGGGCGTGTTTCATGACCTCATGAAGTAGCTACCCAGGTAATTAAATAACAGGCTGAGAAGGGCAAGGCATTCCCAGGGACAGGGAGAACAAGTCAAGGGTTTCCCACCCTGAACCCATCATTTGGCTGCCTTTCAAGCTCCAAAGGAATCATTTCAGCCCAGAGGCTCAGGGGACAAGCAGGACAGGCTCGGCCTTTTGCCTCTGATGAGTTTCTCGTCAGGGTTTCCTGGGGAGCAGAAATTGTGTGGTGAACAGAGGGCCACTATGTGGCTCAAGGGGGACCTTTAATTGCTATCTGCACTAAGTAATTATTGCTGTGCTAACACCTGCCTTTCCTCCTCCAACATCCCTTGGAACAAGAGACAGGAAAATCACGCGTCAGTTTCAACAACTACGTATGTTAAAGAGGAAGATGGGAGCTGGAAAACGGGGCATGATCACAAGGTTAGAGACTGGTACTTGCAAATCTGAAACAGAAAAAAGTCAGGCCAGCCTCCTAGGAAGATGGATGGGGGAGGAGAAGATGCCAAATGGGAGAACAATCCAGGCAACACAGAGGACCTGGAAACCCTAAGGCCACAGCCCTTTCCTGGCAGAGGGACCAGAGGCCAAGGCCTCGGTTTTCAGGTCTATGCAATGGAATAAATAACTGCGTAACAAGAATGCAGAAAGCAGGCAAAAGATGCCAACTTTTCTGTGCATACAGCATGGAGCTTGAGTCAAGTGCTATCTTTAATCCAAAATTAGCTGAAAATGCAAAACAAATTGCCCCAAGCCGTTCACCAAGAGTATGGAAAGCTGCTGGGGGCCCTTGGGGCTCAGTGCGTAAGTAGTGCTCTCTGAATCCTTCTGTTTGCTTTTAAAAATAAACCCAACCTACGTAGAAGCACAGTTAGGGAGGTTCTTCCCCCTGCTTTCCTTGTGTGGAGCATTACGCAGGGATACACTCAGCTCCTGCCCAGCTAGAAACAATAACAAGATCGACAGTGAGTACTGCCATAAAATTATATTAATTCATTTATCTTGCAAATTAAAGCTCCTATTCATAGCAACTTAAATCCTCCCTTCCACCTTTTTGGTAGCTGCATCCCATGTTGGCTCCAACTCTCAGCAGCGGCATATACAAGACACTTTTCTTTCAGTGAAGGTAGCTTCCATCAGGGCATCAAAAGTCAAGAACACATGCCCCAAAGGGGCTCCCAAAATAACTGAAGGGGAATGGCTAAACCTACCAATGAAGTCTATTGCTTCTTGAAAGTGGGAGCTAATGTCAGCCGTGTGGCTGTCTTCCACAGGGATCCATTTGTAGTGTAGGTGGGTCGCGCAGGCCTCGGAGGTCCGTCGGGAGACATTCAGCAGGGCTGTGATGTGCAGGTTGGCGAGGAACTCGCACTTGGATGCATGGTAGGCACTTCCAAGGTAGAGGAAGGGAAGGATTTCAACTGGGCCACCCTGGATGCAGGGACAAAGGACAATCAGGAAATATTGGATTAGCTTGTTCATTTGAGAGAGGAAAAAACAACTCCGACCTATTTGTTTCTTAAGATGGGTGGTTCCCTTTCTGGTTTCCAAGTGGAGTTCAGAGCCAGGGCAGTTCAACCAAGTGTGGTTGTATCTCCATCCTGGCCAACTCTCTACCTTATGTGACTGCCTTGTGACTCAATGACAGCAAAATCCACACAGCAAAGAGTTCACTTTTTTGCACATATCCAGGAGGCAGGATATGCCGACAGCCTTCCTGCGCTGACAAGGATGAGAAGCCATGTGGTAATATGGGAAAAATTGACAGGCCTGTGTTGAAGTTACAGCTGCCCTGAGAGTACCAGGGCAATCTCCTATGCCTTGGGACAGTCTTGCTTTCTTTACAGATAAAATGGACCAGGACTCAACATGGTGTGTGTCCTCCTTTACAGCCTTGACATTTTACATAGTGTATTTTTTTTTTCCTTTTTGGAAAGACAGAGTCTTGCTCCGTCACCCAGGCTGCAGTGCAGCGGCACAATCATAGCTCACTGTAATCTTGAATTCCTACGCTGAAGAGATCCTACCGTCTCAGTCTCCCGAGTAGCTGGGCCTACAGGCATGTACCACCATGCCTGGCTAATTTTATAATTTTTTTGGTAGAGATGAGTTCTTGCTATGTTGCCCAGAATGGTCTTCAACTCCTGGCCTCAAGCGATCTTCCTACCTCAGCCTCCTGAAGTGCTGGGATTATAGGCATGAGCTACCAAGCCTAGCCTATATGGTGTATTTCATCAAACCTAAGACACTGTTGATCCTAAGATGCACCCAGGTTTTAGAGATGTTAAAATGCACCTCCACCTCCACAAAAAAGTATGCTTTTTAGAAATGAAAATAACCACTACCTACTCAGAATCTTTAGATAAAAAATGTTGTCAGGCCACAAGCAGAGGGGCTTCCCCGCCTCTGACCTTCTTCACACGGGGGTTTGTTGAAGGTGCTGGTGAGACCCGCTTACAGAGCCATCCTTTTGGGAGGCTACCCACACCCCAGATTTCTAGTCAAGGGGGAACCAGAGACCATCCACCTTGAGGCAAAACTAAAATGAACCGCTGGTTAGACTCTGGCAGTCACAGCATTTACAGGGCTCTGAAGGTGGCAGAAAAGCTAGTGATGGTTGGAAAAATGGGAGCCCTTAGAGACTGAGAGGGAAACAAGGGGCTGGGTGACAGTGGCTGTGTCTTTGGGAGCCTTTCCCATGCCAACCATCTGCTTCCTGTGTTTCCATTTCCTGCCCTGGAATAAGAACGGAATGGAAACTCTCAGCCAGATCCCTAACAGGGAAGGGTGCGTGGGACAGGGGCCAGCCACAGGCAATTCTCAATTTACCCCACACCCGGAGTTAGCTTTTTGTTTCCTGAGAAGTCAAGTGTTTAAGCAAAGGCCAGTTCAGTCACTTGAAAGAAAATTACACAAGATTTTACATACGGTAATAACAACTGGTATTTTTATCAGCATCTACTATGGCTGGCCTCTGGGGGCTTAACCCTTTAGATGTGCCTACATCATACCAATTTCACAAAATCTGTGAGGTAGGTAACATTATTCCCATTTTACGGATGGGCAACTTGAGGCTCAGATGCATTTAATAACTTGTCCAAGTCAGAGCTAGTCAGTGGTAGAGCTGGGCTGAAACCCAAAACTGATTGCGTAGCATGAGATGCAAGGCCTTGTCTGACTCCATTTCAATAGTGATCAATATGAGAAAGTAAGTATTTCAGGTAAAGACAGGAAGGAAAAAATTCCCTCTTTCCTCTCTTCCTCTAGAGATAAAATGTCCATCTGCATCACCTCCTCGAAACCTCCCAAACTTCCATGCGTACAGAGCAGCCTTCCTGGTGGCAAAGTGGTGCAGTGGTTAACAACCTGGGCTTGGGCGTCAGACAGCGGAGCTCTTGGTTAAGTTCCAGAGCTCCATGCTTACTACCTGATGTGATCTTGGATAGCTTCTTTAATCTATGACCCTTTGTCTCTAAACTGGGGATAATACCTATCCTCTCTGGATAATTGGTAAGGTGTAAATGGGATAATGAATGCATTAAAACCTGGCACGTCACATAGCTGCCACTGTCATAGAGATTGAAGAATGAACAGAACATGGCTTCTCTCCATGGGGAAGACACAGGTTTTTAGGCAATCCAAGCAGGTCTAGTCCTGACCTGAGTTGGACCCACTCCCTGGGCACAGCATCCCCACCAGCTAGAAACCAGGAAAACAGCAGAGGTGGTACAAAGTTCTTTGGAAAGGAGTCAGAGTTCCAAGTCCAGATTCACGTGGCCACTGATGACTTATGGGTCCCCACCAATGGACACTAACAGGCTCGCCCTTTAAGGAGCAGGCTGGATGGTTGACTCAAGATCTCTTCCTCTCCTGAGTGCCTGGAAATTGCTGATACACCAGACCTGGGATCCTATCCAGTTTCTTTTGGAGCTCAGCCCAACACACCCCTGAAACTACATTTCTTTCCCTTTTTGAACTTCTGTTTAGACCAAGAGGAAGAAGCCAAAGGCCTTCAGAAACCCCAAAAGTTAACACAACCTCATCTGGCTGCTCTAAATGCAGAAGCATTTCTAAGAAGTAGCATTAGGGGGTTCCCCAGATGAATCTTGAAGACACATCAGGGCTTTCTCACCCCTCACTTGGCCAAAGATGTGCCGTGCTTTCGCAACATTCTGCCAATTCTTATTTCTCTTTCACTTTCTGAGAAATGGGGGGAAAACACAACCCAAACAAACAAACAAAAGTAGAAATCTAGCTAGGCCAGATGTCCACAGCTTGAAAGCCACAGGCTCGTCATATACTGTAAGGATGTTTATTAAAGGAAAACAAACAAAATCCTAACCCTGGCATCTGGACAAGCTAATAGGATTCCTGACCAAGGAGCCCGTTCAAGAAAAGGTCATCTGGCTTTACTTTGAAGTTTATCCCCAGGGACAGGGTTTTGTTCATGGCAGGGAGCTGGCATTTTAGCATCTAGCAATCTTTCTTCTTATGATTTGGGTATGTTCTTGGTTTATGTGAAAAGTTTGAAAGGTTACTCCCACCAGGTCAGGTGTCTAGATTAGAGGCCATGTGGAAAACAGAACAAGGTCCTGAAATAATCACAACAGAGAGCTGAGAGAAAGGGGTTCTGAGCCTGATGCTGCCTTGAACCAGCTGTAGGACTCTGCAAAATCAATCATCTCACTTGTCACAGAACACTTCTTTTCCCTTCCGTAAAATGGTTAGGTTTTGATCTCTGGCTTCTGCCAGATTTGGATTCTCACCTGCTTTTTCATCTTCCTGGATGGTGCTACGTAACCCCCTTCCACTTTATTTTTCCCTTTAATGAGTTATCACAAAGCACTCATTTTTAGAAGAAAAACAAAAACTCACTAGTTTACAGAAACATGAAGCCCTCTAGTATCTTTTGATTTCCTCTGGTTTCAGTTATCTGTGGAATTGTAAGCATAAGAACCCCTTAGAGGAGCCTACTTAGCCACCCAAACAGGACTTTCTCTGTAGCACCCCCACCAACACCAGTTTCAGTTAAACATACCAATAAGACACACCTTGACAGGTACCGGGATGGTTTGCAGAAACTGCAGAGCATGGACAATTACAAAGAAAAGCAACACAGGAAGCCTGAAAGTCAACTCTGAAATGTCTTCAGGGAAACCTAGACCAGTATTTCAAAGCTTCTCTGAACCTCCGAAGCCAGATGACAATAATGTATCTTTCACTTCCCCTTTTCCCCAGAAGCTGCCAAGCATCCTGTGGCTGGTTTGCTCTTGTCAGCTCGTTTGCTGGAAGGAAGCCCATTTACTCTTGGATGGAAGCTCAAGCTGGCAAGCAACAGAAGCTCCCTAAAGCCAGGGGATTTTGCCAACACCCTGATCCACAAAAGAACTAACCATCATTGCTGAGTGGGGAGAGAACAGTCAGGTGCTGAGGAAGGAAGGGAGACAGGAGCCCAGAATACCACTCAGGATACCTCTTCCCCATCACATCACGTACCTGGTCATAAGCTGGCCTGTAGCTGACATTTACCACTGGTTTTCCACACTGGCTGATGAGGGCTCTCTCACTCTCAATCTTCTCTTGTGAAATGGGTTTTACATCCACGCAACACTCAGGATATTCCGAGTAGAAAGTCTCATATCCCCCTACAAAAACAAACAAAAAGGTGAGACAGATGGTAAGCATCAATTTCTCACGCTGTCAAAAATACCCATAGTTAATCAATACTCTGAGTGTTACACAGTTAAGAAAAAAAATAAGCCAGTACAGATTCTGGTCATTAAAAATTGAGCAAAACCAGCAAACAGATTTAGAATAGAAAGGGGCTGTACACACATACAAACCTCTAAAAAGAACTCTTTCAGAGGCAATGATTAACTTTTTGTGTCTATCAGAAGCAGATTAAACTGTGAAAGAAAGTGTCTAGCATCTGGCAAATACTAACCAAATCCCTCCAGAAAACAAAGGCTATTTTCTCTCTTGTTTATCTAAAAGGAAGGTGTGATTACCCAAAATTTCATTAATTGGCGAGAAGACAGGCTCCTGAAGTGGCTTCTTCCCCAGCCCATCTGCTCTAAGCAGGATTCTAGCTGGAACCTCCTCCATTTATAAGGAAATGGGGGCTGATACGAGGTTTCATTTCGACTCAGGGCAGTAAAACAGCCTCACTGCTTCTCACTCCCAAGGTGCTAAGAAGAACACTGCTGACAATCCTTTCTAGGTCCAATTTGGAGTCATCAATCCAGTTAATTACCTTCTAAATCAACTGAAAGAATAAAGACTTCTGAATTTAATTCTCAGCCCTCATGAGCAAAAACTGTCTCTGTCCCCTTCATGACCACCCTATCTTCTTATCCCCACTTTTCTTACTTCTCTCCTACTCCTCCTGCACCCCCCCCCCAATCAATAAGTCAACTTACGGCATGTGTGACTCTCAGAATCCTTAATATTACATTTACACCTCTCCAAATGGATATAAGGTAAAAACGACCCTCTGAGCAAGTCACGGAAACTTGCAAATATAAGTAAGCCTTCTTGGGCCCATTTCAGTGGGGAAGAACCGAATGAAAAGGTGGCCTTGGAACCCTCAGAATGCCAAGGGCTGCCAGGTGCAACAGGCCAGCCTTGCTTGGGAAACTCCTTTGCTGGTAACCCAGAGAGCAACCTGAGACATTTCCTAGGGCCTCCAGAAAGCCCACTTGTCTTTTTCTGGCCCAGAGAATTCACTTGGAGTCAAATCCATTAAACATGCATTCTGAGACCATGAATTTTCCAAAGAACCCCCTTTTTCTTTTCTGACTTTGGGTGTTGTGATGCTGGCTTTTTTAAAGCCCTGCAGTAGACAAATGGTTAATGGATTACAAGGCAGTCTCCAACTCCCTCCCAGAAGCTGCAGCCAATTCCTAGAATGAGTCATCTTGCCATTACCGCTTCCTCTCAGCTCACTGGAACTGCCCCGCCCCCACTTAGTACACCCAGATCTCCCCTGTGGTCACCTCACAAGCAGCCCATTGCGCCTGCCCATGAGCTCCTGGTCCTCCTCAATGACCATGCTCCCCACGACAACGGGAGGCCACGGCAGAGGTGCAAGATGGTGCTATAGGCAGCTTAGCTTCCCATGCTCTGCCATAGCCCCTGGGCCCCTTCCCTTCCAGCAGTCAAGAGAGAATGAGGCAGGCTCACAATGACCCACAGCTTCCTTGGAAGAGGCATCCCTAGTCAGTAAACCACCTGATCACTTCCCGTGCCTGGACCTCGACATTATGGGTTCCAGGAGACAAACAAGGATTTGGATGGGAATTTGGAGTTCAGAATGACCTGGGCCCTCCCAAACTTCAGGACGAAGGTTGGGGAAATAGGAATCTTCAGGCTACCCCATCTTTTGGCTTTAAATATATTACTTCAGAGTTGGCTATCAGGAGGACAGATAAGAGGTTCGGGTGTGGGCTGGATCCTGCATGCTGTTGACAAAATTTAGTTGAGGGACAGATAAACAGGGTCCTGCCTCTTCAAGCTGGGATTCAGAGGAATCCTCCAGATTAAATGGTCTCAGTCTTTCACCCACTCCCATCAGAGGTGTGGAGAGACAGAACATTCCTCGCTGGTGCCTCACTCGAGTGGCAAAAGCCATGGCAATTCTTAGAGCTACTTCTTTTGGAGTGAGTCTGCTTTCAATCACCACCACATCACCAGGGAACAGAGAGAGCACAGATACTATATATAAATAAGCACTGACCACGCAATTCAGTCATCACCATTTCATTTTAGTGGTTGTTTGGGAGACAGGGGATTATGGAAAGTGTCAAAAGGCATTGCCCCCACCAAGATCTGAGATGCCACCAGATTAAAACCTGAACTCCTATCTGCACATGAATTACGTAAAGAAATAAAAATTTTCTCTGGCAACAATTTAAAGTTTAGTAGTGTTATAAGGGTAGGCATGAAGCAATTTCTACTGAAACTTAAAATGCATGTAATTCTTGACCTGGCAATTCTCATGATTTACTGAAAGGCACTGCACACGCAAGAGCACATGGAGAAGGACATCTACCGCATTGCTTGGAGCAGTGAGGCGGGACGCAACCTAATGGTCATTACAGGAGACCGGTTCAATGTGAAACAGACATGTATGATCAGATATGGACAAGTCTCCAAGATCTAGATAGATACAAGAGGCAGGACAGGGACTATACAAAATCAATCTATTTCTAAGATACTTATGAAAAACTATCTAAAGGTAAACAAAAAATAGTTGACGACTGTCTCTGGGGAGTGGAACTGGGTTCTAAGATATGCAGAAGACCCGCTTCTCATCACAGGGCCTTCATGCTGTTCAAATTTTTACCTGTGTATATGTTACCTTCTTTTAAAAAACATTTTAACCCAGTTTTCCTGAGATGTGAGTCTATAGAGCTGCCTACTTTGTGGCGACAACTTCTAAACTGTCAGCAGGGCCAGCTTAGAGAAGCATGGGGAGGAGAGGTGGGACCAGGGAGGGTCTCCTGGAACCTCTTTCATACTACTGAGGCAGAAACTTCTCCAAACCACAGGAGATAAAAACCATATTAGGAAGAGAAAGAAATCAGGAGGCACGCTGAAACCTCTGCAGAGCCAGAGGGCCAACCCTCTATCCCCTGGGGGATAGGCTGTTAGAAGAAGGACGATTACCATCTACCTCTGTTAACTCTCCAACAGGAAATCAACAGGGGACCAGTCAGCAGGAGGTGCTAGCAGAGAGGGGAACTGTCTCCAGAATCTTCCTGGCCCGGACTGTGTGAAACTCAAGTTGCATGGCTTTAAAACAGGCTCCTAACTCGGCGCCGGCTCTCTGCACCGAGCTCTGATCCCCAACACTGTTACATCCCAAGGTGTCCGCGCCAGGGCTGGCACGGCCTTGGGGCCCTGCTGGGGCTAAACCCTCATCTCTACATGTGGGTCAGGTCTCCCCGGGTGTCATTTGAGGTTACAAAGGACTCAAACACAAAGCAGGAGCAGTCATAGGAAGTAACCCAGAAAAAACCAATGCTTTGGATTTTGAGAGTCAATCACCCACCCACCACCAGAAGCCAAAGTTATCTTCCCGGCAGGTGAAATGGGCAGGCCTGTGGCGGTAGCTCCGGGAGGTGTCAAATCAAAGGCCGCAGAATCTCCATACCACCCTGCCCCCGCGCACCTCTATTTCGTGGCTGGCTGGCTGTAGGCTCAGCTCAGGATGGGTCCCAGGGATAATCCTGGGGCGGAGGAAGGAGGAGGTGAAAAGGGTGGAAAGGATGTGAGCTCCAAACTGAGCTAGAGAAAAGACCTAGGAGGGGAGAAGAGGCCGGAGGGAAACAATAAAAAGCAATAAAATGAAATGGAAAGGGAAGGGACTCGCCAGGTCAAAAAGGCAAGGGGGTCGGTGAAGACCACAGCTGGCTAGGCGGGAGGAAGGGGGGCACCACGGCGCCACACCAAGGGAGAGTGGATCGCGACCTGCTGATCCCGCCAGATCAGTCTATCAGGAAGGCCCCGAGCCCTGACCCCAGCGACAGCGGCGAAGCTCGCGTCTGGAAAGGGGGCTCGTGCCCGGCACGAGCCGACGGCCCCCAAACTGCTAAACAGCAGCAGCCCCCGCAGCATAACCAACTCCACCCAGACCACCGGGCAGACCCGCTGCCGGGCGCTTTCGAGGAACGCGGGTGGGGAAGAGGGGGAGCTCTGAGTGCTGACATTTGCAGTGCCCTCCCAAGCGCACAACAAGCCACAGGGTGCAGACTCCTGCAGGTGGTGACTCTCCCGGTCCCAGGGTGTAGGAGGGCGCCCCGGCGCAGGGAGGGGACCCGGGGGCGCCGGAGGGGCGAGCGTGGCAGGGACCCCGAGCGCTCACCTTTGAGGAAGTAGACCCGCGGGCCGGCGGGTAGGCAAGCGAGTAGCGAGGTGAGGACGACACGCGCGGCGCTCTCCTCTCGCAGCTTCTGCCAGTGGCGGCTGCCCTGGTCCAGCACCACCACGGCCGCGACGCCGCCGCCGCCCTCCTGCAGGAGCCGCGCGCGCGCCGCCTCGTCGGGCAGCACGTAGCGCGCCGACACCGCGCCGCCCCGGGCCCGCCGCAGCACCACCGAGTTGAGGTTGACGTTGAGCGAGCCGCGCACGTTCGAGGCAGCGAAGGCCAGATAGGGCCGGCAGTCGAGCACCACGCAGCGCGCCGCCGCCTCCTTGCGGAGCATCTTGCGCAGCTGGCGCCCGTCGAGCGACGTGACCTTCATGCCGCCGCCGCCGCCGGCCAGCGGCCCCGCGCCGCGCGCCCCGCGGGTGCCCACGGCCAGGGTGTCCACGGCCAGGGTGTCCGCGGGCGAGGCACGGGAGGGCGACCCGCGGGGCTGCGGCCGCGACGGAGCCCGGCGCCCGAGCGGCGGCGCAACTCCGCGTTCCCGCCCCGCTCGCTCGATAGCCAGCCCGG
Organism: Homo sapiens; assembly: GCF_000001405.40. Taxonomy (NCBI): domain Eukaryota; kingdom Metazoa; phylum Chordata; class Mammalia; order Primates; family Hominidae; genus Homo; species Homo sapiens. Next base: position 110,497,927 of record NC_000010.11, on the reverse strand, counting down.
CCGCTCGCCGCCCTAGAAGCCGGGGATTCCGCCGGCCGCGCAGCGTTTTATGTGAATGAGTGCCGTCCGTGACGCGGCTGCCCATATAAGGCCAAATATGGGTGTTTCCCCGCCCCTCGGGCCGTGGCCACGCCCTGCAGGGGGCGGGGCAGCGGGGGCGAGGGACGCGCGGGGCGGGTGCCGGCGTTAGAGCGAGAGGAAGTGGAAGGCGCCTCTTCGTTCTCTCTTCCGCGCTTCGCTGAGGGACTCACTCGCGCATCACCCGCGGCTGCCGGTCGAGTGTCCCAGGCGCTCCGGGGCCGCGGTGACCCTCGCGGTGCGGACCGAGGAGGAAGCGCCGTGGGGGGCGGGGCGGCGCCGCACGATCCGGCCTTCAGCTTCACGGACGTGGGCTGAGAACCCGCCCGCGCCGCGCTGAGCAGGGCCGAGGGAGCCGGCCAGGGCCCCAGAGGAGTCCGGAACGGATTCCCGTCGCTACCGAGGTCTGCGCGTGTAAGGAGAGGACGTCGGAGATTTGCCTCGAGGGGTGGGGTATAGATGACTGGAGAGGTCAGGCGCGGGTTGGTCATCGCTGAGGCTGGGTGATGGGTGGCCGGATTCGTTATACTGTTTTCTCCACTTTTCTGTATGTTTGATATTTTTCATAATAAAGTTTGTAAAAGTAAAAACGGGGGTTGGGGGTCGGCGGTGAGAATAGCCATTTAATCTTCCTAAATGGATTCTGCCCTCAAAGGATTGACGCTCTTTTCTCTGTCACTCTCCAATAATGATTAGAATAATAAGTTGTATTTTGAGGAGCTGTTTTCTGGTCCCGGGGAGACCCTTGGTGAACTCAGCAGTACCATCAGCATGTATCCCACGATGGAGCTCAGTTCAGCCAACTGTTGTCCAGGTGGCTTCTGGATTTGGGGGATTATCTATGGATCAAGTTTAATCTCAGGCTGTCTGCCCCCACCGGTCCCCAGGGGCTTCAGGCCTCCCACCCCTATTCCTGGGGAAGCAGACACAATTCACCCATTCAGCAAGCATTTATTGAGGGTCAGCCGTGTGCCAGGGCTTTGCTAGCTGCGGGGACACATGGATGGAAACAGGTTTCTGCCCCCAAGCTCACTGCCAACCATTTTATTGTTAGCCTGGCTGGGACTGCTTGATGGAAAACAGTCTGCCCGCACTAGACAAGGGCTTGTTGACAACTGACATAAGGGAATGAGGTTTTCAGAAGGAAGCAGAGATCAAATTTTGAAATCAGATGCAATCAAATCAGACACCAGGACAGCCAGCATTGCCTCTGGGTCACAGATGCATCCACCCAAAGGCGCTGTCCTCGCCTTGCCAGTGGGGTCTTGGTGAAGACGTGATGCGGGGGCCTTCTTTCTTTTTGTGGTTATCTGTGCCAGCCTTCCCTGCAGGCTGCTCTTCCTCTAGCACGTTCTGTTTCTGTTACCGGCTCTTTCCACCCCCGGCATCTCCGCCTAGAGCCACACACATACGCGGAGCACCCACGTGGGCCAGGCTTTGTTTTGGGGCTGGCGGCACCAACGTGAGTAAGACTTATACTCAGCCCCAGCTGCCCCCAGCCCAGAGGGAAGGGGAAGGCCTGTAGTCCGTGGGGAAGAGCGCCCAGTAGGGGTGTGGCAGGGTGGGGCGTGGGCTGGAGAAGGCCTCCCGAGGAGAGGAGAGCTGAGGCCAACTCCGAGGAATGAATTGTAAGCCAGGCTGCGAAGCAGGAGGGGAGATTCCAGGCAGAGGAAACTGCTTGGGGTAAAGAAAACAAAAAACGCAACCCCCCCAGCATGGTGCGTACTGGAGGTATGTGGGAGACTAAGGCCCTTCTGGTATTTATTAGCAGATTAAGCAGGGTCAGGCAACAGAGGGCCTTGTGCTGTTTTGAGTCATTTGGGTCTTAGTCTTTGGCCGGGCAGTCCCCAACGAGGGATCTTACTCAGTGACAAGATCCGGATAGCATTTGGGAACATCGCTGAGGCGGCTCTGTGCGGGATCGGTGCTTTATTTGAGAGTGGTGGTGGGGTCCGGAGTCTGGGGGATGGATGGGAGGATTTCATGGGTAATCTAGACATGAGCTGATATGGACTTGCCAGAACTTGGCAGTGACAGCAGCTATGGGGAGGCCATAGGAATGGGAGCACATTGAGGAAGTGAGATGCTGGGAGGGGTGAGATGGGGAGAGAGAACTGGAGAGGGACACCAAAGATTTTTTTGTTTCCGGATTTTTTTTTTTTAGATAGGTTCTCGGGCCGGGCGCGGTGGCTCACGCCTGTAATCCTAGCACTTTGGGAGGCGGAGGCAGGCGGATCACCTGAGGTCGGGAGTTCGAGACCAGCCTGACCAACATGGAGAAACCCCGTCTCTACTAACAATACAAAAAAATTAGCCGAGCATGGTGGCGCATGCCTATAATCTCAGCTACTTGGGAGGCTGAGGCAGGAGAATCGCTTGAACCTGGGAGGCGGAGGTTGCAGTGAGCCGAGATCGCGCCATTGCACTCCAGCCTGGGCAACAAAAGCGAAACTCGGTCTCAAAAAAAAAAAGCTTGTTCTCACTATGTCGGCCAGGGTGGGCTCAAACTCCTGGCCTCAAGTAATCCTCCCACCTCAGCCTCCTAAAGTGCTGGGATTGAGCCACCACACCCGGTTAGCATTTTTCTTTTCTTTTTCTTTTTTTAGGACAGAGTCTCGCTCTGTCGCCCAGGCGGGAGTGCAGTGGCGTGATCTCGGCTCCCAGGTTCAAGCAATTCTTCTGCCTCAACCTCCTGAGTAGCTGGGATTGCAGGCACACACCACTACGCCCAGCTAATTTTTGTATTTTTAGTAGAGACGGGGTTTCACCATGTTGATCAGGCTGGTCTCGAACTCCTGACCTTGTGCTCCGCCCACCTTGGCCTCCCAAAGTGCTGGGATTACAGGTATGACCCATGAGCCACTACCCCTGGCCAACACCATAGTTTTTAACCTTTAGATAGGGACTCTACAGGAGCAGGTCTGGGGTGAGGGTAGCAGGAAAAGGAGGAGTGGGTGAAGTTTATTCATATTAATAAGCTAGAGTTGGTCACACCAAGGAAGGTGCCCAGAAAGCAGAAGGGTGGCATGGCACCCGGTGTAGGAGGGTCATCTGTCAGCTGGATTGCTTCCTCACATCCCATATCCAACAGATTACTAAGTCCTGGGACCCTGCTTCCCAGAGCTCTCATCTGACTCATCCTGTCTTGTCCCATGGCCAAGGCCAGCTTTGCAGGTATGTGACCTGTGCAGCCAAACGGGGCCCCGTACTTAGAAGGGACCCCCACTTGTTTTAATGCTCTGTTGTTACTAAATTGTTAATAATTTTGTGCAAGAGACCCTGCATTTTCCTTTCCCACTGGACCCCACAAACTCTGTAGGTGGTCCTGCCTATCGCTGTAGTTAAAGGGCCCCATTATCCCCCATCCCCACTGGACCCTACATTAGCATCCTGTATCCCAGTCTCAAAGCCCCCTCCTTGCTCTCTCATCCTCTGCAGTGTGGTCTTAAGCTTACGTCTAAGCACAGAGCCCACCTCCTCTGCTCAAAAATTTTCAATGCCACCTACGCACTGTCTTGATAAAATCCAAATTCCTTAGTGAACACTAAGGTCCTCGGTCTGGCCAATTGGCCACAACCCACCTCTAACGTTTCTCACCTTCCTTCTCATCACCCCTCCGCACACCGCCCCCATTCTTTGTAAAGCAATCCTTCTCCACCTTCATACAGCTCTGGAGCTACTGTCGCACATTCAGGATGCCACCACTTAATCCCCCAGCCTGTTAGCCGTCACCCTCCTAGGGGTTCTCACTTCCCTTCCCCACTAGCCTGGTCCGTGAGTGTTATCTGTCCTGCCATTAACCTGCAGTCTCCCAGGCTAGACTTAGGGGCCTTATCCGACCATCTGTGTCTCCTTCACAACACCCTCACATGGTGAGGGCTGAATCAGTGTTGGTGGAATGGAATTCAGTGCTTGCTGAGACATGAGAGTGGCCAGCTTTTTAGGAGGCACCTGGGGAGAAAGTTGGTAACAGCACAAATCAGGGCCCTAGACACTGGATAAAAGGCGAAACAGAAAACTGGAGGTGCACAGTCCATAGATTCAGGACCTGGAGTCCATCGGCCACAGGTCTAGGAGGAAGAGGAGAGTGTCTGAGACTGGAAGGGCTTAATGGAGCAACTAATCTCTTGCCTGTGTCCCAAATACTTTGGAATGAGTGTGAGAATTGGCTCAGGGAAAAAAGCAAAATCTAAATTAATATTGTGAGTCCATGAGGCAGGACCTTGTCCTATTCATTAATCTTGCCCCTCAACAGTTATTTTCAGAGGGGCAAGAAGTGTTTCAGGGTTCTTGGCCCTTGTTTGACCAGTCGTCCTAACCCTCATGTCTTGGGTCATTGTTGTTATAATCTGGGGTTACCTTTTGGAAGGTCATGGGGTACCCTTTTGCAAAAGTTATGGGCCCTCTCCTTGGAAACTGCACACACACCATGCAGCTTACAATTCAGGGAGTTCACAGGTCTACAGAATCCTGGAAACTCTCATGTCCGGTTCTACTCATTGTAGCTTCAGTGGAACCTTCTAGCAGTCCTTTCCAGCTCCTCCCCAGCTCCTCAGCTCTGCTTCCCTCCGCCCATCAAGCCCTCCTCAGCCCATAAGGTGGGCCAGGTGGCCTGTGGGGATAAATCAGAGTGCCCACAAGTGCAGGGGCCCAAAGACATCCCAGAGCAAACCCAAGAATCCCTCTACAAGCCCCAGCCCACTCAGAAGGATGCATTTTGCCCCCTCTGTTTATTTGTTTGTTTTTAATTATGAAAGTAGGGCATGGTCATTGTTGAAAATGTGAGAAATGCAGAGAAGTTAAAATGATGCTTTTTGTTTAGGGCGCTGCTGCTTCTGGCTTAAGATCCTAAATCAAAGCAGCTGCCAGATCTGGACCTAAGACTTGCTTCCCATCACCTTACATAAAAGAAAGAGCACTGGACTAGGAATCAAAGATCTGAATTCCCATCAAATCTCTGCTATTACTAGCTTTTATCTCTATTTATTTATTTATCTGTCTATCTATCTAGTACCTTTTGTGAATATGAGTGTTTCTCACCGAGGCCCTCCCATCTCTCTTGCCCCCGATCCTGGAATGGACCAAATACCTTGTTTACTGAAGGATACAGATGGCATGTGACTGTTGAGAATCACTCACCCTCTTAGAGCCATGGTTTCCTCTTCTATAAAATAGGGATGTTCGTGCCTATTTGCTAATCATGAGTGACAATGACATAAGGTACATAAAGCTGTACTGCATGATGCAAACATAACATCATATTTGTAGGGTTGTTGCTAATAATACTATCCATCAGCAAAGCAGTCATTCATTTACTCAGTCAAATACTGATGCACTGGTACATTCAGTTTCCTCTTTTGTAAAATGGGGATAAAAATAGGACTTAGCTCATAGGGTATTTAAGATTCAGTGAGTTAATATATATAAAATACTTAGAGCAGTCCTTGGAACATATTAAGAACTCAATACATATTAGCTAGTTGAGCAGGCTGTAGTATTTGTTCCAGCCAAGAAAAGACTGTTCTCTAACAGCACAGGAAATAAAGATGGGGTTAGGCACGACACGGCAGCAGGACTTACCTTCTGTCTAATTCAGCTGGCAGTCAAAGAAAGAATTATTAGAAGCCTATGAGCTTGTTCTCCCAAAGATCTACTGAGTACAGGGGGATATTTAAAGAATAAAAATCCCTAGACCCACTTACAGTACAGGAGAGACAAGAAGCTGTTCACACAATAACAAGTGCTAAATTCCTTGATTTTTATACTGACAGCTGAAGTTTTAGAGAAGAGAAGGATCAATAAAGACCGGAATATTAAAGCAGACAGGCCTAAAAGAGGATTTTAGATTTGATAAAGAATTCCTCCAGTTCTCAGAGCAGGGACTTTGGAGGGTAACAACTTGGATTTCAGTCCTTGCCTGCCACTTACTGATTGTATGACCTTGGAAAAGTTACTTCACTTCTGTGAGCAATGATTCTCTCATCTGGAAAACAAAACAAAACAAAAAAACTAACAAGGGTGATAATAATACCTACCTCCCTACCTCATAGGGCTGATGAGAAGATTAAAAAGTACCTACATAAAGCCCTTCTCTGCGTGCCTGGAGCATGGCAAGGGCTCCATGTGAACCACTATTTTTTTTTTTTTTTTTTAATGAAAAGTCATGGGCAGCACCAAAGCTCAGAATTTTGGCAGTAAGGAATTATGATTCTACATTGAAATTTGCCAGAAGGGGAGCTGACTGCCTCATGAGACATTTTTGAATGAGGCCAAAAAAGGAAACAAGTGTATCCTGGGATTTTACGAGATGCTAGGTATGTCCTTAGCACTTAATCCTCATGACTACCCTATGATGTAAGTACTATCTGTTGTCCCTATTTTACAGTTGGCCAAGGTCACATAGCTGAAACGGACTTCTGTGTGTCTTCTAACTTTTGCTTTCAGGTCTGGAAAAATGCAATGTAAACCTAGACCCTCTTTGAAATACTGAAGATGGTAATCTTATCCCTTCCTCACTTTCTGTTTTCTAAAATAACAGTCCTTGTTCCTTACAATGTCTGTTTTCCAGATTCTTAGAAGACTTTTTGCTTATTTTCCATAACTCTTTACTTGTGATCCCTGAATGACACCGGGGGTATAGCAGAGAATGTCCATTTCCTCAAAGTTCAAAGGTCCTACAAAAAATAGTTGCTAGCCTGGCATGATGGTGTGTGCCTGTAGCCTCAGCTACCTGGGAGGCTGAGGCAAGAGGATTGCTTGAGCTGAGGAGTTTGAGGCTGCAGCGAGCCATGATCACGCCACTGCTCTCCAGCCTGGATGACAAAGCAAGATCACATCTTAAAATAAAATAAAATAAATTTTAAAAATATATAAAAAATAAAAAGTGGTGCCACTAAGTGTCCTGGACAGCATTAGAGAAAGCAAGAGATAGAAGAGTGCAAACACCTGAAAGGAAAGAGATGCGGGTCTTCCCTCTCCCTTGAGTAGCCACCGGCTATCCCTGGAGCATAGGAGTAGGATTTTATCCCCCAGCTTCGGCCTCCCCAGGCAGCACTTCCTTTCTGTGCTTTGACTCCAATTTGGATGGTGCTCAGGCGGGAAGTAGGCTGGGGTGGGAGGAGTTTAGGGGAATATTTGTCTTCTCTCCTGTTTTGCCCTAGAGATTCTGGCCAGGAAGACAAATGGCTAGTACCACTTGGTCCTTTTCTTTTCTTCTTTTGAGACAGGGTCTTGTTCTGTTGCCCAGGCTGGAGTGCAGTGGCGTGATCGCGGCTCACCGCAGCCTCCCAGGCTCAAGCATTCCTCTCACCTCAGCCTCCTGAGTAGCTGGGACCACAGCTCCACTAATTTTGAAGTTTTTTTGGTAGACATGAAGTCTCCCTGTGTTGCCCGGGCTGGTCTCAAACTCCTGACCTCAAGCAGTCCTCCTGTCTTGGCCTCTGGAAATGCTGGGATTACAGGCGTGAGCCACTGTGCTGGCCTCTTTTTTCTTTTTCTTTTTTTTTAAGGTTTTTATTTGTTAAATGGGAAGTCTGTGCCATCAACTGAGCATTGTATTTTCTCCTTAGTAAGAGCCTGGGTGGGCCACTGGGAGAGAACTATACATTAAATGTAAGTAGCCTCTGGGTAGAGAGCCCCTGGCTGGTTTCCTTTCCTTTCTCTCCTTTTCTCTACTTTGGTGTCTGGAGGCATTTCCCAGACTCCAGTTTCTTACCACCCTCACGGATTTTGCTATTGTATTATCACCTCCTTTATCATTCCCAAAATTGACTTTATGGAGACTCATTAAAAGAAAAAATCATCGGCCGGGAGCGGTGGCTCACGCCACGAAGGCGGGCGAATCACCTGAGGTGCGGAGTTCGTGACCAGCCTGACCAAAACAGAGAAACCCCATCTCTACTAAACAATACAAAATTAGCTGGGCGTGGTGGTGCACGCCTGTAATCCCAGCTACTGGGGAGGCTGAGACAAGAGAATCACTTGAACCCGGGAGGCAGAGGTTGCAGTGACCAAAGATCGCACTATTGCACTCCAGCCTGGGCAACAAGAGCAAAACTCTATCTCAAAAAAAAAAAAAAAAAAAGCCCCAAACCTCTTATTCTTAGGCACTAATATCTGTGGTTTATTAATCTAGTTCAGTTTTTTTTGTTTTTGTTATTATTTGTTTGTTTGTTTGGTAGTGGAAAGTAAAATATATGACAATTCAAATGGGAGACTTTTATCTATGCATCACCTACAGTTGCCTTTTCTGCCTCTAAGGCTGCCTGGGGAAACAGTAAGTGGGTTCTGGAGTAAAGGGGAAGGCTCTAGAAATGAACAGCAGTGCAGCCAGCGTTGGAGACATGGCTTAAATGCTTCCGAATTACAGTTTCTTCTTAAGTTAGGATAATTATTAAGTTGTAAAGTAGAAACAAAATAATAGACGGGAAAATACCTTGTAAAATGCTCATGATAGTCTTTTTCCAGTAACTTCCTTGCTCCTGGGGGTCTGAAATCCTATCCTTCCTGGCCTAGAACTAGTGGGGGGAAATTTCCGAAATCTCAAGGGTTCAGAGCAAGGGCTTTGCCCAAGGTCCCACCGGAGTTTTACCACTTGATCTGCGGTGGGAGTTATTTCCCCTCTCTATGCATCAGTTTCCTGTCTTCTAAAGTGGGATTGTTATGGCAGCACTTCTCAAACCTTATTGTGCATAAAATCCCAAGGAGCCTTTGAAATGCAGGTTCCTATTCTGGGGCTGAGACTGTATTTCCAACTAGCTCCCTGGTCATGCTGATTCTACTGGTCCGTAGACCACACATTGAGTAGCAGGCGGTTCTAGTGCTTAACTTCCTGGAGGTGTTGAAAGGCTTGAATTAGACAATACATCCTAAGCATTTAGCCTGGTGCTTATGTCAGGTACTTATCATAGATAGTAGCTCATTGTCAATATTACAGTGATTTATGGGTTTATAGGATGTGGGGTGGGTTGAGAGGTAACCCTAGATGGATCGTACCTGTGGGGTTTGAAAAGAGCAATGTGCTAGGAATCAGGAGACCAAGGTTCAAGTCCTAGCTTTATAATTTGTGCCATGAGCTGTGTAAGCTTAGGCAAGTCTCTCAAACTTTCTGAGCCTCAGTTTCCCCTCTACAAAAAGAGGGGAGAAGTTTGAATTAGATGGTGACTAAAGGTTCTCTCAGCTTTAAATTGCTGAAATTTGAGGGTTATAGTCCCTGCTCCATCCCCACCACCAAAAGACACTTAGCAAGCCTGACTTTGGCCATAGCCTTGAACTTCATCTGTGGCAGGGATGGGGCTGCTCTGAGCCTGCCTTGACCATGGGGAGGATGAATAACTGAACGGCCCAGCCTGGTGCCCTTGGCATTCCTCGAACCTCGGGTGACATCAGTCCCAGAAGCCTCTGTTCTCTGGGCCTCGTGCAAAGTTCTCCTTGTTAAGGCAGAGTGATTTGCAGACTGAACAGGAGAAAGTCTGCAGCATGTCCAGAAAAATGGTGTTAAAAGGAGGCATTGTGCACATTCTATCCCACCACTTCAACACACAGAGGCAAAGATGATTCATGAGTAAACTCACTTCCTTGTAAGCACATGTCATCTCCCCCTCACCCCCAATTCCATCCCTTTGGCATGTCTCTCTGGACTCTAGGGACTTGAGACCCAAGCAACCAGACCCTGCAGGAAACCTGCCTCTTGGTGGAAGAAATGAGCATGCAGCAGCCTAGTCCCCAAATGGGAAGAACAGGCCCCTGAGATAAGTGAGCCTCTTGGCCACAAGCACCCTCCCAGTCCAGCCCCAGCCTGTGTATTAACCCACAAGTCTATACTAAGTCCTCACCATGAACACACATTTATTGAGCACCTGCTGCATACTTCTGGCTAAGCAAGTTCACCTGAATAACTTACTTAACCTCTGCTTCCCAGTGAAGAGATGAGTACAGATGGGGCACCCAGGTTCATAGAGGCTAAGTGACGTGCTCAGAGTCACACAGCACCAACAAGTATCACTCATGAGGCTGAGCTGACCCTCCCTTTTCTCTTCTCTGTTATGAACTTGTCCATGCCCTTGTCTTTCGTGTTTACATTTGATTATTTATGTTTCCCTCTCTCCCCGTGACCAAAGAGTCAGCTCCTAAAGCCCCGCAGCCACATTCCCTAGCCTGTCCCTAGTAGGATATTTTGCCCAGTGAATACGTGAAATTCCTGGGTGGAGTAGGGAAGGGAGAGAAGCCCAAGATTTCATTCCTGACCTCAGGAAGGGCTGGGGAAAGGTGTATGAGGGTTGAAAACCAGGGAGGATTTACTCTGGCAGAGGGAGGGGGAAGGGCTCTGCAGCTGAAGGAGACAGGGGAGGCGGAAGCACAGGAAGTGGGAGGTAGGAAGCAGCCAGGTGTCATTTCCAGGGAGGATGAGGGGGCAGGGAGGTTTTGGGAATGGTAAAAAGGTGGGGGCGGGGCGGAGGTAAGTATGGAAAGTAACACCTGCTTTGTGCAATCAGGCATTATGCATATGAAGTCTAAAAATGTTTATTACCCTTTGGCCTAGTAATTCCACTTCTGGGAAATGATCTTAAGGAAAATCTTCAAAATGCGGGGGAGGTAAAGCTATATTCACAACAGTGTTCATCACAGAGCTATTTATAAGAAAGTAAAAATGGAAGCAGCCCAAACATTTCTCCTAAGAGAATGGCGAAGACACTAGAATCTAGTCATTCAAAACTAGCCATTCGATGTGGTGTTTTTAAAGACTCCGAAGAACATTCAGAATCAATTACGTAAAAACGTTAAGGGAAATGGAACAATAGCTGTCATGTATTAATCTTATTTCCTAGGGACCAGGCTGGGTGCTTTCCATACTTGGTTTCATTTAATCCATACAACAACCCTGGAGCGTGGAATCACTTCCATGTAACAGATTTGGAGACTGAAGCTCACCTAGGCAGGGGGTGAAAAAGCTGCGTGCGATTCAGCCCTGGTCACACTCCAGTGTGTTCTGACCACCACTTTCTATGACAGGACCACATCCAGCAAGGAAACTGAGAGAAAGACATTAAATATTAACAATGATTCCTTTTCAGAAATGGGTGGTGGAGGGAGGAGTGATTCTACTTCCAATTTTTCTGTGTTTTTCAAATTTTTCCTTATGAAGTTGTGATACCCTTTCTGTATTCTTTCCTAATTTTTAGTTATTTATTGTGCTTATTCTGCAACTTGGTTTGATGCAGTTACTAGTAGGTCTTGGTGACCTTGTTATCTTTGGATGCAATTTATTCTTTACTAGGGGTGGGGGGTGCTCAGACTACACCACAGTTCAGATTTGGCACAATTTATTTACTTGGATCTCCCCTTGAAGGACATTTAGCAAGTTTCTAACTCTTCACGAATACAGTCAATCCTGCAAGGAGCATCCCTGTTACACCCGTTTGGGCAGAGGGTTTTGACGGTTGTTTTTTTTTTTTTTTTTTTTTTTTTTTGAGACGGAGTTTCGCTCTTGTTGCCCAGGCTGGAGTGCAATGGCGTAATCTCGGCTCACTGCAACCTCCACCTCCGGGGTTCAAGCAATTCTCCTGCCTCAGCTTCCCGAGTAGCTGGGATTACAGGCGCCCACCACCATGCCCAGCTAATTTTTGTATTTTTAGTAGAGACGGAGTTTCACCATGTGGGCCAGGCTGGTCTTGAACTCCTGACCTTGTGATCTGCCCACCTCGGTCTCCCAAAGTGCTGGGATTACAGGCGCCCACCACAATGCCCAGCTAATTTTTGTATTTTTAGTAGAGACGGAGTTTCACCATGTGGGCCAGGCTGGTCTTGAACTCCTGACCTTGTGATCTGCCCACCTCGGTCTCCCAAAGTGCTGGGATTACAGGCATGAGCCACCACGCTCAGCCTTGATGTTTGTTTTTAACCGAAAAGACTGGACTAGGGAAAAAGTGTACTTATGGGTGACTATATTTTTGGCTTTGGGAGATTGCGGATGGAGGGATTTAATTAAGAGGCTCTAGAATCAAAAAAGTCCCTGTTGGTAAAAAACGGAGGGCTGGTGTGAGTGGGAGTGTTTGAAGTCTCAGTTCTCTAACAGTATCCCTCATTCCTGCCACTTCCTGCCAGGGCCAGCTCTATCAGCAGGCTAGGGCTTGTCTCTTTGGGAGAAGTTATAGATTATGGTTCCCACCCTTGATTCATATTGACATACAGCTTAATTCGGTTGAGCTGTGGGCAAATCCTCTTCAGGAAGACAGTTATTCTAATGCCTGTGGGGCTTCAGGATGCAGAATCTACTCCATTCAATTCTACCCCTTTCCTGGAGGTCTTTTATAGCAAATATAGTTTGAAAAACTGGGGAACCTCAGCCAATTCTTCACACCTGCTGCGTGGCCTGCAGCCAACTTTGTGAGAGCCCTAGGCTGCTGTGCTTCATTTATATGGAATCAGGGGCTGGAGTTAGAAGACTTCAAACAGCTCCAACCTTCTGCTGTGATTCCATGAGATCTAAGTAAGAAAGATACAGCTCTACACCTTATGAGCTGTGAGATTCAGGGTGAGTTATTAACATCTCTGAGCATCAGTTTCTCATCTGTAAGACCAGGCAGTGAGACCTACCTGGTACAGTTGTATAGATTAAATGAACTGCTACCAGGAGTTTGGCCCCTAGGACAGTGTCCATACCTGGAAAATGAGCGATGCATCCTGGGTCCAATCCTTAAGGCACCTAAGGAGCCCCTGGGCTCCTTCAGCCCCATCTCCAGGATTACCTGGGGCTGCCAGGAAAGCTCTTCTTTGAAGACCTCTGATCTATTAGAGAGATGAACCTATTCATTTCTCAGCCGGTGGGTTGGTACCTTGAAGCTACCTAAGCTAAAAAACAAAAACAATAAACAAACACCCCAACTGAAGGTAGCACGTGAACAAATGAGAGTCTAAACCCGTCCAGCCGCTGTTGTAGCCAGCACATTATGCAAAATGGCAGTTCATCCCAAGGTTTACCTTCATCCTTAGCTCCAGCAGCCAGAACATCCACATAAGCCTTTTAACAAGGGAGGCAACACCAGGTGCAGTGGCTCATGCCTGTAATCCCAGCACTTTGGGAGGCTGAGGTGGGCGGATCACCTGAGGTCAGGAGTTCGAGATCAGCCTGGGCAACACGGTGAAACCAGGGCTCTACTAAAAACACAAAATTAGCCGGGCGTGGTGGCACATGCCTGTAATCCCAGCTACTCGGGAGACTGAGGCAGGAGAATCGCTTGAACCTGGGAGGCGGAGGATGCGGTGAGCCGAGATCGCGCCATTGCACCCCAGCCTGGGCAACAAGAGTAAATCTCTGTCTCACCAAAAAAAAAAAAAGAAGAGAGGCAACAACTTAATGGAGTTTAAAGATCTGGTTCAAAATGTATTATTGGAGAGTGAAAAAACTAAGGGAGACAAAATGTCTGACACTACTATTGTAGGAAAAAGAAAAAACTCACTTAAGTTGGGTGCTGTGGCTCACTTCCTGTAATGCCAACATTTTGGGAGGCCAAGGCAAGAGGATTGCTTGAGGCCAGGATTTTGAGACCAACCTGGTCAACACAGTGAGACCCCGTCTCAACAAAAATAAAAATAAAAATAATTAGCTAGGCATATTCCTGGCTACTTGGGAGGCTGAGTTGGGAGGATTGCTTGAGCCCAGGAATTCAAGGCTGCAGTAAGCTGTGATTGCTCTACTGCACTCCAGCCTAAGCAACAGAATGAGACCTTATCTCTAAAATAAATAAATATTAAAATTTTAAAAACCCACTTAACTACATGGGTATATGTGTTCATATCTTTTTATATGCTTCTATACATTTTACTGGTATAAAAATTCTGCTGGTATAAGTGTTATCAGCTAACAGCTTTTCCTTTGGGGGAGTGTGGTGAGCTCTACCTGTTTACCTTCTTTACTGCCTGACTGTCTGATATGAGCTTATCTTTCAAGAGAGGCAGTTATTGTAGTGGTTAAGAATGAGAGGAATACCAGAGTCAAACCATCTTGTTCTTTTTTATTGTTTGTTTGTTTGTTTCAGATAAGGTCTTGCTGTGTCACCCAGGCTGGAGTGCAGTGGTGTGATCATAGCTCACTATAGTCCCTATCTCCCAGGCTCGAGCCATCTTTCCACCTCACCCTTCAGAGCAGCTGGGACCACAGGCACATACCACCACAGCTGGCTAATTTTTTTTTGTTTCGTTTTGTTTTGTTTTTAAAGCAGAGATGAGCTGGGTGTGGTGGCTCACACCTGTAATCCCAGCACTTTGGGAGGCCGAGGCAGGTGGATCACGAGGTCAGGAGTTCAAGACCAGCCTGACCAACATGGAGAAACCCCGTCTCTACTAAAAATACAAAATTAGCTGGGCATGGTGGATACCTGTAATCCCAGCTACTCGGGAGGCTGAGGCAGGAGAATCGCTTGAACCCAGGAGGTGGAGGTTGCAGTGAGCTGAGATCACACCATTGCACTCCAGCCTGGGAAACAAGAGCGAAACTCCATCTCAAAAAAAAAAAAAAAAAAAAAAAAAGCAGAGAGAAGATTTCACTGCATGGCCAGGCTGGTCTCAAACTCCTGAGCTCAAGCAATCCTCCTGCCTCGGCCTCCTAAAGTGTTGGGATTACAGGCATGAGCCACCATGCTCAGCCTTGTTTGGCTTCAAATTCAGATATGTGTCTATGTGTTTCTGCATCAGATACTGAAGCTATGGCAGTTTATCTGCAGAAGCAGTTGACAATAACAATAAAACTAGACTTATAGTGTTGTTTGGAGGGTTAAATGAAGGGGTCCCTATACTTAGCACAATACTTGGCATTCAGGAAGCACTCAGAAAAGATAAACGATTATTATTATATAAGTAAAATATATATATATGTAAACATAGGCTTCTTACCAAAGGGCAGGGGTAACATGAGGTTGCACATGCATGATACATACAGCTATAAAAAGAATGTGAGAGGGGAAAAAAAGAAAAGAAGAAATGACTGCTTTTCATAGCCAGCTCTGAAAGCCCCTGTCCCACATAATTTTCCACTATTCTCTCAAGAAGGGCAATTAAATAAAACTCTTGCCAAGTACAGTGGCTCTCACCTGTAATTCCAGCTACTTGAGAGGCTGAGGTGGGATGACCACTTGAGGCCAGGAGTTCAAGACCGGCCTGGGCAACATAGGAGACCCTGTCTCTAAAAAGATGGGAAAAAAAATTAGCTGAACGTGGTGGTGTACACCTGTAGTCCCAGCTACTTGGGAGGCTGAGGCTGGAGGATCATTTGAGCCCAGGAGTTTGAGGCTTCAGTGAGCCATGATTATGCCACTGTATTCCAGCCTGGGTGACAGAGCAAGACTATGAGAAGCAAAAGGAAAAAGAGAAGAGGAGAGGAGAGAAGAAAAAGAAAAGAAACAAAGACAGGAAAAAGGAGAGAGAGAGAAAAAAAAAACTCTGGTGTGGGAGGAGGTAAAGTGCTTAAAGGCCCAGTATAGAGTCCACCCCGACACATGGCTTCAGCGAATCCATGACACCATGGATTCACTGGAGAAGTGACACAGGCTTATCTTCTCTCTTGACCCACCAGCTTCTGAGGTAGAAAGGAATTTGAGCTGTCCCAGCCATCCACCCATCCATTGAATATTTATTGAGTGCCTTTTGTGTGCCAGTCATTGTTCTAAGTCCAGAGATACAGCAGTGGACAGAGAAGACCAAAACAAAACATCAAACAAACAAAATCTCACCCTCAGAGAGCTACATCCTACTGGATGGAAGTAAATAGACACTAAAAATGAGTAAGACTTGTGGAATGCCTAACAGTGATAAATGCTATGGAGAAAAATTAAGGAGGGAAATGTTTTAGGGATGATTAGGATGGGTTGCAATTTTAAATAGGATGGTTGGGTAAGATCTCACCGAGCAGGTGACATTTGAGTAAAGACCAGAAAGAAGTGCAGGGGAGACCCCTGTAGAGGGAAGAGCAAGTGCAAGGACCTGGAAGTAGTAGTGTGAACAGCAAGGAGGGCAGCAGGGCTGGCGGGAGTGGTCTAGACCAGTGGTCCTCACAGGGCCATTTTGCTCCTCTCCCCGCAGGGGACATCTGGCCATGTCTGGAAACATTTTGGGTTGTCACAGCTGGGATGGGAGTGTGCACTATGAGAGTCAAGGATGCTGTTCAACATCCTACAATGCACGGGACGGTCTCCACATTCTCCAAAGAATGATCCTTCCCAAAACGTCCAGAGTGCCAAGTTTGAGAAGCTCAAATCTAGACTTAGGAAGAGTTGTAGGAGATGATGTCAAAGAGATAACAAGAAGTGGGGTGGGGGATGGAGGAGGGGCTGTGGAGAAGGAGATCACCAAGAGCCCTGTAGGCATCCTAAGGATCTTAGGTTTTTACTGTAGGCCAGATGGGAAGCCACTGGTTGTTGGCAGTGTTTAGCTGGTGGAATTTCCAAGTCATAGGGAGAGGAATACCAGGTGGTCCTTGATCTTGGTCCCAGGCGCTGACTCCCTCTGGCTTCCTCTGGGAGGGGCCACACTTCAGGGGCTGGAAAGTATAAGATAGGTGATTTTTAGTCATTAAGCAGGACTCTATCAACAGGTAAAATCACTGCTTTGCTGGGAGATCATTAATCTTGATTCTGTGAGAATAACCAACCCAGCCTCCCTGAATTACTAGGAACCATACATAGTCTGGACTTGATCACAACAGAGGAGTCAACGTTTCATTTCACCAAATGTTTCCTGAAGGCTGGTTGAAGTGCAAGGTTAGTGTTTGGATGTAAACCTTGCCTTCTAGGAATTATTTTTTTAGACGGAGTCTCACTGTGTCACCCAGGCTGGAGTGCAATGGCACAATCTCGGCTCATTGTAACCTCCGCCTCCTGGGTTCAAGCGATTCTCCTGTCTCAGCTTCCCAGGTAGATGCAACTACAGGCGGTCGCCACCACGCCCAGCTAATTTTTATATTTTAAGTAGAGATGGGGTTTCTTCATGTTAGCCAGGCTGATCTCAAACTCCTGACCTCAAGTCATCTACCTGCCTTGGCCTCTCAAAGTGCTGGGATTACAGGTGAGAGTCACCTTCTAAGAATTTTTAATGTAATGAAGGATAGGAGAAGAGAGAAAGATTAACCCCCAGATTGATACCACCAACATTCACGGAGCACCTGCTGAGATTAGAGGGGGAATGAATGCAAGCAGGTAGGGAAGGGAGGATGTTCTGGGAGGAAATGGCATACGCACACATCCCACCATGTGGTGACATAAGTGCAGTTACAGAGGGGGGCCACTGGGCAAAAGGACTGGCTCAGCCATGGCAGCCAGTGGCACAGAAGAGGTGGCGTTTAGGCCTTGGAGGACAAAAGAGTGCAGGTGATGAAATTATGAGGGAAGGTGTCCAAGCAAAGGGCAGAGAGCCAGTGTTCTCAGGAGCTCACCTCTGTAGATTTCTGGACCACATACTTCTGGATTGTTTTACATATATATATACACACACACATACACACACACACACACGTATATTTATGTATGTATATGTTTTCTTTATATACATACATATATTCTTTATATAGGTATATACTTTATATACACTATATATGTATGTGTGTGTGTATGTATATATATAGTCTGGCTCTGTCACCTAGGCTAGAATGTAATAGCACTAACTTGGCTCACTGCACCTCCTGGGCTCAAGTGATCTTCCCACCTCAGCCTCCCAGGTAGCTGGGACTACAGGCACGCCTAGCTAATTTTTGTATTTTTTTGGTAGAGATGGGGTTTCACCATGTTGACCAGGCTGATCTTGAACTCCTGGGCTCAAGCAATCCACTGGTCTCAGCCTCCCAAAGTGCTGGGATTACAGATATGATCCACTGCACCCAGCCTTACATTCTTGCAGATTCTCATTCAGAAGGCCTGGATCCTGTCCAAGAATCTGCATTTTACACAGCTCCTGGGACCTGCAAACCAGGTGTTTCTCTGCACCTTGCAAAGCTCTGCTCCAGGAAACGGAAGGCAGGGTTCAGGCATCCAGCCCAGTGTGGTGCTTCCAAGAGAAAGGTGTCCAAATGCTGCTGCTTTGAAAGGCAAAAACCAGGGGTGGCTGGCCTGCCAAGCATGGCCACATGAAGTCAGTTGTTCTCAACCTTGAGTGACCTATCACTGGGGAAGCTTGTTAAACATATATCTGGGTCACACCATAGACTCTCTGCCTCAGTCTTCTGGGATGATCTGTTTGGGACCCCACCAGGGGACTCACTGGCCCTGTGGCCTATCTATAACTGAGACACATTTTGGCCACACAGCTCCTCTCCAGCCCCTAGAATCTCAAAAACACTAAAAGCCCCATACACTGTCCCATCTATTTATTTTAATCACAATAGCTGCCTTTTATTGAGCATTTACTGAGTGCAAAACTCTGTGCTGAACACTTTACATTCATAATCTTCCTTTAAGTCTCACAACAGGCTGGGTGTAGTAGCTCATGCCTGTAATCCCAACACTTTGGGAGGCTGAGACGGGATGATCACTTGAAGCCAGGAGTTTGAGACCATCCTGGGCGGCAAAGCAAGACCCCTATCTCTACAAAAAAGACCAACAAAAACAAAAGAAAAAGTCTCACAACAACCTGGCAAAGGAGGAAGTTTTGTGTTTGTTTGTTTGTTTGTTTGTTTTTTGAGATGGGGTCTCTCCCTGTTGCCAGGGTGGAGGGCTGTGGCATGATCTCGGCTCACTGCAACCTC
Organism: Homo sapiens; assembly: GCF_000001405.40. Classification (NCBI taxonomy): domain Eukaryota; kingdom Metazoa; phylum Chordata; class Mammalia; order Primates; family Hominidae; genus Homo; species Homo sapiens. Next base: position 110,479,122 of record NC_000010.11, on the reverse strand, counting down.
TGGCTCCCTGGTTCAAGCAATTCTCCTGCCTCAGCCTCCCAAGTAGCTGGGATTACAGGCACGTGCCACCACACCCAGCTAATTTTTGTATTTTTAGTAGAGACGGGGTTTCACCATGTTGGCCAGGAGGGTCTCGAACTTCTGACCTCGTGATCCGCCCACCTCAGCCTCCCAAAGTGCTGGGATTACAGGCATGAGCCACCGCGCCCTGCCAAGGAGAAAGATTTTTATAAGGAAACTGAGACACAGCAGTCAGTGGTAGAGCTAAGACACAGACCTAGGCTTGCCTGACCCCAAACTCAAGCTCTTCAGCAGTTTCCTGCACCGCCTCCCTTCAGACGCCCTCCTGTGCTTTCTGCTGCTAGTCCCCACATCTAGATTGCAAACTACTTGGGGCAAAAGTTGGATCTTAGGCTGCTTGTGTTCCTCAGACAGAATTTTCTTGAAATAACTGGGGTTGCTTCTCAAAAAGAGTCATGAGAGCTCTTTCTGGACCCTTCTCCCTGGTCTTTGGATTCCCATTCCCCTTAAACAGTATCTTTCTCTTCCAGAGGGGAGCTCAGTGAGCTCCCAGGGTTCTTTTTTTAATTTTTTTTTTTTTCAAGGCAGAGTCTCTGTCACCCAGGCTGGAGTGCAGTGGCGCGACCTCGGCTCATTGCAACCTCCGCCTCCCAGGTTCAAGCACTTCTCATGCCTTGGCCTTCTGAGTATCTGGGATTAGAGGTGCCTGCCACCATGCCCAGCTAATTTTCTTTTTTCTTTTTTTTTCAGTAGAGATGGTGTTTCACCATGCTGCCCAGGCTGGTCTCAAACTCCTGGGCTCAAGTAATCCACCCAAAGTGCTGGGGTTACAGGTGTGAGCCACTGTGCCTGGCATTCTTCTTTTATTTATTTATTTATTTCCTAACCCACTAGGCAATCAAGGACTTTCTTTAAAGAGATGGGCTCTTGCATTCACCCAGGCTGAAGTGCAGTGATCATAGCTCACCACAGCCTCGAATTCCCAGACTCAGGCCATCCCCCCGAGTAACTGGGACCACAGGTGTGCACCACCATGCCCAGCTAAGTTATTTTTATTTTTATTTTTTTAGAGACAGGGTCTCACTATGGACCAGACATTACCCAGTCTGGTCTTGAACTCCTGGCCTCAAGCAATCCTCCCGTCTTAGCCTTGCAAAGTGCTGAGATTACAGGCATGAACCACTGCACCCTACTATCACCCAGGGTTCTAAGCCCCCTGCCCTGTGGAGCTTACCAGAAAGGCCTTGTATTTGAGTTCTCAACTTTACCTTCTTTTTGGCATATTCTTTCTTCCTGGGCTGTGAGGTCCTGGAAGTAGTAAGGCTGGCTTCTTACCATCTGTCTTCCGTAAAGCAGCACATAGTAGGCTCAATAAATTCAAGGAGGGCTGATTTATATGCATTCAGATCTCAGACTTCTGTGAATATAAATCAAGGACCATAATTTTTTTTCTCTAAATTGCATTCATTGGTATTTAATTTATTGAGCATCTAATGTGTGCCAGGCACTGGCTCAGGTACTAGGAATTCTGTGGTAAACAAGGTAAATGAGTTCCCTGCTCTCTAGGGCTTCCTTCTAGTGGGGAAGACAGGTAACATACAAACTCTTAGCAAAGCCAGCTTGACTGTGGTGGCTGGGGAAGATGGAGAACAAATAGAACTGGAGGCCAGAGGGGCCTCTCTGAGAAGGTGTCATCTGAACTGACAACGGATTAATCAAAATGAGCCAGCTGTGTCTGAATCAGGGAAAGGGCATTCCAGTCCTGAGACAGGACCACTGTGGCCTGTCTGAGGATTCACAGATGCAGCTATGGCTGGAACTTAGTGGACAAGAGAGAGAGGTCAGAGATGAGCTGGGAGATGTTGGCAAGGCCAGATTATGCAGGGCCTTCCTCATAGACCATGGTGAAGAGATTAGAGTTGGTTCTAACCGAGGTGGGAAATCAGTGGAGGGTTTTATGCAGGGTGATGATGAAAGATCCCCAGCTGCTTGGAGAATGGACTGTAGGGAGGACAGAGTGGAGGCAGAGACCAGTTAGGAAATTACTGCCATGGTCATGGTGACAGGTGATGGGGTCTTGGACAAAGATAATAGAAGAGGAAGCTGAGAGATGTAGACAGACAAGACCTTCAGATGTAGTGGATGTGGCAGGGGTGGGGCATGAGGGAAAGAGGAATCACGAAGGATGCCCTGGTTTGGATTAGGTAGATGGGGGTGTCATTGTCTGAGATGGGGAAGGTAGAGGAAGAACAGGTTTGGGTGGTGAGATTGAGCATTCTGGTGTGCTCCTGGGCCAAATAATGTCCTCGAAAGATGGCACGTGTGAATATATGACCTCACATGGCAAATCTGATTAAGTCAAGAATTTTGAGTTGGGAGATTATCCTGGAGGACCCAATGTAAACACAAGGGGCCTTATAAATGTAAAAGGGAGGCAGGAGAGTCAGCGTGCTTCGATGTGAGAAGGAATCAACCTGCCATTGCTTTGAACTGGCTTTGAAGGTGAAGGAAGGGAACCCCGAGGTGAGGAATTAAGACATCCTCTAGGAACTGGGAAAGGTAAGGAAATGGTTTCTCCCATCGAGACTCTAGAAGGGACACAATCTTGCTGACACCTTGCTTTTAGCCCAGAGAAAACCCAATTAGGACTTCTTACCTCCAGAACTGTGAAATCATGCATTTGTGTGGTTGGTTTTAAGCCACTAAGTTTGTCGTCATTTGTTACGGAAGCAATAGGAAATGGACACATTGGCCTTACGGACGTCCAGGTGGAAAGACAGGTGGGCAGCAGGCAGGCTGTACTGGCCAGAGCCCAGGGTAGAGGCTGGCACTGGAATCCTGAGAGCATTCAGCCTACAGTTGGAACTTAAATCTGAGAGGCTTCGAATCACCTCAGGGCCCAGAGTGAGCTGCAGGGCCCGTGATTAATTCCTGTCCTCTCTGCCGGATACAGGCAAACTTTGGCAGCTGGCTTTTCTCTCCTAAGTAGAGAATCTTTAGCTTGGCCTAAGGGTCTTGGGTGGGGCCTGAGCTGGATGGGCCTGCCCTGAGTGAAAGTCCAAAGACCCTGTCACTCTGAGGGACACTCCCATCAGGCTGTCTCAGATGCCTCCAGGCTAGGTGGGGAGGAAAATGGGAGAGTGACGGAAATGTTTATTATGTTTATTTAGCTCCTACTAAGTCACAAGCACCAAATTAGAGACTTTTTATCTGTGGTTTTAAACCTTACAATAACCCTGGCAGGGAGCTGTAAGCCCCATTTGTGAATAGGTAAACTGAGGCTCAGAGGGATCAGATTACTTCTTTAAGATAACACCAGCAGGACGGCCAGCATAGTGGCTCATGCCTCTAATCCCAGCACTTTGGGAGGCCAAGGCAGGCAGATTGCCTGAGCTCACGAGTTCAAGACCAGCGTGGGCAACATGGCAAAACCCCGTCTTTACAAAAAATACAAAAATTGCTGGGCATGGTGGTGTGAGCTTGTAGTTCCAGCTACTCGAGAGGCTGAGGTGGGAGGATGGCTTGAGCCCGGGAGCTGGAGGTTGCAGTGAGCTGAGACTACACCACTGCACTAGAGCCTGGGCAATAGAGCCAGACCTTGTCTCAAATAAAAAACAAAAAATAAAAAATAAAAATAACGCCAGCAGGGAACTGAAGATCCAGGAATCCACCAAGTTTGAATGAGCTTTAGATGTCCCCAGGGTGCTGCTCTTTCTGCCATGCCCCTCTTCTTGGCTGAGGACTATTTGAGAGTGTTTTTTACCAAAATAGCAACAATGCCTTCCATTCATTGACCTGTCCCCCTTTCCCTTAGTTATGCATTTAATCTTCACACCAACCTCATTGTTAGTTTTTTTTTTTTTTTCATTTTACAGATGCAGATGCTGTGGCTCAAAGGATTAATTAATTTGCTTAAGATAATGCAACATGAGAAAAGCAGATCAGGACGGAATTCCAGAACAAGGATTTTGCTTGAAATAACATCACTACTAATTGTCTCTCTGCACCTCCTGGCTCATTTCTCTACTCCCACACCTTCCCTGCTGACCCTAGTCAAGGAGCTGTGAACATACAAATAGTGCCTGATACACTAGGGCCTCGGCATTGGCCATGGGAGTGAGGGAGAAAATCATTTAAGAGGCTTTGTAGTCGATTTCAACAAAGAAGGCAATGCCAGTGAAGCATCTTGCAGGAATCCCTCCCTGACTGCTTCAGTCCACAGCGCTCTTACCTTTCTCTATACACTTACAATCTGTTTCATTTACTTCCTAGCAGACCTTGCAGAAACCATTATTTCATATGATACGTTTCCCCCATAGAATATAAGCTCCTTAAGGGAAGAGATTTTTGCTTGGTTTTATAATGCTGAATTCCAAGTGCCTAGAAAGGGCCTGGCAGGTCGTAGGCACAAGAAGTATTGGTTGGTTGAATATATACTTCTTGCAACCCACAGAAACTGATGTTGGTCTGGGCCAGGCCCTGCCCTGGCTTCCAGGGATGCAGAAGTGAATCGAATAACTTCCTGCCCTCTGAACTTATGGGGGAGACATACATACCTGCATATTCACAAGAGATTTCATCACATGTAACCAAAGTAAAAAGGTGGCCACCAGAAGGGGGACTGGACCTGCTTGTTGGAAGGGTGCAAATGGAAACTAGAGAGGTGATTGTTCCAGACATTCCCAGTGGGACAGGTGGCTGTGAGCCTGTGATGAACTGAGAGACACCACTGAGTAAAAGTTAAGAGGACAGGCTCTGGAGCCCAACTGTCTGGGTTGAATCTTTCTCTACCAATTACTAGTTGTGTGATGTCGTACCAGTGATATACTGTTGAGATAAACGCATATTCCAAGACTCACTGCAGAGATTCCAAACCAGCAAGTCTGGGCTGGCTAGGAATCTGCTTCGTTGTTCCACAAACATGTTATTGTTTATTGCAGAGGGTCTACAGACCATGCCTTGAAAAGCTGTGGCCTTCAGGGAGGAAGGGTCATGCTAACCAGCAAACTGGAATGTCACACTGTGTGTCATTGACATTTTTCAGTGTGAAATCACAAACTATCATTCAGGGTTAGACTTTATACTACCCAGTAAGTGTCATGGAGGAGGCTTCAGGACAGCTGGGGAATTCAACAGGCCTGGTCTCTACCAGGTTATCCCGGGACACTCCCCAGCAGCAGATTTCAAGGCATTCTGCCTTCACTTTAGGCCTAGGGTGAACCTGCAGGAGGCTCTCTGCAAATATTCATTGATCAACCGATAGCTTTTCTAGCCAAGCACCAGCTGGCTAGCCTCAGTCCCATGCAGAGGTTCTGGGAGGACTGCAGGAACCCCAGAGAGGGCTAGGGTGCAATGAGGGTGCAAGAGGTGGTACCCAGCTCTGATGTCTCCATGTCTTGACTTGAGCTAGGACCTCATACCCAGGACCCCAGAGAAGCCAGATGGAAATAAGGCCATAGGAGATGTGAGGGCTCAGAGCCTGCAATCTCTGGACAAACTCCATCTCTTTGAGCCTCAGATGAAATGCAAGGCCTGAGTGTTACAGGTCATTCTCCGTTTGTTCATTCCGTAAATATTTCAGCCTCTGTCATGTGCCAGGCTGCGCTAGGGAGACCATGGTGAGACAGGTCTCTGTACTCAGTGAGCTTATACTCCAGAGAGGGATCAGACAATAAGGTAATATACATTAATTAATATCAGAAGGTAATGAGAGGAAGACCGTAGTCCAGGAGCAGCTATGGCTCATGGCTGTAATCCCAACACTTTGGGAGGCTGAAGCAGGTAGATCGCTGAGTCCAGGAGTTTGAGACCAGCCTGGGCAATATGGTGAAACCCTATCTCACACACACATAAAATTAGCCAGCATGGTGGCACACTCCTTTAGTCCCAGCTACTCAGGAGGCTGAGGTGGGAGGACTGATTGAGCCCGGGAGGTCAAGGCTACAGTGAGCCATGATCACATCCCTGCATTCCAGCTTGGGTGACAGAGTGAGACCCTATCTCAAGAAAAAAAAAAAAGAGAGAGATAGAGGAAGACCATAAAAGGGTAACGGAGCTGGTCATGGTGGCTCATGTTTACAGTCCCAGCTACTTATCCAACCCACGGCCCATGGGCTGCATGAAGCCCAGGACAGCTTTGAACATGGCCCAACACAAATTCATAAACTTTCTTAAAAATTATGAGATTTTTGCCAGGCACAGTGGCTCACGCCTGTAATCCCAGCACTTTGGGAGGCTGAGGCAGGTGGATCACCTGAGGTCAGGAGTTCGAGACCAGCCTGACCAGCATGGTGAAATCCCATCTCTACTAAAAATACAAAATTAGCGGGCATGGCGGTACATGCCTGTAATCCCAGCTACTAGGAAAGCTGAGGCAGGAGAATCACTTGAACCTGGGAGGCGGAGGTTGCAGTGAGCCGAGATCATGCCATTGCACGCCAGCCTGGGCAACAAGAGCGAAACTCCATCTCAAAAAAAAAAAAAAAAAAATTATGAGTTTTATGTGATTTTTTTTTTAAGCTCATCAGCTATCATTAGTGTTAGTGTATTTTATGTGTGGCCCAAGGCAATTCTTCTTCCAGTGTGGCCCAGGGAAGCCAAAAGATTGGACACCCCTGCTCTACAGTGTTCTTAACAAGAGATCCTGCAGGTTGGACAAGCTTGCTGTACAGCGTTCTTAACAAGAGATCATCTAGCCCCTGGGTGGCCATCTGTACTGTCTGAGGGCTCATGACTGTGACCTCAGAGACTCTTTAAATAATGAAATCATGGCTATAACTATGGCAAACCTCAATGGAGAATGTCATGCCAATCATAACCTCGTTTCACCTGAGCTGCACAATTACTTCTCAGGTAGGTGCTCCTGCTGTATTAGGGGCATTTTACCAATTGGGATGCTGAGACTTAGAGAGTTGAGGCAAGTTGCTCAGGTCACTTATTTGTTAGGCGGCAGAACAGGGATTCTAATCCAGGGCGAACTCTAGAGTGCGGGACTCTTAAATGACACATGGCATTGTTGATCTAATGGGGTTTGGTACCCGCTATCCCACATCCTACTTTTCTCTAAGGCAGGAACTCTTGGATCTGGAGGTCACAGCCTCCCCTTAGACTGTAAAAAAGTGCCTGCTGGGCACTGGTCCCATGCTGAGGGCACCCCTCTGGCACATCCTCTGAGCATGGGATTGCTGAGAGCTACAGTCTGGGGGTGGTGAGCCAGATCAGCACAGATCATGCATGGAAACCACCCTTCTAGGCAACCCCTTCGAAAAGGAAGAATTCCTGGTCCAGAGCTGTGTTCTTTTCCCAACCTGCCTCCAGTCTGCCTGCTCCATGACCCCAGATGTCTGCTTGAGTCAGCTCCAGGCCTGTGTGGGGGCGGCCCCTTGATGTTAGCATTGTGTTACTACTGATGTATTGGAGAAGCATGCTGAGATGGATTCTTGTAATTCAGTCCCTTTTTTAAGTAGTCAGATGATAAAATATGGCATAAGAATATAAGCCTTCCAAGTTAGGTATGTGTATTAGGTTTGTATAAGTCTGTTCCTGCCAGTTTGACTTTGAGATACATTGGAGCAAACTGCAAACTTTAGTTTTTAAATTACAGTTAATATTAAAAAAAAAAATGTTTCTAGGCTGGGCGCAGTGGCTCATGCCTGTAATCCCAGCATTTTGGGTGGCTGAGGCAGGTGGATTACTTAGGTCCAGGAGTTCAAGACCAGCCTGACCAACATAATGAAACCCCATAACTACCAAAAATACAAAAATTAGTCAGGTGTAGTGGTGCACTGTAATCCCAGCTACTTGGGAGACACAGGCAGGAGAATTGCTTGAACCTGGGAGGTGGAGGTTGCAGTGAGCTGAGATTGTGCCACTGCACTCCAGCCTGGGCGACAGAGTGAGACTCTGTCTCTTAAAAAAAAAAAGTGAGGCATTCCAAGATGGCCGAATAGGAGCAGCTCCAGTCTGCAGCTCCCATCATGATTGATGCAGAAGACAGGTGATTTCTGCATTTCCAACTGAGGTACCTGGTTAATCTCATTGGGACTGGTTGGACAGTGGGTGCAGCCCACAGAGGGTGAGCTGAAGCAGGGTGGGGCATCACCTCACCCAGGAAGCACAAGGGATCAGAGGATTTCCCTTTCCTAGCCAAGGGAAGCCATGACAGACGGTACCTGGAAAAACGGGTCACTCCTGCCCAAATACTGCTCTTTTCCCAAGGTCTTAGCAACCAGCAGACAAGGTGATTCTCTCCTGTGCCTGGCTTGGCAGGTCCCATGCCCATGGAGCCTTGCTCACTGCTAGCGTAGCAGTCTGAGATCAATCTGCGAGGCAGAAGCCTGGCTGTGGGAGGGGCGTCCACCGTTGCTGAGGCTTGAGTAGGTAAACAAAGCGGCCAGGAAGCTCGAACTGGGCAGAGCCCGCTGCAGCTCAACAAGGCCTACTGCCTCTAGACTCCACCTCTGTGGGCAGGGTATAGCCGAACAAAAGGCAGCAGACAACTTCTGCAGACTTAAATGTCCCTGTCTGACAGCTCTGAAGAGAGCAGTGGTTCTCCCAGCATGGCATATGTGCTCTCACACCACTACTATTCAACATACTATTGGAAGTTCTGGCCAAGGGAATCTGGCAAGAAAGAGAAATAAAGGGTATTCAAATAGGAAGAGAGAAAGTCAAATTGTCTCTGTTTGCAGACAACATGATTGTATATTTAGAAAACCCCATCGTCTCAGCCCAAAATCTCCTTAAGCTGATAAGCAACTTCAGCAAAGTCTCAGAATACAAAATCAATGTGCAAAAATCACAAGTATTCCTATACATCATTAACACACAAACAGAGAGCCAAATCATGAGTGAACTCCCATTCACAATTGCTACAAAGAGAATAAAATACCTAGGAATCCAACTTACAAGGGATGTGAAGCACCTCTTCAAGGAGAACTACAAACCACTGCTCAACAAAATAAAAGAGGACACAAACAAATGGAAGAATATTCCATGCTCATGGATAGGAAGAATCAATATCATGAAAATGGCCATACTGCCCAAAGTAATTTATAGATTCAGTGCCATCCCCGTCAAGCTACCAATGACTTTCTTCACAGAATTGGAAAAAACTACTTTAAAGTTCATATGGAACCAAAAAAGAGCCCGCATTGCTAAGACTATCCTAAGCAAAAAGAACAAAGCTGGAGGCATCACGTTACCTGACTTCAAACTATACTACAAGGCTACAGTAACCAAAACAGCATGGTACTCATACCAAAACAGAGACATAGACCAATGGAACAGAACAGAGGCCTCAGAAATAACACCACACATCTACAACCATCTGATCTTTGACAAACCTAACAAAAACAAGAAATGGGGAAAGGATTCCTTTTTAACAAATGGTGCTGGGAAAACTGGCTACCCATATCTAGAAAGCTGAAACTGGGTCACTTCCTTACACCTTATACAAAAATTAATTCAAGATGGATTAAAAACTTAAATGTTAGACCTGGCTGGGCATGGTGGCTTACACCTATAATCCCAGCACTTTGGGAGGCCGAGGTGGGCGGATCATGAGGTCATGAGATGAGACCATCCTGGTTAATATGGTGAAACCCTGTCTCTACTAAAAATACCCAAAAAATTAGCTGGGCATGGTGGCAGGCACCTGTAATCTCAGCTACTCGGGAGGCTGAGGCAGGGGAATCACTTGAACCTGGGAGGCAGAGGTTGCAGTGAGCTGAGATCACGCCACTGCACCACTGCACTCCAGACTGGGTGACAGGGTGAGACTCGGTCTCAAAAAACTAAACTAAAATAAAAATAAATAAATAAATGTTAGATCTAAAACCATAAAAATCCTAGAAGAAAACCTAGGCAATACCATTCAGGCCACAGGCATGGGCAAGGACTTCATGACTAAAACACCAAAAGCAATGGCAACAAAAGCCAAAATAGACAAATGGGATCTAATTAAACTAAAGAGCTTCTGCACAGCAAAAGAAACTACCATCAGAGTCAACAGGCAACCTACAGAATGGGAGAAAATTTTTGCAATCTACCCATCTGACAAGGGGCTAATATCCAGAATCTACAAAGAACTCAAACAACTTTACAAGAAAAAAACAAACAACCCCATCAAAAAGTGGGCAAAGGATATGAACAGACACTTCTCAAAAGAAGACATTTATGCAGCCAACAGACACATGAAAAAATGCTCATCATCACTGGCCATCAGAGAAATGCAAATCAAAACCACAATGAGATACCATCTCACACCAGTTAGAATGGCAATCATTAAAAAGTCAGGAAACAACAGATGCTGGAGAGGATGTGGAGAAATAGGAACGCTTTTACACTGTTGGTGGTAATGTAAATTAGTTCAACCATTGTGGAAGACAGTGTGGCGATTCCTCAAGGATCTAGAACTAGAATTACCATTTGACCCAGCAATACCATTACTGGGTATATACCCAAAGGATTATAAATCATGCTACTATAAAGACACATGCACACTTATGTTTATTGCAGCACTATTCACAATAGCAAAGACTTGGAACCAACCCAAATGTCCATCAATGATAGACTGGATTAAGAAAATATGGCACATATACACTGTGGAATACTATGCAGCCATAAAAAAGGATGAGTTCATGTCCTTTGTAGGGACATGGGTGAAGCTGGAAACAATCATTCTGAGCAAACTATTACAAGGACAGAAAACCAAACACCGCATGTTCTCACTCTTAGGTGAGAGTGATGAGATCACTTGGACACAGGAAGGGGAACATCACACACTGAGGCCTGTCGGTGGGTGGGAGGCTGGAGGAGGGATAGCATTAGGAAAAATACCTAATGTAAATGACGAGTTGATGGGTGCAGCAAACCAACCTGGCACATGTATACCTATGTATCAAACCTACATGCTGTGCACACGTACCCTAGAACTTAAAGTATGTATATATATTTAAAAAAAAAAAAAAAAGGCTGGGTGCGGTGGCTCACGCCTGTAGTCCCAGCACTTTGGGAGGCCGAGGCAGGCGGATCACGAGGTCAGGAGATCGAGACCATCCTAGCTAACATGGTGAAACCCTGTCTCCACTAAAAATACAAAAAATTAGCCGGCCGTGTTGGCAGGCGCCTGTAGTCCCAGCTACTCCGGAGGCTGAGGCAGGAGAATGGCGTGAACCTGGGAGGCAGAGCTTGCGGTGAGCCGAGATCACACCATCACACTCCAGCCTGGGCGACAGAGCAAGACTCCGTCTAAAAAAAAAAAAACTTCTAAAGGTATACGCTATACTAAAGGATGTACATATACTGCCTCTTCTATTCTACTTTTGGTGTTTCATTTGACCTATACTGTATCAATATCTTCAGGAAACAATATGAAACAATTATAGTTTCACATTAAATGTTGCAAATGTCTAAAAAAAACAGAGTCCAAACATGTATTGACATTCATAGAGATCTAGTCTTGTATTTTGACATACAAAATGCCTTTTTTGTTGGTTTGTGCATCTGGCTTCTCAAATAGATAGCATTCTCCTTCACAGCAGGAGTAATGCAGTATTTCTTTCTTTTAAAATGTTGTTTTTTGGCCGAGTGCGGTGGCTCACGCCTGTAATCCCAGCACTTTGGGAGGTCGAGGCGGGCGGATCACGAGGTCAGGAGATCGAGACCATCCTGGCTAACACGGTGAAACCCCGTCTCTACTAAAAATACAAAAAATTAGTCAGGCATGGTGGCAGGCGCCTGTATCCCAGCTACTCGGGAGGCTGAGGCAGGAGAATGGCGTGAACCGGGGAGGCAAAGCTATCAGTGAGCCGAGATCACGCCACTGCACTCCAGCCTGGGTGAAAGAGCGAGACTCTGTCTCAAAAAAAAAAAAGAAGTTTTTTTTTGTATAAAAGAATACTTGTAATTAATAAAACATAATGAAACAAAGGCTTGTAACATACTATGTGGCCCAACAACTAGAATGTGACTGAAACCATTGACCCTACCTGTGGGCACCTCCCCATCCCATATTCTGGCACCTCCCCATCCCATATTCTGTTTGCCCCTCTGGGGTAACAAGTGTCCTAAATTTGATGCTCAAAATTGCTTGCTCTAAAAACGTTTTAAGACGTTTATATGATTTCTTTAGAAAAGGTTTATCTTTGCTTATTTTTAAGCTTTAGAAAAAATGGCATAGTGTATTGTTGTCTTCTGAAATTCGTTTTTTTCATGCATCATTTGTTTCAAGATTCATTCATCTTGAAAAGAATTTTTTTAATTATAAAAAAACCCAAGGAACCAGCATTTCTAAGTTTCTGGGGTTTTTTTTGTTTTGTTTGTTTGTTGTTGTTGTTGTTGTTGTTGCTGTTGTTTGTTTGTTTGCTTTTTCGAGACAGAGTCTTGCCCTGTCACCCAGGCTGGAGTGCATTGCCATGATCTCGGCTCACTGCAACCTCCACCTCCTGGATTCAAGCGATTCTCCTGCCTCAGCCTCCTGAGTAACTAGGATTATGAGTGCCCACCACCACGCTTGGCTAATTTTTGTATTTTTAATAGAGATGAGGTTTCACCATTTTGGTCAGGCTGGTCTCGAATTCCTAACCTCAGGTGATCTGCCGGCCTTGGCCTCCCAAAGTGCTGGGATCACAGGCATGAACCACTGTGCCTGGCCTAATTTTCATAGTTTTTGTAGAGACAGGGTTTCACCATGTTGGCCAGGGTGGTCTCAAATTCCTGGGCTCAAGTGATCTACCTGCCTCAGCCTCCCAAAGTGTTGGGATTACAGGCGTGAGCCACCACGCCTGGCTGTCATCCATCTGATTGCATGTAACTCTAGTACATTCATTTCTCACTGCTGCATAATATTACATTGTGGGAAGAGATCTCAATTCATTCCTTCTCCAGTCAAAGGACATCTGGGATTTTCATAATTTTACAATTATGCATAATGCTTCTTTGAAGATCCTTGTGAAGGCTTTTCATACATGTGCAAGAGTTTTCAGGGCATAATCTTAGGAGTGGAAGTAATTGCTGGGTCATTGGTGTGTGCAACTTCAGTGTTACAAGATAATGCCCAGTTGTTTTCCAAAGCCACTTATACTCCCCACCACCCCTGTAAAAGCCCCCATCACCAACCTCTCACCACCACTAGTGCCCCAGCACAGTCTCTGATTTGTAGTGGGCTCAAAAATAATTTATTTATTGACTGCCTGAGACAGTGGAATGAATGGACACCATCTTCACTCAGAAAGATGAACGACTGAAACTCCAGCATCTCAGACTGGCAAGTGATGGACATAGGCTCTGGGCTTCTTTGATCCAATCATCTGGGACCCCTGAGGGCCTTCATGGCCCCTTGATTGTGACCCGCAGTGCTCAGCAAGCCCTCTCTGCCTGGACACAAGCTTCTAGTATGCCTGTTTTAGGGGCCTCATGCCTGGCTCTGCTGGAGCACTCTGTAGGAGACTTTCCTGATTGCTAAAAATCAGGAAATCAGGATTTTGAGACCAGCATGGGCAATATTGTGAAACCCCATCTCTACCAAAAATACAAAATAATAATAATAACAATAATAATAATAATAATAATAATAACCAGGCGTGGGGACTCATGCCTGTAGTTCCAGCTACTCGGGAGTCTGAGGTAGGAGGATCACTTAAACCCAGGAGGGGGAGGTTGCATGAGCCTTGGAGGCCAGCCTTGAAAACCCACGGAAATCCTATCTATGAATAATAAATCCTACACCCATATGGCCCTGATGTTGGTTTCAAAACAGCCATGTTTCCCTGCCCTCTTTACACTAACATTTTCCTTTAAGGTTTTTTTTTCTTTTTTTCAAACAAGCAAGTCCTAGTAACATGATAGAACTTTTTTTTTTACTGTTTTCAGCCATGCCTGAAATTCAGTCTTCACACACACACACACACACACACACACACACACACACACACACAAATGCACCCTCACAAAGAGCACATTCTTTACTTCAAGTCCAAGGCCTATAAGAAGAGTTTTCTGTCGAAGGTCAGCAGCTCTGATTGTATTGCTTTATTTAGAACATAGTTTTTGTTGAAACTCATTCCATTACCTTTGAGTTCACGGAAGTGGAGCCCATTAGAAGAATCAGCAGTCAAGAGGCTCCCATACAGGCTTAGAGAGTGATGCTAAACTTAGGTTTATTTGGCTACTGTGGTTTATTGACAGGGGCCTCTCTTTTTCTGTCTCTCCTTTTAATGGAGCCTGCATTTTCCTGTTTTGCAACCGCCAACCTGTTCATGGTGGGAAGAAAGGAAACTTCTTATCTCTACTCCTAAGCTCTCTACTCCTCCAGCAAGTGGCCTACTTCCCATTGCCCTGGTATGGCTAATCGACACCCACAAACAGGCCTCAGGCTGGCACAGGCAGGGGTACAGAATAGACAGTTCTGTGTCCCTGGTCCTGGTGGAGTGGGTTTACGGACCTGACCATTGCCCTGTCTCTTGGCTTCCGACCTGTGTACACTGTCTTGACTGCCAGAGTCCTAGTATCTGTGGAGGCAGCCACTCCCTCACCTGGCCCCTGCTTTCCACCCCACTGGCTTTGTGCCCTGGGGTGGGCGTCATGTGCTTCCTGGTCTACAAAATGGGGGTGATAACTCCCACAACACCTATACAGGTGTGCTTACACTTAAAAAGTACGGTTACAGGCCAGGTGTAGTGGTTAATGCCTGCAATCCCTTGGGAGGCCAAGGTGGGAGGATTGCTTGAGCTCAGGAGTTTGAGACCAACCTGGGCAACACGGCGGAATCCCGTCTCTACCAAAAATACAAAAATAAAAATTACCAGGCGTGGAGACGTGTGCCTGTATTTCCAGCTACTCGGGAGGCTAAGGTAGGAGGATCACTTGAACCTAGGAGTGGGAGGTTGCAGTGAGCTAAGATCAAGCCACTGTACTTCAGCCTGGGTGACAGAGCAAGACTCTGCCTCAAAAAAAAAATATTGTAAGGTGTCATGAGACTGGCAACGATGAAACATTTGGACCATGCCTATGCTGACATTGTGAAGGGCATGCCCTCAGAGTCAGCTGGCGGTGGGGGTCAGGGTGAATTAATCCAACTGTTCCCAAGAGCAATTTGTCAGTATTTGTGAAAACAAAAATTGTTATTTATCTTTTGAACCATTAATTCCACTTCTAGGAATTTGTGCAATGAAAATACCAAAGACTACATATGGGGAGGTTGTCTGTGACATTCCTTACAGTGGTTAATCCCGGAAGCCATCTAAATGCCCACTTTCCTCTCTAACACAGCTATTCTATGGTATACTAGGTACCCACTAAAAAGAATGAGATTGTGATCCATGGACTGATATGACATGATCTTCAAGAAATATTTTTGTGTGTGTGAAAAAGGGTACAAGACAGTATATATGTGATCTTATCTTTATGTTTAAAAATAGGATGTAATTGTGTGTGTGTGTGTGTGTGTGTGTGTGTGTGTGTGTGTGTGTGTGTGTGTGTGCTGAGAATATTTCTGGAAAAAGAATGTGTAGAAAACAGAATTTTTTCCAGGGAGGGAGGGCAGAGGTGGAGGGAGAATTATTTTTCACTGTGTGCTCTTGCACTTGAAATTTTTATGCGTTTGTGTAATTTAAACACAATTTTGGAATATAAAAAGTATGTAAGCTACTTCCATTCTAATTACTGGCAAGTTTTTATTTCTAGAATGCTTCTATGTCACAGAGAGTGGCTCTGAGAATGACCTTTGAAGAATGGGAAGATGACACAGGCTTCAGAGGACCAAAGTAGGATGTGGGCTCCACAGAGTCGGCCGCCACTTGCTACCTCTGGAGGCTGCCTGTAGTCTTAAGCCCAGGAAAGGCAGTCTCCCCAGCCCCTGTCACTGCTACCTGTGGCCGCATCTAGCCCCCAGCACCTCCTCCTCAGGCCCCATCTCTGGAGGGGCCATCACTCATAATTCAGTGGGTGTCAGGCTCGGTGCTAAGTGCTTCAGGTGCGTTAGGTTGAAGGTCTTTGCCTCTCACCTCCCTGCACCTCACAGCTGGCGCAGTGGTCCAGGCCACCACAGCTTCCTTGGAACTGCTTGCCCCCTTTGAGCCATTCCCAGCCGCCAGAGTGATCTTTCTAGGCCATAAGGCATAATGGTCATTGCCCTACCTGAAACCCTCCTAGCCCGTCGCTGTTAGGATCCAATCCAAGCCCATTACTGTGGCTACGAGGCTGTCTTCCTTGCCTCTCCCACCTCTCCTCATCTGCTCTGCTCCAACTGTACTGATTGCCCTGTTCCTCGAAGAGAACAAACACATTCCTGCACCAGGACCTTTGCGTTCGCTGTTCCCCTAGCATGACGCCCGTTCCCCAAGACCTCCCTGAGCTGTGTCTCATGGTTCAGTTCTCAGCTCAGTGTCACCTTTCAGAGAGGCCTCTCTGACTACTCTAGGTAAAGAGAAGCCTCCCTCCCCTGAATCCACCTATCCCTCCGTCCCACACCACCAGGATGCATTTTCTTCATGGCATTTCTCAGTCTTGGCGATTGCCTTGTTGATTTGTTTGGGCTCTGAGCCCTCTCCATTGAATGTCAATGCCCTGAGCACATGGGCCTTTTTGGTATCGATCATCTGTGGAGCATAACGTCAGCACCGCAGGTGTTTACTAAGTGAATGGATGCAGTACATGCATTGCAAGTGCCACATGTTGCTGGAATCTTTGCTGCTTACTCTCTGTGTGGCCTCAGGAAAATCACATTTTCTGCAGCTGTGCAGTGGGGCAGGCTGGGAGTACCAGGGCAAAATAGAGAGCGGCTCCTGAATGGAGCTTTTTGTTTGTTCTAGAAGTCTATCATTCTGAAGAAGTTGTACGGAAACATGTACTCTGATTTTCCAGCTGGGGCTGTTTTCTGCCCACCTTCCTGCTCTGGGAAGCAGCGCAAGTTCCTGGGAGATGCTCCCTGGAGTCGGGGGAAGGGGTTGGCCTGGAAAATAGCCCAATGCCTAGCGGGAAAGGGAGGGTGTAAATGCGGGAAAGGGGTTCCTCTGGGAGAGTTGAACTGTCTCCTGAAATAGAGTGTGGAAAGAAAGACTGGATCAAAGTACACAGACTTTAGGGAGGTTAGTGCAGCTGAAACCCTCCACACAATGCTTGACGCTCATGTCAACACAGCACATGTAAAGGAACGGTCGCAGTGATTATTATTAATTATTGCTGTTACTGAACTGTGTCCATTTCTATAAAGGAAACGGACTATCTCAAGTTGTGCCTTTTCACAATTCTCTGCCTCATTTCAGCATCATAACAGTCCTTTGGGGCAGGTACCCTTGTTATCATAGAATTGAGGAAACCCAGCCACGGAGAGGGTGTCTTGCTCAGGTTCACACATAACTGCAGAACTGGGATTCAAATGTGGTTGGGCTCTTCCTGCTAGAATTTTGAAGTGTCTTGAAATTTCCCAGGATTCTTTATTTTTGTTAGGCAGTGCCTGTTTCCTTGAGGTTCCCAGCAGTTAAAATAACCATTAAGAAATGACAGGAGACCACAGACTTGGTTAGGAAGGAACAGGGCTGGGAAGAAGTAGGGGCACCCTTGCCTGGCTCTCCAGGAGAATCTGACCCCACAGGGGGCTACCTGGGAAGGGACAGAACCAGGGCCAAATCCTGAGGACCTCTCTTCAGCTATGAGGCCAAGTGGCTACATCTCCCTTCTGGCCTGAGAGGCTCTAGAGGGGCAGTGAACTTCTGGATGGGTCTCAGCAACAACAGAGGAAACACAGCTCCCACTCGGGCCCTATCCTCACCCTCAGGGTTGGAGCCTGGCCTCAAATCCTGATCTTCCAGGTGCCGAGCCACCTTGAGCGAAAGCAGCAGGTGTAAAAAACGCCTGACTCAGAACGGAACCTGGAGCCACCTGCCCAAGATGCCTGGGGCGGGGACCTGTCTCTTGCCCTGCCACTATGGGGATGACATCCTCCACCCTCACTCTCTCCCTTCCCCAGAATGGCACCTATGGTGTCACCATTACCACAGGCGTTTTGGGGTGGGCACTTGGGGTCAAGCCCCTTGCTCAAAGGATGACACGAAGTCTCTAATACCTTTGTGGGCCTTTATCTACTCAAGGTTGTGTGGGGGTGAATAAGCTGTTCCAGGGATGTGTTCCAGGGGCTGCAAGAAGGTGGGGAAGGCACAGGAAGAAGCAAAGATGGAACTGGAGAAAGGGTCCCAGCGTGGCCTGGGATCAGGACCTCGAGAACAGGTGGGGAAACCTGGAGGGAAAAATGGAACTGATCAGGTGCATTTCAATTGGGCCGTGGTATTTTAGGCAACACCTCTGCTGGAGAGGTTGTTGCCTGCAAAACCGGATGAAGGCAGTGCTGTCAGGGCTTGGTGCTCCGTGAACAGCCACCTGGGGTCTGCACGTGTCTTCTGCCTCCACCCACCCCCGCTCAAACCCCCTTCCCAGCACCTCCCTCTCTGCAAGGTTCCGGAGTGGCCACCCACAGAGCAGCTCTGGGCTGGGCGCTGAGTCATGAGGCTGTGGTGCCTGCCAGGGGGCGAGGGTGGCAGATGGCTTCATGTGGGCGTGAGTGAGGAGGGGGGCAGATGGGAGGGGCAGTGACCCTGGGCCCAGCAGAGATCCAGGGAAGTGGCCTGGGAGGTAGGTCCCCAACTCTTCCTTCCCCCCGTCTTCACAGCCATTTTCCAGGGATGCCCATTCCTGCTGGGGTAGCCAGCTGTGACCAGGTCAGTGTGGAAAGTGAGCCCTGGGAGACCTGAGGCCTGAGGCCCTGGGCTTCCGCTTGACCTGGCTGGGTCAGCCGTGGGAGGCAGAGCCTGGCTCTGTTTATCCAGGCCGGACACTTCCGGAGCAGATGGGCGCCTGTCAGAGCCACCAGCCAGGAACTGGGCTGACGTCCTCTCATTGCCAAGTGGCAGGTGACTCGAGGGCCTGGAGGGAACATGGGTTTGGTTTGCCTGTTTATTAGGGAACTCTCTCTCTGAGCTGGGAGCTGCCTGCACAGCTGAGTGAGCACAGGGCAGACTCTTTGACCCAAAGGGACCTGGCCCTTTCAGGCGCTGAGTGCTGGGGACTCTGTGGGGGCTCCAGGGTCTCCCCAGAAGCCATGGCTGAGCTCTGCTTTTTGCCACCCCTACCTTGGTGTATGCATTTCCTGGGGTTCCTGTGACAAAGTACCACTAACCAAGTGAGTGGCTTAAAACAGAGATGTCTTCTCTCACAGTTCTGGGGCCAGCATTGAACGCAAGGTGTCAGCAAGTCTCCTGCCAGAGGTCCTGACGGAGGGGCTGTTCCAGGCCATGCTCCTGGCTTCCGGTGGTTGCCGGCAACCCTGTGCATTCCCTGCTTGTAGAGGTATCACTCCTGTCTCTGCCTCCATCTTCACTGGCGTTCTCCCCTCGGTGTCTTCTGCATCCGTTCTCCTCTCTCTCTCTCTCTCTCTCTCTCTTTTTTTTTTTTTTTAGATAGAGTCTCGCTCTATCGCCCAGGCTGAAGTGCAGTGGCATGATCTCGGCTCACTGCAACCTCCGCCTCCCGGGTTCAAATGATTCTCCTGTCTCGGCCTCCCAAGTAGCTGGGACTACAGGCGCCCGCCCCCATGCCTGGCTAATTTTTTGTATTTTTAGTAGAGACGAGGTTTCACTGTGTTAGCCAGGATGGTCTTGATCTCCTGACCTCATGATGCACCCACCTTGGCCTCCCAAAGTGCTGGGATTACAGGTGTGAGCCACCGTGTCGGGCATCTCCTCTCTTCTTATAAGGACTCCAGTCATACTGGATTAAGGGCCCACCCCACTCAGTATAACCTCAAATTAATCACATCTGCAATGCCCTATTTCCACATGAGGTCACATTCTGAGGTTTGGGGAAGGACATGAATGTTGGGGGGATACTGTTCCACCCAGGACACTTGGGTTGCCCATCTGCCTCATTCTTTCTCTCATCTTCAGCTTTTCCTCCCTCTTGCTCTGCCATTTAGAGAGAGGACACCCTGTACCCGGGCCTGAGCTTTTGGGGAAGGTGAGGCCACCATTTTCCCAAGAGCTGGCTGACTCCCAAGCATTCGACTGTAAATTAGAAAACCCATTAAGACGCAATCAATGTACAACTTGGTTTTTATCCTGTACAGAGTATCAGAGGCCTTTGGGAATCGAAAGGAAAGCTCTGAACTCCCGCCCAGGGTAAATGTACATGCAAACACGCACAGCTCTCAGTGGTGACACAGCCCTTCCAATGCCCATTTGTCCTGGGACTCCAGAGAGGGCCTTCTCCGGGCCAAGGAATTTCTGTCTGGAGCAAAAGGAGGCCCCAGTGCTTCAGCACTGTGCTGCCTGTGAGGTCAGGGGTTGCCATGCTGGGCGAGGACTGGGAAGGGTTTCCTTAAATCAGACCAGCGTCAGTGTTTGTGTGTGCAGTCATAGGGTAGGCAATGGAAAGCGGGTGGTGGAGGTATTCAGGAAAAGGGTGGGGTGCTCTGCTGTGGTGTTAAAATGTTTTTTTTCTTGCCCCTGTAACCACCGCCCTCCAGATATTGTTGAAAAGAGGCCCAGAGCCTGATGCTGGATCTCCGGGCATTTAAAGCAGAGGTTCTCAGATGTGTTATTAAAGGGAGGAAGTAGGGAGTTGCCCAGCATAACCTCCTCCCATTAGCCTCTTTATGTAAAAGCACCCAGACTCTGTCCTTTTGTGTGTACATATAAATGTCCCCAAAGGTCCTGAAGGGTAAACATCAAGCAGGTACCAGTGGCTGCTTCTGGACAGGATCTAGCATTGAGGGCATCAAGGAAGGACTTTTCCTTGTTGCTACCTCTGTTTTGGTGTGGCTTGAATGTTTCCAATGAAAGTGGATTCAAGTGATAATTGTGTGTTAAATTAAAATCTTCTCAAAGAAAGGCTCTTGATGTTCTGGGAGTTTCAGATCCCTTCAAGAAGTTCCTGAAAACCACGGTCTATCTCTCCCCACTGCACCTGCTCACCACGAGCATCCCCAGCCCGAGGGAGGGGCAGGCCCCAGGCCCTGAAGCAGACCAGCTCCTTCTTCCGGAGAAGCCCACCTGCTGCCACCAGCCAGGCCACGGGGATGCTCCTTTTCCCCTCTCCCCACTCCACACCCAGGCACCCAGAAAATTCTAGCTGAATTGTTCTCCCGACCAGTGGTTCCCAGGCGGATGGCATCAGAATCAATTGGGGGCTCGTTGAAATGGTGTGTTGGACCACCCCTTTACTTTTCTAAGATTTACTTTTCTAATAAGCGTCCAGGTATCTGATATGATGGATCCTCCCACCTCACTTTCAGAACCAATGATCTAGGTGAAGGGCATTAACTGTGCCTTCCGAGGTTCACCTGGAATCCAGAGAGGGGTTCCAGCTGGGAACAAGGTTCATTCCTCTCCTGTGTGGAGGCGAGGAGAGGAGCATCCATGGGAACCACCTGGGGACAGGGAAGAGGGAAAATCCTTCTCTTAGGAGTGAGGCTGATGAGATGCTTTGCACTGGAAGACTGTGATTGCCTCAATGAGAAGGTACCCGGGAGGCCCCCCAGTCACCTCCTACTCCTCAGGGACTGGAGGGTTGAGAGGCGTGAGCAGGTCCTTTCAAGTCCCTCTCACCAGGTGTTGGCCTGCCTGGGACTCTGAGCTCTGACCCTTCCGTGCCCCCTCAGCCTCTCCTCACCCCTCACCATTTTTTTTTCTTTTTCTTAGAGACTG
Source organism: Homo sapiens (assembly GCF_000001405.40). Classification (NCBI taxonomy): domain Eukaryota; kingdom Metazoa; phylum Chordata; class Mammalia; order Primates; family Hominidae; genus Homo; species Homo sapiens. The sequence continues at coordinate 110,457,406 of NC_000010.11, read as the reverse complement.
GGTCTCACTCTGTTGCCCAGGCTGGAGTTCAGTGGTATGATCACAGCTTACTGTGGGCTAGCAAGGCTGTGGCTGGAGGTTGGGAAGGCAGGGGCAGGACCCTCCAGTCCCTCGGCTTCCCCATGACTCCTTTCCAACCTCTGTAGTTCTCAGGCATTAATACACAATCTCACCTCACACCTCAAGGGACTGGATTGAACAGACTAGGTGCCCCTGGCACCTGGCTAAGCAACTGGTGTGGAATTGGCACCCAGTAAATGTTTACTGAAGGAAAGAAAGGTGGAATTCCAAAGTGTGAAGAAAGGAAAGGTTTCTGCAGTACTTTTCCACTCCATTCCCTTTCTGCATCTTGCCCTCCAGCAAATCCCAGTTGTGTGGGTTCAAAGGGACTCAGCTGTGGGACTTATCTTTTTTCCCTGCAGTGACTGTGTTTCACCCTGGGGGCATTTTCATCTTAACTGAGCACTCCCAGCCCAGGTGACTTAAACCCCAAGGATGCAATGTCAGGCCTCAGGGCAAGTGAAGTTGTGCAAGGCCAGGATCCAGGAGAGGCAGAGTTCTAGTCCAGACCTCCACCCCCAACTCATGTCAGATCCACCCTGCAGCACTGTGCCTTAGGCCTGCGCAGGTGTCATAAAGATGCAGGTCACTGGGGGAGGGGGACTCACTTTGGAGGGGCCTTGTGTGTGTGCGGTGCTTCTGTGAATGAGCTCAGCTGCTGTGTGGAGCATCTTTGTCTGCCAGACTGCCCTAGGAGTGATGAAATAGGGTCAAAATGCCAAATTCTTCCAGCAGCTTCTGAGATAAGAGCCCCTGCCAAATTGAGGGGGTGGCAGAGTTGGCGAGTCTGGGCCTGAGAGAGAGAAAGAGAGGGAGCCTGTCCATTAGAAAACTCATTGAGGAATCAGCCCGATCCTCCCTTTCCCCCAATTTCTTTCACCTGCTGGGGGGGCAGGTGGTGGTGGGGAGTGACTTGTGGAGGGGACAGGGACACCTGGAGCAGCTCTGGATCCCTGTTAACCCCTCAACGCCCAACTGCCAACAGTCACTAGGGACTTCTGATGAACAAATCCAATAACCCCTTCTCAGGCCTCTCTCTTCCTCCATCTCTGCAGATGTCTGCACTGGGGTGAGTCCTTTCCTTCCTCTAATGATTGACAAGCACTCATGCAGTGCATGCTCTGTGCCAGGCACTGTGCCAGCTCTTGGATACAAAGGGAATGAGCCCCAGCTCCTATTCAAGGAGCTTCCAGGGTGTGGAGAGAGCAAGGTGGCAACTGGCAGTTTCAGCACAGCAGACTGTGAGTGCAGTGGCTGGAGAATTTTAGGAAGGAAGCAACTCTGAGAACTCTCTTCCACATTCACCCTGGGCATTCTGTCTCTCTTCTCCCAATAGCTGATACCAGTTTATGTTTGTTGAGCTCTGGGCACTCAGATAAGAGCTCAATATGTGTTCTCCATCCTCACTACAACACAGCACAGGTATACACTGTGAACCCATTTCACAGAGAAAGAAACTGAGGGAGAGTGGCTCAGGAGCTTTCCCCAGGCCACACACATCTTCCGCCCCTTGAATGCCCTTCACTCCTAACTCTACCACTGTGGCAAGATTCCTGCTTACCAAGGTTCTGGTCTCCATTCTCTGTCTTCTTTCTTGTCACCCCTCCATGATCTCATGTCCTCCCACACACTCAGCTGCCACCTCCTGTGTCTGGGTCAGAGGCTTCTGCACCCTCCAGACCTGCACACACACTTCCTGCCAGCCTGCTGAGCAGCTCCACGTGGGCACCCTTCCAGCACCTCAACCCTGCTGTGTCCAAGCCCACCATCTCTTCCATACTTCTCTGTGACTATGCATGGTGCCCCCTGCTCCCGGTTACCCAGGTGCCAAGACATCTCTCTTCTGCCCCAATCTGGAACACACAGCAGACAGAAGGTACAAGGGGAGACCACTCTGAATTCTTTTGGTTCCAAGTGACAGAAAAGTTCTATTCAGACTGCCTTGATCAATAACAGATAGTTTTGAGTAGAGCTGGGCTCAGACACAGCTAAATTCGGTGGTTCAAATGGTTCTACCTACTCTTGGTCTTTTAGCTCACCTTATATTGGTTTCACATTTAGTTCCCACAGGGTGGCAGAATGGCTATCAGTTCATACCCCATTAAGGATAAGCAGAAGAGACCGCCCTTCTTTTCCTGGTAAATCCTACACAAGTCCCGGGATTTGCCCTGTCTGCACCAACTGGAGTCTTGGGACTAGTTGCTGAGGTTAGAAGGATTCAGTTCTCTGATTGGCCAGGCTGGGTCATGGGCTTCACCAGAACCAAATGGATGGAGAGTAGGAACACTAATAAAGGCTTAAAGATACCCAAAGGCTCTATGAGATATGTCCCTTCCATGCTTGAGGGTGCTGGGGAAGGAGAGAAGAGGCCCAATTTGTCCTGATATTTGTGACCATTACTAGGTGAGATACATACCCAGAAGCTCTAAAGGTTGAACCTTAGAATCCACAGTTAAGACAGAGCGGGGTTTGAGCCTTAATTCCACTAATGTGTTAGTCAGGATGGGCTAGTAGACTCATGGTGATAGATAACCCTAAAAATTGTGATGAACACAGTAACCATTTGTTTCTTCCACATGCCCCATGCCCCATGCAGGACAGTGGGGGCTCTGCTCCACATGGTCACTTAGGGATCTAGGTGGTTGGAGGCACCATTATCTTGCAGCTGCACTGCCTGCATATCTCCTCCATGCCAGGGGAAAGAAGAGACTGGAGAATTGTGCCTGGAGACTTTTCACTGCCTCAGTTTGGAAGTGACAGACATTACTTCCGTTCATATTTCTTTGGCTAGAACTAGTCATAGCCCAGCCTCCCAGGAAGAGGGTAGGTATAAAGGAAAGCATATGGGATAGTCAAAGAAAATTACCACTGCTGCCACACTTACTCACTAGTTGTGTGTCTGTGGCAAGGTACTTAACCTCTCTGTGTCTTCATTTCCCCGTCTGTTTTTGTTTGTTTGTTTTTATGGACGGAGTCTTGCTCTGTCATCGGGCTGGAGTGCACTGGCATGATCATAGCTTACTGCAGCCTCAACCTCCTGGGTTCAAGTGATCCTCTTGCCTTAGCCTTCTGAGTAGCTAGGACTACTAGCCTTCTTAATTTTTTTGTTTTTTGAAGGGCTATCTCACTGTGTTGCCCAGGCTGGTCTCGAATTCCTGGCTTCAAGTGATCCTCCTGCCTTGGCTTCCCAAAGTGCTGGGATTACAGGCATGAACCACTTTGCCTGGCCTCAGTTCCCCCCGGCCCCGTTTTTTTTTTTTGTTTTTTTTTTTTGTTCGTTTGTTTTTTGTTTTTTTTGAGATGAAGTTTTGCTTTTGTTTCCTAGGCTAGAGTGCAGTGGTGCCATCTCGGCCTGCTGCAACCTCCACCTCCTGGGTTCAAGCGATTCTCCTTCCTCAGCCTCCCGAATAGCCGGGATTACAGGCGTCTGCCACCACACCCGGCTAATTTTTGCATTTTTAGTAGAGACGGGGTTTGACCATGTTGGCCAGGCTGGTCTCGAACTCTTGACTTCAGGTGATCCACCCACCTCAGCCTCCCAAAGTGCTGGGATTACGGGATGAGCCACCACACCCGACCCCCCATCTGTTAACTGAGGATTACAATAGTTCTTTTTAAAAATTTTTCTTTTTATAAAAGTTTAAAATTTTATTGTGGGTACACAATAGCTTTATACATTTATGGAGTACATGAGATGTTTTGATATAGGCATGTAATGTGAAATAAGCACACCATGGGGCATGGAGGTGTCTATCCCCTCAAACATTTATCCTTTGAGTTACAAACAATCCAGCTACATTCTTTAAGTGATTTTAAAATGTACAATGAAGTTATTGACTATTGTCACCCTCTTGTGCTATCAAGTTGTAGGTCTTATTCATTTTTTCTATTTTTTTTTTTGTAGCATTAACCACCTCCAACTTCCCTCAGCCCCCCACTATCCTTCCCAACCTCCAGTAACCATCTTTCTACTCTCTGTGTCCATGAGTTCTACCATTTTGATTTTAATTTTTTAAATTAAAAAAAAATTTTTTCTTGCCCCACCTAATGCCATCACCACAAATAACTGAGAACATGTGATGTTTGTCTTTCTGTGCCTAGCTTATTTCACTTAACATAATGATCTCCAGTTCCATTCATGTTGTTGCAAATGACTGGATCTCATTCTTATTTAATAGCTGAATAGTACTCCATTATGTATATGTGCCACATTTTCTTTATCCATGTTCCAGATCTTAGAGGAAAGACTTTCAGTTTATCCCCATTCAGTATGAGACTAGCTGTGGGTCTGTCATATATGGCTGTTATTATGTTGAGCTATGTTCCTTCTATCCCCAGTTTTCTGAGGGCTTTTATCATGAAGAGATGCTGAATTTTATCAAATGCTTTTTCAGCATCAATTGAGATGATCGTATGGTTTTTATCCTTCATTTTGTTGATATGAGGTATCACATTGATTAATTTGCATATGTTGAACCATCGTTGCATCCCAGGGATAAATCCCACTTGGATATGAGGAATGATTTTTTTTCTAATGTATTGTAGAATTAGGTTTACTAGTATTTTGCTGAGGGTTTTGCGTCAATATTCATCAGAAATATTGGCCTGTACTTTTCTTTTTTTAATGTGTCTGTGTCTGGTTTTGGTATCAGGGTAATACTGGCCTTGTAGAATGAGTTTGGAAGTATTCCCTCCTCCTCTATTTTTATGAATACTTTGAAGAGGATTAGTATTAGTTCTTTAAGCATTTGGTAGAATTGAGTAGTGAAGACATCAAGTCCCCGGCTTTTCTTCAACAACCAATTTATGCCTAGTGTTCCATTATTGGAATGCTATGTTTGTAGGAGTTATTTATACCCTATTGCTCAAGGTCATTGTCAAGGTCTGATTTTTCACACACAAAAAATTTGCAACCTCTGGCATAAATGGGTTAACAGGAGACTTTTTATTATGGCTTCAAACTCGTTACTTGTTATTGGTCTGTTCAGGTTTTGGATTTCTTCCCAATTTAATCTTGGTAGATTGCATGTATCTAGGAATTTGTCCATTTATTCTAGATTTTCCAATTTATTGGCATATACTTGCTCATAGTAGCCACTAATGATCCTTTAAATTTCTGAAGTATCAGTTGTAATGTCTCCTTTTTCATTTCTGATTTTATTTATTTGTATCTTCTGTCTTTGTTTCTTAGTCTGGTTAAAGATTTGTCAATTTTGTTTAACTTTTTTTTAAAATGTAAGACTTTAACTTCAAAAACATTTTAGCATTCCAAACATACAAAAAAAAAACAAAACACTCAACGTTTCAAACCGTGTTTAAGTACAGAAAGTTCTTGAACTTTCATTGATGCAGTGGCTCTTCACTTTGCTAATAATGAATAGTTCTACAGTTTGTTTAAAAAGTAGTCCCAGCTACTCCAGAAGCTGAGGCAGGAGAATCACTTGAACCTGGGAGGTGGAGGTTGCAGTGAGCTGAGATCGCGCCACTGAATGCTGTGTCACAATATACAGAAACAAGACAACCTGAAGCTAAATGTATGCCCTCTGCAGAGGCAACAGGTCCAGCCTCACAGTGCATGCCCTGAGCTATGGCCCTTCCAAAAGGCAACTTCCCCACAGCCTCAACCCCAAGCAAAGAGCTTCAAGAGTTTGTCTTGGTCGTTTTGTTCTTTTTACAAACTATAGATATATACAGTTGATAACTTAGGTTTCCAGCCAATTACCATATAGTTAAGACCACCTTACAAATTAAAAAAAAAAAAATGCCAGAAACATCTTTAAATGCCTTGTCACACCAACCGCAAAGTGCACAGAGTGAGGAGAACATGAGAGTGCCTTTTCATTTTAAAAATGTTTGGAAATATGTACAACTTTGATACAGTTTCAGGGTGCTCTGGACACCCATGGCCACTTCATGTAAACCACCGACAATTTCTAGAGCACTTTGAGAGACTACAATATGATCGTGATCAAATTTTGTAATTAAACCTAATGAGGGCAACAGACACTTCTCAAATAAGAAATGTGTCAATTACGGCCCTCCCCTACTCTAAGGTATTCACAAGGAGACAGATAAACAGGTTTTTTTTTTTTTTTTTTTTTTTTAATTCATCCTCCTCCTTCTCCTCCTTTTCTCCCTCCTTGTCTTCTTCACCTTCCTCTTCCACCTTTTTCCGGGCAACTTCAGCAGGACACTTTGCACCATCAAACTTTCCTTTCGACTTAGAGTCGGCAACATCCTTATCATACTTCTCCTTCAGCTTTGCCGCCTGAGTGACGTAAGGCTGCTTTTCACTGTCATTTAAGTTACTCTACATCTCACTCAGCTTTTTTTTTTTTTTTTTTTTCTTCTGCATCACCAATAGAGATGCTAGGTTTTGTGGAATTGATCTTGGAGCGGAATTCTGAATAGAACAGGAAGAATCCAGACGGTGGCATTTTGGGGGCATTAGGATCCTTCTTCTTCCTGCCTCCCTTAGCTGGTCCATAATCCTTCTTTTCCTGATCATAGTGCACTTTATCCACCTTTGCCATTTCATCAAATTTAGACTTCTCTTTCCCATACATTGTCTTCCACCCCTCAGAGCACTTCTTGGAAAATTCTGCAAAATTGACAGGAACTTCTGGGTTTTTCTTTTTATGTTCTTCTCTGCACGTCTACACAAAAAGGCAGAAGCAGACATCTTGCTCTTTGGTTTTGTGGGGTCATCTTTAGCCATCCTGACTGTATTGTTCACTAGTCTCAATTTTGTTTAACTTTTTGAAAAACCGACTTTTTGTTTCATTGATCTTTTGTATTTTTTTATTTCAATTTTATTTATTTGTGTTCTGATCTTTATGATTTCTTTTCTTCTGCTAATTTTGGGTTTGGTTTGCTCTTGCTTTTATAGTCTTTGAAGCTGCATTGTTAGATTGTTCATTTGAAGCTTTTCCTCTTTTTCAATGTAGGCACTTTTAGCTATAAACTTCCCTCTTAGTATTGCTTTTGCTGTATCCCATAGGTTTTGTTATGTTGTTTTTCCATTATTATTTGTTTCAAGAAGTTTTTTCATTCCTTTTTTCTTTTTCTTTCTCTCTTTCCTTTCTTTCTTTTTTTCTTTTCTTTTCTTTTCTTTTCTTTTCTTTTCTTTTTTTTTTTTTTTTTTTTGAGATAGGGTCTGGCTCTGCCACCCAGGCTGGAGTGTGGTGGTGTGATCTCGACTCACTGCAACCTTAACATCCCACCTCAGCCCCCTGGGAATACAGGAGGAAATACAGGCATGTGCCATCACACCCAGCTAAGTTTTGTATTTTTTGTAGTGACAGGGTTTTGTCATGTTGCCCAGGCTGGTCTTGAACTCCTGAGCTCAAGGAATTGGCCCACGTAGGCCTCCCAGAGTGCTAGAATTACAGGTGTGAGCCACTACACCCGGCCCAATTTCCTTCTTAATTTCTTCATTGACCCACTGGTCATTCAGCAACAGATTGTTTAATTTCCATATATTGTATAGTTTCCAAAATTCCTTTTGTTATTAATTTCTAGTTTTATTCCATTGTGGTCAGAGTAGATGCTTGATATTATTTTAACTTTTTTGAATGCTTTAAGACTTATTTTGTGACCTAACATATGGTCTATCCTTGAGAATGATCCATGTGCTGAGGAAAAGAATGTATATTCTGCAGCTCTTGCATAAAATGTTCTGTAAATATCTCTTAGATCCATTTGGTCTATAGTGCAGATTAAGTCTGATTTTTCTTTGTTGATTTTCTGTCTGGAAGATCTGTCCAATGCTGAAAGTGGTGTTGAAGTCTCCAGCTATTATTGTATTGGGGTCTATCTCTGTTTTTAGCTCTAATAATATTTCCTTTATATGTTTAGGTGCTCCAGTGTTGGGTGCATATACATTTTAAATTGTTGTATCCTCTTGCTAAATTGACCCCTTTATCATTATATAGTGGTCTTCTTTGTCTCTTATAGTTTTTGTCTGATATAAGTATAGTGACTCCTGCTCTTTTTGGTTTCCATTGGCATGGAATATCTTTTTCCATCTCTTTATTTTCAGTCTGTCTGTGTCTTTATAGGTGAAGTGTGTTTCTTGCAGGCAGTAGATCAATGGGTCTTGTTTTTACATCCATTCCAGCAATCTGTGTCTTTTGATTGGAGAGTTTAGTCCATTTACATTCAGTGTTATTATTGAAAGTAGGGACTTACTCCTGCCATTTTGTTATTTGCTTTCTGGTTGTTTTCTGGTTTTCTCTTCTTTCTTTCCTTCCTGTCTTCTTCTACTGAAGATGATTTTCTCTGGTGATATGATTTAGTTTCTTACTTTTTATTTTTTGTGTATCCATTGCATGTTTCTTGGTTTGAGGTCACCATGAGGCTTGCAAATACTTTCTTGCATGATTTTTAACTTTGTTTCATCAGTTATATTTACATCTGTGAGAGCTACCACAAACTGAAGGTACTTTTTCATCAGAGTGGTTTGGTCAACCACCACGGCTCCTTGTGTTGCAACAAATGCCATTTTTCTTTTGAGCTGGTTTGTTTCTCGAGAAAAGTATCAGGTCCGTGAGTTCAGTCAGCCCCAACCTCAGTGGCCTGGCTCCCACAGCCCTATCCTGTGACTGCCTGCTGAGCCCTCACCTCTGTTGCTGCTCCACCTTGCACAGTCCCACCCCATACAAGAGTTCATTTCTTAAAAGGACATTGTCAGGATTAAATTAGTTTCTATATTTAAGTGTCTCAGAAAAGTGCCTGACACATAGAAATAGCTCAATACGGGTTAAATATTATCAATATTCTCCCACCCCTACTTAGGGTCTCTTCTGTACAAAGGATCTCATTGCAATATGAGTGAGGAGGTCAAACATCATTCGGTAATGTTCTGGTCTAGGACAAAATTTAGAACTGAGTAATTTTTGGCAAGTAGTTTAATATCTTTGAACCTCAACTATGTCTTCCATTAAAAACAGATTTCTAGTTACCTTTTAGGGTTCATGTGAGAGCTCAGTAAGAAAATGGTTGGTTAAGGCAGTTATGCCTACATTAAGCTATTTTGCCTACCACAATGGTAAAAATTATGTACACATTTTAAAGATTTGCATTAAGATTAAAACCAAAAAAGGGTTTCTGCAGCTCATCTCCACTTAAGTGGGAATTTCTGGGGACCAAGACCACTCTCATCCCTAGTCCCTATTTCCTGACCTCTCCAGATCTGCCCACATGGCCTCTTTGGCATCTTGACAAAAGCACTCATTGGGATGAGGTTCTTTGTTGCAGTTGCCTGTGGACACAGATGGTCTTTTCCAGCCAAAGAAAGACAGGAGAAGCGCAGGCCCATGTGTGGCTGCATTGGTTTGCAACAAACAAGATTCATTCATTTGGTCCTTCATGCATTCTTTTTCTTTTTTTTTCTTTTTTAAAATAAGACAGGGATCTCACTATGTTCCCCAGGCTGGTCTCCAACTCCTGGGCTCAAGTAATCCTCCTGCCTCAGTCTTTCAAAGTGCTGGGATTACAGGCGTGAGCTACTGACCCTGGCCATACTTTCTTTCATTCAATAAATATTTATCAGTGGCTTACTCTGTGCCAGGCATGTGTGAGGACCTACGGTTCAGAGGTGAACAAGGGAGATATGTCTCATGAAACTTACATTTTAATTGGGGTGGTGGGTGACAATGGTTGAGGAATCAAGTCATATCTTTGGAAACTGGTAAGTATTAAAAAGAAAAATAAAACAAGGCAATGCTGAGAGAGAGGCTCTAGAGATAGGGGAAGAGAAATGGCAACAAATTGGACGGAGTGGTCAGGGAAGGCCTCAAAGAGGAAGTGACTCAGGCAGCATCTGCTGTGAGACAGGAATCTGGCTCTGCAGCAACATGGGAACACAGCATTCTTGGCACAGATGCCCTGGGATGGGAATGAGGAGGCCAGAGTGCCAGGAGCTTTGTGGAAGAGGCAGGCAGAAGCCGAATCTTGGGACCATCCTTTCTCACCTTGCATGGCCCAACAAGTCTGTGTAGGGCCTTTTCCAGGAAGGCAGAGCCTACCCCTAGCTGACTCTGTGTCCCTTCCTGTGGTTGCCTCACTGGTCCAGTCTCACTAGTCCCTCTGGCTCCCTCTGGCTACTTCCGGCTTCCTCTGGCAACAGACTACTGGGGGAGATAAGTGAGAATTGCAACATGCTCTCTCATTACCCTCAAGGAACTAGAAAGATAGAATCTCTACGGACCCCACAAGACGACTGATACTACAGACTAGACAAGAGCACCAGGTGAGGGCTGAGGGGAAGTTTTGGGAGGTGTGCATGACCACTGAGAATGGAGGGTGGAGGTGTCAGAGAAGTGAGAAGAGCTCAGCCTGGACAGAGGGTAAGAACGAGCTGGAGATGGGGTGTGGATGGCAGTCCACATAGGAGGAAGGTAGAGCAAAGGAGTCCTCATGGGAAGGAAAGGACTAGGCAATCATACTCAGATCAGTTTGTCTCGCCCTTGGGCTGAGCCACTAGAAATGGAAGAGAAGCTTGGAAAAGGCGAAGGAGACACTCAGCCTTGGGAAAGTAGTCAGCGAAGTGGCATGGAGCATTCTGGACACAAATGCCCAAAGACAGGAATGAGGACTCTGGAGCTACACTACTTGGGTTCAAATTTGAATTCTGTTGCTTACTAATGCTGGGACCTTGACAAGTTACTTAACCCTTCTGTGACTCAGTTTCTCCATCTGTAAAACAGTGATCATAACAGTACCAAATTCATTTTATAAAGTTTAAATGAGTGAATAGTTGCAAAGCACTTAGAATAAATAGTACCTGGCCCAGAATGATGTAAGTGTTGGCTAAATTAAATGAATGCTGGTGAGCAAGTGAGACTCTCATTCTGAAGCCAATGGGAAGCTCTCAGATGTTTCTGGGCTGTGCCATGCATGGAGGAAAAGAGTGCTCTGCTCTAATTCATCTGGTGCAGGCTGGATTGGAGGTGGACGGCCTGGGATCAGGAAAACAAGTTAGGAGTCTACTGCAATAGCCCAGACATGAACACTGATTGGCTGGTAGCAGGGCTGCTGGGGAGAATAGAGGGGATGGAAGGCTGGAGGTTGCTGCCGAAGGAAGTGCTCCTAACATCTGGTGTCTGGAGACGGGACTGGGGGTAGTGGGGTACAGATGGAGGAAATGGAGGCCTTGAGCTTGAGTGATGGGGCGAATGTGGGGCTATGTCAGAGAGGGAAGCTGGAAAAGTCATCTGGTTTGGAGGAAGATGGTGCCAACACATGGACGTGTGTTGCCTTTGAGGCCATGGTGTGCCCACAGTGTTCTGGGTGTGATTTCATATCCTGGGTCTGAGGAAAGGAATCCTAGGGGGTTGGATTCTGGCTCCTAGAGAGATGTGAGAACGAGAGTTTCAGCCCTGGCCTCTGCTCACCTGTACACCTGCACGTGTTTGGAGGAGGGTAGGTAGGCTGGGGACAGGCAGTAAATATTTAATGAGGCTGAGTCCACACATCCTCTGCATACTGTATTAAAAGGGCAGTCAGGAAAGGAAGACCCTGCTTGTGTCCACCACTCCCAGACACTCGGTAGTGACAGTGGTCAGTGCTCTCCTTACCCTCACCCCATTGCAGGGGAGAGGATCTCACAACTCAGCCCAAGGCTGACCACACTCCTCCGACTCTCACCTGGATAAGGGTCCCAGCTGGGGTCCAGGGACAGTGGTTGGGACCAATAGTATTTGACTACTGGTTTCTGTTAACAAGTGTTGACTGGGTACCTGCTTCGGGATCCAGTGAGCACAAAATGTCCACTAACCAATGGATTTTTTGAGCATCTCCTCTGTTCAAGCTCTGTATAAGGCACGGGGCTCAAAGTAAAATTAAATGCTTGGTTCCAGAAACCGCATTAGCCTAGGTTTTTGTTTTCCATTTTTAATTATTAATGACAGTAGCTTCAATATAGATATCAGAGGAATGTATCCTTCTAGTCATGAAAATCTTGTTTTAGCCTGGCTTTTAAGTATAATCATTCCCTCCAATCTTTCCTATAAAGGGTTGTTAATTATATGAATTAATATATCTGTAAAATTTTATTGGGATTAGGTCCATAGCTTTCATTAGCTTCGTAAGGTTTTTTTAAAATCATATTTTTCTTTTTTAGTTCAGAAAAGAGTCAAGAAGAAAATTAAAATGGCCCATAATCCTACTGTCCAGATAACCCCTTGTTTTCACTTTTTAAATGCATATGGAAAATAATTCATGTTCTAGAAAGACACAAAATGAGAAGCAAAATTCTCTCACTGCTCCCTCCCCACTTCCGTTTCTCTTCCTAAAGGTTTGTGCTACTAATGGTTTCTTATATATCCCTCTAGAAAATGCTTAGTGCACTTATCAGCATTATAAATGCATTATGTACATCCTATTCTTAAAAGCTTCTCCCGGAGGTTAAGAACTATTGCTCTCTCTAGGCATGATTGTCTGTTTTTATGCTTTTTGCCCTGTTGATCTGCATTTTAAAAAATAACAGAGGAAAGTCCTTTCTCTTTCTTTCTTTCTTTTTTTCTTTCCTTCCTTCCTTCTTCCTTTATTTTCCTTTTTTTTCTTTTTTTAGAGATGAGGTCTCACTCTGTCACCCAGGCATGCTGGAGTGAAGCAGTGCAGTCATAGCTCACTGCAGCCTCAACCTCCCAGGCACAAGCAATCCTCCCATCTCAGCCTCCAGAGTAGCTGGGACCACAGGCATGCACCACCATGCCTAGTTAATTTAAAAAAATTTTTTGTAGAGACGGTCTCACTGTGTTGCCCAGGCTGATCTCAAACTCCTGTACTCAAGTGATCCACCCGCCTTGGCCTCCTAAAGTGCTGGGAATACAGGCGTGAACCACCATGCCTGGTCAAGGAACTCATTTTCTAATGCTCCTCTGCCTTGGACTAGTGGACAGATGTCAGGAAGTTACTTTACCTTGCTGAGCCTCAGTTTCCTCATTCTTGTGGGGACTCAATGGCAGTGTCAATGCAGAAAGGCCTGGGCACACAATAGGCCTTCCATAAATGGTCAGTGCTTTCCCTTAGGCCCTTTTGGAAGGAGGAGGGGCTGCCAGTTCTAAATAAATGTTACAGAAGGGCCTGTCATCAGTTGCCCCTCAGAGTGACCTGTCACTTTGTTCCCAGCTATAAGAAGAAGAGTGTGGGAGTCCCCTGACTGGAGGTGACAGGGTCACACAAATTCCTCACCCTTGGTGTTGGCACCCACCCCAGGAGCTCAGGCAATCCAGACCCCAGGAGACTGATGCCATCTGTCCCTGGCTGGGAAGGAATCTCTGCCAACAGCTGAGACAGGCCTCTGATATATAGCCCCTGTCACCTCCCCCTCTTCTTTCTCTGAGCTGAGGCTTTAAGACCTGTGTGACTCCAGCTTCAGAGGGAAAATGGCTTACAGGAAAGGTCTCCAGTATCATCTGGGACCAGGGGCGGCTTGGCTATTGTCAAGCTGTGACCAGCCCCAGGAAGCCAGAAAGAAGGGCAGGACTCCAGTCCGAGGAGGTGGGGGCCGTGGTGATGGCAGATGAGGCAGAAGGTGGACGAAGACCATTTGTTGTGTGCTGGGAAGCACTGGCCACAGTGCTGGGTCCTTGGCAGGTGTTACTTGCTGGGACCTCCCAGCTGCACTCCCACTTTGTAGATGAGGACTCTGAGACTCAGAGAGGCAAGCCACCTTGCCTTTTGGGGAGGCAATGGCAGAATCAGGACTGGCATCACCTGCGTAGTCCAGCACTTATGTTTTACTACGTTGGCCACAGGTAGACGTGAGGGAGGGCACCAGACAGGACACCTAGGGTCTGGGCCACAAAGTGGCTGCCCACTCACAGGCACAGACACACTTCTCCCGGGGTCCACTTCTGCCAGTCCTGCTCTGTCTGTATTCTCAGAGTCTAGGACAGTGCCTGGCGCATAGTAGGTGCTCAGGAAGTCTTTGTGGAACGAAGAAGGGAATGGACAACAAAAATGCCTGCTGGTCTAATTAGACTGGCCCACCCCATACTCTCAGGTGGACCCTCCCTAACTTGATGTGTTCTCAGGGCTCTGTGACAAGGGGTACGAGCTTGGTACCAAGCTCCTAGGCAGACTTTGGAAAGAATCGCTGACCCAACTCTATTCAGTAGCTTCTTGCCAGGCCTCCTAGAAGGGATGGAAGAGCAGCGCCCAGCTAAAAGTGGGGTGCCAGACCCAGGCTGGTCTCTTCTTGCCAGCTGACCTTAGGGACTGACTTTGTCCCCCCATCTGCTGTGCTTTCTTCCCTGTAACACACAGTGGGGCTGGGAAGGCACTAAAGCCTGAAGGCTGTTGGAGGACCGCCCAGGGCTCAGGGCTGAGAGAGGAAGGGAGGAGTGCAACAAAGGTCACAGCAGGTCTGCCTTTGTTCCCCAGTGTGGAGGTAGAGTCCCAGCTCCTGGAGAGAGTCACATGTCCATAAAGAAGCTTGGCCTGGCCGGGCACAGTGGCTCACGCCTGTAATCCCAGCATTTTGGGAGGCCAAGGTAGGTGGATCATTTGAGGTCAGGAGGTCGAGACCAGCCTGCCAACATGGTGAAACCCTGTCACTACTAAAAATACAAAAATTAGCTGGGCATGGTGGTGGGCGCCTATAGTCCCAACTGCTCGGGAGGCTGAGGCAGGAAAATCTCTTGAACCCAGCAGGTGGAGGTTGCAGTGATCTGAGATCATGCCACTGCACTCCAGCCTGGGCGACAGAGCGAGACTCCATCTCAAAAAAAAAAAAAAAAAGAAAAGAAAAGAAAAGAAAAAAGAAAAAAAGAAAAAAAAAAAAGGAAAAAATAGAAGCCTGGCCCGGGAGGAGCACATATTTGATAACAGTTAAGAGCAATAATTAGGGAGCATTCATCATGCATCAGACACAGGTGCATTCCGTGTAATAGTCTCATTTAACCCTCACAACACACTTAGGAAGTAAGTACTATAATCAGCATTTTTCTCATCTCATTTTACAGATGAGAAAATGGAGGTACCAAAAAGTGGGCTCTGAACTGCAGAGCCTGGCTCCAGAGCCCTTGTATTTGACTACTGGGATCCACCGTTATTCTCACAGCCGCGTTTCCCACAGGGCTGCTTTGTATGGCCTCTTAGAAAAGTCCTGCCTGTCTCCACCATCCAGGTGAGCCAAGGTCATCTGTGAACAGCTCAAGGACAAAGCTGAGAAAGCCAGCTCTGGGGAAGGGTCAGGAGGGCTGGGGGAGGAGGAGCCCCAGTGAAGATGATGTTGGCCAGATGGACACTGGGGGACAAGAGCAGAGTGTGTGAAGGCACAGTGGTGTGGTGCGTTTCGTGGTGCTCCCTTCACTTAGGCTAGAGAGTGATGTGTAAAGGGGAGGAGTTTTGAAAGATAAAACCGGAAGTGTCATGCATAGAGAATTAGGGCTTTATCACTTGTCTGGGTGGTGGAGGCTGAGACTAGTGTTTTAAACACAGTGGTGTGACAGCTAGCTGAGTGTCACAGTGGTGGCCAGGCCCTGGGAGAAGTGCTCCACCTCCATTCTGTCGCTGCACCCTCTGAATGTCCTGCGAGACGAGGACTGGTATTCTTTCTTTCTTTCTTTCTTTTTTTTTTTTAGACAGAGTCTCCCTCTGTTGCCCAGGCTGGAGTGCAGTGGCACGATCTCCGCTCACTGCAAGCTCCGCCTCCCAGGTTCACGCCATTCTCCTGCCTCAGCCTCCCGAGTAGCTGGGACTACAGGACTACAGGCATCTGCCACCAAGCCTGGCTAATCTTTTGTATTTTTAGCAGAGAAGGGGTTTCACCATGTTAGCCAGGCTGGTCTCGATCTCCTGACCTAGTGATCTGCCCGCCTCAGCCTCCCAAAGTGCTGGGATTACAGGCATGAGCCACCATGCCCAGCCAAGGACTGGTATTCTTTCTTTCAGGAGCTCCTTAAGGCCTTGGAGCATCTTAGGAGCCCTGAACTTCCAGGTAAAAAGTCCAGTTCCTTTGCTGGAGAGGCCACGTGGAGAGAGGGTGGCCCTGATGGCTAGGAAGAGAAGCCTAGCGATCCCTGTCTTCCAGCTGAGCCCAGGCCTCTGCCAGCCACTAGCCTGCTGAGTGCAGCCATACGAGTGACCCCCAGCAAGGCAAGCAAAAAAACTGCCACATAAGCGGAGAAGAGCTGACCCCTCCAAGCTGAGTCCACACTGCAGAGTCATGAACAAATAATTATTTTAAGCCACTAAGTTTTGGGTTTTTGTTTTAACTCAGCAATAGATTTATTTTTATTTTCATATTTTTAGAGATAGGGTCTCCCTCTGTTGCCTAGGCTGGAGTATAATGCATAATCATAGCTCACTGCAGCCTTGAACTCCTGGGCTCAAGCAATCCTCCCATCCCAGCCTCCTGAGTACAGGCATGTGCTGTCACACCCAGCTAACTGTTTTTACTTTTATTTTTTTACTTTTAGTAGAGACGGTGGTCTCCCTATGTTGCCCAGGCTGGATTCAAACTCCTGGCCTCAAGTGATCCTCCTGCCTTGGCCTCCCAAAGTGTTGGGATTACAGGTGTGAGCTGCCATGCTTGGCCAGCAATAGATATTTGAACCAGGAATTGGGAAGGAAACTGACCTTGGAGATCCTGAATGAATGAAAACATGAAACCCTGGTGAACTACTGACTGAGATGCTTTTTTTCCTCCTCAGGGAAGCTTTTCTAGGTGGATCGGGCCCAGCCTGGCTCACCCAGGCCACTTTGGCCACTTTTCTTTGTTCAGCCACCATTAATTACTCACATGTGTCTGTTTCCCAAGCCCTGGCAGCAGGTTCAACGGGAGAAGGGGCCTAGAGAGTCATGTTCTTTTTTTTTTTTCTTTTTGAGACAAAGTCTCACTGTGTCATCCAGGCTGGAGTGCAGTGGCGCGATCTCAGCTCACTGCAAGCTCCACCTTCCGGTTCACACCATTCTCCTGCCTCAGTCTCCCGAGTAGCTGGGACTACAGGCGCCCGCCAACACGCCCGGCTAATTTTTTGTATTTTTAGTAGAGACAGGGTTTCACCGTGTTAGCCAGGATGGTCTCGATCTCCTGACCTCGTGATCCGCCCATCTCAGTCTCCGAAAGTGCTGGGATTACAGGCGTGAGCCACCGCGCCCGGCCTGTTCAGCCACCGTTAATTACTAACAAGTGTCTGTTTCCCAAGCCCTGGCCGCAGGTTCACCGGGAAAGGGGCCTAGAGAGCCATGTTCTTTTGCTTTGCAGAGCTTCAGTGAGAGTTCTGCAGGTAGCGGAGGCCCAGTTCAGAGTGCTGTCTGATGCACACAAATCAGCTTCTAGTTCAGGCCTTCATCCCAAGTGAGGTGGTAGTGGAGGCAAACCCTTTGGAGCCAAAGTGCCTGGTCCAAAGCCCAGCTCTGCCGCTTGTTTGCTGTATGACCTTGGACAACTCAAGTCACCTCTCTGAGCCTCTATCTCCTTATCCATAAAGTGGGGAGAACAATGCCCCACCTTGTGAAGGTAAATGAAATCACATCTGTAAAGAGCCTAACAGTGCCTGGCATATGTGTCCCCATACATAGCCACATTCACCCCTTCTATCTACAAATCGAGTGAGCAACTTTAGGTTCCAATGTCCCCCTCCATAGTCCACCTCAAAAACCTTTTCTCCACAGGTCAAGCCTGAGCCTGAAATTCTGGCATCAGTCATTGTTTTTGGTTATGCTTCCACCCAACAGCAGGTCTGCTGGAGCGAGGCTGGTGATGTAGTAAGCTGCACTTCTTTTTTTTTTTTTGGACACAGGATCTCTCTCTGTCTCCCAGGCTGGAGTGCCGTGGCATGATCAGGGATCACTGTAGCCTTGACTTCCTGGGTTCAAGCAATCCTCCCATCTCAGCCTCCAGAGTAGCTGGGACTACAGACATGTACCACCACACCTGGCTAATTTTTTTACTTTACTCTTTTTGTAGAGATGGGGTCTCACCATGTTGCCCAGGCTTGTCTTAAATTCCTGGGATCAAGGGATCCTCCCGTCCCAGCCTCCCAAAGTTCTGGGATTACAGGCATGAGCCACCATGCTCAGCACAAGCCTCACTTCTAGAATCAGAAGATCTGGGCTCTAGTCTTAGCCCTTGCACCTGCTGGCTGGAAGACCTTGGGCAAGTAGCTTGTCCCATGTGCAGTGGTTCCTGCCTTGGCCTAGAGAGTTACTGGGAGGCTCCAGTGAGTACCCACAGACATGAAAGAACTTTGCCACTGGTATAGGATCAAGTGTGATCATCTCAATGATGACACCATTTTTGGTCCTCTCAGTAGGAATTGGTTCACTAGAGCTATGCTGTCCAAAATAAAATTAAAATTAAAACACAAGTCTAGGCTGGGTGCGGTGGCTCATGCCTATAATCCCAGAACTTTGAGAGGCCAAGGATCACCTGAGGTCAGGATCAGGAGTTCAAGACCAGCCTGGCCAACATGGTGAAACCCTGTCTCCCTAAAAATACAAAAATTAGCCGGGCATGATGGTGTATGCCTGTAGTCCCAGGTACATGCCTGTATTCGGGAAGCTGAGGTAGGAGAATCAGTTGAACCTGGGAGGCAGAGGTTGCAGTGAGGCGAGATCACGTCACTGCACTCCAGCCTGGGTGACAGAGCAAGACTCCATCTCAAAAACAACAACAACAAACAAAACAAAACAAAAAAACAAAAAACAAAAACCAAACAAAAACCAAAAAACACAAGTCTTCATTCTCATGAGCCACATTTCAAGTACTCAATAGCCACATGTGGCTGGTGTCCACCATATTGGACAGCACAAATAGAGAATATTTCCATCATTGCAGAAAGTTCCATTGGTCAGCATTGCCCTAGTGTTTTTCCAATAGGACAGCTGGCGACAGAAATGAGAGGGAGAGATGGGGGCAGAGGAAGCCTGAGCCCAGCTGGGTGGGTGGCATGGACGTTTTGTTTGTTTTTGTAGACCCTGTTGGGCTGACTGGATTCAGGGATGGCCACCGCCCTTGACCTCCTCCCTGTTAACAGTCATCCTGGGCAGGTTCATTGGAAACAGCATTTTCTCACCTTGAGGTCAGGGAGCCTGGGGCCACCTCCAACAGGAAGTGGCCAGAGTAGCTTGGGGCCAGCCTGGGCACTACATGCTAATTTATCGCTGGGCCTGGTTGTGCAGGGGTGGGCCGAAGGGTTGTTGGGTGCTCCTCCTCCTGTCCCCGGTGCAGCCCAGTTGGAAGGGCATGGCAGGGAGCAGGCGCAGCAGCACCAGGGCGACGGTACCTGAGCTCGGTGCTAAGGGACCAATTAGCCAGTCATGGGGTGCATCCCAGGACCCTGCTGCCAACCCTCGGAGGCTCCCTGAGTCCCAGATCTTCTCCCCATGCCAGGCTGAGGCACCAAGAACCCAGCCCGTTCAGGGGCACTAGCATCAGCCAGTATAGCTTGGGCAACAGGCTGTGTGGCAGGGGAGGCCCGGAGAGCAGAAGGGACAGATCAAAGGCCCCACTGCATGAGAGGCCCAGCTGGGAGCAGACCCCAGGGAATCCTCATTTCCTGACTCATTTGATTAAGTTCTTTCCTGCCCATCCAAACAGACACACAAACCGTATTCACATATGTATTCATATGTGAATCTACCCAGAGATGGAGAGCAGACACACAGGCATCCAGACACGCACAGCAGACGTGCCCTCATGGGTGCAGGCTCATGGCTGTACTTACACATGTGCAGGTGGCCCAGAATTCATCCCTGTTCCCCTAAACCAAAAATACCTTCCGTTAGCTGAAAGTTTAAACTGTGTATCTTGCTGAACAAAATCAACCCTCAGGTCCCCCTATCCCTTGTTGACTACAAACTGAACACCCTGAAGTACCGTGAGCCCCAACACCTTGCATGGGGGCTGGGGGAGGGGGCACCCAGCTGGATGCATCACCTTCCTCTGCATTCAGCCAGAGGCTTGGTCTCTCAGGACAATGAGAACGTGAGAACACAGCACCTACTCTCGGGGTCTCCCAGGCATTCCTGGGAGGGCACCTTCCTTTCCCCAATCAGGCCTCCTCTGTAATCTTCACAAGAGCTTCAGTTTTCCCATGGATCCCCCGTCCCTCCCACCCTCTGAAGCAGGCAGGCAGGCAGCATGACAAGTGACAAATGAAAACTCACTTTCTCAGCCAGGCATGGTGGCTCACACCTGTCATCCTAGCACTTTGAGAGGCCGAGGTGGGAGGATTGCTTGAACCCAGGAATTCAAAAGCAGCCTGGGCAACATATCAAGACCCCATCTCTTATAAAGAAAATAAAAAGTCATTTTCTCAGCTGGGTACAGTGACTCACAACTGCAATCCCAGAACTTTGGGAGGCCGGGGCGGGAGGATCACTTGAGCCCAGGAGTTTCTGACCAGCCTGGGCAATATAGTGAGACCCCATCTGTATAAAGTAAATAAGTAAATTTTTTAAAAGTCATTTTCTAATGAACAGGTGTGGACCAGGGCTGGGGCAAGCTGGGAGTGGGGAGGGTAAAGTTCCTAGAAGTCTTTGGGGCTCTGGGGTGTCATTGGTTCGCAGCTGAAACCCTGTTTTTGGCAGTTAGTCAGGGCTGTCAGAAGCCGCCGCTGACCGCCTCCCTCCCTGCCCCAGTGCCAGGTTCACTCTCCATGTTAGCCTTTGTGAACTTTAGCCACCTGCCCAGGGCCAGGCTTTCTCTTGGAATCAGACTTTCACAAAGGATTCTCAGAAAAAGACAGGCACCATCCTCTCAGCCCCAGCCTGGCAGACCCCCTACACTCCTTCCTATGGTTCCTCGGTCCACTCCCAATTTTTTTTGTGGGGGGACGGAGACTCACTCTGTTGCCCAACCTGGAATGCCATGGCACAATCTCAGCTCACCGCAACCTCCACCTCCCGAGTTCAAGCAACTCTCTTTCCTCAGCCTCCCTCCCAAGTAGCTGGGACTACAGGTGCATGCCATCACACCCGGCTAATTTTTGTGTTTTTAGTAGAGATAGGGTTTCCCCATGTTGGCCAAGCTGGTCTCGAACTCCTGACCTCAGGTAATCCACCCACCTCGGCCTCCCAAAGTGCTGGGATCATAGGCGTGAGCCACTGTGCCCGGCCCACTCCCAAGTTTTTAACCCATTCTGCCTCAAAGCTGGTCAGCTATCAGTAGTATCAACTCCCATCCCCAAACCCAGTGGGAATTTAAAACCATAGGAAATATTCTTGTGCCAACCCAGAGGGTGAAATATCTTCCTGTTTTGTGCCCTCTTAAGGCCAAGAAAAAATTATTAAATAATAACAAATCACTTAAAAATAACAATTTTACCAGCCTGGGCAACATGGCAAGATCCCATCTCTACAAAAAAATAAATAAATAAAATAAACTAGCTAGGCATGGTGTCACATGCCTGTAGTTCCAGCTACTTGGGAGGTTGAGGCAGGAGGATCATGTGAGCCCAGAAGTTCAAGGTTGCAGTGAGCTATGACTGCGCCACTGCACTACAGCCTGGGTAACAGAGTGAGACCCTGTTTCTAAAAAAAAGAATAAATAAAAAAATTAATAATAATTTTAAAATATGAACTAACATTATTTACATAATAAGAATTCATTTTAAAATAATGGCTTGGTTACTCTGGGCTCACTGCTTATAGGGTAGCCCTGCTCCACAAGGAGCAGTGAAAATGTATAATAATAATAATAATAACAATAATGGCTATCACTAGAATGTAAGCAACAATATAAACCCTACAAGGGTAGATATTTTTTCCATTTTGTTTGCCAATGGATCCCAATAACCTAGAGCAGTGCTTGGCATATTGCAGGTTCTCAGTAAGTATTTGTTGACTAAAGTAATTACTGTTAGATACTATCTAAGTGCCTTTCAAGGATCGGTTTAATTAATTGTTACAACATTGTGAGGTGAGTAATATTGCACCCATTTTGCAGACTGAGGCAGAAATAAACTAAGAAATCCAGCCAAAGTCACATACCTAGTAAAGGGAGACTGTGTCCAAGCAGCCTGGCCCTAGGGCCCAGGCTCTTGATCACCAAGTCTATTGCCTTCCCTAACAGCAGTATCCTTAATAGCAATTATATTTCCTTAATAGCAATTATATTTCATTGAACTGTTTTTGTTCTGTTTCTCATACAATAATTTATTGATATCTGTGTCTCCTACCAGACTATGATGTCCGTGAGGTCAGAGGAAAGGGAGAATGTCTCACATACAGAAAATGCTTGATCAACATTGATGGAATCATAAATGGTATTTCCTTGTATCTCTCCGTGTACTGTATATGTCATTCACCAAATGTCTTGAAAACGATTTGGGGTTGGGGGAAAGGACGGAGGGGACAGTGGCTAGAAGCACAGAGTCCAGAGTCTGAAGTACTGGGTTTTAATTCCTGTCTCTATCCCTTTCTAGCTATGTGAACTTGGGCAAGTTACTCAGCCTCTTGGCCTCAGTTTGATCATCTATTAAATGGGGATAATAACAGCTTCTGCCTGCTAGAATTGTTGTAAGGATTAAATGAGATAATGCTTGATCCATGCTTGGCATAGTAAGGGCTCTATAAATGGCAGCTATTGTCACTGGTAATATGATGTTGTGTAACTTCTGCTTGCCCTGTGTCTCATGTGAAGCTGAAGCCTCCCATTAGCCCTTCCGCAGGCCACAGCCGGCAGCTTGTGGGCAGGTGCCTGCAACAGGCATGACCCACTCCTCCCCATCTGTCAGGGTGAATCCTCCACCACTTCCGGTCAGAGCTTACAACCTACTTATTAGGTTAATTAGACACAACACCTTTCCAAAGATACCTTGGCACCAAAGCCAGCCCTAACATCTGGTGAGCAGCTTGACAAGGATTTGGGAAATGACAAGTTGTCATCAGCCTCTGGCTGAAGCAAGTGGGTTGAGTTGGGGGGCAGAGGAACCACCCCATTCCTCTTTGGGGATCACTGGATGACTCCTGGGGTCTTTTCTGGGTAGGAATGCCAGATAAAATATAGGACACCCTTGTTAAATTTGAATTTCAGATAAACACCAAATACTTTTTTAGAATAAGCATGTCCCAAATATTACAAGGAAAATACTTATATTAAAAACTATTTGGTGTTTATCTGAAATTCAAATTTAACTGGGCATCCTGTTTGTTTGTTTGTTTTTTCCCCCTGAATCTATCAGTCCTATCTGTCGGGCATGTTGGAGTGTGAGACGAGGAGGGAAAGCCCAAGTGTTTGAAGGAGCAGGCACAGGCCTTGGTAGGGCCAGCTCTCTCTGAGCCCTGGCACCGGGAGCTCCTCTCTGGGCCTCCTGGGTCTGAGGTGAGGGTGTCTGGGGACCTATTGGAGCCAACTTCCTGCAGGGAGGCTCTGCGGGCGGAACAGGGCACTGCTGCCAACTCAGAGTTGTTTGCACTTCATGGCCTCCTGGGGCACTGGCCCCCTTCCTGGTTAACATCCTGGATGGGAGAACCAAGAACAACAGCACCTTCCCTGGAGAGGTGCTGAAGTCGTTCCAGGAGCACCTTGCTGGGAATAGGCCTCGGAGGCCCGGCCTGTTGGGACCTGGAAGACCAATCGGTCCTGCTACAGGAGGGCCCCCGAGCAGGTGCAGGGCTTTTCCGATGCCACACAGTGTGCAGGTAAACCTAGAGCGTGGTCTCCAGACCTCCCGTTCCCATCCCCTACCTACGTGGCTGCCTTTCTGTGCCATCAGGAGAGGAGCAGCTGTGGCCAGTGCAACTGGTGACTGAGCCCCTCTAACACAACAGGTTTCAAACTCAACCTCTCATCTGCCCTGTATTAGGCCATTCTCGCATTGCTATAAAGAAATACCTGAGACTGGATAATTTACAAAGAAAAGAGGTTTAATTGGCTCATGGTTCTGTAGGCTGTACAGGAAGCATAACACTGGCATCTGCTTCTGGGGAGGCCTCAGGAAGCTTCCAATCATGGTGGAAGGCAAAGCAGGAGCTTGCACATCATGTGGCACAAGTAGGAGTCGGGGGGCGGGGAGGTGCTACACAATTTTAAGGGACCAGATCTCCTGAGAACACACTCACTACCATGAAGGCGGCACCAAGGGGATGGTGCTAAACCATTCATGAGAAATTCACCCCCATGATCCCATCACTCCCTCCAATACTGGGTATTACAATTCAACATGAGATTTGGGCAGGGACACAGATCCAAACTATATCACTCCCCCTTCAATACATGGTACCCACACACCTGGCTGTGCAAACTAGAAACCTCAGCTTCATCCTGGGTGTATCAGTCAGCTAGGGCTGCTGTAACAAACACCACAGACTGGTGGTCTAAACAACAGAAATGTATTTCTCACTGTTCTGGAGGCTGGAAGTCCAAGATCAATGTGTTGGTAGGGTTGCTTTCTCCTGAGGCCTCTCTTCTTGGCTTGCAAATGTCTGGCTGTGTCCTCACATCCTCACATGGCCTTTCCTCTGTGCATGTGCACCCCTGATGTCTCTCTGTGTGTCCAAATTTCCTCTTCAGCTGGGCATGGTGGCTCACACCTGTAATTCCACACTTTGGGAGGCCGAGGCAGGTGGATCACCTGAGGTCAGGAGTTGGAGACCAGCCTGGCTGACATGGTGAAACCCCGTCTCTACTAAAAATACAAAAATTAGCCGAGTATGGTGGTGGGCGGCTGTAATCCTAGCTGAGGCAGGAAACTCGCTTGGACTAGGAGGCAGAGGTTGCAGTGAGCTGAGATTGTACCACTGCACTCCAGCCTGGGCAACAAGAGGGAAACTACATCTCAAAAAAAAAAAATAATAATTCCTCTTCTTATAAAGACACTAGTCAGATTGGATTAAGGTCCACTGTAACAGCCTTGTTTTAATTTAATCACCTCTTCAAAGCTTCTATTATGGTGCAAAAGTAATTGAAAGTAATGGCAAGATCCGCAATTACTTTTGCACCAAACTAATATATCCAAATACCATCACATTTGGGGCACTGGGGGTTAGGGCTTCAAAAAGTGAATTCTGGGGGTGTACAGTTCAGCCCATAATACTGGGCACTCCTGCCTGTCCCTTCTCCTGTGAGTCACTAAGCCCTGTTAAAGCCACTTCCTCTGTAGCGCCTCAATTTGTCTGCACCCTTTCATTGCCACCTGAGCCAGGTGGCCCTCGTCTCCCAGGCCAGACAGCTCTCCTCCTGGCTGGTCTCCTGCCTCCACTTTCCCTTCTCCAATCCATTTTGCACCTAGCCGCAGAGGAAACACAGCTCCACTCTTGTCCATCTCTACTCTCCCATCTTCTAAATCCATCACTGGCTTCTTATTTTTAGGATCAAAATTGCCTTACTGGCATACAGACCTCTGTGCGATCTAGCCCTGTCCCCTTTCCCAGGTCTAATCCCTCCTGTGGGAATCCCTCCATCCACACTGCAGCCGATCTGAGATCTGAACGTGAATCGAGCTCCTTCTTGCTTGGGGCTCTTCTTGCTAGCACAGGCTGTTCCGTCTGCCTTCCTCACTCCTCCCACCTCACCTTCCCCAGGCTTACCTCTACCCGTTCTACCTGTCCTCAGACCTCCACCTAGGCTCCACTTCCTCCAGAAAGCCTCCCCTCATCCCTACCAACCCTCAGGCTCTGAAGTGGGGGCTCCTCTTGGACACCCCCAGAACACTCTATTCTGATGCTTTGTTTGCTAGCCTGCCTTCTCTGCTAGTCTTCTCTGCGAGTGGCTTCTGTGAAGGCAGGGGCACATTCACTGCTCTATCTGCAGTAACCAGTGTGGCCCTGGCACACAGAAGGGCTCACCAGTTATGAGCTGTGATTTTTTACTGTTAAATTTCTGAGCAACGTCAGACTACAAAGCATTGGGGGGCAAAAGGAGAGTAAAAGAAAGGCCAGCTGGCCGGGCAGTTTTTCAGTTCTAGCCATACAACAGAATCGCTCGTGCTGCTTTCCAGATGTATCAATTCTCAGGCATCATCCCAGAGATTCTGATTCCATTGGTTGGAGGTGGGCCCAAGAGTGGTACTTTCTGAATATTTTCCAATATTCTATGTGCAGCTGGGATTGAGAAGCCCTGAGTGAGCACTAAGACTCAGCTCACTGGGTCTCAGCTCAGTAGATCCTTGCTGACGGAGGTCCTCCTCTACTGCTGGTGGGAGGACGGGGTCTCCAGATGTTTACTCCTGCCCCAGCTCTCCTTCCTCAGGGTGCGGCTCCCTGGGCTGAGCCGCAGTGGTTTCCTCCCCATGGAACCAGTCAAACCTCTCCCTGCTGGCTCCTTGGGGAGGCAGCCAGGCCCAGAAGGAGGAGCAGGGGCTAGGGTCTAGCCCAGCAGGCTAGGTCACAGGTCCCCTGCCAGAGCCAGCCCCAGGGGAATTCAGTTGGTTCCACAAATATTTGCCGAGCACCCAGACTGGGTCAGGTGCTTTGCCAGTTGCGAATCTAGTAACCAAGTCTGGCTACTGACCAGCCCTGTTACCCTAGCCTTGGACTAGGGCTCAAAGAGGAGCTAGATGAAGAGTACTGGTGGCTGGCTGTGGGCACTGTTATCCCCCAAAGCCACTTCCACGATCACCTAAGCAAAGGGGAAGGTGTGATCATCATGTCCCACCCCAGCTACCCTCTGTCTTTCCTATGGCCCAGTGTGGCCAGAACTGTTGCAGCAGAATCCCCTAGGAAGCTTGTTAAAAATGCAGGTTCCTGGGCTCCACCCTGGAAATCTGATTTAGAAGGTCCAGGGTAAGGCCCAGTAATCTAAATTTTCAGCCAGTTCCTCAAGGGATTCTGATGCAACAGCTCGCCGATGATTCTAGTGTGTAGCTGCCTTTAAGAATCACAATAGTCTAGGCTGGGCGTGGTGGTTTACGCCTGTAATCCTAGTACTTTGGGAAGCCGAAGTGGGTGGATCACTTGAAGTCACAAGTTCAAAAGCAGCCTGGGCACTATGGTAAAACCCTGTCTCTACTAAAAAAATAAAAATTAGCCGAGTGTAGTGATAAGCACCTGTAATCCCAGCTACTCAGGAGGCTGAGGAAGGAGAACTGCTTCAACCCAGAAGGCAGAGGTTGCAGTGAGCCAAGATCACGCCACTGCACTCCAGCCTGGGTGACAAAGCAAGACTCTGTCTCAAAAACAAATAAACAAACAAAATCACAGCAGTCTAATTTCCTCAGGTGGGTTTAATGCCTTTTTGGGGAAGGAAGGAAGTGAACAGAAACAAGTTTCTGGGCTCAGAAGACTCAGCCACAGCTGGCTCTGACTGGCTTCACAATCATCGTCCCCCATCATTCACCAAGCACTGACCTTGGTGATTTGTTCAATCCTTATCCTACCCTGGTAAAGCTGCTGTCATCCCCATTTTATAGCCCAGAAAAGGTCAAGTTACTTGCCAAGGTCATAGAACACAATGACTAAGTTGGGGTTCTGGGTCTGAAGTTGCTTACAGACCCTGGGGGAGGCAAATGGTGCAAAACACCGCTAGCTCCAGGTGGAATGAAATCGATGCACCAGGGCAGGTAAAAGCCAAGCACTCAGCGAGTGCAGAGAAAGAAGAGATTCATGCTTACTGGGGACTGGCGGGGGAGGCTCCAAAGCAGGCGGTAACATTTGAGCTGGACCCTGGTGGAGGAATTCAACTTTGACATTCAGAGAAGGAAGGGAGGGAAGGGAGAGAATACCAGGCAGAGAATGCAGCATGAGGGGAGCCACTGAGATGGGGAGAACATATAGTAGGAAGAGTGAGTGGGCTGATGTGGTCACAGCATGGGGTGTAGAAAGGGACACGGGAGTGATGACGCAGGAGAGGGCAGCTGGGGACTCTTTACTGGGTGCTCACTGGAAAATAGCCAGAAGTCTGAATGGGGCATTGGCTTTAAGAAGGTAACCCTGGTGACAGGTGACAGGGCTGGGTGGATTAGAGAGATGGTAGCTGGGTTAGGAGATGACTAGATCCAGCCAGGCAAGAACAGTGAGTCACTCTACTTCTCTGGATCAGTTTGTTCCTCTCTAAAATGTAGATAATTATCCCTCCCTGACATCTGTCCCAGGCTGTGGTGAAGATGAAAGAAAAAGGGAGATGGGAAACAGTGTTGGTGAGCCCCAGGGGACAGAGGGAGGGCTTTGCAGGTAAGGGTCAGAATTGGGAAGCTGGAGGCTGTGTGACAATGATGTGCCCTGGCTGGTGACCCCAGTGGCATGGCTACAAGACACAGCAGCATCCAAACAAGATACAGGCCAAGCATAGGAGGGGTTTCAGTTCCCAGGAGGCATCTGCATCTGAACTCAAATTGAGAGAGAATGAGAAACCCCTCCAAACCTACCTGAAGCGGGACTACAAACTTAGCTGCTTCCCCATTTGAAGGGGTTCTAATGGGTGGAATTCTGTTTCCTAAAGGGCCTCAGCGGCACCTGTCCTGAGTCAGCATCTCACAGAGGTTTTGCCAGCGCCAGCCACATCTCCAGCATGAAGGTGATTGTCTGAGTGTGTCCAGTCCAGTTCCTGCCTTAATAAAAATCACTGCTGCAAGGGAGAGGGCTGCCAAGGCCCTGCCTCCCTCCAACCCCATCCTAGCCTGAGTCTTAACCATTCTTCCAATCCAGTTCCACTTTGGGCCAGTGCTTAACCCAGGGTAGCACTTTTGAGCCTCGCAACTCTTGGGAGTGAGTTTTCATCCTAACGTTCTCAGATGAGGAAATTGGGCCTCAAAGAGTCCACACAGGTGAGGCACCATGGCTCATGCCTATAATCCTAACACTTTGGGAGGCCAAGGCAGGAGGAATGCTTGAGCCCAGGAGTTCAAGACCAGCCTGGGCAACATGGTGACACCCTGTCTCTATAAAAAAATACAACAATTAGGCAAACGTGGTGGCATGCACCTGTCATCCCAGCTACCTGGGAGGCTGAGGTGGGAGGATTGCTTGAGCCCAGGAGGCTGAGGCTGCAGTGAGCCATGATCCTGCCAGTACACTCCAGCCTGGGTGACAGAACAAGACCCTGTCTCAAAAACAAAACAAAACAAAAACAAAAACAAAGCATCCACACAACTAGCAGGTGAAAAACTGGGGTTCAAACTCAGGCCTATAACACTAAGGGCTGGGCCTGTCCCCACCAAATCAGTCTTTCCTCAGACAGGCTGAGGTGTCCTCTATAGACCAAATATCTGGAGGTCAGAACACTGAGACACTAGTTATGTAAAGGCAGGGTGTGAGTTGGTGAGCTCATCGAGAAAATGCTTCCTGGGCTGGGTGCAGTGGCTCACACCTGTAATCCCAGCACTTTGGGAGGCTGAGGTGGACAGATCACCTCAAGTCAGGAGTTCAAGACCAGCCTGGCCAACATGCTGAAACTCTGTCTCTACTAAAAAATACAAAAATTTGCCAAGCGCAGTGGCACATGCCTGTAATACTAGCTCCTCGGGAGGCTGAGGCAGGAGAACCGCTTGAACCCAGGAGGCAGAGGTTGCAGTGAGCCAAGATTGCACCACTGAACTCTAGCCTGGGTGACAGAGCAAAACTCTGTCTCAAAAAAAAAAAAAGAAAAGAGAAAAAAGAAAGAGAGAGAAAGAAAGAGAGAGAGAAAGAGAAAGAAAGAAAAAGAAAGAAAGAAAAGAAAGAAAGAAAGAAAGAAAGAAAGAAAGAAAGGAAGGAAGGAAGAAAGAAAGGAAAGAAAGAAAGAAAGAAAGAAAGAAAGAAAGAAAGAAAGAAAGAAAGAAAGAGAAAGAAAGAAAGGAAGGAAGGAAAAAAGAAAGAAAGAAAGAAAGAAAGAAAGAAAGAAAGAAAGAAAGAAAGAAAGAAAGAAAGAAAGAAAGAAAGGAAGGAAGGAAGGAGAAAATGCTTCCTGGAGAAGACAGGAGGACGGAACAGGCAGGCCAGTCAAGGCCTGGGCTGCTCTGGGCCCAAGCTCTGGGCTTTCTCAGTTCCCAAGAGAGTGGCTTTTCCAGAGAGACACAGTCCTGACCCAGGCCTGGGCCTATGGCAGTAAGTCCAGTTCCCTCTTCCTACTCAGATTCTCCCAGGGTCTCTGGATTCCTTTCAATAGGACCCCCATGGGAGAGGGGACAAGGCCTGAGTCTTGAGAATCTGGGGAGGGGCTGAGACCCTGGGATCCTCCTCCATGTGTGTGTGTTTGGGCCTCACAGATCTGGAAGAATATACGCTATCCTGAGACCTTTGATGTCTACATAAGCTGCTTGTTCTCACAATAGACAAATGCTACCTTCCTGCCTCTACCCCCGAGGCCCGTGGGTCCTGGTATGGAATGTGTGGGCCTGACTAGCTGGGGATGGGTTCCACTATTCACATTACTCAATGACACACTGGCCTCCTGGTGGAAACTTCCCCATTTAGTGGAGAGACCACACCTTTGTTTTACATTTGTGTAACCCCGACAAAAGGCCGTAGGTCTCCTGGGAGTATGACCTTGGCTGTAGAATGACCAGGCTTCCTTTTCTTCTCCTTTGGTGGTTCTTCTTCTTTTTAACCCTTCTACCTTCTCCTGCCCTCACCGGTTCCAAATGAGGTCACCATTCCAATGACGTCTCTCCACCAAAGCCTTGCCAAGACCCCACCAGCTTCCCGTTGCATGCCTGACAGAGGAATCCCCACCCGCTGGGCCCTCATTCTCGTAATCACAGCCCACTCCCTCCCCAAATGGGGCCAGAATTGCTCTGTTTGTTTTTGCTTTGGATTTTATTAAATTTTTTATTTTAAGAGAAGTTACACATAAGCATAGATTTCTCAGAAATGTACAAAGTTAGTCATGAACAACTGCAGCCCTGACCCATCTCCAGGGTGGCCACTTTCGACTCTTGAAACGGATTCTTTGGAATGTTCACTTTCATGTCTCTAAATAACATCTCACATAGTTTCTTCTTGATCTGTGTAGTTTTAGGAGTTTTTTCTTGATTTCCTGCCCTGGGAGACCAGGAGTTCTTTTAGCTCCTGTTGCCTCACACCCACCCCCGCCTCTCTCTTCCCAATACAGCCACACCGTAGAGGGTAATTTTGATTATATCGCTATTCTGTGTTGACCTTTTCTGACTATGTAAACACTATGGCTGGCTGAGCCATATGGTAGACTAGGATAATTTTTTCCACCTTTCTTTTAAATCTGGGCAATAACCAGTTCGTGGGCAGCCTCAGACATCACAGCCTAGCAATGGTTTGGTTCATCTGACCCCGGCCACTGACATCACCAAACCAACCCCTTCACTGCTTCTTGAGAAACATCTGTGGTCAGACTAATGGTAACTTTACCAAGAAGACATGGTCCAAAAACTCACTGGTATCTTCTTGCTTTATGTGTCACAAGAGGCCACTGAATGGCTGCTCTGAGGTGGATGCTGAGTCAGAGTGAGTGGTTTGAATTCAGCTTCTGCCCTCTGTGGCTATGTGAACTTCGGCAAGTTACATGTCCCCTGTGAGCTTTGGTTTCTTCATTTGTAAAATGAAATTGAAGGATGGAACCGCCTACTGATTGGGATAAACTGAGATGCACGTGTAATGTACAGAGCACATAGAAAGAATGACAAATGGTGGGCATTATTATTACTACTGGGTTAATTATTCGTAGGGGCTCTTTTAGTGAATATTCCAGAATGAAGAAACAGCATGCTTCAGAAACATTCAGGGTCGGGCACGGTGGCTCACGCCTGTAATTTCAACACTTTGGGAGGCCGAGGAGGGTGGATCACCTGAGGTCAGAAGTTCGAGACCAGCCTGACCAACATGGTGAAACCCCATCTCTACTAAAAATACAAAAAATTAGCTGGGTGTGGTGGCAGACACCTGTAATCCCAGCTACTTGGGAGGCTGAGGTAGGAGAATCCCTTGAATCTGGGAGGCGGACGTTGCAGGTTGCTGAGGTCACGCCATTGCACTCCAGCCTGGGCAACAAGAGCAAAACTCCATCTCAAAAACAGAAACAACAAAAAACCCATTGAGGACTTTTAAAGTAGTTAACAGTCATGTGCCCCATCTCCCTAAGCACACAGCCCACTTGAGCCATCTCCGAAGAGCACAGTCTGTGCCCGGGCACTAAGGAGGGCCTTAGCCAGGCACTGGAGGATGGAGGTGTAGATGGGTGGGATCCCTGGACACAAGGAAAGGGACTGGTCTTCCCCACTCCTCCCTATTCTGTTTTTTTATGGTGTCACTCAATTAATTTGGGTTTACTGGGGACATCGTCCTCCAACAGGGACCTATGTCATGTTAGTCTCAGCTACCTCTGGTTGCACCTTGGAGAGAGTTGACCACCTGACCCCTTCCAGCCCCTTTCATATTTATTTGGGAGGGGGTGTTCATCATATATAGTATGTGCTAATTTTAAGAGATTCAAACAGTGCAGAAGTATAAAAGAAAAAATTTAAGATCTTTTTTCTACCTTAGAGGTAAATGCTGTTAACAGTTTGCCATGTGTCCTTCCAGGATTTTATTTTCCATGCTTTAAATGTGCATGGGGGACCGTGCGCCATGGCTCACACCTGTCATCACAGCACTTTGGGAGGCCGAGGCAGGTGGATCACTTGAGCCCAAGAGTTCTAGACCAGCTTGGGAAACATGGTGAAACCTTGTCTCTACTAAACCTATAAAAATCAACTGGGCATGGTGGCACACACCTGTAGTCCCAGCTTCTCAGAAGGCTGAGGTGGGAGGATGGCTTGAGCCTGGGAGGTGGAGGTTGCAGTGAGCCGAGATCGCGCCACTGCACTCCAGCCTGGGAGACAGAGTGAGAACCTGTCTCAAAAAAATAAAAATAAAATAAATGTGTGTGTGTGTGTGTGTGTGTGTGTGTGTGTAGAATTAGTTCAAGTATTACATTCAGTTACAGTATATGAATATAATGCATATATAGTAATAAAATAAGATCACACTGTACTTTCAATTCTGTGACTTGTTTTTTCATACAATAATGTACCATGGGCCACATTCCAGTTTGCTCTAGATATCTTTGGCAGTGTGCTGTGTATGTTTTTGTGGGTTGCCTTCCATTTTACCAAGACAGGCAATCCTGTGCTAGTCTTGCTCTTGCATATATCCTTTTGCATTTGTGCTAATATTCTGTTGAAAGTAGGTTTCTACAGAGTGAAGATGAGGAAAACAGCTCAGGGGTTACTCCTCAGCCATCTCTCTGGGGCCTAGCCCCCTCCTCCCAGATGACCCTCTCCAGCTTCCCTAACTACCCCCACCTCCCCTAACTACCCCCACCTCCCTCCACTAACCCACCACTCCTCCCAGGAAATGTCTAATCTCGGCTAGGCCGAGGCAACCAGGACGTTTCATGTGTGGCTGAAAGCCCGAAACCTTCCTTTGCTACTGGCTGTCATGGAAGACACAACTAATTCAGCCACCGGGATTTTATGGTGCACATCTTCATTTCAGCCCATGACCGAGCCTGTGCTGTGCCTTTACCTCGTGTGAGGGTAAAACTGCTTGCAGATCAGAAATGATTACTATTCCTGCCTTTGGCCTTTCCACAGAGCTCCCAGTTTCATACAAAGAGGAAACTGAAACCCAGAGAGGGAAGTGGCCCACCCAGGGCCTGCCCCTGGCCGCTGGGTCAGAATTTGGGTTTCTGGACACGGGCAGTCGGGGCGGGAGTGGGGAGGTGGAAATAGGTTACAGAGGTGAGGGAGCAGAACTATGCACCTGGCTCTCTGCCAAGATTTCCCATTCAATCCCAATAGCCATGCTAGGAGATGGAGGCAGCATCATGTCCATTTTCCAGAAGAGGAAACTGAGGCAGATCTGGGTGTGAAACTAGAACTGTCAGACTTCTAAAACTCCCCATCCATCTTCCCCTGATTTCCAAAATATGAGATCTGGGATGTAGCTCCCAGGTTTGGGGGTCTGAGGTAACCAACAGCCCTTCCAGGTGTTCCTGCCCTCCTCCCTCCCCAGGAGCGCAATTCCCATGAGGAGCCCGGCTCCTCTTCCAGGAGGGCCCAAACCTGAAGAACCCCAGCCAGGCTGCTGGATGCTTTGTCTCCCCTCCACACACAGCTGTGAGACTTGCAGAAAGCCTGACAGACTCCCACCTCCAACAGGGTTGGAGCACGTGGATCTCTGGCCTCTGCACCCTTGGGTGGGCAACCCTGGTGACTTCTCAAAGATCACATAGCAGGGTAGGATCCAAGTGGCAGGAAGAACCTCCATGTTCTCCTTTCCACTCCTTGGCTGACAGATCAGCCTGTGCTCTGGGGAAAGGGGCGAAGGCTCCTCTGGAGCAGCCTAAAGGGCTGGGGCTAAAGGAAGGCCCACCTGGGCTCCCCCATTCACTCACCCTCTGCACCATCTTGGGCAGGACCTTCCTCCTGAAGACTCCAGCCTCCTTCCCAAACCCAGCCTGGTTGCTGGGCACTGGGCACTATCAACAAAGCACTCCCCATGGGGCCAGCTCTTGCCAGGGACTGAGAACAGTGATCTCCTGGGAGAAGCCTGTTACCCAAGGCTAGATTATGGGGAGAAGCGGGGCTCGCTGGGAGCAGCTCCTGCTGGCTTTGTGTTTGAAACAATTGTCAGGAAATGCCAACTGCTTATTGGGCCTATAGCCTCCTTCCTTCCCTCACACCTTTTGAAAAGGTGAGCTCCTGGAAGACAGAGCCCCTCAGACAAACCCAGCTTACCCTCAAGCTCCAATGCCCAGCTCCACCCACTCTGCCTGTTTTGGTGTTTTGCACCACCCTGGGCTGGCCAGAGCTCTCTAGTCTCCTCTCCTGCCCTTCCCCAAGCTGTTCTGTCATTTTCCAATTCTTAGTATCATTTTTTTCTAATAAAAGCAACACAGGTTTACTGTTAAAAAAAATATTACAAGCTGGGCTCAGTGGTTCACTACTATAGTCCCAGCTACTTGGGAGGCTGAGGTGGGGGGATTGTTTGAGCCCAGGAGTTAGAACCCAGCGTTGGCAACATAGTGAGAGACCCTATTATTATTTTTTTTTTTGTTTTCGAAACAAGGCGTCACTCTGTCGCCCAGGCTGGAGTTCAGTGAGGCAATCTTGGCTCACTGCAACCTCTGCCTTCCAGCTCAAGTGATCCTCCCACCTCAGTCTCCCAAGTAGCTGGGACTATAGGTAGGTGCCACCACACCAAGCTAGTTTTTTAAAATTTTAGTAGAGATGGGGTTTTGCTATGTTACCCAGACTGGTCAGAACTACTGGGCTCAAAGGATCCACCTGCCTCAGCCTCCCAAAGTGTTGGGATTACAGGTGTGAGCAACCGCACCTGGCACTCACTTCTTAAAAGAAAAGAAAAGAAAAGATTGCAGAAATATCTAAATCTAAAGTAGAGGAAGAAAACCAGCCCCCATCCCAGTCCCAGACATACCGTATTGTATGATAAGCTCAAACTACACAGACTGACCTGCACCTCATTTCTTCAAGGAGATGTCTTTGAAACAAAAACTGATCATGTCCCTTCCATGTTTAAATTACTCCCACGGCTTCCTACCACTCTCGGATAAAGTACACTCCTGATCTTGGCTATCAGGCCCTACCAGCCTCTGCTTCAGTCTAGAGCCTCCCCCTCCCAGCCACACTGCCTGCTTTCAGGCTCCTGTCCTCCCTCTTTCTCCACCTCTTTTCTTCTCTTTCTTCCTCTCTTTTCCCTTTTGCTTTTGCACAGGTGGAGCCCCTGTCCCACCTGGAGTGCTGTTCACCTGGTGACCTTCTGCTCCCCTTTCAGATCCCAAATGACTTCCTCTGAGAGGCCTTCTCAGATCCCCCTGCTTGTGGAAAGCCTTGCTTCCTCTTGTCACAGCTGCAATTTTAAATTCACATCTGACTCTTGTGTCTTGCTTCCCAAAACCATCCAGTTCAAGACTAAACAATTTAAGGGGGCAGAGCTCTGTTTTGCTCAGTATCCTCTCCCAGTGCCTGGTACATTGTGGATGCTCAATAAATACTTGGATGTATGGACATAGTAAGTACTAATTATCTGATTGCTTACATGGGCCAGCACAATGCTGGGCATGGGGGAACTCAGGGGATTAACACAACAAGGGCAGGTTCTCAAAGGCTGGGGGTTAGCAAGCCAGGGATGAGGCAGGCAGGGGTTTGGGTAAGTGCTAGAATGTGATGTCAAATGGTTACAAGGGCATGGCTTTCAAGGTCCTTTTGTGATGTTGTTAAGTCATTGCCTGATTGTCTTCTCTACTGTTCCTGTTAAACACAGGCCCCTGGAGAAGGGAGTCTTTGCTTCTACTTTTCTTTCCTACTTCCTTGCAGCCCATGGCCTCCGTCTTAGCACTTAGGCCAGGCCAGAGGTCTACAGAATGTGTGTATTAAAATACTGGATGGATGGATGGGTGGATGGATGGATGGATGGATGGGTGGGTGGATGGATGGATGGATGGATGGGTGGATGGATAGATGGATGGATGGATGGATAGATGGATGGATGGTTGGATGGATGGATGGATGGATGGATGGATGGATGGATGGATGAAAGAGCTAAAAAAGCTAGCAGGGCCTCAGAGATCCTTTATTCTCACTCTGATTTTTCAAATGAGAAACTGAAGTGTAAGAGAGGTGGAGTACATCCTTAGTCACTTCCTCTCTTTGAGAACTTATATTGATTTTTTTTCTTTTCAGTCTATAAACATGTTGAAATATCCTTCACTCTAAACAAAACAAAACAAAACACCTCTTTCTCTCTTCCCTACAACCTTTCCCTTGAGCTAGGACTTCCCCCTTTCCTTTCACTGCCAAACTTCTTGAAGATCTTACAAAATTCACCCACTGGACTTCCTCATCTCCCATTATCCCTGGACCTCTAGCTTTTGGCTTCTGTCCACATCACCATGGCAACAGCTCTGAAGTTGCCACTCACCAGAGACCTTCTAGGCCTGGAGCCCTTCCTTGGCCCAGGTAGTGTTTGGCACTGTCGCCACATGTTCTCTGAACCCCAGAGGCACTGCTCTGCACAGGGGCCACTCTTCCTGTCCAGAAGGCTGCTCTCTTCTGGGACCTTTAATGGCACCTCTTCCTTCTAGCACCTTCCACCACAGCTCTGGCCTCAGCCCCTTCTTTGCTCTCATTCTGTATTCTCTCAACATTACTGAGTGCCTCTGGGTGCCTGGTGCCATTCCAGGCTGTTGGCTGCATTACCTTGTGTAATCCTTACGCTGACCCTCTGACACAGGTGTATTAGTGTCACCCATGCTTTACAAGTAGAGAAGCTGAGAAGCAGTGAAGATAAGTCAATCACTCAATCCTACACAGTTGGTAAGTGGCATCTTTGGGACTCGAATAAAATCTTGCTGTTTTCAAGCCTGTACTCTTGGCTGCGAAGCCACAACTTTTTCTTAGCAGTCTCAGCCACACTCAGGCCTCGCATCTCTTTTTACAACTCTCAAGTTAGTATTTTTAAAAGGAACCTCCCTTTGGAATGCCAGGTTTGCTCTTCCAAAGTCCTGGTGAAATTTGTTCTTAGATATCCCTTTAAAATCTCCAAGCCAGACTCCTCAGGTCTTTTGCTCTCTTGATCTAGGGGCAAATCCTTCCCTGCCACCCTCAGGCTCACCTGCATTGTCAGCCCCCATCCCTGCCCCTTGCCCAGTCTGCCATGATCTCCTCCTGTCTCCTCTTGCGTCTGACCTCCTCTCTGTGTGTTCTGAAACAGTCTGGTGCTCCCTGCAGTTCCTTCTCTGCTGAGAGAGGACCCTCCCTGGATTCCCTTCCTTCATTTCCCTTTGACCACTAGAAATCCTTCGTATCTAGAAAATAGGCGGACAGGAAATGTTTTAAACATCAACAGTGGTTACCTCCAGATGAGGGGGATCCAGGTGACTTATTTTCACATCTGTTCAGTATTTTCCAAATTTCCTATAATGAGGATGTTTTACTTTATAATCAGAAAAGAACTTGTTAAGATAATTTCAGAAATTAATCTTATTCATCTGCCCTGCCCACTTCCTCTTTGAACCCCGTCTGTAGCCTGGTTCACGTGACACCTCCTTCAGGTCCCACTGGGGCTGCCTTGGCTACTTGAGAGCTGGGCATTTGTTCACACACGATGATCCGCTTGGTCCCTGCAGCCTCCTCCAGTGCCCTGGGTGTACCGGGGCACCCCACAAATGCAGGAGAAGTAGTTAAAATAGACATATTCAAAAGAATATTCATCAAAGAAGTAAGAGACTGGAGACCCTTTAAATGTCTATCCAGAGAGGCCTTGTTAAATAGCACATGGGAGGTCTGGGGGCTTGCCTATACCCCTTAGAAAGAAAGACATAGTGTGTAGTAAACCACCATGGCACACATTTACCTATGTAATAAACCTGCCCAGCCGGGCGCAGTGGCTCACGCCTGTAATCCTAGCACTTTGGGAGGCCAACGCAGATGGATCACAAGGTCAGAAGTTTGAGACCAGCCTGGCCAATATGGTGAAACCCCATCTCTACTAAAAATACAAAAATTAGCCGGACGTGGTGGTGGGCGTCTGTAATCCCAGCTACTCAGGAAGCTGAGGCAGGAGAATCACTTGAACCCAGGAGGCAGAGGTTGCAGTGAGCCGAGATCGCGCCACTGCACTCCAGCCTGGGCGAAAGAGCGAAACTCCATCTCAAAAAAAAAAAAAAAAGAAAAGAAAAGAAAACCTACACATCCTGCACATGTACCCCTGAACTTAAAATAAAAGTTGAAAAAAAAGAAAGTCATAGATCCCAGCTGCCAATATGAACCAACTTCCAAAAGATGGTATTAAATTAAAAAAAAAAAATCCAGTAAAATGTACATAGAATGTTCCTATTTATTTAAAAAATAAAAGGATAGCCACATACACACACATATATGTATGTATAGATACCTAGAAGAACTTTTTGGAAGGATATCCTCAAACTGGTAAGAGCAATTGCTTTGGGAAAGGGATGGGGGACAGGGGAGCTGGATAAAAAACATCAGAGGAGGTATGAGCATTGTTTCTGTTCAGTTTAAAAAACTGTTTGCATTTACCTTTAAAAGAAGAATACAACCAAAGGGGCTGGGCGTGGTGACTCATGCCTGTGTCCCAGCACTTTAGGAGGCCGAGGCAGGAGGATGGCTTGAGCCTAGGAGTTCAAGACCATCCTGGGCAACAAGCTGAGACCCTTATCTCTACAAATTTTTAAATATTAGCTGGGCGTGTTGCTCAGGAGTTCGAGGCAGGAGAATCGCTTGAACTCGGGAGGCAGAGGTTGCAGTGAGCCAAGATCACACCATTGCACCCCAGCCTGGATGACAAGAGGGAAATGCCATCTCAAAAAAAAAAAAAAAATTAGCTGGGTGTGGTGGCAGGTGACTGTAGACTCAGCTACTCAGGGGGCTAAGGTGAATGGATCGCTTGAACCTGGGAGGTCAAGACTGCAGTGAGCTGTGATCATGCCATTGCACTCCAGCCTGAGTGACGGAGCACGATCTTGTCTCCAAAAAACAAACAAACAAAAAAATACAAAAAAAGAAAAACAACAAAAAGCAACTTACGATTGGTAGGTGCGTAACCTACCCAGAAGCCCACAGCCATGAAGTGGGAGGACCCCCAGGCACTTTGTACCACTTCTGAGGCCTCCTCTCTCCCCT
The DNA here is from genome assembly GCF_000001405.40 of Homo sapiens. Lineage (NCBI taxonomy): Eukaryota > Metazoa > Chordata > Mammalia > Primates > Hominidae > Homo > Homo sapiens. The sequence continues at coordinate 110,417,855 of NC_000010.11, read as the reverse complement.
TTCCCTTCTAATGGTTCCTTCCCGGGGCAGGGGGATACCAAACAAAATCCCCCCAATCCATCCCTGCAGCTGGAGTCTGGGCCCTATTCCAACAAGGACCCTTGTGCACTGAGGCCCCGTGAGATGGTCCCCAGCAGGAACCCCAGGCTGAGTTAGGGACAGATTCCCCCAGCTCACCGTGTGCCCTCTCCTAGGGGAAATAACTCCTCCCCAAAGCAGGCTGGTCACCGCAGGTTTGTTGGCACAGGCTGATGTGCTGCGCCCTTGCTGGGCACTCTTCTCAGGGTGGAGAGCACCAGCTGACATCAAGGTGGTGACTCAGCACCTTAGCAGCTCCTCCTCCAGAGGAAAAAGCCTTGCTGGCACGTGCTGGGCATGATGGGTGGGATGTGGTGGGAAAGACAGCCTGGCCTGGCCTGGCTTCTCCACCGGTGGGGATACTGTGGGCTTGGCCTTGGCCAGAGGGCTCTGGGCATCATTTATCTCCCCCTGCATTCAGGTCCTCCCTTAGGGGGCAGAGATTGGACTGGGCATAGCCTTGCAGGCTGCCAGCCAGGGAGGAAATTGTCCTCAGCATAATAATAATTTATACATCTTTATAGCCTCTTATCTGCAGATCTCAAAGCACTGAAAAGCTCAGATATTGTTTGTGGAGTGAGAATTTGCCTGGACCAAGAGCTCTGCAGCCCAAGTCAAGACCAGCTGAAGCCCTCTTGCTCACAACTGGGGCTCACACACTCGCTACCTTACTCACCCAGGCCTGGGGGCCTGGCTTTGTCCCTGCCACGCCCCTGCTCAGCCACAGACACTGAGAGCCATAGTCTTTGTCACTCAAGACCAATTCAGCCAATGGCCAGAGCACCTAAGGGGGCTCCCCACCCCTGTAAGTGTCCCACTTGGTGGGCCAGGCTAGGAATGTGGGCAGATGGGAGGAACCCTGGCTTGAGATCCAGTAGGCCTTGATTCTCAAAGCTGGCCACTTATTGGATTGATGTAGCCCTTCTCCCACCCAGGCCTCTATGTCCTTACCCAGTAAAAGGTGTTTGGAATCCTCCAGGGATTGCAAACCATGCTAACCAAAATCTTGGCTTTTTCCAAGGGAGCTTCATGGCTTTTGTGAATACTCAATTCAAATATAATTCCCAAAATGTATTTTATTTATTTTTACTTATTTATTTTAAGACAGGGTCTCACTCTATTGCCTAGGCTGGAGTGCAGTGGCATGGATCATGGTTCACTACAGCCTCAAGCTCCTAGGCTCAAGTGATCCTCCCACCTCAGCCTTCTGAGTAGGTGAGACAATAAGTGTATGCCACCACACCCAGCTAATTTTTAATTTTTTTGTAGAGATGGGGGTCTCCCTATGTTGCCCAGGCTGGTCCTGGGCTCAAGCCATCCTCCCTCTTTGGCCTCCCAAAGTGCTGGGATTACAGGTGTGAGCCACTGTGCCTGGCCCAAAATGTATTTTAAACTACTTGAATATTTGTAATAAGCAGCACCATGCACATTTAGAAGTGATACGTGATTTTCACACACTGGAGCTCACCTCAGTTGTGTTCACACTGATTTCATAAGTAACACAGTAACATGTTGGAAACTTGAACTTCTTAGAAAATATATTTAAACTAGTGGAGTGAAGCTTTTATTGTTCACATACACTGGGGCCCTGTGTCGGGTCAAATCTTATTTGGAAAAAGGGTTCTGTTTAAAAAGATCTCACAGGCATTGGGCTTCGTCACCAGGAAGAGAGATAAGGAGAAGTGATATGACCAGTGTTTCTGGTGAGTGACTTCTGTGTCCCACAACTGTGTTGGAAGATTTTCTCAGCAGACTGCAGAACATCTTATCTGAGCTCTGGTCTGAGCAGTGCCACTGATTGGCAGACATTTGCAAGTTGGTTCTGGAAGTCACTGGTAGCTGACAGCTCCAGGCCAATCTGAAAGAGGTAGGGCCCGTTTCTGCACCAGGGCAGAAGAGTGAAGCCTTTCAGGAGCTGCCTGGGGATAAGAAACAAATACTAAGAACTCAAATCACAAGTTGCCTAGCTCCAATGTGCCAGGCGACGGGCTGCACCTCTCACCCATGCAAATACATTTGTCCCTCACATGTACATAAGGAGGTTTAGCCTCATTTTATAGGTGAGGAAAGTGGTACACAGATAGTTTGACACCCCCCAAATTCCCTAGCTAGTGAGTGACAGTGCTGGGAGCAAACCCCCAAGTCTGGGATGGGGATCAGAAACTCACAGTTTTAATGAGCACCCCAGGGGATTCAGGTAATTCTGATGCAGGTGGTCCACACACCCTTCTCCGAGAAATACTCTACTACATTATACTGGGTGCAGGGGCTGGATACAGACTGAAGTAGAAATAGTTCTGACCAACAGTGGCCTTGTCATCAGCACCTGCTTTTTACCAACCTTTTACCTAACAGGTGGCTCTGCCTGAACAAGGTCTTAGAGGGGTCTCTGGACATCTGATACAGGCAAGCATCTGCCCCTTTCTTTGCTTCCATTTTCACCTCAATAGAGCAAGGGATGACATCTTGGTGCCCTTCCTGCTCTCAATCCTGTGAATCCATTACCAGCCTCTGTGACCTGAGTACCAGACCAGGAGCTCCAAGGTTGGGTCTCAGAGTGGTAAAGGGTCTTGCTTGAGTCAAACAGTTAGTAAGTAGTAAAGCCTCCTTTAGTCAGGCTGCTGGGGTCCAGATCTCCACCATCTTAACTCCCAAGCAGTGGTGTCCCCAAGGACGGGGCCATAGGAATGGTGCACATGGGTACAATAAGAGGTCATATCATCTACAGAAAAATTACAAACAATAATAAACTGACTAACAGTGATGCACCAGCAATTCTAATCAACGTCAGTGATAAACTACTTCTGTCCCCGCCACACCCCCACTAGCTTGGTATGCCACCCACTGCCACCCTCTGCCGCATTCTCTCCTGGGGTTATGTGAGTCACTGCTGTGCAGTGAGGCTTCTCAGAGGAAGGAGAGGAAGAGACCTTGTTAGGGGTGGGGGTGAGGTCTCTTCAATGTGGTCCCCATCCGGCCACACCATCTGTGACAAAGACACCCAAGAGAATGTGGTCTGGGTGACTACAGGGCTCATTTACCTCAGGCTAAAAATAGGTGCATTCCCCGCAGCAGGTGGGTGACTCAGCAGGCCTGAGGAAAGCTTCTAGATGGAGGAAGCGCAGTCTTGCCAGCCCAGGTTTCCCCCCGGTACCAGAACAACAGGAAGGGGCTGATGACGGAATTGTAGCATGCATTTCACAACCCCTTCTGCGCCTCCCAACTTTCCCCTGCTGCCGTTCCCCAAACTCCCTGTTCAAAAATTGCTGTTCAAATTCCTGAAATTGCTAGTCCAATTGAGAGCCCAAATGAGACCATGTGGCCAACTGCTCAAACTTATGGTAGCTTTCTTCCAGACCTTAAAGAGAGAGGCGAGAGAAGGTGCATGCATGTATGTGTGTGTGCACACGTGTGTGAGAGCAGGTACATGAGAAGCAGGCCACAGAGCGTCTATACTGGAGTCTGCCTTTGTCTCTGACCTCCCAACCTGGCCGCTGGCCACATACAGTGGAACCCAAGGAGGACTGCTGATGCTCTCTGATCATTTTCTGCAATGCGTTATGCCCTGGGAAATGAAAAGTGCTCCCTTCTTTCCATCCCCAGACTTTTCAGGAAGCAAGCACAGTCCTGACCTTCTAGATATATCTCCAGAGGCTCAACAGAAGCTGAGGAGTGAGGCAATTATTTGAAGAATTCAACCCCACTTCAGGCAGCTGTCTGAGCAGATTGATGCAACGGGAAGAGGCAAGACTGAGCGCCAGGACCTAGTTTCTCGTCCTGGTGCTGCCGCTCATTTGCTTTGTGACCTTGAGCAAATCAGTTTTCCTCTCGAGCCTCTAGTTTCTTTCTCCTCTGCACATCCATTTGTTATTTCTTCAACAAATACCTATTAAATGCATACTGGGCCATGCACCTGAGTATACCATGCTAGATTCAGGAACAAGCAACTATGGAGGATGAAAAATGTCCAGGAAGTCTTTGCACCTCCTCCTAACAAAAACTAGCACTACTTCTCTGTCCTTTGACTCTAGGATGACCTTGTAACTTGCTTTGACTAATGCTGCGAAAGTGACTCTTGACTTTTGCTCTCGCCCTCTTGGAACCCAGCTACCACATGAGGAAGCCCCAGCTAGTCTGCTGGAGAGGCCACATGGAGGAGAACTGAGCCTCCCTCACTGACAGCCTCCACCAACAGCCCATCAAGTTAGACTATGCAGTCCCAGTCAACAAGCCACTTGACCAAAAATGTAAGAGTGAGCCCAGCCAAAACCATCTGGAGCAGAAACAAGCCACCCTGCTGAGCCTTGACCAAACTGTCAACCCACAGAATTGTGAGCAATTACATGGTTGCAGTTTTCAGCTATTAAGTTGTGGTGGTGGCTTGTTATTGATATAATTAATGTTTATTGACAATTTCCAATGTGCCATTGACAATGCTAAATGTTTTACATATATAATTTCATTTATTCCTCCCATCAACCATGTGAGGCAGGTACTACTATTCAAATATCCATTTTACAGATGAGAACACTGAGGCACAGGAAGGAGAAGCAACTTGCTGAAGATCAAAGAACAGCTGGGTAGGGGAGCTGGGATATGAGGCCAGGCAGTCCAAGCTTCAGAGCCTACACTGGTAATTCACCACCACCTTACACAGAACCAAACAGACCTGGTTCTTGCCCTTACAGAGTTTATCATCTAGGTGGGAGACTGGCATTAAAGAAACACAGAAATAAATATACAATCACAAATATTGATGAGTGCTAGGAAGAAGACAGATGCTACGGTGTGTTCACAGAGAAGGCCTCTAGGGAGGCCCGAGGGTCAAAGGGGCAACCAGCTGAGCGAGCTGGGGCAAAGACCAGAGGATTAGAATGTGATTTTGCAATTTCTGTCAGCATAGATGTCCCCTGGGAAGCCTGGTAGAAATGCAAAAAAGACCTGGGCCTAATTCCCCAGAGGTTCTGATTTTCACCAGTCACCTCCAGATATTCTGATTTGCTGGCTTTGCTTGATTGGGAGCCTGATAATTCTTTTTGTTTTTGTTTTTCTTTCTTTCTTTCTTTTCTTTCCTTCCTTCTTTCTTTCTTTCTTTCTTTCTTTCTTTCTTTCTTTCTTTCTTTCTTTCTCTCTCTCTCTCTCTCTCTCTCTCTCTTTCTTTCTTTCTTTCTCTCTCTCTTTCTCTCTCTCTCACTCTTTCTTTCTTTCTTTTTGAGATGGAGTCTTGCTCAGTCACCTAGGCTGGAGTGTAGTTGTGCAATCTCGGCTCACTGCAACTTCTGCCTCCCGGGTTCAAGCGATTCTCCTGCCTCAGCCTCCCCAGTAGCTAGGATATTACAGGCATGTGCCACCACACCCGGCTAATTTTTGTATTTTTGGTAGAGACAAGGTTTCACCATGTTGGCCAGGCTGGCTGGTCTCCAACTCCTGACCTTGTGATCCGCCTGCCTCGGCCTCCTAAAGTGCTGGGATTACAGGCTTGAGCCACTGCACCCGGCCTTCTTTTTCGTTTTTAAACGTGCCCCCCAGCTGATTTTTCTCATAAGGGAAATTTGAGAAGTACAGCTCAGTAGTATCGTGTGAATAGATTAAACAAAATAGCTGCCCAGCCCCCATTCTGAGAGAGATTATGATCCATTTGGTCTGGGGTATTTTTTTTTGAGACAGAGTCTCACTCTGTCACCCAGGCTGGAGTGCAGTGGTGTGATCTCAGCTCAGTAGAGACAGGGTTTCACCATGTTGGCCAGGCTGTTCTCGAATTCCTGACCTCAGGAGATCCTCCCACCTTGGCCTCCGAAAGTGCTGGGATTACAGGTGTGAGCCACCGCATCCGGCCTTGGAGTGAATATTTTTAAAAGCTCTTTGGGTGATTCTAATGTGTGGCCAGGGCTGGGAAGTGATGTTGGAAGATTCTCCAAGGTCCAAGGCTGCTGCTTTTCTCTAGTTCTTTGGAGACACCAGGGCTGGGAAGTGATGTTGGAAGATTCTCCAAGGTCCAAGGCTGCTGCTTTTCTCTAGTTCTTTGGAGACACCAGGGCTATCTGGGGCTTCTGAAGCTCTCCCTTTGGTGATTTAATACTGTGGAGACCCAGAACAGAGCCTGAGGTCAACCTTTGCTCCAGACGGGGCTCTGACTGAACAGGCCCAGTAGACCCCTCCTCACAGACTACCCTCCCCCCGTAACATTCCCAGGGGCTCCCTCTGGCTCCCACATTCCCTTTAATTTTCATTTGCTTTAAAGTGGAGAATTCCTTTAATTGCAGGGAGAAAATGACTACCACTTGCAAATATTTGTCCTCCTCTAGGGCCCTATAAGGCAGCTCCTTCATTTTATTCTCTTCCTTTGACACCTTGCTCAGGGCCTCTCGGAGCTCATATTCCCCACTCTCTGGAGAATGATGCCATCTGTGGGGTGACCCATAAGAAGGGCCCATGGTGCCTGGATGGTTTCTTATCTGGCTTCCTCCTCTTCTTCCAAATAAGGCAGGAGGGTCACCGGGAGTGCCACCTGATGCAGCTTGATTTAGACCAGAGAGTATGAAAGAATCCACTCTTGGCTTGGGGCCCACCAGCCGCAGGCCTGAAGAAAGCTTGCTGTAGGCGAGGAGGCAGAGAGAGAAGGGCGCTGGCCCAGAATGCTACAGCCCCTTGTGAGTGGCGCAGCATGGGCTTGAGCATGCAGAGGTAGCACGTTCACGGCACAGGCGTGAGAAATGCCTCCTCCCGACAGCCTTGTCCCTCCATTCCAGTGTGGCTGATGGTCGCCACATAGAGGATTGCCACGAGAATTCAGAGTTCGTGGTGGGGTCTGGGGCATGGCGGGGACTCCCTAAAGGAGTTTTCATTCCTCTTTGCTAGGACAGACACAGAAATAAACTTGATGCCCGAGGAGGAAGACAGGGCCCCAGGAAATACCCTTCTTTAGGGGCTGGGAGAGACTCCAGTAGTTGCGGCCCATCCCTGGAGGCCCCAGCTCTCTCTCCAGTCCCCAGGAGCTGAGAGGTCAGCCCTGCCCACTCCTGTCTCACACAGAGGACCCTCCAAGCTGGCTGTATGGGAACAGCCTTGCCCACACATGATCCAGATGGTTGCCCAGAGGAGGGGATGGCCGAGGGAAGGGTGAGGCCTGACCAGTGATGAAAGAATGAAGAGAATGAGGTACTGACTCATTCTCTGGCTCCTGCTCTAGGAAGGAAAAGGACTTATTTGCGGGTGGGGGTGTGGCTGGAGCCAGGCCAAAGGGTGCAGTGAGAAATGAGGTGCCTCTGGCTCACGGATAAATCCTCCTGGGAAGTGGGGCCAGTTTACGAAACCCAGCAACTTGATTGACGGTCTCTTCTTTCTTCTAACTCATCCTTCTAACTGGGAGCAGTAGGAGGAATTCCAAAGACCAAGGCAGGCAGCCTTTCTTGAGTTCTACTGCACATCCAGCCCTAGGCCAATTCTGGTGTGGACACCATCCCTTCAGAGTGACAGGATGAACTTGGGGTTCAGCATCTGCTTGGGCAGAGCGAGTGTTGGCCGCTGTGCCTTGTTCTCTCTCCCCACCTTTCTTTCCTCCCACCCACCCCTACCTCACCAAGCCAAGTATGGACTGTATCTGGGACAAATTTTTCTGTATAGATCAAACAGTTCCAAATAGCACAAAGGCAAAGGCACTTACGGGTTAGTAGTGGGCCTCCTCGGTATCTGTTTGTATGAGTTAATTTGCATGAGGGTAGATAGGCCTCTAAGGAGGAAGTTTGGTGAGAGGTTAAGCATGGAGTACAAAGGAGCAAGGGGCCTGAGTCTCATTCTCTGTATTGCTGGAATGGTGGATGTGACTGAAAAAAAAAATTTTTTTTTTCTTTCTTTTCTTTCTTTTTTTTTTTTTTTTTGCTTAATGCAAAAACGGAATTTACTGACTTTAGAATGGAAGTCCAAGGGGTGTGGCTGGTTTCAGACAAGACTTAATCAGGGGCTCTAAACAATGTCACCAAAACTTCATGTTCTCTGTTATCTTTCGGCTCAGCTCTTCTCCAGGTGACAGCTCGATCACTGGCTGGTTCCACCCCATGGGGGCAAGATGACTGCAGAAGCTCCAGGCCTCACACCCTCTCACCAGGGCAAAGAACTAGTTCAAAAGTTCTGGAACTGAGTTTCATTGGCTCTGATTTGCCTGCCTTCGGTCATGTACCCATCCCTTAACCAATAACTGTGGCAGGGGGGTAGAGGGTACTGATTGCAGGATCATAATCTCCACTCCCAGATCTGAGTGTCTGGGAAGGGGATGTGTATAGGGAGCCTGGTCATGGTGCTGATGGGGGCAGTTTCACCGGAATCATATAAACTGAGCTGAGGCTTTTATTGCAAGTGAGTGAATGGGGACAGGCTAGCAGGAAACACTGGCCCCTTACTCCCTTTAGAGAGGAGGCTGCAGGGAAAAGCTGAAAAGGCTTCTTTGGAGCCCAGCTTACAAATTGGGACACACAGTAGGGAGAGGAGCTTTCTGCCTCTTTCAATTCAGAGCACAAAACCGTTTTGCCTCGGTAGGCACTGAGGACTGCCATACTGGCCAGCACCAGGGGTCACACCTTAAATAGAGAAACAGGGGCCTCATGGAGCAGCCCAGGCAGGGAGTAAGGCAAGGTCCTGCCGCAGTTGCCCAGTGCACAGCCGACAGCAACAAAGAGGTCAAGTGGAAGACACATTAGCAGGCTGGCTGCGGGCACTTACAAGACACCCGAGGGACTTCCAGAGATGACTTGGGCAGACTCGGGAGCGAGTCCAGTGAGGTCCCATATCAGAGAGGAAAGCAGCATCCCTGCACCCTGTGTGGGAACATTAGTAGCCTGTGATGGAAAGAGCTTCAGAATGGGGACCAAAAAGGCAGATTCCAGTTGCCAGGCCACTTGTTAGCCATATGACTTTGGGCAAGTCATTCTCCCTTTTCTGGCCTCACTTTATTCCTCTGTGAAATGGGGGTGATACACCCACCTCTGGTTGATGGGGGAATCTGGTGAGATGGGTAGATGAAAGCAGTGGGGGAAAAGCTAATGCGCCGCCCTCGGGGCAGGGCCTGCAACACTTCCTATCCTGGTCACCGGAAGCCCTAAGGCCTAGACCCAAGGGCCATATATTCGTGCCCCAGAGGCATTCACAGCAAAGGGAAAAGCATCCAGAGGAACGAGCCCCACAGGCACCCTGTGGAAGCTGCTCCTCGTGGAGGCCCTGGGGGTGAGGCACTCAGCCAGGGATGTGGGCAGCTCCTCGGGGCACTCTCCTGCCCTTCCACTGAGTCAGAGGAAGGGACCCAGGCTGGGCATGAGCCTTGCAGGTTCTACTAGTTACTGAGGAGGGGAAGGGGGAGGGCTAAAGGCAGAAGGAAAAACACACAAACAACAGACACACCCACCCTCTCCACAAACAACCCCCTCCTAGAGGCCCAGGGCACAGATGCAAATCAAGGCCTGGGAAAGTGAAGTCACCACCTCCGCACTAGGGAAGAGCTCCCCAGGCCTCATCCACACTTCCTCCCCTAGCCTCTCCCTACCGCCCACATAGCAGGGCCCTTGGGCAGGGATTGCTTGTTTTCCAGAATGGTCTTGGTTGCAGGGACCCAGGCCTCCTCCAGCCCCTCTGGGTAGCTTAGACTCTCTACTCCCCAAATTTGGGTTTCCTCTGCTTCCTTCCCAGGGAGGTGTCTGTACTCTCACCCCTGCTACCCGAGTCAGTGTCCTGGAGAGCTGGCTGGTGGAAATGTCTTCTCTGTACCATGCTTGGCCTTTCAGGTCCACCTATTCATCATCTGGTAGTGACTAGAAACATTCCTTTCCGTATTTGCCCCAGGCCAGGCAGCTTGCCTGGACTTACAGGAGAGGGGCCATTCTGCTCAGCCTGCACTGGAGGCCAGCAGAGATCTCAGCTCCAGCCCACAGGGAACAGTCGTTACGGTGGAGAAAATATGAGTTTGAATCGTTAGTTTCTGTGCTTCTTAGCTATGTGACTTTAGATAAGTTACTTCACTTCTCTAAGCCTCAATTCTCTTATCTGGATATTTTTTCCCTTTTCTGAATTCCTGCATCACTGCTCTCCTGGTAGGCATCTCTGCTAGGCAGCAATGACAATACCCTACAGGTTGCTATGAGGGCAGGGATGAGAGGGACAAAGCTCGTGGCAGGGCTTGGTAGATGAACCTCCCCAGCTTTCCACACCTTACCACATGTTATTTTCCTATTCCATTCTCTTCTCCTATGAAATGACTGGTTTGTTTGCTCAGCAGTCATGTGTTGAGAGTCAGGCACCATCACACACTGGCATGTATTATCTTCATCCCACATCCCTGTGAGGCTTAAAGCGTAAAGCCCATTTCAAGAGTATCCTGTGGCTCAGAGGAAGGGTAAGAGTTAGGAGGCTACCAGGGTGTAGAGTCAGCATTCGATGCCTGGGCTTCAAATTCCAGCAGGAGCCCAGCTCCACAGGTTTCCATGGACTGTTTCTCTGCCTGGAATGTCCTCCCATCTCTCCCCCTAATTATCGTCAGTCATTCAGAGTCTCATTCCTTCCATCTCCTCCAGGACACCTTCTAAATCAGTGAGGACACTTTTGATTGCAAGTGACAGAAACCTCCCTCCCAAAGAGGCTTAAGAAAAAAATGGGAATTTGGGGCTCAAGGAAACCAAAAACCCAGGTGATCTTATTTAGTTACAGTTGGATTCAGAGCTCAAACAACATCATCAGTATTTTCTTTCTCTCCAAATCTTCGTCTACCCGTTTTTATGAAGGCGGAGGTTTCAGGCTCTACAGAGTAGCAAAAGGCACAGCAGTTCTGGCACTCACGTCCTTACAATTTTTTGGTATAGCGGAAGGAGTGAGTCTTATTTCTCCAGAGCTCCTCAAACTTTGTCTTGGAATTGAGATGTATTGTCATTCTCTGGTCTAACTTGGGTCAGATTCCCATTCCCAAACCAATCAATGTGTCCAGGGGATGGAGTTAGTGGATTAACTTAGACCTAAATCTCCTTCACCTCTCTGGAGCTCCTGGTGGAGCTGGCTTTACCAATTGAGGTATGCTTACTAGACATAGGTGAATGGAAGCTGACCACAAAGCAAGATGTCCACAAGCCCCTGTTGAAATTTTTTCCCTTTTCTGAATTCCTGGTAGGCATCTCTGCTAGGCAGCAAACTCTTTGAGGGCAAAGACCCTGTACATGACCCTGAGCCCTTAATAGAGCACCTGGAAAATGGGCACCAAACATGTGCTTTTCAATGGACCTAAGTATTTATTCAGAACTCAATGCACCTAGCTCTGAGCTAGTGGCATCAGTTAAGATTCAACTGAGAAGAGAAACACTCTTGCTATTCTAAACAGGAGAGGGCTTGTGACAGGGTGTTGAATGGCTTGCAGAATCACTGGGAGAGCTGAAGAAACAGACTCGAGGTTGAGCTTTCAGAAGTGACTGCCTTAGGCACACTGCAGAACTGGGCCACGAAGAGGGCTGGTAAGGGGACTGTGGTGAGGAGCCAGTGTCATGTGTTGGCCATGGGGTTGGAGAGAAGTGCACAGATTGAGGAGGTAAAGTCAAGTGGCTTTGAGGGTGGATCGAGGCAGCAGAGTCTGTGGGTTAAGAGCCTGACTCTACCACTAACTTGCAAGGTGGGTAATATCTCTGGGATTCAATTTCCTTGTCTGTAAAATGGTGATAATAACTCCAATTACATCATAGGGTTATAAATTATGTTTCTAGCTTTCTGGAGACCAGATGCTACTCCTGGGCTAGGAAATGCAGGAGGAATGGGTGGGGTTTGTGTGGAAGAGGGTCCATTCCATTTGGGTTTCTTGACTTAATGGATCCTGGAAGGAATCTAACTGGGCGGCTCAGCAGACTATTGAATGTTAGGTCCCAGGCTCCAGAGAAAAATCTGTGCTGGAGTTTTCCATTTTATTGTGATTAATTCTGATTTACTCTTTTTAATTTGGGTGATGTAGCTCACAGCCTTCACATGGGACTTACAGGGAGGCTAGCGTTCAGTCCCCTTCATCCTAAGTATTTCTACTTTACCAAGTGGCAGCCTCTCTCCAGGAGCCAGGAGCTTCTACTTATCAGCCCTTTCGGTTATCAGATGCCGTGCTGAGCATGTACCTGGATTATCTCCTTTGGCCCCCAGGACACTCTAAGACAGCTACTATTACAGAAATGAGGAGAAATGAGGGAAGCATCAGGAAGTTGAGCAAGTTGCCCAGGGCCACAGAGTCAACAGCAGAGAGCAGCTCTGACCTCCAAGCCCGTGCTTACAGCTCATGTTGTAGCGCAGAACTTTCAGTGATAACAGAAACGTTCTATCTGCACTGTTCAGTGTGGCCACCACCAGACACAAGTGAACTAAGGAATGGAATTTGAAATTTTCTTCAACTTTAATTAATTTAAATTTAATAGCCACATATAGCTAGTGGCAACCATATTGAATAGCATTGACCTAGTCCTTCCGGAAGGCCAAAGAAAAACCCAAAACTTGCCCTCCGACCTTGTTGCAGTATCTTCTCATTTGAAACAGTTCACAGTAAGGGCTAGGGCTCATCTTGAGTGAAACACGGTCTCCCCACAGGCTCCTGAGCTCCTCACTAAGAGACGTTCTAGCCCTTGAGGGTTAACTAGATATTTCCTGCTTCCCACAGTGTTCGAAGGTACCAGATGGGGAAGTTGGATGGGTTGGGAGGTGTGAAGGCCTCCTGGTGGCTTCCGAGATGGAAAAAGGAAATGCCCTTCTGCGGCATCCTGGAATACCAGGCTCCAGCCTGGCATCTAAAGCAATGGCACTGTTGCCTGGGAGACGAGGAGCACTAAAGACCTCCCAGCGGGTGGCCAGCCTGCAGCAGGGACCACTCTTGGAGGACAGCAGCAGAAGCAAAGGGAGGAATGGAATGGGGCATCAGGGGCAGAAGACCCGGAGGTACTGGGGGTGGAAGGGGCCAGGATGGGGCCTGGTGCAGATGGGAAGACAGAGGGGGAGGGAAGAGAAGGCCTTGGCTCTCAGCAGCAGGGTGAGGGGAAAGCAGGAACTGTACAAACAGCAGAGTGGAGACTCAAGCAGGTTTGGGCAGAAGCAGTGCCTATGGATCCTTACCAATTTAGAAGTAAAAACTCTTAGTGTAAACCAACTGCTCTTGTGATGCAATTGTCAGCAACAGCTGAGTAAGTAATTAGAGGCCTGGGAAGAGGCTTGCTGCCATATAACCTCGGCACCCGCCTCCCTACTGTCACCTCTGTGGCTGCGCCAGTGCCATACTTACTCTTCTTCCCCCAGCAGGACTATGTTCTAATTATATCTAGCCAGGCTCACCAAGAGTGTTTCCCATGGAATTTCATTTCCGGGCCTGTTGAATGCCAAATTAACTTTTAATCATCCTGGAGGTATTGAGTTTAATTAACCAGATTGAAAGTGACAAGCAGAACAGGATTTAGAAGGTAACTTTTTGGGGTGCTTCTTGGGAATGCAGAACAATTTATTTCCAGGAAGTTGGGCGGTTGAGGGGCATGTCTGTGCTCTCCAGCCACAGTGTCTGCATATTTGAGAGCCCACTATGTGCCTAGCTCTGCAGTAGACAGGGTCAGGGCAGAAGGGTAGAAAATGTGGCCTCTGGAGAAGCCCAAGCTTGAGATGGAGAGAACCTCACCAGGCACGAAAAACAGGAGTAGGGAATAATACAAGACCCTCTGTCTTCAAGTCCTAAGTGGTGCCATGAAGCCTGGTCAGCAATTCACTTAAACCAGTGCTTTTTTTTTTTTTTGTTTCACTACACCACCACATCTGTCTACATTTAAAGCTAATAGCTACTCTTTATTGCACGTTTTTTTATGTGATAGCCAGGTGTAGATACAGTCACCCTCACAGCCTTTCCGCCTTCCTGACTGGGCTTGGGTAATCTTCCCTCTGCCATAGGGCCAGGAGCCTGACTACCTGGTCAATTTGGCACATCCCATTTCCTTTGCCAGAGACTGGCGTAGGTGTGGGCATGGGATGCCATCCTGGCCAAAGTGTTCTTAGAAATAGTCAGCTGAGAGGCCGGGTGCAGTGGCTCATGCCTGAAATCCCAGCGCTTTGGGAGGCTGAGGCGGGCGGATCACCTGGGGTCAGGAGATAGAGACCATCCTGGTTAACACGGTGAAACCCCATCTCTAGTAAAAATACAAAAAATTAGCCGGGCCTGGTGGTGGGTGCCTGTAGTCCCAGCTGCTCGGGAGGCTGAGGCAGGAGAATGGCATGAACCTGGGAGGCGGAGCTTGCAGTGAGCCGAGATTGCACCACTGAACTCCAGGCTGGGCGACAGAGTGAGACTCTGTCTCAAAAAAAAAGAAAGAAAGAGTCAGCTGAGTTGGGGGTAGCGTTCTGGGAAAGGTTCTCAAAATGAGGCACACAAGAGATATCCCCTTTTTCTACCAGAAGTTGTCGTGTCTTGGTGTGAGGGCTTGTGGCCTGGGACTGTGGCAGCCATTCTTTCACCATGAGGGGATCCACCTGAGAATGCAGCTTACATTCTGAAGATGGCAGAGTAGGAAGAACCTGGAAGCTGTTGAGCTGTGAATTATCCAACCCTGGAGCACCCTGCCTGAAGCCCTTTTCTTAGGTGAGATAATACATTCTGGCTGGGTGCGGTGGCTCATGCCTGTAATCCCAGCACTTTGAGAGGCCAAGGTGGGAGAATTGTTTGAGCCTCAGGAGTTTGAGACCAGCCTGGGAAACATAGTGAGACCCATCTATACAGTTGTTGTTTTTTTTTAATCTTAAAAATTAGCCAGGCGTGGTGGCACATACCTGTGGTCCTAGCTACTTGGGAGGTTGAGGTGGAAAGTATCACTTGAGCCTGGGAGGTAGAGGCTGCAGTGAGCTGAGATCGTGCCACTGCACTCCAGCCTGGGCAACAGAGCAAGGCTCTGTATCAAAAAACACAAAACAAAAAAGCACAACACATTCTGTGTGTTTGCAGCTATTTAGGGTAAAGTTTCCATGAAGCTGTAGCAACCAAGGGCATCTTCACTGGGAGCCAGACACTGTGCTAAGTACTTCACGTCGATTATCTTATTTCTGTGCTACAGCAACAAAGACAAATTCAGCCTTGGTTCCTGCTCTCACAAGATGGAGTCCTGAGGTACAGAATATGAGATAGCAGGTGTGGTGAGCTGAGGAACAATCCTGACCAGGAGGGTTCAGGGAAGGCTTGTTAGAGGAGGTGGTGTTTGAACTGAATCTTAAAGGAAAAGGAAAAGTTGGGTGCACAGCGAAGGTGGTGGAGAGGATACTTCAGGCATGGGACCCACGTGAACAAATGCACAGCAGCTCATGGTAGCTTGGGGCCTTGAGAATCTTAACGGGAGGGAGTGACACCGGGGTGTGCCTGGGCCAGGCAGGGTGAGGCAGGCGAGGTACCTAGGGCACTTGCGCCGGCCTGAGAATCAGTACCTCCTTACGTTTTGTGCCTAAGCATTTCAACTGGTCCTGGAGAAGGGACTCTATCTAGAGTCAGTCGGCCTTGGATGAAATCCTGGATCTCTCATTGATGGTGTAAACTCTTGGCCTCAGTTTCCACCCTTGAGAAATGGGTCTAAGACCCCTACCTCACAGGATTATTGGAGGATCACATGAGTCAGAGAATGTAAAATTCCTAGAGGAGTACCCGGCTCGTGCTTGGTGGAAACTGAATTAATTTTTTAAAAATAAATCCTATGGTAAGAGCTTAAAACCAAGATTTTTTTAAATGGCTAAAAGAATGACATCTCTGAGTTTTCCTATGCCTCATGCTGGCGTGCTCCCTCACTATTTGATTCTTTCCCAGATCTCCCTCATGCTGGGGTGGGCAGGAAGCGAAGAACACAGGAAGGAGGGAGTCAGAGGCTGATGGCAGTTCCTGCTTCTCCAGTTTTAAGACCAAGACCCAGTTTCAGGCCTATCAATGTCAAGGGGAAAGGTAAATCCTGCTCCATCCAGGGCCAGAGGTAAACCCCCACCCCTTGCTCCACACCTCAGGGGTGTGCACCATGGGGAGGGAGGGAGGCAGGACCTCCAGCCCCTCTCAGCTTCCTGAGAAGTCTTTGCCACCTGGGGACCCCTCCCTGCATCCCCCTCCTATGATCTCCCATCTGGGGCCTTGGTGAGAAGAGGCTGTTGGAATGCCTCAGGAGACATGGCATGTGTCCCAGCCAGAGCCATCTTGATAGCAAAGCTGACACCACAATCCCGATGCCTAATTGCATGCCTTCTCCCTCTCACCTTCCCAGCACAGGGAGGTTGCTGAGAAGAGAACATGAACACAGAGGCTAAGAGTGAATGGGTCTTTTCTTTTTTTCTTTTTCTTTTTTTGGTTTCAGTTTTGTTTTGAGATGGGGGTCTTGCTTTGTTGCCCAGGCTGGTGTTGAACTCCTGGTCTCGAGCGATCCTCCTGCCTCAGACGCCTGAGTAGCTGGGATACAAGCGTGCACCCCCATGACAGGCTGAGTGGATGCTTTGGATTCAAACTCTGCTGTTGACGAATACTGTTAGTTGCCTGTGTCATACATCTCCCACAGCCCCCCTTATGCTACACCTTCTGCCACATACACACCCTTCCTTACAGTGACAGCGAACCCAGCTCCAGGCAATGGACTATGACTGGTCTAAGCCAAGGGTCAGCAAACTACGGCCTGAGTGCCAAATCTGAATGCCCCCTGTTCTTACATGGTACATGAGCTAAAATGGTTTTTAACACGTTTCAAATGGTTGAAAACATAAAAATAATATTTTGTGACACATGAAAATTATATGATATTGAAGATTTTTAAAATTTCAATGTATAATTTTTATTTTTTTATAGAGACAGGGTATTGCTATGTTGCCTAGGTTAGTCTCAAACTCCTGGCCTCAAGTGATCCTCCTGCCTCGGCCTCCCAAACTGCTGGGATTACAGGTGCGAGCCACTGCACCCAGCTGAAATTCAAGTTTAAGTGTTCATAAATAAAGTTTTATTTAAATACAACCACATACGTTTGTTTATATATTATCTATGACTGTTTTTGCGTGACAAAGGCAGAGTTGAGTAGTTGCAACAGAGACTGTATGACCCACAAAACCTAAAATGTTTCCTGTCTACAACTTTCCAGAAAAAGTTTGCAACCTTTGGTCTAAGCAATCATGATAATCCTGCTCCTTTTTTCCCAGGCTTCCTTGCAATGAGGAGTAGGCACATGGTCCAGTTCTGTCCAAAGAAAACTAAGCAGAGGTTTCTGGGGGAGACCTGCATAAAAGCATTATTTTTCTGAAAGAAGGAGACAGCATGGCTGGGCCCCATCCTCCCTACCTCCTGCCTGAAGTGTGGGTATACTCTCTGGAGCCCAGCCAGGTATCTTCTTTCAGAGCCCATCTCCTGCCAAAATATGGAAAAACAGAGGGTCAAGAGTTCAGTCTGGAGGGCTGGGCAGGCTGGCTGGGGTCCAAGAGAGGGGAACGGTCCACCCTGGGCACCTGTCCAGAGGATGGGCTGCTTCTCACCTAGACCAAAGGAACCACTTGTCACCTGGAGTGGATTGAAGAAGGGTTGTCCCCTCCCAAGAACTTATTCGATGACTCCTGTCTGCTGGCCCCAACATTGACATCTGGAGGGCTGGAAGATGGACTGTCTCTGCTATGGAATCCTGGTGGCCAGCATTTTCCCCACGTCTTCTGGGTTTCCCTTTGTACCCAGCTCCTCCTATTGTAACTGAAAGATAGTAGATAATCAAAATAATCTTGGATGGTTGGGTGGATAGGTAAGGGCTGAATGAATGAATGAATGGAAAATACAGCTATTAAGAGGCTATCTTTCACACATGTGAGCTGACGGCAACCCTGTGAGGTCACAGGCTAGGTGTTACTATGCCCATTTAACAGAGAAGGAAACCGAGGTTCTGTAAAGCTAATTGACTTTCCCAAGGTCACAAGACTTGGAAGAGGTGAAGCTATGGCCCAAACCAACACTGCTTCAAGACCTGGGCACAGGCCCCTCCTGCCTCACCTCCCTGGACATCACCTCCAGTCCATACTAGACCCAATATATAGGCAAAGAACCTGCCGTCATCTCAGCAAATCATGAAAGGAACTTTCATGATTTGATGTGCAACCTTTGCAAATCAAATGATACGGGTCTGGGAAGCTGCCAGGAACAGCCTCTCATCCACATCCCCCAGTTCTGCTCTTGGGACTGCCAAGAACACGTCACTTCCTTAACAGTACATATTTGTAGAATGAATGAGTTCTCAGTACATATTTGTAGAATGCATGAGTTGCCCTGCATCGGTACAAATTCCTCAACAAAAGTCATAGGCTACAAAATCCCGGAAATGCAGGTACGATTGACATCACGTTTCCTAGCTTTGCAATAGAATGCAATGTGCATTCTGGTGGCCAAATGAGCCTCCTGCTGTGCTACACAAGCCCATGATATTCATCACCACCATCATGAAGGATCAGTTATCAGGCACACTTGCTGTGTGCCACTCACTATTCCAAGCATGCTATGTGAATGTTCTCATTTAAACTTCACAACCAACCCAGTGGTCTGGGTAATACTGCTATCCTCATTTTATGGTTGAGGAATTTAAGGTTCAGAGAGGTTAAGTAACTTGATCAAAGCCACACAGTCAGAGGTATCAGAGTCAGGTATAAACCCAAGTTTTTGTTTTGTTTTTTGTTTTGTTTTGTTTTTTACCTCCAATAAGAGAGGAGGTGGCAGGGAAGTCTTGTGTGGGATGGCTCTTGGGGGACAAATGCCCCCTCTGTAATCTGTATGGAGGGTGGTCCAGTCCGAGAGCTGACAGGAGAAGAGAGAGCTGCTGCTCAGGGAGGCAGAAGTGGGCGGGGACCTCTTGTTTGGGCAAGCCTTTCCTTGTCCCGTGCCAGGCTCAGCCCTAGCAGGCTCACCCAGTGGACATGACTGTTTGTGTGTGTTGGGGGGTGGGGTAAGGGCAGTGGATTAGGAGGGGTGGGGCTGGGCTAGCTGGGTTGTGATTCCCATGGAGACGCTGGTGATTCATTGCCCCTTCCAGCGAGTGGGGCCTCTATCAGGATGTGACTTGTAGTAAACAAGTCACAAGATGCCATCCAGGCAAGAGGGAAATGGGGAGGGGAGGATGGTGTCTCATCCTGAGCCTGGGCATCCTGGGCTTCGTAAAGTGCCTACCTGAGGCCCATCCCCAGGCTGCAGTGAAAAACCTTTCTTTGCCTGGGGGGAAGCACACTGGAAAAGGTCACTGCCAAAACCTTTTGAACTCTTTTTCCTGGAAGGTTCCAGGACCTCCATTGCCCTGGCCCAGAGGTACAGCGACTCGAGCTTGGGCAGTGAGTCCTGGTGCCCGGAGAATATCTCTCCCAGGGCTTCTGAGAGGTATGCATAGATAAGTCAACCTATGGAGTTTAGAAGAGCTGGGCTGAAAAAGAAAAGAAAAAGCTAAATCAACCTGCACACCATTAATTGGCACCTACTATAAGTCCAGCAGGGCCCAGTGGCTGACTTGGGATAGGTGCTCAATAAAGGTGTGTTGCCTGACTGAGTAACTGAACCGGGCTCATAACTCCAGGCCAGATGAGAAAACAGAGGAGGCACATCCCAGCCTTCAAGGAATTCAAAACCTCACTCACAGTAATAACACAATTCACAGAACAATTAAGTGTTAAATTGCGAGACTCTCCCTAGGTGTTCTAGGAATTTTAAATGGGGGCTGGGACCTTAGGAAGGCTTCCTGGAGGAGGTGGACTCAGGTTGGTTGAGTGGGGAGGCTGGAGGTAGGTCTGAGTGTGAAGGGGGTTCAAGATGAACATAGCGAGGAATGAGGCAATTGTGTGATCCTTTGGAGTGGGAAGGTTTTTAAATATCCTGCCTGATGCCCACAGGCCTGTACCACAGTTACAGGGCTTGGTTGTGGAGGTTGACCCCATGCCAGGAAATCACTGAAGACAGGTATGTCCGTTATTGCCTGATTTTATGGGTGAAGAAACTGTCCCGTCTTATGGGTGAGGAAACTGAAGCTCTAACATGCTCAGTAAATTACCTGAAGCCACATGGATACAAAGGGGAAGAAAAACTCAACTTGCGCTCTTCAACATGTGGGCCGCTAGCCGTGTATCTGAAATGTAGCTAGCCGTGTGAGTGCTTGAAATGTAGCCAGTCCCAACTGAGCTGTACCGTATGTGTAAACAACACACCAGATTTCAGACCTACTAAGAAACAAACAAAAAATATATAAAACATCTAATTTATAGCTCTTGTTAGTACTTATTACATGTTGAAATAATATTTTGGATATATTGGATGAAATAAAATCTATCATTAAAATTACGGTTAACCTTTGAACAACACGGTTTGAATTGAGAGGGTCCACTTATACACAGATTTTCTTCCACCTCTGCTGTCCCTGAGACAAGACCCACCCCTCCTCTTCCTCCTCAGCCTATTCAATGTGAAGTCGCCAGGGATGAAGACCTTTATGATGAACCACTTTCATTTAATGAAGAGTAAATATATTTTCTCTTCCTTATAATTTTCTTAATAACATTTTCTTTTTTAATGGCAAGGCTTCTGGTCAATAGCAGGCTAGTTATAGTCAAGTTTTGGGGGAGTCAAAGTTATACTTGGATTTTTGACCTCATAGGGGTTGGCACCCCTAATCCCCTCATTGTTCAAGGGTCAACTGTAATTTCATCTGTTTCTTTTTGCTTTTTAAATGTAGCTACTAGACATTTTTATTTTACTTATTATTTGTTTTTCTTTTTTAGAGACAAGGTCACCCTATGTTTCCAAAGCTGGCCTTGAACCCCTGGGCTCAAGTTATCCTCCCGCCTCAGCCTCCTATGTAGCTGGGACTACAGGTGCACGCCACCATGCCCGGCTAGAAAATTTTGAATTATATACGTGGCTAGCATAATGTCTCTACTGGACAATATCCCTGCCAAGTAGCAGCGCAGCCTCAGCAGACACCTCTAAAGATGGTGTATTAGATCATTAGAGCTGCTGCAACAGAGAACCCCACAGATTGGGTGGCTTTAATAATAGAAATTTATTGTCTCACAGTTCTGGAAATTTATTGTCTCTGACTGGAAGTCCAAAATCAAAGTGTTGGTTCCTTCTGAGGCTCTGCCTCTCCTCTAGCTTCTGGAGGTTTGCTGGCCATCTTTTGGGATCTGTGGCTTCTATAGCTGAAAAGCGTTATGAATTCTATGCTTTCCATCACCCTGGTTCTATCCCTGCCTTTGTCCTCACATGCTGTTCTCCCAGGGTCCACATTTCTCCTCTAAAATAGCAACACCCATCATGTTGGATTAGGGACCCAACCTACTCAACTAATGACATCTACAAAGACCCTATTTCCAAATAAGGTCATATTCTGAAGTACTAGGGGTTGGAGCTCCAACATATGAATTTGAGGGTCACACAATGCAACCCATAACAGATGGGGACTCCCTCCCTCTCCAGGAGCCCATTCCATATTTGGATCACCCTGAATGATCTTCCTCTTGTGCCAGCCCAGAGATCCACAAAGGAGCCTCCTTAAAATCTCTTGCAAATGCCCAGCCCCACTCTGTCAGGTGGTGCCAGGGACCAGGGACACCCTCATTTCTTTCCTTGGAGCCCAGGTATGATGGGCCCCACCCTGGGTGAGACATATCTGTTAACGATAACCACCTGGAGAGCAGGAAGGAGAAAACTGATAAGGGAGAGAAGGTTAAAAATAACCCATGAGCTGCCCACATGACCTTTGCCCTTTGCAACTTTGATTTACAAGCATCACAACCAGGAGATCACCTGGGTCTATGCTGGCTGTAAAACCTCATGGCTGACGCAGCTTTCTACTCAGTGGCCTGGGAATTTCCAGTCCTGTGGTGTGACCGATACACAGAGGTCAGGCAGTTGTTTTTCTTTCTTTTTTCCCTGGCAGCCCTTCAACACCTTCCTAAGAGTGGGAGGGGTTCTAGTGAGGGCTCTGACTTACCGCTCTTTGTCCCTTAAGAGGAGGGAGTTGGCTTAGGAGGACTGCACTGTCCTTCAGAGCAGCCGGGTCACTGGGACCCAGTTCAACCCCTGTCCTAGCATGACTTGGGAGAGCTACGGAGTTTATTTCAGCCTCGGTTTTCTTATCTGCCAAATAGGAATAAGAAAGAAGGTTTGCCTTGCCTGTCCTGTCAGGTGCCAGTGAGAAACCATCTAAGAGGGCATCTGGGCCCTGGGGTTCAAGGAGGACTGAGGTGGTCACCAAGCCCACCTGCACTTCAGTCCCCCTCGCACATTGCACATACATGAAGTGTGTTCGGGGCCAGGTCTTAAGGTGCTTTGGGTCCCTCACTGTCCAGGATGGGGTTCCCAGCGGAGCTGCATCAGCATCCCCTGGGAGCTTGTCAAAAATGCAGACTCTCAGGCCCTACCCCAACCTGCTGAACCAGAATCTGCGTTTTTAAACAAGATCCCCAAGAGATGAGTGTGCTCATTAAAGTTTGAAAAGCCCCACTTCAGTGGACATTATTTTGCCTGTCTTGGGCCCATTCCCCCTTCTTCTGGTAAAATTGATCGTATTTTTTTGGGGGAGAACCATGGGCCCCAACTCTGGCCATATGTGCTTCAGTAGGGCTAATCCACTCTCCAGAACCCTGAGGGCACACGAAAGTGAGTCCTGGCCAATCCAAATCAACGCTGGGACTGTGGCTGGGCACAAGGACCTCTCTTTACATGGCTGTTGTTCCGCTGTAGGATGGAGTCTGGAGGTGGGCTCCGCCATTTTGGTCACGATTATGAGAATCTAAGAGTGGAATCCTTGAAAAAAGGAGCAGAAGAGGGTGTGTGTGTGAGTGAGTGTGTGTGTGTGTGTGTGTGTGTGTGTGTGTGTTTAAGAGAGAGAGGAGGATTCCAGATCACATCTACTGAGCTTCCATCTTTGTCCAAATTCAGATCGACTTCCTGGCTTTTCAGTGTATATAAGCCAATCATATAAGACCGAAAGAACAGGTCTCGTAGGATGTGATGACTCCTGCAGGAGGCAGGTAGGAGGATATCTGAGCAGGCAGATGATAAGGGATGAGAGTGTTAATGGTAAAATAACTGGCAGTGAAAGACATTTCAGGCAGGTGGTCCTACTTGAATGCCCCCTTCCAAGCACATCTGTGGTGCAGTGTGTCCCATTCCTGGAGCCAGGCCTGACCTGCCCAGCCTGCCTTGCCCCCACCCCCGTCCCCAGGCTTTTGCTAGGAGCTCTGGACTCATAAGCTCGGGCCAGCTCTGGCATCGCATTGCCTGGGCATCTCCCTGCTTCCAGGATGGAGGCCCCAGGAGAGAGGAGGCTGTGGCCCGGGGCTGAGGACAACAGCCAGGGCCCAAGGCTGTTTAAGGAAAAGCCACAGTTCCATTGTATAGACCTGTAGACAGAGGGGTAAACTCAGAGGAAATGAGTTGCCTTGATGCACACGTTGATAGCCAGGGGCTACGTCTACCCGGCCAGGCCCAAACTGCGTTCCCCAAGACATTGACCAACCTTCCCCATTTGATAATGACTGAAGGGGTTTCAGGACATTGGCCAACCAGGATGAGTTTGATTGCCTATTCCCAGAGGTTTCCGGAGCATGCATTGGGACAGGCAGGAGTGGTAGGGTGGGAGTCCTGGGATGCCAGGTCGGGAGGGGAATCCTCCTGCCTCCGGGAAGCATGGGGTCTGCTCCCAGGGCTGCTTTCCCAGAAGCCAGAGCACCCTCGCCCCTGCAGGGCTTGGAGGGGGAGTGCTGAGATGCAGGGATGGAAGAATCTAGGCATGAGTATGCATGTGTGTGTCTGTGTGTGTAGAGGTCTCGTGTGTGTGTGTGCTCACGCCTATGTGCAAGTGGTAGTATCAGTGGCCAAATGAGAGGCAGTGCCTGATGTGAAGCTGCTGGGTATGAAACATGAGAGCTGTGAGAATCGCCTGAAGACTCCATGGGCCAGGGCTGAGTCCCTGAGGGGCAGGTGTCCGTGTGTGAGGGGAGGGAAGGCTGGGAGTCACCTTTGCATCTATGAATCCGCCACGCGTGTGCCTTGCAGGTGGGAGTGGAAACGGTGGGAGGTGTGCGTGGAGACTTACCTGCTGCCTATGGGAGCTGGTTCTGTGTGGTCATTCTGTGTGTCTGTGTCAGCTGTGGGGGTTGTGATGGGGAATATTGCTGTCTTTGTGAGTCTGTTTGGGGCATATGGATGAGCACTGGGTGTGTGGGCAGGGGAGGAACCTGCTGCCTGTGGAATCCACATGTGGGTCGAGGGCCTGTGGGCTGGGCAGCGAGTGCCCACAGTGATGTGAAAATACGGTGTCAAGTGTGAGCCCACTGAGTGGGTGGGCAAAGCTGTCCCTCCAGAGTCAGGCCCGGCATTGTCTCCCTGATTGTCTGCCCTGAGAGCAGCAGGAGTTCCCGTCCCAGGGCTCACATTGTCCTCAGTTAATTCCAGTTAATCCTGGTTAATATCCCCACCTGGGGGAGTTTAATGTGCCCCTTCGGGCTTCTTCCCCACTAGACCTTCTCAGAGTTAAGGAAGCAGCAAACTGCTTGGCAGCACAAAGCCCCTGGGCCACATTTGCCACTTTTTTTTAGAAGGAAAATTGCTGGCAACACTTCCATCCTCCGCTTCCAGAGAGAGCGGCTTTCCGCACAGATGTGTCTTCATACCAAGGCGGGCGCCTGGGAGCACCCGACTGTTCCTCGGCATTGCCATAAATCTAGGGAATATTCGAATGATAGAGCCATGTGGCCCGATTGCGAAAGGGCGGGGGTGGGGGGAACTCCCTGAGCCTTTGTGAGAGGCTGAGAGGAAGCAAGGCAGGGAGGAGATAGGAGGAGGAGAGAGCAGGGAGGGAAGGAAAGGCAGGAGAATGGAGGAGGCAGGCAGAGGGGGCATCCTGTCTGGCAACAGAGTGACATGGCTGAGTGCTGAGCCTCTAGCAAGGGTCTGGGACTAGGACTTGTTGGGGATGTGCTGTGAGCCTGAGGAAGGAGGGGGACAGGCAGAAGCCCACAGGGGAGGAGGGGTCCATTAGCTCTGCCAGGAAGCTACCATCAGGAGAGGACAGGGGAGGGGTCTCTCTCACCCATGCCCCTTTTGTGACTCCCAGATCTTCTCACCTGTGTGGGAGTTGTCAGGCTAGAAGTAAAAGCCTCACTGACTTAAGTGAGTGACTTAAGCTGCTTTGGACTCTACCAGGCACCAGCCCTACTCACTCCTGAATCCCTCATCCCAGCCAGAGATGGACCTCAGCAGAGAAAGGGTCTCGCGCTTCCTGCCAACCTGAGGTGGTTGGCTAACACTGGGGGCAGACAGTGCTTACT
The DNA here is from genome assembly GCF_000001405.40 of Homo sapiens. Lineage (NCBI taxonomy): Eukaryota > Metazoa > Chordata > Mammalia > Primates > Hominidae > Homo > Homo sapiens. Next base: position 110,392,463 of record NC_000010.11, on the reverse strand, counting down.
GGACCACACCTCTTAAAACACAAAGCCCACCGTGGTGGACAGGGCCACTCCCCCAACACAATTGCCACGCTATTGGGCAAAGCGTTGCCAAATGACTTTCTCCCCCTAAAGTCCGTTGGGGGAAACTCGGAGGAAATAAATTTCCTCTCAGTATGCCATGTATTGACTCAGGCTAGCTTCCCAGTGGTCCATAAAATAATAGCAACATTTATTGGGTTCTTGCTTTTGTGCCAAGTGCTATTAAGTAGACCTTAAAGAGAAAGGCTATTAGCATCTCCACTTCTTAGAAGAGAGAGGGCAAGTAACTCTGCCAGCTAACATATACTGGGAGACCCCAGGGCCAAGATTGGAACCCAAGCAGTTTACCACCAGACCCCTGGCACAGGTGACCCTGCCTCTTGAGAAATAGTGGTTTTTGATACTGGTGGGAGGGGGGCAAAGGAGAGTCCCCAGGAAGCTGAGCCGCAGGGCAGGCATTCTTGGAAGACTTGAGACCCAGAGTGGGCTCCCTGAGACAGCACAGCCAGGATTTTGGAAAAGTCAAGTGCAGTGGGGATAGTCCTGGAGGGAGAGAGCTTGGCCTGTAGAGTTATATCTGCAGGATAGTAGACTAAGGAAGGACCAAAACCCCGGGGGATGAGGGATTGGGCCTGGCTTGACTGGCCAGTCAGTGCCTCCGGAGAAGCAGCTGTCCACAGAGCTAACCCAGGTGGACCTCACCGCGGCCTGTCACTGGTGCCCCAAAGGTCCCTCGCTCTGTAGGCAAACCTGGTGTTCCAACAAGTTGCAGAGCCTGCACCGGTCTGGAGAGGGCTCCAGGGCTGGGGACCAAAAAGCTATGATCGCCCAGACAGGTCTTTGGAGGAAGAGCTAGAAAGCCCTTGGGTGATGACTGAAAAAAAAAAAAAAAAAAAAAAAAAAATCCCAGCACCATGTTTTTACTTAAGGTTATCCTGAGATTCTGCCATATTAGTACACAGACGCCCTTCTTACGCTTTTCCATAGCTGCATAGTATTCTGGTGTGTGGACATCCCATAATTTATTTAGCCAGATCCATCTTAGTGGACATTTAGGTTGTTTCCTGTCAAGCTGTAGGACGGGTTCCTAGAAATAGCAGTACCAACTAGAAGAGTGCAGGCCTTTATCCTTTCACTGAATGTTGCCACCAAGCCCTCCACAGAATGTTGGGCCAGCTTCTCCTCCCCTACTCGCCAACAGCATCAGCAAACATTTTGGTCTTTCGCAAACAGACAGATGAAATACAGAGTCTCAGCGTAGCTTGAATTCTCATTGCTGTTATTAGGAGGTGGATGAGCACCTTTCTACGTTTAAGAGCCAGTGGTATTTTGTGTGGGGTTTCCATCTGTCCCTTCAAGGAACTCTATTATTTATTTTATTTTTCTTTCTTTTTAGAGATGGGAGCCCTACTCTGTTGACCAGACTGGAGTGCAGTGGTGCCATCACAGCTCACTGTAGCGTTGAACTCCTGAGCTCAAGGGATCCTCCCGCCTCGGCCCTCCAGAGCACTGGGATTACAGGTGGGAGCCATGTTGCACCCACCAAAACTTCTTATTTAAACTCTCTAACCACTGGGTGAGAGTTGTCAGCATTGTCATAGCCCCTGTAAACTATTTAAATGAGAATTGTTTTCCTAAGGACAAAACTTGCCTAAAGTAAGACAAGACTTGAATTAGCTTTGTTTGTTTTGTTTTGAGACAAGGTCTTGCTCTGTTGCCCAGGCTGTAGTGCAGTGACACGAACCTGGTCCACTCCAGTCTCAAACTCCTGGGCTCAAGCAATCCTTCCATCTCCGCCTTCTGAAGACCACAGGTGCACACCGCCATGCTTGGCTAATTTTTAAAACAAATTTTGTAGATGGGGGCCTCCCTATATTGCCCAGGCTGGTCTCAAATTTCTGGGCTCAAGCAATCCTCCTACCTTGGCCTCTCAAAGTGCTGGGATTACAGGCATGAGCCATGGCATCTGGCCAAGTTAGCCTGTTTCTTAATGAAGAAACTGAGACACGAACTGGACAATTAGAACCGAGGTCCTCTCACCTGTTCTTCCAGCTCATCCTTGGGTTTCCCCATCTTAGGAGGAGAAGGCTGGACTAGCGAGACCTTCGGAGTCAGGCCTGCACCACTCAGCAGGTCTCAGCGCTCATGTGTGAGTGACCCACCATGAGGTGAGTTTTAAGCCACATTACTCTTTCCGCTGCTGATTGTCAAGGTGCCATATTGATGGATAAGGAGGCTGGCTTCCAGGTCCCCCAGCAGCAGGAGGGCTGCCCTCACCCATTCACATCACACTCTTTCTTTCTTTTTTTTTTTCCTTTTTGTGGAGAACAAGGTCTCACTATATTGCCCAAGCAGGTCTCGAACTCCTGGGCTCAAGCTATCCTCCCGCCTCTGCCTCCCTAAGAGCTGGGATTACAGGCATGAGCCACCATGCCCAGCCACCACAACTTTCCATCATGAGGGAGAGGAGGGTGGGGTTGCTCTTGTGACTGTGCCCTATGCTGCAATGCTGCCCTTACCAGGTGGATGAGTTGAAGCCGGAGGGGCATCTGCAGACTTGCAGAGTGAAAACAGTACTGTCCAGGACGAGAGGGAAGGTCTGGCTATTGACAATGGACCAATCAGGTTCTCTCCCGGGCCTTTGCCTCTTCATCCACAATATGGCAGCATTGGGCAAGGTCACTGAGCCTTGCTGCTTTAAAATGTGCCTTTCTTTCCCTCAAATCAGGCATGCTCCTTCCCCACTCAGGCCCTTTGCATTTGCTCTTCCCTCTGCCCAGATGTCTTTTCCTCTAGATCTTCACACGCAGACCCCTTCTCATCATTCTGGTTGCAGCCTGAATGTTGTCTCCTCAGAGCAGTCACCTGGAGCTCTGGCTAAAGTCAGCCTCACCCGGTTCATCCCAGTTGAGGTTCGTCACCACTGTCACCAGCTGGAATCATCTGCTTCCTGATTTGCTGCTATGTTTCTGGTCTGTCTTCCCCTGTGAAGGCAGAGCCTCATGGGTGTTGCTCATCATTTCGTCTCAGTGCCTGGTGCAGACAAGGCTGAAGCAAAGCACAAGGGAGGTTCCGAGGCTGCAGGCTCCTCACGCCGAGGAGTCAGCCACCCCCGTGTGCCATGGAAATGCAGGCATGTGAGGCTGTGGTTCTTCAGGAGGGACACAGGGAGCAGCCAGACCTGGGGAAAGATTCAGTGGAATGACCCCCGAAACCTGGCATTTGGGGGCTTCTCTACCCCGGCCAGTCAAGCCTCTGGGACCTGAAGAGCCCCCTCACACTCCTCATGACAACCATGACAACCTCATGACAACTAACAGCAAAGGCAGCGGTTTTTTGAAAATGTGTCTTTTGGTGACCAATCCCAAGGGATCATTCACTTTCTGGCCTGGAGACAAGAAAGGGAAGACCTCCCCCAACACCCCCTTTCCCTGCTACAGGTCACCCAGAGGCATAATGTATAGACCTCCTAAATCCCCTCCCTTATCCCTCTAGACATCTCTCTGGACAGCGCGACAGTGAGTCTGTCCCCCTGGCGGCAGCTGGATCATTAACTGTGAGGTTTATCACGGGTGATAGGATTGAGCTCTGTGCTTCACGTTGTTGTTGGAAGGGAGATAAAAGAGGTCTTGGGAGCCATGAGTCCCCGACTTTCCCTTCTACCCCACTTTCCAGAGCAGCTGGATACAGGGAAAGTCACTCACACACTCCTCCTTGCTGGCCGCTGTGCACATGGTTTTGTCATGCATGTCACCCTAACACCAGATTACTTTCCCCAAGACATGCCAGGATCATTTCTTCTAGCCCAGCTGTGTTCGAACTAGCCCTTCACCAAGTGGTTCAGTTTCCTTGGTGGGGCCTGTATGATTGTGAGGGGCTGGGGGAAGTCTGGAGGCGGGTGTCAGGGAAGTATGAAGCCCAGTTCCTGCCACAAGGTTCACACCCAATGAATGGTCACTGTTATTACACAGGATGGTAGGCTTGTGGTTTGTTTTTTCCCTCTATTCTTTGGTCACTTTTCTATAAGCATATTATTTTTAGAATCAGAAAAAAAAACTCATGAAACAAAAGAAATGTGATGAGTGATTTACAGGGAGCAAAGGGCAGAGAGAGAGAGACAGAAAGAGAGAGAGAGAGACAGATGCTCTTTAGAAACCGTGGCTCTGGGCCCCGGAATTTAATCTGCAGTTAAGGAGGCTGAGAGAGGCAGGTGGGTGCACCCACAGGTCTCCTAACTGAGAACTTCCTGCCTTTGAGCCCACCTACTAGTCCCCAGGTTACAGATCTCAGGGAAACCCCAGGGCTCCCACCCCCTCCACACACACACCCACTCCCAGTCAGGCGGCCTGTGAGCCTGGGTTGGGGCTAACCGGAACCCAGCCAGCCTCTCTCCCACCTTCTACCTTCTGTTCTCAATGCTGTGCCCCTGGGCTGGGGCAGCCTGAGCTAGGTGATGTCGAGCCAGGAACAAGAGCCAAGGACCACAGAACCTGCTTTTGGTTCCACATGTCTCTGCCCCATCTTCCTTTTTCTTTTTCCACCTCGTTTCTTTTTTTTTCTCTTTTCTTTCTCTCTCCCTTCCTTTCCTTTCCCTTGCCTCCCCCATTCCCCTTCCCTTCCTTTTCTTTCTTCCTTCCTTCCTTTCTTTTTCTCTTTCTTTCTTTTTCTTTCTTTCTTTCTCTTTCTTTCTTTCCCTCTCTCTCCCTCCCTTCCTTCCTTCCTCCCTTCCTTCCTCTCTTTCTTTCTTTCTTTCTCTCTTTCTCTCTTTCTTTCTCTCTTTCTCTCTTTCTTTCTTTTTCTTAGAGAAAGGATGTCCCTCTGTTGCCCAGGCTGCAGTGAAGTAGCACAACCATGGCTCACTGTAACCTTGAACTCCTGGGCTCAAGCAATCCTCCTGCCTCAACCTCCTGAGTTGCTGGGACTACAGGTGTGAGCAAATGCACCCGGCACTTTTCTCCTTTTTTATTTTAAATACTTTTAGAGTAATTCCTTTACATAAATTGAACTTCATAAAAAGTTAGAACTTTGCACATTAAAAGACACTATCAACAGAGTGAAAAGACCATCCAAGAATGAGATACAGTATTTGCAAATCATATATCCGATTGGGGATTAATCCAGGATATCTAAAGAACTCTAAAACTCAGTAACAACAAAAACCCAAACAACCCAATTCAAGAAATGAGAAAAGGACTTGAATAGACATTTTTCCAAAAAAGATATACAAATGATATACACATGATATACAAAATGATATACAAATGATATACAAAAAGATATACACATTAAAATATGTTCACATCACTGATCACTAGAGAAATACAAATCAAAACCACAATGAGATACCACTTCGTACTCATTAGGGTAGCTATTATCAAAAAACAAGTAACAAGTATTGGTACGGATGTGGAGAAATTGGTGCCCTTGTGCATTGCCGGTGGGAATGTAAAATGAGGCAACCTCAGTGGAAAACGGTAGGCAGTTTCTCAAAAAATTAAACAGAATAACCATAGGGTCCAGCAATTCCACTTCCAAGTATAAACACAAAAGAATTAGAACAGGGACTCAAACAGATTTTTTTTTCCTTTTCTTGCTTTTCTTTCTTTCTTTCTTTTTTTTTTTTTTTTTTTTGGAGACAGAGTCTCACTCTGTTGCACAGGCTAGAGTGCAGTGGTGCGATCTTGGCTCACTACAACCTCCACCTACCAGGTTCAAGCGATTCTCCTGCCTCAGCCTCTGGGATAGCTGGGACTACAGGCACACTACCACCATACCTGGCTAATTTTTGTATTTTTGATAGAGACAGGGTTTCACCATGTTGGCCAGGCTGGTCTTGAACTCTTGGCCTCAAGTGATCTGCCCAGCCCACCTCGGCCTCCCAAAGTGCTGGGGTTACAGGTGTGAGCCACCGCACCCAGCCTCGAACAGATATTTGTATACTCATGTTCATAACAGTATTATTCACAATAGTAAAGGTGGAAACAACCTAAATGTTCACTGACAAATGAATAAATAAACAAAATGTGATACAATAAACTGGGTTGTTATTGTCTTTCAAAAGAATTCTGATACATGCTGCAACATGGACGGACCTTGAAAACATGCTAAGTGAAATAAGCCAGACACAAAGGGACAAATATTGTGTGATTCCACTTACATTATGTATCTAGAATAGTAAAATTCATAGAGATAGAAAGAATAGTGGTAACCAGGGGCTGTGGGGAGGAGGGAATAGGGAGTTATTGTTTAATGAGTATGGAGTTTCAATTTGGGATGATGAAAACATTCTGGAGCTGGATAGTGGTGGTGATGATTGTACAACAATGTGAATGTTCTTAATGTCACTGAAGTGTACATTTAAAAATGGTTAAAATGGGCTGCGCGGTGGCTCACGCCTGTAATCCCAGCACTTTGCGAGGCAGAGGTGGGTGGATCACCTGAGGTCAGGAGTTCAACACCATCCTGACCAGCATGGTGAAACCTCATCTCTACTAAAAATATAAAAATTAGCCGGGCGTGGTGGCATGTGCCTGTAGTCCCAGCTACTTGGGAGGCTGAGGCAGGAGAATCGCTTGAACCCGGGAGGTAGATGTTGCAGTGAGCCTAGATTGTGCCACTGCACTCCAGTCTGGTGACAGAGTGAGACTCCGTCCCAAAAAAAAAAAGGTTAAAATGATAAATATCATATATATTTTACTACAATAAAAAAGAATGGAAAGACTATTAAATATCTTTTAATGAAAACCCCTCGTTCTGCAAAGAAAGAAACAGTCTTAGAGAGGTAGAAAAAAAGTCATTTCTTAAAGTCATCTTTTTTGTTTTTTGTTTTTTTGTGTTTTTTTTTTTTTTTTTTTTTTTTGGTTTTTTGAGATGAAGTCTCACTCTGTCACCCAGGCTGGAGTGCAGTGGCGCGATCTTTGCACACTGCAACCTCCATCTCCCGGGTTCAAGCGATTCTTCTGCTGCAGCCTCCTGAGTAGCTGGGATTACAGGCACAAGCCACCATGCCTGGCTAATTTTTGCATTTTTAGTAGAGACAAGGTTTCACCATATTGGCCAGGCTGGTCTCGAACTCCTGACCTCAGATGATCCACCAACCTCGGCCTCCCAAACTGCTAGGACTACAGGCATGAGCCACTGCACCCAGTCCCTTAACTTCATTTTTGATACCTCAGATATAACAGGTATTCTAAACTTTAAACAGTACACACAGTCGCCAACTTATGATGGTCTGACTTACAGTGTTTTAAACTAATGATGGGTTTATTGGGATGTGAGCCCTGACACAAGTTGAGCAGCATCTGAACAGATGAAATACCCTCCCTCATTAATTCCCGCCCCTCCCCAGTGGGTAACCGAAGGTTACATCACTTTTGTGTGAATCCATCTAGATATCTTCTGTAGGTTTACAGAAATGGAACCATTCTGCACCCATTTTGCAACTTTCCCTTTATACTCAATGCTATTTCTTAGAGATCTTTCCGTGTCAGTACATATAAGCTACCACATTCATTTAAGCTACTACACAGTATTTCATAGTACTAACGTACCATAGCTAAGCATTCCCCTTCTGACAGACACTGCTATTGTCTGAATGTTTGTGTCTCCCCAGATTCACATGTTGAAACCTAGTCCCCAGTGTGGTAGTATTAGCAGTTGGGGCCTTTAAGAGGTGATTAAGTCATGAGGGATCCACCCTTGTGAATGGGATTAGTTCCCTTATAAAAGCAACTCAAAAGAGCTTGTTCATCCTTGTGTCCCGATGTGCCGTTTATGAAGCATAGTGAGTTCTCGCCAGACACCAAGTCTGTGAGCACCTTGATCTTGGACTTCCCAACCTCCAGAACTGTGAGCAATACAGTTCTGTTGTTTATAAATTACCCAGCCTGGCCAGGCGTGGTGGCTCACGCCCGTAATCCCAGCACTCTGGGAGGCCGAGGCAGGCAGATCACAAAGTCAAGAGATCAAGACCATCCTGGCCAACATGGTGAAACCCCGTCTCTACTAAGAATGCAAAAATTACCTAGGCACAGTGGTGCATGCCTGTAGTCCCAGCTACTTGGGTGGCTGAAGCAGGAGAATCGCTTGAACCCGGGAGGCAGAGGTTGCGGTGAGCCAAGATCATGCCACTGCACTCCAGCCTGGTGACACAGCCAGACTCCATCTCAAAAAAAAAAAAAAAAAAAATTACCCCATCTAACGTATTTTGTTATAGCAGCCTGAATGGACTAAGACAGACACTCGACACTATTTTCAGTATTTGCCTGTTACAGACCATTCAGCATAAATGCCTCTTTGCACACATGTAGAAGTGGTTCTCTAGGAAAACTTTCATTTACTTATTAAGGTTACAAGTGTACCTGAATGCATGTCAATCAAATAGCTGCCATGTACTGGCACTTGGGGAATGCTAAATTTTTTTTTTTTTTTTTTTTTTTTGAGACAGAGTCTCGCTCTGTCACCCAGGCTGGAGTGCAGTGGCACAATCTCTGATCACTACAAGCTCTGCCTCCTGGGTTCACACCATTCTCCTGCCTCAGCTTCCCGAGTAGCTGGGACTATAGGCGGCTGCCACCACACCCAGCTAACTTTTTGTATTTTTAGTAGAGACGGGGTTTCACCTTGTAAGCCAGGATGGACTCCATCTCCTGACCTCACGATCTGCCCACCTCGGCCTCCCAAAGTGCTGGGATTACAGGCGTGAACCACAGCGCCCGGCCGGGGAATGCTAAATTTTTTGTGTCATAATCTCACATGTTGTTATTCCTCCAATCAACCCTGCATGGAACTGGTGTCCCTATCCGCTCAGATGAGGGAAATGTCCAAAAAACACAACTCATTTGCCCCAGATCACAGAGCTCATAAGAGAGCTGTGGGCCTTCAGATGGACCTGGCGTAACTAAGTAAGGCATCTAAGACTGTGACCTCCTTGAGACCAGCACTTGGATCACTTTCCTGCCATGTCCCCACATCTGACACAGGTCTGGAATGTCACGGGCAATAACAAATGCTCCTTGAATGTTGTTGAGCAAATGAAGGCAGGCCCGGGTGTGTGGAACCCTCCCCCCGGTTATTGGCATTAGGCCCCAGCATTTACTTACCCACCTGTCTGCTCACCTATGCCTGCCCCTTGCCCCAGCCCTAAGCCCCAGGAGGAAAGCCAGGGTGAGGGGTGTCAGATACAACCAGTCTCTCTAATGTCGTTCTCTATGACCTGTACTCTACCCACTGAGGGTGGCCTCTCACCCAGGTTCCCTGAGACCCTTAGCCTGACACATTCCCCATCTCCAGACATTTGATTAGATCCACTGGCCTTCAACGCTCAGCCCAGCTCACAACTCCCTGGCTCTGATCCCTCATGGGACCACCCAGAGCTCTTTTCCTCCTTGCCTTATATACTTAGTTTATTTTCTTTTTAAAAGTCTGAATGGCCACTATCCCCTTTGATAAAGCTTCTCTGTGTGCTCAACACAGATGAGGACATGGAGGCCCAAAGAGGTCATGTGTCTCGCCCTGGTCCCCAGCCAGCGAGCAACACAAGGTCACACTCAGGTCTCTGCAGCCCCCAAGGCCGACACTCTTCCTGTTATAGCCCAGAAAGCCTCCGAGATAAACCAGAAGGAGGCTCACTTGTTATCAAATGGGAGTTTCACAGGATCTAGAGTTGGGAGGAACATTCATTTCCTGATGCCACCTCTGTCCCCTGAACTATGGAGAATACATCCAAACCCCTGCCACACGGCAGGAGGCTCAAGTGTCTGAGTGGCTACGACTCTAGTTATCCAGGCTCAGTAGACCCTCTCATGCCCAGTTCCCCTGTGGGTCTGTCTTGACTTCTCCAGTGTGTGGCCAATTCCCTAAAGGTGAGAAGATCTTCTCTTAGACTCCTGTGTCCTTCCACAATCTTCCCAGTGTGGATCAGGTGCTATTTTACTCCTGTTTCAACCTTGAGTTCCTGCAAGTGCTCTTCAGCTGTTCATCTCAAGTGAAATGGGAGCAAGTAGGCAAGGACAAAGAGTAAATCACTCTCCTCCAACAGCCAAAGCTCTAGTCCTTCTAACGATAGCATCCACTATTGAAGGGGGCCTTAGTATGTGCCAGTTGCTGCGCTGACAGTCACAGCCTCACTTCCTTCTCACGTCAGCTCTGTGAAGGAAGAACTGGTATTGTGTCCACGTTGCAGATGAGAAAGTTGAGGCTTGATAGCTTACATGACTTGCCCAAGTTAATGCAGCTAATGTGTGGCAGTCCGAGACCAATACCTGGCTCTCTGCCATCACATTTGACAGTCCCCAGCTATATCAGCCAGGGTCCTGTAGGAAATGAAGCACACTCAAACTGGGTATTCTCAGGAAAGTGAATAAAGGGACACTGCACAGAAGTATTAGCAGGGTCTGGGCAAGCCCAAGTGGAGAGCAGTGTACCCTCAGCTCATGCCAGCTGTGTGGACAGCACTCTTGGGCCCGAACCTGAGACAGGGGCTATGTGGAGAGGCTCCCTAGCAGGAGCTGTGGCCTTCAGTGGACAGACATAGACACAGCTCAGCAAGAAGGGAATAAACACCTCTAACTGCTCACCTCCATGTCTGTCCAGTTTCCAGCCAGTGTCCCACTGGTCAAATCCAGCTGGAAGCCAGAGCCCAAAGGAACCCACTGATATAACACACCAATGTCAGCTTCTGGGCACAGAGGAGGGGAGAGAGTGGATGGAGTGGGTGGCAGCAAACAGAAGGTCTCCAGAACCCTAGCCAAGGTAGAGTTAGCAGATTCACTAAATGTGGCTACAAGACAAATGCATCTTGGGATTCATGTGGCACAAACTAAGAGATGGAGATTTTCCTTTTATTTAAAAATTCAACCAGGGCTGCATCAACCCTGGCTCAAAAGCAATCATTTCTTCTCCCCCATCACCTCCACCAACACAAAAAGAGAAACAAGAAAAGAGAATAGGCACAGAGGCAAGGCTGAGTGTGGAGCGGGGCCCTTACCTAGGCAGTGAGGCAGTATGTTCCAGAATTGAGACCTCTCAGCTCAACCCCTGCTTCCCCAGAGAGGACCCAGACCCACCACGGGCTTCCATATATAAGGAATCTAGAAATGCAGGGACTTTGAGAAGAAAGAAGCTTGGAGGAGAGCACAAGGGCTCCCCAGAGAGTTTGGGTCTCCAGTCTTGATGCATTTACCAGGTGCCTACTGCATGCTCTGCACTGTGCCCATGAGAAGGGCCTGGGTTCAAGTCTGACCCAGACCCTGCCCACATCTGGCCACAGTCTAATAGGAAACTCAGACACATAAAGCATAGGCGACAGAACAGTGTGGGAAATGCACTAGTGGAAATATGTACACACGCAAGTCAACAATTAAAAAAATTAAAAATGGACAAAGGATTTGAATAGAAATTCCTCCAAAGAAGACACACAAGTGGCCAATAAGCACATTAAAAAATGATCAACATTATTTGTCATTACAGAAATGCAAATCCAGCCACAATGAGATATTGCTTCAAACCACTAAGATGACTCTAATCAAAAAGACAGATAATAACAAGTGACGGAAAGGGTGTAGGGAAATTGGAATCTTCATACACTGCTGGGGGGGCATGTAGAGTGGTACAGCCACTTTCAACAGTTCCTCAAAAGGTTAAACACAGAGTTTTCATGTAACCCAGCAATACCACTCCTACATATAGGCCCAAAAGCATTAAAGCATGTGTCCACACAAAAATCTGTACACAAATGTTCGTAGCAGCAGTATTCAGAATAGCCCCAAAATGGAAACAATCAAATGTCCATTAATTGACAAATGGAATAATAAAACATAGTATATTCATGCAATAGAATATTTTTCAGCCATAAAAATAAATGGAGTACATTCACTTCATAAAGGGAAAGCTATTTTGAGTAGTTTTTCTTTTTTTCCACAAGGGGAAATGCAAAGCAGTTAATTTTTTAAAAATGAAAGTTACAAAAAATAAGAAATGAAAGTTACAAATAAGTGAAAGTTCTAAAAAGAAACAAAACCCAAAACTTTACATTAAAAATGTATTTCATTTTCATGATGGAAAAAATACAGGGATTGATATTTGAAATACCAATTTATTCAATTTCTATGTTAACACACATATCTACTTTTCATATGGATTCTGGATTCTTTTTATTATACTTCCAGTTTTTTAAAAACACCCACACAGGTAAATAAGTGAGAGCACTAGGAATATCAGAGGATTATGTATAAAGATGCCTTTTAACTTGAACTTTTCATTTAAATCCTTCATTCTGATGGTATTAAGTGAGATTGACAACTATACTGAGAATTTGTTATTTCTCCTATTCCTTTGATAACCAGAGTTACAGTGGAAGTCATCCATCTTATCAGTCCCAGAAAATGCAGTCCCTCCAAAAAAACTTTGACGTTTCCTTTTCCTGCCTTCTTCTGTCATTTCCTGCCCATAAGTTCCAAGAAAAGGTGGATACAGAAACATATGGAAAAATGTGGTGGTGAACTAATTACAAAAACAAGAGCTCTGTTCAAAATAGATTCTGTTCTCTTGAGATTATAAATATTTTCTGTGAATTCGGATTGTAATACTTATTTACAATGTTACCAATCTTTATGTACAGAGGAAAAACTATATGGAAACTGATTGAATGATCACCTTAGTAGAAAAGGATTTAAAAGTGTAAAATGGGCCAGGTACGGTGGTTCACACCTGTAATCCCAGTACTTTGGGAGGCCAAGTCAGGCAGATCACTTGAGACCAGGAGTTCGAGACCAGCCTACGCAACATGGTGAGACCCCCCCATCGCTACAAAAAATACAAAAATCAGCTGGGCGAGGTAGCTTGTAGTCCCAGCTACTCAGGAGGTTGAGGCCAGGAGGATTGCTTGAGCCCCTGAGGTCAAGGCTGCAATGAGCCGTGATCCAGCCACTGCACTCCAGCCTGGGTGACAGAGTGAAACCCTGTTTCAAAAAAAAAAAGGGTAAAATTCATTAAAATTAATATTTAACAAAAATAAGACTTGCCAAATAAATCTAGAGTAATTCTTTTTGAATAAGACATTATTTTTCTGTGGTGTAATAACTAGCTTACTTTTAGAAATAGCTTGGTCAAGTAATAAAATATATTGTTATCTAAAATTTAAAAATAGGATGAAGTATTGGTACATATTACAACATGAATGAACTTTGAAAACATTATGCCAAGTGAAAGAAGCCAGACAAAAAAGGCCACCTATTGTATTATTCCATTTATATGACATGTCCAAAATAGGCAAATCCATAGAGAGGGAAAGTAAATTAGTGGTCGCCAAGGGCTAGGGGCAGAGGAGAAAGGGGAGTATCTGCTAATGGGTATGGGTTTATTTTGAGAATGATAAAAATGTTCTGGAATTAGAGAGTGGTGATGTGTATTAGTCCATTTTCACATGGCTCTAAAGACATACTCGAGACTGGGTAATTTATAAAGGAAAGAGGTGTAATTGACTTACAGTTCCACATGGCTGGGGAGGCCTCAGGAAACTTACAATCATGGTGGAAGGCAAAGGGGAAGCAAGGACCTTTCTCACATGGTGGCAAGAAAGAGAAGGGATGAGCGAAGAGGGAAGAGCCCCTTATAAAACCATCAGATCTCGTGAGAAGTCACTCACTATCATGAGAACGAACAGCCTGGGGGAAACCGCCTCCATGACCCAATCACCTCCCACCAGGTCCCTCCCTCAGTATGTGGGGATTATGGGGATTACAATTCCAGATAAGATTTGGGTGGGGCTACAAAGTCTAACCATATCATGATGGTTGCACAATTTTGTGAATATGCTGAAAACACCACTGAACTGTAATACTTCACAAGGATGAACATTATGGTACGTCAATTATATCTCAATAAAAAGAAAAAATATATATATAAAAAAACAGTATGGAGGTAAGTAGCACACAGAGAGGGAAGCATATATAAAAATATATTAAAACATATAATATATTACATATAATATATAGTTGAATATATATTTATAAATAATATGTACATATTATATACATATAAAATGGATATTATATATATGTATATAAAAAACATTATAGAGGCAAGCAGCACACAGAGAGGGAAGCAGGTGTGGAGAATTTTGCCTCTCTGGGGAGGTTTCCTAGAGAGAAAGCACCACCTGAGCCTGGTTTTAAAGGGCCAACAGGAGTCAGCACACAGACTGTAGGGAGGAAGGACTTTCTAGTCAAAGGGAACAGCACATGCAAAGGCTGCTGCAGAAGACGGGAAATAGCGTGGTGTGCTCTGATAACCACACGTCCTCTGGTTATTTAGGGTATAAATCTTAGTGCACAAACACAGAAGTCATCTTTTGTAAGTAAAATTCATTTCTGACTCTGAGGTCTATTCCTCCAAGCTACGGAAAATGTCACCCCATCATTCCTGGTATTCTAGGATTGTAATCTCCTGCACCAAAACATGGAATCAGTGACCAGTCTCCATGGCCTGGTATGGACATGCTGTTGTGCCTGACTTTGACTCTCCTCTGCCTCTGTGCCAGAGACTTTGCCAAGACCAGAAACCCAGTGCTGATTCCAAATGCGTGCTGCACTCGGGGAGCCACTCCTCCCCGGGGTCTTGCTGTCTCCACACACCCTGCAAAGAAGCAGGGCTGGGATCCAGCTGCTGGGTGGCCTCCCCATCTCCTCAGAGGAATCGCTTTCTGGTCTCAGAGCAGGAGATGCCAGAGAACTCACTCCCCAATGCTCCCACAGGGCATTTTGCTCATTCCATAAATCTCTGTTCATCTGCTCTGCAAACTCCCTAAATTGTTCTTGATCTGTGGGCAAACGAAGACCCAGCATAACTTTCAAATGCCTCCTGCTTGAATGAGAGAAAAAAAAGAGCTAACATGTAGAGGAAAAAAAGAAAAAATTAATATTTCAAAAAGATCCAGCGTTATACGTGACCACAGCATCTGCTGCAATGGACTGAGTATGAGATCAAAGGCCACAGGACCAGAGCCCCACTCAAGGGTCCCTCTGAAGAGCTCGGAATCAAGACCTTCAGTTTTGTGACCCTCAATGATGGAGTTTTTTACTAGCTCGTGCAGTGGACTCTGTCCTCCGCAAGTTCCTGCCCCTGAGGCATTCAATCCTGCAGCGTGTGCAGTCCCCAGGGCCTCTAATCCCCTGCCCCTGCAACTGAAGTAGGGCATGGAACTGGGCAGAGGAGGTCAAAACTGAGGCCATGAGAGTAGAGGCAGGAGAGGGGGTCCAAACACATTATGGAGATAAGCTGGGGAAAGAGGCGGGAGCTCAGAAACAGGAATGTTTGACCTCGCAAGTCCAAGAGGGACAGCCAGGAATGGCAGGTTAAAATGGAAGAGCAACAGGCTGGCCTGGTTACTCTGCTCCTTGTTGGAGTGGGTGGCAGGCACCATTGAAGGGGTCAGCAGTGGCAGGGACCAGGAGCTCTGAGCCTGAAGGACGGTCCAGGAGGCAGCAGGGGAGGAGCAGAGAGGAACTTCCTCAGGCTGAAGAGGGTCTAGAAAGGCTTCACCAAAGTAGGGTGAGGGCCCTGGGCCCCAAGGGGATTCTGAATCCCAAGCTGTTCCCACACCCTTGCCATGGGGGGTGGCGGAGGAGAGAACCAGGACACCGAGGTGAAAACAGTTGCTGGGTCAGCTGGCCTTGGTGGGTCACAAACTTTACTTTGTGGGGAGGATGTGTATTTAAAGAAAATCACTATGTTTACTCAAACCTTTGTGCTGCAGCCCCCAGAGGTGGAATTATCAGTGAAAGCTGGGCTATTAATCAATTGTGGGCCTGGTGACAGACCTTCTTCCCTTCCGGAGAGTGGGAGGAACAGAGGAGAGAGGGAGGAAGGGAGAGAAGGGGCTGGCCCCAGCACCAGCCAGTGTGGGAATGACTGATCCCAGGAGCAGGAAGGTCACACAGGAAGTGGCCTTGAGGTGGCGCCGGAGGCAGGAGGGGAGTGGAGGGTGGCGTTTCCACGGCACAGCGGTCATGGGACAAAGTTGGACGGAAATTGCACTTGAGGATGCTCCCTGGCCAAGGCCAAGTCGCCTGGGGAGGAAGGACAGACTTCCTGGATGGACACTGGGACGCCGAGCCCTGGGGAGGAGGGCAAGGGTGGAGGCTGTGGTGTTGCTGGGGCCGTGGGGTCTCTCCAGGCCGTGGGCCAGGACCTCTGACAAAGCCCGAACAGAGCATGGTGTCAGGAGCGCGTGCTGGATGGGGAAGCAGAGGGATGTGGAAGCCCTGGCTGGGTGAAGGCTGTGGTGTCTGCCCGCCCCACGGTGAGCTGGCCGGGCAGGATGGGTAGGCGCCAGCAGCTGTGCTTGCTGAGCAATGCACAGGCTCAAGGCCTGCAGGGCTGGGAGGACAGCTGGTCCCGCGAGGGCATGGATGGAGGAGGGAGGTGCTCAGCATGTGGGTAAATGAAGCCACAGACCCAGAGCATGGCTGGGGGAGGCCTCAGGCCAGGGTCAGGCTGCTCTCACTGGGCATCTGGACCAGTTTTTGGAGACAACCCCCAGCGTGAGCTCAAGGAGTGATGAGTGAAGGGGTGCAAGGAGGAAACAAGTGGATGAAAGAGCATTCTCTTCCAATGATGGCACCAGCAGTACCTACCTCATCGCGGCATGGGTGAGAATGAAACCACAGGTAGAGCACGAGGCCCAGAACACACTGAGTGCCCAGTCAGCGCCACTGCTGTTATGATCAGAATTACTGTTATTACAACTGGGCTTTCTTCTTATTTCACACACACTCCGCTCACATGTGTGTCTTTTCCCTCCCTACACACAGGCCCACAGAGTCACCGATTACGGGAAC
The DNA here is from genome assembly GCF_000001405.40 of Homo sapiens. Taxonomy (NCBI): domain Eukaryota; kingdom Metazoa; phylum Chordata; class Mammalia; order Primates; family Hominidae; genus Homo; species Homo sapiens. Next base: position 110,375,607 of record NC_000010.11, on the reverse strand, counting down.
ATCCAACGTACCATCCTGAGCTTGTGGGGCCTAAGGGCCCGTTTCCACCACCTGCTGTGTGATCTTGGGCTACCTACATCGCCTCTCTGAGTCTTGTTTTCCTCATTTGCAACTGAAGATAATAATAGTATCTAAATCAATTATGAGGATGAAATGAGTTAACTCATGTAAAGTGCTTAGCACAGAGTAAGTACTAAATGAAGATTGCTACTGCAAGACTGGGCGGGTGGATAATTCATGCTTTTGCTCCAAGGTGAGGTTGCCCTGTCTGCCAATCTATCAGAGCTAGGGAAGTGGGAGGCTTTCCCCTGTGGGATGTAGACTGGAGGGGGCCAACAGCTCTCACTGAGCATGGAGGCATAGCTGCAGTGCTCTGGGTTGGCAAGGGAGGGAAGGTGAGACCTGCAGTCGCCCTTCCTCATCCAGGTCTGCCCCTTCAATCCTTCATCTCCTCCTTGGCAGATCCCTTATATCCTCCACAAATGGGTCACTCTTGCCAGGGGACAAGCTCCCTGGGGACACATCTTACCACCGTAAAGCTGTAGCATTATAAGAACACAAAAAGGCAGGCCAGCCTGACCAACATGGAGAAGCCCTGCCTCTACTAAAAATACAAAATTAGCCAGGCTTGGTGGCGTATGCCTGTAATCCCAGCTACTCGGGAGGCCGAGGCAGGAGAATTGCTTGAACCCGGGAGGCGGAAGTTGCGGTGAGCCAAGATCACGCCATTGCACTCCAGCCGGGGCAATGAGCGAAACTCCGTCTCAAAAAAAAAGAAAAATAAAAAAGCAACTTAAAACCCTATCTGGCCTCTTTGCTGTCTTAAAAAACACAAACATCATGAATGGGGCTAAGCATCTGGTCCGGTGTCCTACGAGGGAAAAGAGCCCTGGAAACTGTGTCTTTCAAGGGAAGGGGCACTTTCAAGGAGCTTTCATGGTGGCGATGGTGAGTTGGCAGGTGGTGGGAGGGAGGTGAGAGTGGAGGAAGAGGGGCTTCCTGGGGAAGGGACCCTGGGGGGTGATTTCCCAGGAGGACTTTGCCGAATGAAGTTACCCTGGGATTCAAGTCATGCCCTTCCCTACCCCCTTCATCACTGTCAGGTGAGTAGGCAAGGCCGTCCTGTGTCTTTGCTGCAGGACCTGTGTGTGGCCAACAGCATGGTTGGCCAGTTCAGTTCACTGGCTTCTCCTCCTCCTCCCCTTCCTTTACCCATGTCAACAGAACACCTTCTCCTGCCAGCTCTGGGAGCCCAGATGGACTGAACAGACCTGGTTTCAGGGGCTCACACGGGGGTTTCTTGTTTGTTACTACCTTGGACCCTCACCACCTCTCCATGGGCGGACATTTCCTGGCCCAGGCCCACCTGTATGCCCAGTTCCCCCGGACCTGCCCTCACTGGCATCCCAGACTCCAGTGGACTGAACTATTGGAAGTTTCCACATGTTCTCACTCACCTCTGGGTCTCTGCGTGGGCTAGCCCCTCTGCCTGGAATGAATGCCTCCTGTCTCTGGTCTACTGACTGACTTCTCATCTCTCAAGACTCAGACCAAATGTCATCTCCTCTGGGGGCTTTTTCTGTCCCCATGTGGCTTGTTCTTCCTCCTCTGTGCGCCCTATTCCTATCTTGATTTCAGAACTCATCACTCTGATAATAGATGAGAAACCTATCTGAGATCAGATTCCCCCAAAACCAAGCCTGCATAAGGCTTCACGTGCAGGCAGTCTATGTGGAAGGTGATCCTGGGAGCAGGGAATGGGGAAAGTGAGGAAAGAAATGAGGAAAAGCCCAGGAGGAGTGTGTGTTATCAAGGTGGGTCTTGTGGGAAATAGGGGTTGAGGTCTCCTGGACACCCTTGAGAAATCAGAATGTGGCCAGAGTCATCTGCCTGGAGGAAGGCTCTTGGGCTCCGCTGGTTGGCCAGTTGTCCTGGGGGAATGAATTTCTGGCCTATACTTTCTGGTAGGCATATTCTGTATTCTGTATTCCATAAGTATTCTGGCCTATACTTTCTGGAGACAGCCCTGGGGCATGAACTAGGCAGGCAAGATGGGGTGCTGTCAGGCTCACCTGCCACTGTCCCAGCAGCTGTGGCTGAGAGCAGTGGATCCAGGGGCTGTGAGTCGGGCACCACAGGCATCCCTACAGAATCCCTGGAAGGTGGGAGCCACAGTTCTACTTGTCTTCGTGTTCCTGGCAAGTGCTGGGAAAATGCTGAATGACCAGGAAACCAGAGAACAGTGAACCAGCAATGTTTGGGGTTTCCAGCCGAGAACGCTATAGACTCCTGGATTTCTCTCCAGTTGGGCTTAGGGGATTTCCTCCTTATTACTCACCCCTCCAACTCACAGCTCCTTCTCACCTTAGTCTTCAGAATCTAGGTTCTATTGCGTGAAGGGATGAGAGACTCTCCAGGGATCAGACACAAGAGCAGGTGGACTGAGACTGTGGGGAGAGTGTGCTCAGCTCAGAAACCATGAGCGCAGACTCCAGGGTCCCCAGCCAGCATTTCTGCTCCAGCACAAGATGCGTACTGCTCACATCTCCTTCCCTTCCTCCTTTACTTTATATGGTCAACTATATCTCTGACTATGGAAGAAAAAGAATCAGTCTCTCCTTAAAGGAATTTCAGACCCTGGGAACTGATGGGGGTAGCATTTCAAGGTGGAGTGGGGGTTGATGAGCCATTCGCAAATCCTTTGAACTCACATCACCATAGTGCCTATTAGTCATCATAACAATGACAGCTAGAATTTATTGAGTCTTTACTGTGTGCCAGGAATCAAGCTAGGGCCTATAGGTAATATCTCATTAAATCCTCACAAAGCTCTGTTGGGATGGGAGGTTGTAACCCAAGAAAAGCTCAAAGTAAGTCAATTCTAAGGTGCCTTTGTGTGTAGGGTTTCCTTCCTTCCCCCAATTTCCTACTGAGACAAAACTCTCCCTTCCTTAAAGTGTCTTCATGGCTAAACAATGATAGTTGGGGAGCAAATGGCTTTCGCAACTAAGGACTCGAAGAGCAGATGTCCTATGAGCTGATGAAAAACTCTCCCGTCCATTGCAATTACCAAAGACCTCTCAGGTCATTTTCTCCTCCTTCAAGCTGGAGACCTAGGGGTCTGGAAGTCTGGTCCTAGTCACAACTCTGTTGCTGACTGGTTATGTGAATGTGGGTTTAGTTCCTAAACTCTGTGTTTAGGAATTAAAGCTATTCTCATGAGGATAATGCACCCACCTTTCACTGAGCATGTACCATGTGCAGAGCTCTATGCTAAGAACAAGGTGTGCCTTCTTTTACGGAACCCAACCACTCTATGCGTTGGGTATTATCCTCACTTACATATGAGAAAATAGAGGCTCAAAGAAGCACAGTAACTCACCCAAGGTCACATGTCTGGAATGTGGTGGAGCCAAGATTCAAACCCAGAACAGGAATATAAGAAGACTGGGTGCCCAGGTAGCAGAAACTAATGAAAAGATTCTTCAGGGTATGAGCATTGTAAATGAATCAGCCCTGTCAGGCCTTTGAGCCAAGCTAAGCCATCATATCCCCTGTGACTTGCACGTATACATCCAGATGGCCTGAAGCAACTGAAGATCCACAAAAAAAGTGAAAATAGCTTTAACCGATGACATTCCACCATTGTGATTTGTTCCTGCCCCACCCTAAGAGATACAATATATTCTCCCCCACCCTTGAGAATGTACTTTTTATGCCTATCCCAAACCTGTGAGAACTAATGATAATCCCACCACCCTTTGCTGACTCCTTTTTCGGACTCAGCCTGCCTGCACCCAGGTGAAATAAACAGCCTTGTTGCTCACACAAAGCCTGTTGGTGGCCTCTTCACACGGACGTGAGGGACAAGCCCTAGCGGATGATGTTGAAACTTTTACTTTTTTGTATTTTTTAACTTGTGGTAAAAATATCATTTTAACCATCAATACACAATTGATGTGTGTACAATTCAGTGGCATTAAGTACATTCACAATGTTGTCCAACCATCACCAATTTCCATTTCCAGAATTTTTTCATTATCCCAAACAGAAACTCTATACCCTTTAGATAATAACGCCCTCTTCCCTCCTCCCCACCTAGCCTGGTGACCACTCTTCTACTTTCTGTCTCTATGAATTTGATGATTCTAGGTACCTCATATAGATGGAATCTATGTATGTATGTATGTATGTATGTATGTGTGTATTTATTGAATTTAAAAATTTTTTTATTATACTTTAAGTCCTGGGATACATGTGCAGAACGTCCAGGTTTGTTACATAGGTATACACGTGCCATGTTGGTTTGCTGCACCCATCAACCCGTCATTTACATTAGGTATTTCTCCTAATGCTCTTGCTCCCCTGGCCCCCAACCTCCTGACAGGCCCCAGTGTGTGATGTTCCCCTCCCTGTGTCCATGTGTTCTCATTTTTCAACTCCCACTTATGAGAGAAAACATGCGGTGTTTGGTTTTCTGTTCCTTTGTTAGTTTGCTGAGAATAATGGCTACCAGCTTCATCCATGTCCCTGCAAAGGACATTAACTCATCCTTTTTTATGGCTGCAGAATCTATGTATTTATAATATAATATTACAATATTACATTATAATAATATATTTGTCCTTCTGTGTCTGGCTTATTTCAGTAAGTAGATTTTTAGGGTTCACTCATGTTGTAGCATCCTAATTTCATTCCTTTTTAAGGCGGAATAATACTCCACTGTATGTATATAGCACATACATTCTATCCACATAAACATTTGCGTTGTTTCCACCATTTAGTTACTGTGAATAATGCCACTGTGAACACGGGTATGCAAATGTCTGTTGGTGTCCCTGCTTTCAATTCTTTTGCCTATATTCCTAGATGTGGGTTTGTTTGTTTGTTTTTTGAGACAGAGTCTTGCTCTGTCACCAGGCTGGAGTACAGAGGCGTGATCTCGGCTCATTGCAACCTCCACCTCCTGGGTTCGAGCGATTCTGGTGCCTCAGCTTCCCGAGTAGCTGGGATTACAGGCAAGCGCCACCACACAAGCTAATTTTTGTATTTTTAGTATAGACGGGGTTTCACCATGTTGGCCAGGACAGTCTCGATCTCCTGACCTTATGATCCACCTGCCTTGGCCTCCCAAAGTGCTGGGATTACAGGCGTGAGCCATCATACCCAGCCGAAGTGGGTTTTTGTTATTGTTGTTCAAATCCATTATTTTATTCTCAAAGGCTCTAGCTTTTAAATT